>NC_000017.11:28185980-29435980 GCF_000001405.40 Homo sapiens | reverse complement strand
TTTTTTGTATTTTTAGTACAGATGGGGTTTCACCATGTTGGCCAGGCTGGTCTCGAACTCCTGACCTCGTGATCCGCCTGCCTTGGCCTCCCAAAGTGCTGGGATTACAGGCGTGAGCCACCGCACCCCGCCTATCTGTGAGTATTCTTATGGCAATATAAGTATTTGCAATAGTGCAATGAGAATTCATTTTTCTTTTGTAACAGGATACAACTGGAGAAAATGGTTATTTTAACAAGGCTTTTACTGGAAGGGTATGCTCCCCTTTAAGGAGTCAAGCTCGAAGTCGAACTTGCAGAACCAACAAAAGCCCCATGGAGAAAGTGACCTAATACCCTCATCTTCGCAGTCCTTGTACAGGGTTCCTGACCTGTGGTCAGTAAAGAATGTCACTTTCTAACAGGTTCTAGGAGCTCCAAGTTTATCTTGGGACCTTAAGAGGAGAGGATCACCCAACTCATAGGTGTTTCAAGGTCTTATCTGAGATTCCTTGGGGAATAGAGTTCCATCAAAGCCAATCTAAAAGGCCTATGTAGACATAATTATTCTTGCTATACTTTAGGCAAATAATCAGGTCAAGTATAGGGCTAAGGGATTTTGCAAACCACTCAGTCCTATCATGATTTTTTAACAAAAATGAGGACTGGAAAGAGAGAGATCATGTTCCAAAATTTACCATACATTTGTCATTAAATTCTGAACTCATTGGTTGTTTTTAAGTTTTCACCTACATTTTAGACTAACCCTGCTTGTTCCTGTGAACTAACCAGCAATCTCCAGCTGCATCTCAGAAAGAACAACGGGGATGGGTAATGTAAAAATCTGGACCAATATTCTAGTTCTGAGCAATTATCCTTCAAATTCTTCCAGGTGATGGGAATACATAGGATGCCCATCACAGAGGTTTCCTTTTGGGAAAGTAAGACCAAGGGAGCTAACCAAAGCCAAGCACCATGCACCCAAATCCTAGCAAGCATAACTAGAGCCACCAGTTATCTGGGTGTGTCACAAGACATCCTTTCCTCTCCCTTACTGGAGGAGGACTCGGTTCCACAGTTTCACCTTAGCATTTGGCTTACAAGGAGTCCATGCAACTCCCCTGAGACACATCTTTGTCCCAGACTCAATTCCAAATTTCAGGTCAAAGCCCTAGGAAAAAAACTGGATCTGAGGGATCCAGAGGCAAATGACAACAGAGGTTAAAAGGCACATTGCAGGTGAGCGTGGCTGACTCCTGCTGATTAAGCCAACTCCAAGCTTCCTGTTTCATGGATAAAGGCCACATTAATATCCATGGCATAAATGAGGCCTAGGGAACTCCAAAGCTACTGACTGTAGGTGGGAAACAGACATAGGTGAGACAAATAATTCCTATTGTCTCGACACCCCTGTTTCATGGGTGCAAGCCACTTTGGTACTCATGGTGGCACCTGCCAAGGTCGCCAGAACTCGGGGATGCAAGGACAGAAGACTGAAAGAGGACACTCTTTCCTCTCACTCTCACGTATCCTGAGTATATGCTAGGAAAATAAGGGAACCAGGGAGGCCTGCTTCCCTCTTTCTAGATTGGTAGCCATTCATCTTCAATCTGTACCCCTTTCAAATGCATCCTGAACCTCTGGGACTCCTTTAAAAGGAGGCTTTTTCCCTTTCTCCTCAGTTCTCTCTTCACTAATAGATAATTGTGTTTCTGTACTACAAGACACTCCCCTCAAATGCATCCTCCGAACTAGAAAGAGTTAATTTCCCAAACTTTAAACTGGTTGGCTTAGGATTGGGCTCAGAGGAAGGGAACCCAAAAGCCCAACATGCCAGCAAAAGGGTAAAGTTTCTTTACCAGTCGGGTTTTTGGCCTCCCTCTCCCTGTGAAAATTGGTAAAAGGCCTCAGTATTTTTCAGCTCTCCTTACCCCGCCCCTTGTTTCGTTTTGATGCATGTTTTCTAATAACCCGGTTTGTCTGTTCTTGCCTTCAGGCCATCAAACTCCAAATGGTCATGCAACCGGAGCCTCTGATGGTGGCCCCTTCTGCTGGGAACCCCTAAATAGGCCTCTTAGGGAGCTCTGACTGCTGTTTCCCCCAAAACAGGCCCCTGTCAGCAGGAAGCAGTTAAGATCGGTCTTCGTCCGTGTCCTTAATCTAACAATTGCTAGATTAGAGGGGAAATGAGATAGCCAGGTGGGAGAGGGTCCCCAGAGAAACTACAACAAGCCTGCCCACTGGAGCTGAGCCTCAGGAGGTTCATGCCATTTGCAGTGGGGAGGAGTCTGGCCCCTCCACTTCCTGTGTGGAACCTGAGATTTGAATGGCAGGGCGGGAAGTGCTCTAGCAGGAGACTCTGGCCTTGTGGAGTATCCCTATTTCCCCTTTTTTTCCCTTTTCACCCAATAAAACCCTCTGCTTTACTCACCCTTTAAACTGTCTGCAAGCCTGAATTTTCATAGCCATGGGACGGACAAGTTCTTTAGCTGAACTAAGGAAAAGTCCTGCAATGCTAACAGAGCTGCCTTAGTTTCTAGAGTGAAGAATCTTTTTACATTCTTTTTTTTTTTTTTTTGAGACAGAGTCTAGCTCTGTCACCCAGGATGGAATGCAGTGATCTCGGCTCACTGCAACATCCACTCCCGGGTTCAAGCAATTCTCGTGCCTCAGCCTCCTGAGTAGCTGGGATTACAGATGCCCGCCACCACGTCCAGCTAATTTTTGTATTTTTAGTAGAGACAGGGTTTCACCATGTTGGCCAGGCTGGTCTTGAACTCCTGACCTCGTAATCCACCCGGCTTGGCCTCCCAAAGTGCTGGCTCACAAGCGTGAGCCACTGCACCTGGCTACATTCTTTTATTAGCCCTATAACTGAGACTCAAACTCTACTTACATTCTCTTGCATTACTAGTAATTCAAAAAGATAACTATGGTAAGGCCCTGGAGACTCAGTGGCTCATGCCTATAATCCCAACACTTACGAAGGCCGAGGCAGGAGGACTGCTTGAGCCCAGGAATTCAAGACTGGCCTAGGCAACATTGCAAGACACTGTCTCTACAAAAACTTTAAAAATTAGCCAGGTGTGGTGGCAAACACCTGCAGTCCTAACTACTCAGGAGGCTAAGGCAGAAGGATCCCTTGAGCACAGGAGTTTAAGGTTGCAGTAAGCTATGATCTGAGAGACAGAGCACAACTCTGTCTCTCTCTAAAAAAAAAAAAAATTTGGACAGGTGTGGTGGCTCACGCCTGTAATCCCAGCACTTTGGGAGGCCAAGGTGGGTGGATCACCTGAGGTTAGGAGTTCAAGACCAGCCTGGTCAACATGGTGAAACCCCATCTCTACTAAAAAATACAAAAATTAGCCAGGCAGGCCGGGCACAGTGGCTCACGCCTGTAATCCCAGCACTTTGGGAGGCCGAGATGGGTGGATCACGAGGTCAGGAGTTTGAGACCAGCCTGTCCAATATGGTGAAACCCCATCTGTTGGGAACAGGCCTCCAAATCTGGCCATAAACTGGCCCCAAAACTGGCCATAAACAAAATCTCTGCAGCACTGCGACATGTTTGTGATGGCCATGATGCCCACGCCGAAGGTTGTGGGTTTACCGAAATGAGGGCAAGGAACACCTGGCCCACCCAGGATGGAAAACTGCTTAAGGCGGTCCTAAGCCACAAACAATACCATGAGTGATCTGTGCCTTAAGGACATGCTCCTGCTGCAGATAACTAGCCAGGGCCCATACCTTTGTTTTGGCCCATCCCTTTGTTTCCCATTTTAGTTAATCTATAATCTATAGAAACAATGCTTATCACTGGCTTGCTGTCAATAAATATGTGGGTAAAACTCTGTTTGAGGCTCTCAGCTCTGAAGGCTGTCAGCCCCCTGATTTCCCACTCCACACTTTATATTTCTGTGTGTGTGTCTTTAATTCCTCTAGCAACGCTGGGTTAGGATCTCCACAACCGAGCTGGTCTCCGCACACGGAGCTGGTCTCGGCACCCATCTCTACTAAAAAGTACAAAAATTAGCAGGGTGTGGTGGCTCACGCCTGTAGTCCTAGTTACTCAGGAGGCTGAGGTAGGAGAATCGCTTGAACCCGGGAGTCAGAGGTTGCAGTGAGCCGAGATCGCACCACTGCAATCCAGCCTGGGCAACAGAGTGAGACTCCATCTCAAAAAAAAAAAAAAAAAAAAATTAGCCAGGCATGGTGGTGGGCACCTGTAATCCCAGCTACTTGGGAGGCTGAGGCAGAATTGCTTGAACCAAGGAGGCGGAGGTTGCAGTGAGCTGAGATCGCGCCATTGCACTCCAGCCTGGGTGACAAGAGCAAAACTCTGTCTCAAAAAAAAAAATTTAACTTATACTTATTTACATTTATTTACTTATAAAACCGTATGTCTCCACTTCAATATCTCAAAGAAATTTCTAACTCAAAATAATCTAGTCATTCAAGCCAATCTTCTTTCTGAGTTGCCTATAAAATTAAAGTGTGTCACACTAATGTATCCAATTTAGTAATCCAAAAACCTAAGGTTTTTTTTTAATTTATTTATTTAGAGACAGGGTCTCGCTCCGTTGCCCGGGTTGGAGTGCAGTAACACAAGCACAGCTCACTGCAGCCTTGATTTCCTGAGCTCAAGTGATCCTCCCACCTTAGCCTCCCAAGCAGCTGAGACTACAGGCACACACCACCATGCTCAACTAATATGTTTTCTTTTTAGTAGAGACAAAGTCTTGTTATGTTGCCCAGGCTGGCCTCAAACTCCAGAGCGCAAGCACTCTCACCTAAGTGAGAACCTGACCAAAAAGGGGGAGTTTTTTTAAACAAAATTCTGGGAGGTCATTGTTTTGGACTAAGCTCATGCACTGGGCCCCAACAAACCAAACCAAAATGGAATCACTTGTGCTAAGACTTTAAGGAAACACACAGATTCTAGAACAGAGCAGGTTTTGTTTTTTCTCCAGCAAATTTCTATAACAGCATAGGTATCCACTCCCAAAATTCCCATTAAGTCTTTTAATCAATTTCATTTCCCCTCGCCTAGAGACCACCAAACTTCAGATGATCATGCAGCAAAGTTCCAGCCAGTTCCAGGTGAAGATACTACCCCTGGCCATCAAAAAGCTACCCTCCTTCCACTAGACAGAACAGGGTGAGAGTTCCGTGATCTCCAACAGGTAGGGACTAAGCCCCAAATCAGCATGAAGCAGTTACAGAAGAAAGACCTTCAGTCCTTCTGCCTCCCATAAAGATTTATGGGGATCATGTCTCTCAGAGGAAGATGAGGCAGGAGAATAGGGTCTGGAGGCAGGGAACCTAAGGCTGTTTCATGCCAATTTCCTAGAACTAAATTGAAAGGAAAACCCTAACTTTCCATGCCTAAGTAACAAAAGGACCAGAGGCGACTCCCTTTGACCTTTCCTGAGCACTGCAGATGGGATATTGGCTGTCCCCAGCAAATCAGACTGATTGCTGGTGGAGTCTTCGTTTGCAACTTTGTAACTTCACCCTAGCCTCTGATTGGTTGCTTTTTGCAGATGCGAAGTTACAAAGTTTTTGCAACCAATCGGATGTTTGCACAGGAGTGTGACCTTTGTAACTTCACATCAGCCTCTGGTGGGCTGCTTTCCCCAACCAATCAGACTGATTGCAGGCTACCCTTCAGTTACATGAGGTGAGCATGAAGTGGCCAATGGGAAACTTCTAGGGGGTATTTGAACCCAAGAAGATTCTACACCTGGGCTCCTTGAGCCGCTCCTCAGGTCTGCTCCCACACTGTGGAGTGTACTTTCATTTTCAATAAATCCCTGCTTTCGTTCTTTTGTTACTTCATTCTTTCTTTGCTTTGCTGGACATTTTAACCAATTCTTTGTCCAAAACGCCAAGAACCTGGAGTCATGACCCTCTACTGGTGACAAAAATACAAGCCCTCTCTTTTTATCTTTTTGATTCAAATGGAAGAAAAAGCTCTTGTGATTTTTCCCAAAATTCAACATTATTATAGTTTTCCTTTAATACTAAAGTAAAATTACAAGATAAAAATTAAATTTTACTGTCAACAAGATCAGTTGTATTGATTAGATCTTATAGTCTTATTTATTTCAAAATAAAAATAGGGCACACTGTATGACAGATATTAAACAAACTCAAAACTTCAGAGATAAAAGGTATCTTAGATGCACAAGTGCCTGAAGGGTTGGGTGGTGTGCTTAAAGTCACAGTTAATAACAAAACTATAACTAAAAAACCTAAAGGTACTAAATACAAGGTGGTATCCTAAATTAGATCCTGAAACAGGAAAAGGATGTTAGTGGAAAATCTGGACAAAATTGGTAGTTTAGTTAATAATATTGTAACAATGTTAACTTGTTAGCATTGACAAATGTACCATGGTTATTTAAAATGTTAACATTAGAGGAAAGGCCGGGCATGGTGGCTCACACCTGTAGTCCCAGCATTTTGGGAGGCTGAGGTAGCCGGATCACTTGAGGTCAAGCATTTGAGACCAGTCTGGCCAACATGGTGAAACACTGTCTCTACTAAAAAATACAAAAATTAGCCGGTCCTGGTGGCGTGCACCTGTAATCCAGCTACTTGGGAGGCTGAGACACAAGAATCACCTGAACCCAGGAGATGGAGGGTGTAGTGTCCCCCAGTGTGGGGGACAGAGTGAGACTCTCCAAAAAAACAAAGAAAAGAAAAAAAAAATCAGAGGAAAGTAGATGAAAGGTATACAAGAACTCTGTACTATCTTCTTTGCACTTTTTCTGTACATCTGAAATTATTAAGTAAAAACAAAAGGCTTATTTTAAAATTCTAAAGCTGAAACTGATTTCTAATCCAGAATACTTCCCATCTGCTTCCATAAGAATACCCACCTAGAAAGGCATTAAGTTCTAAAACCAAGTATACAGAGATAACAAACTATAGCACCTGCCTGCAGCACCCTCAAACAAAAAAATAATCAAAAATTCTCTATTTTTCTGTTTAATAGGGAAGGGAATTAACACTCATTGACTTCTCGCTATATTCCAGGCATTTTGCTTATTTAATTCTCATAACTGGGGTGGGCGCAGTGGCTCACACCTGTAATCCCAGCACTCTGGGAGGTCGAGGGCAGAGGAGAGGATCACTTGAGCCTAGGAGTTCGAGACAAGCCTGGGCAACATGGTGGAACCCTGTCTCTACAGAAAAAAAAAAAAAAATTTAGTCAGGTGTTGTGGTGCGCAACTGCAGTCCCAGCGACTTGGGAGGCTGAGGTGGGAGGATCCCCCAAGCTCAGGAGGTAGAGGCTGCAGTTAACCCACTGCACTCCAGCCTGAGTAACAGCCAGATCTTGTCTCAAAAAATAAAAATATATATATAACTCTCACAACTGTTTTAAAATAATTACCACCTCAAATTATACTTGAAGTTCAAAGAATGTAAGTAATTTGCTCACTATCATATAGCTACTAAGTAACAGAGCCAGATTTCCATACCTCATCATCAACTTTCTCTAGGCTATCTAGGCACTCTACAGTCATCTGTGTATTTAAAAAGAAGTATTTGTTACTAAATTTTACAGATTCTACCTCTATGGCATTTTTCACATCAAAACCCTCACTGCCAATCCCACTGCCACTACTTTTTGTTTAGGTCTCTGTTACCTCTTGTCTGTTCTACAGCAAAACACCTCTCAAGCATTCCAATCTCTAGTCTTATTCTCTTTAGTCCATTCTGTACACCTGTAAAGAACAGCTTCTTGCTCAGCCTCCCAACATCTATGAGGATGTTTTAGTAATGGTCTTAGATTTCCTTTTGAGATATTACCTCTCCTCTGCCTAGGTATTCCCCTCTAGGAAACATGTACTTGGTTTTTGGAAATTCTGAATCTTGAACAAATGATACAAGTCTGGAAAAAAACGGTTGGCACTTATTCATTTGGGTGGCATCCTGATGAAACTGTCTATTCATTCCTTGTATCAAGACCCCAGGAGCTATCCTAGACTCTCTTCAGCCTTCCTTTTCAGTCTGCGAGCAACTTAATAGTCTTATAATAAAATTATTCTTCTTTTTTTTTTTTTTTTTTGAGACAGAGTCTCACGCTGTTGCCCAGGCTGGAGTGCAGTGGCGCAATCTCGGCTCACTGCAACCTCCGCCCCCGGATTCAAACAATTCTCGTGCCTCAACCTCCTGAGCAGCTGTGATTACAGGCGTCCACCACCACGCCCAGCTAATTTTTGTATTTTTAGTGGAGACAAGGTTTCACCATGTTGGCCAGGCTGGTATGGAACTTTTGACCTCAAGTGATCTGCCCACCTTGGCTTCCCAAAGTGCTGGGATTACAGGCGTGAGCCACTACGCCTGGCCAAGAAAATTCTTAAGATAGTTGGTATCACTTCTCTGCTTCCAAAAACCCTAACAGATACATCACTCCTAACTCAAATAAGATCTCTAAAGCATTTCTTTCTTTTTTTTTTTTTTTTTGAGACGGAGTTCAAAGCGATCCCCCTGTGTCAGCCTCCCAAGTAGCTGGGACTACAGGCGTGCACCACCACACCTGGCTAATTGTTGTATTTTTTGGTAAAGACAGGGTTTCACCATGTTGGCCAGACTGGTCTGAAACTCCTGACCTCAAGTGATCCACCCGCCTTAGCCTCCCAAAGTGCTAGGATTACAGGCGTGAGCCACCGCACCTAGCCAAGATCTCTAAAGCACTTCTAAAGAATTACTCAATCTTCCTGCTCAAAAACTTTAACCTACAAGTTCTCAATATTATATAATCTTCTCCAGGTTAAGTTTTCAGGGTTCTCCCCATTTTGGTCCAAACTACATTTCTAAACTTATTTTCCACCAATGGCATTACATTCATTAATGTTATTCTCTCCACTTGGAATGCTATCCACAAAACCCCCATGTCTGCCTACAAATCCTACCCACCCTTCCGAATCTATTTCATTGTTCCCTAGTATATCAATTCTCATCCAATTCCACTTGAAATGTAGTTGGTGCAACTAAGAAACTGAATTTTATTTAATTTTTATTAAGTTTAACTTAAATTTATGGTAGCTAGGGGTCACCATATTGGACAGCTTAGCTCTAGCATATAATCTATTTTGCTCTACTATAAAATATTCAAGGAAAATATAAGAAGTTATTTAGGCGTTTCCTTAATCTCACCAGGATGCCACTCCAAAACACCCTGAAGTTGCTCAGATCTAAGTTAGAGAATAACAGGCATAGAAAATCAAATTCAAAATCCATAACAAATCATACAATGTACCAACAGCTGGTCCCACAAATGAGGGCCTCTTAAGCTACTGAACCTTTGAAGAAATTTGAAAAAGGGACTCCTTTTAAGGATATGCAACTCCATAAGCACAAGACATGGATAATGGATAGCAGAGCACAGACCGAATTTCAGTCCTCACTCGCCCCTTTGACAGATGCCCCTGGCTTAGAGCCACACATACTTCCCATATTCTCTTTCCTCTAGCCTTTTACTGCATCTCAGAATGTCTTTTTTTCTACCTTTGGCTCAGCAACTATCTCCTAGATGTCCTCCCAGACTACTATACTTACTGTCTTCCCTAATCTCTAATTTGGATTCAGAACCCTCTTCTGTGTTTCTGTAATATAAAAATATCTCTGATATTGCACTTATCATACTAGCTTATAATTATTTATTTTCTCCATTGATTTCCTACCCTGGAACAATACGCTCTCTGCAGACACAGGTCACATTTTTTCACCATTACGTTTTCACCTACTACATAGCACCTAAACATAGTAGGTGCCAAATCAATGTAACCATGAATCAAACTGATTCATTCTTGGCCGGGTGCGGTGGCTCACGCCTGTAATCCCAGCACTTTGGGAGGCTGAGGCAGGTGGATCACGAGGTCAGGAGATCGAGACCATCCTGGCTAACACAGTGAAACCCCGTCTCTACTAAAAATACAAAAAATTAGCTGGGCGTGGTGGTGGGCGCATGTAGTTCCAGCTACTCGGGAGGCTGAGGCAGGAGAATGGCGTGAACCCAGAAGGCGGAGCTTGCAGTGAGCCGAGATCGCGCCACTGCACTCCAGCCTGGGCGACAGAGCGAGACTCCGTCTCAAAAACAAAACAAAACAAAACAAACAAAAAAAACCTGATTCATTCTTATGTAAAATGCATTAAAATAAGAGAAATTTTACAATATTTAAATTACCTATCAATTTTAACAGAATCTAATTTCACTTGATCTTAGATTACAAGAATGATATTTTCAAACATAATTTATCATCTTTCAATATCTCCCTTACTAAAGTAAAAAGTTTGGTTTTTTTGTTTGTTTGTTTGTTTTTCATTTTTGACAAGATCTGGCTCTACCACCCAGGCTGGAATGCAGTGGTGTAATCTCAGCTCTCCCAGGCTCAAGCCATCCTCCTACCTCAGCCTCCCGAGTAGCTGGGACTACAGGCACACACCACCTTACTCAGCTAATTTTTATATTTTTTGTACAGATGGGGTATCGCCATGCTGCCCAGGCTGGTCTCAAACTCGTGAACTCAAGCTGTCCACCCGGCTCGGCCTCCCAAAATGCTGGGATTACAGGCAGGAGCCACCAAGCCTGGTATAAGTTTTAAAGTGAACAAAAATGGGCCGGACACAGTGGCTCCCACCTGCAATCCCAGCACTTTGGGAGGCCAAGGCAGGAGAATCATTTGAAGTCAGGAGTTTGAGACCAGCCTGGCCAACATGTTAAAACCCCATCTCTACTAAAAATAAGAAAAAAATTAGCCGGGCATGGTGGTGTGTGTCTGTAATCCCAGCTACTGGGAAAGCTGAGGCAGGAGAATCCCTTGAACCTGGGAGGTGGTGGTTACAGTGAGCCGGGATCGTGCCACTGCACTCCAGCCTGGGAGACAGAGTGAGATTCTACCTCAAAAAACCAAAACCAATAAGTATTTACTAATAAATTTAATGGTCTAACTTTTAAATAATTTTACTTCTAACTATCTGGTTGTTATAATGGAGACAAAGTAGTATATCTCAATAGCACATTAATCTTTAGCACAGGTAGAGTAATACATTTTGTATATAATCTATAATGAAAAATGACAATCCCCCCAAAATTGTTAAAATATTCCAAAAGAAACTTACATGTGCTCACTTCAGCAGCACATATACTAAAAACCTGGAACAATACAGAGATTAGCCTGGCTGCTGAGCAAGGATGACATACAAATTCATGAAACATTCCATTAAAAAAAATTTTAAACTTATGTTAAGTTGTACAAAACTTCAAACTATTTTCTAAACAGCAAAAAGAGAAACTAAAGGTCAGCAGTCAACAAAGAAAACTTCTGACAAGTAATCTAATACATGACACAAAAATAGGCATCTCCTACTATTGACCTCCTTTTTTCTGATAAGCACAACTTCCAAAGAAAGATATGTAGGTCACCCAACTTCTATACTTTAGCAACCAAGGAGAAGTGGATGAGTCTTCCTATTTCTCTGCCCAGTATTTGTCTTCTTTCCTTAGCAAATGTTACCGTGTCTCTATTTGTCTTTTTTTTTTTTTTTTTTTTTTGAGAGGGAGTCTCGCTCTGTTGCCAAGGCTGGAGTGCAGTGGCGGGATCTTGGGTCACTCCAAGCTCCGCCTCCCAGGTTCACGCTATTCTCCTGCCTCAGCCTCCCAAGTAGCTGGGACTACAGGCACCCGCCACCATGCCTGGCTAATTTTTTTGTATTTTTAGTAAAGACGAGGTTTCACCGTGTTAGCCAGGATGGTCTCGATCTCCTGCCCTTGTGATCTGCCCGTCTCGGCCTCCCAAAGTGCTAACTTGACCTAATTCTCATTTATAGAACACTATACACAACAAATCAAGAATACACATTCTTCTCAAGTATGTACAGAACAACCAAAATACACCATATACTGGGCCATGAAACAAGTTTGCTTTTTTTTTTTTTTTTTTGAGACAGGGTCTCACTCTGTCGCCCAGGCTGGAGTGCAGTGGCACAATCTTGGCTCACTGCAACCTCCGCCTCCCGGGTTCAAGCAATTCTTCTGCCTCAGCCTCCAGAGTAGCTGGGATTACAGGCGTCCACTACCACGCCTGGCTAATTTTTTGTATTTTTAGTGGAGACGGGGTTTCGCCATGTTGGGCAGGCTGGTCTCGAACTCCTGACCTCAAACAATCCGCCTGCTTCTGCCCCCCAAAGTGCTGGGATTACAGGTGTGAGCCACCACGCCCCAGCCTGAAACAAGTTTTAATAAATAAAGAATTAAATTCAGACAGTATGTTTTCCGACCACACAGAATTAAATCAGAAATCAAAAATCAGAAAAATATCAAGAAAATTCCTAAATATTTAAAAATTAAACAACACACTTCTAAATACACATGGTTTGTCATAGAGAAATATAAAAGTGAAATTGGAAAATATTCTGAATTGAAATACAGGGACACAGGAAAATCTTATAACATTAAATCCTTATATTAGAAGAGGCTGGGCGCAGTGGCTCACGCCTGTAATCCCAGCACTTTGGGAGGCCGAGGCAGGTGGATCATGAGGTCAGGAGATCGAGACCATCCTGGCTAACACGGTGAAACCCCGTCTCTACTAAAAAATAGAAAAAAATTAGCCGGGCGTGGTGGCGGGCACCTGTAGTCCCAGCTACTCAGGAGGCTGAGCAGAATGGCGTGAACCCAGGAGGTGGAGCTTGCAGTGAGCCAAGATCGCGCCACTGCACTCCAGCCTGGGAGACAGAGGGAGACTCTGTCTCAAAAAAAAAAAAAGAAAAGAAGAAAGATTTAGTACCAAAATATAAGCATCCAGATTAAGAAACTTAAAAAAAAAAAAAAGGAAGAGCAAATTAAATACAACACAGCAAAAGGAAATAATGAGCCAAAGTAAAAAAAAAAAAAATGGGGGAAAAAAAAGAAACCAATAAAGAAAAGTCAATGACACCAACAGCTAGATTTTTGTTGTTGTCGTTGAAACGGTGTCTTGCTCTGTCACCCAGGCTAGAGTGCAATGAGGCGATCTCAACTCACTGCAACCTTTGCCTCCCAGATTGAAGTGATTCTCATGCCTCAGCCTCCTGAGTAGCTAGGATTACAGGCACCTGCCACCACGCCCGGTTAATTTTTGCATGTTTAGTAGAGACGGGGGTTTCACTATGTTGGTCAAGCTGGTCTCGAACTCCTGACCTCGTGATTCACCCACCTCTGCTTCCCAAAGTGCTGGGATTATAGGCGTGCAGTAGCACGCCCATCCTCAAAGCTAGCTAGGTAACTCTGTAGACAAACTAATGCCAAAGAGAAAGAAGAAACAAATTACCAGTATCAGGAATTAAAGAGGTGATACCACTACAGACGCTATCAACATTAAAATAAAAATATGGGATTATTATAAGTAATTTTACCAGTTAATCTGATAACTCCCATGAAATGGAGAGTCTCTGAAAAAACATAAACTATCGAAGTTCATTCAAAAATAGAGGGGCCGGGAGCAGTGGCTCACGCCTGTAATGCCAGCACTTTGGGAGGCTGAGGCGGGCGGATCACCTGAGGATGGTCAGGAGTTTGAGACCAGCCTGGCCAACATGATGAAACGCAGTCTCTACTAAAAATACAAAAAAAAAAAAAAATTAGCTGGGTGTGGTGGCTCGTGCCTGTAGTTCCAGCTACTCAGGAGGCTGAGGCAGGAGAATCGCTTAAACCCAGGAGTTGGGGATGGCAGCGAGCCGAGACTGCGCCACTGCACTCCAGCCTGGGCGACAGAGCGAGACTCCATCTCAAAAAATAAATTAAAAAAAAGGATAGGCCGGGCGTGGTGGCTCATGCCTGTAATCCCAGCACTTTGGGAGGCCGAGGCGGGTGGATCACGAGGTCAGGAGATTGAGACCATCCTGGCTAACACAGTGAAACCCTGTCTCTACTAAAAATACAAAAAATTAGCTGGGCGTGGTAGCAGGCGCCTGTAGTCCCAGCTACTCGGGAGGCTGAGGCAGGAGAATGGCGTGAACCCGGGAGATGGAGCTTGCAGTGAGCCGAGATCGTGCCACTGCACTCCAGCCTGGGTGACACAGCAAGACTCAAAAAAAAAGGATAAATAGAGGATAGCACAGTGGCTCACACCTGTAATCCTAGCACTATAGGAAGCCGAGTGGCGAGGATCACTTGAGCCCAGGAGTTTGAGACCAGCCTGGGCAACATGCCAAAACCCAATCTCTACCCCCCAAAAATTTTTTAACTGGCTGGGTGTGGTGGCATGTGCATGTGGTTCCAGCTACTTGGGAGGCTGATGCAAGAGGATCACTTGAACCCAGGAGGTCAAGGCTTCTGTGGGCTGTGATGGCACCACTACACTCCAGCCTGGGTGAACACAGCGAGACAAACAAAAAAAGATAACCTAACTTACTGTTTCCACTAAAGTAATATAATTCATAATTAAAAGCCTTGCCTAGAGAAAACTCTAGGCCCAGATGGTTTCACAGGGAAATTCTATCAAATATCTAAGAAAAAATAATACCAGTTCTACATAAACTCTTCCAGCATATAAACATTTATCAACTTATGAGGTCAACATTACCATGATACCAAAACCAGATATCAACAAGAAAACTATAAACCAGTATCTCAAACAGATATAATGTAAAAATTGCAACAAAACATTTACAAATAGATGCTGGCAGTTTATAAAAAGAATATAACATCATCAAGTGGGATTCCTCTCAGGAGTAAAAATCAATCCATATAATTCACTTTATTAGTCTAAAAATGTATAACCGGCTGGATGCGGTGGCTCACGCCTGTAATCCCAGCACTCCGGGAGGCCAAGGCGGGCGGATCACAAGGTCGAGGAGACTGAGACCATCTGGGCCAACATGGGGAAAACCTGTCTCTACAAAAAATACACTAATTAGCTGGGCGTGGTGATGGGTGCCTGTAATCTCAGCTACTTGGGAAACTGAGGCAGAAGAATCACTTGAACCTGGGAGGCAGAGGTTGCAATGAGCTGAGACTGAGCCACTGCACTCCAGCCTAGATGACAGAGCGAGACACTGCCTCAAAAAGAAAAACAAAAAATCCCTATAGCTAATATCACATGCAATGATAAAAGATTAAGTATTTTCCGGCTGGGCGCGGTGGCTCACACCTGTAATCCTAGCACTTTGGGATTACAGGCAGGCGGATCATGAGGTCAGGAGTTCAGGACCAGCCTGGCCAACATGGAGAAACCCTGTCTCTACTAAAAATACAAAATTAGCCAGGCATGCTGGCGCATGCCTGTAATCCCAGCTACTCGGGAGGCTGAAGCAGCAGAGTCACTTGAACCCGGGAGGCGGAGGTTGCAGTGACCCGAGATCGTGCCATTGCACTCTAGCCTGGGCAACAAGAGCGAAACTTCGTCTCAAAAAAAAAAAAAAAAACAGATTAAGTATTTTCCTCATAAGATAGGGAATAAGACAAGGATATCCACCCTCACACTGTACTTTAGGAGCTAGCCAGTGCAACAAGGCAAGAAGAAAAAAAAAGGCATTCAGACTGGCAAGGAAGAAATAAAACTGTACTAATAAACGTAATTGTGTACACAGAAAATCCCAGTCCACAAAATAGCTACCAGAAATAAGTGAATTTATCAAGGTTGCAGAATACAAAGTCAATATCAAAAAAATCAATTATGGTCGGCACTGTGGCTCATTCTTGTAATCCCAGCACTTTGGGAGGCCGAGGCGGGTGAATTGCTTGAGTCTGTGGCCAGCCTGGGCAACATGCAGAAACCATCTCTAAAAAAATAAAAAATTAAGCCAGGCGTCGTGGCATGCACCTGTAGTCCCAGCTACTTGGGAGGCTGAGGAGGGAGGACTGCTTGAGCCCAGGAGGCAGAGGTTGCAGTAAGCTGAGGTCACACCACTGTACCCCAGCCTGGGTGACAAAGTGAGACCCTATCTCAAGAAAAAAAAAAAAAATTAGCCAGGTGTTGCAGCAACACTTGTAGTCCCAGCTACTTGGGAGACTGAGGTGGGAGGATCAATTGAGCCCGGGAGGTTGAGGCTGCAGTGAACCAAGATTCTGTCACTGCACTCGAGCTTGGGCAACAGAGTGAGACCCTGTCTCAAAAAACAAACAAACAAAAAAACAATTTTATGTTTACATACTCATAATGAAACTGAAATTTGGTGGAGGGGGGAGATAACATTTTCAATAAAATTAAAAATCATGGCTGAGCTCAGTGGCACATGCCTATACTTCCAGCACTTTGGGAGGCTGAAGTGGGAGGATCGCTTGAGCTCAGGAGTTCAAAACCATCCTGGGTAACACAGCAAGACCTCATCTCTACTAAAAATCAAAACAAATTAGCCAGGCGTGGTGGTGTGTGCCTGTGGTCCCAGCTATTTAGGAGGTTGAGGTGGAGAATCGCTTGAGCCTGGGAGATGAATGCAGCAGTGAGCCTTGATCACACCACTGCACTCCAGCCTAGACAACAGAGAGAGAGATTACATCTCAAAAAAAAAAAAAAAATACTGCCGGGCGCAGTGGCTCACATTCCCAGCACTTTGGGAGGCCGAGGCGGGTGGATCAATTGATGTCGGGAGTTCGAGACCAGCCTGACCAACAAGGAGAAACCCCGTCTCTATTAAAAATACAAAATTAGTCGGGTGTGGTGGCACATGCCTGTAATCCCAGCTACTGGGGAGGCTGAGGCAGGAGAATCGCTTGAACCCAGGAGGCGGAGGTTGCGGTGAGCCGAGAGCATGCCATTGCACTCCAGCCTGGTCAATAAGCGTGAAACTCCATCTCAAAAAGAAAAAAAAAAATTTACAGAATACTTAGAGATAAATCTAACAAATGTGTGCACGATTTGTATGCTGAAAATTACAAAACACTGATGAGAAAAGTAAGAAAAAGACCCGAATAAATGAAGAAATGTACTAAATTCATAGACTGGGAGACTCAGTATTGTCAGGATATCAATGGTCCCACTAATGATCCAAAGATTCAACAAAATCCCAAAAAACCAGCAGCCTTTTTTGAAGAAACTGACAAACTGATTCTAAAACATACATAAAAAAAAAAAAAAAAAGCAAAGCACCCAGAATAGCCAAAACAACTTGAATAAAAGAATAAACGTGAAGAACTCTAATTGATGCTAAAACTTACTATAGTCAGCCCCCTGTATCCTTAGTTCCACGTTCCTGGATTCAGTCAACCTCGGATTAAAAATATTCAGAAAAAAACAATTCCACAAAGTTCCAAAAAGCAAAACTTGAATTTGCCATGCACCAAGTAGTACAGTGAATCCAGAAGAATGAAGTGATGTGTAGGGAATGCATTTAGTATTATAAGTAATCTACAGAAGATTTAAAGTATACAGGAAGATGTATGTAGGTTATATGCAAATACTACATCATCTTATATAAGTGACTTAGGCATTCATGGATTGTATCCACAGGGGTCCTGGAACCAATCCCACACAGATACCAAGGAATGACTATATAAAGCTATGATAGGCTGGGTGCAGTGGCTCACACCTGTAATCCCAGCACTTTGAGAGGCCAAGGTGGGAGGATCACTTGAGGTCAGGAGTTGGAGACCAGCTTGGGTAACATGCAAGACCCTATTTCTACAAAAAATAAAAATAAAAAATAAAAAAAGTTTAAAAATTAGCCAGGCACGGTGGCATGTGCCTGCAGTCCTAGCTACTAAGGAGTCTGAGATGTGAGGATCACTTGAGCCCAGGAGTCTGAGGTTTCAGTGAGCTATAATCACACCACTGCACTTTAGCTTCGGCAACAGAGCAAGATCCTGTCTCGAAACAAAACGAAGAAGCTGGGCACAGTGGCTCATGCCTGTAATCCCAGCACTTTGGGAGCCTGAGGCAGATGGATTGCTTCAGCTCAGGAGTTCAGACCAGCCTGGGCAACATGGCGAAACCCCGTCTCTACTAAAAATACAAAAATTAGCTGGGTGTGGTGGTGTGCGCCTGTGATCCCAGCTACTTGGGATGCTGAAGTAGAAGGATCACTGGAGCCTGGGAAGTCGAGGCTGCAGTGAGCTATGATCACGCCACTCTACTGCAGCCTTGGTGACAGAGTAAGACGCTGTGAAAGAAAAAGAAAGAGAGAGAAGAGAGAGAATCAAAGAACTAGAGTTTATCAAAATTAAAAACTTCTGCTCTGTGAAAGATACCATTAAGAAAAAATTTTAAAAGCCGTAACTGGGTTTCCAGTGGCAGGGTCTGGGGAAAGGGCGGCAGGTGCCATGTCCAGCCACAAAGATGGCAAGAAGAAACCCCTGAAACAGCCCAGAAAGCAGGCCAAGGAGATATACAAGGAAGGCAAGGCTTTCAAGTAGACACAAAAAGAGGACCAGAAGAAACTATAGGGAAGGGGCCCCTGGCCACAGGTGGAATTAAGAAATCTGGCAAAAAGTAAGCTGTTCCATGGGCCTGAGGCAATGGTGACCCTTGATTTCATTCCCTACTATAACATCTTTTGCCAACTATAGCTGGACTGAAGTGTTGTAATGGAGCCTGTTGTACATTTAAGAATAAACTTTTGTGGAAAGAAACAAAAAGCCATGAACGAAAAAAACGTATCTGCAAAACCTACATCTAATAAGGGCTTATCCTGAATACATAAGGAATTAAAAACTAAACAATAAGAAAACAAACAACCCAACTTAAAAATGGAGGGAAGGGGCTGGGCGCGGTGGCTCACGCCTGTAATCCCAGCACTTAGGGAGGCTGAGGCAGGTGGATCACCTGAGATCAGCAGTTTAAGACCAGGCTGGCCAACATGGCAAAACCCCTTACTAATAAAAAATACATAAATTAGCCAGGCATGGTAGCAGACGCCTGTAATCCCAGCTACTCAGGAGGCTGAGGCAGGCAGAATTGCTTGAACCCAGGAGATGGAGGTTGCAGTGAGCCGAGAAAGTGCCACTGCACTCCCGCCTGGACGACAGAGTGAGACTCCATCTCAAAACAACAACAACAAAAAAAAAAAACTGGTAAACTAAAATAAGGATAATTCATTCAATATTTACCAGACCTTTACCATATCCCTGGCACTGTCCTTGATGCTGGGTTGAGAAATAATGAAGCGGGATGGGAAAATATGATAAAAACTTGATTGTAATTGCATTTAACAAATATTGACTAAATAAACTAAAAGATATAAAAGAATAAAAGATAACCCTGCCCTGAAGATGATTACCCCTTTTAGAAAATTAATGAGTTCAAATTTTGCCTCTCTACGGTAGTATCAAACATGACACTGAATACAATTCCAAGGAGGAAAACTAAAATCTCAAGTTTTACTTAAAAATATTTTACTCAGCAAAGTTTTAAAATTAAACAAGCCTAAAAGATGGCAAATACATAGTTTCGGCTTGCAATAAGGAAAGAAGCCACTCAATGTGTTCTATTTAATTTGTTGTATTATTTAATTAATGTAATATTTAATTAAATAATGTAATATTTAATTTGTTGTATACATTTCCAATGTATAACTGCCCCTTTTCCGATGATCCAATTAATTTCTCTAAGACTTCTCTTTGAGAAGTCTTAAGACTAGCTTTTTTTCCCATTAAATCTAATGGGTACTGTGAATCTTCCAGGTGACTATTTCTCTCTATGCGTTGAAATGAAGAAGAGCAAAAAAAGTATCAGACTTCTAAATCTATCCAATAAAAATAAAAATAAATAATGTTGCAATAAAATCCCTATACATAATCTTTTTTATTTTTTGAAACGGAGTCTCACTGTGTCACTCAGACTGGAGTGCAGTGGTGCAATCTCAGCTCACTGCAACCTCTGTCTCCTGGGTTCCAGCGATTCTCCTGCTTCAGCCTCCCCAGTAGCTTGGATTACAGGTGCCCGCCACCATGCCCGGCTAATTTTTTCTATTTTTAGTAGAGATGGGGTTTCGTCATGTTGGCCAGGCTGGTCTCGAACTCCTGACCTCAGGTGATCCGCCTGCCTCAGCCTCCCCAAGTGCTAGGATTACAGGCATGAGGCACCACGCCCCAGCAAAACTGTTCTTTTTTAATGCAGAAAATTGAATAGACATCTTTCAATGCCAAGTCAAAGGGCAATATGCGAATATTTGAAGCAAGAAAAACCTCCAATCAATTTATCTGCATTACAGTTTATAACTGTACATAATGGTAGACGGGTTCTTAAACACTTGCTTTCAAAATTTAAACCAGTTTCACCATATCTTCTCTTTTTAATTACCACAGTATTTTATATTTGTACCAGTTTGGCACTTAATTATACAGAAACACCAAATACTTTACATCTTCAAAGACTTTTCTTGCTAACTGAAGCAGACCTCTTTGAGAATTAGAAGTTTATTTTATATTTTTCCATAGAAGATAAACAAATGGCTGAGTGCACGAAAAGATGCTCAACATCATTAGTCACCAGGGAAATGCAAATCAAAACTACAAAGAAGTACCATTTCACACTCAAGGATGGCTATAAAATTTTTTTAACGGGAAATAATTGTTGGAGAGGATGTGGAGAAACTGGAACCTTCATATATTTTTGGTGGTAATGTAAAATGGTTCAGCAACTATGGAAAATAGGTGGCCGTTTCCTTAAAAAGTTAAACACATAATTATCATGTGACCCAACAATTTCACTTCTAGGTATACATCCAAAAGAACTGAAAACAGTACATATTAATGTACAAATATGTTCACATTAGCACCATTCATAGTAGCCAAAAAGTATAAAACAGCTGGGCGCGGTGGCTCACCGCCTGTAATCCCAGCACTCTGGAGCCTGAGGCAGGTGGATCGCTTGAGCTCAGGAGTTCAGACCAGCCCAGGGAACATGACGAAACCCCGTCTCTACTAAAAATATCAAAATTATCTTGGTGTGGTAGCACGCACCTGTAATCCCAGCTATTTGGGAGGCTGAGGCAGGAGAATCGCTTGAACCTGGGAGGCGGAGGTTGCAGTGAGCCTAGGTCAAGATTGCGCCACTGCACTCCAACCTGGGCAACAGAGCGAAATTCCGTTCCTCCACCCCCGAGCAAAAAAAAGGTATAAAATGGCTCACATGTCCATCGACAAATCAATGGGAAAACAAACTCTGGTACATAAATATAATGGAATATTATTCAGCCATAAACAAAAATAAAGTAGGCAGGGTGCGGTGGCTCACGCCTGTAATCCTAGCACTTTGGGAGGCCAAGGCGGGCGGATCACTTGAGGTCAGAAGTTCAAAACTAGCTTGGCCGTCATGGTGAAACCCCGTCTCTATTAAAAATACAAAAATAATAGCTGGGCATGGTGGTGCGTGCTTGTAGTCCCAACTACTTAGGAGGCTGAGGCAGGAGAATCGCTTGAACCCGGGAGGCGGAGGTTGCAATGAGCCGAGATTGTGCCACCACACTCCAGCCTCGGTGACAGAGTGAGACTCCATCTCAAATAAATAAATAAATAAAGTATTGGGCTGGACACAGTGGTTCACGCCTGTAATCCCAGCACTTTGGGAGGCCAAGGCGGGTGGATCACTTGAGGTCAGGAGTTCAAGACCAGCCCGGCCAACATGGTGAAACCCCATTTCTACTAAAAATACAAAAATTAGCCAGGCACAGTGGCGTGTGCCTGTAATCCCAGCTACTCAGGAGGCTGAGGCAGGAGAATCATTTGAACCCAGGAGGTGGAGGTTGCAGTGAGCTGGGATCATGCCACTTGCACTCCAGCCTAGGCGACCGAGCAAGACTCCGTATCAAATAATAATGTGAAGTACTGATACATGCTCCACCATGGATGAAGCTCCAAAAACACTATGCTAAGTAAAAGAAGCTAGAAACAGGCTGGGCGTGGTGGCTCACGCCTGTAATCCCAGCACTTTGGGAGGCTGAGGCAGGCGGATCACGAGGTCAGGAGATTCAGACCATCCTGGCTAACACAGTGAAACCCCGTCTCTACTAAAAATACAAAAAAATTAGCTGGGCTTTGTGGCAGGCGCCTATAGTCCCAGCTACTAGGGAGGCTGAGGCAGGAGAATGGCGTGAACCCCGGAGGCAGAGTTTGCAGTGAGCCAAGATCATGCCACTGCACTCCAGCCTGGGCGATAGAGCAACTCCATCTCAAAAAAAAAAAAAAAAAAAAAGAAGCCAGAAACAAAAGGTCAAATATTGTACGATTCCTTTTTTATGAAGTATCCAGAATAGGCAAATCCAAATCCATAGACACAGAACAAAGACTGGTGATTATCAGAGACGGAAGAGAGGAAAATAGCGAGCAACTGCTATAATAAATGGGTGCAGGGTTTGCTTGAGGGTTAAGGAAAATGCTTTGGAACATACATACAGTAGCTATACAACACTGTGAATGTACTAAATGCCACTGAACTGTTTACTTTAAAATGGTTATTTTTGTTGTTGTTTTTGTTTTTTGAGACAGGGTCTCACTCTGTCACCCAGGCTGGAGTGCAGTGGCGTGATCTCCACTCACTACAACCTCCGCCTCCTGGACTCAAGTGATCCTCCCACCTCTGCTTCCCAAGCAGCTGGGACTACAGACACATGCCACCATGCCCAGCTAATTTTTGTACTTTTTGTAGAGACAGGATTTTGTCATGTTGCCCAAGCTGGTCTGAACTCCTGAGCTCAAACAATCCACCGGTCTCAGCCTCCCAAAGTGCTGGGCTTACAGGCATGAGCCACCATACCCGGCCTAAAATGATTAATTTTATGTTATGTGCATTTCACCTCAATTCTTTTAAGTTTAGCTATTTGGGATGGAAATATTTCCTAACTGTATTTAGACACTTCCATGGAGTCTTATTTCCCTTTTTATAAGGCAGACCACATTGAACCTAATTAATATTTCCTGTTGACTCAGGATCACCACTATGTATAACAATGACTATGAGTAAGCCATTCCTCTTGTGTCTTAATTCTGAGTCTCAGTTGTCTCATCCGTAAAATGACATTTTTTGCTAGACCACAGGATCTTAATGTTTTTAGCCACAGATACTTTTGAAGACCCAATTAAGATATGAATTCTTACCCTAGAAAAATGCACATGTGCATATTCATACCAAATTTGTACACAACCTCAGAAAGTTCAAAGACCTACTGTGCAATTCCCGTGCAAGACTCACACAAGCAATTCCCATGGGTTCAGCATTTCTGATTCTACTACGGTCTAATACAGTGGAATAGCATCAACATTTATATGGGTTCATGAAGCTATGCTGTGCTTTTTACTTTCGTTGTATAAATAGTTGCCCTAGTTCACTGCCAAATTCTCTATTATAACTGCTAGCTGCTATCCAACACTTAAAGAACTTAAACTTTAAAAATTCAATTAGATTCTATTCAACAATTAGTACTGTATGTCCTATGCTAGGCATTAAATGGGAGGGACACAAAATAACCATAGTCCTAGTAAAAGCTAAGACAATTAAGTACTTACAAAAAAAGGAAAATATCTCATTAAGTACTAAACTGGGACACTGATAAATGAGCCAAAAAGAACTTAGAGAAGAACAAGGACAGTATAAGCTGAAGCAGTTGGGGACAACTTCATGGAAGAGGACTTGAATGGACAGAGAAAAAGAAGAGATGAGACCAAAAGGGCACTAAAAGAGACATCATAAACATAGGCAAAGTGTGCTGGGCAGTAATCAGAAATAGGCTGTATCGGCTGGGCATGGGGGCTCACACCTGTAATCCCACCACTTTGGCAGGCCAAGGCAGGCGGATCACTTGAGGTCAGGAGTTCGAGACCAACCTGGTCAACATGGTGAAACCCCGTCTTTACTAAAAATACAAAAATTAGCCAGGCATGGTGGCGCATGCCTGTAGTCCCAGCTACTCGGGAGGCCGAGGCAGGAGAATCGCTTGAACCTGGGAGATGGAGGTTGCAGTGAGCTGAGATTGCACAACAGCACTCCAGCCTGGGTGACAGAGTGAGATCCTGTTTCAAAAAAAGAAAGAGAGAGAGAAAGAGAGAGAGAGAGGAAGGAAGGAAGGAAAGAAGGAAGGAAGGAAGGAAAAGCAAGCTGCATAGATATGGAGGGGTCAATCAAAGATAATCTTAAAAAACAATAAAAACAATTACATGCAAAAATTATTTATGGTAAAGAGTCAGAACAGATATGGAGGATTGGTTATTAAGGGAGAAGGGACACGAGGGAGCCTTCAAGAATGCTGGAAACTTTCCATAACTTAATCTTAGTAGATACATTGGTTAAAAAAAAAATTCACTTAAGCACTTTATTGTTTGTACATCACAACTGAAAAAAATACACACAAATGGTTGCCAGATTATGATATAGAAAGTACTTCTGTAGGCCAGGCACAGTGGCTCTCGCCTGTAATCCCAGCACTTTGGGTGGCAGAGGCAGGTGGATTACTTGAGGTCAGGAGTTTGAGACCAGCTTGACCAACACGGTGAAACACCATCGCTACCACAAAAAAAAAAAATTAGCCAGGCATGGCGGTGTGTGCCTGTAGTTCCAGCTACTTGGGAGGCTGAGGCAGGAGAATTGCTTGAACGTGGGAGGCAGAGGTTGCAGTAAGCTGAGATCCTACCATTGCACTCCAGCCTGGACAACAGAGTGAGATTCTGTCTCAAAAAAACAGTAAAAAGAAGGCCGGGCGCGGTGGCTCACGCCTGTAATCCCAGCACTTTGGGAGGCCGAGGCGGGCGGATCACGAAGTCAGGAGATCGAGACCATCCCGGCTAAAACGGTGAAACCCCGTCTCTACTAAAAATACAAAAAATTAGCCGGGCGTAGTGGCGGGCGCCTGTAGTCCCAGCTACTTGGGAGGCTGAGGCAGGAGAATGGCGTGAACCCGGAAGGCGGAGCTTGCAGTGAGCCGAGATCCCGCCACTGCACTCCAGCCTGGGCGACAGAGCGAGACTCCGTCTCAAAAAAAAAAAAAAAAAAAAACAGTAAAAAGAAAGTACTTCTGTAGGTTTGTAGAAGTAAAAAATCAGATATTACATAAGGAGATAAGTCTTATACCAATATGTAAGGGGAACTGAAATGGGAGAGAAAAAGACAGCCTTTTAAGTAAAGTAGAATTAAGATAATAGTACTAGCTGGCCGAGTGCAGTGGCTCACACCTGTAATCACAGCACTTGGGGAGGCCAAGGCGGGTGGATCACCTGAGGTCAGGAGTTCAAGACCAGTCTGGCCAACATGGTGAAACCCCGTCTCTACTAAAAAAAATACGTTAGCCAGGCGTGGTGGTGGGCGCCTGTAATTCTAGCTACTTGGGAAGCTGAGGCAGGAGAATCGCTTGAACCCAGGAGGCAGAGGTTGCAGCAGTGAGCCGAGATCACGCCACTGCACTCCAGCCTGGGCGACAGAGCAAGACTCCATCTCAAACAAAAAAAAAAACCAAAAAAAAAAAAAACAAAAAACCCTAGCTAACACATATGTAACACAATATGCCAGGTACTATTCTAAGATCTATACATATAGGCCAGTTGTGGTGGCTCGCGCCTGTTATCCCAGCACTTTGGGAGGCCGAGGCGGGCGGATCACCTGAGGTCAGGGGTTCAAGACCAGCCTGGCTAACATAGTGAAACCCCGTTTCTGCTAAAAATACAAAAAAATTAGCCAGGCGTGGTGGTGCATGCCTGTAATCCCAGCTACTCGGGAGTGTGAGGAAGGAGAATCGCTTGAACCTGGGAGGCAGAGGTTGTGGTGAGCCAAGATCATGCCATTGTGCTCCAGCTTAGGCAACAAGAGCGAAACTCCGTCTCAAAAAACAAAAACAAAACTAAGAGCTATACATGTAACAATGCATCTAATCCTTTTAACACTATGTGGAAAGTATTATTATTCCCATTTTACAGACAATGAACTGAGGCCCAGAGATTAAGTGCTTTGCCCGCTCACACAGCAATGAGAACATCCATGACGATAAACTTTTTCACCACTTTACACCACATACATATCCGTGAATACATAACAGAACAAAAACAAACTAAAAATAGCAACAATAATAAGACTAGAACAAAACAGGGACTAAAATGATACTTTTACAGATAGAGTGCTTCCAACAGCAATAGCCCTTTTCCCCATCCTATAAATTCAATGTCAGCATCCCCACCTGACTTTAAACCTCACTGAGCAAATATATCATCTGCACAATCATCCTTACATCCCCTACTCCTAAAATAAGGCTACACACACACATACACCCTCTCACAAGAATGTTACAGATACTTGGAAAAGAGAACAAAGAATGAAACACATTTCAAAAGAAGAAATCCCACGACTTCATAACCTATTGTGTGAATATAGGTGAGAAAAGAGATTAAACAAATCAAAAATAATCCCAAAGTTTCTAATTTAGAAGACTTAGGGTTAGTAGAAATAAAAATACACGTCCATAGGCTGGGTGCGGTGGCTCACGCCTGTAATCCCAGCACTTTGGGAGGCTGAGGCGGGGGGATCACAAGGTCAGGAAATCGAGACCATCCTGACTAACATGGTGAAACCCCATCTCTACTAAAAATACAAAAAATTAGCCAGATATGGTGCGGACGCCTGTAGTCCCAGCTACTCGAGAGGCTGAGGCAGGAGAATGGCATGAACCTGGGAGGCGGAGCTTGCAGTGAGCCGAGATTTCACCACTGCACTCCAGCCTGGGCAACAGAGTGAGACTCCATCTCAAAAAAAAAAAAAAAAAAATATATATATATATATATATATATATGTCCATAAAAAGGCTTATATACAAATATTGCTAGCAATCTTATTCATAATAGCCAAAAACTGGAAATAATTCAATTATCAATCAACAGGTGAACATAAACAGTGATATATCCAAACACTGGACTATTACTAAGCAATAAAAAGAAATGAACTAATGAAACACGCAACATAGATAAATATCACAGCTATTATGCCAAGAGAAAGAAGCAAAACACAAAATTTCATACTGTATAATTCCATTTCTATGAAACTCTAGAAAAGACTAATCTCATATACAGCAATAGAAATCACATCAGAGGCCTGGTGTGATGGCTCATGCCTGTAATCCCAGCATCTTGGGAGGCTGAGGCGGGTGGACTGCCTGAGTTCAGGAGTTCGAGACCAGCCTGGGCAATACAGTGAAACCCCGTCTCTACTAAAATACAAAAAATTAGCCAGGCGTGGTGGCATGCACCTGTAATCCCAGCTACTTGGGAGGCTGAGGCAGGAGAATTGCTTGAACCCAGGAGGTGGAGGTTGCAGTGAGCGAAGACTGTGCCACTGCATTCCAGCCTAGGTGACACAGTGAGACTCCATCTCCAAAAAAATAAAAAAAAAAGAAAGAAATCACATCAGCGGCTGCACAGGAATAAGACTGAAAAGAGACTGCAAAGGGGCCTAGGAAATTTTGGGGGGAAGTAAAAATTACTCTATTATTAAAGTGATTGTTACAGCCACTGATCTGTACATTAAAAATTTGTGAAATTATTGCAAATAAATTAAAGCTTGGTAAAATTGATTGAAAAAACGTTATGGGCCAGGCGCAGTGGCTCATGCCTGTAATCTCAACAGTTTGGGAGGCCAAAGCAAGCGGATCACTCGAGGTCAGGAGTTTGAGACCTGCCTGGGCAACACGGCGAAACCCCATCTCTAAAAAATTAGCCAGGTGTGGTGGCACACTCCTGTAGTCCCATCTACTTGGGAGGCTGAGGTGAGAGGATAGCTTGAGCCCCGGAGGCAGACGTTGGGGTGTGCTGAGATTGCGCCACTGCACTCCAGCCCTGGGGGACACAGCAAGATCCTGTGTCTCAAAAAAAAAAAAAAAAAACCTTATGGCCAGGTGCAGTGGCACACACCTGTAATACCACCACTTTGGGAGGCTGAGGCAGGAGTATCACTTGAGCTCAGGAGTTTGAGACCAGCCTAGGCAATATGGCAAGGCTAGGGAAGGATCAAGTCTGACTCATTTCTGTATCCTGGCACAGAATCTAGAAAATCTCTACAAAAAATCAAAACATTGGTCAGGAATGAATGGCAGCATGCTCCTGCAGTTCCAGCTATTTGGGAGGCTGAGGCAAGAGGATCACTTAAGCCCAAGAGTTCGAGGCTGCAGCGCATGCCACTGCACTCCAGCAGCCTGGGTGACAGAGCCAGACTCTGCCTCAGAAACAAAACTAAACAAAACATGTTATTAACATTGAAATAGGTAGGTAAATAAGGAGAAACTTTTGCAAAAGATTAAGAAGATGAGTTCAATTTAGATATGTTCACCCCAACGTGTCTTCAAAAAGAGTAAGATACCTCAGTTGGGCATTGTGGCTCATGCCTGTAATCCCAGCACTTTGGGAGGCCAAGGCAGGCGGACTGCTTGAGCCCAGGAGTTCGAGACCAGCCTGGGGAACATGACGAAACCCCATCTCTACAAAAAATAAAAAAATTAGCCAGGTGTAATGGTGGGCACCTGTAGTCCCAGGTACTAGGGAGGCTGAGGGGGGAGGATCACCTGAACTTGGGGAGGTCAAGGTTGCAGTGAGCCATGATTGTGCCCCTGCACTCCAGCCTGGGTGACAGAGTGAGACTCTGTCTCAAAAAAATATAAAAATAAAAAAAGATTATCTCCGTCAGGCAATTGGGTATAAAGGATGGAGTTAGGGAGGCAGCAGGAAGAGAGGGAGACAGAGAAGAGCATTGTGTTGAGAGACACCTACTGTTAAAAGCAGTAAGAAAGAACAACCAGTAAAATACAAATTTTAAGAAGGAAGACAGTCAGACATGGTGTCTCATGCCTGTAATCCCAGCACTTTGGGAGGCCAAAGCAGGAGAGTGGCTTAAGGCCAGGAGTTCAAGACCAGCCTACACAACACAGCAAGTCCCCATTCCTGTATGTGCCTATAGTCAGTCCTAGTTCCTCAGGAGGCTAAGATGGGAAGATCACTTGAGCCCAGGAGTTCAAGACTGAAGTGAGCTATGATGGCACCACTACCCTCCTGCCTGGGCAAAAGAGCAAGACCCTGTATCTAAAAAAAGAAAGAACTGTAAGAGGTACTAGGAATGTTCTCTATCTTGTTCTTTGTGATGGTTACATGAACATACACATCTGTAAAAATTCAACAGGCTTACACTTCATATTTATGCACTTTGCTGCATTAATTATACCTCAAACAGTTTTAAAAAAAGAAAAATGGCTAAGCATGGTAGCTCACACCTGTAATGCCAGTACTTTGGGAGGCCGAGGTGTGAGGATCACTTTAGCCCGGGAGTTCAAGACCAGCCTAGGCAACATGGAGAAACCCTGTCACTACAAAAATTAGCTGGCCATGGTGGTGTATGCCAGTAGTCTCCCAGCTGCTTAGTTGGGGGGGTGGGTAGTGCACTCCTGTGGTCTCAGCTGCTTGGGAACCTGAGGTGGGAGGACTGCTTGGGCCAGGGAGGTCAAGCAAGGCTACAGTGAGCCGTGATTGTGCCATTGCACTTCAGTCTGGGCAAAACAGTGAGATCCAGTCTCAAAAAAGAAAAAAGAAAAGAAAAAAGATATGGCCCAAAAGTACCTTTTCAGCTTCATTTTACCAAATACCCATCCCAAATCACATAAATAACCTATAGCCACATATGATCAGTAATCACCCTCTTCAATATTGATCATTCATGCTCTCAGGTATATAATACCCTTTGTACTTTTATTTTTTTTTCAAGACCCATATAAAATCTCACTCCCTCAGGAGTCACTACTCCTAAACACCCCTTAACTCTACCTGTATAACAGTTAAATAAATGGTTCTCAATCAGGTGATTTTGCTCCCTAGGGGACATTTGGTAATACCTGAAACATTTTTTGATCATCACAACCAGGGGTGACGCTACTGGCATCTAATGGGTAAAAGCCAGTGATGCTGCAAAATATGCTATAATGCATAGCACAGATCCCCCCAACAATGAATTATCCTACCCAAAATGTCAATACTACCACGGTTGGGAAACCCTGCACTACACTATTGTATGTATTTACTTGCAAGCCTGTATCCCTACTAAACTACAAAATGGGAGGGATCAAGTCTTACTGATTTCTGTATACTGGCACAGTATCTACAAAATAACACACCAAAAAAATGTATTAATAAATACAGATGTGTCATTACTGAACCTATTTTAATAACCACACTGCCTAGAATGCTGCACTCAAAAAATATAAGAAATACGTATGTCATTGCTGAATCTTACTTTGATATGAAAGCTACATAACTTACTGGCTAAACTGGTTGTCTTTTTTTTTCTGAGATGGAGTCTCACTCTGTCTCACAGGCTGGAGTAGAGAGGTTCGATGTCGGCTCACTGCAAACTCCGCCTCCCAGGTTCAAGCAATTCTCCTACCTCTGCCTCCCGAGTAGCTGGGATTACAGGCGAGAGCCACCACACCCAGCTAATTTTTGCATTTTTAGTAGAGACGGGGTTTCACCATATTGGCCAGGCTGGTCTCAAACTCCTGACCTCAGGTGATCCGCCCACCTCGGCCTCCCAAAATGCTGGGATTACAGGCATGAGCCACCACTCCTGGCCTAAACTTGTGGTCTTTAAAAGCAAATTCCATCAATCACTATCTTGACTTGGTGTTTTCATAGTACATACCAACAAATTACAAATTATAACTATGTGAATATCTCAAAAGAGTATTAAACTGAAATTTATTTCCAAATTTACTGCAGCATGAGTAAACCAACTGGCTTAATGACTGTGCTCTGAAAGCATTTTTAAAAGGACACTGTTTCAGCAGGGCAAGGTGGCTCACGCCTGTAATCCCAGCACTCTGGGAGGCCAAGGCGGGTGTATCACCTGAGGTCACGAGTTTGAGACTAGCCTGACCAACATGGTGAAACCCCATCTCTACTAAAAATATATATATACAAAAATAAGCTGGGCCTGGTGGCACATGCCTGTAATCTCAGCTACTTGGGAGGCTGAGGCAGGAGAATCACTTGAACCTGGGAGGTGGAGGTTGCGGTGAGCCGAGATCATGCCATTGCGCTCCAGCCTGGGCAACAAGAGCAAAACTCCATCTCAAAACAAAGGACACTGTTTCAAAAATTTTTTGAACTCATATCATAGTGCCATTTGAATAAAATAGAGTAAAATAATGGATACTAAAATCTTGGCTATCATTCCACCTAACTTGAATCTAATAAAATTTATGTTAAAATACAGAATGGTAGTGTATTTTAACATATTGTCAAAAAATTAAACAGTTTTTACTTACCTATTTATTTATTTAGACACAGGGTCTCACTGTTGCCCAAGCTGGAATGCAGTAGCACAACCATGGCTCACTGTAACTCCATCCTCCTAGGTTCCAGCAATCCTCCTGCCTCAGCCTCCTGAGTAGCTGGGACCACAGGCACATGCCACCGTACTTGGCTAATTTTTTATTTTTAGTAGAGATGAGGCCTTACTATGTTGCCAGGCTGGTCTTGAGTTCCTGGGCTCAAGCGATCCCCTTGTCTCAGTCTCCCAAAGTGCTGGGATTACAGGCGGAAGATATCATGCCTAGCCAAAAGTTTTTATATCATAGTTATTTTACTTATTTTAGCAAATATTTCAGGCCAGGTGTGGTGGCTCATGCCTGTAATCCTGACACCTTGGGAGATTGAGCTGGGTGGATCACTTGAGTCCAGCAATCCAAGACCAGCCTGGGCAACACGGTGAAGCCGTCTCTACTAAAAATACAAAAAATTCGCTGGGTGTGGTAGCACAGGGCTGTAGTCCTAGCTACTTGTGGGGCTGAGGCAGGAGGATCACTTGAGCCCAGGAGGTCAAGACTGCAGTGAGCTGTGATCCTACCACTGCACTCCAGTCTGGAGTCCTACAACAGGTTCTTAAAAGAGTAAGACCCTGTCTCAAAAACAAAACAAAACAAAACAAAATCCCCCCCCACACACACACAGAAATATTTCATATCTCAACACTGTTTTATTTTTTACATGCCCAGCCAACTTTTTTATTCTTGATTAAAGATTAATGGCATTATTTTATAGAACTAGACATTCACACATAAAACACAAAAATACTTTTTCACTACCTAAGCTGAAGATAAAATGATCTTTTAATTACTCCATTTTCAAATTATTTGTACTTTTCTAGAGAATTAAAAAATCATTATCACTAATAACGACATGTCAAAGTAAAGAATCTAGGCCAGGCATGGTGGCTCACACCTGTAATCCCAGCACTTTGGGAGGCTGACGTATGAGGACTGCTTCGGTGTAAGAGGTCAGGGCTGCAGTGAGCTGTGATTGTGCCACTACACTCCAGCCTGGGTGACAGAGCAAGACCCTGTCTGAAAAGAAACACAAAAAACAAAAAAGAATCTGAAAGTGAGCACATTATATTGCCCCTCTGGGACTCAAAACTCTAATTCCAGTAAATAAAACCAACTGAAATACCATACTCCTATCAAGTAATGAGCCCTATAAAACATCATCATCATCTACCATTTATGCAGCAGGAGATTACTTAAATACTATATATTAAATAAAACAACATATACTATACAAAGTTTCTGTACAACAAGGAAGAGCAAAGTTTCCTTATCAAGTACAATCAAGGATATGGATGGTTTTGGCAAAAAGACAAAGCTTTTCCAATTTTCAGTAACCCTAAATTCCCCAAGTCTAAAAACGGAAAAACCTTGACCTTGTTTAGTAATGCTGTTCATCAACCTTTTCTGAAACCTCTTTCTCAGCCTCAATGGGAATAAATTGTAACAAATCAATCCAAAATACAAACTAGAGGTTTGTAACTACTACCATGAGTGAATTAAAAACATCAACTAAAACATAAATATTATGGTTAGATGTAACACATTGCAGCACACTGATTTTTTTTTTTTTTTTTTTTTTTTTGAGACAAAATCTTGCCCTGTCACCCAGGCTGGAGTGCAATGGCACAATCTTGGCTCACTGCAACCTCCACCTCCCAGGTTGAAGCAGTTCTCCTGCCTCAGGCTCCCTAGTAGCTGGGATTGCAGGTGCCCGCCACCATGCACGGCTAATTTTGTTTTTTTTTTTTTGAGACTAAGTTTTGCTCTGTCTTGATCTCTTGACCTTGTGATCTGCCCACTTCGGCCTCCCAAAGTGCTGGGCTTACAGGCGTAAGCCACTGCGCCGGGCCTAATTTTTTTGTATTTTTAGTAGAGACAGGGTTTCAGCATGTTGGCCAGGCTGGTTTTGAACTCGTGACCTCAAGTGATCCACCCACCTCGGCCTCCCAAAGTGCTAGGATTAAAGACATGACCCATCACGTCTGGCCTGGCATTTTTAAAATATACTTAATATACTTAATTAGTCACATAATAATTTTATGAACAGACGTATTTCAATTAAATCAAATCTATATATGTCCCCAAATAAAATAAAAATAAAAGATATTTTCTTAATATCCTCCAAATAAAAAGTTTTCAACCAGGCATGGTGGCTCACACCTGTAATCCCAGCACTTTCGGAGGCTGAGGCAGGCAGATTGCTTGAGCTCAGGAGTTCGAGACCAGCTTGGGCAATGTGACAAAACCTAATCTCTACAAAAAATACAAAAGAATTAGTCAGGTATGGTGGCGCATGACTGTAGTCTCAGCTACTTGGTAGGCTGAGGTAAAAGGATCACCTGAGCCCGGGAAGTAGAGGCACAGTGAGCCATCATTGTGTGCCACTGGACTCTAGCATAGGGAAGGGGACTGAGACCGTCTTAAAAAAATTAAATAGAAAGTCTTCTTTTTTTAAAATTCTGCAATTCATGAGAAACTGCACTCACACATAGTGTGTGACATTAGATATCTGATAACACGTTCCTTAATACAAAAACCTCAGAAGTTACCATGATTATCCAAAACTACTGGTACCCTGCCCAGGACCTTTTAGGCAAAGTCCTTGCTATCTCCTAAGCTTTGAAACCTAGGAAAGGTAAATATACCCAATATAACGACTAAATAGACTACAGATGAATCAGTAGAGATTGAAGGAGAGTTGTTGAAAGAAAAAGGAAAAAGCAAACTAAAACAAGCATACTTCAGAGACAGAAGATTAGAAGTAAAAGGGATGAGGTAAAAAAAGAAATTTTAGTTCAGGCACAGTGGCTCACGCTTATAATTCTAGCACTTTGGGAGGCCAAGGTGGGCAGATCACCTGAGGCCAGGAGTCAAGACCAGCCTGGCCAACATGGCGAAACCCCGTCTCAAACAAAAAGAACAAAAAGTACAAAAATTAGCCAGGCGTGGTGGCACAGCTACTCAGGAGGCTGAGGTGGGAGGATTGCTTGAGCCCAAGAGGCAGAGGTTTCAGCAAGCCATGATCACCCCACTGCACTCCAGCCTCCCAACAGAGTAAAACCCTGTCTCAAAAAAAAAAAGAGAAGAAAAAGAAAGTGATATGGTTTGGCTCTGTGTCCCTACCCAAATCTCATGTTAAATTGTAATCTCCAAAGTTGGGGGAGGGACCTGGTGGAAATGATTGGATCATTGGGGTGGATTTCCCCCTTGCTGTTCTAGTTGATAGTGAGTTCTCAAGAGCTACTGTTGTTGGAAAGTGGAAAGTTTGTAGCACTTCCCCCTTCACTCGCTTGCGTGTCCACACACATGCACACTCTCCCTCTCTCTCCTGCCAACCATGGGAAAATATGCCCACTTCCACTTCCGCTATGATTGTAAGTTTTCTGAAGCCTCCCCAGATGCAGATGCCTGTATAGCCCACAGAACCGTGAGCACATTAAACCTATTTTCTTTATAAATTACCCAGTCTCAGGTATGTCTTTATAACAGTGTAACTGGGTACCCAGAACATATAAAAATGTGGCAAACTGCTGAGCACAATAGCTTACACCTGTAATACCAGCACTTTGGGAGGCCAAGGCAAGAGGATAACTTAAGATCAGGAATTTGAGACCATCCTGGGCAACATAGCAAGACCCTGTCTGCACAAAAAAATTTTTTCAAAAATTAGCCGGGTGTGGTGGTGCACACCTGTAGTCGCAGTTACTCAGGAGGCTGAGGTGGGAGGATCACTTGAGCCAGGAGGTGGAGGCCGCAGTGAACTATGATCACACCACTGCGTTCCAGCCTGGGCAACAGAGCAAGACCCTGGCATCAAAAAAAAAAAAAAAAAAAAAAAGAGGCAAACAAAAGTTTCCCATAATAATGTTTACCCTTACTTTATGCACCACACTGACACTCCCCATTACTTTTTAAAATTGTTATTGTGACTCACTAAATTGAATTTACAAGCCATTAATGGATCACAAACTAAAGTTTGAAAGCACTGGCTTAGAGGAACTAAAAATTATGGGAAAGTCCTTGCTTTCCTATGATTATCTAGCTTGAGAAAACTATTCAGAAGGTGGAATTCTCCCAGGGCTGAAATACTGTCTTATCTGGCACATAATAATCACTTAAAGTTTGTTGAATTAATACATTTTGGAACGTAAGGCACTTTCAAGGTAAGGACATACCTACAAAAGATACCTAAATAAAAATGCGTAGAAGAGCATGGGTACTCTGAATCCCTTCAAAGACAGGGATGGTAAAAAGAGCTCCAGGAGGTAGAAGAGGGATACCAAATTTTTCTTAAATAAACAAAGTAAGTACTGGAAAAGAAATGTCATTTGTTGTTTTTTTTTTTTTTTTTTGAGACGGAGTTTTGCTCTTGTCTCCCAGGCTGGAGTGCAATGGCGCGATCTCGGCTCATTGCAACCTCTGCCTGGTTCAAGTGATTCTCCTGCCTCAGCCTCCCAAGTAGCTGGGATTACAGGCGCCCACTACCACACCCAGCTAATTTTTGTGTTTTTAGTAAAGACGGGGTTTCACCACTTTGGCCAGGATGGTCTTGAACTCCTGACCTCAAGCAATCCACCCACCTCGGCCTCCCAAAGTGCTGAGATTACAGGCCTGAGCCACCACGCCCGGCCTGAAATGTCATTTCTTAAGACAGGCTTTATATCCAGCAAAGGAAAAAGAAAACCTGTGATAAATTAAAAACTCCCATCAGAGGTGGGCACAGTGGCTCCTGTGTATAATCTCACCACTTTGGGAGAACAAGGCAGAAGGATCACTTAAACTCAGAAGATCAAGACCAACCTGGGCAACATAGTGAGATCTCGTCTGTACTAAAAATAAAAAAAAATTAGCCAGGTGTGGTGGTGCACGCCTGTAGTCCTAGCTGCTGAGGTGGCTGAGGTGAGAGGATCGCTAAGTCCAGAAGATTGAGGCTGTAGTGAACTTTGATCTCACCACTGCACTCCAGCCTGAGTGACAGAGCGAGAATCTATCCCAAAGAAAGAAAAAAACTCCCATTAAGTACTACACAGTAGTCCATTATAGGTGCAAAAAGTTACTAAGCTACCTTGATATTCTAACTATTTCTTTCAAAAATGTATGTCAGACTCCAGATATATAAATCCAATATCACCAGGCGCAGTGGCTCACGCCTGTAATCCCAGCACTTTGGGAGGCCAAGGCGGGCAGATCACGAGGTCAGGAGATCAAGACCATCCTGGCTAACACGGTGAAACCCCGTCTCTAATAAAAATACAAAAATTTAGCCAGGCATAGTGGCGGGCGCCTGTAGTCCCAGCTACTTGGGAGGCTGAGGCAGGAGAATGGCATGAACAGGGCAGGCAGAGGTTGCAGCGAGCCGAGATTGTGCCACTGCACTCCATCCTGGGCAACAGAGCGAGACTCCGTCTCAAAATAAATAAATAAAAATAAATCCAATATCAAATCAAAATTATATAATGCAACTCATCCTTAAATATTAGACTCTCCCCAGCACTTTGGGAGGCTGAGGCAGGTGGAACCACTTGAGCTCAGGAGTTCGATACCAGACCAGGCAACATGGCAAAACCCCATCTCCACAAAAAATACAAAAATTAGCCAGGCAGTGGCATTTGCCTGTAGTCCTAGCTACTTGGAGGGCAAAGGTGGGTGGATCACTTGAGCCTGGGAGGTCAAGGCTGCAGGCAGCCGAGATCGTGCCACTGCACTCCAGTCTGGGTGACAGGAGTGAGACCCTGTCTCAAAAAAAAAAAAAAAAAAATTATCTCAATGTACTCATAAACATTTATATTAGGCAGCTAGTGTGTGATAGCCAACAATTTATTGAGTGTTAGCATGTATCAGGCAGTAAGTTAAGTACTTAGCAAGCATTATCCTATTTAAACAACCCAGTATATACTATCTTCACATTAACGGGTGTGGTGGCTCATGCCCGCCTGTAATCCCAGCACTTTGGGAGGCCAAGGTGGGTGGATCACCTGAGGTCAGGAGTTCAAGACCAGCCTGGCCAACATGGTGAAACCCTGTCTCTACTAAAAAAACAAAAACATTAGCCAGGCATGGTGGCACATGCCTATAATCCCAGCTACCCGGGAGGCTGAGGCAGGAGAATCACTTGAACCTGGGAGGCTGAGGTTGCAGTTAGCCGAGATCACGCCATTGCACTCCAGCCTGGGCAACAAGAGCAAAACTCCATCTCTAAAAAAGAAAAGAAAAGAGAAAAGAAAAGAAAAGAAAAGAAGCCTGGCGCAGTGGTTCACATCTGTAATCCCAACACTTTGGGAGGCCAAGGCAGGCGATCACCTGAGGTCACGAGTTCATGACCAGCCTGACCAACATGGAGAAACCCCGTCTCTACTAAAAATACAAAAAATTAGCTGGGCATGGTGGCGCATACCTGTAATCCCAGCTGTTGGGAGGCTGAGGCAGGAGAATCGCTTGAACCTGGGAGGCAGGGGTTGCAGTGAGCGAGATCATGCCATTGCACTCCAGCCTGGGCAACAAGAGCAAAATTCCGTCTCAAAAAAAAAGAAAAGAAAAGGTGAGGCATAAATAGTTAAATAAAGAAGTTACCACAGGCCTGGTACTGTGGCTCATGCCTGTAATCCCAGCTCTTTGGGATGCTGAGGAGGGAGGACTGCCTGAGCCCCCATGAGTTTGAGACCAGATTGGGCAACATAGAGACCCCGTTTCTCGAAAAAAACTTTAAAATAAGCCAAGTATGGTGGCATAGGCCTGCAGTCTCAGCTACTCACGGCTTCGGCCCTGAAGGTAGAGGCTGCTATGGGCCATGACTGTGCCACTGCACTCCCACCTGGGTGACACAGCAAGACCCCATCTCAAAAAAACAAAAACTGAAAAAGTTACACATTTACACTAGTAAATGGTGACATACATATATATATATACACATATATATACATGTATATACATATATACATACATGAATATACATATATACACACGAATATACATGTATACATATATACATACGTGTATATATACGTGTATATATGTATATACATACATGTATATTCATGTATGCATACATGAATATACATGTATACATGTATACATGTATCATACATGAATATACATATATACATGTATACATGTATATATATATATATATTTTTTTGGGGGGGGACGGAATCTCACTCTGTTGCCCAGGCTGGAGTGCAATGGCACGATCTCGGCTCACTGCAACCTCCGCCTGCTGAGTTCAAGCAACTCTCCTGCCTCAACTTCCTGAGTAGCTGAGACTACAGGTGCGCGCCACCATGCCCGGCTAATTTTTTGTATTTTTAGTAGAGACAGGGTTTCACCATGCTGGCCAGGCTGGTCTCGAACTCCTGACCTTGTGTTCTGCCCACCTTGGCCTCCCAAAGTGCTGAGATTACAGGCGTGAGCCACGGCACCCAGCCATTTTTTAACTTTTTTATTATTTTCTTGAGACAGAGTCTCACTCTGTCACCCAGGCTGGAATGCAGTGGCACGATCTTGGCTCACTGCAACCACTGCCTCCCAGGTTCAAATGATTCTCCTGCCTCAGCCTCCCGAGTAGCTGGGACTACAGACAAGTGCCACCACGCCCGGCTAATTTTTGTATTTTTAGTAGAGACGAGGTTTCGCCACGTTGGCCAGGCTCGTCTGCAACTCCTGACCTCAGGTGATCCACCCGCCTCAGCCTCCCAAAGTGCTGGGATTACAGGCGTGAGCCACCATGCCCAGCCCTTTTTTTTTTTTTTTTTTTTTGAGACAGAGTTGTACTCTGTTGCCCAGCTAGAGTGCAGTGGCACAATCTCAGCTCACTGCAACCACTACCTCCCAAGTTCCAGCGATTCTCCTGCCTCAGCCTCCCAAGTAGCTGGGATTACAGGCACACGCCACCACGCCCAGCTAATTTTTTGTATTTTTAGTAGAGACGGGTTTCCTCCACATTGGCCAGGCTGGTCTTGAACTCCTGACCTAAAGTGATCTACGGTCTCCCAAAGTGCTAGGATTACAGGCGTGAGCCACCACGCCCAGCCAACATTAATATATAGTAAGTGCCAATTTTATTATTGGTAGCTGCAAACCAGAAAGTTTTGTTCCATCCTATTATTTGATAATATTTCTCAGAAACTAAACTTTGAATGTCTTTCTAAATGTTACAGTAATTCATCTACTTCTAAACCTGCATAAAACTATTTGATCAAATAATTTTATCAAAAGGAAAAATTAGCCCCTTCTCAGCTTTAAAGATAAATTAGACGGTAATTAAGTGCCATTATATTTAAATAACAACCTACAGCATAACGGTCACTGGCATTTTTAGGAGGCTGCAGTATATCTATTATGCAAGGCACTTAATAATTTATACTTTTACTTACTTTATTTACATGCCAGGTACTTAACATTTTAAAAACTCTTCCAACTTTTATAGGATACTTAATTTTGTCATCAAAAAGGTATAGCCTTAGACTGTATTTTAGAACAAAAAGTCTGCTTCTGGCACAAATAGACTGATACAGAAATAACTGTTACCATATGATGACAGAAACGTCCCAGCTGAAAATAATTGCTGCTAGTCCCTCCACACAACTTTTTAATTCATGTAGATTTTTAGAAGGTATGAGACATCTTTAATGAAATTAAACATCAATTTTTATTACTAAAAACTAAAATACTTTAAGAATGGAATGAACTAATACAGGTTGTATCCTCTCATATTTTATAATAGGAAAACCTGAAGAATAATTTTTAAAATCCAACCATTAATAGTAAGTACGGAAATCGGGCCGGGTGCAGTGGCTCATGTCTGTAATCTCAGCACTTTGGGAGGCCAAGGCAGGTAGATAGCTGGAGCTGAGGAGTTCAAGACCAGCCTGGGCAACATGGCAAAACCCCATCTCTACAAAAAAAAAAAAAAAAAAAAAAAATTAGCCAGACGTGGTGGCATGTACCTGTAGTGCCAGCTACTTGGGAGGTTGATGTGGGAAGAGCACTTGAACCCGGGAGGCTGAGGCTGCAATACGCTGTGATCACGCTATTGCATTCCAACCTGGGCGACACAGCAAAAACCCTGTCTCAAATTCAAAAAAAAAAAAAAAAAAAAAAGTACACATACCTAAAGGCAGGTGAGCATATGTTGGTACTCTGCTTAATGAACATCTCAATTTTATGCGAAACTTTACTAGAGAAATAAAACTTTTTTATTTGTTTCGTTTTGTTTTGAGATGGAGTCTTGTTCTGCCGCCCAGGCTGTCAGGCAGTGGCGCCATCTCAACTCACTGTAACCTCCACCTCCTGGGTTCAAGTGATTCTCCTGCCTCAGCCTCCCCAGTAGCTGGGGTTACAGGCACCCACCACCATGCCTAGCTAATTTGTTTTATTTTTGTAGAGACAGGGTCTCTCTTTGTTGGCCAGGCTGGTTTCGAACTCTTGACCTCAGGTGATCCGCCCACCTTGGCCTCCCAAAGTGCTGGAATTACAGGCTTGAGCCACCACACAGGCTTTTGTTTTTAGACAGTCTCACTCTGTCACCCAGGCTAGAGTGCGGTGGCATGATCACAACTCACTGCAGCCTCCATCTTCTGGGCTCAAGCAATCCTCCCACCTCAGCCTGCCAGGTAGTTAGAACAAGCACGCACCATCACGCCCCACTAATATTTTCATTTTTTATCTTTTGGAGACAGGGTCTCACTATGTTGCCCAGGCTGGCCTCAAACTCCTAGGCTCAAGTGATCCTCCAGCCTCAGCCCCCAGCATGCTGGGATTATAGGCATAAACCACCATGCCTAGCCCATGCTAATTAAAAAAAAAATTTGTTTTTGTAGAGACAGGGTCATGCTATGTTGCCCAGGCTGCTCTTGAACTCCTGGCCTCAAGCAATCCTCCCACCTCAGCCTCCCAAAGCGCTGGCATTACAGGCCTGAGCCACTTTGCCCAGCCCAGAAATAACACTTTTTTGAAGGGATTCGTTCACATATGATCCTCATCCAAACAGCAACCCTCAACTAATATGTACCAAAAATGCTCCTCATTTCTAAAAGATTAAATTAGTATGAGTGCAATTAATTGTTATAAGTAACAGAGACTAGTGAAAACAAAACAGAGATACAAATGAAAAATTAAGTGATTTTAATATACAAATAAGCCAAATGCAAAACACAGACTTTATTTCCAGGTGAAAGACACGAAAGACAGATTGATCTCAACTCTAATTTCAATGCCAACAACTGACCCCTAGATATCTTCTGGATTTACTAAATATTCATGTCTATTAAGAACTGGCAAATTTGCCGGGCACGGTGGCTCAAGCCTGTAATCCCAGCACTCTGGGAGGCTGAGGCGGGCAGATCACAAGGTCAGGAGATCGAGACCATCCTGGCTAACACAGTGAAACCCCGTCTCTACTAAAAATACAAAAAATTAGCTGGGCTTGGTGGCAGGCGCCTGTAGTCCCAGCTACTCAGGAGGCTGAGGCAGGAGACTGGCGTAAACCCAGGAGGTGGAACTTGCAGTGAGCCGAGATCGTGCCACTGCACTCCAGCCTGGGCGACAGAGCAAGACTCCGTCTCAAAAAAAAAAAAAAAAAAAAAAAAAAAAAAAAACTGGCAAATTATTAAAATAAATCATACTCATGGTTAGTTATGAGCATCCAGTCTTTCTAGTATCCTGTAACTAAAGAGTTGCTTTCTTACTGTTAAAATGGCATCGTAACATGGGCCCAAATATCATGTATACACCTTGTTATACAGAAAGTTTATTTTATATCAACACCCATTCAATTACTTGCCATATCCTCACTTCTCCCAAAATCGACATTATAAAAAATACGATAATTATTTTCTATTCAGTGCCCTCATACTTCTGATTCTGTACATTGCTGTACTTCTTTAAAACCTCTCAGAGTTTAAATTTGTTTGCAATACTATCCTTTAGTTTGGAAGCAATGTTTTGTTACTGTCAAGATAATCTTAAACTATTAAAAGCCTTTAAATCCAGCTGATTCTCAGAAATTCTTCCACCTATAAAACATGAGAATTATAACCAAATTAACAAATCAGATATCAGAATGCCAAAAATTAAGTCATTAAAAGAGAATCCAGTGAAAGAGCCAGTTGTGAAAGAACAGGAAGTGATGTACACTGCCATTTTGTAGATGAACTATTTAGAAACATAAGAAGTGCCATACTAATCTAGAATCAACTCAGACTAACAGCTCTCAGCATTTTCTTTCTGACAGTGGCATCAGAGGTCATCTGAAATAACCCTCAGGCAATTTTTCCTTAATAATGTATTTATCTAATTGATCATGAACATACTTTTCCACTTTTAGGCAACATTCCTACCAGCTATGAAAAAAGAGAGTTGTTTTTTTTTCAGTTGTCCTTAGTTATAGCATGCTGAAATATAGCAAGTAAATAGTTAACCTACACCCTATGTAAATCCTTTAAGTTTTGTAGCCTCTATTGATAAATCCTCTCTGCCTACAACTTCCCAAGGTAAAAGCAGTCACTCCTTACTGAGCAGTATGCTTCGATCAACACATGCTAGTATATATGAAATAATTATCAACAACAAGCCATAATACGGAGAATCAGACTTCCTGGCATAATTTGCCATAATGGAGAAAACTCTACATATCAACAACATGCAGCTTTGTCCCATGAAATAAATACTCAAATGAATAGTGTTATTTCAATGAATTGAGATGACCATTAAAAGGGAATAAAGAAAAGAGAATTCCATCTTCTGAGAAAAAAAAATAAAACTTATTTAACATACCATGTCTCCTACATCAAAATCATGATATAAAATGACAGAAACTAAGTTAGTGCCTAGCGCTACTACTAACACCTTTAAATCCCTATCTTAAAACAGGTTTCAAAATGCAACAAACACACCAAAAAAGCTCTATTGGACAACATTTAATGACAACATAAAATGTAGATGGCATTTGAAGTATTTAAAAATAAGTCACTAAGTAGAGCTGAAAACACTAAATACACCAAAGACAACTCATTATCTGTACACATTTTAGTCTTCTTCTTCACTTTGGGAAAAAATTAATTCTATTAATAGTCATATGTGGAATATTTTGAAATCACATCACCAGTATTTACTAAACACTTGAAAAAAATGTATCATCAGTACATGGAGACTTGAAAACTACTCTTTGGTCACAAAAAGCACTTGGCAGCACATTTCCAGAATGTTTAAATTTTTATTTCTACTCAACTAAGAACAAAACCAACAAGTACTACTGTAAACCAGATAAGATGATCTGCTTTCAGACAAACATGACAGGTAGCAAAAGAAGTGAAAAATGACTGACTACAGAAAATAGATCATAGAATAATTAGGCAGATTAATAAGAACAAAGAAACAGCTGCAGAAAGGTTTGTAACCTTACCATTTTAAAAAAAATCCAATTTCAATATTATACACAACAGTATCAACCCTAAAAATTCACAGCTTAGGGAGAAATGCCCTGAATCAGACAGGCTGTCTGTATGTAATAATTGTTAATAATTTTTTTTTTTGAAACGGAGTCTCGCTCTGTCGCCCAGGTTGGAGTGCAGTGGCACCATCTCGCCTCACTGCAACCTCCGCCTCCCGGGTTCAAGCGATTCTCCTCCCTCAGCCTCCCGAGTAGCTGGGACTACAGGCGCGTGCCACCATGCCCAGCTAATTTTTTGTATTTTTAGCAGAGACGGGGTTTCACCGTGTTAGCCAGGATGGTCTCGATCTCCTGACTTCGTGATCCGCCCGCCTTGGCCTCCCAAAGTGCTGGGATTACAGGCGTGAGCCACCGCGCCAGGCCAATAATTCTTCATGAACTACAAAAGTCATAGAAAAAGAAAAGGGAAATGAGGATGAGGAGGTACAAAATTATTTTATTTGAATTCTAACTAAAATCCAACCTGCTCACAAAAAATGTCAATCCAGACATCTCTCAAAAAGAGAGACATCAAAACTGTTCTAACAGGAGAGGTGTCCCTCTCGAGAGGCCATATCCCCCAACAATAACACCAGAACAGATACACTTCCCATGGACAGATCTCAGGGGAAGAGTATTAAAACGATACTGTCGTCGATTTAAAACCAAAGGAAAAAGAGTAACCTTTTCAAGGGAAGCGCCATTACTTCCCTCTCCTGCTCCCCCTCCCTTCTGTGTATACATGGGTCTGTGTATGAAGAAACTGCCTTGGACTTCTGCAGCATTGCAGTAGACTAGAGGATGGGGAAGGGGGAAGGGTACGGGGAGAGAAACGCTTCCATCGCCCCTACAGAAGAGGGGTATAGATTTCCTGTGCTAGGGGGTGGAATCCACCCAGCAAGCCACCCAGAGCAGTCTCCCTTCCCAAGAATACACAGACACTACAAAGGAGAAGAGGAGCAAAGGCACCAGAGGGGAAGGGGACCTCGCGCCTTTAAACCGGGGTGCACATCAACCCAGTCTCCCTGTGAGGGCCACACCTTCCTCGAAACATCCCCCTTCCACCACCCCTTCCGGTGACCCTCAGGAAAAAGGAATGGAATTGCTCTCGCCCCTTAAAACCGGAGGGCGCCCAGCTCACCAGCTTCTTCACCCCACCCACAGAATCACAGACCCTCCTTTTCTCCCTCCCCCACCCCACTCCCACATCCCTTCTTCCACACACAGGCCCGAGTGGGCCGAATTTCCCCGCCCCCCTCTATATCCCCCTTTCCCAAAGCAGAGGTGCCCTTACCCTTTCGCCGACAGGTCTGGGGCGGAGCAGGCAGGCGCAGCCCCCTGCAGCGCTCCGGTAGCCGCTACCCTGGAGGGTGAGGAGTGAGGAGGAGGAGGGGGCCCGGCGACAGATCGCCGCCCCCCACCCCCGAGCCCCAGCAAGCCGCCCAGCCCAAGCTCTGCAACAAGGGGCGGCGGCGGCGGGGGGTGGGGGGGGGGGCGAGGGGACGACCGGGGTCGAGGAGGCGCCCTCAGCGCTTGGGCTCAGTTAAGATGGCGCGGGGAAGTGCCGGGAGCCGTCTCCGTCGCCGCCTCGGGGGAACCGGCCCGGGCCTCGGCCGCCTCTAGTCCTCACACAGCCGAGGCCCTCTCGGTCCCCCGCCGCGGCCCCTCGGCGGGCGGGCCCACGCGCAGCCCTCCGCCACCAACACCACCCCTGGTAAGGAGGCGCTCACAAAGGGAAGAGAGGCCGCGGGCCGGCCGGCGGACGGCGGGGCGGGGTCCCCCGGGGCCGGGAGGCCTCAGATGTTCGCGAGTGCCTAGTGCTTTCGGCCCGCGAAGGGCGCAGGGCGAGCGGGACCCCTCCTCTCTCCTCAGGCAGGCGGCGGCACCGACTCAGTCTCTTTGCCACCCTCCCTCTCTCTCCCCGAGCCCTGAAGCCACAGAGCCCGGCCGCTGCCCAGCTTCCCCCCCTTTACCCGACACCACTCCCCTCCTCCAGACCGTCATCCCCCGTCTCCGATCTCGCGAGATTTTCCGCCTGACAGGCCGGACCCTGCGCGAGACACGACTACATGCGCGCGCGCGCGCCCTCACAGGAGCGCGCAAGGCTTGCTACGGGCAGAGTTGTCCCGGTGGCCCGGAGTTCCAGCCTCTGTCCAGCATGGCCTCACTGAGTTCGCGGAGCTTCTAATGCCACGCGGGCGTCAGGTGCATTCATTTCACCCCGGAGATCTGAAGAAGAAGAGTTTATCTGCATTCCCCTTCCTTCCTGCTTCCCACCTCCAAAGCCCGCCACTGATCCTGCGAATAAGTTTGCCCTGAAGTGTGGAATATCCCATTCCTGCACAACTCGGTTCTACACCCCCTCCCCCGTGGGATTCAGAGGTACACTGGGCAGCGCAATCAGTATGCAGTTGAGTTTTTGAGATTCTAATAGTTGATACTAATTCTTGGAACGACAGTAAGACTTGGAAATACAGATCTAAGCCACCCTATATATTGGTGATGTAGAAAAGAGATAACTTCTTGAAAAGTGTCTGTGGGTTTAGTAGGTTGAGTAATGAGAAGTTTTGGAACAAGAGCAGCAAACAAACTAAAGACTCCTATGCAAAGAAGAAGTAGAGTTTTTATTCTTTTATCTCAAAACTTTTTTTTTTTTTTTTAGGGAAAACTCCCTCAGTACTTATTCAAGAACCTAAAAGTGTAAGGCCGGGCGCGGTGGCTCACGCCTGTAATCCCAGCACTTTGGGAGGCCGAGGCGGGCGGATCACGAGGTCAGGAGATCGAGAGCATCCTGGCTAACACGGTGAAACCCCGTCTCTATTAAAAGATAGAAAAAAATTAGCCGGGCGTGGTGGTGGGCGCCTGTAGTCCCAGCTAGCTACTCGGGAGGCTGAGGCAGGAGAATGGCGTGAACCCGGGAGGCGGAGGTTGCAGTGAGCCGAGATTGCGCCACTGCACTCCAGCCTGGGCGACAGAATGAGACTCGTCTCAAAAAAAAAAAAAAAAAAGAGAGAACCTAAAAGTGTACACAAAGTGTAGTCATAAAAAATCTTGGTTCTTTAACCAACAAAACGACTGAAATAAATAAACCTGTTATATGAGTTTCATGAATAAAAATTAACTCTGGGCCGGGCCCGGTGGCTCACGCCTGTAATTATAGCACTTTGGGAGGCTGAGACGGGCGGATCACCTGAGGTCAGGAGTTCGAGACCAGGCTGGCCATAGTAGATCTGTGCTCCAAGGAAGGAGCATGTTGATCAGACCTAAGCAATCCGTGTATACAGTGTATGTATGACCTTCCTCTAGTCTGGCTCAGGGATGGGCACATGATCCAATTAGAGCCAATGGGTACAATAAGATTTTCTCTGGCTTTTTGGGAAAGAAACTTTCTTATTTTCTCCCAAAAATGTAATATATATATTGAACTCCCAAAATGGAATCCAGTGGTGTGATCCTGGCTCACTGCAACCTCTGCCTCCCAGGATCAAATGATTCTGCTACCTCAGTCTCCCAAGTAACCGGAACTACAGGCATATGCCACCGTGCTGGCTAAGTTTTGTATTTTTTGTAGAGATGGGTTTCGCCATGTTGCCCAGGCTGGTCTTGAACTCCTGGCCTCAAAGGATCCACCTGCTTCGGCCTCCCAAAGTACTAAGATTACAGATGTGAGCCACCGTGCCCAGCCTATGATTTTTCAATGAGCAATAATCACACCTCGGATAAATCTCATTGGCTACAATACTGCCACTGCACAAAGTTTCTGAAATTTGATGATGATGATAACAAAAATAGTGAAATAGTTAACACGTATTGAGTGCTGATTATATGCCAGAGAGAGTTCTAAACACTCTACTTATTTACTCCTCACAATAACCATATTGGGTGGGTATAATTATTATTCCCTTTTAGAAATGGTGGAACTGGGCCTGGCACGGTGGCTCATGCCTGTAATCCCAGCACTTTGGGAGGCTGAGGTGGGCAGATTACCTGAGGTCAGGAGTTCGAGACCAGCCTGGCCAACATCGTGAAAAAAATTAGCCGGGCATGGTGGTACACGCCTGTAATCCCAGCTACTCAGGAGGCTGAGGCAAGAGAATTGCTTGAGCCCAGGAGACAGAGGTTGCAGTGAGAGGAGATTGTGCCACTGCACTCCAGCCTGGCCAACAGAACGAGACTCTGTCAAAAAGAAAGAAAGAGAGAGAGAGAGAAAGAAAGAAAGAGTGGCACTGAGGCACAGAGAAGAATTTTGATTAACTTGTCAAAGTTCTTATAGCCAGTTTGTGGTGAAGCCAGTTGTCAAACTCAGCTTTCATCCAGAACCACTGTGTTCTTTTTTTTCTTTTTTTCTTTTTTTTGAGACAGAGTCTCACTCTGTCGCCCAGGCTGGAGTGCCATGGCGCGATCTCAGCTCACTGCAATCTCTGCCTCCCGGGTTCAAGCAATTCTTCTACCTCAGCCTCCTGAATAGCTGGGACTACAGGCGCGTGTCACTGCGCCCGGCTAATTTTTGTATTTTTAGTAGAGACGGGGGGGGGTTCACCATATTGGCCAGGCTGGTCTCGAACCCCTGATCTCGTGATTCACCCGCCTTGGCCTCCCAAAGTGATGGGATTACAAGCTGAGCCACTGTGCTCGGTCTATATTCTTTTTTTTTTTTTTTTTTGGGACGGAGTCTCGCTCTGTTGCCCAGGCTGGAGTGCAGTGTCACGATCTCAGCTCACTGCAACCTCCACCTCCCGGGTTCAAGCAGTTCTCAGAGCCACTACATTCTATTTCCTTGAGAGAATGTAAGGACTGGAATTGCTATTGCCTTTTGCTGTGAAGCCCCAGAACAAAGGCAACTCAGTGGGAAACACATTCTGGAGATAAAACCAGATCACTGAAGCCCTGGAACTAACTCTGTCTGAAGTCAGTCCTGACCCTGGAGTTTTTAGCATTTGTGTGCTAAAACATTCCCATTTTTCTTAAGCTAACGTTGGGTCTGGTTCTCTTTTGTTTGCAACCAAATAGTCCTCACACAGAACTGTTTATTTTTTGGCCTTTCCCACCAGGCTGTGATCTTCACAAGCATATGAATATTTGTCTTATTTATATCTATGTCCACAAACTTAGCATAATGTACATAATGACATTCAACAAATGTTTGCTATCAGTTCAATAATTCTGCAGACATTTTCTCCTATGTGTCAGAAATTGGGTTAGGTGTGGGAGATGTCAAGAAGAGTGAGTGAATGAAAGCTGTTTGCCTGGAGTGTATGGAAGAATAGCTGCTGCAAATGTTAGTGTGACAGAGAACTCTAGGAAAAGGTGTACACACATGCTAGAGTTCTCTGGAGGTTACTGTCACTTTGGCACTATGTGCCTGGCCGATGGGTATTTCTGGAGTCTTACACATGTCAAATGTTTTCAGGATTGTCTAAGGTTCTAAGAATGTCTAGAAGTCACCTGCTTCCCAAACTGATGTACGTATCGGAGTTATAGCCGGTCCTGTCATGTAAATGATGTGTTTTCTGCTATGCTTCTCTGTGTCTCTTGACTCCCAAAAGCATATACTGTAAAATGAATATGCCCTACCCATGTCTCAGACTTATAGTGAAGATCCTGTCTGGATATGAAAGTTCTGTTGTATCCAGGTGATAGCTGCTTTATTTCACCTGACCACAAGTGCTAATATATTCTACTCTAGCTAGCATCCCCACAAAAAACGTATCAGTTAGCCTCACTAGCAGTTCTATTCCACTTGTAGTGAACATCTGTTATTCTTGTCTGTCCCAAATTTCTCCCTCTTCTTCTGGCAAAAAGTACCCTATGGCCGGGTGTGGTGGTTCACACTTGCAATCCCAGCACTTTGGGAGGCTGAGGTAGGTAGATCACTTGAGCTCAGGAGTTTGAGACCAGCCTGGTCAACATGGGGAAACCCCATCTCTACAAAAATTAGCTGGGTGTGCTGGTGTGCACCTATAGTCCCAGCTACTAGGGAGGCTGAGGTGGGAGGATCACTTGAGTCTGGGAAGTTGAGGCTGCAGTGAGCCCTGTTTACACCACTGCACTCAAGCCTGGGTGACAAAGTGAGACCCTGTCTCAAAAAAAAATTTTTTTAATTACTCTACAGTTCTTAGAGAACTTTCCTGTCTGTTGTTCTGTGGAGTTCTTGTGGGGTTGTTACTCTGGGCCTCTTGCTACAGATGGGCACGCCGTCACAGCGTGGGCAACCAAAATAGCTCACCCCTTGGTGAAGCAACTGGGCCAGGGAAGGGTACATGACCCAGAGCCCAAGCTGGACCACTCAGAGATGTTCATTTGGATTTTATATACTGCTTTGTGAGAGTGAGAAGTTTTGCTTTGCCTTTGGGCTCATAAACTGGGATGATGTAAATCTAGACTTTCTATGGAGTTCCTCCCACACAGACCCCATCTCCCTCATCCAGCATCCCTCTGTTGCATAAAATAAACTACCAAGATGCAAGCTTTCCTCCATATGATCTATGTGAAGCCTGCTTAAATTGCTTATAGAAGCATGTCTATGGTTCATAAGCTCCAAGTTCTGATCTCATCCTCACAAAGTCTCAAATGCCTTCAAATTCTACATTTACAACATTCTAACATTTCTGTGTTGAGTAAATTTATGAAGAGGAGAAATAAAAGGCAAGTTTCATGGTAACCATTTACATGGTGCCATATGATATCCGGGCCAGACCTCTGTCCCTTCTTCGGGGGTTTCTGGGCAGTGAGTAGGAGAGAGCAGGTTATGTAGGAGAGGTTGTTTAAAACCTGAATTTTGAGACACTCACTGTCTCTAGTGGGTATAATACAACATATCAGTAAAGGAAGCATTTGATTTTTTTTTTTTTTTGATACAGAGTCTCACTCTATTGCCCAAGCTGGAGTGCAGTGGCACAATCTCGGCTCACCACAACCTTTGCCTCCTGGGTTCAAACAATTCTCGTGCCTCAGCCTCCTGAGTAGCTGGGATTACAGGCATGCACCACCATGCTGGGCTAATTTTTGTATTTTTAGTAGAGAAGGCGTTTCGCCATGTTGGCCAGGCTGGTAACGAACTCCTGGCCTCTAGTGATCTGCCCACCTTGGCTTCCCAAACTGTTAGGATTACAGGCATGAGCCACTGCACCTGGCCAAAGGAAGCATTTGATTAAAACAGATATTAGAAATTTTCCTGATTCATTTCCTGTGTGTAGACAGTATCCATGACAGCATTCAGTGTTGAGGTGTATTAAAACTAGGTGGCAGCAGTGGGAAGCACCCAAGTTCACCAGCTGTATCCCCTGACCCAGTATGGACACTCAACTTTATAACAAAACCCAATCTATAAAGAAAAATACCCAGGGATTGGGAGCTGGGTGTGGTGTGTGGAGAGACAGAAAAAAGGGAGACAGAGTCAAACACTTAACAAAACTTTTTAAGCTCCTGTGGCACTGATTTTTCAGTTACAGGGCCTAATATATTTCTTTTTTCCCACCCTTAAGCTGATTTGGGCCGGGCACAGTGGCTCACGCCTGTAATCCCAGCACTTTGGGATGCCGAGGCGGGCGGATCACGAGGTCAAGAGATCGAGATCAGCCTGGCCAACATAGTGAAACCCCGTCTCTACTAAAAATACAAAAATTAAGCCAGGCATGGTGGCGCACACCTGTAGTCCCAACTACTTGGGAGGCTGAGGCAGGAGAATTGCTTGAACCCGAGAGGCGGAGGTTGCAGTGAGCCAAGATCACGCCACTGCACTCCAGCCTGGCGACAGAGTAAGACTCCGTCTCAAAAAAAAAAAAAAAAAAAGCTGATTTGAATTGTCACCTTCAACCACAAGACTTCTTTTTTTGTTTGTTTGTTTTTTTAAGACAGAGTCTTGCTCTGTCACTCAGGCTGAAGTACAGTGGTGATCATAGCTCACTGCAGCCTCGAACTCCTGAGCTCAAGGGATCCTCCACCTTCAGCCTCCCAAGTAGCTGGGACTTACAAGCACACACAACCATGCCCAGATAATTTTTTATTTTATTTTTTGTAGAGACAGGGTCTAGCCATGTTGCCCAGGCTGGTCTCGAACTCTAGCCTCAAGTGATCCTCCTGCCTTGGCTTACCAAAGTCATGGGATTACATGCATGAATCAGTGCACCTGGCCCCAAAAGACTTCCTACTAGTATATTACTCCTATTTAGTAAAGAGAAGTCCAAAGAGGAAGCCTAAAGAAAATCCCAAGCCAATAAAATATTAACTTATTTTATGTTTTGATTGCCAGCTGTTTGTGTTTCATATGATGTGTGGCAGAAATCTGGTAGGAATTCATGTAGATTTTTTTAAATCCTGGCAGATGTCAGCCATAGCAAAGGGCATAATAAAATCACCAACTCGTCCTGAAGATACATTCCAAAAACCTCTCAGTCCACAAACATGCTGCCCAACCCTTCCTATAGCCACAGATGTCCCAGACAATCAACCATGATGCACTGATCATGGGATGCCTGCCAGAGGGTAGTGTCAGAGAAGTGGGATGAATATTTACCTCCTTGCACATACACAGTAATAGCTAACACTTTAAAACATTTTCCATGGACTAGGCATGGTGCTAAGCACCTTACATGTTACTTAATCTTACTTACTTAATCTTCACATGACCCTCTGAAGAAGGTAATATTAACCCCATTTTACAGATAAAGAAAAGAATCCTCAGCTTGGTTATGAGAATGACACAAAGTAAGGGCAGCTACCGACATTAGTAAGTGATGGAAGTGGAACTCCAAAGTCAATGTCTTTTTTTTTTTTTGAGACAGAGTCTCACTGTGTTGCCCAGGCTGGAGTGCAGTGGCACAATTTCAGCTCACTGCAACTTCTGCCTCCTGGGTTTAAGCAATTCTCGTACCTCAGCCTTCTGAGTAGCTGGAATTACAGGAGTGAGCCGCTATGCCCAACCCAAAGTCAATTTGTTTTTGTTTTTGAGACTGAGTCTCACTCGTCTCTAGGCTGGAGTGTGGTGGCGCTATCTCGGCTCACTGCAAGCTCCGCCTCCTGGGTTCACGCCATTCTCCTGCCTCAGCCTCCCGAGTAGCTGGGACTACAGGTGCCTGCCACCACACTCGACTAATTTTTTTTTTTTTTTTTTTTTTTGTATTTTTAGTAGAGACGGGGTTTTACCGTGTTAGCCAGGATGGTCTCGATCTCCTGACCTCGTGATCCGCCCACCTCGGCCTCCCAAAGTGCTGGGATTACAGGCTTGAGCCACCGCGCCCGGCCTAGGTCAGGACTTTCTTATATCAAGTTGTATTCTACCAACTGTTACGTACCTTGGCCCAGTATTTATCTATTCTTGTAGGTTAAAATAGAAGAATATGCTGCCTCCATGTGCAGGGCATTTTAAAAGGATTGGCATTTTAAAAAGATTTTCACAAAATGGATCACATTATATGAGAATATGGAGCTCAAGAAGCAACTCCGTACATGATCAGCTTTATTTTCCAGCCTGTAAAACCACACTTCTATCAGGCATCCTTCTGTAGACATGTTTGAGTGAGATGGGCAACAGAGCAAGACTCTGTCTCAAAAAAAAAAAAAAAAAAAAAAAAGGCTGAGCTTGGTGGCTTACGCCTGTAATCCCAGCAGTTTGGGAGGCCGAGGCAAGCGGATTGCCTGAGCTCAGGAGTTTGAGACCAGGCTGGGCAACACAGTGAAAACACGTCTCTACTAAAATACAAAAAAATTAGCTGGGCGTGGCAATGTGCGACTAGTCCCAGCTACTCAGGAGGCTGAGGCAGGAGAATTGCTTGAACACGGGAGGCAGAGGTTGCAGTGAGCTGAGATCGTGCCACTGCACTCCAGCCTGGGTGACCGTGCGAGACTCTGTTTCCAAAAATAAAAAATAAAAATAGAGACAGGGTCTTGCTTTATTGGCCAGGTTGGTCTCAAACTCTTGGCCTCAAGCAGGCCTCACACGTCCGCCTCCCAAAGTGCTAGGATTATAAGTGTGAGCCCCTGCACCAAACCTGCTTTTTGTTTGTTTGTTTTAAAAGCTCACAGCCAGCCACAGTGGCCCACAGCACTCCAACCTGGGTGTCAGAGTGAGACTCTGTCTTGAAAATAAAAAAATAAAAATTAACTCTAAGGATCAGAAAAGGAAGCTATCTGCTTCAATGGGATGTGTATATGATTTGTTCTCAATACTACCTCTTGTAGTAAGGGTCCTTGCTCTTTGAGTTGGTCATTCCTCTCTTCACCTATGTTGTCAACCACTCTCAAATGGCAACTCCCCCTCAGCATTAAAAACATGCCCTAGTTTCTTCTTCTTTGGGGAGAAAAGAAAGATTACTTTCATCTCTCCTGTCTATAGCCAAGCTTCTTGGAATTCCAAATTATCTATCTTCCCACCCCCCTCTACTAATATTGATCTTGCCAAGGTCAAGACTGACTTCCTGGTTGCAATGTCTAGTGAAGTCATTTAATAGTTTTATTCCTGTCATCTGCAATATTTGACGTCATTGACAGTCCTTCCATCTTGAAACTGTGTTCCTCCTTGGCTTTTTCAACACCACTCAAAACCAGATTTCCTTCCACCTTCCTGTCCTGGCAGGGTCCTCTTCCTTCACCTACCCCTTAAAAGATGCCCCTCCAATCCTCATCTATTTTCCTGAAATTGTTATAGCAAGAATGTTCTCTTCTAGTTATTTCATACATTTGGGAGTGGAAAGAGATTCAGGCTTTCCCTAGTATTTTTTAAATTTTTTATGGAAAATTTCAAACATTCAAAAGGAGTGCAATAAATAATAAACTTCCAGGTGTTCATCACCTAGCTTCAACTAGTATAAACACTTTATCATTATCTTTTACCTCTTCTCCCATAAACCTTTATTCTCCCTGCTGGAGTTTGTTATTTTTTTAATTTATTTTAGAGACAGGGTCTCGCTCTATCATCGAGGCTGGAGTGCAGTGGCACAGTCATAGCTCACTGCAGCCTCAAATTCCTGCGCTCAGACAATCCTCCCCATCAGCCCCCCAAGTAGCTAAGACTACAGGTGTGTGCCACCATGCTCAGCTAATTTTTAAAATTTTTTTGTAGAGATAGGGGTCTCACTATGTGTCCCTGGCTGCTCTTGAACTCCTGAACTCAAGCAGTCTTCCTGTCTTGTCCTCCCAAAGTGCTGGCATTACAGACATGAGCCATCACACCCACTCAACACCCCCTGGAGTATTTTTATTTATTTATTTTTTTGAGACAGAGTCTCACTTTGTCACCCAGGCTGGAGTGCAGTGGCACAATCTCGGCTCATTGCAACCTCTGCCTCCCAGGTTCAAGCGATTTTCCTGCTTCGGCCTCCTGAGTAGCTGGGATTATAGGCCTGTGCCACCACGCCAGCTAATTTTTTTGTGTTTTTAGTAGAGCATGCTCAGCTAATTTTTTTGTATTTTTTGTAGAGACAGGGTTTCACCATCTTGGCCAGGCTGGTCTCGAACTCCTGACCTCGTGATCCACCCGCCTCGGCCTCCCAAATGCTGGGATTACAGGTATGAGCCACCTCACCGAGGCCCCTGGAGTATTTTTAAATAAACCTCTTATAAATCATCATAACATTTCACCTGTATATACTTCAGTATGTATCTGTAACAAAGACCTTTATTGTAGCATAACCACAATATCATTATCACACCTTTACAAAATTAAAAAAATTGTTTTCTTTGTTTTTTTGTTTTTTTTTTTGAGATGGAGTTTCATTCTTGTCACCTAGGCTGGAGTGCAATGGCGCGATCTTGGCTCACTGCAACCTCCGCCTCCCAGTTTCAAGCTATTCTCTTGCCTCAGCCTCCCGAGTAGCTGGGATTACAGGTGGGCGCCATTGTGCCTGGCTAATTTTTGTATTTTTTTAGTAGAGACAGGGTTTCGCCATGTTGGCCAGGTTGGTCTTGAACTCCTGACCTCAGGTGATCTGCCCACCTCGGCCTCCCAAAATGCTAGGCATGAGCCACTGTGGCCGGCCCCCGTCTCTATTTTTTTTTTTTTTTTTGAGACAGTCTTGCTCTGTTGCCAGGCTGAAGTGCAGTGGCATGATCTCAGCTCACTGCAACCTCTGCCACCCGTGTTCAAGTGATTCCCCTGCCTCAGCCTCCTGAGTAGCTGGGACTACAGGTGCGTGCCACCACGCCTGGCTAATTTTTTGTATTTTAGTAGAGATGGGGTTTCACCCTGTTGGCCAGGATTAGTCTCGCTCTCCTGACCTCGTGATCCATCTATTTTTAAAAAGAAAGAAAAAGCAACTGTACTAATTTTTACTATTATTTCCTCTCCTTTTGAAAGGCTATGTTAAATTCCCATACTGCCATGCCACTTCTGGCTTTGATGACTTTCACTCCATTATTACACCATAGGGGCAACCCTTATTGCTCAGGACACACATGAACACAGAGATTTTCCCCATCACTGCTAAGAGACCCAACAGTCTGCTTTGGAATTAGATAATGCATTGAGAAAGCTAGCATTTCTCTCAGATCAGACTCTTTGAATGATAGGAGGAACATAAGATTGAGAAACTTTCGTTCCCTGGAAGAGAACACGCCAGTTGTGAAAAGCCCAAAGTTGTAAATTGTCAGATGGTGACTGCCTGGGAAACCTATCAAGATTCCTAACAGCTCAGCTGAGAACCTAATTACCAGTTACAAAGAGAGACAGGAAAAACGTGTTGTCAGAGTGCGCCTGGTCAGAGAGAATGAAGTATGATGTCCCAGCCTCATCACCAGCCTCCTTCTTGTTTCGACTAGAACAAAACACATTAGTATAATTGACATTACACATGTTTATTATCCGGAACAAAGGAACCATGTCAAACCATAACTCTGTGTCAGCTGAATCTTTGGTAATCACATAAACTAAACAATGGCATTTGACCTGATTGTGCAAAAACACTTCCGGGATTCTCAGTGCCAAGGATAATACCATCCTGTACTTAACTTTTCACCTGGAGTTTACACAAACTTCAACGAATCCTCTTAATTTCCTGGAGTGAAGAGGAGCAGTAATCTTTTGTTCTAGTGAAGCCCAGAGAGGGATAAGAACTTACCTAAAGCCACACAATCAGCAAACCAGCATCGTATTTTCTTTTCTTTTTTTTTTTGAGATGGAGTCTCTCACTCTGTCGCCCAGGCTGGAGTGCAATGGCACGATCTCAGCTCACCGCAACCTCTGCCTCCCAGGTTCAAGCAATTCTTCTGTCTCAGCCTCATGAGTAGCTGGGATTACAGGTGCCTGCCACCACACCCGGCTAATTTTTCTTTCTTTTCTTTCTTTCTTTCTTTTTTTTTTTTTTTTTTTTGTATTTTTGTAGAGACAGGGTTTCGCTGTGTTGCCCAGGCTGGTCCAGAATTCCTGAGCTCAGGCAATCCATCTGCCTCGGCCTTCCAAAGTGCTAGGATTACAGGTGTGAGCCACCGTGCCCGGCCTCAGCATCTTATTTTCTAAGGAAAATAAATTAGTATCAACCATGCTGCAGCACCAACATGAGGAAACCAGCACTCTTCACCAAGAATCCCTATATTGGGGAAAACCAACGTTAGTGTATTCACATGCTAGTTTTTACAAAGACTTCTAGTCTTGCAAAACTCACCCACACTTCCCACTCTCTTACCTCACTGGTATCAGCAGCAATTGAGCGTGAATGCTAACTTTCTCAGTGGGAGATTTTTTTTTTCAGTTGTTGAAAACAGGGACCTGGCACTTACAGCAACAGGGGGATAGAGAGAGAATTAATATTTATTGGGGACCTATTATATTCCAGATAGTATGTTTTACCTCTATCTAATCTGTAAGCCAGCTGGCAAAGTAGATGCTACTATAGATATCATCAGATGCCATACCTGGAGTTCATAGAGTTTAAGTAAATTGGCCAAGCTCACATCTTTAGTAAATGGCAGAGCAGAATTTTTAGCTTTTTATTTATTTGTTTATGTACTTTTTTTTTTTTTGAGACGGAGTCTCACTCTGACGCCCAGGCTGGAGTGCAGTGGCGCAATCTCGGCTCACTGTAAGCTCCGCCTCGCGGGTTCATGCCATTCTCCTGCCTCAGCCTCCCGGGTAGCTGGGACTACAGGCGCCCGACACCACGCCCGGCTAATTTTGTTTTTGTATTTTTAGTAGAGACGGGGTTTCACCGTGTTATCCAGGATGGTCTCCATCTCCTGACCTCGTGATCTGCCCGCCTCAGCCTCCCAAAGTGCTGGGATTGCAGTCGTGAGCCACCGCGCCCGGCCTGTTTATGTATCTTTTAGAACAGGGTTCGGAGTCTCACTCTGTCACCCAGGCTAGAGTGTGATGGCACTATTTTGGCTCATTGCAACCTCCGCCTCGTGGGCTCAAGCGATTCTCGAGCCTCATTCTCCTGAGTAGCTGGGATTACAGGCGTGTACCACCACGCCCAGTTAATTTTTTGTATTTTTAGTAAAGATGGGGTTTCGCTGTGTTGGCCAGGCTGGTCTCAAACTCCTGTCCTCAAGTGATCCACCCACCTCGGCCTTCAAAGTGCTGGGATTACAGGTGTGAGCCACCGTCCTGACCTAAAGTCTGTGTTCTTTATAATGCACAGTGCTACCTCAGTAGAAGAGAAGGAACTATGGGGACCTCCCAAGAGATAAGGTTGATGAAATGAGCGACTCTGAACTCCCAGTACTTTTGTTTTTATTTATTTATTTATTTTTTGAGACGGAGTCTCGCTCTGTCGCCCAAGCTAGGGTGCAGTGGCGCGATCTCGGCTCACTGCAAGCTCCGCCTCCCGGGTTCACGCCATTCTCCTGCCTCAGCCCCCCAAGTAGCTGGGACTACACGGGCGCCCGCCACCACGCCCGGATAATTTTTTGTATTTTTAGTAGAGATGGGGTTTCACCGTGTTAGCCAGCATGGTCTCGATCTCCTGACATCCTGATCCGCCCACCTCGGCCTCCCAAAGTGCTGGGATTACAGGCGTGAGCCACCGCGCCCAGCCAAGAACTCCTAGTATTTTTGATTGTCCTATACACATAAGGATTAGAATTGCCTGGCACAAATAGAAGGCATTTGGGCAAAATACTCCATCAGATTAATAGATACTACAGAGAAAAGGAAACTGGGTTGGAGAATGGGAGATTGGAAGGGAAATGAAGTGGATGAAGAGAAAGAAGGATCAGGAAGGGAATATGCCTAGGAAATTTAGTGAGTAGCTTGGGGTTGTTACCAGAGACCTTCCACTAGGACCCACAGAACAGTGCAGAAGCCGATACTCTTTTTTTTTTTCCTCTCTCTCTACTCACCATTTATTTTGTCTTCTGTAAAAGGATTAGCAGGATGGGCTCAGTGGGAAAGGAGGCCCCTGTGGGATCCTGTTACCAGCCATCTGTGTTCTGTTCTTTACTTTTGAACAAGACGGCTCCAAAACTCTGAACTGGAGAGGGAGTTGGAGCTGCATACAGATCAGCAGAGCTGTTGCTAACAGCTCTGACGCCTGCAGAATGACTCAACCCTCTGTGCCTGGCAGAGTCAGCTGTGGTCCCCTGGAGCCTCCTACTCTAGGGAGAAAATCAGAGATGTGGGGAAGTGGCTTGGGGAAAGGGAAGGAGGACCCTTGATCTTGGGCAGGAATTCAGGCTGGAAGGATAGATTGGGACACTTGAGTCTTCATTTAAGAGTTCCAGCTAATGATGGGGGAGGGATTAAAGATGACAGTGAGGAAAGCACAATCTTCTGTATACTTTAGCTTCTCCCCAAAAAGAGTATACTGTCTGGAGGATGGCAGTCAGTAAAAGCCATATGGCTGTGTCACCAGGAATTCATCCCAAACAGAAATCTCACTCACCTCCCTGGTGAATTTTATTCAGGTACAGGCAGCTCCTGCTGTTCCCTCACTTTCTGAGGAGCCCAAAGACTCTTTTTGTCCCTACAGGGCACCATTAATACTTAACATTTTCAGTGCTGAACAGTTGCTAGCTTCAGACCTCTCCTCTGGTCACTTACTCAGATCTCTCTTAGACGTAGGCAATTAGGAAGAAGAAACCATGCTGGAAAGCTCCTAGGTAAGCCTTCCTGTTTGTTCTGGTCTTTGTTGCTTGTGTATGGGTCATGCCAAGAGTTGTCTGGATTAACCCTATATCAATACTTAAACACCCAGCTCCACCCCGCTCCCCAAACAACCCCAGCCTTCCCTCAAAGAACTTTCCTTTTTATTTGGCTCCTAATCATTCACTAATAGACAGCCCCCCAACTTTGTCTTTTGGGTGCCATGGCAACTCAAAGAAACGGTTGACACTGCCAATAAAGGCATCTGCAAGAGCTCCCTAAAGCCAGACTCCTTTAAAAACAATAATACACTAGGGAATCACCACTATATCCACCCTTCCTACCACCCCACATACACACCCTCAATTGTTGGCTTTAGGGAGAGACTCACAGTTCTTGGAATAGCTGAGAAAGTAGCTGCTTTGCCCCATATGAAAGGTTTTCATACTCTAATACAATTCTTCCCTTAGACATTAGCCTATAAATCAAACCTACCTACCAGGTGTCCATGGAATTTTTTACAAAATAAGTCTGCATGTGCCCTTTACTGATTTTCATTTTTCTGTGCCTATAGGAAGAATCTGAGTATATGGTATTTCAGGGATGAACTTCTGGCTAGTTTCCCACAATGAGGAGACTCTTGATGGCCTCATATAATATGTGTGAAAGTGCTTTTAGATAAGTGCTCAAATATTCATATTAACTAGTATTCCCTGTCCTCGTTCCCCTTTAGTTCAGGCTATATAGTATAGTAGTTAAGCTCTGGGACTCTGGAGCCAAATTTCCTGGATTGAATCTTCTACTTTGCAACTTTTCGTAAGCCTTTCTCTGTCCCTCACCTTTCCCCATCTGTAAAATGAGGAAAATACGAGTATCTACTTCAGAGGATTTTGGGGAAGATTAAATAAATTCAAATCTATAAAGTGCTTAGAACAGTAGCTGGTTTTATATGCTGAACATCTTTTGTATATCAAGTTTACTACTAGACACAGTATGCTGCTGGGAAACACAGACAATGTAACCTGTCCTCAAAGAGTTAACAGCCTGATATTCTCTGGGTAAAGAGAGACAAACCAATATGTAGGTAATGTGACAAGTGCTTCTCTAAATGAAGAGAGAAAACAGAGGAGAGAGCCAGAAATTTACCCTTAGAGGATGGCTGGGTTTTCCCAAAACAGAGAAATGGTATATCATTTAGGAACTCTGGGTTGCAAATAATAACTTGCTTCATTTCGTTCAACAATTTTATTTTAAAGATCTATGTCACAGAAACTCAGGAAAACTAAGAGCCCAGTAGAGCAAGAGATGGCATTTTTATTGTTTTCACTCTGATGTTCACTCATTAGCATGACTTAGCTATTTTCCTCCTGGCAGGGCCTCTTCCACCAGTACTGATTGATTCTTTATTCTTCCTTTCAGATGAATGTTCTCTACCTCATAGTTTCTACTTCCTTGTAGGTTTCCTTGATTCCTCATGGCTCTGAATTTATCTTAATATTAATAGCTTTTCTTTAGGTATCATTTCAGCTTGTGTTCTTATCATTCGAAGCTGCATCCTCGGGCTGGGTTCGGTGGCTCATGCCTGTAATCCCAGCACTTTGGGAGGCCGAGGTGGGTGAATCACTTAAGGTCAGGAGTTCGTAGACCAGCCTGGCAAACATGGTGAAACCCCATTTCTACTAAAAATACAAAAATTAGCTGGGCGTGGTAGCAGGTGCCTGTAATCCCAGCTACATGGGAGGCTGAGGCAGGAGAATTGCTTGAACCTGGGAGGCAGAGGAGGTTGTAGTGAGCCAAGATTGTGCCACTGCACTCCAGCTTGAGTGATGGAGTGAGACACTGTTTGAAAAAAAAAGAAAGAAAAAGAAAAAAAAGGCTCATTCTCTCCTTTTGCTAACTCAAAATTTAAACATTAAGAGAGGCTGGGTGCAGTGGCTCATGCCTGTAATCCCAGCACTTTGGGAGGCCAAAGCCGGGGGATTGCCTGAGCTCAGGGCTTTGAGACCAGCCTAGCTAACATGGTGAAACCCCATCTCTACTAAAAATGCAAAAATTAGCTGGGTGTGGTGGCAGGTGCCTGTAATCCCATCTACTTGGGAGGCTGAGGCAGGAGAATTGCTTGAACCCAGGAGGCAAAGGTTGCAGTGAGCCGAGATCGTGCCATTGCACTCCAGCCTGGGTGACAAGAGCGAAACGCTGTCTCAAAATAAATAAATAAATAAATAGGCCAGACGCGGTGGCTCACACCTGTAATCCTAGCACTTTGGGAGGCTGAGGGGGGTGAATCACGAGGTCAGTAGTTCGAGATCAGCCTGACCACCATAGTGAAACCCTGTCTCTACTAAAACTACAAAAATTAGCCAGGCATGGTGGCACGCACCTGTAATCCCAGCTATTCAGGAGGCTGAGGCAGGAGACTCGCTTGAACTTGGGAGGCAGAGGTTGCAGTGAGCCGAGATTGCGTCACTGCACTCCAGCCTGGGTGTCAGAGCAAGACTCCGTCTCAAAAAAAATAAAATAAAATAAAAATAAAATAAATAAAGAGAATCTGGGCCAGGCGCAGTGGCTCACATCTGTAATCCCAGCACTTTGGGAGGCCAAGGTGGGGAGGATCCCTTGAGCCCAGGGGTTCGAGACCAAGCTGGGCAAAACCGTGAGACCCCATTTCACATATTTTTAAAAAATAATAAGTTTTTAAAAAGAGAGACAGTGTCTGATCAACCTACTCCTTTTTAATTGCCAGATATGTTGGAAATTGCTAGCCAGGTCCTGGATTATCCACCATTGCGTCAGATGCCAATTCTGGTCCAGTCAGCTAAGGCAAAAGGGACATAACTATGGCTACCTAGAGGCTGTCTCTTCAACAGAGGCTGTGGGTGGGAAAGTTTCCCTTGGGAAGGAAATGTGGATGTAGCAGTCATGATGTTCTGTCTAGAAAAGAAATAAGAAACAACATGTACAAAGAGCATGGGAAAGAGAAATGCAGTGTCTGGAGTTGATTCAACAGATATTTACTGAAGGATTGCTAAATGTCAGTCACTATGTAAGGAATAGATAACAAATGCTTTGAGGAGTGTTAGGATGCCATGGGAGCCCATTGCAGGGCCATCCGAACAAGACATGGGATGTCAAGAAAGGCTTCTTAGAGGAAGGAAACTCCACATGGGACCAGATAGAGAAGTAGGAATAAAAAGGAGCATGGCAGGCTGGGTGCGGTGGCTCACGCCTATAATCCCAGCACTTTGGGAGGCCAAGGTGGGCGGATCACCTGAGGTCAGGAGTTTGAGACCAGCCTGGCCAACATAGTGAAACCCCTTCTCTACTAAAAATACAAAAAGTTAGCTGGGGGCGCGGTGGCTCACACCTGTAATCCCAGCACTTTGGGAGGCCGAGGCAGGTGGATCACGAGGGGAGGAGTTCGAGACCAGCCTAACCAACATGTTGAAACCCCGTTTCTACTAAAAATACAAAAATTAGCTGGGCGTGGTGGCACGTGCTGAGTAGCTGAGTAATCCCAGCTACTCAGGAGGCTGAGGCAGGAGAATTGCTTGAACCTGGGAGGCAGAGGTGGCAGTGAGCCGAGATCACACCACTGCACTTTAGCCTGAGTGACAGAGGGAGACTCCGTCTCAAAAAACAAAACAAAACAAAACAAAACAAAACAAAACAAAAAATTAGGTGGGCTTGCTGGCACATGCTTGTAATCCCAGCTACTCAGGAGGCTGAGGCAGGAGAATTGCTTGAACCCAGGAGGCAGAAGTTGCAGTAAGCTGAGATCGCGCCATTGCACCCCAGCCTGGGCAACAAGAGTGAAACTCCATCTCAAAAAAAAAAAAAAAAATTAGCTGGGCGTGGTAGCGGGCTACTGTAATCCCAGCTACTTGGGAGGCTGAGACAGGAGAATCGCTTGAACCTGGGAGATGGAAGTTGCAGTAAGCCAAGATCGCGCCATTGCCATTGCACTCCAGCCTGGACCAAAAAAAAAAAAAAAAAAAAGAGCATGGGATTCCAGGATCTGAAAGAAACTTAATGAGACTGCCAGAAAATGAGGGGGAATAGCAAGAGATATACAGGGACTATGTCATTCAGGTGCTAAAAACTGTAGTTACCATTTACTGAACACAGAACGGAACACTGTGCTCATTATTTTGTATGTATTAGTTTATTTAACCTTCTCAACAATTCTATGAGGTAGGAATAATTATTGTTCATATATATATATTTTGAGATGAAGTCTTGCTCTGTCGCCCAGGCTGAAGTGCAATGGCACAATCTCGGCTCACTGTAACCTCCACCTCCTGGGTTCAAGTGATTCTTCTGCTTCAGCCTCCCCAGTAGCTGGGAATACAGACATGTGCCACCATGCCCAGCCGATTTTTTTTTTCTTTTTTTGTATTTTTAGTACAGACAGGGTTTCACCCTGTTGCCCAGGCTGGTCTCAAATTCCTGAGCTCAGGTGATCCACCTGCCTCAGCCTCACAAAGTGCTAGGATTACAGGCGCCAGCCACCGTGCCGGTCCTCTTTTTTTTTTTTTTTTTGAGATGTAGTCTCGCTCTGTCACCCAGGCTGGAGTGCAGTGGCACAATCTCGGCTCACTGCAACCTCTATCTCCCAAGTTCAAGTGATTCTCCTGCCTCAGCCTCCCTAGTAGCTGGGATTACAGGCACCTGTCACCACGCCCAGCTAATTTTCTGTATTTTTACTAGAGATGGGGTTTCACCATGTTGGCCAGGCTGGTCTCCAACTCCTGACCTCAAATGATCTGCCTGCCTCGGCCTCCCAAAGTGGGATTACAGGTGTGAGCCACTGTGCCCGGCCTATTGTTTACATTTTTAAGATGAGGAAACCAAAACTCAGTGAGATTTACTAATTTACTAATAATCACATAACTAGCAAGTGGCCAAACTGCTAATAAATGAAATTATATTTACTTTGTGGGTCATATTCAGAATATAACGGTATTTATTTTAAGAGCAATGGGAAGCCATTGAAGGGTTTTAAAGCAAAATTGCATTTGGGAAAGATCATTCTTGCTGCAGAGTATAAAATGGATTGTAATGAGCAAAAGGAGACGTAGGGAGACCACTTGGGACCCCACTGCAGACCAGGTGAGAGATGGTATTAACTTGGACTAGGAGGACAACAGTGCTATGGATGTAATCATTCATTTATTATTTTGATCAATAAATATTGAATGAGCTCCCATGAAGAGTGCTAGGCAGTAAAGATACAAATTTGAGGCTGGGCACAGTGGCTCACACCTGTAATCCCAGCACTTTGGGAGGCCAAGGTGCATGGATCACGAGGTCAGGAGATTGAGACTATCGTGGCTAACATGGTGAAACCTCATCTCTACTAAAAATAAAAAAAATTAGCCGGGCGAGGTGACAGGCGCCTGTAGTCCCAGCTACTCGGAAGGCTGAGGCAGGAGAATGGCGTGAACCCGGGAGGCGGAGGTTACAGTGAGCCGAGATTGCACCACTGCACATTGCAGCCTGGGTGACAGAGCGAGACTCTGTCTCAAAAAAAAAAAAAAAGATACAAATTTGAGCAAAGTAGACATGGTCCCTGCCCTCAAAGAGTTTCTCTAAGAGATAGAATAGACAGGAATTAGTGGTGAGTTGCATGTGGTACTGATGGAAAATAAGTGGTCTGGGATGATTAACTGACTTCCAGTTGTCTCCGACACCTATGTTCCTTCTACCACACTACTTCCCCAAGGATTTGTATTGTAGATGAAGAGCAGGGGACTGAAGGGCAGAGTTATGAGGGAAGACCAAGGCGAATTTGGGAAGAGCTTGTATGCCATTCTCATCAACTCAGACTTTATTCTGGAAACTTTAGGGAGCCATTGAACATGTGTAAGCCAGGAAATAGCTTGGACAGATATATGTGTTAGCAAGATCAAGATTTCTTATCCTTTAACACTTAGAATTCCTACAGGGCTAACTAGGCAAGGATGAAAACATGCTAATCTTCTTTTCATATTCTACCCTCTAGTGGCAAGAGGAAAAACAGCAAGTCCAACTCCACAGGTTTGTAAGGAGCAGCCAGCTTTGATTTGCCCTGCACGTCATAGCTCAGAAAGTTTTGCTGCTCATACAATCCTCAGCAAAGACCATCCATTCATTCCGGGATTCCCCCAGCTCATGGACACAGGTCGGTCTCTAACTACAGACAGCCTTCTTCTGGAAACTCTCACCAGCCTGATTTCTAAACTCCCAGTCCACCTTCACATTGTTTGCCTGTTTTCAGTGCCTTTCCTCTGCAGATCTCTCAGTAGGCAGCCGTAAGGAGTCAGCAAAGGCTAACACGGCTGCCCTCAGCTGGAAACCTAGTGTAGTGCCTATTACATTTCTCCTGGAACCACTCCTTGTGAGAAAGGCAATTCAAACTCTATCTTAAGTGAGCATCTACTTCCTTTTCATCTGAGTTATAAAAGAATAGTGCCCCCTTTGGCTCAAATCTATGCAATGTGGAGGAAGAAAAGGCAAGAGCTAATCCTTGCCATGAATTCATCATTGTCATCGTCACCATTTCACCATTATCAGCAACAGACTCTAGAAACAACTTGGTGAAGGCTTGAAAATAGAGGGTAGAGCAGATATAGGGCAGCCTTCTCAAGGATATCTCCTCCTTTTTTTGAAAAGAGATGTTCTCTTTTTCTTGCATCTTTATTCTCAGTCCATTTGCCCTACAGCCTCTGTGCTTCCAAGATGAAGTTCTGATAAGTGTCTGCTGTGATAAGATAATAAGAGAGTCTATCTATGTAGCTTGGAAATAAACACTGGAATTGCTTCTCAAAAATCCAGATTGATTTAAACACCCTCTGGCAATGTTCTTTTGGCATCCTCCCCAATTTTAAATAACTTGGGTCACAGTTTCCTCCACTCATTGACTCAGCACTTCAGTGGCAAAGTGACCCTCTAAATTTCACCTCAGCTAAGATAGCTCCTCCACCTCCTAGAAGGATAATATTGTGAATTAAATGCTGATGCTGTTTCTGATTTAGCACATATGCACCACCCACAGACAATTTATTCTAGACTTTCTTTTAATGCCAGGGGCTTTAAGATTACTGATGAACAGATCCCTCCCCCATCCAAGCCCTCTATTCACCCAGGAATTTGCGATGGAAATAGTACTGTTGGCTGGAGTAGAGCGGCATACCAGTGCTTCTGAGAGCTGAGTGGCCGTTGCCATGGGGGCGAGTGTGTTTGTATAGAACTGCCTATACAAGGTGGCAGGATTGAGGGCTGCTTTTGATTCAGAGCTGATTAGAGTAGACCTGAGCCAGCCCCCTTATTTTACAGATGAGGAAACTGAGGCCCAAAGATTTAGTCAAATGACTTATTCAAGGTCTGAGGGCAAGGTAGAGACAGAGTTGGGCCTTTTGCAATGCATCACTCTTTCCAATAAAACACCCATTCTGGTTGAGTGGGTGCTCTTCCAGCCAGTTCCACTAATGCCACTATGTTATTACAGCACCATCAATCCAGGTGGAAGTGCCAGGAAACATGGTACAGGCAATAATGAGTATGTAAATATTCTTGCATTTGTATGCATGCATATGTTTGCATCAAATTACACGTGCACACCTGAGGGTGATTGTGCTAACTGGATGTTTTTATAGTTCTCTGATTACTGAAATTCCTTAAACCACCCTTTCCTCAAGTGAAATGCGAATAAGAAATAATACCTATCTCAAAGGATTAAATGAAATAATGAATTTAAAGTACTTAGCACAGTAGCTGGCATAATAAGTGTTTGATATTATATTGTTTCTATTATGTCTTTCTGCAATGGAATGTGTCAGTGACTGCCTTCCAGGCACTGGGCTAAATGCTTTAATTTTTCATTTAATATTTACAACACAGTCCTTTGAAATAGGTTCTTTTGTTATCTGCACAGCACTAATGAGAAAACTAGGCCTAGAGAGGTTGAATAACTTGCCTAAGGTCCCAGGGCTAGGAAGTGGCTGAGCAAGAATCAAAACCAGGTCTGTCTAATGTTAATGCCCTCAATTTAACAATTAGGTTGTACTGCCTCTCCTATAGAAAAGAGGAGACACAATGAATCTATTCTAGTGTTTTTGAATTTGTTTGCAAGAACTCTAAATCCAAATACATTAAATACAAATTGCATGTGGGGTGGACTGGCTCATCCATATAAATAAATTTTCATTAAACCCACTGAAACTGTAAGCAAAGGGTTTGTTTTCACTCCCCTTTAATTACAGTTTTTTATAGAGACCCTACTTAGGCATTTTGTATAAGAGACAATTGCCCAATGAATGCCATTTTATTCAATATCTTATTATTTCAAAACTCCATAGGTCTCCTCTTTTTTTTTCTTGCTTTGTCTCCCAGGCTGGATGCAGTGACGTGATCTCAGCTCACTGCAACCTCCACCTCCCGGGTTCAAGCAATTCTCCCTGCCTCAGCCTCCTGAGTATCTGGGATTACAGGCACCCACCACTACGCCGGGCTAATTTTTGTATTTTTAGTAGAGATGGAGTTTCTCCATGTTGGCCAGGCTGGTCTTGAACTCCTGACTTCAGGTGATCTGCCCGCCTCGGCCTCCCAAAGCACTGGGATTACAGGTGTGAGTTGCCGCGGCTGGCCCATAGTCTCCAGACCTATGTAAAAAAATACTAATCTAGGCCGGGCAAGGTGGCTCACCTCTGTAATCCTAGCACTTTGGGAGGACAAGGTGGGAGAATCACTCGAGTTGAGGAGTTGGAAACCAGCCTGGGCAACATAGTGAGACTTTGTCTCTACAAAAAATAAACAAAATTAGCTGGATGTGGTGGTGCATGTCTGTAGTTCTAGCTACTTGGGAGGCTGAGGTGGGAGGATTGCTTGAGCCCAAGAGGTTGAGGCTGCAGTGAGCCAGATCACGCCACTGCACTCCAGCCCGGGTGACGCAGTGAGACCCTGTCTGAAAAAACAAGAGGAGTTTAAAACCAGCCTGGGCAAAATAGGGAGACCCGTCTCTCTACAAAATATAAAAATAAATTAGCAGGCCAGGAGCAGTGACTCACGCCTATAAGCCCAGCACTTTGGGAGGCCAAGGCAGGCTAATCACCTGAGGTGGGGAGTTCGCAACCAGCCTGAACAACAGGTTTAGTAGAAACCCTGTCTCTACTAAAAGTACAAAATTAGCTGGGTGTGGTGGCACATGCCTGTAATCCCAGCTACTAGGGAGGCTGAGGCAGGAGAATCGCTTGAACCTGGGAGGCAGAGGTTGCTGTGAGCCGAGATCGCGCCATTGCACTCCAGCCTGGGCAACAAGAGCGAAACTCCATCTCAAAAAAATAAATAAGTAAATAAAAAATTAGCAAGGCATGGGGGCTTCCATCTGTGGTCCCAGCTACTTGGGAGGCTGAGGCAGGAGGATCACTTGAGCCCTGGAGGTCAAGGCTGCCATAAGCAGTGATCATACCGCTATACTCTATCTGGGTGACAGAATGAGACCCTGTCCCCCTACACACCCCAAAAAGAATATACCTATTTGTTTTCTATCTCCCCTACTAGATTGTAGGCTCCATATGAGAACAAGGACCATGGCTGCTTAGTTCATCAAGATATATGGTGAACCTAGCAGAATGCCTAGCACATAGTAAGCACTCATAAATAGTAGCTGATGTCATTATTCCTAGTGAACTCCCTTTTTCATTCTGCAAAATGGCTGTTTCAAAGCTATACCACTCTCTTCAAACTTCCTCCTCTAATCTTTACCTCCTTAAAATAGGATAGAAATTACTATCTTATTCTCTTTTTTTTTTTTTTCTGAGACAGAGTTTCGCTTTTGTTGCCCAGGCTGGAGTGCAATGGTGCGATCTTGGCTTACTGCAACCTTCGCCTCCCAGGTTCAAGTGATTCTCCTTCCTCAGCCTCCAGAGTAGCTGAGATTACAGTTGCCCGCCACCACACCCAGCTAATTTTTTGTATTTTTAGTAGAGATGGGTTTTCACCATGTTGGTCTCGAACTCCTGGCCTCAGGTGATCTGGCCGCCTTGACCTCCCAAAGTGCTGGGATTACAGGAGTGAGCCACCGCATCGGGCCACTATTCTCATTTTCTATAATCTCCTTAAATGCCCTGAATTTGAGTTAAACTGGACCACTTAACATTCCGTCACACCTCCAACCCACTGTTCGCACTATTCCTCTCCCAGAAATGCCCCCGTCTACTTCCCATCCCATATTGTCATGTTGTCCTTAAAGCTCAACTCAAAGGGCAAGCGCATTCCCTTTTTAGTTTTCCCTGATAGTCCACAATTAACTGTTTCCTTCCCAGAGCCTTTCACAATACTTTTACATTAACTTTTCACATTTTTTATGTGTTATTTGTGTGAGTCTCTTACCCCAAGGAGTGAATTCTTTAGGGATAAGAGATTTGTTATCTTCTTTAAATCCCCACCACTCAGTACAGCTCTTGATGCATGGAATGCAGTCAATATATAGTAAGCAAATTAGTAAATCCAGGGCAGAGTATCTTTAAAAGAAAAACACAAGTTATCCCAGAAACTAACAATAAGAGACCTGATAGGACTCTGAGAAAAGGCAAATACTGAAAAGGCCAGGTGTGGTGGTTCACACCTGTAATCCCAGCACTTTGGGAGGCTGAGGTGGGCGGATCACAAGGTCAGGAGATTGAGATCATCCTGGATAACACGGTGAAACCCCGTCTCTACTAAAAATACAAAAAAATAGCCGGCCTGGTGGCAGGCGCATGTAAGTCCCAGCTATTCAGGAGGGAGGCTGAGGCAGGAGAATGGTGTGAACCCTGGGAGGCAGAGTTTGCAGTGAGCCGAGATCGTGCCACTGCACTCCAGCTTGGGTGACAGAGCGAGACTCCATCTCAAAAAAATAAATAAATAAATAAAATAAAAAGAGAAAAGGCAAATACTGTGTTAATCATGCCTCAGAAACATCTTTTCTTTAAAAACCATAGAAATCGGCCAGGTGTCCGGGTGCGGTGGCTCATGCCCATAATCCCAGCACTTTGGGAGGCCGAGGCGGGCGGATCACAAGGTCAGGAGTTCAAGACCAGCCTGGCCAATATGGTGAAACCCCGTCTCTACTAAAAAATACAAAAATCAGCCAGTCGTGGTGGCACACGCCTGTATTCCCAGCTACTCAGGAGGCTAAGGCCGGAGAATCACTTGAACCCGGGAGGCAGAGGTTGCAGTGAACTGAGATCGCACCACTGCACTCTAGGCTGGGCAACAGAGTGAGACTCTGTCTCAAAAAAAAAAAAGAAAAAAAAAAGCAATGGGCCAGGCACGGTGGCTCATGCCTGTAATCCCAGTACTTTGGGAGGCCAAGGCGGGGCAGCTCACTTGAGCCCAGGAGTTTAAGACCAACCTGAACTCATGACGAAACCCCATCTAAAAAAAAATTACAAAAATTAGCCAGCGTGGTGTTGCAACTACTTGGGAGGCTGAGGTAGGGGGATCACCTGAGCCCTGGAGGCTGAGGCTACAGTGAGCCCTGATCATGCCACTGCACTCCAGCCTGGGTGACAAAACAAAACCTGGTCTTAAAACAAAACATAGAAATCCTCAAAGAAGCTTCTCTTCCCACATGGAAAAACAGAAACCCAGAAATTGAGTGAAAATTGAGTGAAATCAGGACTCCTTGGGCTGACCACTAAGGCTTTAAGAAAAAAAGTCGGATGCTCCTTACTTAGGGAAAATGTGAATGTGAGCTACTCTGTTCTTTCTTTCTTTCTTTTTTTTTTTTTTCTGAGACAAAGTCTCATTCTGTCGCCCAGGGTGGAGTGCAGTGGTGCGATCTCGGCTCACTGCAACCTCCACCTCCCGGGTTCAAGCGATTGTCCTGTCTCAGCCTCCCGAGTACCTGGAATTACAGGCATGCGCCACCATTCCCGGCTAATTTTGTATTTTTAGTAGAGACTGTGTTTCACCATGCTGGCCAGGCTGGTCTAGAACTCCGGACCTCAGGTGATCCGCCCGCCTCAGCCTCCTAAAGTGCTGGGATTATGGGTGTGAGCCACCGCACTTGGCCTTAGTTACCCTTTTCTAACTCTCGTTCAATCTACAAAGAGGAGCTAGGCTCTACTTCCAGATATTCTGAGTTAATTGGTTTAGCATATAGGAATCGGTATTTTTTAGAAGCCTCCCTGAATGATAAAATGTGCAGCCAGGTTGGAGAAGCAGTTCTTAGAATGACGTTATGGACATAATATGCCCCTCTTAAACTCATATGTTGAAGCCCTAACCCCTAATGTGGTGGGTTTTGGGGGTGAGACCTTGGGAGGTAATTAGATTTAGATGAGGTCTTGAGAGTAAAGCCCCGTATTGAGATTAGTGTCCTGATAGGGAGGAAGAGACCAGACCTCTGTGTGTGTGTGTGTGTCTCTCTCTCCCACAATGTGAGGACACAGCTGGAAGTTGGCCATCTGCAAGCCAGGGCAAAGGCCCTTACCAAGAACCTGATCATGCTGACCCTGTGATCTGGGACTTCCCAGCCTCCAGAACTTTGAGAAATAAATCTGTTTTGTTTTTGTTTTTGTTTTTTGAGACAGAGTCTTGCTCTCTCACCCAGGCTGGAGTGCAATGGTGTGATCTCATCTCACTGCAACCCCTGCCTCCCGGGTTCAAGCAATTCTCCTGTCTCAGCCTCCTGAGTAGCTGGGACTACAGGTGCCTGCCACCAAGCCTGGCTAATTTTTGTATTTTTAGTAGAGATGGGGTTTCACCATATTGGTCAGGCTGCTCTTGAACTCCTGACCTCAGGTGATTCACCCGCCTTGGCCTCCCAAAGTGCTGGGATTACAGGCGTGAGTCACTGCGCCCGGCCAAAATCTGTTGTCTAAGCCACTTAGTCTATGGTATTTTGTTACAGCACCTCAAGCTGCCTAAGACAAACAGCAACACACTGGTCTTTCTTTTTTGCTTTGCTTTGCTTTTTTTTTTGAGACGGAGTCTCGCTCTTTTCTCCCAGGCTGGAGCTCAGTGGCGCGATCTCGGCTCACTGCAAACCTCCACCTCCTGGGTTCAAGCGATTCTCCTGCCTCAGCCTCCTGAGTAGCTGGGATTACAGGTGCCCACCACCATGGCCCGGCTAATTTTTGTACTTTTAGTAGAGATGGAGTTTTGCCATGTTGGCCAGGCTGGTCTGGAACTCCCAATCTCAGGTGATCCGTCCGCCGCGACCTCCCAAAGTGCTGGGATTACAGGCGTGAGCCACTGCGCCTGGCCCTTTTTTCTTTTTTCTTTTTTTGAGATGGAGTCTCGCTCTGTTGCCCAGGCTGGAGTGCAATGGCGCGATCTCGGCTCGCTGCAACCTCTGCCTCCCAGGTTCAAGCAATTTCCAGCTAATTCTTTTGAATTTTTAGTAGAGACGGGGTTTCACCATGTTGGCCAGGCTGATCTGGAACTCCTGTCCACAAGTGATCCGCAATATACTGGTCTTTCATACAGGCATAGTGGAGAGCCGATATAAATATCAGAAACTGAGACTTAGAAATTCAACAAATCATCATTATCATACAAAGCACTCTGAAACACTGCCTGGTGCATAGACAACGCTCTATAAGTGTAAGTGAGTAGTAGAAGTATTAGTATTATCATCACCATTGTCAAACTGATAATGAGGGGTCGCTACATACTTTCTTTTAATTTTCACCAAAGAATTAAAGGTAGATTATTTTTCTGTTAAAGAGCTTCTGATTTAATAGTGTTGAATAGTTTGAACAAGGTTTCAGCGTCAGTATTCAAATTATGACTGAAATTTGAATGTCTTTCATTACAACAGGTTGATGGCCGCAGAAATAACTTCCTGTTATTCAGAATAGTGATGCCCAGGACAAATATTACTATTCCATATTTTCCCTGTTTCCTTGGCCATCATCCCTTTTTGCTTTCCAGATTAAGCCCTCCAAGGGAGGTTTAAATAAAAGGCCGTATGGGCTAAAACCAAACAACAACTGAGCAATACCAATGGGCAGAATTTGGGGATCTAAAAACCTAATGGTTTACCTGGAAACAACTAACCCTATTTACAATAAAGAGCCTCCAGCTCTTTGGCTCACCTCCATCTCTTGGGCTCTCCTCCAGGCTTGGAGAGATCAGACTGCTAAAGACAGTCTTTTTCAAGAGGTTCATTTTTTATCTAGTCCTCAAGTCCTCCTACCCTTATTGATTTCTTTTTTCTTTCCTTTTTTTTTTTTTTTTGGTTGTTGTTGTGTGTTGTGCTTTTTTGTTTTGTTTTGTATTGAAACAGGTTCTTGCTCTGTTGCCCAGGCTAGAGTGCAGTGGCATGATCATAGCTCATGTAGCCTCCATCACCTGGGCCCAAGTGATCCTCCCACCTCAGCCTCCTGAAGAGCTGGGACTACATGCATGTGCCACTATGCCAAGTTAGTTCTTTTGGTTTTTAGTAGAAATGAGGTCTTGCTATGTTGCCCAGGCTGGTCTCGAATTCCTGAGTTCAAGCTATCCTCTGGTCTCAGCCCCCCAAATTGCTAGGATTACAGGATGAGCCACTGCACCCAGACTACCCTTGTTGATTTCTAAAACTATTTAAGTGTCTTAAAAACTCAGGATGATACCTAGAAATGAGTCCAGAAAAGGGGAAATGTGGGGGGAAGTGCTGTTGTTGACATTATCCCAATAACCCCAGGAACCCAGATCAGTCCAGCACTTTTTCAAATGTCTTGATTATTTTACTGATACAAAATTGGATCAGGCTTTTTGACAGTTTGTGGTGAGGGAAAAACCCAGAGCTGGGCCAGAATGACACCAGGAAGCCCTATGTTTCATTTGGCTAATATTCTTTCTTAAAGAACCAAATCAAAGTCATTTCTTTTGTGACACTGTGATAACATGTGCAGTCCTACAGGTGGAGCTACCTTTATTTATTTATTTATTTATTTGAGATGAAGTCTTGCTCTGTCACCAGGCTGGAGTGCAGTGGCGCGATCTCAGCTCACTGCAACCTCTGCCTCCTGGGTTCAAGTGATTCTCCTGCCTCAGCCTCCTGAGTAGCTGGGACTACAGGCGCGGGCCACCACGCCTGGCTAATTTTTTTGTTTTTTTAGTACAGATGGGGTTTCACCATGTTGGCCAGGATAGTCTTGATCTCTTGACCTCATGATCCGCCCGCCTAGGCCTCCCAAAGTGCTGGAACTACAGGTGTGAGCCACCGCGCCTGGCTGGAGCTATCTTTATTATTGCACTTATCATTGTATTAAAATTATTTGATTACCTGTCACTTCTCTTCATCTTTCTATGAACAAATAGAAAGATAATATCTATTACTTCTATTCTCCCTCTAACAATAGCAATTACACAGTGGCAAATACATTAAAGATGCTTAATAAATCATTGTTAAACAAATTAACAGATATATGGATACTAGGCCTTTGGGTCTTATTTAGGCCTGAAGTGGTAGTACAATTGCAGAGGACATACTTTTGCATCATTTGGGCCTGTCTTAGTCTGTTTTGTGTTGTTATAACAGAATACCACAGAGTGGGTAATTTACAAAGAAAAGAAATTTATTTCTGGAGGCTGGGAAGGTTAAGTTCTAGGGACCCACATCTGATGAGGGCCTTCTTTCTGTGTCATCCCTTGGCAGGTGAAAGGCAAAGGGTGAGTGCAGGCCATAGAACTCACAGCCTTAAGCCCTTTTTAATTGGATATTATATTAACACATTCATGAGGGCTCCATCCTCATGACCTAAACACCTCCCATTAGGCCCTACCTCCCAACACTGTTGGCGTTGGGGATTGTTTCCAACATGTATTCCTTGGGGAACACATTCAAACCACAGCAGGACCCATATCTGTGCATCGTATTAGATGATAAAACTTTTTTTTTTTTTGAGACAGAGTCTCGCTCTGTCACCCAGGCTGGAGTGCAGTGGCGCGATCTTGGCTCACTGCAACCTCTGCCGCCCAGGTTCAAACGATTCTCCTGCCTCAGCCTCCCAAGTAGCTAGGTTACAGGCACCTGCCACCATGCCTGGCTAATTTTTGTAGTTTTAGCAGAGACAGGGTTTCACCATCTTGGCCAGGCTGGTTTTGAACTCCTGACCTTGTGATCCACCCACCTCAGCCTCCTGAAGTGCTGGGATTACAGGCATAAGCCACCGCACCCAGCCAATAAAACATTTTTATATTTTATTTTGCTTTATTTGTCTTTGTATCTTCTATAGTACCCATTTTCAAGAAATATATATTGAGGATCTGTTCTGCTCAGAAATGGAATAGAATTTGTATGTTTTAACCAGGTCAAAGTCCATTCATAAACTTAACATTTATTGTCTTATTGCTGTATGAGAATACTGTGACAGATAGGAAGTGTAAAGGGTTGGACCAACATTACTCTTACAGGAGATGAGAATCTGTGGGTAATTTTTTTTTTTTTTGAGACAGTCTCGCTCTGTTGCCCAGGCTGGAGTACAGTGGCACGATCTCGGCTCACTGCAGCCTCTGCCTCCCAGGTTCAAGCAGTTCTCCCACCTCAGCCTCCCTAGTAACTGGGATTACACACAGCTAATTTTTGTATTTTTGTAGAGACGGGGTTTCACCATGTTGGCCACCTCGTCATGAACTCCTGACCTCCGGTGATTTGTCCACCTCGGCCTCCCAAAGTGCTGGGATTACAGGCATGAGCCACCGCGCCTGGCCTTACTTTTTTTTTTTTTTTGAGACAGTTTCACTCTGTTGCCCAGGCTGGAGTGCAGTGGAGTGATCTCAGCTCACTGCAACCTCTGCCTCCTGGGTTCAAATGATTCTCCTGCCTCAGCCTCTTGAGTAGCTGGGATTATAGACGCCCACCACCTCGCCTGGCTAGTTTATATATATATATATATATATTTTTTTTTTTTTTTTTTTTTTTTTTTTGAGAGGAAGTCTCGCTCTGTCACCCAGGCTGGAGTGCAATGGCACGATCTCAGCTCACTGCAACCTCTGCCTCCTGGGTTCAAGCAATTCTCCTGTCTCAGCCTCCCGAGTAGCTGGGATTACAGGCATGCGCCACCACTCCTGGCTAATTTTTTGTATTTTTAATACAGACGGGGTTTCACCATGTTGGCCAGGCTGGTCTTGAACTCCTGACCTCAGGTGATCCACCCATCTTGGGCTTCTAAAGCGCTGGGATTACAGGCATGAGCCACCATGCCTGGCCGATAAATTTTTTGAAATGGTAAATTTGGATCATAAAATAACAGGGCATTTTAGATTAGAAGAAGAGTATACTTAAAAGCAGAGAGGTGGCCAGGCACGACGGCTCATGTCTGTAATCTCAGCACTTTGGGAGGTCTCCTTTTGGGAGGCCAAGGCAGGCAGTTTGCCTGAGCTTAGGAGTTTAAACCAGCCTGGGCAACATGGTGAAACCCCGTCTCTACAAAAAACACAAAAATTAGCCAGCCTTGATGGCGGGCACCTGGAGTCCCAGCTACTTGGGAGTCTGAGGTGGGAGGATTGCTCGAGGAGGTTGAGGCTGCGGTGAGCTGTGATGGCACCACAGCACTCCAGCCTGGGTGATACAGGGAGACCCTGTCTCAAAAAAATAAATAAATAAAAAGCAGAGAGGCAAGAATGTGTATGGCATGTTTGGGAAACATTGGTTGAGTGGCATTTACTTTGTAGTCATGAGTTCTCACCAAAGAAGATATATGGATGGCTAACAAATGTAGTAGAAGATATTCAACAGCATTAGTCATTAGGGAAATGCCAACTGAAACCACAGAGATACCACTTCACATTCACTAGAATGGTTATAATTAAAAAGACCGACAATGCCAAATGTGTATGAGGTTATGGAGAAATTAGAACCTTCATGCATTGTTAGTGGGAATATAAAATGATACTGCCACTTTGGAAAATAGTTTTGGAGTTTCTTTAAAAGTTCAACATAGGCCAGGAGTGGTGGCTCAAGCCTCTAATCCCAGCACTTTGGGAGGCTGAGGCGGGCAGATCACGAGGTCAGGAGATCGAGACCATCCTGGCTAACACAGTGAAATCCCATCTCTACTAAAAATACAAAAAATTAGCCGGGCCCGGTGGCACGCACCTGTAGTCCCAGCTACTTGGGAGGCTGAGGCAGGAGAATTGCTTGAACCCAGGAGGCAGAGGTTGCAGTGAGCCGAGATTGCGCCACTGCACTCTAGCCTGGGCGATAGAGTGAGACTCCATCTCGAAAAAAAAAAAAGTTCAACATAAACTTACTCTATGACTCAGCAATTTCACTCCTAGGTACTGCTCAAGAGAAATGAAAATATATGACCACACAGAAGCTTGTATGTGAATGTTCACAACAGCATTATTCATAATAGCCAAAAAGTGGAAACGACCCAAATGGTGAATGGAACAAAACACAGTATATTTGTACAACAGAATATTGTTCAGCCATAAGAAGGAATGAATGACTGACACACTATACAACATGGATGAACTTCAAAAACATCATGCTAAATGAAAAAAGCCAGACACAAAGATTCTATTTACATGCAATGTAGGATTCCATTTATGTAAGTTCCACAAAAGGCAACTCTATAGAGACAGAAAGCTGATTAGTAGTTGTCTGGGGCTAGGGTTGGGAGCAGGAATTGACTGCAAATGAGCACAAGGGAACTTTTTGGGGTGAGGAAAATATTCTAAAAACTGAATTGTGGTGATAGTTGCACAACTCTATAAATTTACTAAGCATTGAACTGTACACTTATAACAGGTGAATTTTATAATGCATAAATTATTTCTAATTAAAGCTGTAGGAGGAAAAGACACAGGTTTAAATCAAATCCTGGCTCTACCACTATCTAGCTGTGAGATTTGGCCAAGTTATTTTAGTTCTGTTAACCTCTGTTGTCCCATCCCTGTAAAATAGGGATGATAAAAATAGTACCGTAGTACAATGAAGACTAAGTAAGGTCATGCAGTAAAGAATGTATCACATAGTGATTACTCCATGAAGGTTAGCTCTTATGAGACTAGTTGGTAAAGATTGTGATGTTCGTATTTGTTTTCAAAAGGTGCATGCAGATTTAGAGGGATCTAAAATCCCAAGAAAGAAAGGAATTAACAGTGAGACTTTTGAAGAGATGAAACAGAGAAGAGGCAGGTGGCAGTAAAAACACAGAAGAAAACTGCAGATAGGCAAATAATGAGGAAAAAGACAGGAAGTGATCATTAATTGAATGAACAGAGCTGGAGTTGAGAATGCTTCTCTTTTCTAAACTGGACTTGGATCTAGATTTTAAAATTACTAGCCAGGCGCAGTGGCTCATGCCTGTAATCCCAGCACTTTGGGAGGCTGAGGCAGGCGGATCACAAGGTCAGGAGATCAAGACCATCCTGGCTAACATGGTGAAACCCCGTCTTTACTAAAAATACAAAAAAAGAAAAAATTAGCCGGGCATGGTGGTGGACGCCTGTAGTCCCAGCTACTTGGGAGGCTGAGGCAGGAGAATGCCGTGAACCCGGGAGGCGGAGCTTGCAGTGAGCCAAGATTGCACCACTGCACTCCAGCCTGGGCGACAGAGCAAGACTCAGTCTCAAAAAAAAAAAAAAAAAGTTACTTAGGCCGGGCATGTTGATGCCTGTAATCCCAGCACTTTGGGAGGCTGAGGCTGGCGGATCACGAAGTCAGGAGTTTGAGACCAGCCTGACCAACATGGTGAAACCCTATCTCTACTAAAAAGTACAAAAATTAGCCAGGCATGGTGGTGCGCACTTGTAATCCCAGCTATTCAGGAGGCTGAAGCAGGAGAATCACTTGAATTCAGGAGGCGGAGCCTGCAGCGAGCCGAGATCGTGCCCTGCACTACAGCCTGGGCGACAGAGCGAGACTCCGTCTCAAAAAAATAAAAATAAAAATTACTTAATTTTGGCCGGGCGCAGTGGCTCACACCTGTGATCCCAGCACTTTGGGAGGCCGAGGCAGGCGGATCACGAGATCAGGAGATCGAGACCATCCTGGCTAACACGGTGAAACCCCGTCTCTACTAAAAATACAAAAAAAGAAAAAATTAGCCAGGCGTGGTGGTGGACACCTGTAGTCCTAGCTACTTGGGAGGCTGAGGCAGGAGAATGGCGTGAACCCAGGAGGCGGAGCTTGCAGTGAGCCGAGATCGCACCACTGCACTCCAGTCTGGGCAACAGTGCAAGACTCTGTCAAAAAAAAAAAAAATTCTTAATTTTATTTACTCATTGTATTCATTCATTTGTTGAACAGAATGTACAAATCATACATGGTAACAGTACCTACTACATAGAGTTGTCACAAATTAAATCAGTTAATTCTTGGAAAGCACAGTTTATACAGGATGCTTTGTATATCATATTAAGGAATTGGGATTTGAACATCTAAGCGTTGTTTAAAACCCATTAATATTAAGGGTCAGCAGTTAATTGGCATATCAGAGCTGTTGGCAAGTTCTTATCAGGAATAGAATCTAGAACTCATTGCCATTTCATACTTTTCAAAAGCTTTTAACTGAGAATATGCAATCAGTTCGTCTATTCCTTTTCAAAGGTCTGTGGTTCTTAACTATTTCAGATTTTAGGCCTCTAAAATTTAGTAAAACTTCTAGGCGGGACCCAGTGGCTCATACCTGTAATCCTAGCACTTTGGGAGGCTGAGGCAGAAGGATCACTTGAGCTCAGGAGTTCGAGACTAGCCCGGACAACATAGCGAGACCTTATCTCTACTAAAAATAATTAAAAAAAAAAAAATAGCTAGGTGTTGTAGTCCCAGCCACTCAGGAGGCTGAGATGGGAGGATTGCCCAGGAGGTTCAGTTTATAGTCAGGAGCTATGATTGTGCCATTGCACTCCAGTCTGAGCAACAGAGACCCTCTCTCAAAACAAACAAAAAATTTTGAGTAGTAGTTCTCAAACCAAGAAGTCTTAAAAACTAATGAGCTTTCGTTTATGTGGAATATGTGTATTATCAATTACTGTACTAGAATTTAAAACTAAATAACAGCAAACTTATTGTACATTAACATAAATATTTTTATGAAAAACAGTTATATTTTCCAAAACAAAAAATATAATGAGAAGGGTGTCAATGTTTTACATTTTTACAAATTTCTTTAACGTCAGCTTTAGCTAATAGATTCTCATGTATGCATCTGCATTCAGTCTGTTGCAATATGTTGTTTTAGTTGAAGGATATGAAGAAAATCTGGCTTCACACAGATATGTAGCTGGAAGAAGTTTTTAGATAGTTTTTTTCTGACCATTGTGGTTATTCTTTGATAGTACATGGAAATGCAACAAGCTGTAATTTCTTTTCATTTTTGAGACGGAGTTTCACCCTGTCCCAGGCTGGAGTGCAGTGGCACAATCTCGGCTTACTGCAACCTCCACCTCCCAGGTTCAAGTGATTCTCCTCTCTTAGCCTCCCGTGTAGCTGGGATTACAGGTGTGCCCCATCACGCCCGGCTAATTTTTTTGTATTTTTAGTAGAGACGGGGTTTCACCATGTTGGCCAGGCTTGTCTTGAACTCCTGACCTTGTGATCCACCTGCCTCAGCCTCCTGAAGTTCTGGGATTACAGGCATGAGCCACCACACCCGGCCAACAAATGGTAATTTCTTAAAGGTTGGTTGCAGCCAGGCACAGTGGTGCGGGTTTATAGTACCAGCTACTCAGGAGGCTGAGGTGGGAGGATTAATTCAGCCCAGGAGTTTGAGTCCAGCCTAGGCAACACAGTGAGATCTGATGTCTTTAAAGAAAAAAAAAAAAAAGTTATTTGCAATGTAGAATCTGAAACATTATTAAATGAACTTTTTGTCCTCTGTTTCATTAAAATCCATTAGGACTGGGTGCAGTGGCTCACACCTATAGTGCTAGCACTTTGGGAGGCCAAGGTGGGCAGATCACTTGAGGTCAAAAGTTCGAGACCAGCCTGGGCAACGTGGTAAAACCCCTGTCTCTACTGAAAAAAATACAAAAATTAGCCAGGCATGGTGGTGAGCACCTGTAATCCCAACTACTCGGGAGGCTGAGGCAGGAGAATTGCTTGAACCCAGGAGGCAGAGGTTGCAGTGAGCTGAGACCTTGCCATTGCACTCCAGCCTGGACAACAAGAGCGAAAGTCCATCTCAAAAAAATAAATAAATAAAATAAAATAAAATAAAATCCACTGGTCTGTCTTTCTCTTTGAATGGATCTTTTACCCATGCATGATTTAATATATGCCCTAGTCATTTGAAAAATATTAATTCCTTGAGATATGCATATCTTCCAAATGTTGACACATTTCATTATATGATGTCCCCCCCCCCAAAAAAAAACACATTTATTATCATCAGGAAAATCTTTAAGTATTGGGACACTGTCAAGCTCATGGTAGTAGATATAAGTTTTCCAAAATTCTAATTTTTGTTTGAAAACTCAAATTTTGTCATTGGCAAGAAACAATATCAGTTTATCAGTTATTTTTCTTGACATGCAAGCTCACTTTCTTCATTATGGGGAAATTTCAGCCAAATACCCAAGTTTTGATAGCCATAGTTTGTCTGTTAGTCGTTTTTTCAGGTAAAAATAGTGGTCAATGAAAAAGGTCAGCTCATAGCTCAATGAATTAGAGAAACGGTTTTCCTCAAGACAACCACCAATCATTCTTTGATATGCAACAGAAGTGCTTCATGCATACATAGCTTGTCATACCAAATAATTAAAAACATGTTCTGAGGGATCTAATAAAACCAATATTTTTTTTCTATTTCATCAAGGATATTCTTTTTTTTTTTTTTTGACAGAGTTTTGCTCTTGTCGCCCAGGCTGGAGTGCAATGGCGCAATCTCAGCTCACTGCAACCTCCACCTCGTGGGTTCAAGCAATTCTCCTGCCTCAGCCTCCCAAGTAGCTGGGATTACAGGCAGCCGCCACCACGACCAGCTAATTTTTGTACTTTTAGTGGAACGGGGTTTCACCGTGTTGGCCAAGCTGGTCTCAAACTCCTAACTTCAAGTGATCTGCCTGCATCGGCCTCCCAAAGTGCTGAGATTACAAGTGTGAGCCACCGCACCTGGCCAAGCATGGACATTTTTAAGACAGAGGTTGCAGTGAACCAAGATGGCACCATTGCACTCCAGCCTGGGCGACAGAGTGAGACTCTGCCTCAAAAAAAAAAAAAAAAAAAAAGTCCATGCTCATGCTCCCCTAGACTAATTAAGTCAGAATATCTAGAGTCCTTGGCATTGATATTTTTAACAGCTCCCTAGGTAATTGTAATGTGCAGTTGAACTTGAGAACTACTATTCTAGACTATTTTCCAGGAACATGTATCTACTCATGGACAGGACATCAGAAAATGGAGGACCACCCCCCACCACCGTAAAAAATTAAATATAAAGAAAGAGAACTGACAAGTCCTCCAAGTAAGAATAGAAAAAGAGTTATTGGTGGCTTTAAAATCTTTATATTCTTTAACCTAGTAATTCTGCTTCCTAAAATTTATCCTAAGAAAAGTAATTTAACAGGAGAGGGAAAAATATATTTGTGAAGACGCGTTATCTTTATAATAGTGAAAATAGGTTTTTAAGCAAGGGTGTTAAATAGTAATAACTATTTCTTAGACAGGTGTGATGATTAAATTAGATGATACATGTAAATTACTTATTGTTCTGCAAAGCACAAAGTACATGCTTAATAAAAGGTGGCTGGCTGGGCCAGATGTGGTGGCTTATGCTTGTAATCCCAGGACTTTGGGAGGCCAAGGTAAGCAGATCACTTGAACGCAGGAGTTCAAGGACAGCCTGGGTAACATGAAGAAACCCTGTCTCTACAAAAAAAAATTAGCCAGGTGTGGTAGCATGCACTTGTAGTCTCAGCTACTTGGGAGGCTAAGGTAGGAAGATCACTTTATCTTAGGAATTTGAGGCTGTAATGAGCTATGATTTTACCATTGCACTTCAGTCCGGGCAATGAGTGAGAGTCTGTCTTAAAACAAACAAACAAACAAAAACGCTGACTGGCCAGTCTAGACTGGTGCTCACACCTATGATCAGCAACATAGTGAGATCTCATCTGTACAAAAAATTTAAAAATTAGGCCAGGTGTGGTGGTTCATGCCTGTAATTCCAGCACTTTGGGAGTCTGAGGTGGGCAGATTTCTTGAGCTTAGGAGTTAGAGACCAGCCTGGCCAACATGGTGAAACTCCTTCTTTACAAAAAAATACAAAAATTAGCCAGGTGTGGTGGTATGCGCCTGTAGTCCCAGTTACTTAGGAGGCTGAGGTGGGAGGATTGCTTGAATCCGGGAGGCGGAGGTTGCAGTGAGCCGAGATAATGCCACTGTACTCTAGCCTGGGTGACAGAGCCAGACCCTGTCTCAAAAATAAATAAATAAATAAACAAATAAATAAATAAAAATTAAAATAAGAATTAAAAATTTTAAAATTAGCCAGGCATAGTGGTGTGCCCCTGTAATCCCAGCTACTCTGGAGGCTAAGGTGGGAGGATCACTTAAGCTTAGGAGTTTGAGGCTGCAGTGAGCTATGATTTTGCCATTGTATTTCAGCCTGGACAAAAGAGGAGGACCCTGTCTCTGAAAAAAAAAAAAAAAAAAAAAAAGGTGGCTGGTGTGTGGAGATGGACAGTAGGGAGGCAAAAGTAGAAGAAGACAAGTTATGAAGCCACTGAAGTAAGCAAGAGTTCATGGTAGCATGGATTAATGGCCAGAAGAGGGAATAAACAAATGACATATACAGTTGGCCCTCCATATCTGTGGGTTCTGCATCCCTGGATTCAACTAACTGTGAATGGAAATTTTTTTTTAATGGATGATTGCATCTGTACTGAACACGTACAGACATTTTTTTTCTTGTCATTACTCTGTAAACAGTGCTTATAAATAACAATTATTTACATTGTATTATATGTACTCTAGAGATAATTTAAAGTATATGGGAGGATATGTGTAGGCGATATGCAAATACTATGCCATTTTGTATGGAGGACTTGAGCATCCATGGATTTTGGTTTCCAAGGGGTACCTGGAATTAGTCCCCCACAGATACCAAGGAACATGGTATATACTTTATCTTTGCTGATGGATTTATTAGGGAATGGAGATTGAGGAAAAGAAAAGAATCAAGGATGACTGTGGCTTTTAGTAACTAAGTGGAAGTAGTGTCATTTACTAAGAATGGGAAAGCTAACGGAAGACCAGGCTTGGAAGAAAATCAAGATTAATAGAGAAGGCCAGGCACAGTGGATCACACCTGTAATCCCAGCACTTTGGGAGGCTGAGATGGGCAGATCACTTGAGGTCAGGAGTTTGAGATCAGCCTGGCCAACATAGTGAAACCTTGTCTCTACTAAAAGTACAGAAATTAGCCTGGTGTGGTGGCGCATTCGCCTGTAATCCGAGCTACTTGGGAGGCTGAGGCAGGAGAATCGCTTGAACCCAGAAGGCAGAGGTTACAGTGAGCCGAGATTATGCCACTGCACTCCAGCCTGGGTGACAGAGCAAGACTGCGTCTCAAAACAAATAAATAAATAAATAGGCGGGCATGGTGGCTCACACCACTGATGGATTGAGACCTTGTCTCAAAAAACAAACCAAAGAACAAAAAAACAGGCTGAGCGCAGTGGCTTATGCCTGTAATCCCAGCACTTTGGGAGGCCGAGGAGGGTGGATCATTTGAGATCAGGAGTTTGAGACCAGCCTGGCCAACCTGGTGAAACCTCGTCTCTACTAAAAATACAAAAAAATTAGCTGGGCTTGGTGGTGCATGTCTGTAATCCCAGCTACTTGGGAGGCTGAGGCAGGAGAGTGGCTTGAACCAGAGAAGTGGAGGTTGAGGTTAAGCTGAGATTGTGCCACTGCACTCCAGCCTGGGTAACAGAGTAAGAGTCCATCTCAAAAAAAAAAAAAAAAAAAAAAAAAAAAAGAAAGAAAAGATTAATAGAGAAGAAAAGAGTGTCCAAAATTACCCTCAAGGAGTAACAGTGCGCTAGATATTTGTTGTGGTTTTAAAATATGTCCACAGAAATCTTTGATACTCCTCCCTTTAAGTGACTGAGTTTAATCCCACTCCTCTTGAGTGTGGGCTGGGCTTAGTGACTTGCTTGTAATGCAAAGAATACAGCAGAAGTGATGGTATTTGAGTTCAGAGACTAGGTCATAAAAGGCATTGCAGCTTCCAATCTATATATTCTACATTGCCTTCACAGTCATCAACCCCAGACCCAAATAATAATAGGTAATTTTTCAGCTCTTAGCTTTTAAGACAGACAGAGAAAAGTTTAGCTACATAACAGACTTTGAAAATGCCATAATTCGGCCAGGCGCAGTGGCTCACACCTGTAATCCCAGCACTTTGGGAGGCCGAGGTGGGCAGATCACGAGGTCAGGAGATCAAGACTACCCTGGCTAACATGGTGAAACCCTGTCTCTACTAAAAATTAAAAAAAAAAAAAAAAATAGCCAGGCGTGGTGGCAGGCGCCTGTAGTCCCAGCTACTCTGGAGGCTGAGGCAGGAGAATGGCGTAAACCCGGGAGGCAGAGCTTGCAGTGAGTCAAGATTGCGCCACTGCACTCCAGCCTGGGCAACAGAGCAAGACTCCGTCTCAAAAACAAAACAAAACAAAACAAAAAACAAAAAAAAAAGAAAATGCCATAAGTCTTCCTCCTGTATAGTGTAACTATTTTCTTCTCTGCCTGGCAAATTCCTTCCCAATCTTTTAGCATAGCTCAAATGTCACTTCCTCTCTGGCTGTGCCAGCATTACTTTACCCTTCTCTGGGCTTCCAAAAACATTTTGTGTATATCCCTTTTATGACACTTACTGTTTTTTACTACTCAGCTTAACAATGTTTATTTAAGACCTACCTATATCACATTTTTTAAAACCACTTTTTACTTCTTTATTTCCAGTTTTTGCATAAAACAAGCACAGTACTATATGGGAAGTCAGAGATTCATTTTATATCTATCTTAGCAAATATGAAGCAGTATTTTAATGTATCACTCAAAACATCTGTGTTTAAATTTGAATCTAAGTTTGGGTGAAAGCAAAGTATAGAAAATGGAAAGAAATCCTTTATCTGTTGCAACCATTGAATTGACTTTGGGATATAGTGATTTCCATTTTATTAAGAGGAAATTATTTTTGAATAGATTTTATAAATCTGTATTTAAGACACGGCCTTTTTTTTTTTTTTTTTTTTTTGCTGGTTTTCCAATAAAGTGTGAAGTGGAGTGATGGCATGTTAAGAGTCTCAAGAATTCCAAAAATCACAGTTTAAAACTGTATCTTTGTATATAGCTAGTTGCAATGCAGACTTGTATTAAGAAACATGGTTATGGCCAGGTGTGGTGGCTTACACCTGTAATCCCAGCACTTTGGGAGGCCGAGGTGGGCCTGACTTGAGGTCAGGAGTTCGAAACCAGCCTGGCCAACATGGTGAAACCCTGTCTCTACTAAAAATACAAAAATTAGCTGGTGTGGTGGTGCATGCCTATAATCCTAGCTACTCAGGAGGCTGAGGCAGGAGAATCGCTTGAATCTGGGAGGTAGAGTTTGCAGTGAGCTGAAATTGCGCCACTGCACTCCAGCCTGGGTGACAGAGTGAGACTCCGTCTTAAAAAAAAAAAAAACAGAAACATGGTTACTATGGTTTTGTATACCAGAACTTATCTGTATCAGTTAGGACTGTATGTTACAAATGGTAGAAAATCCAACTAGAACTGATTTAACAGCAAAAACAACAACAACAAAAAAGACTTTATTATTGCTCATATGCCAGTGAAACAGTTTCTTGCTTCTTCTTGAAAGAAACTTGATCCAGGGTTCAAATGACATCTTCTTCCTTGGTGATGACTCCATTTCTGGGCAGGCTATCCTTTCATGGTGCCAAGCTGGCTGCTAATAGGTCCTGAAGCTATGTACTTCCATCCAGTAGAAAAGAGACTCAATTTCCCTGATAGCTGGAAAAAGTTCCAAAAATTTAATCTTATTAGCATTGAATATCCTTAGTTGGGTCATATGATTACGTTCCTGTTCCTGAACCAATCTGGGAGTGAGAGGAGTTAAAGGAATACGAGATATAGTGATTGGCTTAAGTTGTCATCCAAGAGTTGCATGTGTAGAGGAGGAAAGTGAAAGAGAAAGGGAGATGTATTTCGTCAACCATTACTTTAAAATATGCCTTCCATGGGAGAAATGCCATAATCATCAACCACAATATTTATGGAGCTCCTAATTTTAGAAACAGCTTGAAGATCATTAGACTGATTTTGACTGTGTCTCTTTGCTACAAGGAAATTTATTTATTTATTTATTTTATTTTTTAGAGATAGGATCTCACTCTGTCACCCAGGCTGGAGTGCAGTGATGCAATCATAGCCTCAAGGGATCCTCCCACCACAGTCTCCTGAGTAGCTGGAGCTACTCAGAACTAGAATATTAGGAGTGGAGCTGGAGCTGGTCTTGAAAACTGTACTCTGGTTTACAAGGAAGTTTATTAAGAAAAAAAGATTGGGAGGCTGAGGCGGGCCTCCCAGACATGTGAGGTCAGGAGTTTGAGACCAGCCTGGACAATATGGCGAAACCCTATCTCTACTAAAAAAACACAAAAATTGGGCCTGGCATGGTGGCTCACACCTGTAATCCCAGCACTTTGGGAGGCCGAAGCGGGCAGATCATGAGGTCAGGAGATCGAGATCATCCTGGCTAACATGGTGAAACCCCGTCTTTACTAAAAATACAAAAAATTAGCTGGGCATGGTGGCAGGCACTTGGAGTCCCAGCTACTTGGGAGGCTGAGGCAGGAGAATCGCTTGAACCCGGGAGGCAGAGGTTGCAGTGAGCTGAGATCGTGCCATTGCACTCCAGCCTGGGTGACAGAACGAGACTCCGTCTGAAAAAAAAAAAAAACCAAAAAACAAAAATTGGCAGGGTGCGGTGGCTCACACCTGTAATCCCAGAACTTTGGGAGGCTGAGGCGGGTGGATCACGAGGTCAGGAGTTCAAGACCAGCCTGGCCAAGATGGTGAAACCCCATCTCTACTAAAAATACAAAAATTAGGGGGGCACGGTGGCAGGTGCCTGTAATCTCAGCTACTCAGGAGGCTGAGGCAGGAGAATTGCTTGAACCCAGGTGGCAGAGGTTGCAGAGAGCTGAGATCACGCCACTGCACTCCAGTCTGGGTGATAGAATAGGACTCCATCTCAAAAAAAGAAAAAAAAATAGCCGGGCATTGTGGTGGGCGCCTGTAATCCCAGCTACTTGGGAGGCTGAGGCAGGAGAATCACTTGAACCTGGGAGGCAGAGGTTGCAGTGAGCCGAGATCATGCCATTGCACTCCAGCCTGGGTGACAAGAGCAAAACTCTGTCTCAAAAAAACAAAAAAAGAAGAAAACAAAGAGGGCTAGGTGCTGTAGCTCATACCTGTACCAGCACTTTGGGAGGCCAAGGCAGGAAAATCACTTGAGTCCAGGAGTTAGACCAGCCTGAGCAACACAGGGAGACCCCATCACTACAAAAGAAAAATGAGCTGGGTGTGGTGGCCCATGCCTGTAGTCCCAGATACTTGGGAGGCTGAGGATCACTTGAACCAGGGAGGTTGAGGTTGCAATGCGCTTTGATGGTGCCAGTGCCCTCCAGCCTGTGCGACAGAGTGAGACCTTGTCTCAAACAACAAAAAAACAACAAACAGGGGCCCAGGCGCAGTGGCTCATGCCTGTAATCCCAGCATTTTGGGAAGCCAAGGCGGGGGGATCACCTGAGGTCAGGATCAGCCTGGCCAACATGGTCAGACCAGCCTGGCCAGGTGAGACCAGCCTGGCCAACATGGCGAAACCCCATCTCTACTAAAAATACAAAAATTAGCCTGTCGTGGTGGCACCTGCCTGTAGTCCCAGCTACTCAGGAGGCTGAGGCACAAAAATCTGGGCTTGAACCCGGGAGGTGGAGGTTGCAGTGAGCCAAGATTGCGCCACTGCATTCCAGCCTGGGCAACAGAGCGAGATTCTGTCTCAAAAAAAAAAAAAAATCAAATCAAACTTTAACACTTTAACAGTTCAACAGGTCTGGGCCAACAATATCATCCTCCCCATAAAATCCTTCTAAATTCTAGGCTGGGCGTGGTGGCTCATGCCTGTAATCCCAGCACTTTGGGAGGTCAAGGTGCTTAAAAAATACTTCTAAATTCTAGTAATCCCAGCTACTCAGGAGGCTGAAGCAGGAGAATTCCTTGAACCCGGGAGATGGAGGTTGCGGTGAGCTGAGATTGCGCCATTGCACTCCAGCCTGGGCAGCCTTAATCACCTGCATGCCTTAAGGAAATCACTAAACCTTCTGAAGCTTTCTGTAAAATGAGGATGCTTAATTACCTCATCTCTAACACTATTAGCAAAATAAACATTAATTTTGAAATTTAATGTTTCTTTTTTTTTTTTTTTTGCGATGGAGTTTCGCTCTTGTTGCCCAGGCTGGAGTGCAATGGTGTGATCTCAGCTCACTGCAACCTCCGCCTCCCGGGTTCAAGTGATTCTCCTGCCTCAGCCTCCTGAGTAGCTGGTATTGCAGGCATGCGCCACCACCTCGGCTAATTTTTTTGTATTTTTAGTAGAGATGGGGTTTCTCCATGTTGATCAGGCTGGTCTCGAACTCTCGACCTCAGGTGATCCGCCTACCTCGGCTTCCCAAAGAGCTGGGATTACAGGCGTGAGCCACCGCGCCTGGCCAATTTAATGTTTCTTATACCACATACACTAATTTCAGACAAAAGCTGTGAAACAATAGAATGGTACTTTCTGTGTCTTATATACTTACTTTATAGATCACTGCACCTCCTAATATACACTATGCATTAATTTTGTCTTACATAACATACATGTTTCCCTATGCATTCCCTCATGTCCCCTGCATCTTGGGGATGAGAGATTATGTCATCATTCCTCAGATGCATTTCCAACCACTACACTATCCTCCTTTGCAGTCCATGCTTTCCTCATCTTACCTTTTATCTCTCCTGATCATTGTTTTGTATTGACTTCCAAGACTTGCCTCTACATTTGTTGCAAACTTCGATAATCTGGCTTTTTTTCAACCCGGCATCTGTCATCTTCTGAGTTGTGTAACTTTATTCATGTGGATGAGCCACCTAAGATTCTGTCCTCAACATTTTTTGGCTTATACCATCCCATTATCTTCACTCTTCTAACAATCTGAAATTCCTTATCGTTCCTTCTAGCTCTTTCATTTCCCCACTCCTAATACTCAAGTTCTTTAAGATTATGGAGCTATATATGTATATACACACATTTTTAAAGACAGAGTCTTGCTCCATCACCCAGGCTGAAGTGCAGTGGCGTGATCAGGGTTCACTGCAGCCTCGAGCTCCCAGGTGTAAGCGATTCTCCTACCTCTGCCTCTGGGGTAGCTGAGACTACAGGCACACACCACCACACCTGGCCATCAATCCCCCTCCTGCTTTTCTTTCCTTTTCTATGATGGAGTCCTCCATGGTCTGTGAAGCTCTACTCACAATTCCTTTCTGAGAAAAGTAGGCTGGGGTGGCCATGCTGTATGTTATATAATTGTTAGGGAAACAGGAGTATCAGAGAGCAAGGTTGACACCATTTTAAAATATACTCCATCTTAAAGCTAGCAAGGCACATTCCTCACCAGTTCATGACCCATGGTCACAAGATGTTTACGGCTAAGAAAGCAGCTTAATAATGCCTGCAAGGACAAACTCCTGCAACCACAGAATGTCCAGATGCCCCGATATCACATAACAATATATGCTTTTAAGATGATTATAGTCATGCTTTGATGTACTTACGCACTAAAATGCCAAGGATAACTATCTTTAAATCAACAAAGTAATAAATGTTGTCATGCTGTCAGCCTACCTGCATGTAGACATAGCTTAGCTTTTACATAGATAAGACCTCTATATAAGAAGAGTTTAAAACAAAGCGGCCGGCGCGGTAGCTCATATCTGTAATCCCAGCAGTTTGGGAGGCTGAGGCGGGCAGATCACCTGAGGTCGGGAGTTTGAGACCAGCCTGACCAACATGGAGAAACTCTGTCTCTATTAAAAATATAAAATTAGCCGGGCATGGTGGCGCATGCCTGTAATCCCAGCTACTCAGGAGGCTGAAGCAGGAGAATTGCTTGAACCCGGGAGGCGGAGGTTACGGTGAGCTGAGATCGCGTCATTGCACTCCAGCCTGGGCAACAGGAGCGAAACTCTGTCTCAAAAACAAAACAAAACAAAACAAAGACAGTGCTCATTCCTCCGCTTGCTTTCTAAGGATGCCCTACTCTGTAACTGAGTAGCTTTCTATAAATTATCTCTTCTTGCTGCACTCTGTGACTTGCCTTGAATTCCTTTCTGCATGAGATCCAAGAACCCCTCTTTTAGGGTCTGGGTTGGGACCTTTTTCCAGCATCATCATTGTGTTACCCTGGTTGTGGCTGATTAGATCAGAAATCTATAAAATAGCAGAAGATAAACATTTATAGGCTAAACATAAGGGAAGACCAGAAGTCTTTAATGTGGTCCATATTGGATGAACCTAACTGACTCAATAAGTCCTCTTTTGGGGGAATTTGGATGCAAGTCACAGAAAAATTAATACAAACAGGGAGAAGTAGTAAGTATGTGCAGAAGAGGAGAGAGAGAAACTAGGCAGTAAGAAGCTGAGTTATGAATATGGGAGAATTCCCGGAAAAAGGAGTAAATGGGCATTTACTTCTGAGAGAGTAGAAGCAAACCAGATGATTAGAGCTGACATTAGGGTGAAATTCTATTCAATAGACTAGAACATCTATTGCATCCTATTCTAGGCATGTTTTCGTTTCTCCCTGATGCCTGTCTGTGGAACAAGTTTCCTGGGCTTCCTGCCTTCTACTTCAGTGCCATTATCTTCTACCTCAGACTTTGTGATAACCTGAACTAAGGGTATCTCTGCTTCTTGCCAACTGAAAGAGACTAATGTCCCATCCAGTAATTGATCAGCTCAATTCTTCTTTTGCCAGCACTGTCAACTCTCTCTCTTCCTTGTCCTTCTATTGCAACTGCCTCATAAACTTCCAATTCCAGATGAATCTATCCCTCAATCTCCTCTGCTACTTCATCTGGGCTACTGAAATTTAGTAGGAAAAGGCTGGGCGCGGTGGCTCACGCCTGTAATCCCAGCACTTTGGGAGGCCAAGGTGAGCGGATCACGAGGTCAGGAGATCAAGACCATCCTGGCTAACACAGTGAAACCCCGTCTCTACTAAAAATACAAAAAGTTAGCCGAGCGCGGTGGTGGGCGTCTGTAGTCCCAGCTACTTGGGAGGCTGAGGCAGTAGAATGGTGTGAACCCGGGAGTCAGAGCTTGCAGTGAGCCAAGATCGCGCCACTGCACTCCAGCCTGGGCGACAGAGCGAGACTCCGTCTCAAAAAAAAACAAGAAAGAAATTTAGTAGGAAAAAAATAACATCGCTTTTTGGATTCATACTACCATAAACATATCTGTTCTCATCTGGATACTCCATGGCAAGCAGCAATTCTTACAACATTTTCCTATTCATTTTTGGTTTCTCATTTCCTGAAAAAGTATTCTAAATATTCGCCACTCTACTCAAGTCCCCTAAGTCTCCCACACACCTCCTTCCAGCAAAACTTTATCTTCTACTTCATAAAGAAAGTAGAGGGCCGGGTGCAGTGGCTCATGCCTGTAGTCTCAGCATTTGGGAAGCCACAGCGGGAAGATCGCTTGAGCCCAGGAAGATCGCTCGAGAGCAGCCTGGCCAACACAGTGAGACCTTGTCTCTACAAAAAATAGCCAGGTGTTGTGGCGCTTGTAGTCCCAGCTACTCCAGAGGCCAAGGTGGGAGAATCACTTGAGCCCCAGGATGTCTTATATCCTGCAACTAGAATCACTACAGTAAGCCCAGATTATGCCACTGCACTTCCACCCGGGTGACAGAGTGAGACCTTCTCAAAAAAAAAAAAAAGAAAAAAGAAAAAAGGAAGTAGAGACCACTAGACTCTAAGTTTTTTTTTATTTTTGGCAGAGTTTTGCTCTGTTACCCAGGCTGGAATGCAGTGGCACGATCTCTGCTCACTGCAACCTCTGCCTCCTGGGTTTTAGCGATTCTCCTGCCTCAGCCTCCTGAGTAGCTGGAATTACATGCGCATGCCAACATGCCTGGCTAATTTTTTGTATTTTTAGTAGAGGCAAGGTTTCACCATGTTGGCCAGGCTGGTCTCAAACTCCTGACCTCAAGTGATCTGCCTGCCTCGGTCTCCCAAAGTGCTGGGATTACAAGAGTGAACCACCATGCCTGGCCAGACTCTAAGTTCTGAGAGAGCAAGCGCTTTATCTCATTCATCTCTGAATCTCTAGCACTGGGCTTAGGGCTTGACACATAAATGTTGCCCAATAATCATTTGCTGGATGAATAACATGTTACATCAGTCAGGGATTCCCTCAACTTCTTGCCCTGCCTCTGAACAAATTATCTCTGTCTTACCAGCAGTCTCCATCTTTCTCCCTAGTCTCAAAGGAAAAAGAGTCCTGCCTTCTCTCCAAGCCTATCCATAAGTGCTCTAGAACACATCCTGGTTTGTATTCCAGGCATCATCCCTCCATCCATTTTCAATCTTCTACCTGTCCTCCACCTCCCCTCCCTACTCTTCGCTCCTCTCCACCCTCTTCCCTTCCCCATCCTACCACCCTCCCCCTCTACTTTTCTGCCAGGGCTCTTTCTGGTCTCTATTCTTTTCCATTGATCTATTTGTCTATTTTCTCAGCAATACTACACTGTTTTGATTACTGTAGCTTTATAGTAAGTCTTGAAGTCAGGTAATATCAGTCCTCTGACCTTGTCAGTCTTCTAACTTTGCCTTCTCCTTCAGTATTGTGTTGGCTATAGAATTAGTTTGTTGATATCCATATAATCATTTGCTGGAATTTCGATTGGGATTGTATTGAAATCTATAAATCAAGTTGTGAAGAACTGATGTCTTGATAATTGAGTTTTTCTACCCACAATCATTGAATATCTCCCTATTTATTTGGTTCTTCTTTGATTTTTTAAAATCAGAGTTTTTAGTTTTCCTCATAGATCTTAAACATATTTTGTTAGATTTAAATCAAAATATAGGCCAGGTGCAGTGGTTCATGCCTGTAATCCCAGCACTTTGGGAGGCCAAGGCGGGTGGATTGCTTGAGGTTAGGTGTTGGAGACCAGCCTGACCAACATGGTGAAACCCTGTCTGTACTAAAAATACAAAAAAAAATTAGCCAGGTGTGGTGGCAGGTGCCTGTAATCCCAGCTACTCGGGTGGTTGAGGCAGAAGAATCATTTGATCCCAGGAGGCAGAGATTGTAGTGAGCCAAGATTGCACCACTGCACTCCAGCCTGGGCAACAGAGCAAGACTCTGTCTCAAAAAATATATATATTTATATCAAAATATTTCATTTTGGTTTTTCCTGCCATCTTGGATCCTGCTGGGAACAAGACTTCTAAAAGAAAATATGTCTGGAAGCTGTGGTCCAAGGCCATTTTTGCTGGCTATAAGCAGGGTCTCCGGAACAGAGAGCACACAACTTTCCTTAAAATTGACGGTGTTTATGCCCGAGATGAAACAGAATTCTATTTGGGCAAGAGATGTGCTTATGTATACAAAGCAAAGAACAACAAAGTGACTCCTGGCGGCAATCAAACAAAACCAGAGTAATCTGGGGAAAGGTAACTCTGGCCCACAGAAACAGTGGCATGGCTTGTGCCAAATTCCGAAGCAATCTTCCTGCTAAGGCTATTGGACACAGAATCCAAGTGATGCTGTACCCTCATGCTGTACCCCTCAAGGATTTAAACTAATGAAAAGTCAATAAATAAAAGTGGATTTGTGCTCTTGTAAAAAAGCATTTCAGGCCGGGCTCAGTGGCTCACACCTGTAATCCCTGCACTTTGGGAGGCTGAGGCGGGTGGATCTGACCAACATGGTGAAACCCCGTCTCTACTAAAAATATGAAATTAGCCAGGTGTCGTGGCACATGCCTGTAATCCCAGCTACTTGGGAGGCTGAGGCAGGAGAATTGCTTGAGCCCAGGAGGCAGAGGTTGCAGTGAGCTGAGATCATGCCAATGCACTCCAGCCTGGGCAACAAGAGTGAAACTCCACATGAGAAAAAAAAAATCATTTTGGAGGGTGCCTAATGTAAATGAAATTGTGCTTGCTATCTTTTTTTTCTTTCTTTCTTTCTTTCTTTTTTTTTTTTGAGATGGAGTCTTGCTCACTTGTTCATTACTGAGATATAGGAAAGTCATTGGCTTTTTTTTTTTTTTTTTTTTTTTTTTGAGATGGGGGTCCCACTCTGTTGCCCAGGCTGGAATGCAATGGTGTTATCTCAGCTCACTGCAACCTTCGCCTCCCAGGCTCAAGCGATCCTCCTGCTTTAGTCTCCCAAGAAGCTGGGACTATAGGCATGCACTACCACATCCAGCTAATTTTTGTATATTTTGTAGAGACGAGATTTCACCATGTTGCCCAGGTTGGTCTCAAACTCCTGGACTCAAGTGATCTGTGCTCCTCAGTCTCCCAAAGTGCTGGGATTACAGGCATGAGCCACTCCATGGAGCCTACTGCAGCCTTGAATTCCTGGGCTCAAGTGATCCTCCTGCCTCTGCCTCCCGCGTAGCTGTGACTACAGGCTCGTGCCACCGCAACTGGCTGACTTTTGTATACTAACCTTGCATTCTGCAACTATCATCACTTGCTATAATTGCTTATTAGTTCCAAGTGTTTCTTTTGTCATTTCCAGTTTTCTACATAATCATGTCATCTGTGACAAAGATGATTTTATTTCATCCTTCTCTTTACTATGTTTTAATGAGGTTGTCTTTTATTATCGAGTTTTAAGATTCTTTAGATATTTTAAATATAAATCCCTTTTAACATATATGATTTGCACGGCCGGGTGCAGTGGCTCATGCCTGTAATCCCAGCACTTTGGAAGGCTGAGGCGGGCGGATCACCTGAGGCCAGGAATTCGAGACCAGCCTGGCCAACGTGAGGAAACCCTATCTCTACTAAAGATACAAAAATTAGCCAAGTGTGGTAATGCATGATTGTAATTCCAGCTACACAGGCAGCTGAGGAGAATCGCTTGAACCGGGGAGGTGGAGGTTGCAGTGAGCTGAGATTGCACCACTGCACTCTGGCCTGGGCAATAGGGTAAGACTCTATCTCAAAAAAAAAAAAAAAAAAAAAGATATCTGATTTGCAAATATTTTCTCCTATCTTGAGAGGTGTCTTTACTTTCTGGATGCCTTTCATCGAAGAACAAAAGTTTTTAATTTTGATGAAATTCACTTTATTTATTTTATTTTGCTGCTTTGTGCTTTTAGTTTCGTATCTAAGAAGATTTTAACTAACTCAAGTTCCCAAAGACATATTTCTATATTTTCTTCTAAGATTTTTATTGTTTTAGCTCTTACATTTAGGTCTGTGGTCTATTTTGAGTTAATTTTTGTGTGTAGTGTTGGAAAAGGGTCCAATTTTTTTCTTTTATATGTGGATATCTAGTTGTCCTAGCACCATTTGTTGGAAAGATTTTTCTTTTCCCCATTGAATCATCTTGGCACATTTGTTGAAAAGCAATTGACCATAAATGCGAGTTTATTTCTGTACTCATAAGAACTGATCATACTTTTTTTTTTTTTGAGACAGAGTCTCACTCTGTCACCCAGGCTGGAGTGCAGCAGCGCGATCTCGGCTCACTGCAACCTCCGCCTCCCAGGTTCAAGTGATTCTCCTTGCTTCAGCCTCCCAAGTAGCTGGGATTACAGGCACCTGTCACCACACCTGACTAATTTTTGTATTTTTGGTAGAGACGGGGTTTTGCCATGTTGGCAGGGCTGGTCTCAAACTCCTGACCTCAGGTGATCCACCCTCCTCGGCCTCCCAAAGTGCTGGGATTACAGGTGCGAGCCACTGTGCCTGGCCCATACTTATTTTTAAGAAGCAGCTCAGGAACCTTTCCGACTTCCCTTTCTTCCAATTATGAACCGAGTTAGGTGTTCCTTATGTTCTGCCCCATGGCATCCAGTGCTTACCTGTGTTATAGCACTCCATTATCATGGCATGTTTGCTGCTTATTGTCTACTTAACTATGAAACTGCAAATTCTTCTAAGGATTTGCCTTGTCCACCTTTGAATCCTCCCAATCTATCACAGGTCTAGTGATTAACAAAGTTGTTTTTTTTGAAACACAGTTTCACTCTGTTGCCCAGGTTAGAGTGCAGGGGCACGATCTTGGCTTACTGCAACTTCTGCCTCCCAGGTTCAAGTGATTCTTGTGCCTCAGCCTCCCCAGTAGCTGGGATACAGGCGCATGACACTACATTCAGCTAATTTTTATATTTTTAGTAGAGACAGGGTCTTACCATGTTGGCCAGGCTGCTCTCAAACTCCTGACCTCAAGCGATCTGCCCGCCTCTACTTCCCAAAGTGTTGGATTTACAGGTGTGAGCCACTGAGCCTGGCCCTCATGTCTATTGAATTTAAAAATAAATTTTAGCTGGGCATGGTGGCTCACGCCTATAATCTCAGCACTTTGGGAGGCCAAGGTGGGCAGATCGGTTGAGTCGGGAGTTCAAGACCAGCCTGGGTAATATGGCAAAATCCCATCTCTACAGAAAAATTAGCCAGGGATGGTGGCACATGCCTGTAGTCCCAGATACTCCCAGATTCTTGGGAAGCTGAGGTAGGAGGATTGCTTGGGCCCAGGAGGTCGAGGCTGAAGTGAACCATGATTGTGCCACTGCACTCCAGCCTTGGGGGACAGAGTAAGATCTTATTTCAAAAAAAGAAGAAGAAAAAGAAAGAAGAAGCTTTGTAGCATATCTTTATTTTATAATTTTATAAATACTTTATACAAATATTTATTTGATATCAAATATTCAAGTAAGAATGCAATCTGTTATTATTCATATGAGACAATATAGACCATGACAATCTTCTAGAATTATAGGAATTGTTAATCAATTAATGTCAATAAACAATAATTTATTGAGCATTTACTATGTAAAGGCTGATGTGCTAGGTGCTGAATAGAATATTGGTTTTAAATTTATATAGCAGTACCTGCCATCAAGAAACTTACAGACTAAGTTAGAAAATAAGAGAATAATCCATCTGTGATAAGAATAGGACAGTCTTTTATTTCCAGCCTTACCTTGACTCTCACATTCATGGCTTCCTCTGCCTTGATTCTCAGGAGGAAAATAAAATATCTAGGGGGTAAATGTGAAACACAACCAGCTTCTCAGGAGGGTTCTCTGGAGTAGATATGAACTGTTTGTTTGGTTTTTGAGAGAGTCTCTCTCTGTCTCCCAAGCTGGAGTGCAGTGGCACAATCATGGCTCACTGCAACCTCCACCTCCCGGGTTCAAGCAATTCTCGTGCCACAGCCTCCAGAGTAGCTGAGATTACAGGCCTGCACCACCACTCCCAGCTAATTTTTATATTCCTTTTTTTTCTTTTTGAGACGGAGTCTCACTCTGTCACCCTGGCTGGAGTGCAGTGACATGATCTCAGCTCACTGCAACCTCCGCCTTCCGGGTTCAAGCAATTCTCCTGACTCGGTCTCCCAAATAGCTGGGATTACAGGCACCCGCCACCACAGCTGGCTAATTTTTTTGTATTTTTAGTAGAGACAGAGTTTCACCACGTTGGTCAGGCTGGTTTCGAACTCCTGACCTGAAGTGATCCACCCGCCTCTGCCTCCCAAAATGCTAGGATTACAGGCGTGAGCCACTGCGCCAGGTCTAATTTTTGTATTTTTAGTGGAGACGGGTTTTGCTATGTTGGCCAGACTGGTCTCGAACTCCTAGACTCAAGCGATCTGCCTGCCTCGGCCTCCCAAAGTGCTGGGATTATAGGCGTGAGCCACTGGGCCCAGCCATGAACTGTTTTAAGCCACTATTTAATATCACCTTGACCCAGACCTCCAGAGCAAGCTGAAACAAGACTAGAGCTTGTTTTGATGAAGTTGTTTCACAGCATTTGCTTAATCAGGCACTAAATCTTAAAATTTCCATCTTATCCGCAAAATAGGATATTTGCAAATTATATATTGAATAATGAATTAATATTCCGAATCTATGAAGAACTATACAAGTCAACCATGTGTGGTGGCTCATGCCTGTAATTGTAGCAATTTGGAAGGCAGAGATGGGTGGATCGCTTGAGCCCAGGAGTTGGAGACCAGCCTGGGCAACATGACAAAACCCCGTCTCTACAAAAAGTATAAAAGTTAGCTGGGCATGGTGGCATGCGCTTAATGCCCCAGCTACTCAGGAGGCTGAGGTGGGAGGATCACTTGAGCACGGGAGGTTGAGGCTGCTGTGAGTCTTGATCACGCCACTACAATCTAGCCTGGGTGACAGAGTGAAACCCTGTCTCAAAAAAAAAAAAAAAAACAAAAACCAAACCAAAACAAAAAACTATAATGAGATACCATTTCACACCCATCAGGATGGCTATTACCAAAAAACAGAAAACAAGAAATGTTGGTCAGATTGTAGAGAAATTGGAACCCTCATGCATTAATGGTGGGAATGTAGAATGGTATGAGACTATGGAAAATAGTATGGTAGCTCCTCAAAAACATAAACATAAAATTACCATATGGTCTAGCAATTACACTTTTAGGACCCAAAAGAATTGAAAGCAGGGTCTTGAAGAGATATCTGTACACCCATGTTCATAGCAACATTATGCACAATAGCCAAAAGGTAGAAACTCAAATGTCCATGGACAGATAAATGAATAAACAAAATATAGTGTATATATATATGTATATATATATACTGTGTATATGTATATGTATATATATATGCATATATATATACACTGTGTATATATGTATATATATACTGTGTATATATATGTGTATATATATACTGTGTATATATACGTATACATATACTGTGTATATATACGTATACATATACTGTGTATATATACGTATACATATACTGTGTATATATACGTATACATATACTGTGTATATATACGTATATATATATACTGTGTATATATACGTATATATATATACTGTGTATATATACGTATATATATATACTGTGTATATATACGTATATATATATACTGTGTATATATACGTATATATATATACTGTGTATATATACGTATATATATATACTGTGTATATATACGTATATATATACTGTGCGTATATATACGTGTATATATATACTGTGCGTATATATACGTGTATATATATACTGTGCGTATATGTGTATATATACACTGTGCATATATATACGTATATATACACTGTGCATATATATACGTATATATACACTGTGCATATATATACGTATATATATACACTGTGCATATATATACGTATATATATACTGTGCATATATATAGTGTATCTATATATGTATATATATACTGTGTATCTATATATGTATATATATACTGTGTATATATATACTGTGTATATATATACACTGTACAGTATATATATACTGTGTATATATACACTGTGTATATATACACTGTGTATATATACACTGTATATATATACAGTGTATATGTACACAGTGTATATATACTCAGTGTATATATACGTATATATACACTGTGTATATATACATATGTATACACAGTGTATATATACGTATGTATACACTGTGTATATATACGTATGTATATACTGTGTATATATACGTATGTATATACAGAATATTATCCAGCCTTAAAATGAAATTCTTTTCCTTCCCTGCTTCAGGCCCCCCAGATGGAAGAAAGGAGTGAAATTCTGATATATGATACAATGTGGATGAACCTTGAAGACATTGTGCTAAGTAAACTAAGCTTGTTGGCCGGGCACAGTGAGTGGCTCAGGCCTGTAATCCCAGCACTTTGGGAGGCTGAAGCGAACAGATGACTTGAGGCCAAGAGTTCAAGATCAGCCTGGCCAATATGGTGAAACCCCATCTCTACAAAAAAAATACAAAAATTAGCCAGGTGTGATGGCATGCCCCTCTAATCCTAGTTACTTGGAAGGCAGAGGCAGGAGAATCACTTGAACCTGGGAGGCAGAGGTTGCAGTGAGCTGAGATTGTGCCACTGCACTCCAGCCTGGGTGACAAGAGCAAGACTCCATCTCAAGAAAAGCAAAACAAAACAAAAACACATGAAACTTTTATGGTCTCAACTGCTTTAAAATGAAATCTAAGTTTCCTTATATGACTCCAAGCAACTATGTGATCTATGTCCTTGCCTCTGTCTCCAATCTCATCATATATCACTCCCCTCCTCACTCATTATCTTCGGCCACTGTGGTCCCATTGTTTGTGTTGCTGTCCACTTTCCTGCCTGGAATACACTTCACTAGTGTTGAAGGTTTATTTTTGTCTTGTCTTTTAGGTCTCAGCTCATGTCATTCACTCAAAGAGGCACCCCTTTAACACAGTAGTTCTCAAGTAGGGGTAATTTTGATCCCCAGAGATTGTTGGCAATCTCTAGAAAGATTTTTGATAGTCACAACCCTAGGGACTGTTTGTTACTGGCATGTAGTGGTTAGAGGCCACTACATGCCTCTAGGGATATTACTAAATATCCTACAGTACACAGGACAGCGCCTTGCAAGAAAGAATTATCTAGCCCAAAATGTCCATAGTGCAGAGGTTGGGAAATCCTACAAACAATACTATAAATAACATCCTACTTAAAATGACTCTATTTCATTGCCCTGTTTATTTATTCACAATGTGAATTTATTTATTTTTTATTTGTTAATTCTCTACTTGTTCCACTACAATATATGTTTCTTTTTTTTTTTTCGAGATGGAATCCTGCCTCTGCTTCCCAAAGTGCTGGGATTATAGGCATGAGCCACCACGCCCGGCCTCAATATAAGTTTCATAAAGTCAAGATTCTCATTGCTCATTTGTGGCCAGGTGTGGTGGCTCACGCCTGTAATCCCAACACTTTGGGAGGCTGAGGTGGGAGAATCACTTGAGTCCAGGAGTTCAAGATCAGCCTGGGCAACAAAATGAGAACCCCTTGATCTCTACTAAAAAAAAAATCATCATAACATTAGTCTGTTGGGTGGCATGCACCTTTGGTCCCAGCTGAGGCAGGAGGATCGCTTGAGCTCCAGGAGGTCGAGGCTGCAGTGAGCCATGATTGTGCCACTGCACTCCAGCCTGGGTGACAGAGTGAGACCCTGTTTCAAAAAAAAAAAAAAATTTTGGCAAGGTGTGGTGGCTCACACCTGTAATCCCAGCACTTTGGGAGGCCGAGGCCGGCTGATCACCTGAGGCCAGGAGTTCCAGACCAGCCTGACCAACATGGAGAAACCCCGTCTCTACTAAAAATACAAAATTAGCTGGGTGTGGTGGCGCATGCCTGTAATCCAGCTACTTGGGAGGCTGAGGCAGGAGAATCGCTTGAACCCAGGAGGCAGAGTTTGCAGTGAGCCGAGGTAGCGCCATTGCATTCCAGCCCGGGCAAGAAGAGCGAGACTCTGTATCAAAAAAAAAAAGAAAAATTGCCGGCTGGGCACAGTGGCTCACGCCTATAATTCCAGCACTTTGGGAGGCTGCGGCGAGTGGATCACCTGAGGTCAGGAGTTCGACACCAGCCTGACCAACATGGTGAAACCCCATTTCTACCAACAATACAAAAGTTAGCTGGGTGTGGTGGTGCATGCCTGTGATCCCAGCTACTCGGGAGGCTGAGGCAGGAGAATTGCTTGAACCAGGGAGGCAGAGGTTGTAGTGAGCCCAGATCGTACCACCGCACTCCAGCCTGGGTAACAGACTGACACTCCGTCTAAAAAAAAAAAAAAAATTGGCTTGATCACTGCTGAATGAATGAATGAATGAATGAATCCCATACAGCTGTAACTGCTCAACATACTTTTCCCATTAAAGCTCTAGTTTACAAGCTGATTTACTTCATTTCCCCACAAAGCATCTATTTTTATTCATTACTTTAACCAATATTTTTGGAGCACCAATTATGTGCCAAGCAATGAGCTAGGTGCTGGGTAAATAACAGGGAACAAGAAGTAGCCCTTGGTCCCAAAGAGCTTATAAGTCAAAGGTTAATTGGGGAGGGATACATCTAGTTAAAAGGCCACTTATAATTTGGGGTGCTCAAGGCGAAAACATGGTCTCTGCTCTCAAGGTGTTCATTTGTTCTGGGGGTGGCAGGGGGGATGAAAGATGCACATAAGCAACCACAAATGCCAGAAAAGCACACAAATAAGAAAAGCAAGATCTCTACCAGCTATAGAGTCAGAGAAGGCTTTGTGGAAGAGGTGCTATTTGGTTTGAGACATATAGGAAGACAGATGAGAGTTTAATGAAATAGAAGGAGGAAATGGAGAGAAGGAGAGAGGGTGTTCCAGGCAGAAAGAATGGCAAGAGCCAAGGCACAGAAATGTGGTGCCAGGAACAAGTAGACGTGTTTGGCTAAGGCACAGGAGACCAGTGAGAGCTTAGGCTAGAAAGAGAGACTGGGCCCAAACTGGGTCAGTTGAATAAGAATACAAATGACCCAAATCTTGCCCATATTTTCTATAATTTAGAGCAGTATTTCCCTCATGCACACAGGGAAAGGGAGGCTTAGAGAAATTTGGTGACTCAGCTAGTCATTAGTACACCAGTGTGCCTTTGATTGTCAGGATTTTGAAAAGGTTCCTGGCTTACCATACTTCCCAGGAGCTCAATATGACAACACCTGTAAAGGGACAGAGTTCATGATATATAGTAAAGACACTTCCTGTTCCAGTGTATGAACAAACAGTATACTGCTAGATTTTATTTGGTGGGGGGAATGGCTCAGAGGGAGTACTTTTCCTTTTGTCCCAAGGTATGGTAGGAATGGGTGTATACTAATGAAGGAAGGATGAGGAAGCAGGAGGGGGACCAAAGAACAGAAAGAATAGGTCAGTGTGTTTGATAAACAAGCTATGCTGAAGTATTTATTTGCAAAATTTCAGTTGCCATAGCAATTGGATACTGCTCTTTCCACTGGTCCTCCTTTTATCCTTTGCATGGCCTTTAAAGTGGTTTCCCAGGCAGACGTAGTCCTTGCCATTTATCTTAAAGATTTTGGAACATTCCTTTCCATCTGCTTTTCCTTTTCTCTTTGTGACGTCTGGTCCAGCCATTCATCTGGGAAGAGCTGGATGGCACCGGCCATTTCAGGAGCAGGACCTTAGGATCAAAAGGACACTACCAAGACTGGTCTGAATTGAAATGCCTGGTTGCTGACTTCTAGAGCATCGCAGGATGTAAATAAGTGATAAGTGTAGGGATTAAGCAAGGTGTAGAATGGCTTTTTTTTTCTTTTTTTTTTGAGATGGAGTTTCGCTCTTGTTGCCTAGGCTGGAGTGCAATGGCTTGATCTCGGCTCACTGCAACTTCCGCCTCCCAGGTTCAAGCAATTCTCCTGCCTCAGCCTCCCAAGTAGCTGGGATTACAGGCATGCACCACCACGCCTGGCTAATTTTGTATTTTTAGTAGACACGGGGTTTCCCCATGTTGAGGCTGGTCTGGAACTCCTGACCTCAGGTGACCCGCCCACCTCGGCCTCCCAAAGTGCTGGGATTACAGGCGTGAGCCACCGTGCCCAGCCTGGAATGGCTTTTTAAAACCCCACGCAGGTTATAAACAGTATAGTTAAGGTCGGGTGTGGCGGATCATGCCTGTAATCCAAGCACTTTGGGAGGCCAAGGTGGGTGGATCACCTGAGGTCAAGAGTTCGAGACCAGCCTGGCCAACATGGTGAAACCCCATCTTTACTAAAAATATGAAAACTAGGCTGGGCGCGGTGGCTCATGCCTGTAATCCCAGCACTTTGGGAGGCCGAGGAGGGCGGATCACAAGGTCAATAGATTGAGACCATCCTGGCTAACATGATAAAACCCCGTCTCTACTAAAAATACAAGAACTTAGCCGGGCTTGGTGGCACGTGCTTGTAGTCCCAGCTACTCGGGAGCCTGAGGCAGGAGAATTGCTTGAGCCCAGGAGGTGGAGGTTGCAGTGAGCCGAGATCACGCCACTGCACTCCAGCCTGGTGACAGAGTGAGACCCCATCTCAAAAAAAAAAAAAAAAAAAGCCAGTTATGTTGGCAGGCACCTGTAATCCCAGCTACTCGGGAGACTGAGGCAGGAGAATTGCCTGAACTCGGGAGGCAGAGGTTGCAGTAGCTGAGATTGCGCCACTGCACTCCAGTCTGGGAAACAGAGCGAGACTCATGTCAAAAAAATCCAAAAAACAAAAAATGGTATAGTCAAAATTCTCTGAATTCAGGGTGAGAATTTCCCCTTGTCAGGAGAGGACAACAATGATTATGAGTATCATACATCTTATCCCAATGAGTCCTCACAACAACTCTGTGTGCCTATCATAGCTAATATTTACTGAGCACTAACTTTGTGCCAGATACTTTTCAGACTGTGTGTCATCTCATCTAAGTCTTCACAAGCACTTTTGCTGTAGATTTTTATTATTCTTATTTCAAAATGGAAGAAAAGAACATAAAGTTAATAATTATTGAACATGTGATATGTGCCAAGGAACTGTGCTAAGCACTTGATATACATTTTCCCATGATAAACCTTTGAAGTAGGTTTGCTTTTTTTTTTTTTTTTTTGAGATGGAGTCTTGTTCTGTCACCCAGCGGTGTGATCTCGGCTCCACTGCAACCTCCACCTCCTGGCAGTGATTCTCCTGCCTCAGCCTCCTGCGTAGCTGGGATTACAAGTGCACACCACCCAATCTGGCTAATTTTTGTATTTTTAGTGGAGATGGGGTTTCGCCATGTTGGCCAGGCCGGTCTCGAACTCCTGACCTCAAGTGGTCCACCTGCCTTGGCCTCCCAAAGTGCTGGGATTACAGGTGTGAGCCACCATGCCCTGCCTGGTCTGTATTTTTTTTATTTTTTATTTTTTTTAGAGACAAGGTCTTGCTCCGTCACCTAGGTTAGAGTGCAGTGGTGTGATCATATCTCAATGCAGCCTCAGACTCCTGGCTCAAGCAATCCTCCTGCCTCAGCCTCTGGGGTAGCTGGGACTAGAGGCGTGTGCCACCACACCTGGCTAATGTTTTAAAATTTTGTGCTAGAGACATGGTCTCACTATGTTGTGCAGGCTGGTCTCAAACTTCTTAGCTCAGGCAATCCTTCTGCCTTGGCCTCCCAAAGTGCTGGGATTACAAGTGTGAACCATTGCACCTGGCCTGGTCTGTATTTTACTGTGCCCGGCCTAGGTCTGTATTTTATCGAGAGCAAATAGTTTGCGCAAGTCTACATAAGTAAGAAGAAGAAGCAGGATTGAAAGCTAGTCTCTCTAATTACAAAGCTCATGAGCTTAGGCAGTCCAAAAATAGAAATGTAAGTTCAGAGAGTTTAAGGGACTTGCTCACGATTACACAGCCCACAGTTGAAGAATGATATCTGAATCCAGGTTTATCTGATTCTAGAATTGAAATGCTAACATTTTCTAGTAAGAAAAATAATGAAAAATAATTTTTCCTCTGATTTGGAGCTAATTCTGAAACTAGAGCAATCTAACTGGGCTTTATTTCATTGTACTCTTTAGATATAGCTCCCCTGAAGTTAGTGTGTAAATCACTAGCCAGACTTTTTGATATCTGCCTACTACACTGTAAACTTGCAGAACAAATAGTTCTTATTATAAAGCTGTGTATCACCTAGTTAGGGGAAGGAGGCATTTAAAAAGGAGAGGAGGAAGGGATGAGGCAGGCAGACAGATAGGAAGAGAAGAAGAAAGTGAGGGAATAAAAATAGTAGTACAAGGGAAGAAATAAGATACAATATTCACTTTTTTTTTAGTAGGCAGGGTCTTGCTATGTTGCCCAGATTGGACGTGAACTCCTGGGCTCAAGCAATCCTCCTGCCTTGGCCTTGGGACTTGAGTTGGGACTATAAGTGCATGCCACTGCTGGCTGGAGTATTTACTTTTTTTTTTTTTTTTTTTTTTTTTTGAGATGGAGTCTTGCTCTGTCACCCAGGCTGGAGTGCAGTCACTCGATCTCGGCTCACTGCAACCTCTGCCTCCAAGGTTCAAGCAATTCTCGTGCCTCAGCCTCCTGAGTAGCTGGGACTATAGGCGTGCGCCACCACGGCTTTGCTAATTTTTTATTTTTAGTAGAGATGGGGTTTTCCATGTTGGCCAGGCTGGTCTTGAACTCCTGATCTCAAGTGATCAACTCACCTCAGCCTCCCAAAGTGCTGAGATTACATGCCTGAGCCACTGCACCTGGCTAGGAGTATATACTTTTATCCTTGACTTCTAGGGCTAAAGGAGATGAACTTTTACTACCTACATTTTGCGAGTAAACCCAGAGTAGACTTTGCTACTAGCTGGTGACTGTTCTAACTCAGTGCTTTTTATTTATTTTTATTTTTGTTTATTTTTGAAACAGGGTCTTGCTCTATCACCCAGGCTGGAGTGCAGTGGCATGGTCATGGCTCACTGCAGCCTTGACCTCCTGGGCTCAATTTTTTTTTTTTTTTTTTTTTGTAGAGATGAGGTCTCCCTATATTGTCCAGGCTGGTCTCGAACTCCTGGGCTCAAGAGATCCTCCCACCTTGGCCTCTCAAAGTGCTGGCATTACACAGATGTGAGCCACCGCTCCCAGCCCTCAATCCTTTTCAAATTTTAATATGAAGATGAATCTCCTGGGAGGATCTTGTTAAATGCAGAGTCTGATTCAGTAGGTCTAGGGTGTGGGACGAGATTCCTTCCCTCCCTCCCTCCCTCCCTTCCTTCCTTCCTTGCCTCCCTCCCTCCCTCTCTCTCTCTCTCTCTCTCTCTTTCTTTCTTTCTTTTGACAGAGTCTTGCTCTATCGCCGAGGCTGGAGTGCAGTGGCACTACCTTGGCTCACTGCAACCTCTGCCTCCCGGGTTCAAGCAATTCTCCTGCCTCAGCCTCCCAAGTAGCTGGGATTACATGCGCATGCCACTACGCCCAGCTAATTTTTGTATTTTTAGTAGAGACGAGGTTTTACCATGTTGGCTAGGCTGGTCTGGAACTCCTGACCTCATGTGATCTGCTCGCCTCGGTTTCCCAAAGTGCTGGGATTACAGGTGTAAGCCACCGCGCCCGGTCATGTATTGCTGATAGGATCCCAGATGATACTGATGATACTGGTCTGTGGAGTAGCAAGGCTCTAGCTTAAGTGTTGTGATTTATTTAAATTTAAATGTATAAGAGACACTGTCTTAATGTGTTTGGGAAGCTACAGCAAAACACCTGATACTGGGTAATTTATAAAAAACAGAAATTTATTACTCACAGTTCTAGAGGCTTCCTAGCCCAAGATCAAGATGCCAGCAGATTTGACATCTGGCAAGGGGCCCTGTTCCTCAGAAATGGCACCTTCTATATGTCCTCACACAGCAGAAGGGCAAAAAACTCCCTCAGGCCTCCTTTATAAGGGCACTAATTCCATTCTCAAGGGCTCTGTCATTTGTGTTTTTTTTAGAGACAGGGTCTCACTCTGTTGCCCAGGCTGGAGTGCAGTGGTGCAATCAGCTCATTGCAGCCTCAAACTCCTGGGATCAAGTGATCCTCCCACCTTAGCCTCCTAAGTACCTGGGACTACAAGTATGAGCCACCTTGCCTGGTTAATTTTTTAAAATTTGTATTTATTTATTTATTTATTTATTTATTTATTTATTCCCAATAGAGTCCTGCTTCATTACCCAGGCTAGAGTGCAGGGGCGTGATCATGGCTCACTGTAGCCTCAACCTCTTGAATTGAAGCAATTCTCCTGCCTCAGCCTTCTGAGTAGCTGAAACTATATGTGTACACGACCATGCCTGGCTAATTTTTGTATTTTTTTGTAGACACAGGGTTTTGTCACGTTGCCCAGGCTGGTCCCAAACTCCTGGGCTCAAGCAATTCATCTGCCTGAGCCCCCCAAAGTGCTAGGACTACAGGCATGAGCCACTGCGTTGGGCCTAATTTTTTTGCTTTTTAGATACAGAGTCTTGCTATGTTGCCCAGCTCATCTTGAACTCCCAGCCTCAAGCCATCTTCCCACCTCAGCCTCCTGAGTCACTGGGATTATAGGCATGAGTAACCACACCCAGCCCCACCTCTTAATACCATGACCTTAGGGGTAGCATTTCCACATATACTTTTTTTTTTTTTTTTTGGGATAGAGTCTTTCTCTGTTGCCTAGGCTGGAGTGCAGTGGCGATCTCGGTTCATTGCAACCTCTGCCTCCCAGGTTCAAGTGATTCTCATGCCTCAACCTCCTGAGTAGCTGAGACTACAGATGCACACCACCATGCCTGGCTACTTTTTGTATTTTTTAGTAGAGATGGGGTTTCACCATGTTGGCCAGGGTGGTCTCGAACTCCTGACTTCAAGTGATCCGCCTGCCTCAGCCTCCCAAAGTGCTGGGACTACAGGCATGAGCCACCGTGCTGAGCCTCAACATACGAATTTTGAGAGGACACATATGTTCAGACTATAGCAGATATATATCCTTTAGCTCATATACGGTCTGGGAGCAGCAACAACCCAATATCAATGAGCACACCAAGTGCCCTTATCTTGGTTTCTGTTTTTTTGTTTTTGTTTTTGTTTTGTAGGTTTCGCCATGTTACTCAGGCTGGCCTTCAACTTCTGGACTCAAGCGATTCACCCACCTCGGCCTCCCAGAGGGCTGAGATTACAGGTGTGAGCCGCACTGCCCAGCCGATATCTTGGTTTCTATATGGTACTCTGTTAAAAGATTTCAAGGATGCTGGGAAATACAGCTTATTCCAGGTCTGGGATATGAAAAGTACAAGATAAGCTTGGAACAATATATTGTGCCAAAATAAGATAGTATTCAAAGAATAATGGGAGCATGTCAAACAACACAGAAGCTAGCTCTATGGGATTAAATTCGGGACAATAAGAGCATCAAAATAAATAATATAGTAATGAATTATATAAAATAGGAATCTGGGCGCGGTGGCTCACGCCTGTAATCCCAACACTTTGTGGGGCTGAGGCGGGCAGATCTCTTGAGATCAGGAGTTCAAGACCAGCCTGGCTGATATGGTGAAACCCCATCTCTACTAAAAATACAAAAAATTAGCCTGGTGTGGTGGTGTGCACCAGTAGTCCCAGCTACTTGGGAGGCTGAGACACGAGAATCCCTTGAGCCCAGGGGCAAAGCCTGCAGTGAGCTGAGATCGTGCCACTGCACTTTAGCCTGGGAGACAGAGTGAGACTCTGTCTCAAAACAAACAGACAAACCCACAAAAAACCAGCCAGGAAATATTGTGGACGCTAAAACTAGTGAGTGAAAATTTGATGAGGAACAGAATATTTGTATAGTCTCAAAATACTTCCCCTCAAAATACTTCATAATTTCAAAGTGAAAAAGTAACTTTACAGTGGAGAAACCTGGCAGATACCACCTTAATCAAGTGATCAAAGTTGACATTACCACTAACAGGACAAATTGAAATTGTGCACCACCTGATAGGATGTAATGAGAAAAACACAGCATCACTTCTGTGATAATCTTGCCAAAAATAAATTACTTGACTCTATTCATGAAGAATCATCAGACAAACCTGAGGAATATTCTACCAAATAATTGGCCTGTAATCTTCAAAAGTGTAAGATATTGAAAGTCAAGGAAAGATTGAGGAACTACTGTTTCAGATAAAAGGACACAACTAAATGCAACATACGATCTTGGGTTGAATGCTATAGCTACAAAGGGCATTAAAGGGACAATGATGGTAGTAATGTATCAGTGTTAATTTGCTGATTTTGATAATTGTATTGTGGTTATGTAGGAGAATATTTATATTTGTAGGAATTACACTCTAATTACATACTGTATTTGTGGGTAATGGGACATAATGTTGTCAACTTTCATCCAAGTAAATTGGGGAGAAAGTTATTTATAGTATTCTTATAAAAAAAGTAAACTTGTGATGTTGAATATATGACTCATTAAAGAGCACCATTATTAATCAATGACATCTATAATGTGTATAGGATATTAGTACCCATGCAGTATATTTTCTTTCTTTCTTTTTTTTTTGAGATGGAGTCTTGCTCTGTCACCCAGGCTGGAGTGCAGTGGTGTGATCTTGGCTCACCGCAACCTCTGCCCCCTGGGTTCAAGAGATTCCCCTGTCTTAGCCTCCCAAGTAGCTGGGACTACAGGCATGTGCCACCACACCTGACTCATTTTTGTATTTGCAGTAGAGATGGGATATCATCATGTTGACCAACTTGGTTTCGAGCTCCTGACCTAAAGTGATCTGCCCCACCTTGGCCTCCAAAAGTGCTGGGATTACAGGCATGAGCCACTGCACTGGGCAGTATGATAGACACTTGCTGTTTGCCTACCCAACTATTGTTCCCTCCTCCTTTTTTTTTTTTTTTTTCCTTGGGATGGAGTCTCGCTCTGTAGCCCAGGCTGGAGTGCAGTGGCACGATCTCGGCTCACTACAACCTCTGCCTCCCTTGTTCAAGCAACACTCCTGCCTCAGCCTCCCCAGTAGCTGAGACTACAGGCGCGTGCCACCACGGCTGGCTAATTTTTTGTATTTTTAGTAGAGACGGGGCTTTACCATGTTAGCCAGGATGGTTTCGATCTCCTGATTTCATGATCTGCCCTCCTTGGCCTCCCAAAGTGCTGGGATTACAGGTGTGAGCCACCATGGCCAGCCCCCTCCTCCCATTTTTTTCTTTCTAACAGAATCCCAGTTTTATTAAGATACAGATATCTGGGTCCTCCCTATCGCTAAGAGGTGAATTTTCATTGGTCTAAGCCAGTCAAGGTTTAGGCATGAGCATGTGACATAATTACGGCTAATGATATATAAAAACAGTTCTGCTGGCGGGAGTGAGAATGTCTTTGAGGAAAGATTTTTCATGCTAGTAATAAGACACCTACAGAATGAAATGATTCTTCTTCTATTTGTTTTTCTTTTTCTTTCTTTTCTTTTTTTTTGGGGGGGACGGAGTTTTGCTCTTGTTGCCTAGGCTGGAGTACAATGATGCAATCTTGGCTCCCTGTAACCTCCGACTCCCAGGTTCAAGAGATTATCCTGTCTCAGCGTCCTAAGTAGCTGGGAGTACAGGCATGCATCACTATGCCTGCCTTTTCATATTTTTAGTAGAGACAGGGTTTCACCACATTGGCCAGGCTGGCCTCGAACTTCTGATGTCAAGTGATCCGCCTGCCTCAGCCTCCCAAAGTGTTGAGATTACAGGCGTGAGCCACTGCACCCAGCCTGAGCCTCAATTTTTTAATCCATTAAATGGTAATTCTGATGGCACCTACTTCATTGGGTAACTGTGAGAATCAAGAAAGAAAGAAATAGAAAATTACTTATATAGCATCTAAGATCTCTTTTGGAAGCTCTTATTAAATAGTAGGAACGTAATACTAAAGTATCACCCACTTATCACCTTATGTAGCTTTCCGTAGAATTTTACTACCATAATTTGTTTAACTAGTTCCTTATTAAAGGACTTCAGAAGATAATAGTGGTCAAGTGCATTTGGCTTTGGTGTTGGGCAGATGTGTGTTTAAATCCCATCTCTATCACTTATTATCAGAGTAACTTTGGGTAAGTGACTTTAACCTCTCTCATCTTCAATTTTTTTATCTGAATTGTGAAAATCATTAACCTATAATTTATTCTCATGATTTGCAGATTCTGTATTTATGAATTTGCTTACATGCCAAAATTTATTTGTAACCCCAAAATCAATACTCATGATGTTTTTTCACTCATTGCTTGACACTACAGAAGAGGAAAACATTTGAGCTGCCCAAAATGCATGTTCCTAGCCAAGGTGGAACAAGGCAATGTTTTGCCTTCTTGTTTTAGCTCTCATACTGTAACAAGTATCCTCGTTGTCGTCTATTTAGTGCCATGCTTTCTACATTTCTGTGCTTTTTATTGGTGATTTCACTGTTAAAATGGCCCCCAAGTGTATTGCTGAAGTTCTGTCTACAGTTCTTAAGTGCAAGAAAATTGTGATGGAGAAAAGATGGAAAAAAGATGTGTGTTAGATAAGCTTCATTCAAGCATGAGTTATAATGCTGCTGGCCATGAGTTCAATGATTTTTTTAAATTTAAATTTAAATTTTTTTAGAGATGAAGTCTCACTATGTTGCCTAGGCTGGTATCACACTCATGAGCTCAAGGGATCCTCTCGCCTCAGCCTCCCAAAGTGCTGCAATTACAGGCATGAGCCACCAAACCCAGCCATGGGTTTAATGTTAAGGAGTCAACAGTATGTATTGAACATAATGTCTTTGATTGGTTGATGAAAATATTGTTATCAGAGGCCAGGCACGGTGGCTCATGCCTGTAATCTCAGCACTTTGGGAGGCCGAGGTGGGTGGATCATGAGGTCAGGAGATCGAGACCATCCTGGCTAACACGGTGAAACCTCGTCTCTACTAAAAAATACAAAAAAAATTAGCCGGGCGTGGTGGTGGGCACCTGTAGTCCCAGCTACTGGGGAGGCTGAGGCAGGAGAATGGCATGAACCCAGGAGGCGGAGCTTGCAGTGAGCCGAGTTCGCACCACTGTACTCCAGCCTGAGCGACAGAGCGAGACCCCATCTCAAAAATAAAAAAAGAAAATATTGTGATCAGAGGCTCGAAGGAACCTAACCCTGTGTATCCCCTAGGAGCAATGGCTTGCTATTCACTAATTCAGTGTTCGTGGATACTTTATAAAATACAACTACTAAAAATAGGCTGTGCGCGGTGTCTCACGCCTGTAATCCCAGCACTTTGGGAGGCCGAGGCAGGTGGATCACCTGAGGTCAGGAGTTGAGACCAGCCTGGCCAACATGGTGAAACCCGGTCTGTACTAAAAATACAAAAAATGAGCCGGGCATGGTGGCAGGCGCCTGTAATCCCAGTTACTTGCAAGGCGGAGGCAGGAGAATTGCTTGAACCCGGGAGGCAGTGGTTGCAGTGAGCCGAGATCACGCCATTGAACTCCAGCCTGGACAATAGAGCAAGACTCTGTCTCAAAACAAACAAACAAACAAAAAATACAACTACTAAAAATAACAACAATTCACTATCTCATACATAGTGTAGTTGCAGGGCTTAACTAAACTATTGCATGCAAGTGTTCAGCAAATTATGGTAACAAACAAATTATGGTAGTAAAATTCTATGAAAAGCTATATAAGGTGATAAGGGGGTGATACTTCAGTATTACATTTCTACTATTTAATAAGAGCTACCAAATGGGAGTTAAGGACCAATGCAGAATGGTGGTAGAGGTTGGGGTGAGACTCGCTCTGGATATATTCTTGTCAGTTTGATTCTGACACTTATCCAGGTACCACATGGCTCAAAGCAAGAGTTTAAGTGAAAACCATGACGATCTAGAAAACTTACAAGAAAACTCTCAGGCTAAGCCAGTGGATTCCCATTGAGAAAGCTTCAAATAGAGCATTTCCTTGCAAATAACAGTTTACTTTCACAAAAATAGGTGACCTAGCTCATGATCATAATTAGCCTTCTGGAATTGAATGACAATTGCTAATGCGCGAATATAATTCTCTCCTTTCACTTCCTATACTGGTAGGGAGTTTCTACTCTTCTTCCTCAGAATGTGCATTTTAATAGTAAAAATGCCACATTTTGTTGATTATTACCTGACATACATGCTTACGTAACATCATAAAAAGGGCAAGTATTGTGCAGATGAAATAGAGTGAATTTTCACAAGGGATTCAGGAAGGAAATCCATTATTCTCATTTTGAAGATGCTGAAACAAGGCCCAGCAATAAAGTTAAAGTTAGGTGTCAGACCTGAGAAAGACCTGTGCTGCTGCCATCTGTGCACTGTATCATTGCACTGTGCTCTGTTCTTACTGGGATGAGGAACAGTGAAGCCTACACACACCTTTCCATAAGAGGTTGCACTGGTCTTCTTTCAGTTACCCCAAGGCTCCAAGCTTTTTTTCTATCTTAATGGCCTTTGTATTGGCTCACTGCAACCTCCGCCTCCCAGGTTCAACCAATTCTCTGCCTCAGCCTCCCGAGTAGCTGGGATTGCAGGCGCCCACCACCACACCCGGCCAATTTTTGCATTTTTAGTAGAGACAGGGTTTCATCATCTTGGCCAGGCTGGTCTTGAACTCCTGACCTCGTGATCCACCTGCCTCGGCATCCCAAAGTGCTGGGATTACAGGCATGAGCCACCGTGCCTGGCCCCTCCCCTAACTCTTATCTTTTGGGTCCTGGTTGAGATGTCAGAGAGACTGTTTAGGTATCCCTCTCCTGCCCTACCTCCCTCATTCTCTTTCACAGTATTTTATACTTTCCTCCAGAGTACTCATCACAATTTGCAATTATATGTCTATTTGTGTATGTATTTGTCTTCTCTAACAGGCTCTTAGCCCTATGTAGGCAGGGATACCATCTGTTTTTGTTGTTGTCTTTTTGTTTTGTTTTTTGTTTTGTTTTGTTTGTTTGTTTTGAGACAGGGTCTTTCTCGCTTACCCAGGCTGGAATGCAGTGGCGCGATCTCAGCTCACTGCAACTTCCACACCCACACCCCATGGGCTCCAGCAATCCTCCCACCTCACCTTAGCCTCCTGAGTATCTGGGACCACAGCTGTGTACCACCACACCACCACACCTGGCTATCTTTTTGTTATTGTTTTTGTTTTTGTTTTAGATGGAATCTCTGTCACCCAGGCTGGAGTGCAGTGGCACGATCCTAGCTCACTGCAGCCTCCACCTCTCAAGGTCAAGTGATTCTCCTGCTTCAGCTTCCTGAGTAGGTGGGATTACAGGTGCCCACCACCATGCCCAGCTAATTTTTTGTATCTTTAGTAGAGGTGGGATTTCAACATGTTGGCCAGGCTGATCTAGAATTCATGACCTCAGGTGATCCACTGCCTCGGGCTCCCAAAGTGCTGGGATTACAGGTGTGAGACACTGCACCCAGCCTATTTTTTTTTTTTTGTATTTTTAGTAGGATCTCACCATGTTGCCCAGGCTGGTCTCAAACTGCTGGGCTCAAGTGATCCACCCGCCTCAGCCTCCCAAAGTACTGGGATTACAGGCGTGAGCCACTGCACCCAGCCCCCCATCTGTTTTGTTCTTCATGTTAACGCAATGCCTAACACAGTGCTGCATGCTGCATGTATAGCAGGCTCTTAAATACATATTAATTGAGAGAATAAATGAATAAATGAATGAAATGTTGTTTATTACATGCTACTCTGGTAAAGGATAGCTTGGGGTAGAAATAAATGTTACTAACAATATTTAAATGATTGATGTTGGGTTTAAGCATCCTCTACCGTCACCCCATCTCTACCCTCACCATCAAGTAGCATTTGTCTACCACATCTAATCTCCTAGTGCCAAGCCCTAATCTCTGTATATTTGGAGACTAGTTTTTGGAACAGATACATGTACCAAGACTGATTCAGTTTACAGGATTTTAGGCTTAGAGGTTCTTACTGAAATAAAGTTTGATTTCACATTATTCTGGATTAACTCCAGGCATTCACCATTCAATGTGAATAATTCAATGTTATTCTGGAGTAACTCCAAGGCATTCACCATGCAAAGGAAAAGACATTTGTTTTGTTTTGCTAAAACTGAACTTAAACTATATGAAAGACACAGCTGCATTTATAGATAATTTTGTGCATTTTAGGTATCCAAGAGTGGGCATTGTTTTTGGGTGGACATAATATTTCTTTTCTTTTTTCTTTCTTTCTTTCTTTTTTTTTTTTTTTGAGACAAAGTGTTACTCTGTTGCCCAAGCTGGAGTGCAGTGGCACCATCTCAGCTCACTGCAACTTCCAAATCCCGGATTCAAGCAATTCTCCTGCCTCAGCCTCCCAAGTAGCTGGGACTACAGGCATGTGCCACCATGCCCGGCTAATTTTTGTATTTTTAGTAGAGACAGGGATTCACTATGTTGGCCAGGCTGGTCTCGAACTCCTGACCTCGTGATCTGCCCTCCTTGGGCTCCCAAAGTGCTGGGATTATAGGCATGAGCCACCGCAACCGGCCTAAATAATATTTCTATTTGTACTGATATCCTACAAACTTTGTATTATATAGTTTAATAATGTATTTTTTCTAATTGTAAAAACAAGTATGTTCTTTGTAGAAATTTTAGAAGTTGCAGAAAAGCATGAAGGAGAAGCAAAAAGTAGAAAGAAACAAAAAATATCACTCAGAATCTCATCATTAGAGATAATCCTTGCTAACATTTTGGTATAGTCTCTCTCAGCCTTATTTCTTTTCTTTTCTTGCTCTCTCTTTTTTTTTTTTGTTTGAGACAGGGTCTTGCTTTGTCACCCAGGCTAGAGTGCAGTGGTGCAATCATGCCTCACTGCAGCCTCAACCTCCTAGGCACAAGCAATCTTCCCCACTCAGCCTCCTGAGTAGCTGGGAATGCAGGCACATGCCACCATGCCTGGCCAATTTTTTTTTTTTTTTTTTTTTTTTTGAGACAGAGTCTCTCTCTATCACCCAGGCTGGAGTGCAGTGGCACCATCTCAGCTCACTGCAACTTCCGTCTCCAGGGTTCAAGTGATTCTCATGCCTCAGCCACCTGAGTAGCTGGGATTCCAGGCTCATGCCACCTGCCTGGCTGATTTTTGTATTTTTAGTAGAGATGGGGTTTCACCATGTTGGCCAGCCTGGTCTCAAACTCCTGACCTCAAGTGATACACCTACCTTGGCCTCCCAAAATGCTGGAATTACAGGCATAAGCCACCGCACCCAGCTGCCTGGCTAATTGTTTACATTGTTTGTAGAGACACAGTTTCACCATGTTGCCCAGACTGGTCTCAAACTCCTGTGCTCAAGCAATTTGCCTGCATTGGCCTCTTAAAGTGCTGGGATTACAGGTGTGAGCCACCGTGCCTGGCCAGCTCAGCCTTATTTCTATGTGTATGTTTGGGTAGGTGCACACATATATTTATGATAGTTATCACCTGTAATCCCAGCACTTTGGGAGGCCAAGGCTGGCGGATTGTTTGAGGCCAGGAGTTGGAGACCAGCCTAGCCAACATGGTGAAACCCCACCTCTCCTAAAAATACAAATAATTAGCTGGGCATGGTGACACATGCCTGTAATTCCAGCTACTCAGGAGGCTGAGGCACGAGAATCTCTTGAACCAGGGAGGCAGAGGTTGCAGTGAGCCGAGATCACACCATTGCACTCCCAGCCTGGGTGACAGAGTGAAGCTCTGTCTCAAAAAAATTATCACATACATAAGGATATACTAGTTATTTACTGAATATGCCAGGAAACTTCATTTCCTTTTTAAACATATTAACTCTTGTAATCCTCTCAATAGTTATATGAGAAGATATTTTTATTCTTACTTTATAAATGAGTAAACGGAGGCTGAGAGTATCAATTTATTTGCTTAAGGTCATGTCATTAGTAAATGGTAGATCTGAGATGCAAATCTAGATCTAAAAGTCTATAATCTCAATCATTATGCTATATAGCTGTGTGTACATTTCTATGTTTTAAATCAAACTGGAATTACCATAGAAATAATTTTGTTTATTTTGAGATGGGGTCTTGCGCTGTCACCTAGGCTAGAGTGAAGTGGTGCAATCACAGGTCACTGCAGCCTCAACCTCCTAGGCTCAAGCAATCCTCCCACCTCAATCTCCCAAGTAGGCCCGGCACGGTGGCTCATGCCTGTAATCCCAGCATTTTGGGAGGCCAAGGTGGGCGGATCACCTGAGGTGGGGAGTTAGAGACCAGCCTGACAAACATGGTGAAACCCCATCTCTACTAAAAATACAAAAATTAGCTGAGTATAGTGACGGGCGCCTGTAGTCCCAGCTACTCGGGAGGCTGAGGCAGGAGAATCGCTTGAACCTGGGAGGCAGAGGTTGCAGTGAGCAGAGATCACACCATTGCACTCCATCCTGGGCGACAGAGCGAGACTCCCTCTCCAAAAAAAAAAAAAAAAAAAAAAAAGTCTCCCGAGTAGCTGGGACTACAGGCATGCACCACCATGCCTGGCTAATTTTTTGTATTTTTTTCTAGAGATGAGGTTTTACCATGTTGCCCGGGCTGGTCTGGAACTCCTGGGCTCAAGTAATCCGCTTGTCTCAGCCTCCCAAAGTGCTGAAATTACAGGTGTGAGCCACCGCACCCGGCTCTTATAGCATTTCATATGTTTTACTAACTTAATTTTCATGACTTTATGATCTATAAGATTAAGGAATATAAATGAATGAATAAGATATTGTTTATCACACATACACACACTGGTATAGCTTGGATTGAATAGATGTTCTGATGTTTGAGATTATTTTAATCATCTTAATTTTTTTTTTTTTTTGAGACAGAGTCTCGCGCTGTCGCCCAGGCTGGAGTGCAGTGGTGCGATCTCGGCTCACTGCAGCCTCCACCTCCCGGGTTCAAGCAATTCTCCTGCCTCAGCCTCCCAAGTAGCTGGGACCACTGGTGCGTGCCACCATGCCCAACTAAGTTTTTGTATTTTTGGTAGAGACAGGGTTTCACTGTGTTAGCCAGGATGGTCTCGATCTCCTGACCTCGTGATTCACCCGCCTGGGCCTCGTGAGCCACAGCACCCGGCCTTTTGTCTATTTCTATATGAACTGTTTTCTTTGCTTTTAAAATGCTGTCTACTGCTTCGAAAGATGATCATCTGGGTTTTATTCTAAAAGTGCCTACCTTTAAATTTTAAAAAAACCCACCTATTTTCAATGTTAAAATGAAACAGCAGCTCTTGATTTCTCCTGTGTATGATTGGGGTATTTAGCATACTTTTATTTTCCCTCATTCTTTACCTCCCACTCCCAACCCTCCCAGCTCAGTTTTATTAATATTGTTTGTCCTTTTAAACCTTTATTATTCTTCTTGGAAAAAGACATTTCTTTTTTTACATTACAATTTTTTCTTACAAAAGTTATTTTGGACATTTAAGTAAAGTTCTATTATGTATAAGTCCTTTTATAGTTCTTTTTTGTTTCTGTTTTTTGTTTTGTTTTGTCTTGAGACGGAGTCTCGCTTTGTCGCCCAGGCTGGAGTGCAGTGGCATGATCTCGGCTCACTGCAAGCTCCGCCTCCTGGGTCCACACCATTCTCCTGCCTCAGCCTCCCGAGTAGCTGGGACTACAGGTGCCTGCCACCACGCCTGGCTACTTTTTTGTATTTTTAGTAAAGACGGGGTTTCACCGTGTTAGCCAGGATGGTCTCGATATCCTGACCTCGTGATCCACCCGCCTCGGCCTCCCAAAGTGCTGGGATTACAGGTGTGAGCCACCACGCCCAGCCTCTTTTATAGTTCTTTTTTATTCTTAAGTTCTCATTCAGCAAAAGTATATCTTTGAGCAGTTTTCTTTCAGAACAGATAACCTGGGTGGTATCATTTTTGAGTCTTTTATATCTGAGTACTTATTTCTGAGGTCTTCACAATTGCATGACAACTTAGCTGAATGTCGAATTCTTAAATTACCCTCAGAATTCTGTACTATATGCTTTAATGACTTGTGGCTTACAGGGTTGCAGAATTCTGCCTGGACTGGTAGCTCACACCTGTAATCCCAGCACTTTGAGAGGCTGAGGTGGGCAGATAATCTGATGTCAGGAGTTCAAGTCAGGCCTGGTCAACATGGTGAAACCCCCTTTCTACTAAAAATACAAAAATTAGCTGGGCGTGGTGGTGGGCGCCTGTAGTCCCAGCTACTCGGGAGGCTGAGGTAGGAGAATCGCTTGAACCCAGGAAGTGGAGGTTGCAGTGAGCCAAGATCACGCCACTGCGCTCCAGACTGGGCGACAGAGGGAGATTCAGTCTCAATAAAATAAATAAAATAAAAAAACAGAGTTGCAGAATTCTGAGGCCAGCTTGACTTTTGTTCCTCAGAGATTATTATTATTTTTTTTGAAACAGTCTTGCTCTGTCGCCTGGCATGATCTTGGCTCACTGCACTCCGCCTCCTGGGTTCAGCGATTCTCATGCCTCAGTCACCTGAGTAGCTGAGACCACAGGTGTGCACCACTATGCCGGGCTAATTTTTGTATTTTTAATAGAGATGGGTTTCACCATGTTGGCCAGGCTGGTCTCAAACTCCTGGCCTCAAGTGATCTGCCCACCTCAGCATCCCAAAGTGCTGGGATTACAGGCGTGAGCCACTGTGCCCAGCCTATAGCATCTTTTCATAGTCCTATGATCTTTCTCCATTTGTTTTTTTTTTGTTTGTTTTGTTTTTTGAGACAGTCTCGCTTGGTCACCCAGGCTGTAGTGCAGTGACACAATCGTGATTCGTTGTGGCCTCTACCTTCCTGGCTCAAGCGATCCTCGTATCTCAGCCTTCTAAGTAGTTGGGATGTAGAGACAGAGTCTCCTTATCTTGCCCAGGCTGGTCTCAAATTCCTGGCCTCAAGCGATCCTCCTGCCTCAGCCTCCCAAAATGCTAGGATTACAGACATGAGCTACTGAGCCTGGCCACCACTTGCTCATCTTAACATAAAGAGGTCTATGGTTGTCCAGCTTTCGATAATACTTAAATGAAGATTGCGGTGAATTCTATTAGAAACTGGAATGTGGCTGGGCGCAGTGGTGCACACCTGTAATCCCAGCACTTTGGGAGGCTCATCACTTGAGGTCAGGAGTTCAGACCAGTCTGGCCAACACGGTGAAACTCCGTCTCGACTAAAAATACAAAAACAAAACTAGCTGGGCATGGTGGTGCATGCCTGTTAATCCTAGCTACTCAGGAGGCTGAGGCAGGAGAATCGCTTGAACCTGGGAGGTGGAGGTTGCAGTGAGCTGAGATTGTGCCACTGCACTCCAGCTTGGACGACAGAGCAAGGCTCTGTCTAAAAAAAAAGAAAAGAACTGGAATGGGTCTTAGTATATCCCCTATCTTCCCTTTCCACTGCCCTCACCTAGTCTTCAACCCTGAGTAATGGGGTGTTCATAGAACTCTAATGGGGTGATAAGATATTTTATAGAAGTAGAATCTTGATCTGACCTCTCCTTCTAATTGGGAACGTCTATGTTCTAACTAGCAGAAATTCCTCAAAGTTTCTGGCATATGGAAAATTTTCCCTCTATTTTTATTCCTTTGATCATTTCAATGTGAATTTAGAATGAGGCAATTTAGAAGCCTGTCCTCGCAAAGCCATTTTATTTAAAAACCACAAAATAACACTTTTTTTCTGTGTGAAGAAGGTTAGAAAAAAAATGCTCAAGACTCATAATTATATGTAGTTTTAACATTTTTTCATAAAAGGTTTCAAATCCCTTGGGAAACTACATGGTCTAGTGGGAAATGAGAGAATGGATTCTGATTGTGATATGTAATTTCACTGCAGCTTTGAACAAACCATTTGAACTTCAGATTCTCTAATCTTAGATTTTCTTACGTCATAGTGTGACAGAGAAAGCACTATGAAAAAAATAAATGTGGAAGCTCTTTGAACTGTTCAAAGATAGACAATAAGGAAATCTGAGGGCTTTTTGTTATTGTTTGAATGCTATTATAGCTTTGAGCACTTTCGAGCTAGACCAAAGAGTGTGCGCTTGAGGGATAGCAGATGAGGCCTGGTTGCTGGGAAGCCCTGGTATGCAAAACAGCTCTGAAGTATAGTTGAGGTAGAGACACTGCTTTGGACACTGTCATCTTGTGTAAGATTCAAGACAGTGGTTGGCCGGGTGCGGTGGCTCATGCCTGTAATCCCAGCACTTTGGGAGGCTGAAGCGGGTGGATCACCTGAGGTCAGGAGAGACCAGCCTGGCCAACATGGTGAAACCCCATCTCTACTAAAAAAATATAATAATTAGCTGGGAGTGGTGGCACACGCCTATAATCCCAGCTACTCAGGAGGCTGAGGCAGGAGAATTGCTTGAGCCCGGGAGGCGGAGGTTGCAGTGAGCCGAGATCACGCCACTGCACTCCAGCTTGGACGACAGAGCAAGGCTCTGTCTCTAAAACAAAAACAAAACAAAACAAAACAAAACAAAAGACAGTGGTAAATGTAGTCTCACTTTTCTGTTAGGTCAAATTACTACACCAGATTTATCTGAAATTAGTTTGCCTCCCCTCTTTATGGAAATGAAGGCCTCTTGGTGGGTTAATTATGCCTCTGTAAACAACTTTCATACTTCTGGCCAGCACAGGCCACAGATGTTGTCTATTTTTGTGAGATGATTTGAAAGTGTGCAAAAAGAAACATCTGTATGGTTATCTCAGAAGTTTAAAGAAAATATCTTATTGTGCCAGGTAAAACTTTTCTGTTCTACCCCCCTTATGCTATTAATCCTTCCTGTATTTTATGATTCAATTGTTAAATGAAATTTCTATAAGATTCAGTATGGAATTTTCCTAATCATGGGAAAAGATATTATCCTCACTAAGATCCATGACACTGCAGCTATTTCTGCACTATGGAGATAAGTGGCTCTCTCTGTCATTAGTCTTAGACATGTGACTTTTTAGAAGTGATGGACATGAAATGAAGGAATAAGAATTTCTTCCTTATGGCTAGGCTCAGTGGCTCACGCCTGTAATCTCAGCACTTCGGGAGGTTGAGGTGGGTGGATCACTTGACCTCAGGAGTTTGCAACCAGCCTGGGCAACACAGAGAGATCTCATCTCTACAAAAATAGAAAACATCAGCCAGGCATGGTGGCGTGCGCCTGTAGTCCCAGCTACTCAGGAGGCTGAGGTGTGAGGATCACCTGAGCCTGGGGAGGTGGAGGTTGCAGTGAGCTGTGACTGCCCCACTGCACTCCAGCCTGGGCAACAGAGTGAGACTCTGTCTCAAAAAATTTTTTTTTCTTCCTTCTGTGCAACGTTGTGCAAATGCATCACACTTGTAACCTATAGGCCAAAACAGAATAGGACAACTTAATTGTTCAACAACTGATTAAATACCTGTTGTATGCCAGACACTGCACTAGGAGCTAGATATACATGAGCAGACAACACATAGTTCCCAGGGAGGAAAATTAATCAAATATATTAATTACATAAGGTGTTATGAAGAAAATGTATAGGATACAATACATGCAAATAAGAGTAGGAGAGGCAAGAAATACTTTGACAGGGCAGGAAGGAAAAGATTATTTGAAGTGACACTTAAATCAAGCCTTAGGATGAGCAGGAATCTACTATGGGAAGAGCAGAATAAACAGAATGTGCTAAGGCTCTGACTTGGGCAAAGCCCTAAAAGTCATGGTGAATGGTGGTGACACAGTGGTTGAGCAGAGAGTGAGATAAAATGAGCTTAGAGTGGAATGGAGTGATTAGATTTATGTTTTAAGATTACGCCATGTGTTTTGTGCAGGAATGGGTAGGAGTTTAAGAAAGAAAGTAGATAGGATGACAGCAAGACTGAGGGGGAAAAAAAGAATGAAAGTAGAGAGACCTATTAGGAGACTATTGTAGCTTAGACTAGGATGTAGAGGATATAGAAGGAAGAAAATCCAATTAGTATACATTTGTAAATAGAGTTGATAGATCTTATCAATGAACTAGTTGTGGGGGTGGGAGAAAAAGAAGAAACAAGTATACTCCTAAGTTTCTGGAGCAAGACACTGGGGAATGGTGGTATCATTACAGATGGTGAAGATCAGAGAGAAAGGGATTTGGAGAAGAAAAACTAAGAGTTTTTTTGTTTGTTTGTTTGTTTTTGTTTTGTTTTCTTTTGAGATGGAGTTTTGCTCTTGTCACTCAGGCTGGAGTACAGCAGCATGATCTCGGTTCACTGCAACCTCTGCCTCCTGGGTTCAAGTGATTCTCCTGCCTCAGCTTCCTGAGTAGCTGGAATTACCGGCACGTGCCACCAAACCCAGCTAATTTTTGTATTTTTAGTAGAGACGGGGTTTCAACATGTTGGCCAGGCTGGCCTCAAACTCCTGACCTCAAGTGGTCTGCCCGCCTCGGCCTCCCAAAGTGCTGGGATTATAGACATGAGCCACGGCGGCTGGCCAGAGTTTGGTTTTGGACATGATAAATTTGAATTGCTTGTGATGTATCTAAAAAGATACCACAACTGGACAACTGCATGTCTGGAGCTCAGAGGAGAGGACTGAGGACATATATTAGGAGTGAACACTACTGGGATAATATTTTAGCCCTGGAAATGGGTAAGATCTCCTAGGAAGACAATGTAGAGAGTAGAAAAGAGAGCCCATACCAGCACTAATGAGAGGGTAGGGAAAAAAGGAAAGAAAAGAAATCCCAGAATTGAGCCTGGAGAACTAACCAGGTGAACAGTTATGTTACTGAAAAGAAATGCTGAAAGAAATTAAGAGGAGCATGTGGTTTAGAGAGGAAATTGATGATTTATGTTTGGAACTTGACAAGTTTGGGGTCCTGACTGGGTTCCTGTCGTTCCTAATGTGGTGCCTGAGCAAAATATATAGGTCCCTTTTCAAATGTTAATGCTACATTTATAGTTTATTTTATGATTCAGTCTTATTGTATCTCCATGAATTTTCAGAATAAAACATCCCTAATCACGCCAGAGTTGGAGTCTGGAATGAGAGAAAACAACTTTACTAAGATCCATGATGCTGCAGCTGTTTCTGAATTATGCTGCTAAATGGCTTTCTATTTCACCAATCTTAGACAACAAGCAGCTATTTTATTTTAGTAATGGACATGAGATGAAGAAAGAAGGATTTGTCCAATGTTGAGCAAATACACTTTGCTGGCAGCACAGAAACTGAGGAGAACACAATGGTAATAGACATATATTGAGCATCTACCATGTGCCAGGCACTGTGCTAGGCTCTGGGGATAACTCAGAACATGACAGACAAGTATAGGAGCTTATAAACTAGTAAGGGAGATGGAAAAAAGTTAACTTACAGATAAAATAACTACAAATTTTGGTGAGTGGTGTGAAAGAAACAAATACAGGAAAAAAGCAGGGGATAGTACTTAGGGTCTGGATAGGATATTTAGGGCAACTTTCCTTGAGGAGGTGACATTTACTGATTCCTGAAGGATGGGGAGTCAGACATACCAAGATTAGGGGGTGATGAGCAACCAAATTGTCTTTTGCAGTATTTGGCCCTGAAAAGCTAAGGCAGGCCAAATAGCTTGTATTGGAATATTCAGTAGTGGTGCACCAAGAAGGGGGGTGGCTGGGAGTGATCTGATCCCATGGGGAGTATTTTATCACTGACAATTATAATTACCAGCTGGAGGCTGGGCATAGTGGCCCAGGCCTATAATCCCAGCACTTTGGGAGGCCAAGTCTGGCAGATCACTTGAGGTCAAGAGTTTGAGACCAGCCTGGCCAACATGGCGAAACCCCGTCTCAACTAAAAATACAAAAATTAGCCAGGCATTGTGCAGCATGCCTGTAATCCCAGCTACTAGGGAGGCTGAGGCAGGAGAATCACTTGAACCTGGGAGGCAGAGTTTGCTGTGAGCAGAGATTGAGATCCTGCTGCTGCACTCCAGCCTAGGTGACAGAGAAAGACTCCATCTCACTGACTCTGTTTCAAATAATAATAATAAAATAAATAAATAAAATTGCCAGCTGGGCAGGTGGCACACACCTGTAATCCCAGCACTTTGGGAGGCCGAGGAGGAAGACTGCTTGAGCTCAGGAGTTTAAGACCAGACAGGGCAACATAGTGAGACCTTGTCTCTCCAAAAATAAAAATAAAATAAATGAAATTAGCCAGGCATGCTGCCCCATGCCTGTAGTCCCAGCTATTTGGGAGGCTGAGATGGGAGGATCTCTTGAGCCTGCGAGGTTGAGGCTGCAGTATGCCAAGAATTGCACCACTGGACTCCAGCCTGGGTGACAGAGTAAGATCCTGTCTCCAAATAAATAAACAAAAATAAATAAAATAGGCCGGGCATGGTGGCTCATGCCGGTAATCCAGCACTTTGGGAGGCTGAGGCGGGCAGATCACCTGAGGTCGGGAGTTCGAGACCAGCCTGACCAACATGGAGAAACTCCATCTCTACTAAAAATACAAAAATTAGCTACCTGGGAGGCTGAGGCAGGAGAATCACTTGAACCCAGGAGGGTGAGGTTGCAGTAAGCTTAGATCATGCCATTGCACTCCAGCCTGGGCAACAAGAGCGAAACTCTGTCTCTAAATAAATAAATAAACAAATAAAATATAAATAAAATTGCCTGCACATGGTGATAATAAAAGGTAGGTGGACTTTTAGTCAGTTTTACTATTATTCTAAAATTCTCTATAGATAATGCCCCTATAGTGGACTGAATGTTGGTCCCTAGAAAGATATGTCCGTGTCCTAATCCCCCAAACCAATGGATATCACCTCATAACGGCAAAAGAGTTAATACTACCTTATGTGAAAAGATGTGATGAGGGATTTTGAGAATAGGAGCTTGTCCTGGATTATCTGGGTGGTCCTTAAATCCAATGACAAGCGTCTGTAAGAGTGAGTCAGAGGGAGATTTGATGGACAGAAGAAGTGACAATGGTCTGCAAATTCAAGATAGAAGACATTGTTGGATGAATTGATGGATGGAACGATAGATGGATATATAGAGGGAGGAACATTTACTAAATAACTGACAAATGGTAAATCTGCTTTTAACAAACGGCTGTGGAAATTTCCATGCTGTACTGCTAAGTTACCCATGATTTTCCTTTTGATACATAACAGTGACTTTGATCTAAACAGTTTCATTTTACCTTATGTATGTAGACATAACTTTCATGCTTGACAAAATGCTCCATAAGTATTCATATCTCTTTGTCTTAAAAGAAACTTTTTAAGGAGAGGGATATTTTATTTTATTTTTGAGATGGAGTCTCGCTGTGTCGCCACGCTGGAGTGCAGTGGTGCGATCTCTGTTCACGGCAACCTCTGCCTCCCGGTTTCAAGCGATTCTCCTGCCTCAGCCTCCCGAGTAGCTGAGGCTACAGATGCACGCCACCACACCCAGCTAATTTTTTGTATTTTTAGTAGAGACGGGGTTTCACCATGTTGGCCAGGATGGTCTCCATCTCTCTCTCTCTTTTTTTTTTTTTTTTTTTTTTTTTTGAGACGGAGTCTCTCTGTCACCCAGGCTGGAGTGCAGTGGCGCGATCTCCGCTCACTGCAAGCTCCGCCTCCCAGGTTCACGCCATTCTCCTGCCTCAGCCTCCTGAGTAGCTAAGACTACAGGCGCCCGCCACCATGCCCGGCTAATTTTTTTGTATTTTTAGTAGAGACGGAGTTTCACCGTGTTAGCCAGGATGGTCTCAATCTCCTGACCTCGTGATCTGCCCGCCTCGGCCTCCCAAAGTGCTGGGATTATAGGCATGAGCCACAGCGCCCCGCCAGATATTTTTTAAAATATTAATTAATTAATAAATTTTTGATACAGGTCTTGCTCTGTTGCCCAGGCTGGAGTGCCGTGGTGCGATCATAGCTCACTGCAGCCTTGATCTCCCGGGCACAAGTGATCCTTGGACTCAAACAATCCTCCCACCTCAGCCTCCTGAGTAGCCGGGACCACAGGCATGCAACACCATGCCTGGCTAATTAAAAAAGATATTTCTTTGCAGAGACAGGGTCTCACTATGTTATTCAGGTTGGGTCTCGAACTTCTGAGCTTAAGCAATCCTCCTGCCTCAGCCTCCCAAAGTGTTGCGATTACAGGCATGTGCCACCGTGTCTGGCCTCTGATTTATTTATTTATTTATTGAGACGGAGTCTCCCTCTGTTGCCATGCTGGGGTGCAGTGGCGCATTCTTGGCTCACTGCAACCTCTGCCTCCCGGGTTCAAGCGATTCTCCTGCCTCAGCCTCCTGAGTAGCTGGGACTACAGGCGCGCACCACCACACCCAGCTAATTTTTGTATTTTTAGTAGAGATAGGGTTTCACCATGTTGGCCAGGATGGTCTCTCTCTCCTGACCTCGTGATCTGCCCACTTCAGCCTCCCAAAGTGCTGGGATTTCAGGCATGAGCCACTGTGCCTGGCCTCTTTTCTAATTAATACTTTTTAGTTCTAAGTCAATATTACGCAAGTGAGAATTTTTTGTTTGTTTGTTTGTTTTTTTGAGATGGAGTCTTGCTCTGTTACCCAGGCTGGAGTGCACTGGCACGATCTCAGCTCACCGCAACCTCCACCTCCCAAGTTCAAGCAATTCTCTGCCTCAGCCTGCCGAGTAGCTGGTATTACAGGCGCCCGCCACCACGCCAGGCTAACTTTTGTATTTTTAGTAGAGACGGGGTTTCACCATGTTGGCCAGGCTGGTCTCGAACTCCTGACCACCCACCTCGGCCTCCCAAAGTGCTGGGATTACAGGCGTGAGCCACTGCGCCTGGCAGCAAGTAAGGCTTTACAATATAATTACATTTAAAGATAAATAAATAAATTACAGAAGACGTTGAGGGCTAAATTTACTTTGGGAACAGATTATTTTTCAAAAAACTTTTCATTTTGGGCCAGGTGCAGTGGCTCATGCCTGTAATCCCAGCACTTTGGGAGGCTGAAGCAATTGGATCACGCTGTCAGGAAATCAAATATTTGGCTAAAAATACAAAAATTAGCCAGGCGTGGTGGCATGTGCCTGTAATCCCAGCTACTCGGGAGGCTGAGGCAGGAGAATTGCTTGAACCTGGGAGGTGGAGGTTACAGTGAGCGGAGATCCAGCCACTGCACTCCAGCCTGGGCGACAGAGTGAGACTACATCTTGGAAAAAAAAATAGTTACACGTTCACGGGAGGTTGCAAAGAAACATATAGGGAATTCCTATGTACGCTTCCTCCAGCCTCTGTAAATGTTGACTTTTTTTTTTTTTTTTTTTGAGACGTGGTCTTGCTCTGTCGCCCAGGCTGGAGTGCAGTGGCACTACCTTGGCTCACTGCAACCTCTGCCTTCCAGGTTCAAGCAATTCTCCTACCTCCACCTCCTGAGTAACTGGGTTTACAGGCTCACACCACCACGCCTGGCATTTTTTTTGTGTGTGTTTTTAATAGAGACGGGGGTCTCATCATGTTGGCCAGGCTGGTCTCAAACTCCTGACCTCAAGTGATCAGCCCACCATGGCCTCCCAAAGTGCTAGGATTACAGGCATGAGCCACCGCGCCCAGCCAAATGTTGACATTTTACGCAGCTATAGCACAATATTAAAATCAGGCAGTTGAGACTGGTATAATCCATAGAGCTTATTCAGATTTTACCTGTTACACATGCACTTATTTGTGTATGTCTGTGTCTGTGTGTGCATTATCTTTTTGCAGATATTGCACTGAGAAATTAAGTCATCTAGTTCTTAAGGTACACGGGTATATATTTTAATAGAACTATAGAATTTGATGCTGTGTTGGGAGAAATGTTTCTTACACCGAATTTTGCTTATACACAAGTAACGTAGCTCAAGTTAAGTTATCTGCCTGGCCCATGTATGCATTTTTTTTTTCATGTATGCATTTTATATTGTCACTTCTGCTGCCCAGAGCAGCCTCCTATCTGCTCAGGTAGGCCATCTCAAGGCAGAACTATAGTCCTGGATCTGGTCATAAGTTCAGGTTCAGATACTGACCAGCATTAGGGACATGGAATCACAGTAACCAAAATCACAAGTCTAGCAAATGACAAAATTCAAGCATATAAAAATACTTATTAATTTAATAAATGATAAGGAACACCTGTGTGCTGGTTAGTATACTCTCTCTCCCTGTAGACAACTCATATATGAAATAAAATTACATTCAGAATACAGTGATGACATCAGAGCAAGCAGAGTAAGTTTGATGAATGAATGCTTTTATACCTGTAGTAGGGTTTGACCCCTGTGAGAAGACCCCCAGTGATCCCTGCCTCCGACTATTTACAGCTTGTGTGATTCCCCTCCCCTTGTATATAGGTTGGACTGAATAACTCACTTTTTTTTTTTTTCAGAGGGAGGCTTGCCCAGGTTGGAGCACAGTGGTGAGATCTCAGCTCACTGAAACCTCTGCCTCCCAGGTTCCAGCGATTCCCCAGCCTCAGCCTCCCCAGTAGCTGAGATTACAGATGTGTGCCACCACGCCCAGCTAATTTTTGTATTTTAGTAGAGACAGGGTTTCACCATGTTGGCCAGGCTGGTCTCGAACTCCTGACCTCAAGCAATCCACCCGCCTCGGCCTCCCAAAATGCTGGGATTACAGGCGTGAGCCACCGTGCCCAGCCTAAATAACTCACTTCTAACAAATGGACATAGAAGTATTAATAACAGGATGCCACTTCAGAGATTAGGTTACAAAAAGACAGTGGCTTCTTCTTGAAAACTTTCTCTTGTTCTTTGCTCTGAGGAAAGACAATTGGTATGTTGTGAACTGCCCTATGGAGAAACTTCCAGTGAAAAGTCATGAGGAACTGAGTTCTTCAGTCCAACACCTCATGGGGTTGAAAACTAAGTCCTACCAACAACCATGGGTGAGCTTGGAAGTAGATCTTCCCACTGATTTCATGAGTGACCCTGAGCTAGAGGCACCCAGCTAATGAGCACCCAGATTCCCGACTCACAGAAACTGTGAGACAATCTATGTTTGTTGTTTTAAGGCACTAAGTTTTGGGATAAATTGTTAGTAGCAATAACTAACAATACCAATCATACGATGTGAAATACTAATTTGAAGCATTAAAATAGAATAGAGGAAGGAAATAAATTCAATAGGTTGTAGTTTTGTGGGTTTTTTTTTTTTTTTTTTTTTTTGAGACACGGTCTCATGCTGTCACCCAGGCTAGACTACAGTGGTGTGATCATGGGTCACTGCAGCCTCCATCTGCTGGGCTCAAGTGATCCTCCTACCTCAGCCTCCTAAGTAGCTGGGACTACAAGCACACACCACTATGCCCAGCTAATTTTTGTATTTTTTTTTTTTTTTAGAGATAGGTTTTCACCATGTTGCCCATGCTGGTCTCGAACACTTAGGTTCAAGCAATCCACCCGCCTCCGCCTCCCAACGTGTTGGATTACAGGTGTGAGCCGCCATGCCTGGCCAATAAGTTGTAGTTTTTTTTATAGCTTCTTAGACATCAAATCATACTGACTAGATTCTTATTAGTGGCTAATTTAATCCAGTTTATGTTGAGTCTTACTAGTTTTACTTTCAGGGATCACCTTCAGACAAACTTCTGTTTGCATCTAACTATTGATTCCAACATACTGCATATACCTACTGACAACTAAATATTTACTGATTCATTCATACATAAATTCATCACGGCTGCTGGAGATTTAAAATGGCATCCAAAATGGCATACTAATTCCCTTGGTCTTTATTTTGTTTGCTTTTTTAGAGATAGGTTTTTGCTCTGTCAGCCAGACTGGAGTGCATCCAGGCTGGCACAATCATAGCTCACTGCAGCCTTGAACTCATGGGCTCAAGTGATCCTCCCACCTCAGTCTCCCAGGTAGCTAGAACTACAGGTGCAGGCCACCACATCTGGCTAATCTTAAAAAAGTTTTTTGTAGCCAGGCGCAGTGGCTCACGCCTGTAATCTCAGCACTTTGGGAGGCCGAGGTGGGCGGATTACGAGGTCAGGAGATCGAGACCATCCTGGCTAACACGGTGAAACCCCGTCTCTACTAAAAGTACAAAAAATTAGCCGGGCGTGGTGGCGGGGGCCTGTAGTCCCAGCTACTTGGGAGGCTGAGGCAGGAGAATGGCGTGAACCCAGGAGGCGGAGCTTGCAGTGAGCCGAGATCGCGCCACTGCACCCTAGCTTGGGCGACAGAGCGAGACTCCGTCTCAAAAAAAAAAAAAAAAAAAAGTTTCTTGTTTTTTTGTAGAGATGAGTCTCACCATGTTGCCCAGGCTAGTCTTGAACTCTTAGTTTCATGTCATCCTCTCACCTCAGCCTCGCCAAATGCTGGGATTACAAGTGTGAGCTACCATGCCCGGCTACAAAAAACCTTGGTCTTTATTTTAGATTAATGTTTATAAGACAGTTGAATGCTGAATTCATTCTTTAAAAACGCTTTTTTCTTTTTACAGAAAAGAAATAAATATTTAATGTTCAACATTTAGAGAAATAGACAAACAAAAAGAAAGTGAAAGTCACTTTTTTTTTTTTTGAGACAGGGTTTCACTCTTGCTGCCCAGGCTGGCGTGCAATGGCGTGATCTCAGCTCACTGCAACCTCCGCCTCCTGGGTTCAAGTGATTCTCCTGCTTCAGCCTCCTGAATAGCTGGGATTACAGGGGCCCACGACCATGCCTGGCTAATTTTTTGTATTTTTAGTGGAGACAGGGTTTTACCATGTTGGCCAGGCTGGTCTTGAACTCCTGACCTCAGGTGATCCACCCACCTTGGCCTCCCAAAGTGCCAGGTTTACAGGTGTGAGCCACTGCGCCTGGCCGAAAGTCACTTTTGAATCTGACACTTAGACAGGACTGCTATTGAGATTGAATGTACTTTTTTTTTTTTTTTTGAGATGGAGTCTCACTCTGTCACCCAGGCTGGAGTGCAGTGGCATGATCTTAGCTCACTGCAGCCTCCGCCTCTTGGGCTCAAGTGATTCTCCTGCTTCAGCCTCCCAAGTAGGTGGGATTATAGGTGCCCGCCACCATGGCCAGCTAATTTTTTGTATTTTTAGTAGAGATGGGATTTCACCATGTTGGCCAGGCTGATCTTGAACTCATGACCTCAGGTGATCTGCCTGCCTTGGCCTCCCAAAGGGAGGGATTACAGGCATGAGCACCGTGCCCAGCCTGAATGTGCTCTTGAATTTCAGTTGACAGCATTTGCCTTTCCTTTCAAAACTTGGGAAAACACTCTATCCTTGGTTAAACAGATAATTGATTTCTTTAAAACTCAGTTTCCTTAATGAAATATCTGAAAGTTTAGCTGTATATATCTAATCTCTAATAACTCAGTATCACAAACATTTAAGATTTAGTACGAGCCTCGGCGACATGGCAAAACCCTGTCTCTTAAAAAAAAAATACAAAAATTAGGCTGGGCGCGTTGGCTCACGCCTATAATCCCAGCACTTTGGGAGGTGGAGGTGGATGGATCACCTGAGGTCAGGAGTTTGAGACCAGCCTGGCCAACATGGTGAAACCCTGTCTCTACTGAAAAATACAAACATTATCCAGGTGAGCCGGGCGCAGTGGCTCATGCCTGTAATCCCAGCGCTTTGGGAGGCTGAGGTGGGCAGATCATGAGGTCAGAAGTTTGAGACCAGCCTGGCCAACATGGTGAAACCCTGTCTCTACTAAAAATACAAAAAATTAGCCAGGTATGGTGGCGGGCGCCTGTACTCCCAGCTACTTGTGAGGCTGAGGCAGGAGAATCGCTTGAACCTGGGAGGCGGAGGTTGCAGTGAACTGAGACCATGCCACTGCACTCCAGCCTGGGCGACAGAGTGAGACTCTATCTCAAAAAAAAACAGATAAACTAAAATAAAATACAAAAATTAGCTGGGCATGGTGGTGTGCGCCTATAGTTTCAGCTACTAGGGAGGCTGAGGTCAGAGGATCGAATGAGCCCAGGAGGTGGAGGTTGCAGTGAGCCCAGATTGCACCACTGTACTCCAGCCTGGGCAACAGAACAAGAGCCTGTCTCAAAAAAAAAAAAAAAAAAAAAAAAAAAAAATTAGTACCACTTACTGATGTTATAAGCACTATACTAGACAACTTTTTTCCATTATTTTATTTAAACCTCACTGAACCTTGTGTGTTGGGTAATAAGATTACCCTCAGTTTTCAAATGAGTAAACTAAGGTTTAGAGAGGTTAAGTAATCTCCCCAACCAAGATCATAAAAATAAGGAGTTTCATGAAAGGGATTCCATCTCAGTTGTTTGACTATAAAACTTATGCACACACCACTCTGCTGTAGTTTCTCCCTCAAACTTTTTCCCCATTATACTTTTTAAAAACGCAAAATGTCATTTAAAAAAACTTTCATAGTCAGAAAAATCGTCAGATTCCAGTTATTAAAAAACCAACCTAATTTATCCACACCTCTGTACCATTCCTTTGAAAGTTTTTGAAGTTAGTGTCTCTAGGCAAAAATTTTAAGATCTAAAAGAAATATACATTAATAAAATTCTTTTCCTGCTGAAATAAAACAGTGAATGTTACCAGTGATTTGCCTCATTTTGAAACTGGAACTATCATCAGAGAGCCAATTTCCATTTATATAAAATGACATAATACTGTTTCTGATTATAATTTCTGTAAAGTTATAGCCAATTGTTACAGTTGAAAACTAGATGTTTTTCAGCAAAATGTCCTGCGGTTGTGCGGTTTTATTATAATGAAATAAATGCGTGGTTTGGGAAGAAAGAGCAGAGAATATGACCATGGAATGCTAGAATAGAAACAAATTTAGAGACCACCTACCTCATCCTCCATATTTTAGAGATGAGAAAACTGAAGCCCAGAGAGTTAAACATTTCTGTCTCTTTTAGGTTGTCATAGTACACAAAGTATAAGATTAATGGCCTGTGAAAATTTTCATTTGATAATTGAGACAGTCTTGCAAATAAACTTAACCAATTTCTAAAGCTGTATAAATAAATGAAAAAAATTAAAAAATATAATACCTGGTACATAAAAGTTGCATAATACATATTTGTGAGTGAACAAATGAATAAAACAATTTATTGCAGCCGGGCATGGTGGCTCACGCCTGTAATCCCAGCACTTTGGGAGGCTGAGGGGGGGTGTATCACCTGAGGTCAGGAGTTTGAGACCAACCTGGCCAACATGGTGAAACCCGTCTCTACTAAAAAATACAAAGAAATTAGCCAGGCATGGTGGCACATGCCTGTAGTCCCTACAGTCCCAGCTACTTGAAAGGCTGAGGCAGGGAACTGCTTGAACCTAGGAGGCCGGGGTTGCAGTGAGCCGAGATTGCACCATTTCACTCCAGCCTGGGGAACAAAGCGAGACTCCCTCTCAAAAAAAAAAAAAAATTGCTTTCATTTTTCAAATTCTCTCATGGTCCTTAAAAAAAATACATATATATGTATATTCATTACTTTAAAAATAAATAAAAAATACATATGTGTATATTTTGAGACACCCAAGCTGGAGTGCAGTGCAGTGGTGCAATCATGGGTCACTGCAGCCTTGACCTTCTGGGGTCAGGTGATCTTCCCACCATAGTCTCTCAAGTAGCTGGGACCACAGGCACATGCCACCACACCCAGTTAATTTTTTGCATTTTTTAGAGATGGGTTTTTGCCATGTTGCCCAGGCTGGTCACCAACTCCTGGGCTCAAGTGATCCACCCACCTTAGCCTCCCAAAATGCTAGGATTACAGGCACGACCCACCGTGCCTGGCTGAAATTATATATATACATATAATTATTATATGGAGTTTCGCTTTTGTTACCCAGGATGCAGTGCAATTGCATGATCTCGGCTCACTGCAACCTCTGCCTCCTGGGTTCAAGCAATCTCCTGCTTCAGCCTCCTGAGTAGCTGGGATTACAGGTACCCGCCACCATGCCCGGCTAATTTGTGTATTTTTAGTAGAGACGGGGTTTCACCATGTTGGCCAGGCTGGTCTCGAGCCCTGACCTCAAGTGATCCGCCCGCCTCAGTCTCCCAAAATCCTGGAATTACAGGCCTAAGCCAATGCACCAAGCCTGAATTTATATTTTATATGCAGTCATACTACATACATATAATTTGTTGCTTTGCTTTTTGTACTTGAGTTACTGGTGCCCACATTCTTCCATATTGTTATGAAATATAATCCTTTAAAGTACTTACTGCAATTACAATACTTCTAAGTCGAATTCCGAAATGATCATAAGTAGAGGTGAATCCAGGTTTTGGGGAACTCTCATTAAGAAAAAAAAATGTAGCCGGCCGCACTGGCTCACATCTGTAATCCCAGCATTTTGGGAGGCCAAGGTGGGCAGATCATGAGGTCAAGAGATGGAGACTATCCTGGCCAAAATGGTGAAACCCCGTCTCTACTAAAAATACAAAAATTAGCTGGGTATGGTGGCGTGCACCTGTAGTCCCAGCTACTTGGAAGCCTGAGACAGGAGAATCGCTTGAACCCAGGAGGCAAAGTTTGTAGTGAGCTGAGATGTGCCACGGCACTCCAGCCTGGCGATAGAGCGAAACTCCGTCTCAAAAAAAAAAAAAAAAAAAAAAAAGCAGAAATTTCTAATGACTTCTGGATTCTGGTCAGCAGAAATTGAAGAAAAAAATTGACTTTGTGAGATCTTTGGGGAAAAATAAAAAAATACAAAAATAGATTACTTTTAAAATTTCCACAAGCCCAGGTGCGGTGGCTCATGACTATAATCCCAGCTACTTGGGAGGCTGAGGCAGGAAAATCACTTGAACCTCAGAGGCAGAGGTTGCAGTGAGCCGAGACTGCGCCACTGGATTCCAGGCTGGGTGAGAGAACGTGACTGTGTCTCAAAAACAAAACAAAACAAAACAAAAAAACAAAAAACAGAACAAAAAAACACCCCAAAATCATCCAGGCATGGTGCCATGTGCCTGTAGTCCCAGCTTGGGAGGCTGAGGTGGGAGGATCACCTGAGCTAGGAAGGTCAAGGCTGCAGCGAGCCATGATGGCACCACTGCACTCCAGCTTGGGCAACACAGTGAGGCCCGTCTCAAAAAAGAAAAAAAAAAAATGTATATGAAAAGTAACAACTACTACAGAACATTTGGAAAACAGAGAAAAGAAAAAAAGAAGCACCTATAATTTCATCAGACTTATGCTATATTCCCTTCTTGTGTTTTCTTCGTTAATGCAGATTCCGTTTTATAAAAACATGCTTGAAATAAGTAGACCCAGTTATTTTCTTCTCACCAAAAGTTTAGTATTAGGGCATTATTACTATTATTATTATTTTGAGACGGAGTCTTGCTCTGTCTCCAGGCTGGAGTGCAGTGGCACAATCTCGGCTCACTGCAACCTCCGACGACTCCCTGGTTCAAGTGATTCTCCTGCCTCAGCCTCCCGAGTAGCTGGGATTACAGGCATGTGCCACCGTGCCCAGCTAATTTTTGTATTTTTAGTAGAGACGGGGTTTCACCATGTTGGCCAGGACGGTCTCGATCTCCTGACCTCGTGATCCGCCTGCCTTGGCCTCCCAAAGTGCTGGGTTTACAGGAGTGTGCCACCACGCCCGGCTAAGGGCATTATTATAATGGAATATTTCACATTCTTGGCAAATCCCAATTATATTTTATATAAAACAACTTCAGAAAAATCAAGAAGAAAAAAGGTCTGTGTTTTACTGTTGTATTTCCATTCTTATTTTTAAAATTCGTGTTCAAGATTATGATTCTAATGTATACAAGAATGTAATATTCTGCTTTTTTTCTTACATTATATCATAAGCCTTTCTTCATACTACTGCATACTACTAAGGCAACATTCATAGTAACTAGAGCATCTGAGAATAAGATTTAGTTTATTAAACTCAGTCAGTACAACTGTAAGTGAAAAGCTAAAGGTAGGCAAAAGTGTGATAAATCAGAAATACAGAATGAGTGCTTTTGGTTTGCCTGCAGGTATAATGTAGAAAACCTAGACAGGGAAGTTGGAACTCAGAAATTCAAGCCTTCCAACTGAATGTCTAAGTCAACAAAAAATACCAACATAATCTTAAATTGTATATATACTTTTCTTTCTTTCTTCTTCTTTTTTTTTTTTTGAGACAGGATCTCGCTCTGTTGCCCAGACTGGAGTACAGTGGCACAATCACAGCTCACTGCAGCCTCCACCTGGAGGGCTCAAGTCATCCTCCCATCTCAGCCTCCCAACTACAGGCACACACCACCATGCCAGGCTAATTTTTAAAAATTTTTGTAGAGAGAGAGTCTCTGTATGTTGCCCAGGCTGGTCTCGAACTGCTGGGTCAACTGATCTGCCATGGTCTCCCAAAGCGTTGGGATTACAGGTGTGAGCCACCACACCTGACCTGTTTTTTCTTTAATAATTGGGAACGTGGCAGAATATTATTCAGTGGTAAAGACTTATTGTGATATGATATTATTATTAGGGTTTTCATTCTCAAAATTGGGTAAATGTACCCCCAAAGAGGTTTTTCTTTAAAATTTAGCAAAGCTGGCTGGGCCTGGTGGCTCATGAATCCCAGCACTTTGGAAGGCTGAGGTGGGCAGATCACCTGAGATCAGGAGTTCGAGACCAGCCTGGCCAACATGGAGAAACCCCATCTCTATTAAAAATACAAAATTAGCCTGGCACAGTGGCGCATGCCTGTAATCCCAGCTACTCAGGAGGCTGAGGCAGGAGAATTGCTTGAACCCAGGAGGCAGAGGTTGCGGTGGGCTGAGATCATGCCATTGCACTCCAGCCTGGGCAACAAGGACAAAACTCCATCTCAAAATAAAATAAAATAAAATTTAACAAGGCAACACAAATCCTTACTGTATAGAACATGCCAAAATTTGGTCATGGTTTTCAGGATTCAATGACATTTGTTATTGGAAACCAGCTTTTACGTTTTAAATAAGCTTTTGCATTGACATTCATTAATTTCATAGCATAAACTTTTTGCTTTCAAGCTTCTTGTTCCTTTAATGTTGTCCTGTTGTAGGAATTCAAGCCACATTTTAAAAATTCAAAAACGTAACATACATTGAGGAAACAGTCCATATGTCCGTTGCTGAGTGAATGAACAAAATGTGGTATATACATATAATGGAATATTAGTCAGCCTTAAAAAAGAGGGAAATTCTGATGTATGCTACTCTGAAGACATTATGCAAAAAAGCTAGTCACAAAAAGACAAATACAGTACAATCCCACTTATATGAGGTACCTAGAATAGTCAAGTTCGTAGAGACAGAAAACAGAACAGTGGTTATCAAGGGATGGAAGGAGGAGGGAAAGGACATTTATTTTTATTGGGTATGAAGTTTCAGTTTGGAATGATGAAAAAGTTCTGGAGATAGATGATGGTCATGGTTCTACAACAATACGAATGTACCTAATGCACCTGAACCATACACTTAATATTAAGATGGTAAATTTTATATTATGAATATTTTACAATTAAAAAAATCCCCCAATCTATAACATACATTGGGAAAAGTGCATTTTATCTGTATATTCAGTTTAACAAATAATTACTAAGCAAATATATGTAATCACCACCTAGCCCCCAAAATGAAATATTATCAGAGTAACCTGTGTCCCTCCCCATCACAACCCTCTTCCTTCCTGAGTAACCACTATCATGGCTCTAACATTTGCTTTTGAAAATCATATACTGTGATGTGGTAATGCAGGATAAGTTAAATCTACACTACAAAACGCTACAGAATATTTCTTTTAATTTCAATTTTTCCATAAGTGCCAAAAAAAAAAAAAACAAACCCACTTAATAACTTTTAAGTGCTCTTTCTCCCCTTCCTTTGCTCTTGAAACTTCTCATTCTAAAACCTATTTTGGTTCCACAGTTGACCTCACCTGCAGAGTTTAATTAAAAAAAAAAAAACCTTCAGTGTAAATTTTCATTCCTCCTGCTCTCCCTTGCCTCCAACTACAAAGAAACAATGATTTAAACCCTTTGTGCCCTTTTAGAAAATTACACAGATACCCCATTGTGGAACCCTATAATCCCTTCGTGGAAAGGAAGAGATTAGCATATGAATACAAAGCAAAATGAATCCAGAATACAAAATGATCTACTGGATTGTGAAGCTCTTGTATGCTTAAAAATGTATTTATTTCCTCTTTTTGTATTGCCCCTTTAGTGGTCTCGGGGTTAAGGGAATTGAGCTTCCCTTTCTGGTTACCCGGAAAAGGATTAAAAACAAAACAAAACAAAAAACAAAAAAACACCAGATTCTAAGAGGTGCAAAGCCAGCAGATGGCTCACAGCACCAGTGGAATCGCCAGTGGAATCTGCTACCCTCGACACGAGCCTGCTTGCCGGCGAGGAGTGTAGAAAGTGCTGTTCACAGACTGCGTGGTGAAGGAGAGAAAGCGACAGAAGAGAGAGCCATAGTGCTGACGTTGAAGGCCCGGCCCTGTGAGGTTGCACAGGGTAAGTGGCGTTGGCCAGGCGGCAGCGGCGAAGGGGAAGGAAAGAGGATTTGAGCTGGGGGCGGGGCTTGCGGCACAGCGTGGCTCCTGATTGTTGGAGTGCGGCTGCCAATCTCGCAGAATCGCTCGGTTAACCAGTGCGCTGGCGAGACGCGCTCAGATATACTGAGTGAGCCCTGAGAAGCAGTCTCAGATCCTGACGGTGCAGCAGCCCGCAGCCTCAGCCAGGGAGTCCCAGCCGCTTTCAATGGAGGAGAAGCCCGGCCAGCCACAGCCTCAGCACCATCACAGCCACCACCATCCGCACCATCACCCTCAGCAGCAGCAGCAGCAGCCGCACCACCACCACCATTATTATTTCTACAACCACAGCCACAACCACCACCACCACCATCATCACCAGCAGCCTCACCAATACCTGCAGCATGGAGCCGAGGGCAGCCCCAAGGCCCAGCCAAAGCCGCTGAAACATGAGCAGAAACACACCCTCCAGCAGCACCAGGAAACGCCGAAGAAGAAAACAGGTCTGGGAGGGAGGACGGGTGGGGGAAGGGGGTTGGGGGTGGAGGACAGGAGAGATGGGGGTGGGGCTGGATCCGAAAAGCGCGGACGGGGTCGGGGTGTGTGTGTGTGTGTCCCCTCCGGCTCTGGGGATGCCCCTTTCATTCTAGAGCTCGGGCTGAGCAATGGGGTTTGCAGCGCCCTCTCCTTCCCTCCAGCATGGGAGAGGCCCAGCCAGGCCAGCGTGACCTTCCTGGCCCCGGCCCCGGCTGAAGGGAGACCTGCTGGGTCGGCCTTGCAAGTCCAACCTCATTATTCTTTTCCCATTCACCTCCCTGCGTCCCTGGAGTTACCTCAATTTGGGGGCCCTGAGATGGGGTAAACCTACCCCCCCAAAAAATCCCTCGAGGTGTAACTCAGGAAGGCCTAGCGAATCCCGACTCGGATGGTGTCGCGAGACCCTTTTGCAGGCGGCGAGGAGTGGGTAGGTAGGGTGAGTTGAGGAAGTGCCCCTCACCCGCCACCCCAAGCCCACCTGTGGCCTTGGGGCTCCCCGTCTCGGTGGGGGGGGCTGTTGGGACCCCTCATCTCACGGGTCATTTCCACCACTAAACGCCCTTTTTGGGCGCCGGACCCCGCAGTCTTGTCCCGCGGCTCCTCCCGAGGCCGGCGCCCCGCGCCCGCTCCCCCCAGAGCCGGCGCGGCTGGAATGTTCTCTCCTCCTCGCGGGGCCGCTTCCTGTCCGCCATGTTGGAAGCCGATTCCTGTCACCGACTCCGGCCCACTGAGGAGCGGAGGGGGAAGGGTGTCGAGGGCCACACGGGGCGGCGGAGCCGGGTGACCCGGGATCACCACCGGCCGCAGCCTCGCCCCCTGCACTGCGGGGGCGCCGGCGCCCCCCGCACCGCGGCCGCCCCCCCCCCCGTCGCCGGCCGGGGTTGTGTAACCCGGTGGCGGCGCGCGGCCCCGGGCGGGTCCCTGGGGTGAGGGGCGGGGGCGGTTGGGGTGGGGGAGGGAAGCGGCCACGAGGGGAGCGGCCTGCGCAGGGCCCCGCGCGCCAGCGGCCGCGTTTCCCGCTCCCGGGTGCGGCGGGAGGCGCGGGCAGTCGGGGCGGGGAGCCGGCCTCGAAGCGGAGCTGAGAGGGAAGGAGGCCGCGGGCGGCGGCCGCGGCGCTCCTAGAGGCAGGAGGCCTGGGGGGGCGGCGGGGGGATTCATTTCGGGTAGAGGCGGTGCCTGAGGCCGGGTGGGGTACCCAGCGGGAACCCAGCTCCCCGGTCACGAGTTTCTCTGCCACAGGAACCTCGTCTCCTGCCAGGTTCGCTCACGACTCCGCCTCTGAGGCTTTCACTTGGGCCTTTTCCTTCTAGCAGCTCATTTTCTACAAAAAAAAAAAAAAAATCCAAAAACCTTGTTCCATTCCCCTCCCGACCCAGCACTTACCTTCTGAGCTTGGGTAGTGTCTTTGAGGTGAGGGATTTTAAAAAATGTTAGGATGGGGAAGAGTGCGAGCTTTTTGACCCCTCTTTCTTGTCCTTAAGGGTGAACCCAAGTGGCTCATCCATGAGGTTAGACTACTACCATCTTGCCTCGGATGAGGCTTCTCTCCGTGTTAAAAAGAAAGGTGTTTTTCGTATTTTAAAATCGATATTGATCCCCAAACTAATCTTAATAAACGAGAAATTGAGGGTAAAAGTCATGTAAGAAAGTATTTCACGAGAAGTGAGTTTAATAGTTTATAACCCACGCAGATTTTAAAAAATAAGGGCTCTTTATAAATCGAAGAGAAATGAAGCGTAAGAAAGCGTATGTTAAACCCAGCGTATCAAATTTGATAGAAGGAATTGTTGAGAGCTGGAGAAATACTAAGTGCTTTTTTATTGCAGATTGTAACTTGAAGACTGAAATTAGAATGTCAGATTTTCCATTTTGGGACTTCGTAGGGACCCGATAGTATGCAATAGAAGTGAACACATACGCACGAGTTAGGTGTTTTAATCCTAAAGATTTGGAACAGTTTAAAAACTGTTAGGGACTATATAACTAGATTTTTTAGCATTAGATCTTGTTCAAAAGATGAGAAAATACTACCATATTATGGCTGCATAAGGCAATATTACTGTTGAGATTGAAAAATTGTATCTCATCGGTCAGGTTAATATACTCTTGCCAGACTTCTCTCTACATGTGGAAGCAACCGCTGAACCATTCAAGGTGGTATTCCTCCAAATATTTCTTGTCTTGGAAGGGGTGGATAAAGAGGAGGAAACTGGAATTAGCAGTTTTGACAGAATGTAAACAGTTTGGGGCGAGTGTATGATTTGGTCACAGTACTGTTGCTTTGACATGCATAATGCTAATAACTAAGAAAACATTACAATATTTTTGAAATTTATCTGTAACATGTTGAGGTAGGCTTTGGTAATCCATTGCTCACAAACCTAAAGAGGAACAGTTTTTTTTAATCCAGAAGAGGGCGCAAGAGAAGGCCAAATGTGTTGAGTAATTTGTTTCTAATTGAAAAGCTAGATGTATCAGGACTCAAGTTTTGCTGAGTCTTTTGGAAGTAGGGTTAGTATAAGCAGCCCTAAATAAAGCGCTAGGAATCCTTTAATTTCTTAAATTTATTCTATAATGTTTACATTTTTCTTAAATATCTACTATTTAAAAAGAAAATTTCTTTCCAGCATACTTCATACATATCACAAGGTTGTCATGAGAAAAACTTTATGTAGTTAAACAAGATTTTCTTTTCTTTTTTTTTTTTTTTTTTGTTATTAAAACTTGCGGGCGGGAGCACAGTGGCTTCTAAGCCGTTTTTTCATTGTTTGGTGATTTCCAGTATCTGAGTCGCTACATACTAGTAATCTTAGGAAGAATTATTCTTGTTAGCTTTGGTTCAGCTCAGTTTGGAGATTGGATTTTTTGCTATTTCAGATTGCTCATCTTTAATTGAAATCTGAAAAGTTGTGACTAATGGGCCCAAGGATACAAACCTTTGTTTAACCTGTTAGCATATTAAATGATACAGGTAGGTCTTATCCAGAGTTAGGTAAGGAGATAAAGTTATATCTGTTAAAAATGATGAGAAGAGCCTTTATTTAGGAACTTTATGCTTTTCTTTCTTTCTTTCTTTCTTTCTTTTTTTTTTTTTTGAGACACAGCCTTACTCTGTGGCCCAGGCTGGAGTGCAGTGCAGTGGCATGATCTCGGCTCACTGCAACCTCTGCCTCCTGGATTCAAGCGAATCTCCTGTCTCAGCTGGGATTACAGGCATATGCTACCATGCCCAGCTGATTTTTTTTTTCTTTTTTTTAGTAGAGATAGGACTTCACCATGTTGGCCGGACTGGTCTCAAACTCCTGACCTCAAGTGATCCACCTGCCTGGGATCCTAAAGTGCTGGGATTACAGATGTGAGCCACTGTGCCTGGGATTTTTCTGAGGAAAAAAGCTTTTAGAAAACATCCTAAGCAATAATCTCTTTCTTGCTGTTTCATAGTTAAAATTGTGCCACCAAAAATTTGATTTGATTGGCTATCATAGCTTTTCCAGCAGCCAAAAAATTTTTAAAAATGTAACCCTGTGGAATCTAAGAACTCTTAAGAGTTCTAAGAAATCTAAGAGGCCGGTGTGGTGGCTCTCACCTGTAATCCCAGCACTTTGGGAGGCCCAGGCGGGCAGATCACTTGAGGTCAGGAGTTCGAAACCAGCCAGGCCAACGTGGCGGAACTGGGCATCGTGGTGCATGCCTGTAATCCCAGCTACTCTGGAGGCTGAGTCAGGAGAATCTGGGAGGCGGAGGTTGTGGTGAGCTGGGATCACATCACTGCACTTCAACCTGGGCCACAGAGCGAGAATCTGTCTCAAAAAAAGAAAAAAAATAACTGTTATAAGATGTATTCTCTCGTGGTACAAGTTTTGTGCCAGTCTGTTTTAGGAATGATTATGCCTTGAGTATGTTTTCTTGGGTTACTTTAATACAGGAGAAGAAAATGCCTTTATTTGTTCAGTTTTAGTATTTGTACTTTTTTTTCTAATGTAGAATGAGTAAGTCCTGTTGTGAATCTAATAGACTTCTCCATTAATTTATTTTGGAACAATGGTTCTCAGACTTATAAAAATGGCAGTATTCCTATTAGACTCCTCACTTCCTGCTGCCTTAAATGTGTGTGGAGTGTCCTTCTATTGTGTATCTTTCTTTTTTCTTTTTTTTGGAAGTGGAATTTTGCTCTTGTTGCCCAGGCTGGGGTGCAGTGGCCCAATGTGGGCTCACTGCAACCTCTGCCTCCCGGATTCAAGCCATTCTCCTGCCTCAGCCTCCCAAGTAGCTGGGATTACAGGCGTGCACCACCATGCCTGGCCAATTTTGTATTTTTAGTAGAGACGGGGTTTCACCATGTTGGTCAGGCTGGTCCTGAACTCCTGACCTCAAATGATCCACCCACCTTGGCCTCCCAAAGTGCTGGGATTATAGGCATTAGCCACTGCACCCGGCCTGTATATCTGTTTCTAATGACTTGACCTCAAGATGCTTTTATGAACATTTCATAAAAAGGTAGATAACTAATAGCACCATTTTGTTACAGTGGAAAACTATTTGAATCACCTATAATAGAATTGACTTTTTATGGTAGTTGAAGGTTTTTTTTTCTTTTCTTCTTGAAAGAGGGTCTCACTTTGTCACTCAAGCTAGAAGGCAGTTGTGCCATCTCAGTGCATGTTCACTGCAGCCTCGACCTCCTGGGTTCAAGCTATCCTCCTCCCTCAGCTCCCCCAGCTGGGAGTATAGGCACATGCCCCACGCCCAGCTAATTTTTGTATTTGTAGTAGAGACAGGGTTTCTCCATGTTGCCCAGGCTGGTCTTGAACTCCAGCAGTCTGCCTGCCTTGGCCCTCCCAAAGTGCTATGTTTACAGACATGATCCACTGGCAGTTGAAGACTTTTAATTAAACCTGAATACCATAACACTAAAAAATTGGATTCTTTTTATTGTTGTTTTGTTAGTAAATATTTTCTCATTGCATCTTTTGAGTCAAGGCAGTATTACATAGTGATAGGAAACCATGGATTGCAGATAGACTGGCGGTCAGATTTCCAGTTCTGTCACTTTGACTTGGGCAATTTACTTCATCTCTCTTAAAGTCTTTTTATCTAAATGTAAAATGAAGAAAGTATGTTTTATAAAGGTTGGAAACATTGGTACGTAGATATTTTGGTTTCACGTATTAACAATATCCAATATCTGGGAAATGTCAAAATGAAATTTAAGAATACTTTAGAAAAAGTTGACAAGTGTTAGATATTTGTCTGATAGATGCCTTGGAAACTGCTGATAGTGACTACCAGCTATTTATGGTTTTGTAGAAATGAAGTCTTTAATTTCCTTGTAATAATTACTGTTTCAATAAAACTTGATTTTTGCCCAGAGGGCATCTCTGCTCTGAATTGTAAAGAAAATTTTAGGCCGGGCGTGTGGCTCACGCCTGTAATCCTAGCACTTCGGGAGGCCGAGACGGGCGGATCACAAGGTCAGGAGATCGAGACCATCCTGGCTAACATGGTGAAATCCTGTCTCTACTAAAAATACAAAAAGAATTAGCCGAGCGTGGTGGTGGGCGCCTGTAGTCCCAGCTACTCTGGAGGCTGAGGCAGGAGAATGGCGTGAGCCCGGGAGGTGGAGCTTACAGTGAGCGGAGATAGCGCCACTGCACTCCAGCCTGGGCGACAGAGTGAGACTCCGTCTTGAAAAAAGAAAATTTTATAACAGCCTTGTGAGAGTGATGGGTAGATTGATTCTGTTAGATGAGAGGTATTTGGCATACTGCTTAAGAGGTCTTGTCTTCTCTGGCCTCAGACTTTGGTTTGAATCTTCGCTGAGTTCTACCTCTTGCTTTGCTTAGCAGTAGGTTGCATTTCCTAGTCTGTAAAATGGGGCTGACAGGTGTCTTCTCATAGAGATGTGAAATAATATAAAGCTACAGCTCATAGCATAGTGTCTAGCATACAGTAAATAGTTCTTAAATGTTAGGTATTAGTGTAATTTACATGTTGTGATTTTTTTTTTTAATCCTTTTTTTCCCCTCCCCTAGGCTATGGTGAACTAAACGGTAATGCTGGAGAAAGAGAAATATCTTTAAAGAACCTGAGTTCTGATGAAGCCACCAACCCTATTTCCAGGGTCCTCAATGGCAACCAGCAAGTTGTAGACACTAGCCTGAAGCAGACTGTAAAGGCCAACACCTTTGGGAAAGCAGGAATTAAAACCAAGAATTTCATTCAGAAAAACAGTATGGACAAAAAGAATGGGAAGTCTTATGAAAATAAATCTGGAGAGAATCAGTCTGTAGATAAGTCTGATACTATACCAATTCCAAATGGTGTGGTAACAAATAATTCTGGTTATATTACTAATGGTTATATGGGTAAAGGAGCAGATAATGATGGTAGTGGATCTGAGAGCGGATATACAACTCCTAAAAAAAGGAAAGCTAGGCGCAATAGTGCCAAGGGTTGTGAAAACCTTAATATAGTGCAGGACAAAATAATGCAACAAGAGACCAGTGTCCCAACCTTAAAACAGGGACTTGAAACTTTCAAGCCTGACTATAGTGAACAAAAGGGAAATCGAGTAGATGGTTCGAAGCCCATTTGGAAGTATGAAACTGGGCCTGGAGGAACAAGTCGAGGAAAACCTGCTGTGGGTGATATGCTTCGGAAAAGCTCAGATAGTAAACCTGGTGTGAGCAGCAAAAAGTTTGATGATCGGCCCAAAGGAAAGCATGCTTCAGCTGTTGCCTCCAAAGAGGACTCGTGGACCCTATTTAAACCACCCCCAGTTTTTCCAGTGGACAATAGCAGTGCTAAAATAGTTCCTAAAATAAGTTATGCAAGCAAAGTTAAGGAAAACCTCAACAAAACTATACAGAACTCTTCTGTGTCACCAACTTCATCTTCATCATCTTCATCATCTACCGGGGAAACTCAGACCCAATCATCAAGTCGCTTATCCCAGGTCCCTATGTCAGCGCTGAAATCTGTTACTTCTGCCAACTTTTCTAATGGGCCTGTTTTAGCAGGGACTGATGGAAATGTTTATCCTCCAGGGGGTCAGCCACTGCTAACTACTGCTGCTAATACTCTAACACCCATCTCTTCTGGGACAGATTCAGTTCTCCAGGACATGAGTCTAACTTCAGCAGCTGTTGAACAAATTAAGACTAGCCTTTTTATCTATCCTTCAAATATGCAAACTATGCTGTTGAGCACAGCACAAGTGGATCTGCCCTCTCAGACAGATCAGCAAAACCTGGGGGATATCTTCCAGAATCAGTGGGGTTTATCATTTATAAATGAGCCCAGTGCTGGCCCTGAGACTGTTACTGGGAAGTCATCAGAGCATAAAGTGATGGAGGTGACATTTCAAGGAGAATATCCTGCTACTTTGGTTTCACAGGGTGCTGAAATAATTCCCTCAGGAACTGAGCATCCTGTGTTTCCCAAGGCTTACGAGCTGGAGAAACGGACTAGTCCTCAAGTTCTGGGTAGCATTCTAAAATCTGGGACTACTAGTGAGAGTGGAGCCTTATCCTTGGAACCCAGTCATATAGGTGACCTGCAGAAAGCAGACACCAGTAGTCAAGGTGCTTTAGTGTTTCTCTCAAAGGACTACGAGATAGAAAGTCAAAATCCTCTGGCCTCTCCTACGAACACTTTGTTAGGCTCTGCCAAAGAACAGAGATACCAGAGAGGCCTAGAAAGGAATGATAGCTGGGGTTCTTTTGACCTGAGGGCTGCTATTGTATATCACACTAAAGGTAACTCATTTGTTTCCTATACAAAGATTTTTATTGGCCAATTTAGTATATTGTTTATATTAAGAGAATTTTAAGAGAATTAGTTGTTCATATTAAGAGTATTTTAAGAGAATGACAATGTGGATAAGCAGCTGGTGTCAAACTAATTCAGGGTCCTTGGAACTAGTATGATTAAAATTTAGAAGAAATGTTCACTTTTCCAACTTAAAAGGATTTTTAAAAATACAAACATAATTGACCTACCTGGTTCAAAGAACAGAAGTGAGGAGAACTTGCTTAAAGGTATTGATGTTATATTTTCTCTTGACTGAGTGCTTGAAAAAAAATTTTATTGAACATATGTTCTCCTTCCGTGGCTTTTTTGTCTTTGCTTTTTTGTTTTGTTTTGTGTTTTTTTTCTTTGAGATGGAGTCTCACTCTCTTGCCAGGCTGGAGTGCAGTGGCGTAATCCCGGCCCACTGCAACCTCCACCTCCCAGGTTCAAGTGATTCTCCTGCCTCAGCCTCCTGAGTAGCTGAGATTACAGGCACGCACCACCATGCCCGGCTAATTTTTGTATTTTTAGTAGAGACGGGGTTTCACCATGTTGGCCAGGATGGTCTTGACCTCTTGACCTTGTGATCCACCCACGGCCTCCCAAAGTGCTGGGATTACAGGTGTGAGCCACCACACCCATTTGCTTATTTGTTTTTGAGACAGAGTCTCACTCTCTCACCCAGGCTGGAGTGCAGTGGTGTGATCTTGGCTCACTGCAACCTCCGCCTCTTGGGTTCAGGTGATTCTCCTGCCTCAGCCTCCCGAGTAGCTGGGATTACAGCCATGCGCCACCACGCCCAGCTAATTTTTGTATTTTCAGTAGACACGGGTTTCCCCGTGTTGGCCAGGCTGATCTCAAACTTCTGACCTCGTGATCCGCCCGCCTCTGCTTCCCAAAGTGCTGTGATTACAGGTGTGAGCCACCGTGCCCAGCCTCTCCTTTGCTTTTTATATCATATGCGTCTTTAATAGTGAGCTCATTTAATAGTTCTAATTTGATTAAAATGAGTAGAAGCACTGTTTTTGAAGAGGAGACTGATAAGTCTTGGAGTAATGGATGCCAGTTTGTAACTGGAAAATAAGTTAGACAAATCACAGTGTCAAGTATGATTAGCATAGTTGAGACCAGGCTCTTGGGATTCTCCTTTTCATAGCCCTAAAGCCCAAGTTTAAAGGGAACCAGGTATCTTTCAAGTTTCACGCTAATAACTTTCTTTTCTTTTTTTTCTTTTTTTTTTTTTTTTTTTTTGAGATGGAGTCTTACTCTTGTCACCCAGGCTGGAGTGCAGTGGCGCAATCTTGACTCACTGCAACCTCCGCCTCCCGGGTTCAAGTGATTCTCCTGCCTCAGCCTCCCACGTAGCTGGGATTACAGGTGCCCACCACCACGCCTGGCTAATTTTTATATTTTTAGTAGAGATGAGGTTTCACCGTGTTGGCCAGGCTGGTCTCAAACTCCTGACCTCAGGTGATCCACCCACCTGGGTCTCCCAAAGTGCTGGGATTACAGGTGTGAGCCACCGTGCCAGGCCTCATGTTAATCACTTTCTTAGAATGTGGTTTGTTTGTGTCTTAAAGAAAAATTCGCTGTATGGCATAACTGTAATCTAAATCCTTAGAGCAAATAATGAGGTTTAACGATGATGTTTATATCCTTTTGCTTTTGAGAACAGTGGGTTTCAGTCTTCCCATCTTTCCTACCTCTTCCTCCTTTCTCTAACAGAAATGTATGCTCCATGCATGCATGTACACACTTAATACATAGTGCACATTCCCATTTTAACAGTGGCTCATTTAGGCAGTGACTTACAATTGCAGGGAAAGGGGACCATACCAGATTGTGGGAATTGGGTAATTACCATATTCTCTCTGGAAGAAATACTGCCTCAGGGATGAATAACAAAGTGATTTGTGACTTCTAAGCAAATTTCCTAGTCTGCATACGTTTCCTTATCTGCAAGCTGGAAGACATTGAGTATAATAAATAGATGTCCTTTTAATATCATTTTACTTCCTTAAAAATGGAAGTAGTAGAATTGCTTAATGGAAGTTTAGGAATCCTCACAGATAACATTTACCTGATTTCACTTATTCTCCAGCTCTGCTCTTTGAAGGTAAATACAGGAGTTGGTTGTTTTTAGCAATGTTAGGGCAAAAAGATAAATGCTTCGTTTTTTAAGACATGTGTTATACATTAGTTAACCTCTGCCAGGAGAGTTGGGTTTTTTGGTATTGTTTTCTGTGCCGTCTGCCCTCTAGAGACTATTACTGGAAAATGTTTACCGAAGTATTTTGCACTGGCGATCATTGTGTGAGCCTGAGAGGGTATCTGGTTGTGTTGTGTTCTCTTACCACCTCCAAAATATTCTGGGAGGCCCAGTGTGGTGGGTCATGACTGTAATCCCAGCACTTTGGGAGGCCGAAGTGGGAGGATCACTTGAGCTCAGGAATTTGAGACCAGCCTGGGCAACAATGTGTAGTCCCAGCTACTTGGGAGGCTTAGGAGGGAGGATCACTTGTCCCTGGGAGATCCAGGTCTGCAGTGAGCTATGTTTGCACCACTGCACTCAGGCCTGGGCAACAGAGTGAGACCGTGTCTCAAAACAAAACAACAAAATGTGTAGGATATGTTCCATTAGGTAACTGGTTAATAGTTCTTATGTACAATTTCTATTAGGTGGAATTGCAGGCCATTTTTAAATTGGAATGTTAACCTGAATTTACTCTTTATGCATTTTCCCTATCCATGGGCTAGCTGAATATGAAATCAGTGGTATTTATATAAGCTGAATACCCCTATATGGGTGCAGTTATATTTAGTTTTGCTGGTATTAATGAAAAAATTTGCTGTAGGTAAAGTGTCATCTTGAGTTCTGTATTTGGACATGATTGGAAATTAATCAGATTGGCATCAAAATTTTTACCCCTCTAGAACAATAAATAATACTCAGTTCAATTGGGTTCCAGAGTAGCAAGTTCTTTGAATTCCTGCCAAATGTTGATTGGTCCATTAGCAGTCCATTGGCCACTCATTTTTCTTTACTTGAATTATATTTGGAGATCTTTTATAAGTGAAGCCTTTTTTTTTTAAAGTTAACTCTAAAAGAAGTAATAATCAGTTGGGCTACTGGAATATCCTTTAAGAACATCTGTATTATTTTCTTTGTGCTTTAGTGTAGTTTTCAGATGTTCAGTAGTAATCTCTAAGTGAGTAGTTGAAGTTGGGCTTAGAATTGGAAGTTCTCTGCATTTCTCCTGACTTCAAAAATAAGCCCTTCAGCAACTTAATTTGGAAATAGTGGGTAAGAGAGTGCGTTATGTCACTTCTTTAAGAATGGTGCACTATTTATTTAACTTATATAAAGAAAGGTGTTTTTATTTTGTTTTTTGGTGGTTTTTTTTTTTTTTGAGATGGGGTCTTGCTCTGTTGCCCAGGCTGGAGTGCAGTGTCACAGTCTTGGCTCACTGCAACCTCCGCCCCCTGGGTTCAAGCGATTCTCCTGCCTCAGCCTCCTGAGTAGCTGGGATTACAGGTGCACGCCACCATGCCTGGCTAATTTTGTATTTTTAGTAGAGACAGGGTTTTACCGTGTTGGTCAGGCTGGTCTCCTGACCTCATGAGCCACCTGCCTTGGCCTCCCAAAGTGCTGGGATTACGGGTGTGAGCCACTGCACCCAACAAAGAAAGGTGTTTATTTGACTCAAGGTTTTGGCGGCTGGGAAGTCCAAGTGCATGGCGGCAGCTTCTGGCAAGGGCTTTTTTTAATACAGGAAGTTTTTAGATTAAGCAATTACTTGGAACCTTAAGCGTACTATGGATTTTTAAAAATTTGAGTGTTAAGTACAATTGAGGGTATGAAGTAAAGATACAATAGAGCATAAAAAGGGGATTTGTGCTGGGTGCGGTGGCTCACGCCTGTAATCCCAGCACTTTGGGAGGCCAAGGAGGGTGGATCACGAGGTCAGGAGATCGAGGCCATCCTGGCTAACAGTGAAACCCCATCTCTACTAAAAATACAAAAAATTAGCCGGGCGTGGTAGCAGGCACCTGTAGTCCCAGCTACTTGGGAGGCTGAGGCAGGAGAATGGCGTGAACCCGGGAGGTGGAAGTTGCAGTGAGCTGAGATCGTGCCACTGCACTCCAGCCTGGACGACAGAGCAAGGCTCCTTCTAAAAAAAAAAAGGGTGGGGGGTGGCGGGATTTGTGTGGATTCTAATTCCTTGTGTGGGATTTTCCTTTTAGCTGTTTTTTTTTTTTTTTTTTTTAAAGAGACAGGATCTCATTGTCACCCAGGCTGGAGTGCAGTGGCACTATCGTAGCTCATTGCAGCCTGGAACTGGGCTGAAGCTCTCCTCCTTCCTCAGCCTCCTGAGTAGCTAGTACTACAGGTGTATGCCACCATGCCTGGCCTCTTTTAGCTTTTTATATAATATGTTATGCCATTAACTTTTCTCTTTTTTTTTGAGACAGGGTGTTGCTGTGTTGTTGAGGCTGGAGTACAGTGGTGTGGTCATAGCTCACTGTAGCCTTGAGCTCCTGGGCTCAAGTGATCCTCCTGCCTCAGCCTCCTGAGTAGCTGGGACCACAGGTGTGCACCGCAATGCCCAGCTAATTTTTTTATTTTTATTTTTTTGAGATGGAGTCTCACACTGTCGCCCTGGCTGGCGTGCAGTGGCGTGATCTCGGCTCACTGCAACCTCCGCCTCTCAGGTTCAAGTGATTTCTCCTGCCTCAGCCTCCCTAGTAGCTGGGATTACAGGCATGAGCCACCGTGCCCGGCTGCCCAGCTAATTCTTGTATTTTTTATATATGTATATATACATATAGTGACGGTGTCTGTGTATTTTACCCAGGCTGGTCTTGAACTCCTGGCCTCAAGGGATCCTCCTGCCTCAGCCTCCCAAAGTGCTAGGATTACAGGTGTGGGCCACCATGCCTGTCCTAACTTTTCTTTTCCTTTCTTTTTTTTGGAGACGGAGCCTCACTCTGTCACCCAGGATGGAGTACAATGGTGCGATCTTGGCTCGCTGCAACCTCTGCCTCCTGGGTTCAAGCGATTCTGCCTCAGCCTCCCGAGTAACTGGGATTACAGGCATGTACCACCGTGCCCGGCTAATTTTTTTGTATTTTTAGTAGAGACGGGGTTTCGCCATGTTGGCCAGACTGGTCTTGAACTCTTGACCTCAAGTTCTCCGCCCACCTCCGCCTCCGAAAGTGCTGGGATTACAGGCATGAGCCACCACACCTGGCTGTGATGGCTCTTTTTTAAGAGACAGGGTCTCACCCTGTGACTCAGGCTGGAATGCAGTGGTATGATCCTAGCTCACTGCACCCTTGAACTCCTGGGCTTAAGGAATCCTCCCGCCTCAGCCTCCTGTGTAGCTGGGACCATAGGTTTGCGCTACCACCCATGTTGTCTGGGCTGGTCTGGAATTCCTGCCCTCAAGTGATCCTTCTGCTTCAGCCTCCTTAAGTATTGGGATTACAGGCATGAGCCACCATGCTTAGCTTGTGATGGCTCTTAGTGTACATACCTGGGACATATAACTGTGCCTTCTTAAAAGTAGTTATCTCAGAATGCTTAGCAAGCCTCTCTTTGACTTGACTTTAAAAGCTTTGAACACTAGATCCTAACTTTTTGAAGTAAACTTTTGATTTTGAAATGGTTGAAAGTCATTTGAAGCCAAGTCTTTGGAAATAATAATTGATATGAGTTGTGTGTTTGGTCACAGTGCCAATTTAAACTGGGTTGATCTGTCTTACATGGCTGTTATGGCACTGAAGGATATGAAGCATTTGAAATGCTGACATTTTGGAATATTCATTTAAAAATAGGCTGGGGCCGGACATGGCTCACACTTGTAATCCCAGCACGTTGGGAGGCTGAGGCGGGTGGATCACCTGAGGTCAGGAGTTTGAGACCAACCTGGCCAACATGACGAAACCCCATCTCTATGAAAATACAAAAATTAGCCAGGCATAGTGGTGCAGGCCTGTAGTCTCCGCTAATTGGGAGGCTGAGGTGGGAGAATCGCTTGAATCTGGGAGGTGGAAGTTGCAGTGGGCTGAGATCACACCACTGCACTCTATCCAGCCTAGGAGACACAGCAAGACTTCACCTCAAAAAATGAAAATAAAAATAGTCTGGGTACTGTGGCTCTTGCCTATAATCCTAGCATTTTTGAAGTGAGGCAGGAAAATCACTTGAGCTCAGGAGTTTGAGATCAGCCTGGGCAACATAGCAAGTCCTGATTTCTACAAAAAAATTTGAAGCATTAGCTGGGCATGGTGGCATGTGGAGGCTGAGATGGAGGATATCACCAAGCCCAAGAGGTCAAAGATGCAGTGAGCCATAATCGTGCTGTTGCACTCAAGGTTGTGCAACAGAGTGAGACCCTGTCTCAAAAACATACAACAGTTGGTATTAAGCAATTACTTACAGATCTGTGTTGAGGTAGATTAATATGGCACCAATTTGGGTAGACTGGAAGCCATTTTTCTGTTGACTAGAAGATCAGTTTCTTGGAATAGTGCAGGCAGAGGTATAATAAAGGTCTTCTGCTTTGTATTTTCAACCATGTAAATGATCTGAATTTTAAAAAAAATTTTTTAAAAAGCTTTTAGATTGGGAAAGGGCATAAGGGAACAGATAAGATTACATAACAAGATTTGGGAAACAGGATATGAAGAGACAAATTATGATTAATCCATAAAATTGACAAGGACTAGGTGTACAGTTTGGACATTGTTCAGAGAAGGATCTGAATATTAAATTTTCTCTTCTAAACACAATGTGAATAAGTATTTTCACGTTTACTGCATTTCATTGCAATTGCTTCCTGAATGCCTATTTGACATCACAGCTGTCTTTCTAATAATCTTATTAATGTGTGCCTGCAAATTTGACAGTTTTAAGATTTGCCTTGGTTTTAGCCCTGGTTGGATTCCCTAGATTTGGAAAGGGTACTTGTTTATGAGGATATAATGATGTGGGACATATAGTAATGAATATAACAAATAATTCCTAATATGGGATAAGGTCCCCTTTCTCCCAGTGAGAGAACTCATACTGGCTGTTTAGTACCCATACTGACTGCTTGATGTTTCATGATGTCTGCTTTATGAATACAGTAATAATATATTCACCTTGATACTGGTGAAAGATCACTTGTAAGGAATTTTTGGAAGTTAAAATTTAACTTCCAGATTTCACTAGCTTAAGTCCTGAGTGTGAGGGAAATAACCATCTATGCTGTAAGAAGAGCAGACACTGTTACTATAATGATAGTAGCAAAACCAGAAATTGTTTATTACTATCATAGTAGTAGCAGTTTCATTCCAAGCTATTACTATCATAGTAGTAGCAGTTTCATTCCAAGCAACTTTTACCCTTATAAAGCACATGGGGGGCCGGGCGTGGTGGCTCAATTCCTGTAATCCCAGCACTTTGGGAGGCCGAGGCGGGCAGATCACGAGGTCAGGAGATCGAGACCATCCTGGCTAACACGGTGAAACCCCGTCTCTACTAAAAATACAAAAAATTAGCCGGGCGCAGTGGCGGGTACCTGTAGTCCCAGCTACTCGGGAGGCTGAGGCAGGAGAATAGCGTGAACCCGGGAGGTGGAGCTTGCAGTGAGCCGAGATCGCGCCACTGCAGTCTAGCCTGGGGGACAGAGCGAGACTCTGTCTCAAAAAAAAATAATAATAAAGTACATGAGATTAGAATAAGAGCAATAGAAAAGAGAAAAATAACAAAAACAACTTGAGTTCCGAGTTTCTATTTAGGAGTAGTCTGGATAATTCTTCTTATCCTGGATTGTTGTAGCTTCAGAAAAGAGTTCATTAAGGGGTCTACTGAAAAGGTGGTGACTTCTAACTACCTTAATTCAGAATTACTTGAAAGCATGCTGTATTTCTTTTTCTTTTCTTTCCCTTTCCCTTTTTGATTGAGTTTCACTCTCGTTGCCCAGGCTGGAGTCCAGTGGCGCGATCTCGGCTCACTGCTACCTCTACCTCCTGGGTTCAAGCGATCTCTTGCCTCAGCCTCCTGAGTAGCTGGGATTATAGGCTTGCATCACCACGCTTGGCTAATTTTGTATTTTTAGTAGAGACTGAGGTTTCACCATGTTGGTCAGGCTGGTCTCAAACTCCTGACCTCAGGTGATCCACCCACCTCGGCCTCCCAAAGTGCTGGGATTACAACCATAAGCCACCGCACCTGGCCGGAAAACATGCTATATTTCTCTCTGGGTATTGTCAAACTGAAAAAGGGTGGTAGAAATTTCTGACAAGCTTCTTTGTAAAAGAATAGGCACAAGTATGGCAGACTGGTTAAGAAAAAGGAAATCAGAATAGCAAAACATGGTACAATAACCTGTAATCATCCAAAAAATGGGCAAATCTGAATTAGGAGGGGGAAAGCAGAATTTTAATTTACCATGTCACCATCCTTGCTGAATTTTACAGAATTTGATCCAAAATGGCTTAATAAGGGATTGGAAGGCATGATTAGTGATAAATTGATTTGGGGGTTCTCAGTTGTGGGAGTCAGTTTGTTTGGCATTATGTTGATTTGTTATCTATCTCTGGTGGAGCCATTTAATTTAGATGTTAATTTTTAAAAGATGTTCTAGGTTCAGACGTGGTGGCACATGCAAATCCCAGCATTTTAGGAGGCTGAGGTGGGCAGATCCCCTGAGGTCAGGAGTTCGAGACCAGCCTGGCCAGTGTGGTGAAACCCGGTCTCTACTAAAAATACAAAAATGAGCCGGGCATGGTGGCACGTGCCTGTAGTCCCAGCTACTCCGGAGGCTTAGGCAGGAGAATCTGTTGAACCTGGGAGGCGGAGGTTGCTGTGAACCGAGATTGTGCTGTTGCACTCTAGTCTGGGCGACAGAGCGAGACTGTCTCCAAAAACAAACAATGTTCTATTAGCTGAGACAATAGTATTATTCATTTTTAAATGCAAAAAATAAGCTTCTAGTTAGCTTTAGCCCTTTTAGCTTCAGTCTTTTTCCTTGAGGGATTTAATAATTAAATGCTGTATCTGTTCAGTTTGACTATATGAAATTGCTGTTTTTGTAGGTCAGAAGAAGTTGAGTGTGAGCAATGCCAAATGGGTCTGCCTAATACTGTTTACAGTTACATTATTACTTCCTGGCTGACTTATGAATAGTATTTGTTCAAATCAGTATCTACTTACTGCACCAAGCCCTGTGAGAAGCAGTAGTGATAAATAGATGAGAGGTGAGAGTTTGTGTCATTAAGAAACTTGGTCTAATAGTGAAACATATGGAAAGAAATGTATTACTATTGTTGGCTGGGCACAGTGGCTCACACCTGTAATCCCAGCACTTTGGGAGGCCAAGGCTGGCAGATCACTTGAGGTCAGGAGTTAGAGACCACCCTGGCCAACATGGTGAAACTCCCATCTCTCCTAAAACAATATACAAAAATTAGCCAGGCATGGTGGCGCGTGCCTGTAGTCCCAGCTACTCAGGAGACTAAGGCAGGAGAATCGCTTGAACCTGGGAGGTGGAGGTTGCAGTGAGCCAAGATTGTGCCAAGTGTAATTGGAACCCCTAAGATGGGGGCAAGGTGAGGGAAGGGCAGTCAGGATTCCGAAAAGAAGTGGGCATTAGTCTGTTTATTGTGCCTGGAGAGTAAGATTACTTTAGGTGGAGGAAATAATAGTGTTTGAAGATTGCCAGCCATTCAGTTTGTTTAAAGGAAGATGAATGGTACAAGTTTAAAGTCCTTTAAGTTAGTTATCTAATTAATCTGTTGATGTACTAGCTATTGTGTCAAGTGCTAGGAGACACAAATTCAATTTCACAGTGCTAGTAGCTTTTGCTGTAGGCAGTGAGAATCCATTGAAAAGTTTTGAGCAATGTGGTCACTTTCAGATATATATATATATATATATTTGAGACGGAGTCTTACTCTGTCACCTAGGCTGGAGTGCAGTGGCGCAATCTTGGCTCACTGCAACCTCCGCCTCCTGGGTTCAAGCAATTCTCCTGCCTCAGCCTCCTGAGTAGCTGGGATTACAGGCACGCACCACCACTCCCGGCTAATTTTTGTATTTTTAGTAGAGACGGGGTTTCACCATGTTGGTCAGGCTGGCCTCGAACTCCTGACCGCAAGTGATCCACCCGCCTTGGCCTCCCAAAGTGCTGGGATTACAGGTGTGAGCCACTGCACCCGGCTGTCAGATTTACATTTTTAAAGGAAAAGAATGGTTAGCCAGGTTGTAGAAGACAGAAAATGAGGCCTGAGTAATGGCAAAGGAGGCCAGTTAAAAGGCAACTGCATAAATGTTGAAAAGATACTACTGCTTGAGCCAGGGCAATGACATTGGGCTGGAGAAAAAGAGATGACTAGAAAGTTGCAAGTGTCTTACCTTTGGTTAAGATTTACCAGAGTTGAACATTGCCTCTGTAAATTCCTTAGTTTGAATTTCCTTGACTCTACCCACTCTTATATCCTATACCTTTACTATAACCTTCCTGGGGTCATTCTCTGTTTCTCAAATGTTGTTCCTTGAGTTCCCTTTTCATGTTACATCAATTTCCCTGGATAATCTTGTCCAGTTCTGTTACTTTATATACTAGGCTTAAGACTTCTTCAGAGGCCAGGTATGGTGGCTCATGCCTGTAATCCCAGCACTTTGGGAGGCCGAGGCAGGTGGATCACCTGAGGTCAGGAGTTCGAGACCAGCCTGGCCAGCATGGTGAAACCCTGTATGTACAAAAAAAATACAAAAAATTAGCCGGGTATGATGGCATATGCCTATAATCCCAGCTGCTTGGGGGGGGCTGAGGCAGGAGAATTGCCTGAAGCCAGGAGGTGGAGGTTGCAGTGAGCCGAGATCGAGCATTCCAGCCTGGGTAATGAGAGTGAAACTCCTTCTCAAAAAAACAAAAAAAAAACTGAGTTCAGACCGTATATATTCCATATCATTGCTGCAATTCTATGTATATTAAATTGAATTCATTCTCTTCCAAAACCTGCTTTTTCTTTCTTGCTCTTAGTGAATTAGCATTAACCCAATTTTTTGTCATTAGATGATATGGACCATTTCTCTAAGATCTCCATTTTTTTCTTTTCTATCTCGCATACTGTCTTCATCTCTTCTTAACATTTATTGGACTCTCTGTATATTATTGTCACTTCATCTGTTCTGTTCATTACCTGGAAGAATCATCACTATTTAGTACAATAACCTTAGATTTCTTCAGTGGCTTCCCTTCACCTATATAATGAAATAACAAACTTTACTTCATATGTAGCTTTTTACTCTGTCCCCTGAATAATGTTCTTTCTCTAAATCTCTCATTCTTAGTGACTTTGTGAACCGTAGCATCTTTGTTGCAACCACTCAATACTTGGTTCTGCATTATAGCTCAAAAGCAGTCATAGATGGTACATATACAGTGGATGTGGCTGTGTTCAATTAAAACTTTTTTTGTTGTTTTTTAAGACACGGTTGTCTCACTTTATTGCCCAGGCTGGAGTGCAGTGGCATGATTATAGCTCATTGCCTCCTTGAATTCTTGGACTCGAGCAATCCTCTTGCTTCAGCCTCCTGAGTAGCTGAGACTACAGGCATGTGCTGTTAGCACACCCAGCTAGTTTTTAAATGTTTTGTAGACATAGGGTCTCACCATCTTGCTAAGGCTGGTCTCAAGTGATCCTCCCACCTCTGCCTCCCAGAGTGCTGCAATTACAGGTGTGAACCACCACAGGCCCTCATTAAAACTTTATTTGCAAAAACAGATGGTGGATAGTAATTGTTTGTTCACCCCTGCTCAAACACACCTTGTTAAAGCACACACATACCACCGACCTTTGTTCATTGCTGATGCTCTTACTGATAACCCACCCTCCCAGTGAAGTTGCTTACTAGAGTAAGCTCACAGAGGGCAGACTCTTTGGTTTTGCATCTATACCCTGAGCTGGTGAGTAGTATTTTTTTTTCATACCCTGAGCTGGTGAGTAGTATTTTTTTTTCAATCAACTTGGAATTAAGAACTTGTGGAAAACTGGACATTTCGCTATAGGAAGCATTGTGATAGGGAGGTATTATGTAGAAAGTCTGCTCTAGGAAATTGAACATTAACTTTTCATTTGAGTGGCATAGCTAAATATAAGTTTTGATGTAAAGAAATTTCAGATTGGGTGGTGGTAGTGGTTTAAAATACAGAATTTTAACAAAATTGCCTACTTGGTATATCTTAAGAGCAAAAACTTTTACTTAGGTTCTATTAGGTCTAATTGCCTACTTGGGTATATCTTAAGAGCAAAAACTTTTACTTACGTTCTATTAGGTCTGGCCCTGTGAGCATTTCTCAATAAATATTTGCATAATTAGATGCTGTGATCACTCTTCAAAAAGAACTGGCAAGTTAGATTTTGTGCTGTGTGTCTGTGTGTGTGTGTGTGTGTGTGTGTGTGTAGAAGAGAGCAGTGTTAAAAGATCAAGGCTGGGCGTGATGGCTCACGCCTGTAGTCCCAGCACTTTGGGAGGCCAAGGTGGGTGGATCACCTGAGGTCAGGAGTTTGAGACTAGCCTGGCCAACATGGCGGAACCTGTCTCTACTAAAAATACAAAAATTGGCTGGGCGCGGTGGCTCACGCCTGTAATCCCAGCACTTTGGGAGGCCGAGGCGGGTGGATCACGAGGTCAGGAGTTCCAAGACCAGCCTGGCCAGTATGGTGAAACCCCATCTCTACTAAAACTACAAAAATTAGCTGGTATGGTGACGTGCACCTGTAGTTCCAGCTACTTGGGAGGCTGAGGCAGAAGAATCGCTTGAACCCAGGAGGCAGAGGTTGCAGTGAGCCGAGATCTCACCATTGCACTCCAGCCTGGGTGACAGTGAGACTCTGTCTCCTATATATATATATGTGTGTGTGTGTATATATATATATATATATTAGCTGGGCCTGGTGGCGTGTGCCTGTAATCCCAGCTATTTGGGAGGCTGAGGCAGGATAGCTTGAACCCAGGTGGTGGAGGTTGCAGTGAGCTGAGATCGCACCACTGCTGCTCTTCAGCCTGGGCGACAGCAAGACTCTCTCAAAAAAAAGAAAAGAAAAGAAAAAAAAAAAAGAATCAGTTACTGAGGTTGACCATCCCAAATCTGAGAATCTAAGATCCAAAATGCTTCAAGATCCAAAATTTTTCAGTACTGACATGATGTTCAAAAAGGAAATGCTCCTTTTCCAATAATATAATGGAAACATTCCAAAATCTAAAACACTTCTGGTCCCAAACATTTCAGATAAGGATACTCAACTTGTATGTGTATGATGATTTTGTATAATTCAAATTGCCTTCCTTAGCCTTCTTTATACTATTCACTTGTTTTGCTTCTCAGGGATAGTCAAAACATTAAATCACACAAACGAGGGGCCAGGTGCAGCGGCTCACGCCTGTAATCCCAGCACTTCGGGAGGCCAGGGCGGGCAGATCACAAGGTCAGGAGATCGAGACCATCCTGGCTAACACGGTGAAACCCCGTCTCTACTAAAAATACAAGAAATTAGCCGGGCTTGGTGGCATGCGCCTGTAGTCTCAGCTATTCGGGAGGCTGAGGCGGGAGAATGGCGTGAACCCTGGAGGCAGAGCTTGCAGTGAGCCGAGATAGCGCCACTGCACTCCAGCCTGGGTGACAGAGCAAGACTCTTGTCTCAAAAAAAAAAAAAAAAAGAACACATTTCATATTTAAAATCTGAATTGAGATTTTTGTAACCTTTTTTTGAGGACAGAAGGTAATGTCAGCCCTTTCCTATGTGTTCTATCGATAATGTCATTTGTTTCTTTCTTTTCTTCTCTTCTCTTCTCCCCTCCCCTCCCCTCCCCTCCCCTCCCCTCTCTTTTCGACAGTCTCACTCTGTTGCCCAAGCTGGAGTGCAGTGGCGTGATCTGGGCTCACTGCAATCTCTGCCTCCCGGGTTCAAGTGATTCTCCTGTCTCAGCCTCCTGAGTAGCTAGGACTACCGGTGCCCGCCCCCACACTTGGCTAACTTTTTTGTGTTTTTAGTAGAGATGGGATTTCACCATGTTGGTCAGGCTGGTCTTGAACTCCTGACCTCAGGTAATCCACCTGCCTTGGCCTCACAAAGTGCTGGGATTACAGGTGAGAGCCACCGCGCCCGGCCATGTCATTTCTTGTTAGTCTTGTTAAGGTTAAGCATAGCATCATGCAAATGCTGTTTGATTCATTTTCCCTTTCTGATCCTAACCTTGTTTGAGTTTCAGGGAAACTTTTAAATTTTGATCAAGTAAATGAAGTTGCTAGTAGTCAAAGAAGTAATTAATATTAAGTAACAGGAAGGGAAATTGCATTCACTTCTTAGTTCAGCATTTCTGATAATGCTGATTTCTTTCTTTACTTTTCTTTTTTTTTTTTTGAGACGGAGTCTTGCTCTTTCGCCCAGGCTGGGGTGCAGTGGCACGATCTCGGCTCACTGCAACCTCCGTCTACGGGGTTCAAGTGATTCTCCTGCCTTAGCCTGCTCAGTAGCTGGGATTACAGGCGTGCACCACCATGCGTTACTAATTTTTGTATTTTTAGTAGAGACGGGGTTTCACCATGTTGGCCAGGCTGGTATCGAACTCCTTACCTCGTGATCCACCTGCCTCGGCCTCCCAAAGTGCTGAGATTACAGATGTGAGCCCCTCCGCACCAGGAATATGCTGATTTATTTCTTTGCTAGAAGCTTGGCTTGCTTCATAGCTAGTTTTATAGGTACATCATACATCCCTATTTCCCCCTCAGAAGTCATGATCAAACTCACTACTCTAGAGCTCACATTTAAGGGTAATAACATTTTATCATAAATCATTTTTAAATGTATAGTATTTGAGTAAAACCTTAAGCTGCAGTAAAGAAGTATCTTCAACTTGGGTGTTTGCAAATAGTTGTTTTGCCTTCTTTATTCTAAAATATGTATGTTTGCTTTGTTTTTAAAGTAGTGTTGTTACTGTGACTCTGAAGTGTATTCTCAAAAAAAGGGGAAAGTGCAGGGATAGGTTGAGTTTCCAGTGGGGAAGAAAAAAGGAAATGTTACTTATAGGTGGTTAACATGAAAAGTTGGATTAACTTTTTCTTTTCTTTCTTTTTTCTTATTTATTTTTTAATAATAGACACAGGGTCTCCCTATGTTTCCCAGGCTGGTCCCTCAAGTGATCCTCCTGCTTTGGCCTCCCAAAGTACTGGGATTACAGGCGTGAGCCACTATACCTGGCCAATTTTTTTTTTCAGCGTATGACTAAATATAGATTTATCTTTGCAGTAGACAAAATGAATATCAAGTTATTACTATATACATAATTCTTCAGGAATTTATTTGCTACAAAATATGAAATTTCTGTGCTTTAAAATAAAAAATATTGGTTGTATTGGATCAATTTTTTTTTTTGCAGTAGGTCAACCAAGAGAAGGCTTGTATTTGGACTTTTAAAAAATAGGCCATTCTGAAATCCAGAAATTCGTAAGATAATAAAGAACATTTAACTGTTCCTCGTTGTTTGAAACTAATGGAATAAGAAATTATATTGGAGTGATAAGTGTGATTTCTGTGACTAGAATTTCCGATCGTCATCTTTTTTTTTTTTTTTTTCTCCAGGTTAGATTGATTATAGTTCTCCCCTTTTTAGACCTCTCAGGAGAAAGGGAATTTTCCTGCCTTTCTTTGGATAGGTGTCTGCGCAGAGATTTGATGGACATACCATACAACTAAGCTTGGACAATTGGCACCTTTAAACTCCCAGATTTGGTTTAATCACTGTAATATCTTGAATGGGATTTTATCTGGATAATTATCTTATTCATCCTGAATTATTAATTGATCCCAGTATATGGATCTGACAAATTTTCAAAAAGCTGAGAGTACTGTAAAAAATATTTTTTAAAAGTGCCAGGCTTGGCCAGGCGCGGTGGCTCACACCTGTAATCCCAGCACTTTGGGAGGCCGAGCCGGGTGGATCACAAGATCAGAAGTTCGAGACCACCCTGGCTAACACGGTGAAACCCCGTCTCTACTAAAAATACAAAAAATTAGCCAGGCGTGGTGGCAGGCACCTGTAGTCCCAGTTACTCGGGAAGCTGAGGCAAGAGAATGGCGTGAACCCGGGAGGCGGAGCTTGCAGTGAGCTGAGATCGCGCCACTGTACTCCAGCCTGGGCGACTCAAAAAAAAAAGTGCCAGACTTGGTGGCTGAGGTGGAAGGATTGCTTGAGCCCAATAGACCAGCCTGAGCAACATAGCAAGACCCCATCTCTACAAATGGCATGTGTCTGTGGTCCCAGCTACCTGGGAGGCTGAGGCAGGATTGCTTGAACCCAGGAGATTGAGGCTGCAGTGAGCCATGATTATGCCACTGTACTCCAGCCTGTGCTATAGAGCAAGACCTTGTCCCCCTGTGCAAAAAAAAAAAAAAATTTGGTTTTTACAGTTTTAATTTTTGCTAGGGGAGTAGGGAGAGAGATAGGAATGTGATTCTACCATTCCCTGCCCCTATTTATACACATACAATCAGAAAATAATAATTTTAGATCTGTATCTTATTTTGTCCTACGGAGGGATTATGTTGTGCCTTAACTGTAACCCAAGTCTAGATGTATCCCATCTTAATGAGTTTCAGTTTTTCCTTTTCTTTAATTGATTGCTGTTAAATTGGAATGTAGTTACACATAATAGTTAAGCAGGGTTAAAATAATCTTTTTGTCCTTTCAAAATGATAGTTTTATTACCACAGAAGACTACTTATCCTTAATGTTTGTTATAGTTCATTTTTGTTACTAAGTAGTTTGTGTTAATCTCCAGATAGAATATTTCCTTTCAAGGTCCAATTCTTTGGTTCTTGTGTAATAGTCAATTACTGTTGACTATATATAGCCCCCTGAAGCTTTCATGTATCACAGGTAGAGTTTTTAACTGCATTCTCTGTGTATGTCGCTATAATTTGTACATGTACATAATTTTCTTATTTTAAGATGCCAAACTAAGCACATTGTAGACATTTTGGATGAAATTAGAACAAATGATTGTGTGCCATTAATAATAGATGTGGATTGGCATTCTGACCTTAAAGGATAAAATAAGAGGTGTGGTTAGGGCTGGGTGTGGTGGCTGATGCTTGTAATCCCAGCACTTTGGGGGGCTGAGGTGGGCGGATCACTTGAGGTTGGGAGTTCAAGACCAGCCTCACAAACAAGGAGAAACCCCCTCTCTACTAAAAAAAAATATATATATACAAAATTATCTGAGCATGGTGGCGCATGCCTGTAATCCCAGCTACTCGGGAGGCTGAGGCAGGAGAATCGCTTGAACCCGGGAGGGGGATGTTGCGGTGAGCCGAGATCGTGCCATTGCGCTCCAGCCTGGGCAACAAGAGTGAAACTCCATGCTGGGGGTAAAAATAAATAAATAAATAAAAATAAAAAAGAGGTGTGGTTTAGAGGTTAGAACTACTTGCCTGAATGGTTAAACTAATTAAACATCAATTTTAATTAGTCAAATTTGATGAATGCTTTGTTCAAAAAATTTGGGCACCTCATTGAGGAGTCAGTGGATTACCAAGAAATACTTGGTGTTTTTTAAATAATGATGAGCTGTTATGAGAAGTATTATTTTATCTGTAGCATGTGTCTTGCATGTCCTTGCAATTTGTGAAGACAAAATTATTCTGGCAATTTGATTTCAGGTAATAATCTACATGACACTTAAGAATTATAAGAGCCAGCCGGGCTGGCACAGTGGCTCGCGCCTGTGATCCCAGCATTTTAGGAGGCCGAGGTGGGCGGATCACCTGAGGTCAGGAGTTCAAGACCATCCTGGCCAACATGGTGAAACCCCATCTCTACTAAAAATACAAAAATTAGCTGGGCGTGGTGGCGGGCACCTGTAATCCCAGCTACTCGGGAGGTTGAGACAGGAGAAGCGCTGGAACCCGAGAGGCGGAGGTTGCAGTGAGCCGAGATCAGGCCACTGCACTCCAGCCTGGGTAACAGAGCGAAACTCAGTCTCAAAAAAACAAAAGAGTTACAGGATCCAGGCTCACGCCTGAGGCAGGAGGACCAGCCTGGGCAACAGACTCCATCTCTACCAAAGAAAAAAAGAAAAATTAGCTGGGTGTGATGGCATGCGGCTATAGTTGAGAGGCTGAGGTGGGAGGATAACTTGAGCCTGGGAGTTTGAGGCTGCAGTAACAGAGCAAGACCCTGTCTCTTAAAAAAAAGAAAACTATAGGAAAATATGAATGCTTTATCTGAACTTCATAGAATTTTGCCATTTTCAACCCTACCTCCAGTCTGGCAGTAATCAGTCTAGGATTTTTAGATTTAAAATGAAAAGCATCGCTTCAGACTTTGCTCACCAAAACTTAGTATGTAATTCTCTTTTTTTCTTTGCAGAAATGGAATCTATTTGGAATTTGCAGAAGCAAGGTAAGAATGATTAGATTACTTAAAATGTCACTAATAAGTAACCACTGGACATTATTTTTGGGTGGGATTAACAGATGGGTGGTAATTTACCAAATAGACTTTGTATTTTGAGTTATTTAATAACTGCAATCAAAAGGCACTAGCAGCTGGGCAGGGTGGCTCATGCCTCTAATCCCAACACTGTGGGAGGCCAAGGCGGGAGGATTGCTGAAGTCCAGGAGTTCAAGACCAGCCTGGGCAGCATAGCCAGACCCCGTCTCTATTTTTTAAATTAAAAAAAAAAAAAAAATGTAGGGCCGGGCACGGTGGCTCACGCCTGTAATCCTAGCACTTTGGGAGGCTGAGGCGGGTGGATCACCCGAGGTCAGGAGTTCAAGACCAGCCTGGCCAACATGGTGAGACCCTGTCTCTACTAAAAATACAAAAATTAGCTGGGCGTGGTGGCAGGCGCCTGTAATTCCAGCTACTTGGGAGGCTGAGGCAAGAGAATAGCTTGAACCCAGGAGGCAGAGGTTATGGTGAGCCGAGATTGTGCCATTGCACTCCAGCCTGGGCAACAAGAGCGAAACGCCATCTCCAAAAAAAAAGATAGTATTAAGAGTGAATACGAAAAAAGAAAACAGCAACAAAAAGACACTACCATACCAGGACTGGCGAGGATGGGGCAATACTGTAAGTGAAAAAAACAGATGAAAGTATTATTTACCTACTAGATGAAGATATGAATGATTTTTTTCCCCTCCTGGTTATGAAAGTAAGACAAGCCATAAATGTTATTAATGTAGGAAACCAACAAGAATAAGTATTTCCACTTTTGGCTGGTCTTTCTCTGTATTTGTGTGGTAGACAACAAACAGCCTAAGAATTGAAATTCATAGTTCAGAAAAATATTAGCTGTTATAGGAGCCTGAATTGTATCCTATTCATTTTGAATTGAATAGTATACAATTCCTGAATTGTATCCTATTCCTCATTTACTTTGCTAATTAATGTAAGTGAATTTCAGATGGATGTGAAATTCCTAGAATTTCAGGACTTGAAATGTGTAGAAATTTCTCTTATTTTACATATTAGGAAAGTGAGGCCCAGTGAGGTTCCTGTAAACTAGAAAGTGGCAGGACTAGAATGTAGCTTCCCCTGATTTCCCAATGTTGCTCTTTCTTCCGGAGTTACTTTCTGTGTATCTTACCAAACAAATGAAAAAAACATAGACTAGAAAATACACCCTGCAGGCTGGGCACGGTGGCTCACGCCTGGAATCCCAGCACTTTGGGAGGCGGAGGCAGGTGGATCACCTGAGGTTCAGGAGTTCAAGACCAGCCTGGCCAACATGGTGAAACCCCATTTCTATTAAAACAGTTAGCCAGGCGTGGTGGCACATGCCTGTAAATCCCAGCTACTAGGGAGGCTGAGCCAGGAGAATCGCTTGAACACAAGAGATGGAGGTTGCAGTGAGCTGAGATCACGCCATTGCTCTCCAGCCTGGGCAACAAGAACGAAACTTCGTCTGAAAAAAAGGAAAAGAAAATATACCCTGCAAAGTAGACCTACCTGTTTTTACTGTAAAATGGCCGTTAACTCTTAGGAATGAGCATGTTCTTCATGGCAGATTTCCAATGGGTGGCCCTAGGAGTCCCAGAAAGGATATTATTATATTATCTCTGGACTAAACTAGATTGATTCTTAGCTGAAGTGGACTTGAGTTTTTCTGATACTATTTTCAGGCCTTTAAAATTTTCCATTGGGTGACCAGTTGTATTGACTTGCCTTTTTTTTTTTTTTTTTTAAGCATGTATACTTGAAAAAGTTCTTAGGGAAGGTAGAAATTATATATGTGTGTGTATATATATAATATAATATATATAATAAAATAATATATAATAAAAACAGTTCCCTGGCCGGGCGCGGTGGCTCACGCCTGTAATCCCAGCACTTTGGGAGGCCGAGGCGGGCGGATCACGAGGTCAGGAGATCGAGACCATCCTGGCTAACACGGTGAAACCCCGTGTCTACTAAAAATACAAAAAATTAGCCGGGCGTGGTAGCGGGCGCCTGTAGTCCCAGCTACTCGGGAGGCTGAGGCAGGAGAATGGCGTGAACCCGGGAGGCGGAGCTTGCAGTGAGCCGAGATCGCGCCACTGCACTCCAGCCTGGGCGACAGAGCGAGACTCCGTCTCAAAAAAAAAAAAAAATAAAATAAAATAAAAAAATAAAAATAAAAACAGTTCCCCTCCAGAAGAGGGGAGCATGCAGCTTAAATAGTAAGAATTTAGAATAACCCTGGAGTCTTCTTCCAGACACATTCTAACAGTTTTATGTTTTGAATCTGAAAGATCCATAGTCTTTTGTTAGTGCTGAGAATAAAGGCTGGTGTTACTGTGGGAAGTTGAGTCAGTCTTGATTAGGACTGAATTGGCAGTTTTGCTAATTAATTTAACGTCAAGTTTTTGGTGGCAGGTTTTACTTAGATAGTTCCCACACTGGTTAAAATAAATTTTGACTTCATTTGCTGGGAACAGCAAAAGAAAAATCCAAGTGTTTCTTTTAATATTGGATTATTGGTGACAAGCTTTTTTCTTTGGCTGCTGTATTCAAATACACTGCTTTTGTAATCAGTAGAAGTACATAAAACCCTTAAGTGAACTCAACCATCTCTGATCTGCAGGAGTTGAGGCCCTCACTGGCTAGAGGACCCTGTACTTGGAATTCATTGGAATTCCAAATAGCTACTTCCAGGTTGAGAAACTGGATCATACATGTGTTGGTACAAGGAGGAAATGGGCTTGAAGTTTTGTTTTCATAAAAAAATTGGTCAGTTTAAATGATGGTTATTTGGGATTGTTATTGGAATACGGGCATTTTGAGATTCTAGACCTTATTTTTATTTATTTTTTTAACCTTTCTAGATCCCAAAAGGATAATCACTTACAATGAAGCCATGGATAGTCCAGATCAATGAAGGACCAGACTGCCTATTCGTAACCTTTCTGCAGCATTAGAGCCATCGTTCATGGGGGACACAAGGCTTTTATGCTCCTAGATCTTCAACGCAGCAGAGGAACCATAAGTAGAATCACAGGATAATATATACAAATATATATATATACATATATATATATATAGTTATTTAAAAAAGGCAACTGAAAGTAATTAGACTTCTTAAGGAATCAAATTTATTTCAAGAGACTACACATGGTTATTTAATCTCCGGTACTGAATAGGTTTTTTTTCTTCTGTTAGTTTTTGTTTTTAAGTGTGAATGCAAGTGATTAATGAATACAGACTTAACAAGTGTGGTTCTAAAGTTCCTGCTGTCATCAACTTGGGCAACAAATGACCCACTGGAAAGGCAAATCCACTTAAAAGATCTCTGTATCTTGTTCTGTGACTGAAGTGATACACTAATCACGGGGAACCCAGAATGATTCAACATTTTCCCCCCACTCCTCCCTTGATCTTTTTGGTTTTACTTTAATTAAGCCCTGCGAGAATGCTGGATAAATGCCTTGAAGTTAGCAGGGTGTATTTTTTTAGCGAATATGATTTGCATGTCTTGCCAGGAGTTAAGCGGCCTCTGGGGTGTTGGGGAAATACTTTATTTCTTTCCATTTATTTTTTGTGGGGCGGGGATAGGGGAGGGCATTGAAGTTCTACAATTCTGGAATAGTTAGTTGATGGTACATAGTTAACTTGGCTTCGGTTACATATTGGACTTTAACAACTGAAGAATCTATGCGTGTCATTTAAAGAAAAGTTGCAGAACAAGCAATTGGCTTAGATATACAATCTGGAAAAATATTCCTGTGCCCATATTTTAATGTAATTGTATAACTGGGAGCAAAAATATATTCTGCTTTTCAACTGTAGGTGCTCCAGACTTGCTCTCCGTCACTAACACTAAATGTGCTGTTTTCCTTGTTTTTCATCAAACATTTAAGACAAACTTAGACCTTTCTGTAAATTATCTTTTAATTTCTCAGCAAAATCTAAAAGGGGAAGAAAAAAGTCCATGAAAACTAAAACTTTTCATGTTTTTAGCCAGTGAGAAGATAATAAACCCTGACTGTAGAAGGTGTGTTTTCATGCAAACTATACTTCTGAGCTTGTTAGCTTCTAATTATATCTTAATAAATATATTTTATTACTAGAGCAAGATGGGTTTTTAAGGAAAATAATGTGAAATTCTGGAAATTTTCTTTGGGGCAGAGAAGAGCATTAGCCCTGTCTTATCATTACATTGCCATCCTGTTGCACTGCAGCTTGTGTATAGCATGCTAAAATAAATTTTTGTGTGTGTGTGCAGAAATTAAGGGTCCAATTGAGATTGGGTGATGTTAGTAACATAATAACAAGTTGTCTGGCCTGACACAGCATCACATCACACACACAGAAATTAGTATATCCATGTATGTCAAATACAGGTTAAAATATCAGGGCATTTATATAAAGAGTTGTAGTCTTCTGATAAAAGTAGACTGGATCCCCTGGGGTATTTGGGGAGAAAGTAACTACTTTGGCTCTACCCCTAGAAATGTCCAGTTTTGAGTGACTGTAGTATGGATGGGTTTTCTTGTTTTGTTGATTATTTGAGGCTTTTAAAACAAGTAGTTCATGAAAGAAGCTGTTGGACTCAACATAGAGTAGAGTAACTATCTTTTTAGTCTGGATTTCTGCCCTGCTTAGATTTTAAAAGTATAAGCATGGATTGCCAATTCCACTTGATGTAAACAAAACTTTTTTTTATACATAATATATATATATATATATAAAATAACTTATTGTATCAGTCCAGGTTCAGAAACTTGTGGTAGGCCAGTTCCAGATAGTTTCATTTCACCTGTAAACTGTATCACTTTGACTGATATTGTAATTTTCAAATGTATAATATGTTTACAGATGTGCCCTGCATTTAGTCTGCCTTGTTCCTATTTTGATTTTTGTTGAGTCTCCTGCCTGCTTGCCAAAAGCTAGGATGCTTCAGGCCCATGTACAATTGAAAGCAGAGGCATCCTTGAGCTTTAAAGCATTGAACAAACTGGAAAATGCAACATACCACATAACTGAAGTGAAAAAAGTCTGTGTTTTTGTGTTTTTTTAAATAAAAATTTTCAAAAAGTTAAAAAAAAAGACATATAAGGTTGATTAAAGGGAAAAAAGGCTCCAGTTTGTTTTACAGGTTTTAAAGTTCTGCTGTGTGTTCAATTGCCTTGTGTAACCACTTGTCGCCTTAGGGCCAGATTCCCCTCTCTAGTCCCCTTTTTTAAATGTCCATTTTGCTTGCCTGGAATTTTAAAGTTCTTCCGTCTCACAACTCACAAGAAACTTTCTGGGTTTGTGACATACAGAGGTTGAATTGAGTATATATTTGAAAAGGAAAAAACAAAAAACAAACCCAGACCCCACCTGAATTGGGCTTTTTAACTTAGAAGCAACACTTGATTAAACATCTTTAGAAAGCTATTGCTTTTCTAATTTCCTTCCATATCCCTCAGGCCTCAGTGTTCAGAGAAGCCAAAAAGAATGTATCACTTCTCTGTCTGTCCAAAGGTTTTTGAGAGTCTCACTTCTAAATGAAACAATGCAACATTTCACTTTGATTTCTCCACTGAAATTTCCTTGATTATATGGTTAGAGGTATGTAGTTAGGAATGTCTGTTAACTTTCTGAGAACCCTAGTGCCCCATCATATTAACTGTCAGTATTTTGGGGGCATTAGGTTAATAGACTTAATTGCCTAGGTACAAGCAGGACTTTGGGACAAATCTCTTTGTGCTGTTTGGTAACACTTAACTCTATTTGTTGCAATCTTTCTCCTTAGGTCCTCACACAATTCCTTACAGAGCACTTATTAAAAAAAAATCTTAAGAGTTGATCTGTTTTCTGATTATTTTGTGTAAGCTTCTAAACAAACTTCAGCTGTGATTAATTTAGCACATTTAAATAACGTGTTATTGTTTGGTATAAAGAATTTTCCTTCAACTCAGAGTATTAGTACTGTAGCATAAACCAAATACAGTCTAGAGGGGATTTTTAACATCCCTCCATTATAAAGACTGAAAAAGGGGTGTGTGTGTGTGTGTGTGTTTATGTATGTATGTATGTGTGTGTGAGGAAAAGATGGAGATATTAAAAATTAGTAAATGAATGTGTATAAGACATTAGTATTCAGAGAATGAACTTGTATTTATTTTGTGCCATTTGTTTTCATTACACAGAAAAAAGTCAGGTGGTTTAAATCCTTAAAAGGGTAGTATTGAAAAATGGCACTAAGAATGAAATTATGACCTATTTTTTTAATAGCTATGAAGATACTAATTATGGGTGAAGATTTCTTTTTAAATCTGTTTTGATTATTGTAGGCTTCTGTGTCACATACCACTCTTGTAGGTGTCCTCAATAATCCCCTTTTCCCACAAAATACACAGGGTGTATTATCTTTCTCTTTATTCACCCCCACTTTGCTGAACTGAAGTTAATTACATAGCCTTTCTTCTAACCTCCTTAGTAATGAACCTTCACATAAAGTGTATTTACAGCGTCTGTGGTAGCCAGCCCTTCCTCCTCTACTTTCTAGGAGGGGATAGCCAATAACTAGGAATTTAATGACAGATTTTTTTTTCTTTGAAATAAATGGCCAGAGTTTCTCCATTTTAGAATTTTGTTGTCCTCCTTAATCATCTGCTTACCTAGTCATTACTCAATCTGCAGAAACTTCATAAAGGAAAAGTGCTGCATTGTTTTTACAAATAACAGTTTGTAGGGAAAATATGACAAACCTCAACTATGGGAGTTGTCCACAATACAAAATTTTGAAAAAACATTACATAGTGATAATATCATACTTGGTTGTTAGGCTTGTTGCTTCCCCACATCAGAGGCATCTAATGATTTATCTTTTGTAATTGCTGTGAACTTTTTTAAATAAGCCATTTAGTGTGAAATTGTCATGTATCAAATGGCTATTGGAAATGGACTTTACTCAATTTTAATTCCACTGTAAATAAGGACGGAGTCATTCCTACAAGGCTCTCTTCAGAGAAATAGATTAAAAGTCCAATTTCCAGGTATTATTAGTATAGTTATGCCGCTGGGCCACATCCTCAACAACAGCTGATCCCTCTTGTATAAATATGTTAACTGTGCAGAACAGTTATGTTATGGGACAAATATAATGGTCATTATGGTCAGATTGGTTGATGCCACACCAGTCAAGGTAGAGTCTGATAGGGCAGTATCTTAATAACCCTACCCATGACTTAACTGTTGGATTTGAAAGGAAAACGTAGGATTTGCTCTTGTCCCCTTACCCGCCACAAAATTTTGATAATTTGTTTAAAAGGGAGAGGCAGAGGAAAAGACTAGAAGCATAAATAGCTGCTTTAGGTTTGCCAGAGGCACATAGCTTAACATTAGTTCTTAATATCGATGTTATTTTTACTAATGTAATTAATCAACAGAGCACCAAGATTCTTTCATGGTGAAAAGGGTGGGCTTCTGTTTTGGTATCTTAAAATGTTTCTTTTAAAATATACATCACCTGTGTGAGAACCAGGACCACCTGGGAGAGTGATGAATCATTGGCTCCACTCAAAAGCATTGCTTTACTGAGTTTTAAATTTCACACTGTTTTGCCGCTCAAGAAAGGTCTTAAAGTAGTTAAAGGATGCCAGCAATAGTGCGAATAGAATTTTCGGTTGTCTGCATAATAAAAACACCCATTGCAGCATGATTGGTATGTTGCTCTTGCATTATTGGGAATGGTAAATCAGTTATGGGCTAGAAACTATGGAATGGCCGTCCTCATATGTGATGGGATTGCTGATTCAGACTTCCCTATTTTCCATACAATTTTGTTATGTGCAGAGTTCTAAAGCCATTTTATAATACTGCAGTATCCCCCCCCCCCCCACCTTTTTTTTTTTGAGACGGACTGTCTGTTGCCCAGGCTGGAGTACAGTGGCGCAATCTTGGCTCACTGCAACCTCCACCTCCCTGGTTCAAGCAATTCCCCTGCCTCAGCCTCCCATGTAGCTGGGATTACGGGCGCACACCACCACACCTGGCTAATTTGTATTCTTAGTAGAGACGGGGTTTCACCATGTTGACCAGACTGGTCTCGAACTCCTGACCTCAGGCAATCTGCCCGCCTCAGCCTCCCAAAGTGCTGGAATTACAGGTGTGAGCCACCGTGCCCGGCCAAGTATCTCTTTTCTACAGCCTTATTAAACTAACTACAAACATTTATTTTCCAATTTAGTTTTACTTTCAGTGCATATCAAAGTTGTTGTACTCTTCAGACCAACAAATTAACTTGAGGGCAAATTACATAGCTTTCCATGTACCCTTTTTTCCTCAGGTGCTAATCAAAGGCTCTGAAAATGGATACTGCTTTAGTGATGTCTGCTTTATTCTTAAAATGCTTATTTCTTTTGCTAGATGTAAAGATTTGGTGTTAACAAAAGTGGTTTTAATATGTAAATATGAATGAATGCCTTTAGTTTACCCTGTTTGTCTATTATTAATCTGTTTTCATTTATCCTTCATAGAGGAGGATCCTTTCATGATCTTGAATACATTTCATTAGATATTGTTGCATTTTAAGAATGAAAATACAACTGTTTTCTGTCTTAGATTAATCCTGCTGCTATGAGAAACTGAAAATCAAGAATGTGATGCACTTTTTACATTACTATATACCATACATATACCATAGGTTGCTTTGATACCTTTCCTGTAGCACAGCCACTAACAAGAGTGAATGAATTATAAAATTCTTTTTGGGAGGGAATCAATACAAGTAACTAATTCTTAGCTGATATTGTCCTATGAAGGACAATAACTTAGGAATATAAGAATTCTGTTAATAGTACACTTTTTGGCCTTAAATGTCTTCTACTACTGAAAATAGTTTAAATCTTAGCTTTGTTTCTATTATTCCCTCTCTCTGCCTCAGAAAGAGGAATTGGGAAGAATGGCTTAAAGGACGTGGTGTCATTGATTTGTTGCTGATCTTTTAGAAAACATTTGTCTATGTAAGCTGGGGACTTATTTTTTGTTTGTATATAGAGGGGAAATAGTGCTGCCCTGAACCAATCAGATTTAGTTTAAATCAAATCAATCAAAACTCCAGCTGTTTCTCTTGTCTTTTTACTTAGCAAAGGAAAACTTTAGTGAATGCTACTTGACAAGAAGAAAAGTCATTTCTCAAGCACATACCCAAACTTGAAGGTGATTGAACCCAAAATAATGGGTGGGAAACACCAAATGAGGTGGAGGAATGAGAAAGATGTGTGGGCCAAAGCTATCTGGTTATATTTTGATGTTGCCAATATCGCAAAGCCAAAATTTTAATTTGCTTATTTAATATATTTGTTGGCCAGAGATCTATTTTTATATCAATGTGCCTTGCATGTATATTAAAAAAAAAAAATTGGAAACGCCATGTAGTAATGCCTGAGATAGTCGATGGTTCTTACCACCTCACTAATTTTTATGCAGTATGAAATGCTCATTCTATTGCCCAACTGGTGCTCTCTGTTTAAAGTTACAGATCTTGCGAAACTGGAACTATTTTATAAGCTGGGGAAGTGATTTACTTTTTTTGTTGTATCTTTTTTGTTCTTAGTCTGTTAGTGGCTGTCCTGTAGTGGGAAATAGTAAAAGGATTCTTCACTCCCTTCTCCCCTCAGCACCTTCTTCAAGTAAACATTTCTTGTGTGCTTTGAAAAAAGTTTCAGCTTGCTGTCTCTTTTAGTGTTTTAAAGAAGTGTTATACAAAGCATTGTTTGCAAAATATAGGGAGATAATGGAGTCCACTTTAATTTGGAATTCTGTGTGAGCTATGATCCAAGTTATCAGCTCTTTCCAACTTTAAAAATTTTGTTAAAAGCACCTTGCTTAGAAAATTTTAAATATTTATGTCTGCAACAATTGTCTCAAAATAATAAACTGTGCAATTCTTGTCATTAAAAAAAAAAAAGATCTGAATTTTCCCTAATGTGACTTGTTAGTTTCTCTCTGTATTTCCTGCCAGTGTAAATGTGAAAGCTTTGCTTGCATTACGTTTTAGAAATGCATTTTGCACACTCGAATTTTGCCGAAGCTCCGTGAAAAGGTTAGATCTAAGTAGATGAATAAAGCTATGCACATGTTTTGAAAGTTTAATTTGTGTGTCATTACCAAAAGTGACCGATTTGTCCTTACTACTTTGCTGTTGTTAGCTTTACCATCTTTGGAAACTTGGCTCAAAGTTACATAGTTCTGGGCTAGCTCATCAGTGGAACTAGGAGAGAGGAAAACTGGCACCTATTTTAATAAAGTTCAATTTAAACGAGAGCTTGACTTGTATCTATTAAAGAGCTTTTCTTGAAACAGGGCAGTTTTATCAGCTTTACAAATCATTGGATGCTCTTCCTTAGTAATATTTTGGTTTATTTGATCAAATAGAAATGGAAAGTAATTCAAACTGAAAGACCCTTTTTTGTCATATGGAACTTGGTGACGATTTTTTGTCTTAAAGCTGGTTTAAAGGTAGGATAGGCTTTTACCTTTATTGCTTTAGCATAAATTTGGTTTACTGAATTGACTGGCTTGAGATTAGAATTATTCAGTTGTTTGTAAGATCAAAGCACTGGTTGTTTTAAAGATAACGTGTATCTTTTAAAAAATTGCCCAAGCTGATTAGAACAAGTTTAGGAGTTGGGTACATTTGGTTCAAGTGCTGCAATCTGTATGTACTAAATAGCTTTACTTTGTGTATGTGTACTTATAATGTGTAGATGTACTACTACCCAGGTTTTGTCAAATCATCTTTTTTAAAGTTTTTTTTTTTTTAATTGGTTCAGGACCTTTGTAGGAGAGGCTAATATGTTTAAGTAGAAGATATTACTGATAGCATTTTCCCCATGCTCCTACATAAAAAATAAATATTTCCATTTTATAGCTTTTTCAATATACAGAAGAGGGTTACTTCTTCATCAAGTATATTGTTGCCTTTGAGGACACAGCAAAACCCTTCTATATGTATCTTCATTGATAGTGGCAGTTAAAAACTAAGTTATCCAGTTAAGACTTAAAAGGTGACCCATATTAATTGCATGGCCTTAAAAGGCAGAAATGCAGGAGTGTAGCAAGCATCATTTTAGATGGCTATGGTTCCTCTTCCGCATCTGTCAGTAGTTCACTTATGTTCAGTCTTAGAACCTACTGGAGGAGTGAAGTAATTTCTCTGTCTCGTGCAGAGGCACTAAGGAGCTGAGTTACCTCTTAATCTGGGGGAATGGATAATAAGTGGAGTACAGTTATGTTAAAGGATGTTCCCCCCGCTCAAAAAAAAGTTTCAATGTTTGTTTTGCCCAGTCAAAAATATAGGTCTTTTCTACATATAAGAACAGTCACCAGAAATTTTCCCTTTTGCTAAATGCTTAGGTATTTGCTATAGCTGTTTCTGATGTCATGGATTCTGAGGAAGTGTCATTTACGTGATGATCTTCCTTTATTGATGTCTTCATCATGTTCAGTGTTTTAAAAATATAAATTACAAACACTCTACAACCATACCCAGATTTACTTATTTTATCAGAAAAAAAACTTGAGAAATTTGTAGATCAAATTGAGAGACAATAAGTGTACATTGTTGAATAAAAAATTTTAAAGTTTCTGAGGTGTTTGTTATCTTTTGTGTGCTTTAATTTTTTAAAAAGTCTTTACTGACTAATCTTAAATTCAGCTGATAAAAAGTAAAAAGAAAAACAAACCGAAAACTAAGTTTGTGACATTGATAATGATTTTTTTCCAAAGGGTCAAATATGTGAAGAATTTAAGTCTTCAGTATACTATGGTCCTATGATTTTAAAAAAATTTTTTAATCATACAGGTTTTTACAGTGCTTAGAATTAGCTTGCTTATTGAAAAATCCAGAGCTATCCTGCCTTTTTGCAGGACATTAAGCCTTATGCCCTTCCAATTGAAATAAATCAAAATTGAGCTAAGCAGTTGAGCAACTAGAATGTTAAGTTGCCAAGATTCTGGATTTATTCATAACTTTATGTTGAAATATGTGGCAGTACACACTGGAGAAACTTCCTGTTTCTTTAGTACTGATTTGTCACAAGGTGAAAGGAAAATCAATGCCAACTTCAACATTATTAGAAAGAGCAGGAGACGGGAGGAAAGGACATAAAAACATTTACCAAAAGTGTCAGTCGCTATAGAGATTGATAACATTTAGGTCATATGCTTTATTGTTCTTTGAGATAAGGAATAATTGTCCTTGGCCTGGTGAGTGACTTGCAAGGACACAAAAGAGAATGTGGAGTTTTATGGAAGCTTGACTTAAAAAATTCTCATCCAGACAGGCGCAGTGGCTCAACACCTGTAATCCCAGCACTTTGGGAAGCCACAGTGGGTGGATCACTTGAGCCCAAGAATTCGAGACCAGCCTGGGCAACATAGTGAGACCTCATCTCTACAAAAAGTACAAAAATTAGCCAGGCATAGTGGCAGGCACCTGTAGTCCCAACTACTCAGGAGGCTGAGGCAGGATCACTTGAGCCCAGGAGAATGACGCTGCAGTAAGCCAGATCGCACCACTGCACTTCAGCCTGGGTGACAGTGAGACCCTGTCTCAACAACAACAAAAATTCTCATCCACAGGCCGGGCGTGGTGGCTCACGCCGGTAATCCCGCACTTCGGGAGGCCGAGGCGGGCAGATCACCTAAGGTCGGGAGTTCGAGACCAGCCTGACCAACATGGAGAAACCCCGTCTCTACTAAAAATACAAAATTAGCCAGGTGTGGTGGTGCATGCCTGTAATCCCAGCTACTCGGGAGGCTGAGGCAGAGAATCACTTGAACCCGGGAGGCGAAGGTTGTGGTGAACCAAGATAGCGCCATTACACTCCAGCCTGAGCAACAAGAGCAAAATAACTAAAAAAAAAAAAAAAATTCTCATCCACTTAGGTGTGATTTATGTGAAGCATGGTAGTTAATTCAGTCTACAAAGTTTTTTTTTTTTAAATGACGTTTATTGTGGATTTCAGCAGCTAACATTTGAAAGCAATGTCTGTGAGCAGAACATAAAACTTATTCTAGAGTGCTTAGCAAGGTCTCATGCTTGAGGAATTATCGTACTTGGAGCTTTTAATCAGCTACTGTTGGATTCGGCGAATCGATTGGATCTGCGAAGTCTGGGCATGAGAGCCCCACTCTCTCCAATGTTTATAGTCTCCTCCATGATGGTCACATTCCAAGATATACTGATACCCACGATATCCAGGATATTGGTAGCAAACCCAGCTAGGAAATTCAAAGTACATTTCATTATTAAAACTAATTAGGAATCTGGTTAATACCCCAAAACCTGAGCCTCTTTACTCAACACAATGGTATGAGATGCTTTTAGGCTTAGAAAAAATAGCCATCCTAAATGTGTCAGGCACTATTTGTAAGCATAATATGGCTATAGCTAGTTAATTAGCCTTAATCATCAAAACAGGTATAAGTAGTCAACGTAAATTCTTCCATAGAGGCATGTCTGGGGGAGATAAATCTGCAACCTAAAGTGGTAGTTGGTATAAAGAAATTGAGATTCAAAATTATGTAGAACTAGAATGTGACATCTATACCGATACGTATGAAATCTGATTAAAACATAACTATTGATGCAACCTCAGGAGTTACTTTGAAGTATATTCCAACCCTGTTTTTGTACTTACGCCCCACTTTGTATCTTCATGGAGCCGACTTCGTTGTTGAACCAGCCCATGGCTTGCAAGGAGGGGTAGTCGTCAGAGATCTCCCACTGGCGTCCAATAAAGTTTTCCTTCTCAAAGATGGTCATCTTAGACTCCTTATGATTCTGTAATTCAGAAATTGTTTTAAAATGTTTAGTACTAGTGCTATGGCTATCATTCTTCATGTTTTTCAAAATTGAAACACTTTTGGATTATACAAGGAAGCACATGATAATTTAAAAAGATTAAGGCAACAGATTTGTGAGAAAAAAGTTACCCATAATTTTGTTTATTCCAATTTAAATACCATAACATTTTGAATGTACAAATAACTGATATACTATTTTGGAACAATGAAGAGGATTTGACAGTGAGAAAAAGTACTAACAAAATGCAGCCAACCAAGGGATTAATATTCACTAATGTGAAAAAAGATCTCACAGATTATTACAAAAAGTAAGCCCAAATATGTATGTGTGCGCTTGCGTGTGTATGTGTGTTGTTGGATATAACCTGTATGTCCAGTAGGGGACATGAATACTACACAAGCATTAAAAAGACAGAGACTAACCTGTATGAACTTCAAAAATGGACAAAACTGTTTGGTAATAGAAAGTGGTAGGGGAGCAATTGAGTGGAAAGGGACACCAGGGAACTATGATGGAATGTTCTTTATATGGTTAGGGTGTTGGTTACATGGATCTATATATTTTTCAAAAACTCATGAGAATATTCACTTAGGGTCTGTGCATTTTACTGTATGTCAGTTATACCTTAGGGTGGGCAAATGAAATGTTTTTAAAAGTGAGATTGAAATAATTTCCAGACAGGCAACTATTTATTTGGATTAGAACTATTTAGGTTAACTTCTCCACCAGTTGAATTTTGGCAAGACTTTGAACCAAGATGAGATTATTAACCAAAATCACGAGAAACTCTCACATAGACTGAATATTTGGAAAGGTTCTAGCCCAACCTAACTCCTAATACAGGGATCATTTTCAACACACCCCTTAAGGTCATTCTGCTTTCTGCTTGAACTGTTTCCAAAGACCAGAAACATCCCAGCCTGATGCATTATTGAGTAATACTTAAGTGTTCAGAACAAGAAGATTATTATCAATCAGTGTAGATCGATACTGGAAGACTTGCCTATTTCGTCAGTCATTCCCACTTACTGAAAGGTTACTTCAGCATTTTCCTGTTTCTGCAGTAAAAATGTTACACAGATTGAAATTTAACTGGCCAAGGATTTACTTTTTGCTGCAGGGTAAGCACTTTCACTCATTTACTAGTGTTTCACAAGTTTACTGGGCTCTTGAGTATCCACTTATTGCCACTTGTAAGACCCTTAGTTTTAGCTTAAGGGAAGTACCACCTGGTGGAGAAAAATCAAATAGCAGGCTTAGAGAAGAAAGTGATGTTTTCTCTTTTTTTACTTTTGTCTTTTTTCCTGCCACATTCAGCATAACTGATGATAAATAGCATGAACGTCAGTCTGTCCACACCCTCTTGTCCCATCCCTCATATGCACGGAAGTGGAAATTTCAGAGACTCACAGCTGAACAGATGGGGCGGAAGGACATGAGACGCTCAATGTGGTAGGCATTACTCCCACTCCAGGCATCCCAGCGAGGGTATTCTCCTCTCTCCAGGATAAACTGTTGCCCACAGAAGCTGGTATGCTCATAACCAATCCAGCTGCCAAAGACATGTAGTGTTTGTTCATGGTGTTCAAAGCCTATATGGCCTTGGGGAGAAGGCATCTTTCGTTTTAGATAAGTCAATAGTGGGGTAAAATATCAAGCCAATCCCAGTAGAGCTGTACAAAGTAATTTGTCACAAGAGTTGAGGAATGAGTTGACAGGTATACTAAGCAGGTTAGTGAATGTAATATTTGTTTGGGGGTTATCACTGAAAAGGTCTATCTACTTCACTGGTCTGAGTGAAGTGTATTAGCAAAGCCAATCTAAAATTATATTTCCTGGCTGGGTGTGGTGTCTCACGCCTGTAGTTCCAACGCTTCAGGAGGCCAAGGCAAGCAGATCGCTTGAGCCCATGAGTTGGAGACCAGCCTGGGAAACATGGCGAAACCCCGTCTACAAAACTCAAAAATTAGCCAGGCGTGGTGACCCACTACTGGCAGTCCCAGCTATTCAGGGGGCTGAGGGTTGAGCCTTGGAGGTGGAGGCTGCAGTGAGCCATGATTGTGCCACTGCACTCCAGCCTGGGCAACAGAGTGACACCTTGCCTCAAAAAAAAAAAAAATTTTTTTTTCTTTTTCTCCAAATCACCTATTCTCTACCTGTTTCAGGATCTAGTGACTGTTGCAAGCTTGTCCAACCTGTTGCCCAAGGGCTGCATGCAGCTCAGGACAGCTTTGAACGCAGCCCAACACAAATTTGTAAACTTCCTCAAAACATTATGAGTTGTTTTTGTTGTTGTTAGGTCATCAGCTATCGTTATGGTATTTTATATGTGGCCCAAGACAATTCTTTCAGTGTGGCCTAGGGAAGCCAAAAAGATTAGACACCCCTGGACTATTGCTTTGGCTCAAGCCAAACCTGTTGGCTTCTTCTTAAGAAAGCACAGGGATGAACAAGCAACTGATGGATTACTAGTCTTTTTTCTTCCTGTGACTTGCGAGTTCTTTCTCCTAGTGCCCCATACCTGTACTTAAAACTTGAAACACTCAGCTCAGTTTTTCACAACTGGGTCTCAGTTAGTGATGACACCTTAAAGTGTTACATCTTTTAAAGGACTGAAGAGCTTAATTTTGGTGGCAAGCAACTTGTGGAAGCCTATCCACATGCAAGGCCAATTCTGCCTAGTCAAGGGTGAGTCTTTTCCTTAGGTATTTTCAGGCTAATGATAAAGGCCTCAACTACTCTGCCAAGAGTCAGAGGACAAAAATGAGAGGGTCTCCCTCACCAAGATTAACCATCAACAAGAAACTGCCTGAAAGATGAATCAGGAGCTAATATGTCTCTGGAGTCGTGGGGTTAAGGTTTTTTTTTTCATAAAGAAATTAGCTAACAGTGTCTGCTCTGGGATATGCAGGAGGAGAGTTAGCCATGAAGAGGCAGCCACTTGACACTTTCTTCTCTACCAATTTTCTGCAGGCAAGAAAAACTCAAGGGTCTTGTGGCTGTTCTGAGGGCACCCTAGGTAGCAGCCTGTGAGCTCCAGAAGCAAAATTTTGATTACTGCCACTGTCCCACCCCATTGTATGTATTTCTTTATCCAGCCCCTGAAATCTAGTACCAAGCCACTAAGAACCTCATGTTCCTTCCTTCTAGCTTTGGCTTACTAAATTATGCATGTAGTGATTTCTTTCGAGGCCTGTCTCCGAGAAATGACTAGAGCCTAGGGGAACATCCTTCTTCCCCTATCCCCACTCTATGGTCCCCTGTCTGAAGGGACCTGAAATAAGGGGCTGCGGTTCTGCGGAAGTCCATACTCACGCGCCACTTTCCACCTTCAGGGACCGGACATTATCAAAACTGCGCTCAGAGACATTTGGACAGGAGCTGGTGAACTCCATCCTCTTGCCCTGAAAGTTCTCCTGATCATAGATGGTTATCTGAAATGAGATTGAATGGCGCAAGAGAGCTAGAACATCAGGAAAAACAGAGGTCCAGGTCAACAGCTTAACTTCAGTCTGACTCTGTGCTTTCTGTTACCAGCTGTAGCCTGGGATGCCTGATGAGGTCTCTTCCAGTGTAGACAGGGCAGGAAGGGGTTTGAATTAATGCCACTGGTTGGTGTTCATTTGCCCAGAGTAGGGATGAGGTGGAGGGAGGATTGGTTTATGATAGAAATGGTCTGCCAGGGATAATATCTAGACCAATGGACAGGCCAAGGACTTATGGGCTCCCATTCCACCACAGTTCCTTCATAAGCATGGCCCAGAGGCCAGGATTCTGGGAGTCCCAGGAGCTCCTTATAGATTCTTAGCTTCTCCAGCCATACCCCCTATAGAAACCTAGAGTGTAAAGGAGAGTTATGGTCAACCCTTTTTGTACATTGAACTAAAACCTGGCTCGTGGACCTGGCCAGAGGACCACTCGCAAAGCTGTGAGCTGGCCTCAGAGTTGACCCAATGAGGAGAGTGGGGAGTGTTGGAGAGAGGCCAGTGAGAGGCCTGAGGATCAGCCACTTCGGCCAATGGTTAAAGCCAACCTCAGGATGGGAGGCTGAGTCCTGTAATTTATTTGGGATCTAGTAGTAAATATCTTTATGGGCCCTCATTTTCTCCATGGACATAACTGTTGCTGGGCTGCTGTATTTTAAGATGACTTTAGTGGGGAGGAGAGAGGAGTTAGGAAACTAGGTATCATCTCCCACCCATCAATGGCATCCACAGTCATCCTTCCTTTGTCCAGTGGGACATCCTGAGAGATCCTTCCTTCGACAGCACTGGAGCTTGTGTGGACCTTTCCCCTACAAACTGGGGTTTTTCTGGTCAGTCACTGCCTTATGGACGAGCACAGGCCTGGGGCCTGCTCTGTGCAGCATGTCACCCCTGCCCTGTTGGATGTGATGGGGGTGGGCTTACCTTCCATGGCCCCAGGGACCCCGGCGTAGGGTTGGTCTGAGCCATCTTGGTGGTTGGAAGGGTTTCTGGAAGACAGAGCACACACGAATGATGTGGCCTCTTGGGAGGAGGGGGAGGTGAGGGAATGCCTTGAAAGGTAAAGGAGACTTGAAGTCTGCAAGACAGACTTTGGTTGAAATTCTGGCTCTGCTGCTCACTAGCTGTGCCTCGGGGTTTGTTGTTGTTGTTGTTGCTATTTTGAGACAGGGTCTTTCTCTGTCATCCAGGCTGGAGTGCAGTGGCACAATCTCACTTCACTGCAACCTCTGCCTCCTGGGCTCAAGTGATCCTTCCGCCTCAGCCTCCCATGTAGCTGGGACTACAGGCATGCACCACTATGTCCAGCTAGTTTTTGTATTTTTAGTAGAGATGGGGGTTTCACCATGTTGGCCAGGCTGGTCCCAAACTCCTGACCTCAAGTGATCCACCGCGCCCAGCCTGAGCCTCAGTTTTTCCATTGGTAAAGCTTCGACATGCAGTTATTGTAAGGATCAGAAATAATAGGCCGGGCACGGTGGTTCACGCCTGTAATCCCAGCACTTTGGGAGGCCAAAGCGGGCGGATCACCTGAGGTCGGGAGTTTGAGACCAGCCTGGCCAACGTGGTGAAACCCCGTCTCTACTAAAAATACAAAAATTAGCCGGGTATGATGGCACACGCCTGTAGTCCCAGCTACTCGGGAGGCTGAGGCAGGAGAATCGCTTGAACCCGGGAGGCAGAGGTTGCAGTGAGCTGAGATCGTGCCACTGCACTCCAGCTTGGGCAACAGAGTGAGACTCCATCTCAAAAAAAAAAAAAAGAAAAAAAACAAGGATCAGAAACAATAATGCAGGTAAAGCACTGAGACCCTGTCCTCTCACTTGCTTTCAGGTGACAGCATTACCTCTGTCTGCAATATAAACTCTTTGGCAACCACCTAGGCCAGACCCCTCATGTGACTGGCCAAACAGCCAGCCATGCCAGGATCCCAAGCCCCAGACTCCCTCGTAACCCTTCACGGTCTCATCCTTATCTGGCCTCTTTCTGCTTTTCTTTTTCTTTTTTTTTTTTTGAGATAGAGTTTCACTCTTGTTGCCCAGGCTGGAGTGCAATGGCGCAATCTCGGCTCACCGCAACCTCCGCCTCCCAGGTTCAAGCGATTCTCCTGTCTCAGCCTCCCTAGTAGCTGGGATTACAGGCATGTGCCACCACGCCCGGCTAATTTTGTATTTTTAGTAGAGACGGGGTTTCTCCCTGTTGGTCAGGCTGGTCTTGAACTCCCGACCTCAGGTGATCTGCCCGCCTTGGCCTCCCAAAGTGCTGCGATTACAGGCATGAGCCACGGCGCCTGGCCATTCCTTTCTGCTTTTCTATCTCCTAGATCCTACCCAGCCTTGACCTTGCCTTCTCAGAGGCTTTCCTGCCTTCTCCAGCCCACAGCCACTTGCTTGCTTTCTTGATTTATAGCACTCATCACAGTACCAATCTGTGTTCTGGTTGGATGTCCTGGTGAGCACCTCAATGGCAAGGCCTCGGTCTTCTAGGGGATTGGTATAGCATCGTGCTGAGCACATGTGGAGATGAGGGATCAGGGGGACATTGAAAAAGACTTATTGAAGGAAAGTGAAGAAGAAAAGAGTTATAATACTTACACTCAAAAATGGCTATCTACATGTCCGGCCCTGTTTTAAATGCTTTACATGCATTCATGCATTTAATCTTCACATACAGACTATGAATTAAGAATTATCATTATCCCCATTTTACAGATGAGGATACTGAGGCTCAAAGAGGTTAGGTAGACAGTGAAGATGGTAGGACGAGTTTTAAAAAAGGAAGGACAGAGCAAGAAAGAGGAAGGAAAAGTGGGGGAGGAAGGGAAGAAGGAAGACAGGCAGGTGTGTATTAGGTTTCTTAGGACAGATATTCATGGCCCTCCTCCTGGCTGGTATTGGGCCCAGGAATGATGCATGTCAACTCTGTAATATATTTTTCCATTCTGAATCTCTGAATAAGCAACATTTCCCAGGTCCTGCTCCCATACCTTCTCCCTGCTCGTTTCTTGGGGGCCCATGCCCATCCCCCAGCCTTAGTTGCTAGGGCAGTGGTTATTGCTATATAAGTGACTCCTCTTGGGGTGACAAGAGAAGGCTGTCTTCCGCCAGAGTTCCCCACTCTTCTCCAGCCACCCTAGAAGGCTCTACACACTAGGCAGGAGAACTGGGCCCTCTCCTGGGCATGTCTCTGCAGGGCAAGGAGAGGAAGGGCAAGGGCACCCTGAGGGCCTTACTCACCCAGCTCCTGCTGCTCAGCCTGGGTCTCCATCTGGTACCACTTGCTCTGTGGCCCTCCTCTTTATAGCCCTGCGGCCTCTGGCCTCTGGCCCTGTCAGCACTCTGCTCTCCCTCTGCCTTTGTTCCTCATGATCCCCAGAGCTTTGGTGGCTCAGCTTGCTGGGGCCTTTGTTTAAACCAGGGATACAGAAATCCAGAGAGGCCCCTCTGTTGTGGGCATGGCTGGCTGCTGCAGGCCTTGGCTTTCTTAATCTCTCAGAGCAGCTAGGGGGTGAGGACAGAAGTCTCTGCCATGAGTACTTGTCTCTTGTCCTTCTCCAGGTTCCTCACACCACCTTGGGATCTTCCTAAGACCTTAAGACCCTGGGAGACCCCATGTCATATCAAACACATCAAAATGCACCTCACTTCCATACAGATGTGCATTTCTTGTTGTTTAAAAATGTGAAAGAATTATTGTAATTCTGAACTCAATATGAGAAAAAATGGTTCATTGTATTCTTGGGAATCTTTATTATGCTGTATTTATATATAACTATGTAAGGGTTGACTTCAATTATAGTTGACTAGCAGACATGTGTCTCTCTGTAGCTATTTTATTAAATATTCCTTTTAATTTTGCAATTTTCTTTAAAAATTTTGGAGCTATAACTTTTGGGTTTTTTAAAAAAGAATTAAACCATTTATTGAATAATTCCTATATATTAGACATGTGCTAAATGCTTTACTTAAAAAGTTTGAATTAAATACTTTTCCACAACAAAAGAAAGAAATACTTTTTCACAGCCACCACAACAGTGCTATTTTCACCTCCATTTTCCAGATTAAGAAACTAAGAGAACAATCAGGTGACTTGCCTAAGGTCACAGTATTTATAATGGCAGAGCCAAGACTCGAATCCAGTTCTAACCAACACCAAAGTCACTGCCCTGCACTGGCCCTCCCTCAGGAGTAATGCATAAATGGCCCAAAAAATTCCAGGAGAGGAAAGAGACCCCCCTGGCTAGAACTGCAGTTCTGAATATAAACACTGAGCATATAATGGATGTAACTTATCTGTTTCAAAAGGGGAAGGAGCCTAGAAATGAAGCAATTTTTCCTCCTCAAATGATCTTGGCTGCCTGTCCCTTTGTCTTCCATGTTAATTCCTTTCACCATTCTGCTCCCAAACAGGCCAGGTCCCACATCAGTTCCAGGAGGAAAGGGCTCTTTCAGCCTGCGGGTCATCGTTGGGCAGCAGTAGGAAGGGGAAGAAGGCAACCTTCTGAATACCTCCTTTGGACTCACCATCTAGATGTAAAGGGTTCACCTGCTCCATCTCAGATTCCCGGGGGCCTTCCTGTGAAGTTGTCTAGGCAAGCGGTGATAGGGACCTAGATGTCCTTGCTTCTCCCCTCTAGCTCACCCAGGCCAGGGGCGAGAATTCCTGCCACCCACACCTTCAAAACCAATTTTTTTTTTCTTTTTGAGACAGAGTGTCGCTCTGTTGCTTAGGCTGGAGTGCAGTGGTGCGATCTTGCCTCACTGCAACCTCTGCCCCCCAGGTTCAGGTGATTCTCCTGCCTCAGTCTCCTGAGTAGCTGGGATTACAGACACCTGCCACCATGCCCGGCTAATTTTTTTGTATTTTTAGTAGAGATAGGGTTTCACCATGTTGGCCAGGCTGGTCTTGAACTCCTGACCTCAAGTGATCTGCCTGCCTCGGCCTCCCAAAGTGCTGAGATTACAGGCGTGAGCCACTGTGCCCGGCCAATTTTGACGTTTTACTGAATTGTTTTAGGTCTTTGGAAATCTCACAGGCCCAAGTTACTATGCGTATAGTACCTTAAAGTGTAAAATGACTTCTCCCAGAAACTTCAGGACACTTGATGAAGGTAAGGTAGGGGAATCGTGGGCCTCCGCAGGGGCCCTGAAGGGGAAGATGTGTTCTGCAAGCATCACAGATATTGTGAGAAGCAAGAGGCTGCAATGGATGTGGAAGGCTTTGAGCCAGGCAGATGTGGGTTCAAATCCCAGTTTCCTGGCTGGGAGATTTGAAGCAAGTCACTCAGACTCTCTCAACCTCAAAAATAGAATATCTGCCTGATACATTGTAGGCTTATGACTCCTTACCCTACTCTCTTTCCAATGAAAGATACTATTGAAAATTTCGCTGGGCACGGTGGCTCACGCCTGTAATCCCAGCACTTTAGGAGGCTGAGGCGGGCGGATCACAAGGTCAGGAGATCGAAACCATCCTGGCTAACACGGTGAAACCCCATCTCTACTAAAAATACAAAAAATTAGCCGGGCGTGGTGGCGGGCGGCGCCTGTAGTCCCAGCTACTTGGGAGGCTGAGGCAGGAGAATGGCGTGAACCCGGGAGGCGGAGCTTGCAGTGAGCCGAGATTGTACCACTGCACTCCAGCCTGGGGGACAGAGCGAGACTCCATCTCAGAAAAAAAAAAAAAAAGAAAAAAGAAAATTTCATAGCAGCTTGGAGAGAAAAAGAAAGTTCTCTCAATTCCTCTGCAATCTCTCCAGTCCCCGACTCAAGTTTCATCAGTGGCCCCTTTTCTTCAGAACCAAAAATCAGGGGGTGAGGTCTGGTATGTATTCGAGTATTTGCAGATTTGGGTAGAACGTTCCAGACCAGGGGTTTCCAATGTTTTGGCTTCCCTGGGGCACATTAGAAGAATAATTATCTTGGCCCACACATAAAATATACTAACACTAATGATAACTGATGAGCTAAAAAAAAATTACAAAACAAATCTCATAATGTTTTAAGAAAGTTTATTAATTTGTGTTGGGATGCATTCAAAACTGTCCTGGGCCACATACCACCTGCAGGCTGCCGGTTGGACAAACTTGCTGTTAGACATATAAATCTGATGCTAAGCATGGCACATCGCCCCAAGGATGTTTCTGATGCCTTGATTAACTCGTGATGTCTGGACGGATGTCTGGCAGGGGACAGAGTTGCTTTTGGTATCATAGCATGCTCTGGCCACCTGGTGGCTGTGCAAGGGCTTAAAGCACTAGCTGTCTATGGTTGGTGATTCTTCTTTCCTTTCCCTTCTCTTCCTCCTTCCTTTCTTCAGAATTAGGGTCTTTGGGAAACACTCATTTAGTCATTTTTTCAATCATCCACTCTTAGGCTGGCTTAGGCCCTCACAGTGTGTCCTCATGTCATCCTGTGCTTTTCCAATTACACAAGATCACATTGATCATGCTGCAGAAATTGCTTTAGGAACTAGAAGTACTGGTTTCCAAATGTTGGGGGAAACTGAGGCACTTGGGCCTCAGATACAGGACAAGACTTTTCATAGTATATTTTTCTGTAATCTTTAAATTTTGAACATTGGGAACATATTTTCTATTAAGACTAAGTGATTTTAAAAAATAAAACATTGTTTACCTATCTAATTCTTCCACTAGCCTCCATGCTCTATAAGGGCAGGAGCCTCATCTGTCTAGTTCACTGAGGTTTTTTTTTTTTTTGGTTGTTTCTTTCTCTTTTTTTTTTTTATTAAGACAGGGTCTCATTCTGTTGCCCAGGCTGGAGTGCAGTGGCACGATCATGGCTCACTGCAACCTCCACCTTCCGGGCTCAAGCGATCCTCCCAACTCAGCCTCTCAGGTAGCTGAGATGGTAAGTGTGCGCCATCATGCCCAGCTAATTTTTGTATTTGTTTGTAGAGACAGAGTTTTGCCATGTTGCCCAGGCAGGTCTCGAACTCCTGGACTCAAGGGATTCACTGGCCTCAGCTTCTCAAAGTGCTGGGATTACAAGTGTGAGCCACTGCAGCCTGCCTGGGTCATTGTTACGTCTTCGGCTCTAAGCATACCTTCTAGCTCAATAAGTATATTCCGAATGAATGAATGAATGAATGAATGAATGACTGGGTTTTGTGATTCTGGTGGCATAGTCCTTATTGCTAGGAGCACCCAGCTGAGTTTGGCCTTCTCACCCCAGCCACAACTGGCCTGCTTGGGCTTCACACACCCTCAGCATCGTAATATGGGGGCTTTACATCCTACTGAATTGCTAGTACATGGAGATCAACTTAGCTAATTTTTAATTTTTGCAGAGAAGCGAGGCTTTTATGTTTGATTGAAAAGCCCAAACACACATGCACAGAACTATAGTGGTGGTCGGGTGGGAATCAGGGTTATTGTGAGAACAATTTACAAATATCCATCATACATTCCTGGAGTCATAAGTCCTCATCTGGCCTCAATCCACTTTTCTCAATCACCTTAAGTCCTGAAAGATTGAGGATTCTCAGCTCTCCAGTACTGACCACCAAGCCTTCCAAATGTCAACTCAATATAGTTTTTAACAGAGTTCTGGCGGATTCCCCCTCTGACATTGTCTGGCACTGCTGCTTCCCTTGCGGCAGCCCCCAGCCCCATCTCATTCCAGGAAAGTTAAAGCAGAGCCACTCAAGGAGTGGTAATGAAGGGAGCAACCAGCTTGGAATCCCTTCTCCCAGGCTGAGTATGGGTCTCTCCTGTTCATCCTTATTAATAATAACTACAGCTTACTGAGCATTGACTGCAAAACCAGACAGTGTCTTTGTAATCCTTACCACAATGCCGTGAAGTAGATAATAATACCCATTTTACAGATGAGCTAACTGAGGTTCTGAGAGGCCAGGGAAGTTCTGGGCCAGGGAACCTAGCAGGGACTTCAGTATATGTCTATCTGACTGCAAAGCCCATCTTCTTTCTTCCTGGCACAAAATAGGGTGATAATATCTACCTTAACCACTGCTATCAGATGAAGGGAAATAAAGGGATTTAGAGCAATGCTAGGTACTCAGAACTCATCACCACATGGTAATTGCATTACTGACTGTGCCAAGTCAGATACCATCTTTTGCTAAATTCTCATAGAGACAAGTGGGAGCAAGTAGCACAGATTTTAGAAAAAAAATTCAGATAAAAAATGTTTCCTTTGAATTTGGAAAATTCACTCCATTTTTCTTGTTTTCCGATATTTTTCTTTATTAAATTTTAGCAGCGTATTCTGTCAGTCTAGTTTTCTAGAGGGCATGGATCTTTTGGGGACACAGGTTGCAAACTGTGTTCTCAGCCTGCACACCCATTGCACAACTGAATGAGACAACTGGCTGTCCAGCGGGGTGCACTGTTAGATTTAGAGGTGATATCTGACATTAAGAGGACCATGACAGCTCCCCATATGTAACCAGGGCATTTCGAACCTTGGGCTTCTGGACACCAGGGCTACACGCCAAGCAGCATAGATGCTCAGTGGAATTTTGTGGATGGCTTTGACTCCCTGGCCTTGCCTCTAGGCCGGGGGAGAGGGAGTGAGGTCATGGGGCCAGGGAAGCCCTTGGACTCAGCACTTTGTGGTAAGTGCACAATGGAGCTGGCCAGGCGGCTGAGCAGCGCTTTTGTTGTGTGGGAATAAGCAGGATGGGTACAAAGCAAAGGGCCCAGTCAGCGTTCAGCCTGCACCCACCTCCCCCATGAGGGGCTGCTGCTGCAGGATCTTGTTTTTTTGCCCTGTGCCTTTCTACCTCTTCAAACAGGCAGGGGAGCCAGGGCCTGGCTGGGCCTGAAAAGGCAGCAGGGCAGGCACTGGGGGAGAACTTGCCTCCATTTCTTTCTGAACCCTTTCTGAGGTCATCCATTCCTCTGCTTCCAGGCATAAAAGGATGCCAACCTGCTGGGAGAGCTGTTGTCCTAAGGGCCCAGCCTCCACAGCCTGCTTGCTCTGTGTGTAAATGACTCAGAGCATCTCAATTCAACTCAGTCTAAGTGAATTTCTCAATACTGCAGATTTAGTCACTTCCTCTCAACTAGAACCCCTATGAAACAGCTAGAAAAGTAGGTACAAGGATGGGACTTGTCCTATTGTGTGACACTCAGCCCACTCTCTCCACTGTAGCCAAGCAGTCCAACTCTGTATCATTCAGGGTTGCTAGACTGAGCAAGTAAAAATATAGGACACTAAATTAAATGTGAATATCAGGTAAATAATGGCTTTTTTTTTCAGTATCAGTAGATCTCAAACATTTTTTTCTACTCAAAAAATATTTGTTGTTTATCTGAAACTCAGCTTTAATTGGGTATGTATCCTGCGTTTTATCTGCCAACCCTAGTCTCCTCTTGCTTTTGTCTGGAGCATCCCATGATCCGCCTCTGCCAATCTGCTTCTCTTTTGTCCTTTGGAGAAGACAGTGTAAAGAGTCACCACCTGCAGGAAATCTTCCCTGGCTTACCCAGGCTGACCAGCCAACCACAGCATCCTATAACAAAGAGGAGAAAGGAAGAAAACCAATATGTTTTTAAGTCTTTTTCCAAATGTTATCTAGTTTAGTGCTCCCAAATAACCCTGGGAGATATGCCTAACTAGCTCCATTTTCTAATGCAGAAAACACTCAGAGAACTTATGTTATCAACCTGAGGCCACATAAGCTAGGAAGTGGCAGAGCCACATTACAAACTCAATTCTCTTTGTTTCAAAAGTCTGTATTTTTTATCATGTTGCTTATAGGCATCCCTCTTCCTCTTGACTCGTGTGAACAACAGAGTAGCTAGGAAAGCAACTTTATTCTCATCTCCTCGGCCCCTTTATTTATTTCTTTTTCTGGTGGGGCTAGTTTCTCTTCTTTGCCTTAGATGTAAATTTGAATGGTCTCATGGCTTTTCTTGACACTTGTTGGTAATAAAAAGTTAGATGGTTACTTTTATTTTATTTTTATTTTTTTATTATTATTATTTGAGACGGTCTTGCTCTGTCACCCAGGCTGGAGCACAATGGCGTGATCTCAGCTCACTGCAACCTCTGCCTCCTGGGTTCAAGCGATTCTCCTGCCTCAGCCTCCCAAGTAGCTGGGACTACAGGTGTCCGCCACTACGCCTGGCTAATTTTTGTATTTTTAGTAGAGATGGGGTTTCACCATGTTGGCCAGGCTGGTTTCAAACTCCTGACCTCAGGTGATCCGCCCACCTCAGCCTCCCAAAGTGCTGGGATTACAGGTGTGAGCCACCACACCCGGCCTATTTTATTTTATTTTTTTGAGACCGAGCCTCATTCTATCACCCAGGCTGGAGTGCAGTGGTGTGATCTTGGCTCACTGCAACCTCCACCTCCCGGATTTGAGTGATTCTTGTGCCTCAGCCCCCCAGTTAGCTGGGATTACAGGCACCCACCACCACGCCTGGCTAATTTTTGTATTTTTTGGTAGAGATGGGGTTTCGCCATGTTGGCCAGGTTGGTCTCAAATTCCTGGCCTCAGGTGATCTGCCTGCCTTGGCCTCCCAGAGTGCTGGGATTATAGGCCTGAGTCACCTCAACTGGGCCTAGATAGTTACTTTAAATCACAAAAAAGACAATCTCAATTTTAAATGCGTATGTTCAGTGTATGGTGGTAGCAACCAAAACTTCAATCCCCATTCAAAAGTAAGTCATCTATTTGTAATCCCAGACAGGACATGCTTTAGGCAGAAATCCTGGACCCAGGGACCCAGGGAAAGTGAACCCTTTTTTCTTTCTTTCTTTCTTTTTTTTTTTTTTTTTTTTTTTTTGAGACAGAGTCTCGCTCTGTCGCCCAGGCTGGAGTGCAGTGGTGCTAATTTCGGCTCACTGCATCTCCGTCTTCCGGGTTCACGCCATTCTCCTGCCTCAGCCTCCCGAGTAGCTGGGACTACAGGCGCCTGCCACCACGCCTGGCTAATTTTTTGTATTTTTAGTAGAGACGGGGTTTCACCGTGGTCTCAATCTCCTGACTTCGTGATCCATCTGCCTCGGCCTCCCAAAGTGCTGGGATTACAGGCGTGAGCCACCATGCCCAGCATGAACCTTTTTTCTTTCTCCCACTATTTCACTGGTTTCTGACCCTTCCAGGAGTGGAAGGAACAAGAGAGGAAGAGGGCAGAAAATTTCTTACTTGACTGGTCCTGTGGTTAGATGGCTTCACACTACTCTGTATCTGGCAACTCTTCACAGCTGTCAGTTTTGTGGGCACTTAATGGTTCTTGGGAGAGCCCCCACCTGCAATAACTTTGATCTAGGTCTATGCATCTCCACTCTGGCTACCTGTTCCTTCTACAGCTCCTAGGTACCTGGTGGTCACCTCCAGTGTCATTCTGCTAAGGACACATCTGTGCTCCAGGTCTAAGTCGCTACAACCCCATTCCAGCTCCCTCTCAGGCATGACCTCCCTTTCATCCATGGGAAGCACTCACACATGCTTTGCCGTGGCCAATTCTGGCATGTGGGCTTGTTCTTACTCAATCAGCCTCCTTTGCTTGGCCTCATCCCTCAGCAGTTGCCCAGCCTAACTTCTGACCTTTAGATTCTAGTCTGCAGGGGACACATCTTAAGCTTTCAGAGTGGGCCCCTCGTAGCCTTCTCCTTTGCCTTGCAGTGAAGCTCCTTCACCCCTTCCCCTGAAGGGCAGTGGGATTCACAACACAGCTATCTCCCAAAATTTTCTTTCTGCCTCTGTCTCCAATTCTTTTATATTCTTGGTATAAGAAGGAAGGGTAGGCCACACACTATGGCTCATGCCTGTAATCGCAGCACTTTGGAAGGCCGAGGCGGGTGAATCACTTGAGGTCAGGAGTTGGAGACCAGCCTGGCCAACATGGTGAAACCCTGTTTCTACTAAAAATACAAAAATTAGCCAGGGCATGGTGGCACATACCTGTAATCCTAGCTACTGGGAAGGCTGAGGCAGGGGAATGGCTTGATTCTGGGGGTGGAGGTTGCAGTGAGCTGAGATCGCGCCACTGTACTCCAGCCTGGGTGACAGAGTGGACTGTGTATCAAAAAAAAAGAAAAAAAAAAAAAGAAATTTCTGCATAATGGTCTGTTGCACAACTCACTACTTTGGCTTCTAATATCTACCACTTTGGTGACTCAGCTGATTTTTCTTTTTTGTTTTTTTTAGAGACAGGACCTTGCTATCTCACCCAGGCTGAAGTGCAGTGGTGCGATCATGGCTCACTGCAGCCTCGAACTCTTGGACTTAAGTGATCCTCTCACCTCAACCTCCTGGGTAGCTAGGACTACAGGTGTGCACCACTATGCCTGGGTAATTTTTAAAAATGTTTGTGAGACAGGATCTCACTATGATGCCCAGGCTGGTCTTGAACTCCTGGTTTCAAGTGATCCTCATGCCTTGGCTTCCCAAAGTACTGGGATTACAGGTGTGAGCCACCATACCCAGCCTGAAATTTCCACAGTAACATCCTGCTCCATGTGTATGTTCCTTCACACTGTCTTCAAGCTGCTCAACGCCTAGACTCCCTTTGCTCCCAGCAGGTGACATTACAACCTATTTCATCAGGCATGGATTTCCTCAACTTTCTGCCCCTAGAACCTGCAATACCTGCAGGAGTATCTATTACCACACCCACCTCACCTCTTTATCTCCAGCCCCAGATGATCAGCACTTCCTGTCCTGGATTATACACCTTCCTACCATCTCAGGAACTTCATTTAATCAATAGCCCCTTTTTATCTAGTATTTTAAAAAGCAACTGCTATATTTTGTTAGAAAATTATGTATAACTTAAGAAGTCATATTTTCTTGTGTGATAAATATTTGGTGCATCAAAGGTATATAATATATGTATATATATTTATTTATTTTTATTTATTTTTTGTTTTTTGAGATGGAGTTTTGCTCTTGTCGCCCAGGCTGGAGTGCAATGGCACGATCTCAGCTCACTGCAACCTCTGCCTCCTGGGTTTAAGCAATTCTCCTGCCTCAGCCTCCCTAGTAGCTGGGATTACAGGTGCCCGCCACCACACCCAGCTAATTTTTGTATTTTTAGTAGAGACAGGGTTTCACCACGTTGACCAGACTAGTCTCAAACTCCTGACCTTAAGTGATCTTCCACCCGCCTCGGCCTCCCAAAGTGTTGGGATTTCAGGTGTGAGCCACCGCACCTGGCCTACATATTTTTTAAAAACCCAGCAGCTACTCTGCCCAGAGGTTACCATTTTCAACTTTTTAAGCTTTTTTTTCCTGGTATTCATCAATTTTGACATTATGTATTATAGGTTTTGGCAGATAAGATTTTATCCCTCTGGCCAGGCGTTGTGGCTCATGCCTATAATCCCAGCACTTTGGGAGGCCGTGGTGGGAGAATCACTTGAGCCCTGGAGTTTGAAACCATCCTGGGCAACATAGTGAGACCCCATCTCTACAAATAATAAAAAAAAAATTAGCTGGGCATGGTGTTTCATTCCTATAGTTCCAGCTACTCAGGAGGCTGAGGCAGGAGGATTGCTTGAACCCAGGAGGCAGAGGTTGCGTGAGCCGAGATGGCATCACTGCACTCCAGCCTGGGCAACAGAGTGAGACTCTGTTTCAAAAAAAAAAAAAAAAAAAAAAGGGCCGGGCACGGTGGCTCACACCTGTAATACCAGCACTTTAGAAGGCTGAGGTGGACGGATTACCTGAGGTTGGGAGTTCGAGACCAGCCTGACCAACATGGAGAAACCCTGTCTCTACTAAAAATATAAAAAAGTTAGCTGGGCATGGTGGCACAAGCCTGTAATCCCAGCTACTCAGGAGGCTGAGACAGGAGAATCACTTGAACCCAGGAGGTGGAGGTTGCGGTGAGCCAAGATCGCGCCATTGCACTCCAGCCTGGGCAACAAGAGCGAAACTCTTGTCTCAAAAAACAAAAAAAAAAAAAAAAAGATTTTATCCTTCTTATGGCTCTCTCCCCCTCCCCACCATCCTATGGATGTATTATAAATTTTACTTAAATCCATATTCAGCATTTCCTTGTCTATGAGTTTGTAAATATTGTTCACTGCTGACCAGGCAAAATTTAATAACATTTCCTTTCTTGAACCATGTTTTGCTTTTTCTGGAGTTAAGAAAATGCCTAATGTTTTTCATAGGTTCAGTTTCCCAGCATCTTCATTAAATACTTCTACCACAGAGTGGGGAACATCACACACCAGGGCCTGTCACACAGGGGTGGGGGGAGTAGGGAGGGACAGCATTAGGAGATATACCTAATGTAAATGACGAGTTAACAGGTGCAGCACACCAACATGGCACATGTATACATATGTAACAAACCTGCACGTTGTGCACATGTACCCTAGAACTTAAAGTATAATAATAAAAAAATGGTTAAAAAAATACTTCTAATATGATATTCTACATTTGAACCTCTCAGATCATGTCTCAGCTCCATTTTTCCCCCAGGAGACCTCCTTTCTGGAAGCCTCCCACCCCAGCCTCCCAAGTAGTTGGGACTACAGATGCATGCCACCATGCCCAGCTAATTTTTGAATTTTTTGTGGAGACAGGGATTTGCCATGCTGCTCAGGCTGGCCTCAAGCTCCTGGGCTCAAGTGATCCGCTCACCTTGGCTTCCCAAAGTGCTGGGATTACAGGTGTGAGCCACCATGCCTAGCCTGGAAGCTTCTGTTCGGTTCCAATCTGGGGAATTTTCTCCCTGTACGTAGCTACTGCCCAGAGACTTCTCTTGACTGATGTCCTGGGCATTCCCTTTGCTTGCCTTCAGCGTTGAACCCTATATCTTCCTCTTTCGTAGTTTATCCTCTTGTTTTGGTAAAGCACATTCTCTAATAGTGTCCTGAGACATGGTACATAGAGATACTTTTTTTGAGATCAGGATGTCTAAAAATGTATTTTTGTACAGCAGCATTTTATTGAAGGTTTGGCTGGATATAGAGTATGGTAACAGTACTCTACAAATTGTGAAAATACTTCCCCTTTGTCTTCTATGGGCAATGTTGCTATTGGGAAGTATGATGCTTTTTTTTTTTTTTTGAGACAGAGTTTCACTCTTGTTGCCCAGGCTGGAGTGCAATGGCGCGATCTTGGCTCACTGCAACCTCCGCCTCCCAGGTTCAAGCGATTCTCCGGCTTCAGCCTCCCGAGTAGCTGGAATTACAGGCATGAGCCACCATGCCCGGCTAATTTTGTATTTTTAGTAGAGATGGAGTTTCTCCATGTTGGTCAAGCTGGTCTCAAACTCCCAACCTCAGGTGATCCACCCGCCTCGGCCTCCCAAAGTGCTGGGATTACAGGAGTGACCCACCGCCTGGCCAGTATGATGCTATTTTGATTTCTGATTCTTTGTATAAGATTTTTTTTTCTTTCTAAAAGTTTTTGGATTTTTTTTAATCCCTAAAAATCTGAATTTCCTGAGGCTATGCTTTGGTGAAAATCTTATTTTCTTTATTTTTCCGGGCATTTAGTAGACTTTTCCAACCTTAGGAAATCTATGTTCTTCAATTCTTGGAAATATTCCTGTAATTTTTAAAAAAATCATTTTCTCACTTGTATTTAATGTGTTTTTTTGCAACTTCTATTGGTTGGATGTTGGACCTCCTGAAATGATATTCTAGTTTTCTTATATGTCTCTACTATTTTATGTTTCTTTGTCTTTTTTGTGACTTTTTTTTTTTTTTTTTAAGACAGAGTCTCACTCTGTTGCCCAGGGTGGAGTACAGTGGCGCGATCTGGATCACTGCAACCTCCACTTCCAGGCTCAAGCGATCCTCCTACCTCAGCCTCCTGAGTAGCTGGGCCCACAGGTGCACGCCACCGTGCCTGGCTAATTTTTGTATTTTTAGTAGAGATGGAGGTCTTGCCATGTTGCCCAAGCTGGTCTCAAACTCCTGGGCTCAAGTGATCCTCCTGCCTGGGCCTCCCAAAGTGCTGGGATTACAGGCATGAGCCACCGCTCTCAGCCTTTTTTTCTGACTTCTAAGAGATTTCCTTGATTTAGCTTTTAACCCCTATTAATTTCCTATTGCTGCTAAAACAAATTGCCCCATAAAAAGGGAACACTTATACACTGCTGGTGGGAATGTAAACTAGTATAACCTCTATGCAAAACAGTATGGAGATTTCTTTTTTCTTTTCTTTTCTTTTTTTTTTTTGAGACAGGAGTCTCACTCTGTCACCCATGCTGGAGTGTAGTGGCGCTATCTTGGCTCACTGCAATCCCCACCTCCCTGGTTCAAGGAATTCCCCTGCCTCAGCCTCCCGAGTAGCTGGGATTACAGGCACACGCCACCATACCCAGCTAATTGTTTTGTATTTTTAGTAGAGACGGGGTTTCACCATGTTGGCCAGACTGGTCTCGAACTCCTGACCTCAGGCAGCCCTCCTGCCTCGGCCTCCCAAAGTGCTGGGATTACAAGCATGAACCACCACACCCAGTCATGGAATACTACTCAGCCATAAAAAGAACAAAATAATGTATTTTGCAGCAACTTGGATGGAGCTGGAGGACATTATTCTAAGTCAAGTATCTGAGGAATGGAAAACCAAATACTGTATGTTCTCACTTAGAAGTGGGAGCTAAGCTGTGGATATGCAAACGCATGCAGAGTGATATCATGGACTATGGACACTCAGGAGGGGAGGGTGGAAGGGAGGTGAGTGATAAAAAACTGCATATCAGGTACAATGTACACTACTCAGGTGATGTGTGCACTAAAATCCCAGACTTCACCACTTTACAATTCATCCATGTAGCCAGAAATCACTTGTACCTTAAAAGCTATTCCAATTAAAAACATTTTTTTAATTAAAAAAATGGCTGGATATGGTGGCTCACACCTATAATATCAACACTTTCGGAGGCCAAGGTGGGAGGACTGCTTGAGCTCAGGAGGTCGAGACCATCCTGGGTAACGTAGCGAGACCTCGTCTCTACTTTAAAAAAAAAAAAAAATTACCAGTTGTGGTGGCTCGCACCTGTAATCCCAGCTGTTTGCGAGGCTGAGATGGGAGGACTGCTTGAGCCTGGGAGGTCAAGACTGCAGTAGGCTGGGCGTGGTGGCTCACGCCTGTAATCCCAACACTTCAGGAGGCCGAGGCGGGTGGGTCACGAGGTCAGGGGTTCGAGACCAGCCTGACCAACATGGTGAAACCCTGTCTCTACTAAAAATACAAAAATTAGCTGGGCATGGTGGCAGTCGCCTGTAATCCCAGCTACTTAGGAGGCTAAGGCAGGAGAATTGCTTGAATCCGGGAGGCGGACGTTGCAGTGAGTCGAGATCGCGCCACTGCACTCCAGCCTGGGTGACAGAGCAAGACTCCATCTCAAAAAAAAAAAAAAAAAAAAGACTGCAGTAGGCTGAGATTATGCCACTGCGCTCCAGTTTGGGCAACAGAGCAAGACCTTATTTCAAAACAAAAGCAAAAACATCAAAAAAAATTAGCCAAGTGTGGTGGTGCATGCCTGTGTTCCCAGCTACTCAGGAGTCTGAGGTGGGAGAATTGCTTGAGCCTGGGAGGTCGAGGCTGCAGTGAGCCGAGATTGAGCCATTGCACTCCAGCCTGGGCAACACAGTGAGACCCTGTCTCAAAAAAAAAATTTAAAAACAAATTACCACAAATTTAGTGGCTTAAAACAACACAAATTGGCCGGGCACAGTGGCTCACGCCTGTAATCCCAGCACTTTGGGAGGCCGAGGTGGGTGGATCATTTAAGGTCAGGAGTTCAAGACCACCCTGGCCAACATCGTCAAATCCTGCCTCTACTAAAAATACAAAAATTAGCCGGGCGTGATGGCAGAAGCCTGTAGTCCCAGCTACTTGGGAGGTTGAGGCAGGAGAATCACTCAAACCCAGGAGGCGGAGGTTGCAGTGAGCCGAGATTGCGCCACTGTGCTCCAGCCTGGGTGACAAAGCGAGACTCTGTCTCAAACAAACAAACAAACAAACAAACACAAGAAACCTCACAAATTTATTATCTTACAATTCTGGAAGCAGGACTGCATTTTTTTTCTGGAGGCTCTAGGGGAGAATCTATTTCTTTGCCTTTACCAGGTTTTAGAAGCAGCCTGCATTCCTTGGCTCATGGCCTTTTCCTCCACCTCCAAAGCCAGCAGCACAGCATCTTCAAATTTCAATCTCTTTGACGCTGACCTTTCTTCCTGCCTCCCTCATAAGGATCTTTGTGATTACATATCCAGATAATTCAGAACAATCTCGCTTCACTATCCCAAGTTCCTTAATAACATCTGGAAAGTCTTTTTGCCACATAATAACATATTTACAAATTCTAGGGATTAGGATGTGGACATCTCTAGAGGGCCATAATTCTCTCTGTCACAAACTCTTTTGCCAATCTGTTATTTTATTTATTTATTTATTTATTTATTTATTTATTTATTTTTGAGACGGAGTCTTGCTCTGTGGCCCAGGCTGGAGTGCTGTGGTACCATCTCGGCTCACTGCAAGCTCCGCCTCCCGGGTTCATGGCATTCTCCTGCCTCAGCCTCCAGAGTAGCTGGGACTACAGGCGCCTGCCACTATGCCCGGCTAATTTTTTGTATTTTTAGTAGAGACGGGGTTTCACTGTGTTAGCCAGGATGGTCTCGATCTCCTGACCTCGTGATCCTCCCGTCTCAGCCTCCCAAAGTGCTGGGATTACAGGCATGAGCCACCGCGCCCGGCCTATTTTATTTATTTTGAGACAGATTCTCACTCTGTTGTCGAGGCTGGAGTGCAGTGGCGCAATCTCGGCTCACTGCAGTCTTGAACTCCTGGGCTCAAGTGATCCTCCTGCCTCAGCCTCTCAAGTAGCTGAGACTATAGGAATGCATTACCATGGCTGGCTGGCTAATTGTTTTTATTTTTTTGTTGTTGTTTTCTTTTTTGAGATGGAGTCTCACTCCATCGCCCAGGCTGGAGTTCAGTGGCGTGATCTCGGCTCACTGCAACCCCTGCCTCCCAGGTTCAAGGGATTCTCATGCCTCAGCCTCCTAAGTAGCTGGAACCTCAGGTGTTGCCACCATGCCTGGCTAATTTTTGTATTTTTAGTAGAGCTGGGGTTTCACCATGTTGTCCAGGCTGGTCTTGAACTCCTGAACTCAAGTGATCTGCCCTCCTTGGCCTCCCAAAGTGCTGGGATTACAGGCATGAGCCACTGTGCCTGGCCTGTTTTTATTTTGTAATAGTATGTTGCCCAGGCTTGTCTTGAACTCCTGGCCTCAAGTGATCCTCCCTCCTCAGTCTCCCAAAGTGCTGGGATTACAGACATGAACCATCGCACCTGGCCTGGTCAGGTATATTTTTATCTCTCAATTAAGATTTGTCTGTTGTTTTTCTCATGATTAGACTAGGGTAATATGTTTTTGGAAGATCGTAGAGAGAAAGAGCCATTCTCATCACATCACATCATGTCAAGGATACGTACTATCAAGTGACTTATCGCTGGCGTGAGGTAGTTCGTCAGGTTTCTCCACTTAAAAAGTTACTTTATTTTCTTCCTTTTTACTGCCTTCTTTGGAAGAAAGTCACCATGCACAGCCCCCACTTAGGGAATGGTGAGTTATGGCCCCTCCTTAAAGACTCTCATTCGCTTTTTGTCTTAAAGATCTAACAAGTTATATCTACTAGTTTGAATTTCTGTTTTTTGGTCTCCACATTCTATTCCTGCAATTTTAAACTTTCTTCTACTGATCCTTTTTCAAGATCCTTTTTTTCAGCCTGTAAACATGCTTAAATCTCTTTCATCTCAAAATGAAACATAAAACCCACCAAAGACTCTAATTCCCTTTCTGGAAGGTGATTCTGGAGAATCATCCATTCTCACTCTGCCTTTCGTAGCCCCAGGCTTTAAAAGAATGGTGGCCATTTCAATGTCCTCATCGGCCACTCAGTCTTCAATCATAGCATTCGTATCTCTGTCCTTCCCACTCTTCTGAAACGGCTTTGGTAGGGAAGACAAGTGACTTCCATTGCCACACCCAATGGACTCTTTTTCAGTTTTTCTTACATGTAATATCTCTACACCACTGAGACTATTGAACACTTCTTTCTTTAGATACCTCTTTCCCCTTGACTTCCAAATCACCTCTCTCTGCTGCTCCTGCTCACTGTTTTTTGTCCACTCCTTTTCTTCTTTCGGTTCCATCAATGTCAGTCTTGCTCAGGGTTTGTTCTTGGCCTTCTTTTCGCTTCTCATTCTATACTCTCCTGAGGTAATCTAATCTACTCCCAAGAGTTCAATAACTACTTTGCTGGTGGCTCCCAGATCTATATTTCAAATTCACACATCTCTTTTTGTATTAGTTTCTTAGGGCTACTGTAACAAACTGCTACAAACTTGGCTTAAAACAGCAGAAATGTATTCTCTCACAGTTCTGTAGGCCAGAAGTCTTAAATCAAGGGTGGTTCCTTGACTTAAGGAGAAAGTTAAGGCAGAAACTGTCCCAGACCTCCCTCCTTTCTTCTGGTGGTTGCCAGCAATGCCTAGTACTCCTTGGCTTGTAGAGGCATCATTCTAATCTCTGCCTCTGTCTTTACATAGCACTCTTTATGTGTTTCACTGTGTTTTTTTTTTAATTATTATTATTGTTTTGAGATGGAGTCTTGCTCTGTCACCCAGGCTGGAGTGCAGTGGCACAATCTTGGCTCACTGCAACCTCTACTGCCTGGGTTCAAGCGATTCTAATGCCTCAGCCTCCCAAGTAGCCGGGATTATAGGCACGCACCACCACACCTGGCTAATTTTTGTATTTTTAGTAGAGATGGGGTTTCACCATGTTGGATAGGCTGGTCTTGAACTCCTGACCTCAAGGAATCCGCCCGCCTTGGCCTCCCAAAGTGCTGGGATTACAGGTGTGAGCTACTGTGCCCGGCCTTCACTGTGTCTTTACATGGTCTTCTCATAAGGACACCAGTCATTGTATTTGGTGCCTAGTCTAATCCAGTATGAACTCATCTCAATTTACCTTATTTCATCTGCAAAGACCTGGTTTCCAAGTAAGGTCATAAACAGAGGTTCCAGGTGGACCTGCATTCTGGGGAGATACTATTCAACACAGTATACTCTTTAACTACCTTTCAGACATCTCTAGTTAGATGACTTCCAACAGATTCCCTGAACCCAACACAGCCAAGCTGTTCAGATGATCTCCACTAGTGTCCCTAACCCCATCCTGATCTTCCTTTGATGTTCCCCATCTCAGAGATGGTACCACTCAAGCCAGAAGTCTAGGATCAATCTTGACACTTCTCTCTTTCTCACCACCATATCTAACTTTTGGCTGAATCTTGCTAATTCTACCTCCCTAATAGTCCTATATGGCTCCACTTCTCCATATCCATTGTATCATTTACTATAAGTTTGGCTGCAAGTCATAGAAAACCGAATGCAAAGTGGCATAGCCAATAAGAAAATTATTTAGTTCGCCGGGCGCGGTGGCTCATGCCTGTAATCCCAGCACTTTGGGAGGCCGAGGCAGACAAATCACGAGGTCAGGAAATCGAGACCATCCTGGCTAACACGGTGAAACCCCGTCTCTACTGAAAAACAAGAAAAAAAATTAGCCGGGCGTGGTGGCGGGCACCTGTAGTACCAGCTACTCGGGAGGCTGAGGCAGGATAATGGCGTGAACCTGGGAGGAGGAGCTTGCAGTGAGCCGAGATTGCACCACCACACTCCAGCCTGGGCGACAGAGCGAGACTCCGTCTCAAAAAAAAAAAAAATTATTTAGTTCACTTAACAAAAAATACACAGTAAGGTAAGCCTCAGGCTTGTTGATTCAGTGATGTTTCCATGACTCGGGTTTTTTCCATCTCCGTCCTACTGAATTCATTGTTGACTTCATCCTAAGGCTGACTGCTTTCATCATTGTTGGGTGTTTTCCAGTAGCAATTGGGGCTGTATTCTTCATTGTTCATATCCATGGTGGGGGAGCAGAGGGGGAGTTTCCTGAGGTTTTCTATTTTTTTTTTTTTCTTGGACAAGGTCTCGCCATGTCAACCAAGCTGGAGTGCAGTGGCCTGAAAGCTGGAGTGCAGTGGCGTGATCACAGCTCACTGTAGCCTTGACCTCCTGGGCTCAAGCAGATCCTCCTACCTCAGCTTCCCAAGTAGCTGAGACCACAGGAGTGTGCTACCATGCCTAGCTAATGTTTTATTTTTTTGTAGAGACCAGGTTTCACTGTGTTGCCCAGGTTGGTCACGAACTCCTGGTCTCAAGTGATCTGCCCACCTCAGTCTCCCAAAGCACTGGGATTATAGGACTGAGCCACCGCTCCCAGCTCCTGTGTGTTTCGAAAGAGCAAGGAAGGGGTGGGTGTGGTGGCTCACACCTGTAATCCCAGCACTTTGGGAGGCTGAGGTGGGTGGATCACTTCAGGTCAGGAGTTCAAGACCAGCCTGGCCAACATGGTGAAACCCTGTCTCTACTAAAAATACAAAAATTAGCTTGGTGTGGTGGCACGTGCCTGTAATCCCAGCTACTTGGGCGGCTGAGGCAGGAGAATTGCTTGAACCCGGGAGGCGGAGGTTGCAGTGAGCTGAGATCACACCACTGCACTCTAGCCTGGCGATACAGTGAGACTCCGTCTAAAAAAACAAAACAAACAAACAAACAAACAAACAAAAAACAAAAAAAGTACATGTAGGCCGGGCGCGGTGGCTCATGCCTGTAATCCCAGCACTTTGGGAGGTGGAGACAGGTGGATCACCTGAGGACAGGAGTTTGAGACCAGCCCGGCCAATGTAGTGAAACCTCATCTCTACTAAAAAATACAAAAATTAACCGGGTGTGGTGGCGCATGCCTGTAGTCCCAGCTACTCGGGAGGCTGAGGCAGGAGAATCACTTGAACCTGGGAAACGGAGGTTGCAGTGAGCCAAGATCATACCACTGCACTCTAGCCTGGGCAACAGAGTGAGACTCCTCTCAAAAAAAAAAAAAGTACATGTACATTGTATATGATGTATATGACTCATAAAATCTGCAAATCAGGGCAGGTGCAGTGGCTCACGCTTGTAATCCCAGCACTTTGGGAGGCCAAGGTGGGCAGATCACGAGGTCAGGAGATTGAGACCATTCTGGCTAACACGGTGAAACCCCATCTCTACTAAAAACACACAAAAAATTAGCCGGGCATGGTGGCGGGTGCCTATAGTCCCAGCTACTTGGGAAGCTGAGGCAGGAGAATGGCGTGAACCCAGGAGATGGAGCTTGCAGTGAGCCAAAATTGCGCCACTGCACTCCAGCCTGGGTGACAGAGTGAGACTCTGTCTAAAAAAAAAAAATCTGCAAATCACTTTCTCCCTTCAACATATTTTTGAAATCTGTCCATATGTATACATGTAGATCATGTTGACTCAATTTATGAGCTGTGTAGTACTCCACAGCATGAATATGCTACAATTTACAATCTTACTTTGTATCTCTCTTTTTTCATTATTTTCTTCTTTCTTTTCTCCCTCCCTCCCCCGCCTCCACCCCCACCCCAACCTCTTTCTTTTCTTTTCTTTTCTTCTTCTTTTTTTTTTGAGACAGACTCTAGCTCTGTTGCCCAGGCTGGAGTGCAATGGCGCGATCTCAGCTCACTGCAACCTCTGCCTCCCGGGTTCAAGGGATTCTCCTGCCTCAGCTTCCCGAGTAGTTGGAATCACAGGCACTGGCCACCACGCCCTACTAATTTTTTTTGTATTTTTAGTAGATAAATGGTTTCACCATGTTGGCCAGGCTGGTCTTGAACTCCTGACCTAGGGTGATCCTCCCACTTTGGCCTCCCAAAGTGCTGGGATTACAGACGTGAGCCACCGCACCCGATCTCTTTTCTTCTTAAGAGACAGGTTATAGTTATGTTGCTCAGGCTGATCTCAAACTCCTGGCTCAAGCAATCCTCCCAGTGTGGCCTCTCAAAGTGCTGGGATTACAGGCGTGAGCCACTGCACCTGACCTTTTTCATCATTTTTTGTGCTTCTTGCCCTCTATTCCTGCCTTTTGCTGTTGTTTCTTTTTATTCTCTTTTTTTTCCCCTCCAATAATTTGAAAGGTATACATTCTATTTCTAGTATTTGTAAATTTACACTTTCATTTTAAATGTTTTCAGTTTCTCTACTCTTCTGAACAAGATAGAGATGGGAACTTTCCATTCCCATCTTCTACGTTAATATTTGGTTTGGTTGTTTATTTTATTGTTTTAGTGGTCAATACTTATTTAGATGTACCAATTTATATATTTACCATTTCTTCTTGTATTTCACTCCTTCCTTCTGGATTTGTAAAGACAATAAAGATAGATACTGAAATAATCTTTTAGTAGTTCTTTCAGCAAATATCTATAAGTAATAAACTTTCTTAATATTTATGTGTCTGAAAACAACTTTATTTCAGCCTTACTTTTGAATGTAAGTATAGCTAGAAATAAGATTCTTGGTTGGTAGTTATTTCCCTCAACACTTTGATGACATGTCATTGTCTTCTGGAAACTCCTGCAATGACATGAAATCCCCTATCAGTCTGTTTCTTGTTCTGATGTAGGTATCTGTTCTCTTTAGTAGCCTTTAAGATTTTCTATCTCCCTTGATGTTCTGCAATCCCACAGGAATGTGTTAGATATAGACTTGCTTTTATTTATCCTACTCAGGACTTCTGCTTCTTCAGCTGGCAAACTCCTGTCTTTCTTCAGTTCAGGAAACTTCCCCCATTACCTCTTTGTCTGCTGCCTTCCCTCCACTGTTGTGATTTTTCTCCTTCTGAATTCCTGTTTTGGAGCTTCTCATGCTATACACCATGTCTTTCATTCTGTCTTTCTTATTTTCTATCTCTTTACCACTTCCTGAATGATTTCCTCATGTTTGTTCTAATTCATTAATTCACTGTATAGCAGGATCTAGTTAACTGTTTACTAAGTTTTGTTTAGCTGGATGTAGTAATGCACACATGTAATCTCAGCTACTCAGGAGGCTGAGGTGGGAGGATCTCTTGAGCTTGGTAGTACAAGGGTGCAGTGAGCCATGATCACACCACTGCACTCCAACCAGGCAACAGAACGAGACCCTTTTTTTTTTTTTTTTTTTTCTTGAGACAGGGTCTCGCTCTGTTGCTGGGACTGCAGTGCAGTGGCACAACTTCTGGTTACTGCAACCTCGACCTCCCAAGCTCAAGAGATCCTCCCACCTCAGCCTCCCAAGTAGCTGGGACCACAGGTGTGCACCCACGCCGAGCTCATTTTTGTATGTTTTTTTTTTTTTTTTTTTTTTGAGACGGAGTCTCGCTCTGTCGCCCAGGCTGGAGTGCAGTGGCGCGATCTCGGCTCACTGCAAGCTCCGCCTCCCAGGTTCACGCCATTCTCTTGCCTCAGCCTCCCGAGTAGCTGGGACTACAGGTGCCCGCCACCACGCCCAGCTAATTTTTTGTATTTTTACTAGAGATGGGGTTTCACCGTGTTAGCCAGGATGGTCTCGATCTCCTGACCTCGTGATCCGCCCGCCTCGGCCTCCCAAAGTGCTGGGATTACAGGCGTGAGCCACCACGCCCGGCCACATTTTTGTATGTTTTGTAGAGATGGGGTTTCACCATGTTGCCCAAGCTGGTCTTGAACTCCTGGGCTCAAGCAATTTGCCCCCCTCGGTCTCCCAAAGTGCCAGGATTACAGACGTGATCCACCACGCCTGGCAACCCCGTCTCTTAAAATAAAATAAAATATAAAAGAAATATGTTTAAAATGTTCAAATATTTAAAGGAAGAAGTAGAATGTATATGATGAGAGTGAGATATTATGAGGGAAAAGGTGGGTTTGAAAATACGATGAGAGGCCGGGTGCAGTGACTCACGCCTGTAATCTCAGCACTTTGGGAGGCCAAGGTGGGCGGATCACGAGGTCAGGAGATCGAGACCATCCTGGCTAACACGGTGAAACCCCGTCTCTTCTAAAAATACAGAAAATTAGCCGGGCGCGGTGGCGGGTGCCTGTAGTCCCAGCTACTCGGGAGGCTGAGGCAGGAGAATGGCGTGAACCCGGGAGGTGGAGTTTGCAGCGATCCGAGATAGCGCCACTGCAGTCCGGCCTGGGCGAAAGAGCGAGACTCCGTCTCAAAAAAAAAAAAGAAGAAAGAAGAAAGAAAATACAGTGAGACTGAGATATTATGGGAGGAAAGGTGGGTTTGAAAAAGAACTAAAATTTTAGAAATATAAATCGTATAGACATTTAGGTTTTTTCCTTTTTTTTTTTTTTTTTTTTTTTTGAGACAGAATCTCACTCTGTTGCCCAAGCTAGAGTGCAGTGATGCGATCTTGGCTCACTGCAGCCTCAGCCTCCCGGGTAGCTGGGATTACAGGCATGTGCCACCACTCTTGCCTAATTTTTCTATTTTTAGTAGAGACAAGGTTTCACCATGTTAGTCAGGCTGGTCTCGAACTCCTGACCTCAGGTGATCTACCCACCTCAGCCTCCCAAAGTGCTAGGATTACAGGCGTGAGCCACCACACCCAGCCCAGGTTTTTTTTGTTTGTTTTTTTAACAAAACTTTTATCTAATTTTTTTTTTTCTTTTTGGCCTGGCATGTTGACTCACACCTGTAATCCTCACACTTTGGGAGGCCAAGGCGGGCAGATTACTTGAGGTCAGGGGTTCGAGATCAGCCTGTTCACCAACATGGTGAAACCCCGTATCTACTAAAAACACAAAAATTAGCCGGGTGTGGTGGCAGGCGCCTGTAGTCCCAGCTACTCGGGAGGCTGAGGCAGGAGAAGGCATGAACCCGGGAGGCAGAGGTTGCAGTGAGTCAAGATGGTGCCACTACACTCCAGTCTGGATGACAGCAAGATGCCGTATCAAAAAAAAAAAAAAAAAAAGGGCCAAGTGTGGTGGCTTACGCCTGTAATCCCAGCACTTTGGGAGGCTGAGGCGGGTGGATCACAAGGTCAAGAGATCGAGACCATCCTGGCCAACATGGTGAAACCCCGTTTCTACTAAAAATATAAAAGTTAGCTGGGTGTGGTGGTGGATGCCTGTAATCCCAGCTACTTGGGAGGCTGAGGCAGGAGAATCACTTGAACCTAGGAGGTGGGGGTTGCAGTGAGCTGGGATCACACCACTGCACTCTGGCCTGGTGACAGAGCAAGACTCCGTCTCAAAAAACAAAAAAGTTTTTTTTTTCTTTTTGAAATAGAGATAGGCTCTCACTTTGTTGCCCAGACTGGTCTAAAACTCCTGTCCTCACGCAATCCTGCTACCTCAGCCTTCCAAAATATTGGGATTACAGGTGTGAGCCACTGCACCCAGTCTGAAACACATTTCTTTTAAATTAGCATTTGTGTTTCATGAATTGAAACATTTTTTTCAAACTGTCCTTTTATCTGTGATTTCTGGTGCACACATTTTCTGATTCCTTGCATCTGCCATCTGTTTATGATGGCATTTGTTTCTTCATTCATTTCCTCAGGGAGCAGGGTCTTTCTCATTCTCTAGGTTTTGGACGAACTCCTGTGAGGCTATTTTGTATTTCTCTATGCAAGTATTTTATGCAGTTTCACTGCCTGTGGGTGATTTTTACTAATTTCTTGCCCTGGGTTTCTCAAACAGCAAGTCTGGTGTGTACTCAGGTGCCACCCCTCTGATTGACACAGTGTTGGAGGGGTGATTTTTTCACCCACAGGCTCTAGGCAGACACCTAGCTCTTTGCTCTGGTGCAGTTTTTCTGGAACCTGTTTTTATCTACAAGACAACTCTTTTGTTCTTGACTTTTAGCAGGAAACCTGGTTGCAGCTCATGGGCCTGAGGCCACATCTCCCATCCCCAGAGGGCATTAAATTTCTGATTCTGATACCCTGGGGGACTCTGGGCTTATGATAAGTGAGGCCTGGGTGTGTTCTGTGATTGGTCATGAGGGACTCACGGAGAGTTTTTAGGTAAACTTTTAATTAAAATCTAACTTTTCATTGAAATCTATGAATCCATACTATAGAAAAGTGCACAAATCATAAGCAATCAGTCTGATTAGTTTTTATAAAGTCCAGACACTTTGTATAACTGCCACACAGATCATGATATAGAACATTATTGGCAATCCCCTCCCTGAAACCCCTTTAGCCCCCCTCTAATCACCACTCTGCACCTAAAGGCAATTAGTATTCCAGTTTCTAATGGCATTTCATTTCAACCATTTGGTACTTTATATAAATGAAATCATACGGTATGGACTCTTCAGTGTCTGGCTTCTTTTGTCATTATATTTGTGAAATTTACTCATGTTACTGCATGTAGTGTTCTAGTCTATGAAAATACCACAATTTAAAAATGTAGCTGGAGCCGGGCGTGGTGGCTCACGCCTGTAATCCCAGCACTTTGAGAGGCCGAGGCAGGCGGATCACTTGAATTCAGGAGTTCAAGACCAGCCTGGCCAACATGGTAAAATCCCGTGTCTACTAAAATATAAAAATTAGCTGGGCAGGGTGGTGTGCGCCTGTAATCCCACCTACTCAGAAGGCTGAGTCAGGAGAATTGCATGAACTTGGGAGGTGGAGGTTGCAGTAAGCCGAGACTGCCATTACACTGCAGCCTGAGCGACAAGAGTGAAACTCTGTCTCAAATAAAATAAAATAAAATAAAATAAAATAAAATAAAATAAAATAAAAATAAAATAAAAAATAAACATCTAGGCCGGGCGCCATATCTCATGCCTGTAATCCCGGCACTTTGGGAGGCCAAGGCGGACCGATTACTTGAGGTCAGGAGTTCAAGACCAGCCTGGCCAACATGGTGAAACTCCGTCTCTACTAAAATACAAAAGTTAGCCAGGCGTAGTGGCGGGCACCTGTAATCCCAGCTACTCAGGAGGCTGAGGCAGGACAATTGCTTGAACCCGGGAGGCGGAGGTTGCAGTGAGCCGAGATTTTGCCTTTGTACTCCAGCCTGGGAAACAAGAGCGAAACTTCATCTCAACAAAACAAACAAACAAACACACACAAAAACTTATTGTAGTGTTGATAGACACTTAGATATTTCCCCACTTGGAGGCTGTTATAAATAGTATTGCTATAAACATGCTTGTTTATGTTTTCTGGGTAACATATGTAAACATTTCTTTTGGGAATATACCTAAGAATAAATTGCTGGGCCATAAATATGTTCAGTTTTAGCAGACACTATCAAACAATTTTTCAAAGTTGTACTAGCTTGCAATCCCACCAACAGTGTGGAATAGTTTAGATGTCTATGCATCACATATTAGAGGATTCAAAACTGGAGGAAATCTTGTCTCTCAACTACAGTGGATCAAGAGTTTTTTCTTTTTTTTAGATGGGGTCTTGGTCTGTCACCCAGGCAGGAGTGGCTCACTGCTGCCTCCAACTACAGGGCTCAAGTGATCCTCCTGCGACAGCTTCCTGTATAGCTGGGACTACCGGTTCATGACACCATGTCTGGCTAATTTTTTTTTTATTTGGAGAGACAGGGGTCTCACTATGTTGTCTGGGCTAGTCTCCAACTCCTGGCCTCAAGTGATTCTCCCACCTTGGCTTCCCAAAGTGCTGGGATTACAGGAGTGAGCTACTGTGCCTGGCCTCAAGAATTATTCGTGTTCCTTTTTTTTTTTTTTTTGAGACGGAGTTTTGCTCTTGTTGCACAGGCTGGAGCGCAGTGGCGCGATCTCGGCTCACCGCAATGTCCACCTCCCGGGTTCAAGCGATTCTCCTGCCTCAGCCTCCCGAGTAGCTGGGATTGTAGGCGCGCACCACCACGCCCGGCTAATTTTTGTATTTTTAGTAGAGACAGGGTCTCGCCATGTTGGCCAGGCTGGTCTTGAACTCCCAACCTCAGTTGATCCACCCGCCTCGGCCTCCCAAAGTGCTGGGATTACAGGCGTGAGCCACCGCGCCCGGCCCATTTGTGTTCCTTTTTAAGGTGAATGAATTAAGGCTGGTGTTAGAACCCTGGTATATATAGTGTATACTTTATGGTATATAACTACAAAGTATTATATTTCAAAATACCTACAACTTTTTTGAACGTTTATCTTGTGCCAGGCACTAAGAGACCATTTCATCACACAAACCTTTGAGACAGGTGTTGTTATTATTCACATAGTTCAGGTGAAGCAGCTGCAGCTTAGAAAGATGAAATAACTGCTCCCGGGTCCCAGAGCCTGAAGTAACAGAGCTGGAACAGCCTGACTACAAAGCCTTGGAGCCCTGCAAATATACATGCTCCTGTGTTTCCTTCCCGAGGGTGGACTCAGCCTTTTTCAAAAAACTCTTTTTCAGCCTCCTAAAGACCTAAGATCAGAGCTATATGTTGCCAGATACGAATACTTAGACCAGGTGAAATTTGTCCAATTGCAGCTTGAAACTGATGCCTTTGTATCCACGGATGAAAATAGGTGAGCAGTCACCTTGAAAAATTCTGTCCCCAGAAGTCTTCTTTCTCTCCAATGTGCTGTGTATTACAATGGCTCAGTGCTGGCCCATAGTGGCACCTCAGTAATACTGGCTGAACGAAATTCTAGAAAAGTTCACAAATTTGTGCGGTTGACGGGACCCTGCTGGCTGTAGCGCCTAGCCTCTAATTTCTGACCACCAGGGGGCATACGTCCGTTTCCAGAGTACCCTTATTCCCAGCAGACTCCGGAAAGCGGGGTCCCTTGAGGACAGGGAGTCCCAAGGAAGGGAGGGATTGTGCCAGAAAACTCTGAATTGAGAAAAAAGGTACATTCGAACTGGGTTTTTTCAGAGAGTGGTCCGATAGCCACCAAACCATAATCACCTAGGGTGCATGGCTAAAATGCAAATTCCAGCTTGTTCACTTCAGGCCGAGAGAATCAGACTTTCTGAGGGTAGGGTATAGAAATCATATGTTAAGGCCTCCAGGCAATTCCCCCCCACGCTCATGGCTCTTTATTTGGACTACCTGTATTCAGTATTGTGTTAACTGTGTGACCTCAGGCAAGTCAATTAACCTAAGACTCAATATTGTCATATTAGGGGAACATAAAAACCTAACTCTCAGGTATGTTGTGAGTAATAAACGAATCAATCCATCTAGAGAGCTTAGAATGAAGCCCGGAAGGAAGCATATTAGCTCTTATACCTCTTAAGATATTATTATTATTATTATTATTATTATTATTATTATTATTATTTGGGACGGAGTCTTGCTCTGTCACCCAGGCTGGAGTGCAGTGGCACGATCTCGGCTCACTGCAAGCTCTGCCTCCCGGGTTCACGCCATTCTCCTGCCTCAGCCTCCCGAGTAGCTGGTACTACAGGCACCTGCCACCATGCCCGGCTAATTTTTTGTATTTTTAGTAGAGACGGGGTTTCACCATGTTAGCCAGGATGGTCTCGATCTCCTGACCTCATGATCTGCCCGCTTCGGCCTCCCAAAGTGCTGGGATTACAAGCGTGAGCCACCGCACCTGGCCTAATTTTTAATTTTTTTTGTAGAGATGGGGGTTCTTGTTATGCTGTCCAGGCTGGTCTTGAACCGCTGGGCTCAAATGATCCTCCTGCCTCAGCCTCCCAAAGTGTTGGGATTACAGGTGTAAGCCACCATGCGTGGCCAGCCTGGGCCTCAGTTTCTGCACATGTAAAATGAGGGAGTGGGACTAATTGGTCTGTGAGATCCCTTCCAGTGCTAATGTTTTATAAAAACTTCACAGGGGCCAGGTGCAGTGGCTCACACCTGTAATCCCCAGCACTTGTAGGAGGCAAAGTTGGGAAGATTGCTTGAGCTCAGGAGTTTGAGACCAACCTGGGCAACACAGCAAGATCCTGTCCCTACAAAAAATGTAAAAAATTAGGTGGGCATGGTGGCGGACATCTGTGGTTCCAGCTACGAGGGAGGCTAAGGCGGGAGGATCGCTTGAGCTTGGGAAGTCGAGGTTGCAGTGAGCCATGATTGCACCACTGCACTCCCACCTGGGCAACAGAGCAAGACCCTGTATCAGAAAACAAACAAATGGCTGAGCATGGTGGCTCATGCCTATAATCCCAGCACTTTTGGGAGGCTGAGGTGGGTGGCTCACTTGAGGTCAGGAGTTCGTGACCAGCCTGGCCAACAAGGTGAAACGCTGTCTCCACTAAAAATACAAAAATTAGCTAGGCGTGGTGGTGCATGCCTGTAATCCCAGCTACTTGGGAGGCTGAGGCACGAGAATTGCTCGAACCCGGGAGGTGGAGGTTGCGGTGAGCTGAGATCAAGCCACTGCACTCCAGGCTGGCCAACAAAGCAAGACTCTATCTTAAACAAACATGCCAACAAACAAAAAACCCAAAACTTCACAGGGTTTGAGGATCCTCCTGAACACACACACACACACAGACACACACACACACCACTTCCCTTCATCTATGTTCCTACAGCCCCTGTGTGGTTCATTCACCTCGAATTACATTGCTAACTCTCTTCCCTGCTTTTTTGAGGGTAGGGTCTGTGTGGTCTTCATCCCAGAGCCTGGCATGGTGCCTACCATATGGTTCCCGTGCAGTAAATATCATTTATACTGGAGAAAGTAGAAATGTAAAGTGTGACACAAAGGGGAGGAATGGGGATAATTTTTATTCCTAGTTGGTCTTTTGGGAAATAGTTGTTGGGAGTAGCTGGAGGGGCCTGGAGACCTAAGGAGGGCATTCTGGTGTATTGGGTGGACAGAGACCTTGGTGCAGGGAATGGGGAAAAAGAAGAGCAGTTTGGAGCAGAGGAGCTTACAGTGTGTTTCACCTCCCAGTTTCCTCCTGCAGTTGACCTGCTTTTTGGTGGTTGTTGTCGTTGTTGTTGTTGTTGTTGTTGTTGTTTGAGAGAAGTGGAAATGGGGTCAGGGCCCAGCCCAGTAGCCTGCAGAGGGTAGGCCTGCAAATATTTCAAATATTTAGCCATAGCATCTGAGAGCTAGAAGGAAACACAGAGGTTTGAGGCAGGCTTCTCATTTTTACAACTAAGTAGAAAAGTACAAGCCAGAAGGCAGTGTCCCTTGCCCATCAAGATGACACATCAGGTAGTAGTGGCGAAGGGAATGTGGGTCTGTCAACTTCCAACCCAGGGCCCTGCCCTGCACCCCGCTTCCTCCAACACTTTGTCTGGACAATGAATGACTTGCATGGGAATGTTTCAGAAAGCGTGGTCATGTCTTCACTAGTCTTTTGTTCCATCCAACCGTCTAGCTGCCTCCTGCATGAGTCCACCTGGATGGCCCCCCAGGCATTTGAAATACAGATAGGCAAAACTGAGCTTGTTACCTTCTCCTGAGTCTTCTGCTCCCCCCTTGTTTCTGCTGTCAGCAAAGAGTGCCACCATTTGTTATTGCATCGTCCAGATTAGAAATCTGGGTGCGCTCCTTGACTCCTACTTCTCCCTCGCCCCCCAATCACTCCCAATGCCTGTCAATCCCACCTCCTGCTCTCTCCATTTCATCCCCGTCTCCAGTACTGAGGCTCCAGTTCAGGGTCTCCTCACATCCAGGCAGGCTCCTCATCAGTCTCATTACACTCAGACTCTAGTCCCCAGCAGCTCAAAGTGTCACCTGCAGGCTGTTTGTAAAATACAAACCTGGTCAAATGTCGATTGAAGTCCTGTGCTTGGTGCTAAATGAATGATGATGAACAAGACAGATGGGGTCCAAGGGTTGACCAGGGGAAGGGTGATATGGACAAGTATATTCTAATTATAATATACCACAGTGAGGGTTGTGGCAGGGGAAGTGCGGAGTGAGATGTGAACCTCGGGGAAGGACAGCTCCTGAAACTGGTGTGTGGTATGAGTTCATGTGAGTAGATGAATACTCCTAACCTAGTGAGATTTCAACATTTACGTCTCTCCTTGTGTCTTGTGGGCCGCGTGCACTGTCATTGAGAGTATGTGTGTATGCATGTGCTTGTCTGTGCATATGTGTGTTTCTGTTGGGATTGCATTTGGCCGTGAGTGACAGACAACCAAGGGAGTGGTGGCTTTAACAAAATGGAAGTTTATTTTTCTCTGACTTAAGGTCCAGACCCAAGTGGTCCAGGATTGCTGTGGTGTCTTGTGTGTGTGTGTTTCTTTTTTTGAGACAGGGTCTTGCTCTGTCACCCAGGCTGGAGTGCAGTGGCATAATCACAGCTCACTGCAGCCTCCAACTCCTGGACTCAAGCCACCCTCCTGGCCTCAGCCCGTGAGAACCTGCGACTACAGGTTTGCGTCACCACACATGACTAATTTTTCTTATTTTTGGCAGAGATGGGGTCTTGCCCTGTTGCGCAGGCTGGTCTTGACTTCCTGGCCTCAAGTGGTCCTCCCACCTTGACCTTCCAAAGTGCTAGGACTACAAGCATGAGCAACTGCACCCAGCAGGTTGCAAATTCTTTGACACTTCTCTCATTGAGCAGTTGGTCAGTGAGAGACTCAGCCTCACTGAGCTATAAATAAAAGGTTCAATTACTATAGGAGAAAAAGAATCTCATATTAGGGGAAGGTTAGTAGTCTATGTCACAGCGTGTGTGTGTGTGTGTGTGTGTGTGTGTGTGTGTGTGTGTGTGTAAAGTTTCTAAGTGTTCTCTGTCCCTTCTCCTTAAATGTTGGTGGACTTGTGACTGCCTTGACCCAAACAGTAGGTCTATTAGCATAGGCAGAAGTGATGGCAAGTACCTTCTGAGGCTCAGTTGTAACAGGCCATAGAGCATCTACTTTGATCGCTGAAATACTTGCTCCCGAAGCCTGGGCTGCCATGTAAGAAAGTCCAACTCTCCCGAGAGCTGGAGAGGCCACATGTGGATGTTCCAATTCGCAGTTCTGGCTGAGCCTTCCAGCTGCCCCTGCCAGCATGCCAGACATGAGTGAAGCCGTCATGGACCCTCCGAGCCAACCCGTGTACCAGCTAAACTCCACCAAGTGACCTCAGTCAATGGCACAAGGAGTAAAAAAATTATCCAGCTGAGCCTTGCCCGGAAGATGCACTTACCAACACAACGTTTATCCTTGTTGACCAGGGAGTAGTCGCATGGCCATACCTAGCTGAAAAGAAGGCTGGAAAAAATAAAGTCTTTATTCTGGGCAGACATTGCCTAGGTATAAATAAAAGTCCAATTACTATAGAAGAAGAGGAATCTCATATTAGAGGAAGGTTAACTCTGTCACAGCATGTGTGTGTGTGTAATGTAAAGTTTATATGTGTTTAGCACTGGAAAGTCATTCAATATTTGTTGGTTCTGTTACACAAATGAAGACCAGAGAGGTAGAGTGAGCTGCCCAAAGTCACACAGGAAGTGATAGTGCCCCGGGCCTTTAATATCAGCTCAGGAGCATCCAGGCAGTAGATGGACTAGGAATTTGCAGCTTCTGGTCCCAGGCCTGCCCTGTCACCTCCCAGGACTATACTCCTGGCACCTGTTCCACCTGTTGGTGGTGCCACCCACTTCCTTGTACCCACAGTCACTTCTGGGTGAATGAGGGGACCCTGGATTAGGGCAGTACTTTCCTAGCATCTTCCAGAAAAGAGGGAAGACAGGCAGGAGGTGGCCCCAGCCTAGAACCCTGGGCAACGCTTCTGAGTGTGGGCTGGGAAGCCATTGACAGGTGGGCCAACCTGGCTGAAGGACCTACAGTTGGACCTTTTGATCCTTGGAAGGAAGATGGCTAGGTAAGACATTAAGTCTTTCCTAGCCATCTTCCTGCTTCTGCATGGCAAAACCAGTTCACGCCAGCATTTCATCACATCCTCATCCAGGGAGGCACCCGTCCCATCTACTTGCTCATGGACAGCGGTTCCCGATGCTGGTGACTGGGCAGCCTGAGGAACACTGCCGAGTCTTGTGGTGCATCTGAATGGTGTGGCTCAGTGATTGGATGACCTCATGCAAGATGATTTTGCCCTCTGAGGATCAGCTTCCTCTTAAAATGAGGATCATAAGTGCCTTGTAGGACTTTTATGAGCATTAAATGAAATAATATTGGCCGGGCATGGTGGCTCACACCTGTAATCCCAGCACTTTGGGAGGCCGAGCGGGCAGATCACCTGAGGTCAGGAGTTCGAGATCAGCCTGACCAACATGGTGAGACCCCGTCTCTACTAAAAATACAAAAATTAGCTGCGCATGGTGGTGGGCGCCTGTAATCCTGGCTACTCAGGAGGCTGAGGCAGGAGAATCACTTGAACCTCCAGGCAGAGGTTGCAGTGAGCTGAGATTGTGCCCCTGGACTCCAGCCTGGGTGACAGAGCAAGACTCCGTCTACAAAATAAAAATAAAAATAAAAATAAAAATAAATAATATAGGTAAAGCGCTTATCACAATGCCTGGCCATAACAAGCACTTAACACATATTAGCCATGATTATTATTGCTATTAAGTCCTGCCAGGCTATAATATCTCTGGCTCTAAGAAAAAGGAAATTGGAAGAAATAATAATAACAATAAGTTCAGATATAGTTATTGATTATTATTATTATTAGAGACAGAGTCTCACTCTGGAGTGAGGCTGGAGTGCAGTGGAGTAATCTTGGTTCACTGTAGCCTCAACCTTCTGGGCTCAAGTGATTCTCCCGCCTCAGCCTTCCGAGTAGCCGGGACCGCAGGAGCACATCACCATGCCTAGCTATTTTTTTTACTTTTTGTAGAAACAAGGTCTCATTTTGTTGGCCTTGAATTCCTGAGCTCATGTGATCCTTCCACCTTGGCCCCACAGAATGCTGGGATTACAGGAGTGAGCCACTGCGCCCGAACTTGATGTGATGTTTTGCGGACCTTACCCATTTTTCCCTTACTGGCATTTTAACACTTCATGGCCACCACTGGCCCCTCTTCTAGGAGCTGGACTGTCCTGTGCTCGTTGCCTCAGAAGATGATGCTGCAGAAATAAAGTTGCTTCCTGGCCTAGTTCTCCAGAAACCCAGCCTTTAGGGGAATGGAGAGGCTTCTGAACATCGGCCACATAGTCGAAGGAAATACCATAAGTGAAAGCTGGGTGGGGCAGGTTTAAGGGGAGTGGGCTTCCCTTTAGAAACTAAAGAAGCTTCCTCCAGGCTGGTGGCAGAGGAAAAGCGATGACTATGTAGGTGGCCATGAGTTCCAGCAAGAATAACTCTACTGTGTATTTGGGGCCACAGCCTAGGCGAGCAGAAAGAGAATGGCCCCATTGTGAGGCTGGGCAAATGGGAACTTGCCTCCCTGGAATCCTGGAACATCAAGGCTGGCATGAATGTAGTAAAAAAAAAAGCCACCAGAAGCCAGGCGTAGTGGCACAAATCTGTAGTCCCAACTACTCAGGAGACTGAGACGGGAGGATGGCTTTAGCCCAGGAGTTCAAGGATACAGTGAGCTGCAATCATGGCACTGCACTCCAGCCTGGGTGACAGAGCGAGATATTGTCTCTAAAACAAAAAACAAAAAACACCCATGTGTGAGCCAATGACTAGCTGAACAGTGGATGACACAATGATACTAATCAGCTGCAGATGACACAGAGGCAGAGTGCTTCCACCCCTGCCTTTGGACACTTCGAAAATTTCCTGGTGCAGAAGGAGGGGGAAACTAAAATTGACTGGGATTAAACTGAGTTATACAAAAGCTAATACCTATTTCCTATACCCTGCAGTTGAGGGTGGAGTCATTCCTGCTACACTTGTGTCAAGTACTGTATAATTTATGATGTGAAGCCATGGAGTTTGAGTCAACCCAGATCTGAGTTTGAATTCCAGCTGTGTGACCCAAGGTAAGTTACCTAACCTCTCTGTTCCTCAGTTTCCTCTGCTACAATGAGGGGATCCTAATATCAATCTCATAGAGTTGGTAGGAGGATTTGAATAAGGAAAGGGATGTAAAGTTTTTATGTGTTTAGCACTGGAAAGCCACTCAATATTTGTTGGTTCTCCTACACAAATGAGGACCAGAGATGTAGAGTGAGTTGCCCAAAGTCACACAGGAAGCCATAGAGCCCTAGGCCCTTGGTTTCAGGCTTGAATGCTGAGAGAGGTCAGGAAGGCCAGAGAAGCTGGGCAGGCTTTCTGGAGAAGGTGGCCCTCTCTTGGGAAGGTGCTCCTAAACTTCATTCTCAAGCTTCGCTGCCCCTTCCACCAAAATGGGAAAAAGAACTGCTTTGGGGAGGGATAAGCCACAGCTCCTGATTCACTCCTGCCAGTGTAGACCAAGATCTCTTGGGGGCCAGGTGGTTTCCAAGCCAGGCCTCATCTGCCCTTCCACACGGGTGACCACACAGGACCCTCAGGGCGTTCACACCTGTGGAGCAAATTTAACAAATCTGGCAGGCCATGGGCACAGCTAGGTCCTGAGTGCTGGCAGTGGGGGGATTCTCGTGGCTTCTGTTGTGCCGAGTGGGCAGGATTTTGAGCACGAGGGATGCCCATTGTGTCTCCCAGCTTTTGTCCCAGCTTTTTCTGAGTTTTCCTCCTGCAGGGCCCCCAAGGCCTGGGGATAAACAGCCCACATTCTGCACATTCCCTGCTTTGCAGTACCCCTAAGCAGGCAGCAGATTTATTTGGACCTCCAGCTCTCAGAGACAACTACTGCCTTTCAGGTAAGAGAATGGTGGTCCTGGCTCTGGGGGTTTCCAGAAGGCAGAACCATACTCAGAGGGATTTAAGATAGACTGAAGGAGCATCTTGCTGATGGGGAGGAGAATGAGGCTCTGGAGCAGGTTTTGTCTATGGGTTTGGTTCAAGTTTTTCTCTTTTTTTTTTTGTCTTCTGGGATCATGAGATGTACAGGCCTTTCATGTCCTACCATCTCTCCTTTGGAGGCTGCAGAGTACAAAGGGCATAGGCTTTGGAGACAGCAGACCTAGATTGAAATCCCAGCTCTGACATTCAGTTTTCTCATCCATAAAATGGGAAAAACTATATATAATTATATATATGGAATAACTATATATATCCTTATTATAAATTCCATATAGCCATTCATTCAAAATGCTTTCATTGATTTTTGAGGAATACTTGTACCAGTAACCAACCTAAGGTTATGAATGATAGACAACTGTAGTTTTGACAGGAATGTTGGTTGATACTCTCATTTAAGTTGAGGAGGAAGATGAAAGTGAAACAATGAAAATTTTTGTCCTGAATTTCATTCCTTATTCAATGACGTGAGCAACCTCTTTGGTGAATCAGATAGTAGTTTACAAACACTGGAAGAATATTTCCTTGAATTCTTGTGCTATTCATTACGTAATGGCTACAGACAAGACACACTATTAAGTTTAATCTACATAATTAACAATTTCTCCATCAGTTTTTTTTTTTTTTTTTTTTGAGACAGAGTTTTGCTCTTGTTGCCCAGGCTGGAGTGCAAAGGTGCCATCTCAGCTCACCGTAATCTCCGCCTCCTGGGTTCAAGTGATTCTCCTTCCTCAGCCTCCCGAGTAGCTGGGATTATAGGCATGTGTCACCATGCCCGGCTAATTTTATATTTTTAATAGAGTTGGGGTTTCTCCTTGTTGGTCAGGCTGATCTCGAGCTCCCGACCTCAGGTGATCTGCCCACCTCAGCCTCCCAAAGTGCTGGGATGACAGACGTGAGCCACCGTGCCCGGCCTCCATCAATATTTTAAGTCTCAACAATCAACGAAACAATAGATCAAGCCCTGTTTTGCAGTTTTGCTGATTTCCATACTCTTACCATGGCCAAGTTCATGCTACCAATGTGACATCACTGAGCATGGAGTTGGGAGGAGATTTACAGCAGCACACCACAGTATTGCACTTCCGCCACACAGATGTAATAGACATTCATAATCTCAAGAACATAGATAATAGGAAAGTGTAGTAAAATAATTAGGAAGTTATGAGTTTTGTTTTGAAGATAATTTATTTAATTGTAAGTTTATATAATTTAATTTTTTATAATGACTGTGCTTAACCGACTCTGAAAAGTTGACAATCAGCTCTTGTGAGATGGTGCAAGCTGGCTGCAGCTCACCAGTGCTCAGGAGAGAAGGTGGGCCTTGTAAATGGGAGGAGTTGGCAGGGTGTGGCTAAGGGAAATTGGGCAGCACCCCCCTTTCCTAAATGGGAAACCACTAACCAGGTCCCAAAAGCTATTGCCCATGATGTGTAGGGTTGTCAGATTATCCAATTTTCTTTCCCAGAAATCTGGGTTTTTATGCGATTCTCTTGATTTAAGAAAATTGGCAACAAGTGAAGACATTTTTGCAAACATAGTGCAAGCCAAACAAAACCTATTTGTGTGCAGAATGCAGCCTGTGGGCCCCTCTCTGCCTTCACACATGCCTCATGAACTCTCCTGTTAGGGACCCATTGAGCAGGGCCAGGACTAGGGTGAGGGGAGTGAGGCACTCACTTCAGTCATAGTACTCAATGGGATGCAAACAACTCAGTAATCAAAATAAACAATATTTTAATGCCATATTAAAAAAAATTTTTAGGGGTGGGGTCTTTCTATGTTGCCCAGGCTGGATTCAAATTTCTAGGCTCACACAATCCTCCCACCTCAGCCTCCCGAGTAGCTGAGACTATAGGTGCACCCCACTGTGCCTGGCCAATGCCATATTTTTTAGCAATCAAATTAATGCAAAAAAAAATCCATATTGAACAAAATATTTTCAATAAAGACAGAATCAGTAACAGTATCATGCCAGGGCACACTGGAGCCTGAGGCAAAAGGAAAAATCCATAATACTGATTTGGGACTAGGGGAGCTTAATGTGCACTTGTTAATGGAGCTTAATGGCACCATCAGTGCCATTCTCTGGCCCAGTGTTCTAGGGCTTTGGGGAGGGCAAGGATACATTAAGATCTGAAGCTGGGAAACTTCCTTCCAGACCTTGGCTCTTCTTGAAGGCTTCTGTTTTCCATGTGGCTCTTAGGAAGGCCCAGAGAATGCTTGCTTAGCAACCTGCCGCAACCCCAGAAGATCTGAGTTTAGAAGGGGAGCGGAATCCATCCACAGTGGAGCTGATTTGCATGACAGGGCTTGTCATTGCTGAGGACCTGGGGAGTCACCACTCCCGACCCTGCAAGGTCCTTGCTGTGTGACTTTGCGCAGCTGACTGGAGCTTCACAATTTCCTAGGATATGGGGCCTATGTTTATTCTCCCTGACTTCCAGCCAGTCACAACATGTTGTTTACCCCTTGTGGAGTTTGACGTTGTATTGTTTTTTCTTTTTCTTTTTTTTTTTTTTAATTTTAGTTTAAGTTCTGGGATACATGTGCAGAACGTGCAGGTTTGTTACATAGGTACACATGTGCCATGGTGGTTTACAGCTCCTACCAGCTCGTCATCTAGGTTTTAAGCCCCGCATGCATTAGGTATTTGTCCTAATGCTCTCCCTCCCCTTGCCCCCCACCCTGCGACAGGCCCCCGTGTGTGATGTTCCCTTCCCTGCGTCCATGTGTTCTCATTGTTCAACTCCCTCTTATGAGTGAGAACATGCAGTGTTTGGTTTTCTGTTCCTGTGTTAGTTTGCTGAGAATGATGGCTTCCAGCTTCATCCATGTCCCTGCAAAGGACATGAACTCATTCCTTTTTTTTTTTTTTGAGATGGAGTCTCGCTTTGTCACCCAGGCTGGAGTGCAATGGTGCCATCTCGGCTCACTGCAACCGCCATCTCCCAGGTTCAAGTGATTCTCCTGCCTCAGCCTGCTGAATAGCTGGGATTACAGGTGCCCACCACCATGCCCAGCTAATTTTTGTATTTTTAGTAGAGATGGGGTTTCACTATAATGGCCAGGTTGGTCTCGAACTCCTGGCCTCAAGAGATCCCCCCGCCTTGGCCTCCCAAAGTGCTGGGATTACAGGCGTGAGCCACCGTGCCTGGCTGAGTTTTACATTTCACATCCTAGAATATAAAGGTCAATTCTTTTCTCCCCGGTTTCCAAGCAGAAAAACACTTTGTTTAGCATATATCAGTGGTTCTCAAATAAGGGTGGGGGTAATGTTGTCCATCAGAAGACATTTGACAATAAAGGCATTTTTGGTTGTCGTGGCCAGGAGCAGGGGTGCTACTAGCATCTACCAGGAATGCTGGAGGCCAGGAATGCTGCTAACCCTCCTACAATGCCCAGGGCAGTTTCCTACACTGTAGTATTATCTAGTCCAAAATGTGAATATGCTGAGGTTAAAGCTGAAGTTAGGAAACCCTGGCCTATAAAGATAGATCCCTGCCCCATTTTCAAAGTTCTCCTAGGAGACTATATTCTCTTCCATTGCCTTAAAGCTCTGGCAACCAGAAACTTCTAACTCATTCACTCCTATTGTTATTTATAACTTTTTTCCCTTCTAACTTCAAGAGAGATAGAAAACAAGCTCCTCAATCCCCACTCTCTTCTTGGGCTAACTGGCATTTCCCCCTCGCTATTCTATGCCTTGTTGATTTCTCTCTTTTTCACCCTTCTCCCACCAGGGCTCAAATCAAGAGAAGCAGGGGCTCAGTTCTGGCTTTTGGGGTTTGAGAATGAGCCCCAGCCTCTGCTCTGTGGAGAGGCAGGCCAGGGAGACAGGAGCTGACAAGGATGAGCAGGGAGCTCACCAGATGATTAATAAATATTTGAACCATGGGGGGCAGGTAGTTTCCTTTTGCCACCCCCTCCTGGATGTCTTTGCTTGGCCAGAAAAGAAGGCCAGGTGTGGTGGCTCATGCCTGTAATCCCAGCACTTTGGGAGACTGTGGCAAACGGATTGCTTGATCCCAGGAGCTCCAGACTAGCCTGGGCAACATGGTGAAACCCCTTCTTCATCAAAAAACACAAAAATTAGCTGGGTGTGGTGGCGCAGCTACTTGGGAGGTTGAGATGGGTGAATCACCTGAGTCCAGGGAGGTTGAGGCTGCAGTGAGCTGTGATCGCACCACTGCACTCCAGCCTGGGCAACAGAGTGAGATCCTATCTCAAAAAAAAAAAAAAAAAAAAAAGGGAAAGAAAATGCCCAGAAGCCTCCATCTCCCAAGTGCCTCCATCTCCCAGGTGCCTGCTGCCTGACCAAGGAGGCATACATAAACTTCCAGCCCTGCAGGAACTTCTGCTTCCTAAATGGTGGTGGTGAGGAGTTTAAATACTCAGACTGGGGGTTTCTAGTATTTTCTTCCTGAAGAGTGAAGAGAAGGGGTTTGGGGCAGCAGGAGAGGAGCTGCTAAGAGCAATAATAATAGCTTCTATTTATCACTGAGCACCCCTACCAGGTGCCAGGTACTGAGGAAGGTCCTGCCCACCCCCCACCATTTGGTTATATAAGCTTTTTGGGTTTTTTGTTTTTTGTTTTTTGTTTTTGAGACAGAGTCTCGCTCTGTTGCCCAGGCTGGAGTGCAGTGGTGTGATCTTGGCTCACTGCAACCTCCGCCTCCTGGGTTCAAGTGATTCTCATGCTTCAGCTTCACAAGTAGCTGGAATTACAGGCACGCACCACCATGCCCAGCTAATTTTTATATTTTTAGTAGAGATGAGGTTTCACCATGTTGGCCAGTCTGGTCTTGAACTCCTGACCTCAAGTGATCCACCCACCTCGGCCTCCCAAAGTGCTGGGATTACAGGCGTGAGGCACCGCGCCCAGCCATTTTGGTTTTTTTTTGAGAGAGAGTCACTCTGTAGCCCAGGCTGGAGTGCAATGGCACGATCTTGGCTCACTGCAACCTCCGCCTCCCAGGTTCAAGTGATTCTTGTGCCTCAGCCTCCCGGGTAGCTGGGACTACAGGCGTGCACCACCATGCCTGGCTAATTTTTGCATTTTTAGTAGAGACAACGTTTCACCACGTTGGTCAGGCTGGTCTGGAACTCCTAACCTCAAGTGATCTGCCCACCTTGGCCTCCCAAAGTGCTGGAATTATAGTCATGAGCCACTGTGCCCGGCCAATTATATAATTTTTTGTAGTAAAATATACATATAAAATTTACCATTCTGGCCGGGTGCGGTGTCTCATGCCTGTAATCCCAACACTTTGGGAGGCCAAGATGGGTGGATCACCTGAGATCAGGAGTTTGAGACCAGCCTGGCCAACATGGGGAAACCCCGTCTCTACTAAAAATACAAAAACTAGCCAGGCATGGTGGTGCGTGCCTGTAATTCCAGCTACTCGGGAGGCTGAGGCAGGAGAATCACTTGAATCCAGGAGACGGAGGTTGCAGTGAGCTGAGATCATACCACTGCACTCCAGCCTGGGCAACAGAGCGAGACTCTGTCTCAGTAAATAAATAAATAAATAAAATAAAAATTTGCCATTCTAGCCATTTTTAGGTGTACACTTCATTGGCATTAAGTATCTCCACAGTGTGGCACAGCTGTTATCACTCTCCACGCCCAGCACTTTCTCATCATCCCAAACTCTGCACCCATTAAATAATAACTCCCCATTCCCCCTCTCCTAGCCCCTGGGAACCTCTGTTCTACTTCCTGCCTCTATGAATTTTGGGCAGAGTTTTTAGTAATATATTATCTCTCATTGTCAATATGTCTTTGTCATTCTATGTTAAAAATCTCTACTTCACAGACAGGAAAACAGGCCCAGAGGAGTTAAGTAATTGGCCCCAAAGCCACACAACTAGCAAGTGACAGAACCAGGATTTGAACCCAGGTCTGTCTGGCTCCAAAGGCCAGAGAAAGGAGGGGCAAAGAGGGAGAATGGAGGAGCTGCCTGAAGTGAGGAACGGGTGAGGAATGGAGGAGGCTTGCATTTTCTTTCTTTCCCTTCCACGGACAGCTTGCTCAGGAACGCTGACTGGGTGTCCCTCTCTCTCTCTGACCTACCTAATTTAGGCCTGGAGCTTTGAATGAGAACAGGTGGGTTTTTTTCCTGCCTGGTGCCTCTGTTTCCCCAATTTCATCTGATATCCTTCCTAGCTGTGATAAGGAGGAGCCAGCAGTGGGGGAAATTTGAACTCTGGGCTCTGAGTAAAATCTGGCAGAGCTTCCTCCGGAACCTCCCTCCTCTCAGGCCTTTCTGTTCCTGGACAAGTTGACCAGTGTGTGAGTCTATCTGAGCAGCTCCCTTGTGCTGGCTGCTCTGTAGGGCACAACAACAAGATAAGGCTTGATAACAGGGAATGAGGCCAGCCAGAATGTGCACAGGGATCCTGCATAGCAGTGAGCATAAGGAATTCAGGGATGCAGGCATTCGGGGTGGGTTGGAATAGTCAGGGGAGAATTCCTAGAGGAAGTGGGTCTCAAGAGGTGGGTAGGGTTGGGATGAAAGAAAAAGCAAAGAGTGTTCTTGGAGATGGGAATAATTCAGAAGTCTTGGAGAGTACGCCTCTCTCTGGAGCTCTGGGAACCCCAATGATGGAGGAATTCTATCATCTACCCATTCATTCTTTCACTCATTCATTTAATAAACATATATTAAACACTTACTTCATATTTAGAGTGGTGATGGCCGGGTGCGGTGGCTCACACCTATAATCTGCACTTTGGAAGGTCGAGGTGGGCGGATCGCTTGAGCCCAGGAGTTTGAGACCAGCCTGGGCAACATGGTGAAACCTCGTCTCTACAAAAAATACAAAAATTAGGCAGGCATGGTGATGCACGCCTATAGTTCCAGCTACTTGGGAGGCTGAGGTGGCAGACTGAGGTAGGAGGATCACTTGAGCCTGTGAGGCAGAGGTTGTGGTGAGTCCAGATTGTGCCACTGCTTTCTAGCCTGAGTACAGAGTGAGACCTTATCTCGAAAAATAATAAGAGTAGTGACAAGACTTCCTGGAGCCGCCGGCCGGGGCCGCTGGCTGCACTCAGCGCCGGAGCCGGGAGCTAGCGGCCGCCGCCATGTCCCACCAGACCGGCATCCAAGCAAGTGAAGATGTTAAAGAGATCTTTGCCAGAGCCAGAAATGGAAAGTACAGACTTCTGAAAATATCTATTGAAAATGAGCAACTTGTGATTGGATCATATAGTCAGCCTTCAGATTCCTGGGATAAGGATTATGATTCCTTTGTTTTACCCCTGTTGGAGGACAAACAACCATGCTATATATTATTCAGGTTAGATTCTCAGAATGCCCAGGGATATGAATGGATATTCATTGCATGGTCTCCAGATCATTCTCATGTTCGTCAAAAAATGTTGTATGCAGCAACAAGAGCAACTCTGAAGAAGGAATTTGGAGGTGGCCACATTAAAGATGAAATATTTGGAACAGTAAAGGAAGATGTATCATTACATGGATATAAAAAATACTTGCTGTCACAATCTTCCCCTGCCCCACTGACTGCAGCTGAGGAAGAATTACGACAGATTAAAATCAATGAGGTACAGACTGACGTGGGTGTGGACACTAAGCATCAAACACTACAAGGAGTAGCATTTCCCATTTCTCGAGAAGCCTTTCAGGCTTTGGAAAAATTGAATAACAGACAGCTCAACTATGTGCAGTTGGAAATAGATATAAAAAATGAAATTATAATTTTGGCCAACACAACAAATACAGAACTGAAAGATTTGCCAAAGAGGATTCCCAAGGATTCAGCTCGTTACCATTTCTTTCTGTATAAACATTCCCATGAAGGAGACTATTTAGAGTCCATAGTTTTATTTATTCAATGCCTGGATACACATGCAGTATAAGAGAGCGGATGCTGTATTCTAGCTGCAAGAGCCCTCTGCTAGAAATTGTAGAAAGACAACTACAAATGGATGTAATTAGAAAGATCGAGATAGACAATGGGGATGAGTTGACTGCAGACTTCCTTTATGAAGAAGTACATCCCAAGCAGCAGGCACACAAGCAAAGTTTTGCAAAACCAAAAGGTCCTGCAGGAAAAAGAGGAATTCGAAGACTAATTAGGGGCCCAGCGGAAACTGAAGCTACTACTGATTAAAGTCGTCACATTAAACATTGCAATACTAGTTTTTTAAAAGTCCAGCTTTTAGTACAGGAGAACTGAAATCATTCCATGTTGATATAAAGTAGGGAAAAACATTGTACTTTTTGGAAAATAGCACTTTTCACTTCTGTGTGTTTTTAAAATTAATGTTATAGAAGACTCATGATTTCTATTTTTGAGTTAAAGCTAGAAAAGGGTTCAACATAATGTTTAATTTTGTCACACTGTTTTCATAGTGTTGATTCCACACTTCAAATACTTCTTAAAATTTTATACAGTTGGGCCAGCTCTAGAAAGTCTGATGTCTCAAAGGGTAAACTTACTACTTTCTTGTGGGACAGAAGGACCTTAAAATATTCATATTACTTAATGAATATGTTAAGGACCAGGCTAGAGTATTTTCTAAGCTGGAAACTTAGTGTGCCTCGGAAAAGGCCGCAAGTTGCTTACTCCGAGTAGCTGTGCTAGCTCTGTCAGACTGTAGGATCATGTCTGCAACTTTTAGAAATAGTGCTTTATATTGCAGCAGTCTTTTATATTTGACTTTTTTTTTAATAGCATTAAAATTGCAGATCAGCTCACTCTGAAACTTTAAGGGTACCAGATATTTTCTATACTGCAGGATTTCTAATGACATTGAAAGACTTTTAAACAGCCTTAGTAAATTATCTTTCTAATGCTCTGTGAGGCCAAACATTTATGTTCAGATTGAAATTTAAATTAATATCATTCAAAAGGAAACAAAAAATGTTGAGTTTTAAAAATCAGGATTGACTTTTTTCTCCAAAACCATACATTTATAGGCAAATTGTGTTCTTTATCACTTCTGAGCAAATACTCAGATTTAAAATTACTTTAAAGTCCTGGTACTTAACAGGCTAACGTAGATAAACACCTTAATAATCTCAGTTAATACTGTATTTCAAAACACATTTAACTGTTTTCTAATGCTTTGCATTATCAGTTACAACCTAGAGAGATTTTGAGCCTCATATTTCTTTGATACTTGAAATAGAGGGAGCTAGAACACTTAATGTTTAATCTGTTAAACCTGCTGCAAGAGCCATAACTTTGAGGCATTTTCTAAATGAACTGTGGGGATCCAGGATTTGTAATTTCTTGATCTAAACTTTATGCTGCATAAATCACTTATCGGAAATGCACATTTCATAGTGTGAAGCACTCATTTCTAAACCTTATTATCTAAGGTAATATATGCACCTTTCAGAAATTTGTGTTCGAGTAAGTAAAGCATATTAGAATAATTATGGGTTGACAGATTTTTAAAATAGAATTTAGAGTATTTGTGTGGGGTTTTGTTTGTTTACAAATAATCAGACTATAATATTTAAACATGCAAAATAACTGAGAATAATGTTGCACTTGTTTACTAAAGATATAAGTTGTTCCATGGGTGTACACGTAGACAGACACACATACACCCAAATTATTGCATTAAGAATCCTGGAGCAGACCATAGCTGAAGCTGTTATTTTCAGTCAGGAAGACTACCTGTCATGAAGGTATACAATAATTTAGAAGTGAATGTTTTTCTGTACCATCTATGTGCAATTATACTCTAAATTCCACTACACTACATTAAAGTAAATGGACATTCCAGAATATAGATGTGATTATAGTCTTAAACTAATTATTAAACCAATGATTGCTGAAAATCAGTGATGCATTTGTTATAGAGTATAACTCATCGTTTACAGTATGTTTTAGTTGGCAGTATCATACCTAGATGGTGAATAACATATTCCCAGTAAATTTATATAGCAGTGAAGAATTACATGCCTTCTGGTGGACATTTTATAAGTGCATTTTATATCACAATAAAATTTTTTCTCTTTACAAAAAAAAAAAAAGAGTAGTGACAAATAAGATACAGTTTCTGCCATTGAATGATTCGCAGTCAAGTAATGGAGATAATTCTTATGTTTTAAATGAAATTTGTTTATAAATGGAAATTACAGACATTATGTTCAGCAGACAATGCACTAAGCAGGAGACCACCATGGGCATGGTCAGTCCTTTCTGGGATAGGATCAGGAAACTTCCTTGGAGAAGGTACTGCTTGAACTGAATGTTGGGAGGTAAGTAAGAATTGGCTGGAAGACAGTGGGGCTGGACAGGCAGAGGAAGAGGGTGAGTGACTGCTCAGGAGCATGAAGCTGTCTGCAGGTGTGTAGGGCTTCCAGGAAGTCTGAGAGCTGAAGGGTAAGGAGGACACAGATGGGGCTGGAGGTGTAGGCAGAGACTAGATTAGAGAGGGTCTTACATGCCTTCTTGGGGAGTTAGGCTTTATCCCAAGGACAATGGAAGCCATTGGAGAGTGAGTTGTTTATTTATTTATTTATTTATTTATTTATTTATTTTTTCTGAGACAGGCTCTCATTCTGTCACCAAGGCTGGAGTGCAGTGGCATGATCTTGGCTCACTGCAACCTCCACCTCCCAGGCTCAAGTGATCCTCCCACCTCAGCCTCCCAAGTAGCTGGGATTACAGGCATGCACCACCACACCCAGCTATTTTTTGTATTTTTTGTAGAGACGGGGTTTCACTGTGTTGCCCAGACTGGTCTCAACTTCTGAGATCAAGTGATACATCCACCTTGGCCTTCCAAAGGGTTGGAATTACAGGCGTGAGCCTTTGCACGCGGCTGAGTTTTGATGAGGGAGATGAAACCATATGCATAACCAGATATGCATTTTAGGAATGCAGCCATTTAGCCAGGTGTGGTGGCACGTGCCTGTAGTCCCAGCTACTCAGGAGGTTGAGGCAGGAGAATTGCTTGAACCCAGGAGGTGAGGTTACGGTGAGCTGAGATCACACCACTGCTCTCCAGCCTGGGCGACAGAGCAAGACTCCGTCTCAAAAAAAAAAAAAATCTATAGGAATGCAGCCATTTGAGGGTAGATCAAAGGGACAAAACTGGAGGCAGAGCAAGTTACTAGGAGGTTAGTGTAATAATGCCGGCAAGAGAAAGGGGAAGGTCTGGACTAAGTCTATGCCATGGACTGATGAGAAGGCAGTGGGTGTGAGAGATATTAAGGAAGTAGTACTGTGGGGACTTGGTTACCAATTAGATGAGGAGAAGCGAGAGGGAGAAATGATGGATAATGATCAGGATTTGGGCAACTTGGATGATGGTGCCATTCACCAAGACAGGAAGAGGAGTAGCTTTGGAGGAGAGATAATAATACTTAATATTAATGAAGTACTTACCATGTGCCAAGCACTTTTCTAAGTCCTTTACATACATTAACTCAAGTAACCCATACAACTCTATGAGGTAAATCCCCTTAGAATCTCCATTACACAGATGAAGAAACAGAAGCATAGAGAGTTTAAGCAACTTGCTCGAGGTTACACAGCTCTGGGTGTCTAAGTCTGAGTTCATAGCCACTATAACACTCCTTTCCAGGAGAGTAAGTTTTGTTTGTTTGTTTGTTTTGAGAAAGAGTCTCACTCTGTCACCCAGGCTGGAGTGAAGTGGCATAATCTCGGCTCACTGCAACCTCTGTCTCCCAGGTTCAAGTGATTCTCCTGCCCCAGCCTCCTGAGTAGCTGCGATTACAGGCACCTGCCACCACACCCAGCTAGTTTTTGTATTTTTAGTAGAGCTGGGGTTTCACCATGTTGGCCAGGCTGATCTCAAAAACTCCTGACCTCAGACGATCCGCCTGCCTCAGCCTCCCAAAGTGCTGTAATTACAGGCGTGAGCCACCACACCCGGCCCAGGAGAGTATGTTTAATGTGAGTTGGAAATGCCTGTGGCCATCCTAGTGGACTGCGTCCTCCAGGACCAGTAAGAGGCTTAAAGTATCCTGAGGAACATTAATGTCTACAGAGTGGAGAGAAGAACAGCACATTGACTCAAACGGAGCAGCCAGGGAGATAAGAGTCAAGACAACTTGGCTTCCTGAAAGTTAAGGAGGAAGAAGGAAGGTTCTCAGTAGGATCTCCAGGATTCTGTTTAGGAGGGAGTTAGAGAAGGCAATCAGTTACAGGGAAGGCTGGGGTCTGGTCTTTACCCTGAGTTTGTATAGTAAGCATGCTACGTACTGCTGCGTAGTAAGCAGGCTACGTACTGTGTCAGCTGGGTGCAGTGGCTCACGACCGTAATCCCAGCACTTTGGGAGGCTGAGGTGGGAGGATCGCTTGAGGCCAGGAGTTCGAGACCAGCCTGGGTGAGATAAGAAGACTCCCTCAAGCCTCTACAAAATATATATATTATATATTATATAATATATATTATATATAATATATATTATATAATATATATTATATATAAAATATATATAATATATATTATATAATATATAATATATATAAAATATATTATATAATATATAATATATAAAAAATATATAATATATATAATATATATAATATACAATATATATAATACACACACACACACACACACACACACACATATTTTCTGAGATGGCGTCTCACCCTGTCGCCCAGGCTGGAGTACAGTGGCATGATGAGCTCGGCTCACTGCAGCCTCCGCTTACTGGATTCAAGCGATTTTCCTGCCTCAGCCTCCCGAGTAGCTGGGACTACAAGGCATGCGCCACCACGCCTGGCTAATTTTTGTATTTTTAGTAGAGTCAGGAGTTGGGGTTTTGCCATGTTGGCCAGGCAGTCTCGAATTTCTGGCCTCAAGTTATCTGCATGCCTCAGCCTCCCAAAGTGCTGGGGTTACAGGCATGAGCCATGGTGCCCGGCAAATTTTTTTTTTAATTAGCTGGGCATGTGGGACACACCTGTAGTCCTAGCTACTCAGGAGGCTGAGGCAGGAGGATCACTTCCGCCTAGGAGTTTGAGGTTACAGTGAACTATGTTCATGTTACTGCACTCCAGCCTGGGTGACAGAGTAAGACCCTGTCTCTAAAAAAATACAATAAATAAATAAACTACATGTTTATTTGAGAGGCAGAAGGGAGAGTGTTGACAGAAATAATGGGTGTAAATGCCCCACAAGCTATACCCTTGGGAATTTTTTCAGTAATTCTCAGGGTCAGAAGCTGCAGAAATGTAAAGTAAAATGAGATTGTTGCAATATGAGGCCTTAAGGAGAATCCACTGGACAGAGACAGGAGGATGTAAGGCCTGTCTCTTTCAAACCCTGACATAGTAGTCAAAAAACATGTTACCCTGGACTCGGAAGAAACACAATCTAGGTCATGAATTTCCACCGTGGCATCTTGGGAGAAATATGCCTGGTACTATGTCGATCTGAAGAAAATGCCAAGACAGTTGGGAGGCCCGAAAGCCTGTTGAGTTAGGAAGAGTTCAGTGGAAGCCTAACTGTAATAGAAGTGTGCAGCCTGTCTTGGTGAATGTTGGGCTGCGTTGGGCTCCTTCTGGGAGTCACTGCTTCCATCTTTTCTTCTGCAGTGTCCTTTTCTCTGCCAGCTTGTTCTTCCCATCCTTGTCAGGCAGCGAGTGGCATGCCTGGGCGTCAGGCACAGATGGAGCTGGAGCTCTTGCTGTGGGCCAGAAATAGCTTTGCAAATATCTGGCTGTGGGGGCATTATGTTTTCGTCCCCTTCCCTTCCTGTCCCCTCACTTCAATTTCTTGTGATTTCTGTGTCCACAGAAATCACAAGATGAGCGACTGGTCATTCCTGGGCTGGCTCCTGACCCGAGTGCAGAACGATTCCACCGTGGTTGGCAAGGTATGGCTCACTGTCCTGGTCTTACACATCCTGCTTGTCGCCCTGCTGGGAAGTGCTGTCTGTGGGATGAGCACTGCAAGTTCATCTGCAATACCCTGCGGCCTGGCTGCACCAATGACCACTTCTCCCACTTCCGCTGGGGCTTTCCAGATTGTGCTGGTGGCCGTACCCTCCATCTTCTTTGTTGTCTGTGTGCTGCACTAGATGGTGAATGGGAGACAGTGGATGTGGAGAGGGGGTACCTGCTGGAAACCGTGCAAGAGCTGGCAGCTGGAGGGGCTCTCCCTGGACCCAGGCTGGGGCCCCTTGGGGCTTCTTTCTTTCTAGAGGGGCAGCTCTTAGTAGGAGAGGAGGTTTTTCCCCAAATGCCTTGGGGCTGCCACCTGGTACCCCAGCCTGCAGTCATACAGGGTCCTGGCTGTCTGCACTGCCCACGTGGTGCTGCGGGCCTGCATGGAGCTGGCCTTCCTGGTGGGGTCTACTCTCTGGGTGTGATATGCCATGGTTGCTTCACTGCCACTCCTCCCCTGTCCCTCCAGTCCTGACTGCTTTGTGTCCAGAGCCATGAGGAAGAAAATCTTCCTGAACTTCATGTGCAGGTGGGGTTGGGCTGCTTCCTCCTGAACCCGATGGAGTTGTGCTACCTGGGCTGGGTCTTCCCTTGCCAGGCACGCTCTGTGGCCTGCACCAGCTAGTGCTACTTCTGCTCCACTGTGATGAGGAAGGACCGTGCTCCAGGTGCCCTCCTGCTGGTGAGTGCCCCAGCAGTGCAGGCCCCAGCACCGCACGCCCCATGCTCACTGCCCGGTGGTGACAAGCAGCTGGCTTAGGGTAGCAGCAGAGACCTGACACTCCCCCCCAGCAATGCCACTCAGCAAAAAAATCCTGCCATCCTGCTTGGTCTTTGAGGGTGGGGAATGTGGAGTGGGAGTGGAAAACCCTGCTTCTTTCTGAAGATGTTACCTCAACAGACACAGTTTAGTGAAGTGATGAAGAGTGAGGCCTCTGGAACCCAGGTTCAAATCCCAGCTCTGCCATTTACCAGTGGTGTAACCTCAGACAAATTGCTTAACTTCTCTGTACCCCAGTTTCTCTAACTGAAAAACGGAAATCATAATAGATCCTCACTCCTACTTCATAGGAATGCTGTGAGGGTGAAATGAGTTTATACATGTAAAGTGCTTATAGATAGTAGCTGGTAACAAACGTTAGCCATTTGTATTAACCTCAGCTGCCTACAGCGTTGCTTTTGCTTGCCTAGCTTCCTGGGCCACCCACAATTGTGGAATCTATTGTCAATTCCTCCCTCAGTTGCTCTTACGGCTGTTGGAAGCCAAGTCCCCACACATTCTTCCTTGTAAGTCTCTCCTACACCTGTCCCCTCTGTTGGGTCCCCAAGTCATCTTCCTTGTTCAAGTTTGTATTTTCGGCCCCCTGCACTGCTGTTGCTGAACCTGCCAGGCACCTCTCTGCCTGCACTGCCCTTTCCTCTATTCCAACATACACCTGCCTCGCTGTGGAATCTCCTTGAATTAATCACTTAAAGTTCCTATGCCTGGAAACCAGCATCTTCCATGAGCCAGCCTGGACCTCCTTTTCTAGCCGGATCACCTACTTTTTCCAAAGAAGCCCTCCATTCTAGCCACACCAGGAGCTGTGCCTGGGGCTCCCTCCCCTACCTCCCACCCTTTGCTTGTGTTCCCTCCCGGGGACCTCTGACGTGGGAGGCTTCAGGACTAAGTTCGAATCCTGCCCCGCCACTCGGTGGTTGTGTGAGCTTGCGTAAGCTACTTGGTCTTCTGGTGATCAGTTTCCTGCTGTGTCAGAAGAGACTAATCATACTTTCTTCACAGGGTCATTGTGAGGATTAAACAAGATACTCTGAGTAAAGTGCAAGGCACACAATGTTCATCAATGAGTAGTAGATGCCATGATTATCACCTACATTCTACTATTATTGCTCAGATACTACCTTTTTTCTGTGCAACGTTCCTTGACCACTGCTCTGATTTTTTTCCTCTGTGCCTCCAAGGCAATTTCACTTAACAATTAGTCACGCAGTATTTTGTGACTTCCCCTTTACTGTGGTCTTCAGCAGTTATTTAAATCCCATCCTGCTGTGTAACTTTGCACATGTCTCTCATTGGTCTTTCATCTCAGTTGCAAGGAGGGGTGGTGACGATGTGCTTTGCAGGAAGAGGACACAAGCTTCTGCTCCCAGCTTAGCACTTTGCGTGGAATAGGAGCTCAACTCATATATGCCGATTTAATTAATTTTGAAATCTTTAGGCTACAATTAGAACTGAGTCCAGACTGAGCTGTACTTGAGGCATGTCAGAAAAGCAGAGTGACAGACATTCCTCCAGTGTCTTCCACAACTTGGGCCGATTTCTAACAATCCTTTAACAACTAAAAAAGTTCCTTGCAGGGTCTAATTTCAGTCCTGCTTGCTGCAATTGAAGCTGCTTTTCAGCCTCAGATTATTGATGTCTAGGTCCTAAAAAGTGTGTGTGGCGGGGGCGGCAGGCGCAGTGGCTCACGCCTGTAATCCCAGCATTTTGGGAGGCCAAGGCGGGCAGTTGCCTGAAGTTGGGAGTTCGAGACCAAGCTGGCTAACATGGTGAAACCCCGTCTCTACTAAAAATAAAAAAATTAGCCAGGCATGGTGGTGCACGCCTGTAGTCTCTGCTACTCAGGAGGCTGAGGCAGGAGAATCACTTGAATCCAGGAGGCGGAGGTTGCAGTGAGCCGAGATCACACCTCTGAACTCCAGCTTGGGAGACACAGCAAGACTCCATCTCAAAAAAAAAAAAAAAAGTGAGGGGGACAATATCTAGGATAATTGGAGATGTCAACCTCCTGTGACCCAGCAATTCTATTCCTAAATATATGCACCAGAAAATATCTTGCACAGTGAGCACCTGAAGATATGTCTCACAATGTTCATAGCAGCATTATTTTGCAAATAGCAAAAACCAGAAACAACCATGAATATTTATCAACAGAATAGACAGACTGTGTTATATTCACATCATGGAATATTATACAACAGTGAAATGAATAAATTAGAGCTAATCATATTAATAGGAATCTTTCTTCTTTATTTTGTTATTCTTTTTTTAAAAATAATAGGAATCTTTCAATGATGAGCAAAAAGAGCAAGTTTCAGAAGAGTAATGACAGTGTGGTATTATTTTTACAAACTAGGTAAAATAATATTTTATATTGTTTGAGGATATATGCTATGTAATAAAAGCGTATGGAAGTGCATGGAAATAACAAACATCCAATTCAGAATAGTGGTTGCCCCTGGGAAGGGGGAGGATAATGCAGGGTGGTACTGAGTGTTCAAACTGAGTTTGAGTAATTCTTTCTTTCTTTCTTTACCTCCCTCCCTCTTTCCCTCCCTCCCTTCCTTCCTTCCTTCCTTTCTTCCTTCCTTTGTTCCTTTTCTTGGGATGGAGTTTCGCTCTTGTTGCCTAGGCTGGAGTGCAATGGTGCGATCTCAGCTCACCGCAACCTCCGCCTCCTGGGTTCAATCGATTCTCCTGCCTCAGCCTCCCAAGTAGCTGGAATTACAGGCATGCGCCACCAAGCCAGCTAATTTTGTATTTCTAGTAGAGACAGGGTTTCTCCATGTTGGCCAGGCTGGTCTTGAACTCCTGACCTCAAGTGATCTGCCCGTCTCGGCCTCCCAAAGTGCTGGGATTACAGACGTGAGCTACTGCACCCAGCTATTGTTTAATTTTTTAATTTTTTGTAGAGATGGGGTCTCCCCATGTGCCCAGGCTCATCTTGAACTCCTGAGATCAAGTGATCCTCCTGCCTTGGCCTCCTAAAGTGCTGGGATTATAGGTGTGAGCTACCGCACCCAGCCCAGATAGATTTCTATGTAGAGCCATTTTCCAAGGAAAGAATAATGGAGACATAACCTGGTTTTGTTCATTCTGTCTCTGCTGGGAGGATTATAGCCCCCCTCTATAAGTGGGAACTCTGAGCTGGAGACAGGTGACAGGATTTGCTGGATGCTATGTGGGAAATCAGGAGACCCTGCTGGTTACTCTTTCTTTGGAACAAACTGGATTTGTGGAAATTACTTGTGGTTTTAGAGCCATTGAGACTTGAGTTTTAATCCTGCTTCTGACATTATCTATAATAGCTGTGTGGTCTTGGCCAATCTCTGACCTTTTAAAGCCTCAGTTCCTCATTTAAATAGGAAAATAACAACATGGAGTTTGCAGAGTTGTTGGAAGGATTAAAATGGGAGTGGTCCACCTTGCTCTGGTTTGGTACATGGTGGAAATATAGCTCAGGTCCTTTTTCCCATGCTCATAATCAGCTAGTCAGTGACCTTCTCCTGGGCCCCATCTGTTCTCAGGGAATTTAGCCAGCTCTTCTCCGTGACTATAATCAGGGCTCTTGACCGAAGGGAAAGCCACTTTCCATGTAATTTTGACATCTTGTGCCATGGAAATAATTAATACATTTATTGTCTTAATACATCTATTAATTAAGCAAATAACTACTGGTCAGTATAATATGGTAATCAAACTTTAGGCTTCAGGGTCAGAGATCTGAGTGCTAGTCTTGGCTATGCAATTACTAGCTGTGTGACCTGGGCAAGTTACTTCTACTGTCCACGCCTCATTTCCTCATCTGTATAATGGGGATAACAGTGCCTACCTCCATGGGCTTTGCTGAGAGTATTAAATGAGAACACACATATGGTGTTTAGCAGTAGCTATTATTACCCTATCATAATCCCAGCAATGTGCTTGGGACTAGGGGGAGGAAGAAGTATAAATAAGACTGGTTTTGAAGCATCACAGTCAAAAGACATGATGACAAATAAATACCATATACATTCATAGAATGATAAATGTGGTAAAAGAGACAGAAAGTGCTGGAGTCGGTGAGGGACGACCAACTCCTCCTGAAGGGGTTGTGGGGCAGCTCCACAGAGAAGCTAACATTTAGAATAGACCTTGAAGAACTAGTGGACTCCCTCAACTTGGGAGATGGGGAAGGATGTTTCAAATGGAGGGGGCAGCACATACAAAGGCATGGTGCTACGTTCTGGGGAGAGCAAGGCATTTCCCATGGCTGCTGCATGTAAAGAGTCTTTTGGGTTATGCTAAGAAGTTTGGATTCTGCTGGGCATGGTGGCTCACACCTGTAATCCCAGCACTTTGGGAGGCCTAGGCAGGCAGATCACTTGAGCCCAGGAGTTTGAGACCAGCCTGGGCAGCATGGTACAACCCCGTCTCTACAAAAAATACAAAAATTAGCTGGGAGTGGTGGCATACACCTGTGGTCCCAGCTACTTGGGAGGCTGAGGTGGGAGGACGACTTGAACCCAAGAGGCGGAGGTCGCAGTGAACCAAGATTGCACCATTGCACTCCAGCCTGGGTGACAGAGCCAGACCCTATCTCAAAAAAAAGAAAGAAAAAGAAGCTTGGATTCTATTCCCTAGGCCAGGTCAGCAAACTACTGCCCTTGGGTCAAACAAAGAGAGAGGTGGCTGTTATGCTACATGTTTTTGTAAATAAAGTTTTTTTGTTTTTGTTTTTGTTTACTTTTGAGACAGCCTCTTACTCTGTGGCCCAGGCTGGAGGGCAGTGGCATGATCTTGACTCACTGCAACCTCCGACTCCCGGGCTCAGGTAATCCTTCCACCTCAGCCTCCCGAATAGCTGGGAGCACAGGCACACACCACCACACCTGGCTGAGTAAATAAAGTTTGACTGGACCACAGCCATGCCCATTCATTTATGTATTGCTTTTGTGCCACAATAAGAGTTGAGTAGTTGAGACAGAGACCATCTTGTCCCCAAAGCGTAAACTATTTACCATCAAGTCCTTTACAGAAAGTGTGCTGACCCCTGAGCTGGGCCATTGGGAACCTTTGAGGAATCCCAAGCCAAGAAGTGACATGATCATATTTGTATTATGGAAAGACAACTCTGGCAGCCACATGGAGGACCAGTTAGAGGGGATGAAGCGGAAGCAGGCGACCACGAGAAGGCCGTTGCTATTGTCCAGCTAAGAGTTGACAAGGCCTGAATTGAGGCGATGGCAGTGGGAATGAGTGGCTGATGGAGATCTGAGAGATTTTTGTTGTTGTTGTTTGAGGTGGAGTCTCGCTCTGTCACCCAGGCTGGAGTGCAGTGGCATGATCTTGGCTCATTGCAATCTCCACCTCCAGGGTTCAAGCGATTCTTGTGCCTCAGCCTCCGGAGTAGCTAAGATTACAGGTATGCGCCACCACACTTAGCTAATTTTTAGTCGAGACAGGGTTTCACCATGTTGGTCAGGCTGGTCTCAAATTCCTGACCTCAAGTGATCTGCCTGCCTCGGCCTCCCTAAGTGTTGGGATTACAGGCGTGAGCCACTGCACCCAACCTAGATTTGAGAGATATTTAGGGATTAGATCAGTAGGACTTGGTGCCTGAGGATGGTGGCTGAAGGAGAGGAAGGAGGAAGGGAAAGTGGACTTCTGGCCCCAGCAAAAGAGGGTTAGGGTTATTAACCAAAAGGAAAAAGTCTGTGGTGAAGGTTGTACATTTCACTTTGGATACAGCTGAGGGTATTTGTAAGTGATGGTGGACATACCAGGCTGGCCTCTAGAGTAATGTCTGCGTGGAGATTTGGGAGTTATCCACTGTGTGGGAGGTGTTTAGGAGTCCTGAGAATGAACAAGATCTCCCAAGGAGGGAGTGTAGGATCATAAGAGCAAAAGGCAAAGGAAGAAATCCTGAGAAGTGTCAGCAATGAAAGTCAAACAGAGGAAGTATATCTAGCCAGGAGATCCACAAGTACTTCTGGAGGCCAAGTTCTAGAAGGAAGGCAGGTCGAATAGGCATTGACTAGCAGGCCAGGGAGGCAGGCTCTAGAATTAGCAATTGGGCGGTTACTGCTTGGGTGACCAACTCACACCCAGAACTTTCTCAGTTTTAGCACTGAAAACTCCCATCCTGGGAATGCCCTCAGTCTCGGGCAAACCAGCAGAGTTGGTCACCCTACTGCTGACCTTACCATGAGTGATGTCAAGAAAAGTTTAGCTTGCAAAGAGCTAGCTTCTGAAGGTATCAATTTTCCTTAAAGTTGATGACCTAAGTCCTAAGTTGAACCTTTTTTTTTTTTGAGACAGAGTCTTGCTCTGTCGCCCAGGCTGGAGTGCAGTGGCGCGATCACACCTCACTGCAGGTTTGACCTCCCACACTCAAGCAATCCTTCCACCTCAGCCTCCCGAGTACCTGGGACTACAGGCACACCTGGTTCATTTTGATTTTTTGTGGAGATGGTATCTCACTGTGTTGCCCAGGCTGGTCTTAAACTCCTGGGCACAAGTGACTAGGTTGATCCTTTCTGAATCACTCCAACCATAATAACATAAAGCTCTCTTTGTACAGCACTTGACCATTGTATGACCTCATTTGATCCTTACAATAACCCTGCGAGGTAAGAGTTTGTAGCTGCAATTGCACAGGAGTGGAGATGGAGAGGTTGGCGTTTGATGAAGCACCTGTGCCAAGTAAGTGGCAAAGGCAGGGCTCAATCTCAGCCTTTTAACTCCAGAAGCATTTGCCTGGCTGCCTCCTGGTTGTAGATGTCCATAGTCTGGGGAGCTGGGCTCCTGGCTGGCAGGGCTATGGATCCCCTGCTCACTGTAGAATCAGGCAGAGGTCAGGAAATTCTTGGAAGTGTAGAAGGAGCCCCACAGCTATGTGTAGATCAGTGCAAGAGTAAGGCTGTAGGTTCATAGAAAGGCCACTACATAAACTTATGCCATCAGGGGTTTGTAAGAGGGGCCATATTCTATGCAATAGCCAGGCTCTTAAACAAATTTTTCTGTGGTAAAATATGCATAACCTAAAATTTACCTTTTTTTTTTTTTTTTTTTAAAGACAGGGTCTGGCTCTGTCACCCAGGGTGGTGTGCAGTCATGTGCTCATAGCCCACTGCAGCCTCGAACTCCTGGGCTTTAATTATTTTATGTATAAAATAGTTAATCTCTGCATTTTAGCTATTTTATGTGTACATTTAAATTATTTTATGTGTACAATTCAGTGGCATTAAGTACATTCACAATATTGTACAACCATCACCACTATCCATTTCCAGAACTTTAAATAATCCCCGGTAGAAACTCCATACCCATTAAACAATGACTCACAATTCCCCCCACCCTTAGTCCATGGTAACTTCTATTTTCTGTCTCTATGAATTTGCATATTCTAGTTAGCTCATATAAGGAGAATCAAACAATATTTGTCCTTCTGGGTCTGGATTCTTTCACTTAGCATAACATTTTTAAGGGTCATCCATGTTGTAGCCTGTATTAAAATTTCATTCCTTTTTATGGCTGAATAAAAATGTGCATACGTTGTATGTATATGCCACATTTTGTTTATCCATTTATCTGTTGCTGGATAGACTCTTTTTATATTCTTATATTTCAAGTGAAGACAATCATTAATTTCTGATATCTTAAAGTATCGTTTCAGAGACAACTGGATACTATGTGCTTCCAGATATAAGAAATATTCTTGCCAAAAAAAAATCAAACTCAAAGCTGATCAAGCCTTAGATCTATCTACCAATGATAGGATATCAAACTACATTATGTGGATGCAATAAACAAAATCCTGACTGTGAGAAAATCTATAGGATAAATGACCATGTTTCTTCAACAAATAAGTTGCAGGGGGAAAACAGAAAGAGATAGAAGGGAAACCTGTAGATTAAAATATACTTAAAAGTCATGTCAACTCACTGCAATGTGTGGACCTTGATTCAAACAGACATTTTTTAAAAAAAGACATTTACGGAGACAATTGGAATTTATGGAGATCATTCCATCATGGAGATAATAGAATGTTTGACGATATTAAAAAATTATTGTTTAAGGCCGGGCATGGTGGCTCACGCCTGTAATCCCAGCACTTTGGGAGGCTGAGGCGGGTGGATCACCTGAGGTTGAGAGTTCGAGACCAGCCTGACCAACATGGAGAAACCCCATCTCTACTAAAAATACAAAATTAACTGGGCGTGGTGGCGCATGCCTGTAATTCCAGCTACTCGGGAGGCTGAGGCAGGAGAATCACTTGAACCCAGGAGGCGGAGGTTGCAGTGAGCCGAGATCGCACCATTGCACTCCAGCCTGGGCAACAAGAGTGAAACTCTGTCTCAAAAAAAAAAAAATTATTGTTTAAAAATTGGTATGACCATTGTATTATGGTTTTGTTTAAAAAATAATCCTGGCTGGCGCAGTGGCTCACGTCTGTGACCCCAGCACTTTGGGAGGTTGAGGTGGACGGTTCGCTTGAGCTCACGAGTTGGAGACCAGCCTGGGCAACATGGTGAAACTCCGTTTCTACAAAACAAACAAACAAAAATTTACCTGGGCATGGTGGTGCATACCTGTAGTCCCAACTACTTGGGAAGCAGAGGCAGGAGAATCACTTAAGCCCCAGAGGCAGAGGCTGCAGTGAGCCAAGATCGTGCCACTGCATTCCAGCCTGGGTGATAGAGCCAGACCTTGTCAAACCCTTACCTTTTAGACATACACAATGAAATTCCCTTTCTTTCTTTCTTTCTTTTTTTTCTTTCTTTCTTTCTTCTTTCTTATTTTGACAGAGTCTCTCTGTTGCGTAGGCTGAAGTTCAGTGGTACAATCTCAGCTCACTGCAACCTCCACCTCCTGGCTTCACAGGATTCTCCTGCCTCAGTCTCCCAAATAGCTGAGATTACAGGTGTGTGCCACCACGTCTGGCTAATTTTTGTATATATATTTTTTTAACAGACAGGGTTTCACCTTGTCGGCCAGCTGGTCTCAAGCTCCTGACCTCAAGTGATCCACCCGCCTCAGCCTCCCAAAGTGCTGGGATTACAGGCATGAGCCACCGTGCCCAGCCTTTTTGATTATTTTGAGACAGGGTCTCGCTCTGTTGCTCAAGCTGGATGCAATGGTGTGATCTTGGCTCACTGCAACCTCCGCTTCCCTGGCTCAACTGATCCTCCTGTCTCAGTCTCCCAAGTAGCTGGGACTACAGACACACATCATGCCAGGCTAATTTTTTTTGTTTTGTATTTTTTTGTATTTTTAGTAGAAGCAGGGTTTCACCATGTCAGCCAGGCTGGTCTCGAACTCCTGACCTCAAGTGATCTGCCTGCCTTAGCCTCCCAAAGTGCTGGGATTACAGGCATGAGCCACAACGACCTGCCTGAAATTTTTTTTTATCCTAATTTTTTTTTTGATTTTTACTTTTTTTGAGTCTCACTCTGTCACCCAGGCTGGAGTACAGTGGCATGATCTTGGCTCACTGCAAGCTCTGCCTCCCAGGTTCACGCCATTCTCCTGCCTCAGCCTCCTGAGTAGATGGGACTACAGGCTCCTGCCACCATGCCCGGCTAATTTTATGTATTTTTAGTAGAGACGGGGTTTCACTGTGTTAGCCAGGATGGCCTCAATCTCCTGACCTCATGATCCTCCCACCTTGGCCTCCCAAAGTGCTGGAATTACAGGTATGAGCCACCGCGCCCGGCCCGGCCTGAAATATTTTTATATAAAATTATTTGATATCTGGGATTTGCTTCAAAATTATACTCAGTGTGGGGGTTGGGGAGTAGGTGGAAAGATAGTTGAAACAATATTTCTGTGAGTTGATAACTATTGAAGTTGTATGCTGGCTACTTGGGGGTTTATTATATTATTTTGTTTACATGTATATGTGTTTGACTTCCTGTTAGTAGCTTTTTTACCTCATTTCAGAGACGAGTTTCTTCATTTTGGACTGATCTTCAGCCAATACTCTAAGAATTTAGCTTTAAGTTTCCTGGAGAGCATTCTCCACCCACACTCCAAGTTTCTGCACAAAGGGTAAAGGATCTTAAGCTAATAAATGCAATAAGCTAATAAATGTTTGAGGAACAATATTTAAAGGTGTGCTTTTGACGTTTGAACAACACCAGCTATCAGGCAGATTTGCAATTCTGTGGACTTTTAAAAAAGCAGACTTGCTTATTTTCAATTCTTTTTGGAGAGTCATATCGTGGTAACTTACCACATGATAGGCATCATCTTACACACTTTACCATTTGCTATATCTTCTAAGCCTCACAGTAACTCTACATATTATTATCAGCCTCCATTTTACAGATGAAGAAATAGAGGTTCAGAGAGATTAATAATTCCTAACACTTGTTAACCACTTACTGTGTTTCGAGCACTGGGCTAATTGCTTTAAATGAATTTGCTTATTTTATTATCTCACACCCTTACAAGGTAGGCAATATTAATATTATTATTATTATTATTTTTGAGACGGAGTCTTGCTCTGTCCCCCAGGCTGGAGTGCAGTGGTGGGATCTCAGCTCACTGCAACCTCTGCCTCCCAGGTTCACACCATTCTCCTGCCTCAGCCTCCCAAGTAGCTGGGACTACAGGCGCCCGCCACCACGCCCGGCTAATTTTTTTGTTTGTTTGTTTGTTTTTTAGTAGAGACGGGGTTTCACCATGTTAGCCAGGACGGTCTCTATCTCCTGACCTCGTGATCTGCCTGCCTCGGCCTCCCAAAGTGCTGGGATTACAGGCGTGAGCCACTGCGCCTGGCCACATTATTATACCTCTTCTGTAGATGAGGAAATTGAGGTTTAGAGAGGCTAAGGAGCTTGCTGGCAGCTGCTAGAGCCAAGCATCCTCTCTGTGAGGCCCCAAAGCCCAGGCACTCACCACTCCACCCAGGATGCAGCCCAGAGCTTCAGGGCAAGCATTCCAGGCTCTGCTGTTTATTAGTCACAGTGCCTTGGGCAAATTAATTCACTTTCCCAAGCCTGGTTTCTAATCTGTGAAATGGGGATAAGACTAGCATCTCCCTAATATGGTAATTCTGGGGATTAAGTGAGACATTGGATTAAGGGGTTAGCATAGTGCCTGACCCATAGTTAGGCTCCCTTGATATAAGTGATTTTTATTACCCAGCTTCTTTCTGGGGTGGAGGGCTTCTTGATTAAAGTCGGATCATTTTAGGACTTTAGGAATCTTCTGGAAAAATTGGCCTTCCCATGACCATCTGGGTGATTTTATGTGGATACTGCTCTGGCTTTTTTCTGTGCGAAGAGGAGAGGGGTGCTTTACTTTTACTTTTACTTAGAGCTAGGGCAGGGTTTATTCTGGCATTTGGGAAGGAAAAGACTAAAATCAAGTGACGAAGAACCAGAGTTACTGTGTCAGTGTGAGTGCTGCCCTGGAGTTTCAGTCTTGCTTAGTGTCTGAAACTGGTTCCTGGTTCAGGCAAGAAGAGCTCTCAGGGACACCATATGCTACCCAGAGAGTGCCCTAGGTGTAGACACATGTAAATAAAAGAGTTGTTGACTGGCATGTGGTGGCTCACGCCTGTAATCCCAGCACTTTGGGAGGCCAAGGCAGGCGGATTACCTAAGGTCAGGAGTTTGAGACCAGCCTGGCTAACATGGTGAAACCCTGTTTCTACTAAAAATACAAAAAGTTAGCCAGGTGTGGTGGCGGGCGCCTGTAATCCCAGCTACTTGGGAGGCTGAGGCAGGAGAATCGCTTGAACCTGGGAGGCGGAGGTTGCAGTGAGCTAAGATGGCACCATTGCACTCCAGCTTGGGCAACAAGAGTGAAACTCTTCCTAAAAAAAAAAAAAAAAAAGAGTTGTTAATATACCTATTCATTTCACTGCCATGGTGTAGGGAAAAGAATGGGCTTTGGAGCCTTAGGGACCTCAGTTTGAATCCTGACTCTGCTACTCTTAGGCTGGGTACAAGTCACAAAGCTGTCTGTGCTTCATTTCCACAACTATGAGTTAGGAAAGATAACCAAGCTAACAGCTATAGAATGCTTACCATGTACTGGGCATTGTTCTTTTTATATATTAAATCATGTAATTTTTAAAAATTAATAAATACAAGGCCGGGCAAAATGGCTCACGCCTGTAATTCCAGCACTTTGGGAGGCCAAGGTGGGTGGATTACCTGAGGCCAGGAGTTTGAGACCAGCCTGGCCAACATGATGAAACCCCATCTCTACTAAAAATACAAAAATTAGCCTGGTGTGGCGGCACATGCCTGCAATCCCAGCTACTTGGGAGGCTGAGGCAGGAGAATCACTTGAACCTGGGAGGCAGAGGTTCCAGTGAGCTGAGATCACAGCACTGCACTCCAGCCTGGGTGGCAGACTGAGATCCTGTCTCAAAATAATAATAATAAATATTATTTTAAAAATCAGTTTAAGTTCACAGCCAAATTGAGCATAAAGTACAGAGATTTCCCATATGCCCCCTGCCCCGACACATGCACAGCCTTCCCCACGATCACACTCTTCACCAGAGTTGTACATTTGTTACAATCGATGAACCTACATTGACACATCAGTATCCCCCAAAGTCCATGGTTTACATTAGGATTCACTCTTGGTGTTGTACATTTTGTGGGTTTTGACAAACACATAATGACATGTATTCAACAGTGCGGTATCACACAGAAGAGTTTCACTGCCCTAAAAATCCTCTGTGCTTTGCATTTTCATCCCTCCCTCAACCTTAATCCATGGCACCACTAACCTTTTTATTGTCTCCATAGTTTTGCCTTTTGCAGAATGCCATATAGTTGGAATCATACAACATGTAGCCTTTTCAGATCAGCTTCTTTCACTTATTAATATACATTTAAGTTTCCTCCATGTCTTTTCATGGCTTGATAGCTCATTTCTTTTTTAGTGCCACATAATATGCCATTGTCTAGATATACCATAGGTTATTTGTCCATTTACCTACTGAAGTTCATCTTGGTTGCTTCCAAGTTTTGGCAATTATGAATAAAGTTGCTACAAACATCATGTGCAGGATTTTGTGTGGACATAAGTTTTCAATTCATTTGGATAAATACCAAGGAGTGGGATTGTTGGATTGTATGGTAAGAATATGTTTCATTTTCTAAGAAACCACCAAACTGTCTTTCAAAGTGGCTATACCATTTTGCTACCAGCAGAGAATGGGAGTTCCTGTTGCTCTACATTCTTGCTAGCATTTGGAGTTGTTGGCATTTCGGATTTTGGCCAAAATCCAAATTTAGGTAAATAAAGTAGTTTTACCTCATGGTCATCTTAATTTGCTATTCTCTTTTATTTTTTATTTATTATTATTTTTTGAGACGGAGTCTTGCTCTGTCACCCAGGCTGGAGTGCAGTGGTGCAATCTCGGCTCACTGCACCCTCTGCCTCCTGGGTTCAAGTGAATCTCCTGCCTCAGCCTCCTGAGTAGCTGGGACTACAGGTGCATGCCACCACACCAGGCTAATTTTTGTTCTTTTAGTAGAGACAGGGTTTCACCATGTAGGCCAGGATGGTCTGGATCTCTTGACCTCCTGATCCACCTGCCTCGGCCTCCCAAAGTGCTGGGATTACAGGCGTGAGCCACTGCACCTGGCTTTAATTTGCTATTCTCTAGTGACATACAATGTTGAGTATCTTTTCTTTTGCTTACTACTATCTGTATATCTTCTTTGGTAAGGTGTCTGATCAGGTTTTTTACCCATTTCTAAATTGGGTGGTTTTCTTATTGTTGAGTTTTTAAAACTCTTTGCATATTTTGGATAACAGTCCTTTATCAGATGTCTTTTGCATATTTTTAGTAGAGACGGGGTTTCACCATGTTAGCCAGGATGGTCTCGAGCTCCTGATCTCATGACACACCTGCCTCAGCCTCCCAAAGTGCTGGGATTACAGGCGTGAGCCACCGCACCTGGCTTTAATTTGCTATTCTCTAATGATATACAGTGTTGAATATCTTTTCTTTTGCTTACTGCTATCTGTATATCTTCTTTGGTAAGGTGTCTGATCAGGTTTTTTGCCCATTTCTAAATTGGGTGGTTCATTTTCTTATTGTTGAGTTTTTAAAACTCTGCGTATTTTGGATAACAATCCTTTATCAGATGTCTTTTGCATATATTTTATCCCAGTTGTGGCTTGTCTTCTCATTCTCTTGACAGTCTTTTGCAGAGCAGACATTTTTAATTTTAATGAAGCCCAGCTTATCAGCTCTTTCTTTTATGGTGCCTTTGGTGTTGTATCTAAAGAGTCATTGTGATACTCAAGGTCATCTAGGTTTTCTCCTATGTTATCCTCTAGGAGACAGTTTTATAGTTTTGTGTTTTACATTTAGGTATATAATCTATTCTGAGTTAATTTTTGTGAAGGGTATAAAGTCTGTGTCTAGACCCCCCCCTTTTTTTTTTTTTGCATGTGGATGTCCAGTTTGTTGAAAAGCCCCATGTGTTGAAAAGACTAAGCTTATATAATTTTCAAAACAAATTTTGAGGGAGGGAGTCACTGTTATTATCCCAATTTTTTGGATGAGCAAAGTGAAGCACAGAGAGGTGATTTATAAAAAATCACCCAGAGTAACACAGCTAGTACTTTACAGAACTGAGATTTTGAATCCAGGCAATCCAGCTCCAGAGTCCATGCACTCAACCCCTATCTATAATAATAATGTCTCCCTCATAGGTTCATTGTGAGGAGTAGAGATAGTGTCTAGTATATAATAGGTACTCAGGAAACACTAATGATAGTCGTTGTCCTACTTAGCCTGCAAGGTTCCGCTCAAATGTCATGTTTTTGGGGTTTTTTTTTTTTCTTTTTTGGAGACAGAGTCTTGCTCTGTCGCCCAGGCTGAAGTACAGTGGTGTAATCTCCGCTCACTGCAACCTCTGCTCCCCAGGTTCAAGAGATTCTCCTGCCTCAGCCTCCCAAGTAGCTGGGATTATAGACATGCACTACCACGCCTGGTTAATTTTTTGTATTTGTAGTAGTGATGGGGTTTCGCCATGTTGGCCAGGCTGGTCTTGAACGCTGGCCTCAAGTGATCTGCCCACCTCAGCCTCCCAAAGTGCTGGGATTACAGGCATAAGCCACCATGCCTGGCCTCAAATGTCATGTTTTTGAAGCTGCTCTTCTCACTCCTCAAGCCAAATAAGCCTCCCATCATAGCACCTATCTCATCATCCAAGTAATGCCAGCATGGTGAACCCTACTACTGTCACAGCTCAGGTCTACCTGTTCCCCATGTGATTTCCCTGGAGATATGCCATGTCTGATCTCCTTCTGTGTCACCCCAAGTGCCTGGGGCTGCACTTGGCACTTAGCAGGCAGTTTGTTAAATTGAATTTGAGTTGCATGTTATTCCAAAATGTGTATCCCGCCTGGGTCTATTCCTCAGGAACTCCCTAACTCTTACTCAACTCTCTGCTTTCTGAGCCTCCTTGCTCCAGCCTTCCCTGGTCTGTCAGGTTGGGCTGCCCTTGCCTGGAGAAGTTCCTGTTTGGGCTGTCTAGGGAGGTAGCAGCATTTGTCTGCTACACCCTTCTTCCTGCACCACCCCACTCAGTTTCTTCCACATTCTGGCACACCCCACTCCAGCATGGACACTGCCCAGGGAAGTGTCCCCATTTCTTTCTTTCTCCAAACTCTAGACATAGCACCTATCTTGGAGGCCTGGTATCTGGATGTCCCTTGGCCTCTCCCAGGAAGTATAAACTGTCTTCTTGGTGGGTACAGCAGCTCACTTGATATTTACAGCACACAGTGGACCCAGGGACAGACTGCATTCCAAAGAGCTTCTGAAAGTGTTAATCTTGGCATTGGTGAACTCCTTTAGGGAGTGAGTGGCACTTACAGCCATGGCTCCCGGGCCCTGGTACGCCTCTTGATCCACTCCATTTTGAGGCAGGGCTGTATCAGACCAAGCTATTGGGAGTCTGTTTTTACCTTGGGGAGTGCATTCTGGCAGTGCCATCTCGGACATGGCAGGCAGTACCTGGTCTGGACTGAGCCTGGGGCACCATCCAGCAGGGCCCTGTGTGTGCCTCTGCAGAGCCACCTTGGGAGGAGGCGGCCAGTAAGACTTAATTGCTTCCTTTAGACAGCACTACCTTGAACACAGCCTGCAGAGTTCGGTGCCTGCCTTGGACAGCCCCTCTTCTATACGTTCATCATGACCCTGGTGCCTGTCCTAGGCAGTGCCACTCAGCCCCTTTCGGACCCTTTTCGGACAGCCTCCAGTGCCCAGTGCAGACAGAAACTCCAGGCAGGGCCTCTCTCAGACACAGCGAGAGGGGCTTCGGAGTCCACAGCGGACGGAGGCTGCCAGGGCAGCGCCCGGCCCGCCTGGCCCACGTCTGGCGGCGCGCACTGGCGCTGCCAGGCAGGCCGGGCGTTTATCCCCACAGCCGCCAGCAGGGAGCTCCCTTTCGGCTCGGCCTGCGCGGTCGCTGGGGGCGGCGCTGAGCTGCGCCGCGCTGCGCTCTGCTCCATCCCTGACCGGGCCGAGGCTGCTGGATGCCGCGTCTCCGCTTCTGCTGCCTGCCGGGCGGGCTCCGGTGGCCGGTGAGTGCCGGTCGGCGGCGGCGGCCGCTCGGTGGCGGGCCCGGCTTGGTGGGGCGGCGGGGCGGGCTCCGGCCGGGAGGGAGGGCGGGCGGGCGGCGGGGCCCGCCGGCTCCTCCTCCTCCTCCCCCGTCCCCTGGAAGCAGCGGCCCGGACTCCCGGCTCCCGTCCCTGGCGGCGCCGTGGAGCTCGACGCCCGGGGGTGGGGGCCGATCGGGAGCGGCGGGGAAGGGGGAACCACCGGCCCTTCCAGCCAACCTGGGGGGCGCAGGGAGGCAGGACAGGGTGGCCTTCAGTGTGGGGGGATTTGGGGCTTGGAGGCGCCCAGGTGGCCCGGAGCTGCGGGGTGGGGGCTGCAGCCTCGAGGGTGGGGGGACTTCTCCTGCCCCCGTCCAGGCCCCACGATGGAGCGAGCGAGAGAGCGGGGCGCTGAGGAAGGCAGCGGGGAAGGGGAGCACCTCTACCGACCCTTTTATCCCTCCCAGCGGCCTTCACTCTTTCACTGCCGGGCAGACTGCGGGCTCCTCTCAAAGGAGCAGCTGCTAGACAGCTGGCAAAACAATGGAGACCCCGCTTCCCTGGGCCCCCTCCTCTTGGGACAGAAGATGAGAGGGTGAATGGTGGCAGGCTTTGGGGATTAGGGAGTGCAGGCTGTGCCCTGAGACTGAATGCTCACCTCACCTTTCCCTGCAGAGGGGTGGGGTGCGTGTGGGAAGGTCGGACAAGCTGCCCCAGGCCTCTGGAGAGACCGCCCCGACGCCCCGCCCTGCTAACCTGTCATGCCAGTTGTTTCGCCAATGGGAAGGGGAGGTGGTAGGGGTGGCTGCCCCCTCACCCTGCCCCTTGTTAGTGGGGGTGCGCTCCTTGGTCCCAAACCCGGCCAGGAGTGTGGGTCATGTTCCTGGGTGCGATAAGGCCCGCAGGGACAGGCCAGGCATTGGGGCTTTGTTTTGGGGGTGGAGATGGGGGAGTTGCCCTACTGCAAGGCACATGTGTCTTGCTGATTAGTTGGAAAGGTTGCGGCCAGAATGAGCTAGAGGTGGGGGGTGGGGGAGATGGGGAGGAAGACAGCCAGTTTGTTTTTGAGCGGGTATTCATTTTGCCTGACCACTTTGCCAATGGGGCATGTGTTTGGCGCTGGCCTCATAGTTTGTATTTGTGTGGGGAGGGCTGGGGGAATGCTTCCTGAGAGGGACTGTCCTGGCTAGGGCTTTCATTCCCTCAGATGGCCACCCCGAATTAAAGAATTGGATTCCCTCCCTGCTTCACCCTGCCAATGACTTGGGCTAGTTAGTGTGGGTTCGTCTTGTCTTTTGGAGCCCCTGGCGTGTCTGTGGCCGAGAAGGCCTCATCAGTGCCCCTGTGGCAAGTGAGCTCTGGGAAGTGTGTATGCACTGGGGTGTGCTGGAAGGGAGGGGAGGCCACCTGGGTGATTAAGAGCAAGATCACCTGAGCAGGACGGTGAGTACAGAGCCCATTGAATCAGCCGCCTTTCCCTTGTGCTTTGGAGCCCTTTTCTTGAGCAGGTTGGTGCCCTGTTGTTGTGGCAACAGGCCTGGCCTAATGTTCCCCACCCTTTTTAGTTCAGGGGCTACTTTCTATCTGGAGATATTGAAAGTTGCTCTCCTGAGGTCTCTGGCTTCCTGACAAGCCTCACTGGCTCTTTGTCCATGGCTTCCCACCTCCTCAGCTTCCTCTCTGTTTTTTTGTGATGAAGTCTTTCCAGGAAACATCCTCCTGGTTTCTGGATTTGACATGACGGGTTATATATAGCCTCGGGTGGAGGTGTGCTTGTCCATTTTGGGTTGAGGACATGGGGGTTGTGGCCTCAATTCCAGGAAAACCATGGCTTTGGGGGCAGCTATTGTGTTGAGGGATTAGGGGAATGAGAAGGGTTGTAGGTGGGGGTGGAGGGTGGGCATGGGAGGGGCCACAGGCTGGCGGTCACTTCCTTTGGGAGCTTTGAACTTTGAACAGTTGATGACCTGGTGCCTGGTAGCTCTGAGTGTCTAGTTTGTTTACTCTCTCCTGGCCTGGCCCAGGTGCCAGAGTGTGTGCCTGAGGGCTTCCTCCTGCGCCCCAGACTTTCCTCATGTGGGTTATGCCCTTCCTGACTCCCACCTGGTCTCTCAGCCTCACTCCTGGGCTGTCTGGGTAGCCAGCCAGTTCCCTGGAGGCCCCCTCACTGGCCCTGGTAGTGGCTATTCATTGAGGACTGCATGTGTCTTCAGAAACTGGGCCTGAAAACTCTGGGTCCCCCAGAGGCAGGTACCTAAAGGTGGACTGGGTGGGGCAGAACTGGGGCTCATGTGAAAGGGAGAATCCACCCTGCTGAGGTGGAGCTGGGAGTTGTTGGAACTCAGGAAGCCTTCATCTGGACTTGCTGTGTCACAGGTCTTCAGGGCAGCAGGGCTGTTCTTAATCCTTCAAACCAGAGGTCTCTCCTCAGCCAGATCCTCTCACCTGGGGTGGACGCCACAGGCAGGAGCCAGAGCATCCACGTGAGCTGGGTTTTGTTGGTGGCCTGGGGTCCCAGGCCTGAGTGTGGTGGGAAAACTGAGGGGCTCTGGCTGGTTGTAGTTTAAAGGTTTGGGGCAGTAGGAGGGCCCAGCCCACTGTCTGCTGTAATTGACAGGTTCCCACAGGACTTGGGATTGGTAGGGCAGCTTGATGGAGTTTAAGTTCTGCTTTGGGTCAGACCCCCGGGTGCTTTAAGATCTGCACACCCCACCCCATCACCATTTCTTCCCCCTAGCATTTTCCAAGGTGGCCTGAATTAGAGGAGTTGGGGAGGTGCCGAGGTAGGAGCTGGATTGGGAGGGGTGGTGAGCAGACCTGGTGAGCCTCCACTTCCCACCTTCACTTCCCTGCCCTTCTTTTGAGGTAGGAATTGCAGGGCTTGTAAAATGTCAATTTCCCTTGACATTTTAAACAGTTTAGAGTCAGGCAGCAGTTTTGGTTGTTAGACTGATGATTTTACAGGACCCAGGGCCCTTTCTGTCTGCCAAGTAGTTTATCATCACTTACAAGAGATTATTGTGATTATTCTCTAATATTCAGAGAGGTTGGATGATGGGCTGAAGGTCACACAGCAAGTCAGAGGCAGAGCGGGATTACAACCTGCAGTGTGTGGTTGAGCAGAATAGCTCTCCAGCAGAGGCTGAGGGCCAAATCTGAGCTGTCAGGCCCTTGAAGATAACTGTAGCTGAAATAGTGGAGGCTTAGAGAGGGGAGGGGACTTGCTCAAGGTCACACGGAAGGGGATGTTAGCGGAACTGAGCGCCAGGCGGTGCACCTGGAAGAGCAGCAGGGAACCTGGCGAGGCCGCAGGAGCTCTCCCGCTCGCGTTCCTCCATGGCCCGCGGGATTGCTGCCTTCCGGGGGAGATGGGATCGCAGCGGGAGGCGCCGCGGGGCTGCGGCTGCGCCGGCCCAGCCGCGGGGAAACGCCAAGGGCCGCCCGGCTCCCCGCGCGGCGGCGTGAGGGCTGGCTAATGTCACGTGAGAAGCGTGCAGTCGGCGTGAGGGAGCACACCTGGAGCCAGATAAGCTCCGTGTGACCTGGCAGGGAGTCACCCGGCGCTGCGGAGCTCAGCACAGCCGGCCGGGAGGAGGCTCCCCCTGGAGCACGGGGCCAGGCCAGGTGCTGGCTACCCCTCCGGCCGCTGCTACAACCCTTGGCGAGGGGCAGAGCGCGGGGAGAGAGCCGGGGTCCCGGGGCTGGAGGAAACGGCCGCTCAGGGAGGTCAGAGGCCAAGGGAGAGAGGCCGGCTCTCTCGGGAAAGTATTTCCTTTGTATTTATTTATGAGTGTGGTCTGGGGGTGGGGGTGGGAGGACTGACCTAAGTATCTATCCACCACAGCCAACTCTGGGCACCCTTGTCTTGGGACTCTAACGTTATAGTTTCCATTTCCTGGGTTTTTTTTTTCTTTTGCCAGCTGCTAGGTGACCCATTTAAATGTGTCCCCACTTACAGCCACAAGACACCAGTGAACTCTATTTTAACCAAGTCCCCCAAGCCACTGAAACTTTTTCAAGACATGAAGGCAATCCTTAAACTGACCATTACCCTGTTTGCAGCTTTACTGCTGGTGGATTGCCTACTAGTTTGTCCATTTTTTTTTAGTCTGGAAAAAAGTTGAATCATTAGGTAGAAAGCTAAAGCGTTACTAAAGTGTTACCCTTCTTCTCCCCTACTCTCCAGAGATGACCACTGATAAATTTTTGGATCGAATTTTTCCAGACTGCTGTTTTTTTTGAGAAGGAGTCTCGCTCTGTCACCCAGGCTGGAGTGCAGTGGCGCAATCTTGGCTCACTGCAACCTCCGCCTCCGGGGTTCAAGCAATTCTCTGCCTCAGCCTCCCGAGCAGCTGGGATTACAGGCGCCCGCCACCACGCCCGGCTACTTTTTTGTATTTTTAGTAGAGACAGGGTTTCACCATCTTGGCCAGGCTGGTCTTGAACTCCTGACCTCGTCATCCACCTGCCTCGGCCTCCCAAAGTGCTGGGATTACAGGTGTGAGCCACTGCGCCTGGCCAGACTGCTTTTTAAAAGCTTGTTATATATATTTTAGGCACTATATATGTTTATAGTTTAATATATGTTTTATAAAATATCATCTTATATAAATATTTAAAAAATTTCTGTAGTAGGCCGGACACAGTGGTTCACACCTGTAATCCCAGGACTTTGGGAGGCTGAGATAGGCAGATTGCTTGAGCCCAGGAATTTGAGACCAGGCTGGGCAACATGGCAAGACCCTGTCTCTACAAAAAATACAGAAGTTAGCTGGGTGTGGTGGCGAGTGCCTGTAGTCCCAGCTACTCAGGAGGCTGCGGTGGGAAGGATCGCTTGAGTCCCAGGAGGTTGAGGCTGCAGTGAGCCGAGATCGCACCACACTCTAGCCTGGAGGACACAGTGGGACCCTGTCTCAAAAAAAAAAAAAAAAAAGATGAAATAAAAGTAGAAGAAAAATGATAGATAATTCCACTCCCTGAAGCTCCTAGGTGTAAGCAAATACACATTTACCAGATGAATGTTCTTATAAAAAATTAAAATATAGCCCGAGTGCGGTGGCCCATGCCTATAATCCAGTACTTTGGAGGCCAAGGTGGGTGGACCACTTGAAGCCAGGAGTTCAAGATCAGCCTGACCAACATGGTGAGACCCCATCTCTGTTATTTAAAAAAAAAGAAAAAAAATTAAAATATGGATGAAACACAAGTCTATTTGACCCTTCTAAAATTCCAGTCTCCTCCCCAGAGCATATATTTTTCCTACACATATGCAAATATTGTACACAACGTACATGTAATATATTCATGCACATATATAGATATAGGTTTTTAAATTTTAGCAAAATTATAAACTATCCTGCAACCTATTTTTTCACTTAACAATATAGTATAGAATCTTTCCAGGTCAGTGTATACAAATCTACTTCATTCTTTTTACTTTTAATTATACAACTGCTCAGTTGTATAATTTAGCTTTTTTTTTTGAGACAGAGTCTCGCCCTTTCGCGCAGGCTGGAGTGCTGCAATGGCGTGATCTCGGCTCACTGCAACCTCCGCTTCCTGGATTCAAGCGATTCTCCTGCCTCAGCCTCCTGAGTAGCTGGGATTACAGGTGCGCCACTACGCCGGCAAAGTTTTGTATTTTTAGTGGAGATGGGGTTTCACCATGTTGGCCAGGCTAGTCTCGAACTTCTGACCTCAAGTGATCTGCCTGCCTCAGCCTCCCAAAATGTTGGGATTACAGTTGTGAGCCACCATGCCCAGCATTTTATTTTTTTTTATTTTTTTTATTTTTTGAGACATAATCTCCCTCCACCCAGGCTGGAGCACAGTAGCACGAATCTTGGCTCATGCAGCCTTGACTTCTAGGCTCAAGTGATCCTCCCACCTCAGCCTCCCAAGTAGCTGGTATCACAGGTGTGCACCACTGCCTAGCTACTTTTAAAAAATTTTTTTGTAGAGTCAGAGTCTCACTGTGTTGTCTAGGCTGGTCTCAAACTCCTGGACTCAAGCAGTCCTCCCGCCTTGGCCTCCCAAAGTGCTGGAATTAGAGGCCTGAGCCGCTGCACCTGGCCAGTTTTACTATTCTCTAGTAAGGACTTTTATATTTATAGACTTGCTATTATAAACAATGCTGCAAGGATTAGCCATGTATATTATGTGAATGTACCTATAGATGTCTTATAATGGAATTGCCCAAAGAATATGTACATAAATATTTTCATATGCCAGGTGCAGTGGTGGTGCCTGTAATCCTAGCTACTCAGGAGGCTGAGGCAGGAGGATTGCTTGGGGCCAGGAGTTTGAGACCAGCCTGGACAGAATAGCAAGAACCTGTCTCTAAAACAATTTTTAAAAAGTTAGCCAGTAATGGTGGCGCACACCTGTAGTCACAGCTACTCAGGAGGCTAAGACAGGAGGATCACTTGAGCCCAGGAGTTCAAGTCTGTAGTGATCTATGATTGAGCCACCAAACTCCAGCCTGGGTGACAAAGCAAGACCTTGTCTCTTAAAAAAATTTTTTTTTTTCACAGATACCACTGACTTGACCTCTGAAAATACATTAGTTGGTGCAAAAGTAATTGAGGTTTTTGCCATTAAAAAGTAACGGCAGGCCGGGTGCGGTGGCTCACGCCTGTAATCCCAGCACTTTGGGAGCCGAGGCGGGCGGATCACGAGGTCAGGAGATCGAGACCATCCTGGGTAACATGGTGAAACCCCGTCTCTACTAAAAATACAAAAAATTAGCCAGGCGCGGTGGCGGGCGCCTGTAGTACCAGCTACTCGGGAGGCTGAGGCAGGAGAATGGCGTGAACCCGGGAGGCGGAGCTTGCAGTGAGCAGAGATCGTGCCACTGCACTCTGGCCTGGTGAAAGAGCAAGACTGCGTCTCAAAAAAAAAAAAAAGGGCCGGGCGCAGTGGCTCAAGCCTGTAATCCCAGCACTTTGGAAGGCCGAGGCAGGCAGATCACCTGAGGTCAGGAGTTCAAGACCAGCCTGACCAACATGGAGAAACCCCGTCTCTACTAAAAATACAAAATTAGCCGGTCATGGTGGCGCATGCCTGTAATTCCAGCTACTCAGGAGGCTGAGGCAGGAGAATTGCTTGAACCCGGGAGGCGGATTGCAGTGAGCTGAAATCGGGCCATTGCACTCCAGCCTGGGCAACAAGAGCGAAACTCCGTCTCAAAAAAAAAAAAAGTAACGGCAAAAACCATAATTACTTTTGCACCAACCTACCAATTTGTGTTTCCACCAAGACTTATGAGACTCCCTGCATCCCATGCCCTAATTGATTGATATTATCAACCTTGATAGTTTTTACTAAACTGCTAATTGAAAATAGTATACCTCAATTTCACATGTCTGTGAATGTTATGGAGGCTGAATACCTGTTCATGTTTGATGGCCATTTGTATTTCTGCCCCTACAAATTGCCTGTCCATAGTATCCTTGGCACTAGCTACGTGGGCCCTCTGGACTCAAGCCAGTGTGATCCAGCTTGGCCTTGTGCTTATCAAGTTACCTTCACTTCTTTGGGCTTTACTTTCCATGTACAAAGGTTTTGACTTATTTTAGTCATACTTGTGTACTCTGTTATCCTCTCTACTGTGTCATTTAGACTGCAAAAACTGTGCCCTGCTACTATTAGGTACCTCTCTGAGGGTAATTAAATATATTTCATTTAATTCCCCCACCTTAGGTGGTAGGTACCATTATTATCTCCATTTTTATAGATGGGGAAATGGAGGCATGGAGGCCTTAAGTGATTTGCCTGAGATTTCATAGCTATTTACTCATATTTTTTTTCATTTTTATTTAATTTTTTTTTTTTTAGACAGAGTCTTGTTCTGTCGCCCAGGCTGGAGTGCAGTGGCATGATCTCGGCTCACTGCAACCTCTGCCTCCCAGGTTTCAGCGATTCTCCTGCCTCAGCCTCCTGAGTAGCTGGGATTACAGGCGCATGCCACCATGCCCAGCTATTTTTAGTAGAGACAAGGTTTCACCGTGTTGACCAGGCTGGTTTCGAACACCTGATCTCAGGTGATCTGCCCTCCTCGGCCTTCCAAAGTGCTAGGATTACAGGCGTGAGCCATTGCGCCCGGCCCTGTTTACTCAGATTTGTTCACAGGTTTGTTACTTGATATCCAAAGCCTGAGCTCTGACACTGGGCTTACTTATCTTTATGTTGCTTGCCTTTAGGAAGTGGCTGATAGATACATATTTTTTCCCAAAATTTTATCACAATGACCTGCAAACATTCAGAAAAGTTAAAGAATTTTGCAACGAATACCCTCCATTTCCTAGATTCTACAATTAACATTTTCCTATCCTTGCTTTTACACATCTGTATCCCTTGATCCATCCATCAGGCTATGGTTTTTTTTTTTTTTCTTTCTTTCTTTTGAGACAGGGTCTTACTCTGTTACCCAGGCTGGAATGCAATGGCATGATCGTGGCTCAATGTAGCCTCGACCTCCCAGGCTCAGGTGATCTTCCCACTTTAGCCTCCCAAGTAGCTCCCACAGGCATGCACCACCACATCCAGATAATTTTTTGTATTTTGAGTAGAGACAGGGCTTTGCCATGTTGCCCAGGCTTGTCTCCGACTCCTGAGCTCAAGCGATCTGCCCGTCTCGGCCTCCCAAAGTGTTGGGATTATAGATGTGAGCCACCTTGCCCAACCTCATCAAGCTGTCTTAAAATTTTACACATCTCAAAGTAAAACGTAGACATCAGTATATTTCGCCCCAAATACTTTAACATACATATCATTCACTAGAGTTCAATATTTGTTTATAGTTCTTTTCTTTTGAGTGGATATTTACAAACAATGAATGCACAAATCTTTTTTTTTTTGAGATGGGGTCTTGCTCTGTCTCCCAGGCTAGAGTGCAGTGGCGCAATCATCTTGGCTCACTGCAACCTCCGCCTCCCAGGTTCAAGCGATTCTCCTGCCTCAGCCTCCCTAGTAGCTGGGACTACAGGTGTGTGCTGCCACGCCCGGCTAATTTTTTTTATTTTTATTAGAGACGGGGTTTCAGGATGGTCTCGATCTCTTGGCCTCATGATCCACCTGCCTTGGCCTCCCAAAGTGCTGGTATTACAGGCGTGAGCCAACGCGCCTGGCTGAACGCACAAATCTTATGTGCACCATTTGATAACTTGACAAGTGCATATACTTATCAACCCAAACCGCTATCAATATACAGGACATGAATATCACCCCAAAAAGTTCCCTCATGCGATCCCACTCCTACCCCCACCATAGGTTAGTTTTGCCTGCACTAGAACTTCATATAAAGAGAATCATACCCATATGTGCTCTTTGTCAAAGACTTCTTTCCCTCTCACTTGACATCATGATTTTGAAGTCCATCCCCATTGTGTGTATCTTTAGTTGTTTCTTTTTTCTTGCTGAGTAGTATTCCATTGCATGAATATGAGCATTGTTTATGCACTCTGATGGACAGATAGATGTATATTTGAGGTTGATGGTCATTGCCTTCGGGATGCTTACTCTCTTAAAGTGATAGAGCAGCTGAGTTGACAGATTGTACTTTCTTTTTGTTTTTGGGGATAGTAAGAGCAAGATTATTCGGGTCCATACCCTAACTTACATAGATGCCTTCCTTTTCTTAAAATTAGGAAAAACTTCTTAGAGTATGATGAGGAGAGAAACGCAGAAAAGGAGGTCAGGAAAATTATAAGGTTACCTTTACTGGAGTGGAGGGAGAGGGTAGGAGAGGAATGGGAGGCAGATGGAAACTGCAGCCCGGGATAGGGGGTAGGAAGGTAGTGGTATCAGAGCTGTTGGAGACTTTGGACCTGAGGCCAGGAGGTGCCGGAAAGTGCAAGGTCTACAAGAAGGCCATGGAGCAGCAGTCGCATTGCAGATCTGATCCTGGACAGGAGGCTGCAGGCAGCCAGGCAGCTCTAGACTCAGGAGAGAACCAGTCCACAGCCAGGCCTGGCGATTATGGGGATGGCAGTGGGGAAGAGGTGCCTTGTGAGCTGTGAAGATTATGGTGGCAGGACAGGGGTGGTGAGGGAAGGGCTGGCACAGCCTCATTTTCTGAAGGCCCCAGGGTTGGGATGAGAGGGGTGCCTTTGGCAGAAGGTTAATAACTTAACCTGTGTCCACAGGAGACTTAGATATTTAGAATTTTAGAGCCAGAAGAGATCTAGATCATGTAGTTCAACCTTGAGCAGAGTGACAGGCTCAAGGTCCCCCAGCGATTTTTTGGCAGATCCAGGCCTAGATACCAAATCTCCTGAAACTTCTGGCCAGCGCCATCCCTTGTGCTGCTGCTGTGACCGTCTGCTGTCCTGCCTGCTGCAATGACAGTGAGGAACAAGCTTTTGCTCAGACTTTTTCAGGGACCTTTCCAGCCCAAAGATCCTAGAATTCTGGGAGATCCTTTCCACTCATATTACTCAGCGATCTAGCCCCCAGCAAAGAGCCAGGATTGGGTAAGCATTATAGACCGAGAATTGGGCGTCTTGGTGGGACAGCATTCTAGTCAGTTGGGTTCTCTGTGGTTGAACTGAGGCCATGATACTCTTGTTTGTCCCATCCAAGTCCCCAAGGTGGATTTCTTTCTTCATTTCTTCCACAAGTGCCCCTGGAGTTATCTTCTAAACCATCCCTTTAAGATGGTGCAGGCAGTGGTGGGTAAGGTATAAGGTGGGCAGTAACAGCTGAAGACCCCACATCTTGGTTTATGGTAGGTCTGTGCCACACCCCATCAACAGTCAGGAGGAGAGAGACTCCCCTTGTCACAGTAGAGCCCCGAAGAGAGAATGCTGGCTGTCAGGTACTCCTCCACCCCAAATCAGTCCAGACCTACCTGGCCAAGGCCCCTGGCTGTGTGCCTTTTGGGCCCTAGATTTCCTGTTTTCTAACTCCCAGGTACTGTGCATGTAGCATTTAGAACCAACAAGTTCAAGGCTAGGCGCGGTGGCTCACGCCTGTAATCCCAGCACTTTGGGAGGCCGAGACAGGTGGATCATGAGGTCAGGAGATCGAGACCATCCTGGCTAACACGGTGAAAACCCATCTCCACTAAAAATACAAAAAATTAGCTGGGCGTGGTGGCGGGCACCTGTAGTCCCAGCTACTTGGGAGGCTGAGGCAGGAGAATGGCGTGAACCCTGGGAGGCAGAGGTTGCAGTGAGCCGAGATCACGCCACCTCTGCCTCCTGGGTTCAAGTGATTCTCATGCCTCAGCCACCCGAATAGCTGGGATTACAGGCGTGTGCCATCACACCTGGCCAGTTTTTGTATTTTTAGTAGAGATGGGGTTTTACTATGTTGGCCAGGCTGGTCTCGAACTCCTGACCTCTGGTGATCCGCCCACCTCGGCCTCCCGAAGTGCTGGGATTATAGGCATGAGTGGTCTTGAACTTCTGACCTCAAGTGATCTGCCTGCCTCAGCCTCCTAAAGTATTGGGGATTACAGGCATGAGCCACTGTACCTGGCCTTGAATTATATTTCTTATGGACAGCACTGCTCTAGAAAGGAGATGAGTTGGTATGTCAGGAGCAACACAAGTCAGGATGCTGGGCAGGGGGAAGCAATTAGCCATTGCACTACGGCCTTTGGGAATTTCTGACCTTGATGCCTTCCTGAGCATTGTACCAGGGTTGAAGGATGGTCCCTCTCAGTAGACTGGGGATCCCGGAGGGCCCTGCTTGGTTGTAGGGGTGGAGCACACAGAGAGGAAAGGCCTGTCCAGGGCCTGGCAAGAGGCCATTACTAGAAGGGATAAGCTTGTAGATCCTCTGTGTGAAACTCAGAGGGGTAGGCTTTCAGAGAGAGAGAAAAAATGTCATTTAATTTCCAATTAGGTGGCATGGCCTATTTCTTCTTCTTGTTCCCTGCTGGTTAGAACAAGAAAGACTCTCTCAACTCTTCCCACCAGGTTTTTATTGGTCCTGTCCCCAGTTAGATGTGCAGGGGGTTGGGTAGGTTGGTGGGTAGGTTTCACACACCCTGGGGCTGGGATTTTCTTTCAGGCTACCACAGTTTTCTTCCTGGGGCTATATTTAGGTGTTGGTCTGGGGAAAAGGATGTGAATTTTTTAGGATCCTGTTTATCCAGTGGACCCTACCCCACCCCCACCTCGCAGCTGTCTATCCTCTGTTTGGTCTGGAACTTCCCTTCTTTCTCTTGCTGCTTTACTTTGGTCACCCAGGCCCTAGAAAGAACACAATATTTGCCACTGAATCCCAACATCACCATTTATTAGCTGTGTGACAACTAACATATACTTAATTTTCTGTATCCCATTTTCTTCCTTTGTACAGTGGAAATAATGATATCTACCTTGTAGGAATGCTGTGAGGTTCAGAGGAGATAGTGCATGTAAAGTGCCTGGCATTAGGCCTAGCCAGTGGTAGTCATTAAATAAATGTTGGTTCCTTTGAGTTCTTCTGTTAGGCGGTGGCTAAGGGTGCTACTCTAGGGATAACAGGCTCAGGAAAGAGTCCAAAGAATGGGATGTCTGTTGCTTAAACGAACATTGTCTGTGGGAGGTGATGTTGCATTGAGTCCCTTTTCTTTTTCCTTTGAGTTTGAATCTTTTTTTTTTTTTTGAGACAGGGTCTCACTCTGTTGCCCAAGCTGGAGTAGTGTGATCATAGTTCACTGCAACCTCGACCTCCTGGGCTCAAGCAATCCTCAAATTCCCAAGTAGCTAGGAATGTGGGCATGCACCAGCATGCCTGGCTAATTTTTAAAATTTTTTTTAGAGATAGGGTCTCACTGTGTTGTCCAGGCTGGTCTTAAACTCCTGGGCTCAATCGATCCTCTTGCTTCAGTCTCCCAAAGTGCTATGATTACAGGCATGAGCCACCCTGCCTGGCCTGTGTTTGAATCTTTAAGTCAGGTCCCAGGTTGGTTTGAAGCATTCTCTCACCAGGAGGTCAGGTCTCCCACATACTACCTCCAGATACACCTAAGCCTTGGTCTATCAAAGATTCAAGGAAATGACAGGCTTTGGAATCTGGGCTTTTACCGCCTTTTTGGAATCTGGGCTTTTACCGCCTTATCTAAACCTTAAGTTTCCTTATTTGTAAAATGGGGTAATAATAGTAACTACCTATAGAAGGGTTGTAAGGATTAAATCAGTGGAGACAATATTGGGTAAGGCAGAGTGCCTGGCACATAGCTAGCACCCAGTGAGGAGTAGCTGTATCATTTGGTTATGTCTGGACTGGAGACACATGAGGCTCTGTTCGAATAACCTTTCTCTCTGTGTGTTTCTGTTTGCAGCAGCAAAGTGGGGCACCAAGGCCCTGTGCTAAGCACTCATAATCCTCTGGGGGTGCTACCCCTACAAACAGCACCCCCACCATGTTTAACCTAATGAAGAAAGACAAGGACAAAGATGGCGGGCGGAAGGAGAAGAAGGAGAAAAAGGAGAAAAAGGAGCGGATGTCAGCGGCAGAGCTTCGGAGCCTGGAGGAGATGAGCCTGCGACGTGGCTTCTTCAACCTGAACCGCTCCTCCAAGCGTGAATCCAAGACGCGCCTGGAAATCTCCAACCCCATCCCCATCAAGGTGGCCAGCGGCTCTGACCTGCACCTGACTGACATTGACTCCGATAGTAACCGGGGCAGCGTCATCCTGGACTCGGGCCACCTAAGTACAGCCAGCTCCAGCGATGACCTCAAGGGTGAGGAGGGTAGCTTCCGTGGCTCGGTGCTGCAGCGGGCAGCCAAGTTCGGCTCACTGGCCAAGCAGAACTCACAGATGATTGTCAAGCGCTTTTCCTTCTCCCAGCGTAGCCGGGATGAGAGCGCCTCAGAAACCTCGACGCCCTCAGAGCACTCTGCCGCCCCCTCGCCACAGGTGGAGGTGAGGACTCTAGAGGGACAGCTGGTGCAGCATCCTGGCCCAGGCATCCCTCGACCAGGGCACCGATCCCGAGCCCCTGAGCTAGTGACTAAAAAGTTCCCAGTCGACCTGCGCCTGCCCCCCGTGGTGCCCCTGCCCCCACCTACCCTCCGGGAGCTGGAGCTGCAACGACGGCCCACTGGAGACTTTGGCTTCTCCCTGCGGCGCACAACCATGCTGGATCGGGGCCCCGAGGGCCAGGCCTGTCGGCGTGTGGTCCACTTTGCTGAGCCTGGTGCAGGCACCAAGGACCTGGCCCTGGGGCTGGTGCCAGGAGATCGACTGGTGGAGATTAATGGGCACAATGTGGAGAGCAAGTCCAGGGATGAGATTGTGGAGATGATCCGGCAGTCAGGGGACAGCGTGCGGCTCAAGGTGCAGCCCATTCCAGAGCTCAGCGAGCTCAGCAGGAGCTGGCTGCGGAGCGGCGAGGGACCTCGCAGGGAGCCATCCGATGTGAGTGCTTCCCTGGGCACCTGGGCTAAGCAGGGATGGGGAATGTGGGCACCTCCTGCTTGACTGGGTAATCGGGGTACCCAAGAGCTGTTATCAGAGCCTAGCAGTGTGTAAGTGGGGAAGCCCTGCTGCTCTCTGAGCCTGTGGGGAAGCATGAACTCAGGAGAAGGTGCCCCATGCTCATAATCCTCTGGGGGTGCCACCCCTACAAACAGCACCCCCACCAGGTTTAACCTAATGAAGAAAGACAAGGACATTAAAGGAGTCACACCTTCGTCTCTCAACCTTGTCTGGGAGCTGAGGACAAGTCCCCAAAGGTTCACTGCAGTAGAATTCTGAGCAGTTTGGCCAGGCCTCATGGTTTTATGGTTCCCTCCTGTGTTCTGTGTCTGTTGGATTGACCTAACTGAATTCAGCGGAATGCCTTTCTCAACGGTGCTGGGATAGACCAAGCTCTGCCTGAACCTTAGTTTCAGCCCTGGAGCCCTTGAGAGAGCTCTGCTGTTGGTTAGTAATTACCGTGAAAGTATTCAGCTTCTTCATTACAAGGACAGGTGAGGGGTTTGGGCACCATATTTCCTGAGCCCTAAATTGGGGTGTATAGGCTAACATGTGTCACTTCCAGATATAAGAGACAATCTGGACAGTAAAATACAATATTTCCATGGTATTTAGATCTTGGGGATAAAAAAGGACAAATGATTTCAAATTAGGGCCGTCATGGAACATCTGAGATGTATAGCTGGTATGATTATATCTTTGGGAAAGATGACCTCAGGCCAGAGCCTCCTCTTGCCCCTGAGTGAGCAAGGAAATATCAGGTGAGGCTGCAGAGAAAGCAGGGGCAGATCATAAAGGACCTTGTAAGTCACAGTTGGAATTCAGATTTCATCCCAGTGAAATGGGACTATTGAAGGGTTCGAAGCAGGGGAGTAACTGGATCTGATTTATAATGGTCACTTGGGCTCCAAGAGTCTTTATTACCTCTCCTGGAAGGAGAAAAAGCATGGACCTGGAAAAGCAAGAGGGATAAAACCTACACAGATAGTATGTCCTGACTGTCACTGAGACCCCAGCTGCCCGCGCAAAAAGAGCAGCAGGAGGCACAGGAGCAGAGAGGTTTAGATCAGATGGAGGAGCGGATCTCCATGGGGCATCAAGCTCACTAATCCCAGGGGTCTTTTGATAGGGTGGCTACATAGCAGTTTGAATGTCCTGCCTGGAGATAGTATACGAAGGACAAGTGACCACCTCTGGCCATCTTCCCTTCCCAGCTGTGGGTTTTAGGACCGTCCAGATCTGGCCCCTGCTGCTTGACCAGGACCTTTTGGTACTAAGTGACCAGCCAGATGTGTCAAAGTCAGAAATGGGAGGAAGTGCTAATGGGAGGAAACAGGCAGAGTCCCGGTCCCAGCTTTCTCCCAGGGAGGGGAAGCAGCTGCTACTCAACCCAGTAGTACCTTGGGCCTGAAGAGGGGCTGGCAGTGGTAGGGTCAGACTGTCAGGAAGCACTGTAGTTGGGTTCCAGGCCTTCCTTTAACCCGGAGCTAGCTGGGTTTAGGCAGCTTTGCTAGTCAGGGAAGGGTAGTGAATGGGAGGAGGAGGCCTGTGTGGAAGACCTGGACTCTTCATTCCAGAAGCACACATTGAGCACCTACTATGTTTTAGCCACCAGGTTAGGTGGAACTCAGAGAACCACGAGGTAGAGAGGGAAGAACAAGGAGGGGTCTTTATGTCAGAAGCAAAGACTGGGCTGGGTGGTGGTGGCTCACGCCTGTAATCCCAGCACTTTGGGAGGCTGAGGCGGGTGGATCACTTGAGGTTGGGAGTTCGAGACCAGCCTGACCAACAGGAAGAAACCTTGTCTCTACTAAAAATACAAAAATTAGCTGGGCGTGGTGGCGCATGCCTGTAATCCCAGCTACTCAGGAGGCTGAGGCAGGAGAATCACTTGAACCCGGGAGGCGGAAGTTGCAGTGAGCCGAGATCAAGCCATTGCACTTCAGCCTGGGCAATAAGAGCTAAACTCTGTCTCAAAAACAATAACAGAAGCAAAGACTAACATGTTGCCATGCCTGTCTGCGTTCTTCCAGGCTAACGCTGCTTTTAACAGATGGAATTTTCTTCTTAAAGAATGAATCCCCCAGGGGATTGTTGCCAGCTCCCTGCTGAACCACAGCAAGGCCTCTGTGGGGCCCTGGGCCTGGCATCCCAGATGCTGTTTGGTTTTCTCTTTATAGCACAGGGATCATCCTGGCATCTCAGATTTTCCTAGCTTTCCCTTCCCAACTATCTGCTGCTATCCCATCCCTGGGGAAGTAGATGGTTTAGCTTTGGAGGCCCTGGTGGATTCCAAGTTATAGCTGGTATCCCTGAAATGCTGGCTCACTCTAGCTCCTATGGGGTAAGCCCAGCTGGTGCCCAGAGGACTTCTTCCCCGAGCCTCAGCCTGTTTCATCTGCCAGAGGACACAGTAGCAAACCCCATCCCCATGCATCTCCTAGAGCCATGTGGCAGGATAAGGAGACACATAGGGCTGAAAGAAGCCCATATCTTTTCTCACCCAGGTAGGTGGTGGGGACTCATACCACAAGCAGAGAGGACCAGGGTGAGCCCAGCGTTTCCAGCTTCCTGGGACAGGGCTGGGAGTGGCGTGGGGTGCTGCACCTCTTCTGTACCCTCAGCCTGTATCTCCTCCTCTTCCTTTTACTCCTCCTACTCCCTGTCTTGGCAGCAGTTCTAATCCCAGTTATGCGCCAAGAGAAGTCTTCCCGCCTCCTCCAGACTCCTGGGAGGGATACCCTGATGACTGTAGCCCCACAGGGACAGCTCTTGCTGGCCACCCTGCCATCAGGCCATCCATCAACTGTGTCCACACATTGCCTGTCCCCAGGGAGCTCTGAGGGAGCTGACTAGCCATCTGTTATCTTCCTGCACACAGATGGGGCCAGGCCCCCGGCTCCTCTCCATGGCCTGTTTAGAAGGCCCCAGGGAGACACAGCCCCTTGGGTTTCCCTCTCACATGGCGTGTGTCCAGAATGCTGGGTTCACACCTTCATGTGTCCTGGTAGCTGCTAGATGAGGTTCCGCTGGGAGCAGGGGTGAGCCACAGTGGTAGGGTAGATTTGTGGCCTGGTAGAAATCAACCAGCAGGCCTGGGAGAACACCGTTTTCTTCTGCCATCATCCTTCCACCTGCCCATCCATTAGGGAAGCATTTGTTGAGCACTTACTGCATACTAGGTCCTGGGCTCCAGCGGTGAGCAGCACATAATCCCAGCCCCAAGGAGCTCATAGTAAGCGGGAGAGATGTTCCAGTAGCAGACCATGACAGTACCCTCTGAGAAGCTCAACCACAGGGGCCAGTCCTGGTGCTGGGAGTGCAGCAGAGGGGCTTCAAGTCCAGTCTTGTGGATGGGTCAGCGAAAGCTGACATCTGGGTAGTAGATGAGTGAAGCGGAGGCAAGAGGAAGGGAAACACTGTCACAAACACATGCCAAGGCCTAAAGTTATGGAGAGAGAATCACATATTTCAGGAATAAGGCTGGGAGACGGTGTGTGGGAAGGGAAAGCTGGGAGAAGCACTAGGAGGCATCCACGGGAGCCAGGTCATGGAGGCCCCTGTGAGCCGTGCTGGGGAACGTGAACTTTAACCAAAGGGCACTGAAGCAATTTAATCAGGGAGCAATAGGAACAGGTTTTAGGAAATCACTCTGGCTGCTTATGGAGCATGCTCTAGGGTGTAGCAAAGTTGGCTGTGGGGAGAGTGGTGAGGGAGTGATTGTGATCCTAGAAGAATGGATGGAGACCTGGACTCAGGTAGAGGCAGTGGGATGGAGAGCCATCTCAGACTCGAGCAACTGAGTCAGACTCTGGGGTCTTGGTGACCCACTGGTAGGGGCCTGAGGGAGAGGAGGGGTCATGTGACCGCCAGAGTACTGGGAAGATGCTACATTCTTTCCCCTTTGATTCCTTAGGGAAAGTTCTTGGGGGGCATCTGTATTTGGATCAGTTACTCTTAAGTTTGCTGAAGGCCAAGTGTTTCCTAAGTCTGGTGAGATTAGGGGAGATGTTGGTAAAGTTGAGGATCTCAAAACCCCAGTTGGATCAAAATTCCCTCCTCCACTTCCATAAGTCCGGATGGGAAAGTCAAGGCCCATTGAGAAGGGGCAGAGGCCAGGCTGGAGACTAGGGCCTGGGAGAGGAGAAGGCGAGTCTGTCTGTATCCTCAGTCGGTCCATTCTAGGGGAGGACAAATGGAGTCCCTTAGGACGAGGCATGTCCTCCTGCATCTGGGAGTATAGGACTTTTCTGCTGAGCTCAGAAAAGCCCACCCAGCTAAACCCTGGCCAATGTGGTTGTCCTGCCATGGAGAGCCAGAGGTGCTGGCCAGAAAGCAAGGCCTCCTGAGCATTTTTCTTTTTTTTTTTTTTTTGAGACAGGGTCTTGCTGTCACCCAGGTTGGAGTGCAGTGGGGCGATCTTGGCTTATATGCTCAAGCGATCCTCCCACCTCAGCCTCCTGAGAAGCTGGGACCACAGGCACACACCACCACACCTGGCTATTTTTTTTTTTTTTTTTTTTTTTGACATGGAGTTTCACTCTTGTCACCCAGGCTGGAATGCAGTGGCGCGATCTCAGCTCACTGCAACTTCCGTCTCCCTGGTTCAAGCGATTCTCCTGCCTCAGCCTCCTGAGTAGCTGGGATTACAGGTGCCTGCCACCACGCCTAGCTAATTTTTATATTTTTAGTACAGGTGGGGTTTCACCATATTGGTCAGGCTGGTCTCGAACTCCTGACCTCAGGTGATCCACCTGCCTCGGCCTCCCAAAGTGCTGGGATTATAGGCGTGAGCCACCAAGCCCAGCCTAATTTTTGTATATTTTATTAGAGACAGGGTTTCACCATGTTGCCCAGGCTGGTCTCAAACTCCTGAGCTCAAGCTATCTACCTGCCTCAGGCCTCCCAAGTGCTGGGATTACAGGCGTGAGCCACTACACCTGGCTCTCCCTGAGCTTTTGAGAATGTGGTGGGAAGGGAGAGGGGGTCTTAAAGGAAGGCTTACCACTCCCTCCCAGCCAAGTCTAGTCGCTGTGGTAGGGGTACTTCTCCTGGTGGACCGTGAGGCTGCTAGTTGGAGGTTTTAGTGTGTGGGGTGGAGTTTCTAGTCAAAGGCTTTCAGGCTGTCGGGTTCCTCATGAGGTTGCCATGTTCACATAAACCACCTCCACGCTCAGGTGGGTTTGGGAGAGGACATGTTACAGTGGAAAGAGCATGGGCTTTGGAGCCAGAAAGACCTGGGTTTGGGTTTTACCAAAGTTATCAAACCTTTCAGAGCCTCAGTGTTCACTTTTCCCTCAGTAAATATTTAATGAAGTTGACCTAAGGACCGGGCACTGTGCTAGCACTGGGGGATTAAATAAACAAAATATAATCTTTCCTTGAGGAAGCATAGACCTAAGTAAAGAAATGCAAAGCTGCTATCGCAGAAGTCTGTGCAGGCATACAGTGGGGCAGGAGGAAGTTCTGCCTGGGGGAAGTGGGGGGCAATCAGGAGAGGCCTCCTGGTGAAGGTGACCTGTGATCTCTATGAAATAGGCCTATTCTATCCTCCCAGAGGTTGAGAAGGTTAAGTTGGAGAAAGATGCATACCCAGTGAATTCACTCCAATTGCCTCTGAGAAGCAGAATAGAATTGCAGGCTGAAAGGAGACTTGCTTTTTATTCTGTATATTTTGTGGGTCTTTATATAAGGTAAGCATGTTTATGTTAGGCAAGTTCACGTATGTGAGATGTTGGCAGGTGGTAAATGCTTAGAAACATTAGTACCCTTCCCTTCCCTGTGCCCAGTCTCTAAAGCCACCCTGGGAGGGTAATTTTGCAGCTTCTTTAATGAATCCATCCTAGTGTTCACCCATCCTTGCTCCTGAGGTTTTCTGATGCTTTCGTCTGGATTTTCCTGTAGCCCTAGCCTTATAGACGCCATCTGAAGGGAGAGATGGCCTTCTGGGTGCTTCCTATCCTTTTCTAGCTTATTAGAGGCCAGCTTCTCGGGCCTGCAGGCTTGGCCATTGGTGGCCCTGCAGGAGATGGGCAAGTCAGGGTTGCCTGCATCTGGGAGAAGGACAGGAGAGCCCTTTTGCTGTAGGGGAAGCCCTAGACCCCTGGGTAGAAACTGTATGAGCCTCATCAACCTTGTCCCTAGGGTACCTGGCTGCTGCCAGGAGTGGGGCCTGCAGGATTCCAAGGGAAGACTCAAAATGGTCTTGCCTCCAGGTCTGCCAGGCCGGGTTTGGAGCACTGGGCTTTCCTAGGGCCTTCTGGTGGTGGTGGAGCAGCTGTGTGCTGCCTGGCTCAGTGTTCTACAATGCTTCTGTTCCTGATTTTACTGCAAGTGATCCTTGGAGCGTTTTTGTTTTGTTTTGTTTTGCTTTGGGTTTTTGGTTTCTGTTTCTGTTTTTTTTGTTTGTTTTGTTTTGTTTTTAAAAACAGGAAATTTGTCTTCATTTTGTGCCAAAGCTTCAGGCACCCCTGGCATCTGAGTCTCGCCATGTGAGAATCCTGGCTTGAGGGCTCAGTGAGGGACCCTATCTAAGTCCTTTAGGTAATGAAGGGCTGGGGGCAGGGGGCAGGTGTCAAGGGCATGGGACGTGGTGGGTGAAAGGTCTTTGGGATTGTCTATTGTGGAGTAGTGGGATGCAGGGGACTGTCAGGGCGAAGCAGTGGACTAGATCATTTCCAGGGCTCCCTTCTCTGTCCTTGGAGGCACCATTCTGCCTTCTTCCTTATGAGATGCTCGATGAATTGCAGCCCTGGAGTACCGTGGCCATCCAGCCTGTGGGTGGTGGGCACAGTGCCCAGGCTGCACTGACCTGAGTATGGGTACATGACATGGTCATGGCTGCTTCTGTGGGCACAGCTTGGAGCCTTGGTGCAGGGGCAGGGTCTTAAAGGTAGCCTGCCCTTGCCTCTTCCTGTCATGGTCCCTTCCTGCCTGCCCTGACACCCCAAGTCACCCTGCCCTCTGCTCCCTTCTAATCTCTCTTATTTACATTGGACTGGTTCTGGAAAATACCAGATATGCAAACACCCTGACTGGGGGTGAGTGGGGAGTAGGGTGAAGGGGAGTGTGTGGCGGGTGGGAACACAAGTATTTTAAAAATGCTGCAAATCTCTACAGCATTTCCCAGAAACCACAGGCACGCGCTGCCTGCCAGCAGGGCTCCCGCCACCCCAATGCACTAAGCTGCTGTATTCTACTCACTGCAGTCTTGGGGGGACGGTGGGGACTGGTGACCCAGCTGAGGTGAGGGCTCCCCTGCTGCCTGGGCAGGCAGCCTGGCGCCTCCATTGTCAGTCCTGGGCAGCGGGTATGGTTGTGCCCCAGGCATCTGGCAGCACTGAGGGCGCCCACCATGCCAGACAGCCACTGCGAAAGAGCGGAGTTTTCAGGGCCCCCACCTCTGCTGTGCAGTTTGATGGGGGGCAGCCAATTCAAGAGTCCCGCATGGTGTTTGGCAGCAGCTTCTGTTCTGTTAAATACAGGGGACAGTGTTAGCAAAGCTTATTTTTTCAGTTGTGGGCTCTAGTTTGGTTGGGAAACTATTTCCTTAGACCTGGGTCACCCCTCGGGCTCCCTTAATCTCCCGCCATATGTTCTCCAGAATCAGGGCATGGTGTTCTGCCCTGGTGCGACTCAGCCCGGTTGCTTTGCACAGACTCTGGGCCAGGGCAGGATGTCGGTGTTTGCCGGGTGTTCGCCGGGTGTTATCTGTGGCGCTCAGTATGGTGCATAGTGTAGACACGTGCCCTAGGTGGTGTTTAATTGATCTGGGTAAGACTCAGCCAAGGCAGGGCACAGTGGCTCACGTCTATAATCCCAGCACTTTGGGAGGCTGAGGTGGGCAGATCGCTTGAGCCTAGGAGTTTGAGACCAGCCTGGGCAACATGGCAAAACACCATCTCTGCAAAAAATACAAAAATTAGCCAGAGGTGGTAATGCACACCTGTAGTCCCAGTTACTTGGATGGCTGAGGTGGGAGGATCCCTTGAACCTGGGAGGTTGGGGCTACAGTGAGCCGTGATTATGCCATTGATTATGTCACTCAACTCCAGCCTGGGACACAGAGCAAGACCCTGTCTCGAAAGAAAAAAAAAAGACTGAACTAAACAGAAATGCCTTGGGGGAAGGGCATGAAAAGTTCTGGCAAGGTGAGGATCACGTCTAACATTCACTGTAGGTTAGGCACTGTTCTCAGTGTTTACATATATTCACTTATTTAATTTTCTCAACAACCCTTTGAAGGATCATAACAATCTGTTTTAAAGTGAGGAAACTGCATTACTGAGAGGTTAAAGTTAGGCAAATTGTGTAAGGTTGCACAGGTATTAAGTGACTCACCAGGACTTGAACTCAGGCCATCAGCTCTTGACTAGTCTGCTGTATAGGGGAGAGCAAGGCAGTATCCGGATATCCATATAAATCCACTGCCTAGCTCAGACCTTCTGACTCCTGCTGCCCTGTCACTAAAAGCCTCTTCACCTCCTTGTCATCCTTCCAGAAGGAAACCAGGAGTGATGGGCCACTCTTGAGCTGTGGTGGTGTGCTGCAGAAGGGTGTGACCATTGCTCTCAGTGTCTCCTGAGGGTTAGCCAGAGGAAGTGAGCCCAAGTGGCAGCAGGCAGGATTCAATCTTGTGGGAGCCGGGAGAGGGAAGGGTGGAAGAGGGACGCCTTAAGAAGAGAAGTGGCACCTACATTGGCAGCATTTGATGTGGTCCCCAGGAGTGGAGGGCCATATGCTAGATCTGGGAGTCTGGGACGTTGCCCCTCTCACCTTTTTGGCCCATACTGGCATGCTAGTGCTGATCTCCATAGCACTTGGGGTGACAGGATCCCTGCAGTGTCACCTCTGACCAAGAGTGGGCTCGCCGTGTTGCTCAGGGCCACGCTGTTGTTTCCTCTGTGTGTTGTGGAAAAACAGTGGCGGAGCACAGCCTGGCAGAGGGCCTAGCAGTGGTGGGGGCAATGCAGGCTTCTCACTGGCGTCTACCCTTGAGCTCCTGCTGTTCCTTTTGTCTGTAGCCCCTTTCCCTGCCCTCCCTTGTACACTTCTACACATTGGCTTCAGTTTGAATATCACTTGTCCCTGATCCTCCCAGACCATGTCAGGTCCCCACCTGGCAACACCCCAGCCTTCTCATAGCATTCACAAGATGGTAATTACTGAGTTATCTCATTCCTTCTCCAGTGCTGGAGCACTGCATGAGGGCAGGGGATATTTGTTGAAGGAAAGAGATGGTTCTGTACTCAGGAACTGGTTTCTCATTCTCTCTGTTCGGTCTTCCAGACCAGAACCAAAACTTTAGCTCAGTTTTGGGTCCTGGACCCCTCCTGCTCTAACTGACCTTGGTGACTTGTCTCTAGGACCTTAGCGTGTCCCATCTCCACCCATGGACTGTTTCTTGCATGCCTGGGGCCTGGCATCTCTCACAGGACTGGAGGAGAGGCAGCTCTGTGGGCATCCAGGAGCAGGAGCCTGGGAAGGGAGGTCCTGGGGACAGGCTGCCTCCTGCCCCCACACAGGAGCCCACATGAAGGTGCCAGGCTTGGGTGAGAAGAAGATTCAGGATTACATGGGGGCTACGCAGTGTCTGTCTCAGACCTTGGAGGAATGCGCCTGTCTCACTGGCTGTAGGTCTCTGAGGGGCTGGAATGTGGCCCAGTGGGGCTTCCTCTTCCCTTCCGCTGCTCTCCCTGAACTGCCTTCATACTGGAATGTCAGCAGGATGGGAATTTTCACAGCAAGGATCTTACCCAGTCACAGCAATGGATTCCAGCTGGAGCCTGGGGACAGCTCCCACATGTCCCTACCAGGGAGGAGAGAGTGGGTGCTAAGGCAGCCCCAGTTGCTCTGCTCCTGGGGCCCAGGCTCAGCTCCCATCCCCTCTGGGAGACAGTTTTGGTTCCTGGAACCTTCCCGCTCTGACTGGCCTAGGTGACTTGTCTGTAGGACCTTAGCATGTCCCTACTAGGCCAGGTCATGGGGAACCTGGGCTTCTGGAGCTGTAGGGCTCAGGAGAGGGAGTGGGAGGCCTTGGAGCCCAGAGACTCCATCTCTGAGGAGAGAATGAGGCTGGCCATGTCCCACAAGGCCTTGCTACCTCTGGTGTGAACATGAGTCAGGGAGGGGAGCCGCCTCGGATTCCATCCTCAGGTGGGGCCAGGCCTCTGGACCCAGGTTCTCTGGCCTACTGGGGCCACCCAGCCTCGGTTGGAGGTGGCCCTGCCGAATTCATCACCTGTATCTGTCTTGTACTCTGTGGGTCCCGCAACACCTTCGGGGCCTGGTTCCCTCTCTTAGTGACCTTTCTGGCTCCTGTGCCCTTTGCCCCCGATCTCATTTCTGCTGGCTCCTCCCTCCCACTCAGATTTCTGCAGGGAGCTGACTCACTTCCTCCCTCCCTCCCCAGCACCTCTCACTGCCAGGCCCTGGGGCAAGCAGGGTCCACACAGGGCGGCAGGTTCTTCCCATGGAGCTCTTCTCTGGCAGCAGGACTGAGGCTGCCCCGGCCCTGGGGCAGAAGAGGGCTGCATGTGTGGTGGGGAGGAGGCAGAGCTCTGTGCTGTAGGAAAGGCCAGATGTGGATGTCCCCAGAGCCTTGTTGCAATCAGGGTGGGACGTCAGGACACCTTGATGAACACTGCTCCCTGTCAGCCCCTGAGCCTGGTTCTGTGGAGAAGAAAGGCTGAAGATAGCACCCTGTGATGATGGAGCCTGTGCTTCTGCAAGGACAGAAGACGTGTGCAGGAAGATCTATCTCAGCCCTGGGTGGCATGGGCTAGAGGCCAGGCAGTGACAGCACCGTCAGGCAGCGTGAGACTGTCATGACTCTCCGTGACACCCAGTTTCATGCCCGGCCCCAACACATCAAGGGGAAAGTATCTAGAGATTCCAGTAGAACCTTCCAGGGACATGGCGAGGGGAAGGGTCTGATACCATCTCCTTGTGTGGTTAGTTCTTCCTGCTGGGGGCCCTTCCCTCATGCCCCTGCCCCTCCCTCATGTGTGGACTGCTTTGGTTGTGGAGCTGATTGCAGAAGCACTGGGCTCAGAGCAGTAAAAGATTTCCTCCCCGGCTGGGCTGGCATCTTCTGCCTCGCCCTCCCCAGAGCTGTCCAGGCTGTGGGAGCTAGTGTGCCTGGCACTTCAGGCATGGGGGGAACCCAGCATGTGCTGAGCCTGGCACAGCCCTGCCTCCTCTCAGCAGGCACCTAGGTTCCCTAAAGGACACGGGCACAGGCTGGGTCGAGTCCCCACTCACTTGGCCATGCCTCAAGATCAACAGAGGCAAGAGGGAAACTGGGCCCCCTGCCTGAGAAGCCTGGGGGGACTGCTGTGGCCTGTCTTCCTGGAATCGGTGACCAGCAAACATCCCTATTCCCCTTAGCACTTGGCTTTGCCTGGCAGAGCCCCGATTGCCCTGGCAGCCTGAGATTCTGGCCTCAGGATTTCTGAACAAGAAAAGGGGTTTCTTGCTTAGATGAGGTGAGGGGCAGGCAGGAATGAAGCCTTCTCCTAGGGGTACCAGCCTGACCACCTCACCCCAAATGCCCTTGCCCTCCCTCGAGGGAGGTGAGCCACCCTGTGCGGGCACACTGAGGCCTGTCTACACGCCTCTCCCAGGGCTGCCTGATCACTCTTGCCTCCATCCATCATCACCTAACTTCGACCTGGGGAAGAGAACCACAGAACTGGGTTCTGTGGCAGGACACCCAGCTTAGGAATGGCCTAGGCGCCACATACACACGCACGCGCGCGCACACACACACACACACACACTCTGCAGAATTTAGAGTGGGTTGTCCTTTTCTCCCAGACCCCTCCAATTTCTGCCATTTGCTTCTAGCCCTTACCTTCTCTGTCCAGAGGAAAGCAGCTGGCTTCGCACCAGAGGACTTTGTCTCTGGGGTAGGGGAATCAGTTTTCCTGCTTTAATCAGGGCTTTGGGGTCCTCCCCCAGCCCCCTTGTCTTCCTTTGATGACTGATTTTGAGGTCTCTCTTCTGTGCTCTGAAAGAGGGACCCATCTTATAAAGGGTCCTCTACCCTTTGTCCCGCCCATTTTCTTCAAAATCCCAAAACTGCTGCTCTCATTGTTGCTGTAGAAACAGATGCTTGTCAAACATGAAGTTGCTTGGAAGGACTAGTTTTGGCTGCAGGAACTGCTTTCAGCTCATCTGGGGAGGAGAGAGGAGGAAGAGAGGAGGAGAGAGAGAGAGGGCCCTAGGCAAGGACCCACAGGTGAGGAGTTGTGTGTGGTTGCGAAGGTGTTGTTAACACATTGCTAAGTATTGGCTACAGCTTGGCCTCTGGAGCCAGACTGCTTGGGTCTGAATCCTGGCCATGCTGCCTACTGGCTGAGTGACCTTGGGCAAATTATTTAATTCCTCTGTGCCTCATTTTCGTCATCTATGAAATGAGAATAATCATAGTAGTTTTAGTCCAGTGTGGTTGTTCATGCCTGTAACCCCAACACTTTGGAAGGTTGAGGCAGGAGGATCACTTGAGCCCAGGAGTTCAAGACTAGCCTGGGCAACATAGTGAGACAAGCCCAGACAACATGGTGAGACCCCATCTCTATTAAAGATACAAAAATTAGCTGGGCATGGTGGTGTGTGCCTGTAGTCCCAGTTACTCAAGAGGCTGAGGTGAGAGGATTGCTTGAGCCCAGGAGTTTGCTGCAGTGAGCCGTGATTGCACCACTGCAGTCCATCCTGGGTGTCAGAGCAAGACCCTGTCTCAAACAAACAAGCAAACACAAAATAATAGTACTTTCCTTGTAAGGTTGTCTTGAGGATTAAATGAATCAATACATATAAACCACTTAGAGCAGTGCCTCAAAATAGTGCCTAGAGTCAGTGAGCATTGGCCAGGCATGGTGGTTCACACCTGTAATCCCAGTGCTTTGGGAGGCTGAAATGGGAAGATCTCTTGAGGCTAGGAGTTCAAGACCAGCCTGCGAAAGATAGTGCTACTTTGTACAAAAAGTAAAAATATTAGCCCAGTGTGGTGGTGCATGCCTGTCCTAGCTACTTAGGAGGCTGAAGCAGGAGGATCGCTTGAGCCCAGGAGTTTGAGGCTGCAGTGAGCCATGATCACACCACTGCACTCCAACCTGAGTGACAGAATGAGATCCTGTTTAAAAAAAAAAGAAGAAGTGAACATTATCATCATCCTCATTAATCTGTCTCTGGTACGTCAGGAAGCACTGGTGCCTGGTAGCTTGGTACCCGCAGGAATGTCACAGGTGCTGTTCCTGTTAATGGCTCAGCTCTGCTCACGGGGAGTGTTGGAGAACTGCTTTATTCTTGTCCCCACGCTGATGCTTATGCCCAAAGTGCCTTTCAGGTAGAGATGGGGAACAGGCCTAAGCTTACTCAGGGCTGCACAGTAATCTTAGCGAGGGATTGCTTTGGCCTGAGTTTCCAATCTGGTCTGAAGTTTGATTCCAGTTTTTAAAATTGGGCTGCTTTCTCTGTGACTCCCTCCAGTCAGATTCTTAGCTGATGGCAAGACCTCTGGAGTACCAGGTGTCTTTCTACCTATTTGTTTTCCATTTGAACAAACTCACCCTACTTTTTGGTCTTTCTACAATTTATTTTGTTTCTTCACACCTGTCTTGCTCCTGACAGCCCATTTAGATTAGGACTAAGCAGGAATTGAGGCATAAAACAGAAAGACAGTCCTGACCTGCCAGTTCCAGAGTCTGTCCTCTGCTCCTTCCACCACCCATATGAGCATGCCTAGACTCTCCCACTTGTGATTTTTACTGCAGCAAAACCTCTCCAGTGAAGTCTCTGTGACGGAACACAACAGTGGTCAGACCCGCCAATCTGTTCCTTTGCTCTTCTGTGGATGCGGGGCTGGGGGGCTTCTCTGAGCCTCCTCTCCAGCATGTCAGATATGTCCAGAGTCCATTCTCCACCGTGTCCTCCCCTTCCTACTCCTCCTTTGCTTCATCTAGTTGGTGACACAGGGAGGTGTCCAGTTATGGGCCTCACTGCTCCATGGCAGAAATCCTGGCATGCCCTGGATGAGGCTTCATTGGCCTTATTTGCTGTTGAAAGTTCAGGATTCTGTTGGGACTTCTGATTCTATAGGAGTACTAACATCAGATAAGTCCTGCAGCGGGTGGCTTGGGGAAGCCCTCAGGCCACTGCATTCCAGATGTCTTACTCGTGCTTGGCCCAGAGAATGCAGAAACAAGGAACCATTGTGTGATTGTGCAGGCACTGAGGGGCTTTCTCCCAGGCCTGGGACGCCTTGGGGTGGGAGTAGGTTTCCATTCAGTCTTGGCTTCTGCTCCCAGCTGGGTATTAAATTGTGACTACAGTCCCCTCCTCCACCTCTTTTGGAGGCCTAGGGAACAAGGCAAGGCATGTGTGGATAGGAGTCTAAGCAGACTCTGGGGTGAGGAAGGGAGACAACAGCAGGTAGGCGGGGGCATCATCTGAAGGAGGCATTGGTAGAGGGACCAGGACACACTGAAAGGGAACCTCTAGACCAGACCTGCCCAACAGAACAATTTGCAAGGGTAGAAATGGTCTATAATGCTATCCAACTTAGTAGGAACTGAACCTTAAATTTTATTTGATTTTAATTTAATCAGAAGTATCCTCATTGTTTCCATTTAACTGGAATTTTTTCTGAGACGGGGTCTTGCTCTGTCACCCAGGCTAGAGTGCAGTGGCACCATCACAGTTCACTGCAGCGAACTCTTGGGCTTGAGTGATCCTCCCACCTCCCCCTCCCAAGTTGCTGGGACCACACTTGGCTAATTAAAAAAAAATTTTTTTTGTAGAGACGGGGTCTCACTATGTTGCCCAGGCTGGTCTTGTGTTAACAACACCTTTGCAACCACAGCAACTCCTGACCTGTGGGCCCTTGCCTGGGGCCCCCTCTCTCCTCCTTTCTTCCTCCTCTCTCCTCCCCAGATGAGCTGAAAGCAATTCCTGCAGCCAAAACTAGCCCTTCCAACCAACTTCATGTTTGACAAGCATCTGTTTCTACAGCAACAATAAGAGCTACAGTTTTGGGATTTTGAAGAAAATGGGCGGGACAAAGGGTAGAGGATCCTCTATAGGGTCTTTCAAAGGCACAGAAGAGAGACCTCAAAATCAGTCATCAAAGGAAGACAAGCGATCTTGCTGCCTAGACCTCCCAAAATGTTGGGATTATGGGCATGAGCCATAACACCCGGCCAGCTTCAATTTGAATAGCCACTCATGGCTAGTAGCTACCATATTGAACAGTACGGCTCTAAACAGCTCCCAGAAAGAAATAGTTGGGTGTTCTTGAAGGTTTGTTTCCTCCTTCAGAGTCCCCCTGGTAAGGCAGGGGATGGTGGCATTTCCCCTTCCTCTCAAGAAGGAAGAGCTGTCCTCTCTGGCAATTTCTACACCTCAACCACCACCAGCTCTGGAATCCTAATGCCCCAGGGCCAGCAGGTCCCTGGCTGTGTGCCACCACAACTGGGGCAGCGCTTCCTTTCCTCGCCAAGGATGTCTTCTGCCCAGCTTTGTAACACACAGGTACTCACATGCCCCAGTGGATTTGGCCCAGGCTGTTAGCACAGAGGTGGTGGGTTGGTAGGCAAGGTAGAGGCTTTTGCTTCTTCCTGTTTCTATGGACATAGGGTTTGTGCTTTATTTTTTACTTCAGAGGGTTTTAGAAACAGGCCCAATAGGGGCTCCAGAGGTGAACACACAGATTCTCAAATATTTATTGGATGTCCAGTGTTACGAGGAACCTGAGGCTTGTCTAGAAGAACTTCTCTGACTTTGAGAATAAGCACCACAGGCCTCCATCTCTCACACCCAGGAAGACCTTACTGATATTTTATTTAAATTGCTGTGGCTGACCCTTAAGCTGGCTTCCTTTTTTTTCTTCTGTGGAAATGGAGAAGAGTTGTCATTTATATGAAAAAGAGAACAATGCTTCATTATGTTTATTCCCTCCTGTCTACCAGAGGGGGTGGATAGGAGAACATAGTGCATGTGGTACATTTAGGAGACCCAGAAGTGACCCAAGTCCTGATGAGATGTGGGGCAGGGCTGTGGAGGATTTTGGGAAAGGATCCTCAAGGCTGGCTCATGGCTTTGGGCCTTGGGGGAGCTTGGCAAAGCAGAGGCAATTTGGAAGTCCCCGGGGGCCATGAGGAAATCCCCAGCAGCTGAGAGACCTCAGAGAGCAGCAGGCCTGCTGTCGGGCCAGTCAGGTGGTCCCTGCAGTCGGCCGCATATGCCTGCCTAGTCTTTGGGGATTGACTCAGGGTCTTGGCAGAGAGGACAAGCCCAGGCGTCCCTACTTGGGCTCTGTGCCCGAAAAGGTGTGGTGGCACATGGCTCTGAGCAAACTGATGGGTGTGCCAATGCAGGGACTGGGTGGGTGTAGGGGCTGGGGGGAGTGTCAGAGCCCCAAGCCTCGGCGACCACCTCTGGGGCAGTGATCTGTGGCTCGCCGTCCCATACCCACTGACCTTCCTGATTGCTTGTCTCTAGACAAGCCCCTCTCTAGAACAGGCTTTCCTGGCGTCTTTTGACCTTGCATTCATGTATTCATTCATTTATTCCATCAATAAGCATTTACTGAATGCCTACTATATGTAGGAACTGTTTTAGGTTCTGGGGATAGAGCGGTGATAAAAACAAAGTGGGCACCGAGCTCATCCCTGCCTCTTCTTGCCCTACGCGTCCTGGGGACGGCGAGAGGCCATCTTGCCGCCGCAGCCCCCTCGGGCCGGAGCTCCTGGGGGACGCCTCCTGGGGGTGGGGCCTGGAGGCCGGCCTGGCGGAGGTGAAAGCGGCCCCAGCAAAGCGGGAGGGTAGATGAGAAGGGGGCTGCCACCCTCTGCTGGGCGCCAGCGGCGCTGCAGGGCGGAGCTTCCAGGGCTCTAGGCGCATGTGCTGGGCTTGGCCCCACCCCCTTGGCCCCGCCCAGGCTCCGGCTGGCCGGTGGGCCAACCCGGGAAGTGCCGCCCCGGGCCTGGGGCTGACTCGGCCCTCACAGAGCCTGACCCGTGCGTAGGGTGCTGAGTGGCTGGGGTGGCCCTGGGCATGCGCCGTTGGTCACTCCAGGTTTCCTCTCAGCCCTCCTTCTCCTCTCTGAGACCATCCCTAGGCTTCTTAAAGGGAGTCTGCCCTATAACCCTTCAGAATCCACTGGCTATCGGCACTGGTAGAATTTCATAAAAAATCTTGGCACCTCAATACCAATCGCTGTCTCCTAACACTACTGTTTCATACGAGGTGACATTTTGTTACTTACACACACACACACACACACACACACACACACACAAAAGAATAAAGGATAATTCCTCCCAAGAAAGGGAAGGGACTCCTGCGCTGGCATTTTCTTTGAGACAGGTGTAGACTCTAGTACTGGCCCTAGGGCTGGTGCTGAGGACCTCTGAAGTGGTCATCCTGGAAGTGCACCTGCCACCCTAGTGGCTGGGCCCTCCCACTTCAAAAGCAAGTGCTCCAGGCCCTCCTGGCCCTGAGCTCTGAGTGCTTTAAACAGGACTCTCCCCAACTCCCTAAATATAGTTCTATTATTGACACTTTACACACCGCAAATTTGTAATACAAGGATCATATAATTAGTACCCATTTATGGCAACAGTGCTTATAGACTTTTTTTTAGGAGTTTTGATTTACAGGGGAACTAGAGGGACAAATGGGGTCAGAGAAGTATTCTTTTGTTAAGATATATTTTGTTAAGATATATATATCTCATTGTTAAGATATATCTTAACAAAATATATCTTCCCAAGCTTTAAACCTTGGTATCTTTCCTTACTTTTCTCAATCTCCACCCAGACCCGCTTGTGCCCATTTCCCATCCTTCCCCAAATAGTCACCAAGTCCAGCTTATTTTTTCTCTTGAGTCACCCTCTCTTCCCCATCAACTGCCAGAATCCTAGGCAGACCCTTCTTATCTCTCATTTGGCATCACCTTTTACCTTGACTTCCTTTTTTTTTTTTTTTTTTTGTCACCCAGGCTGGAGTGCAGTGGCATGGTCGTAGCTCACTGTAATCTGTAACCTTGAACTCCTGGGCTCAAGTGATTGATCCTCCCACCTCAGCCTCTGAAGTAGCTAAGACTACAGTTGCAGGCCACCACGCCTGGCTAATTTTTAAATTTTTTGTAGACGGGTCTCTGTGTTTCCCAGGCTGGTCTTGAACTCCTGGTCTGAAGTGATCCTCCTGCCTCTGCCTTCCAAAGTTTTGGGATTACAGGTATGAGCCACCATGCCTGACTACCTTGACTTTCTAATGTTCTTTCACCTTCCAGCCTCCTTTCTCCTCCTCTTGCATCCTGTTAGCTCAGAATGTTTTTTGGTTTTTGTTTTTTGTTTTTAGGCAGGGTCTCTCACTCTGTCACCCAGGCTGGAGTGCAGTGGTGTGATCATGACTCACTGCAGCCTTGACCTTCCCTGGGCTCAGGTGATCCTCCCACTTCAGCCTCCCAAGTAGCTGGGACCACAGGCATGCCACCACCACACCCAGCTAATTTTTGTGTTTTTTGTAGAGATGGGATTTTGCCATGTTGCCCAGGCTGGTCTTGAACTCCTGAGCTCAAGCAATCTGCCTTCCTCGGCCTCCCAAAGTGCCGGGATTACAGGAATAAGCCACCATGCCTGACCTGCTCAGCATTCTTAAGGCACAGGTTAAATCATGCCCCATCACTCTCCAAAAGCTTGTTGTGCCTCCCATTGTTTTCCAGGCAGGTGGTGGTGTGTAAGGAGCTGGGCTCTGGAATCTGAACAATCTGAGTTCAAATCACCTGGCCAGTCACAATCTGTGTGATCACAGGCAATTATTTAACCTCTGTAAACCCCGTTTCCCCATTCCACAATTCCCCTTCTCATTACCTCGCAGGGTTTTGAGAGGAAAACCAGTAGCATGTGCCTGGCCATGGCTAGTGCTTGGTGTGTACCTTCTTGTTCCTTTGACTGCCCACCTTGCTTTCATCTCAGGTACAGCTCTTTCAGGTGAGAGTAACAGAAAGCCCAGCTCAACTGGCTTAAAAAGAAGATATGTGTTGTCACCAGTATCTGAAAAGTCCAGCAGTAGAACCGGCTACAGGCTCAGCCTTATCTGGAAACATTAACAGTGTGACCAAGACCTGACCTTTTCTGTCTCTCACCCCATCTTCTAGGCAGCCTTGGTCCTCAGACAAGTAATGGCAAAATGTCACAGCCCCAGGTTCTAGTTGTGTGGATAGAGATGTGTGACTCTTTGAATAATCCCCAAGTTTCATTATGTATCCTTGAAACTGATTGGGTCACATGCCCTCCATGAACCTATAGCCTGAGGATATTCTTATTGGCCAGGATATTCTTATTGGCCAGGGCGAAGTCATGTGCTGGGGTGGGTCCCCAGAGGGGAAAATGGAGTGCTATAATCAGAGGATGGAGGAATGGGTGGTGGGCAGCAGAAACAACACATGTCCACTACAGCACACACTTGCTTGATTTGAGACCCAGCTTCCTTCCCAGCTTTATCCCTCCCTCCTTGGTTTCCTATATGTGTCATACATTTCTTCCAGACTTACTGTCCACATCTCATGCTTTTCCACTTCTTTGCCTTTTATTTTATTTTATTTTTATTTTATTTTTTTGAGATGGAGTCTCTCTCTGTCGCCCGGGCTGGAGTGCAGTGGCGTGATCTCAGCTCACTGCAACCTCTGCCTCCCGGGTTCAAGTGATTCTCCTGCCTCAGCCTCCTGAGTAGCTGGGATTACAGGCACATGCCACCACGCCTGGCTAATTTTTGTATTTTTAGTAGAGACGGGGTTTCACCATGTTGGCCAGGCTGGTCTCGAGCTCCTGACCTCAGGTGGTCCGCCCACCTCGGCCTCCCAAAGTGCTGAGATTACTGGCGTGAGCCACTACGCCTGCCTGGCCCCTCTTTGCCTTCTCTTACACTACTTCTTCACCCTGGAATTCCCTTCCTACCTCATTGCCACATTATAACATTTCTCTCTTTCATTGGCCTAGCTCCAAGCTGTCTGTAAGCTGTCTACTTAATACCGTAACTGGAACAGATCTTTGCCTCTGAACTTCCCTAGACTGTTATTGACGTCCCTGACTTGAATTTTAATTATTGGGGTACATTTGTTATCTCCTCTGCTGATCTGTACATTTTTTTAAATCAGGAAGTATTTAGTTGAAAACAAGAACTAAATTATCTTCTTTCACTCAGTCACTCAAACGTGCCTCATATTGTCTCTGAGCAGGGCCCAGTGCTAGGTGAGTGCTGGGGATAGAGCAATGAACAACACACAACCTCTGCCTCAGGAAGCTCAGTCTGTGGTGGGGAAGCTGAAAAAGAAGCAGGCACGGTGCTTCCCCACAGTGTTCGCCTTGAGGTATTACAGTTCACAGCTAGTTGAATAAGTGAACGACTTCCTCCAGCCCTCAGAGCCTCCTGTCTGGCCTTCCCCCAGCTCTGCTTAGCCACTCTGCCTGGTCAAGTGCCTGAAACAGAGCCAAGGACCTTCCACTCATCCACGCCACCAATGTGGGAGAGCAGAGCAGTTGAAGTTGTCACCACACATGGAGATCCCCTTGTTCCCCACTCTATTCCAGCCCGTTTATTGTGCGTGCACCGTTCAGATCAGTTGGTTAAATCCATATGGATTTTCGTGGAACACCTTTTGTGTGCCTAGTGCTGGGGAACGGGATGGGATATAAAGGAAGTAGGAAATGGTCCCAGCTCTCCAGGGAGAGCAGGCTTAAACATTCAACACGAATCGATTATCATTCAGAACATTAGTTATGCTGTATAGTCATGGCACGTGGACAGTAAACTTCAATAAGTTCAACTATATGGTTGTGAAAGAAACTATATTACTGTAGCCTAAAATTATAAAAATAATATTTTGTGTGTTTTTACTATATGCTGTACATGACTATTATGCTTTCCTGCAGCTATATTATACCAAATGGCATACTCAAAATCATGTGTACTATACTTTGTGAGCAGTTTAAGGGATTTTCAGGAGTTTTGGACTATATTCTATTTTTGCCTTACGTGCTGACTTTGGAATCTAACCCCACATAGTGTGTGACTCCACTGTATATAATAGAGCACCATATTGAGTATAACCAAGAACCGTATGTATGTAATGTGTTCAGGTGTGGACAGTGAGTGCTATGGTTTATGATAATAATGATATTAATAATTTAATAACTATAATTTGCCAGGCCGCACATCAGTTGCTTTACATGTACTGCCTTTTCTATTCTTATAACAGCCTCATAAGGTGGATATCATACTATTTTAAGGCCAAAAAGGTAGAAACTCTAAGAAGTCAAGTAACTTTCCCTTAGGTCAGACAGCAAGAAAGAGGCTGGGATTCAGACCCAGGTGTGTCTGGCTGCCAAGCCCACGTTCTTTGCATTGCCGGGTGGGTCTTGGGTTTCAGGGAAGGCTTCATAAGGGAGGCAGGAGTTGAGATGGGCCTGGAGAGATGGAGAGGGTCAGCCAAGGTAGAGACACATTCGTAAGGAATGGCTCTGGTGGTGACAAGGGCAGGCAAATGACGGAGAGCCAGGCTGGCTGGGAAGAGGGAGAAGAGACTAGAAAAGTGAAAGTAAAGTCTGAGGAGGGGCCAGATTATAGCTTCCAGCTGTCCTTGGAGGCAAGCTGAGGGGCTTGGGGTGGCCTGGCTGGCTGTGGGAGTGTCCACATGGCCTCTGGAGCCATCAGTTAGACTCATCAAAGAAATGGACCATGCCCTGATATTGCACCACCACGCTTTGGGCAGCAGAGGGACTAGCTGTAGTTGCATGTGAAGCTGAGTGGAGACAGGCACACTGACAGACGAGTGACAGCTGATGGCCTAATGAGGTAGGGGACAAAAGAATTAAAAAGCAGACATATGGCCACAAAGGGCATCTGGCCTTCCTAATATAGGCATATGCAAGGCTTCAGCATGGTGGTGCCTAAGAGGGGCTGGTGCCCTTGGAGAGAGGCTGGGGCATTGGTGGGGCAGAAGCCAGGCTGCTGTAGCCAGGCCAGGAAGTCAGGAGTCATCATGGTGGAGATGGCGTGCCCTTCAGTACAGGATGGAGCAGAAATGGATTGGGTTCAAGAAGGAAAGCTCAGAGTGTGAGATCTTTGAGATGAATTAGGAGTGTTGTACTTAAGGAAGCAGGGTATATATGTTGGTTATTTTTAGGATTATAAATAGTATAGAATTTAGAAAATGACTTAAATCTTTTATCCCTTAAAAAGGGTAGGCTCCAGTTACCTGGAAATTTTGCTTACAATGCCTCATTTTTTCCCCCGCTTATGATCATAGGTAGATAATAATAGTTAAAATGTATTAAGGCCAAATGTGGTGGCTCATGCCTGTAATCCCAGCACTTTGGGAGGCTGAGGCAGGTGGATTGCTTGAGTGCAGGAGTTTGAGACCAGCCTGGGCAACATAGGGAAGCCCCATCTGTGCAAAAAAAAAAAAAAAAAAAACCTACATGGTGGCACGGTGGTGCATGCCTGTGATCCCAGCTACTACGGAGGCTGAGGTGGGAGGATGGGCTGAGCCCAGGAGATGGAGATTTCAGGGAACCAAGATAGTGCCACTGCACTCCAGCCTGGGCAAAAGAGCTTTTGTTTGTTTGTTTTGTTTTAAGTATTGAAAATGAATGTGCTGGACACCGTTCTCAGAGCTATGTATGAACTAATTCTTTTAACCCATGTAATAACCCCATGTGGTAGGTGCTATTATTTTCCCATTTTACAAATGAAGAAATTGAAGCACAGAGGCTGGGCATGGTGACTCACGCCTGTAATCCCAGCACTTTGGGAGGCCAAGGCGGGCAGATCACTTGCGGTCAGGAGTTCAAGGCCAGCCTGGCCAAAATGGTGAAACCCCGTCTCCACTAAAAATACAAAAATTAGCTGGGCGTGGTGGCGCCTGCCTGTAATCCCAGCTACACAGGAGCCTGAGGCACAAGAATCGCTTGAACCTGGGAGGCGGAGGTTGCAGTGAGCCGAGATGGAGCCACTGTACTCCAGCCGATAGAGTGAGTGAGACTCTATTTCAAAAAATAAAATACAAATGAAAAGAAGTTGAAACACAGAGAGATCAAGTTGTGTAGTTTACTTCATGCAAGAGCCAAGATTAAACCAGGCCGTGTGGCCCTGGAGGTCATACTCCTAACCATGGTATGCTGTGAATCATTCCTTTCAAGCCGTGCTTCTCAGACTTTAATGTGCCTCAGCATCACCTGGAAGCCTAGTTAAAACACAGATGCTGCACCCCATATCCAGAGTTCTTGGTTCAGCAGGTCTGGGTTGGGTTCCTGGAATTTGCATTTCCAACAAGTCCCCAGGGGATGCCCACGCTGCTGGCCTGAGAACTTGGAGAACCAAAGCCCTTTCACATACATTATGTACCAGTCTCATACTGGTTGGGTAAGAGTCAGTAAAGGTGTAATCCTCATTTTACAGATAAGGGAAATTTAAGTCACCTGCCTGTGTTCACACAGCTAAATCATTCATTCATTCACTCATTCATTTAACAAATGGACATTTCTGTGCTAGGCCTTATGCTGGCCTTAGAGTCTTGCAGTTCTCAGCCTTGGCTGCATGTGAGAATCACCTGGGGAGCTTTTATCAATAAAAAATCCCAGTGTCCAGCCAGGCGCAGTGGCTCACGCCTGTAATTCCAGCACTCTGGGAGGCCAAGGCGGGCGGATCACGAGGTCAGGAGATTGAGACCACGGTGAAACCCCGTCTCTACTAAAAATACAAAAAATTAGCCGGGCATGGTGGCAGGCGCCTGTAGTCCCAGCTACTCGGGAGGCTGAGGCAGGAGAATGGCGTGAACCCGGGAGGCGGAGCTTGCAGTGAGCCGAGATCACGCCACTGCACTCCAGCCTGGGCGACAGAGCGAGACTCCGTCTCAAAAAAAAACAAAAACAAAAAAATCCCAGTGCCCAGGCCCCTGCTCCCAGACCAATTATGTCAGAAACTGAGAGGGAAAGGGTGGGCTCCAGGCATCAGTATTTTTTTCAAGTTCCCCAGTGGATTTCAGTGAGCAGCTGAGGCTGGCACCATTGTTCTAAGTAGCCACTGAAGATGTGAAGACCTGTGACACTGCACGTGCTTCAGAAGGGCCAGATGCTTCCCCTGGGGGGACATCCCACTCCCTAGAGAGCAGGACACAAGCGCCGTGTCCTAAGAGTCTGTGTATGTGACTATATGACAGTGAGACTTGGACAGCGCATGGCAGGTAGGAGGCAGGGCTGGGTTTCCATCCTCTCTGGCAGTGCTTACCAATCTTTTCATGGAGAAAGTCAGACAATGTATAGAACCAATGGCCCTTAGAGCTGGCCAGGGGCAAGAAGCATGGGGTGTATGCCAGACTGGTTAGGAGGCGGTTCTGTATCAGGGCTTCCTAGCACCACCCCCACCCCATTTTTTTTTTTTCCTAAAGAGGAAGAGGGAGGCAATGACTGTTTCCTTTTTTCTGCAGAGCTGACGGCTTCTGAGACTTGCTCTCCCTGTCTTTTGGCCCCTTGACATTCTGTTCTCCAGCTCCCATTTCAGCGTCTCAGCGGGTCCCTAGTCCTGGTCTAGGCATCCCATGGTGCTAACTGGAGAGCCAGGCCAGGATTTCTCTTCACAAGAAACACTGGCTTTTCACAGGCAGCCATCACTCATTGGCTAGACACCCATGACTTCCTCTGTCTGCAGGGCTGAGGCCCACCCCACCCTCCTCTCTGCCTGTGCAGTCCCTGGCGTCTGTGGAGGGGAGAGGGATGTAAACAAAGAGAGTGTAATTGATTCTCTGCATGTCCCCTGTGTGCTGATGGCAGTGGGGCAGTAAGTGGGCCTGCCCGTGTGGGTCTCTGCTCCTGCCAGACCTTACAGGACTGCTTTGCGGCTGCTGTTTGGGCACAGTGTGCAGTGGGCCCCGTGTGCTGTCTTGGATGTGACGTTAGTGGCTGTCTTGGCCTCTGCCGCAGTAATTAGATGGCTAGGGTAGGCCTATGATTTGGGTGTTCTCAAGAACACTGTGTTGATTGAATGTTCGTGCATGCTGGTGTGTGTGTGTGTGTGTGTATACGTGTACATGCACATGAGTGCGCATGTGCTTGTCTCAAGCTTGGCCTGTGGGGCCGGGGGCTGCAGGTCTCAAATTCCTCTGCTATTTTTAGGAGCCATATCAGCCCAGCTGTCCCGGAGCTGGGGTGTGTGTCCATAGGCAAGTCTCACCCTCCCTGTCCTTGCCCTAACCCCCTAACACTGCCTGCCCCCCACCCCAATGGCTTTACCCTAAGAGCCTTCTCCTTCCCTTCCACACACACTGCTGTATCACCCTCTCCCTCCTGGCATACCTGATACCCGAAGTCCTCCGGGCTGCTGGCTCCAACTAGGGCTGGGCAGCTCGGGACGGGAGGGGCCGGGGAGAGGGCGGGAACTGGGCGGGGCCACAGCCTGTGCTATTTTGAGCTGCTAACGGAGCCAGAGCAGCATCAGAGCGGAGTCTCCTTGCTCTGGGCTGCTCCAGGCCAGGCCATGCGGGTGAGTGTCCCTCTGACCCCCCACCCCGGAAATGTCCCAGGCTCCTCATGCTATTTCCTCATTTAGGAAAGGAGGGACCTTTTTGTGATTTCCCCAGATGTGGCTGAAGTAGGTGGGGAGAGGGGTGGGGCAGCCTTGGGGCTCCTCTCCGAGCTTCTTGGTAAGAAGGGAGTTACTCAGCCCCGGAAGCCTCAAAACCCCTCCGTGGCTAGGAGCAGGGCATCCTGGGCCTGACTCATGACTTCAGGAGTTTTGGAGGGGCACTGTCTTCTGAACCTCAGTTTCCTGGGGTTGCATCCACCCCCAAGGCTGTGACACGCCTTCCCCACCAACCATTAGTGCTTTTTTGGCCTTCATTCCTTAGAACACTGTTTTCTTCCAAAGCCCCAGCCCCACAGCACCCAAGGTCCTCGGTAGTCTTGTCTCTGCTTTGTTGCTGGTATAGCTCTTTCCTCTCTTCCTCCTTGAGAGGGGATGGTCCTTGGAGTTGTCAGGGAGCACCCTTCTCGCTGTCCCCAAGAGTAGTCTTAGCATGGCCACCTCCATTTCTGTGCATAGGACACTTGCAAGGGGCACAGATGGCGTGTTGGGGATGCTCTGACTGGCCCTAAGTCTCTTTTTTAGTAGAGATTACTCCAGATAAGTAAGTTCCTTAAAAAAGAAAGTGAGGAGAGACATAGCTGCTCCCAGTCCTTCCCGTTCCCCTGACTCTACCCCTCCCAGCCACCAAGGGTAAGGTTTTCAGTTGTGTCAGCAGTTGGCAGAGTACGTGGGCTGGCCTGGTGCGGAGGTGCATCAGGAGCCTGAGATGTACCCGTGAGTACTTGTATCTCTCTGTGCTCAGGACTGCCCTGCCTCAGCCCCCAAACTGGCACCAGGGCTGAGTTGTGTGGGCAGTATGCCCGGGGGTGGGGGAGAGGTCAGAGAGAGCTCCTCACCCTGAGAGATGGGCGCTTCCTGGTCTAGGGTACTCTCCCCCAGCCACCCCCGGGCCACTAGCACCAGGTCACAGATTTAGGGCCATGCACAGTGATATCCAAGCAGACAGCAAAGTGCCCTCCAGAGGGGCAGTGAGCATCCCCAGGGAAGGGGGGCCTCCAGCAGGTTCAGTCGTTGGAGGAGGAAACCAAGACCCTTCTGCAACTGCAGTTGCGGCAGGAAGCCATTCCAGTGCACCTGCTTCCTCTGGGCTGGCCTGCAGTGAGGCGGGTGCCCGGCTGCTTTCTGTTCCGCCCTGGGGCTGGGGAGGGCTCTGGCTGGAGGCTGGACTGCAAGGGCCAGGTTGTCCCTGCCAAGCTCATCTCCCCCTCCCCCGCTGTCTGGCAGCATGGCCTTCAGTTCATTCCTTAGAGAGCTTCCCTTCCTCTCAAGCAGTTCCACGTAAAGCATATTCAGGTTGGTGGGTGGAGGGGCGGGTCATCATTGGGAACCCCTGCTTTCCTCCCAAGCTGCTCTTCTGGCAGCTGATGTAGAAGGACAACAGTGCAGGTGAACCAGGGGAAATGGAGGGCAGGGCGTGCCTCCATCCCTTAAAGTGAGCAGTGGAGGGCTCTCGCAGGAGACCTGAGTGTGAGTCCCAGATCTGCCACTTGCTGCTGTGAGGCTTTGGGCGAGTCACCTGACCTTCTGAGCCTCCTTTTGCTCATTTGTAAAGTAGCAGTCACACAGTCACACTAGTATCTATTTCAGAGGGATGTTGTGAGGATCAAATGAGATGATTCATGTGAGGGATTCAGCACAGCACCTGACACATACCAAATGCTCAATAATGATTAACCGTTTTTTACTATTATGCTAGTATTTCTTCCCTTCTCCTTTGTTCCTGCCACCCTTCCTCGCCCTCAATCCCTAGATAAGTTGGTGCTAGGTTGGGACTGGGAGGAAGAAGTCTCCTGGGAGCTGCCCTCTGTGCCTCTGAATGGGAAAGAGGGAGGAGAGGAGAATGCCCTGCCTCTTGGTCCTCAGAAGGAGAAGCCTCCGGTGTGTGAGTGCTGTCAGAAGCGGCGAGGCGGGAAAGTGACCTCGGCCACCAGCTACGTCTCAGCTTCCTTTGGGCACTCTCTTGAGAGTTACCTGCTGCTCTCGGGGGCTTGCAGTGTGCAGATGTCTGGTGTGGATGCTTGGGCCTCAAAGCATTTGTCCAGGCCAGGCATTCCAGGCCTGAGGGGCTGCCTGAGGCGTGGCATTATTCTCCCAGGAGCATTTGTGCCCCCATTCCCTCCTGTGAGGGGCCCAGAGAGTGCAGGTTAAGGGCGGGTAGGCTCTGCTGGCATGGTGGAGGGTAAACCCCAGCTGCTCCCAGAGTGTCAGAAGCCTCCTGGGGCTGAGGCTTGACAGTCCCTCAGTACATTTCTTGGATTTCTCCTCTTTGAGAACAAATGCTTCTAGCTATTATCTCCTTTGCTTTTTTTTTGACTATTTAGCCATCTTCACAATAAAAATAAGCAGTAAGTAACAAATACATACCAAAATAAATACCAGGTGTTCATGTTGTGTCTAATTCACACAGTTTACAAGATTATTATGATCACTGTTTGTATACTATTTGGGTTCCAGTTTTTTTGATTGATGTCATTTTATATGGAGCTTTCCATATGGTTACATTGTCCACACATTTGTCAGTTTAAATGGCAATACAACAACGGGTTGTACCTAACCATTTCTTAATTCTAGGCATTTGGGCTCTTTCCAATTTGGAGCTGTTATATAGAGTGCATCTATAAAAATCTTTGCGTTTTTTTTCTTTTTCTTTCTTTAAGTCAGCTCACTGGACATACATTCCTGAAGATGGAATGGGTAGGCCAGAGGATGATGCATTTTGTGGCTATTGTTCACGAAGAGCTACTAAGCAATTTCAGTGTCCTTGCCCTCCCTGCAAACCCAGGCATTGAGTTCACTATGTATTTATTGTGAGCAGGTTTAGAGATTATACCTCCCTTGTTTGTACCATGTCCCTGGGAATCAGAATGGGCAAGTGTTGTTCTCTGTAGTTTATATTTGGGGAAGAGATTAGATGGGAATAAGAGGTTTGTGCAAAGAACCCCTGTCCCAGCACTCTCGTGCAGCTAACATTTATTAAGCGCCTACAGTATGATGAGTAAGATGGGTAAGTTCTGCTCAGAGGTGAATCACAGTCCAGGGATGACAAAGACGCACAAACAGCTCCCCAAGATACATTCTGGTTGTGGCTCCCAGCTCTGCCACTTAATAGTTGCAGCGCTCTCGGCAATTCACCTTCTTTATTTCCTTATCTAGAAAGTGTGTTGTTATGAGGATTCAATGAGGAGACCTGTATGAAGTGCCTTCCCCTGTGCCTGGCTCATAGTAAGTGTTCAGTGAGTTTTGGTCTCTCTTGCTGTCCCTCAGAAGTGCCACAGAGGGAGGAGGTGGGTAGACCTGCAGAGTGGCAGAATCATGGTGGGGTCTCCCTTTTTGCACATCCAAAAACTCGATTTGGAGAGTTGCACACTAGTAAAACACACTATCAATCCATGCTTTGGCTTGACCAGATCTTCTGAACCTTCACGCCGATGAAGTTTATCAACCAGATTTGGCTACCAAAGCTGATGCCTGCCTAACATACCAGAAAAGGTGGGCACTGAGGAAGCAGCACAGGCTTTGGAGGCAGACCAGTGTGGGTTCAAGTCTGGGTTCCCCCACTTAACTAACTTTGTGACTTAATCTCTTTCTGAATCTTTTCCCTCCTCGATAAAATGGGAATAATAATAATTCCCATATCACCAATCCTCAGATTGTTGTAAGATTTACATTAGAAAATAAATGTTCAATATCTTGTATAGGGCCCATCTCATTGTAGGTGCTCCATATTCAGTAATGTTGCTGGAAATGGCTGAAATCTCTAGAGAGAGAACAAGTCAAGGAAGAGAGGCCTTAGATCTAAACACCCTTGCTCCAGAGAGCCATATGTTCCCAACACATATGCTGCCACCACCTTTGGGGCCTGAGTTCCTTACCCATTCTGTCTTGGATAACAGTAACTTGATCTTTTTTTTTTTTAATTTTTGTGGGTACATGGTAGGTTTATGTACTTATGGGATACATTACATATATATATATATATATATATATTTTTTTTTTTTTTTTCTTTTGAGATGGGGTCTCACTCGGTCACCCAGGCTGGAGCATGCAGTATTGCGATCTCTGCTCACTACAACCTCTGCCTCCCAGGCTCAAGCGATCCTCCCACCTCAGCCTCCCCAGTACCTGGGACCACAGGCATGCACCATCGTTCCCAGTTAATTTTTTGTGTTTTTGGTAGAGACAAGGATTCATCGTGTTGCCCAGGCTGGTCTCAAACTCCTGAGCTCAAGTAATCCACCCACCTCAGCCTCCCAAAGTTCTGGGATTACAGGCGTGAGCCACCACGCCCGGTCCATGAGATGTTTTGTTTTGATATGGGCATGCATTGAGAAACAAGCATGTGCTTGGGCAATGGACAATGGGGTCTCTACCCCCTCAAGCATTTATCCTTTGGGTTATAAACAATCCAGTTCCAGGATAACTTGCTCTTGATCCTAAACAAATTCAGTGATAAGGGAGAGAGGAAAACTGTCTAGGCAATTCTGCATAAAAGCCACAGAGAGAATTTCCTCTGGGGAGAGCCCCACATCTGTGTTCAGAGTGAAGCTCATAGGAACAGCTGATGCAGAGGAACAGGCCTGGGTGGAAATGGCCCGGTGTCCTCACAGCCTGGGCCAGATGGGACCTCTATAGACAAGTAGGAAAACTTGAACAAGAGATCAAAGATCAAACGAGTTAAAATTACACCAACAGACAAACTTAAAGTCTCTAGCACATTAACTGAATAATAAAACAGAAGTCAACAAAGCAAAATAGAAATAATTAATTGAAAACAAAACATTTCCTAATTTTTAACTATTATTCATGATAAGCAGTTTTAAGAATGAACCAGTTCTTGGCCGGGCGCGGTGGCTCACCTCTGTAATCCCAGCACTTTGGGAGGCCAAGGCGGGTGGATCACGAGGTCAGGAGATGAAGACCATCCTGGCTCACACGGTGAAACCCTGCCTCTACTAAAAAAATACAAAAAATTAGCTGGGCATGGTGGTGGACACCTGTAGTCCCAGCTACTCGGGAGGCTGAGGCAGGAGAATGGCGTGAACCCGGGAGGCGGAGGTTGCAGTGAGGCAAGATTGCACCACTGTACTCCAGCCTGGGTGATAGAGTGAGATGAGACTCTGTCTCAATTAAAAAAAAAAAAAGAACCAGTTATTAAACTCCACTGAAGTGCCCTGATTCTTTGGATGCAGCCTCTCCCTGGACTGAGGCAGATTCTGACTTGATTTTTCAAGCGGCCCAGCTCTGGTTTCTAATCCATAGATGGACAGTTTTGCAGTTCTCCGGGCCTCTTGCCCCACGTAATTGTGTGTTACAGCTGGAAGGCAAAGTCGCTGGGGTCCTGAGGCAGATTCCTCAATTCCTCTCCTAGGTCACAGGCCTGCAACTTTGGTTTACTGTATTAAGGGTTTGAGTGTTGGCTGGGCGTGGTGGCTCACACCTGTAATCCCAGCGCTTTGGGAAGCTGAGGCAGGTGGGTCACCTGAGGTCAGGAGTTCGAGACCAGCCTGACTAACATGGAGAAACCCCGTCTCTACTAAAAATACAGAAATTAGCCGGGCGTGGTAGCGGGCGCCTGTAATCCCAGCTACCTGGGAGGCTGAGGCAGGAGAATCGCTTGAGTCCGGGAGGTGGAGGTTGCAGTGAGCCGAGATCACGCCATTGTACTCCAGCCTGGGCAACAAGAGTGAAACTCCGACTCAATAAATAAATAAATAAATAGAGTTTGAGTGCCTCTCCCCACGTAGACTCCTAAGGTGCCAGACATGGAGAGGCCTTGAGCCATTGTCTAGACTAGCCCCTAATTCTACAGAGAGGCCCAAAGAGGCGAAGTGGCTTATTCAAAGCACACAGCTTCTGGCCGGGCACGTCAGCTCACACCTGTAATCCCAGCACTTTAGGACGCCAAGGCGGGTGGATCACCTGAGGTCAAGAGTTCGAGACTAGTCTGGCCAACATGGTGAACCCCCATCTCTACTAAAAAGTACAAAAATTAGCTGGGCGTGTTGGTGCCGGGGAGGCTGAGGCAGGAGAATCACTTGAACCCGGGAGGCAGAGGCTGCAGTGAGCCGAGATGGCACCATTGCACTTCAGCCTGGCCTACAGAGTGAGACTGCATCTCAAAAAATAAAAATAAAAAAATAAAAACAATGCACACAGCTTCCAAGGGTAGGGAGTGCTATGTTCTGTGCCTACTTTCCTTCATTTTCCTTTAATATTTTATTCCTTACTCCAATGCCCTCTTGAGTTTTGTAATCCTTCCTCCTCCACTCCATCCCTCCTTTCCCCTTGTTGCCCACAGTGTTTATCCTGGCAGGTTCTGGCCTTTGGGAAGACTCAGAGACACTGAGAGACCCTGCCCCCCATTTCTTCTCTGACCCAGGGCACAGGTTACCTTCAGCGCCATGGCCTTTTCATCAAGGTTCGCCTTCTGGGAGCAAAAGGAAAGTTGGATTTTAAAATCTTTATGTTTTTCCTGTGTGCTTGGCATGTTGTATCTGCAGGCAGGAGACTGGCTTGTGGGAGAGGGAGCTTTGGAAGCTAGAGATGGATTGGGGCATGTGTGTATAATTGGGGGTGGCAGGGAGAATGACGGGGGCTGGTGAACTCCCTATTCTGGCTGGATGGGCTCCTGCACTGAGTCATGCTTCTCCCCTAAGCCCCACCTCTGGTAAGGTGAGCTGCCTTTTGTCCTGCTGGTGTCCCTCTGGGTTAACCCCTCCACACCCTTCCCACCACCCTGCTGCCTTGACTCACCCCTGGAACGTGGGCTGCTGTGGAGGGACCGCTGGAACTGGGTCTCCCTGATCCTGGGGGCTGCAGTGGGTTAGGAGGACAAGGGGCCAAGGGTGGGGAGTCAGGCCAGTTGGCCACCTGGGTCCAGAGGGTGATTCAGGCCACAGACTTGGGACTGCCTGTGTGTGTGCCTTTATGCGTGTGCATAGTCCCCAGCTGGGCAGTGACCTACAACAGCCAGAGCCCTTCTGATGGGGGAGGGAGGAGTGAGTCAGCCTGATGCTAAATCCAGAGCTGAGCTCAGAGCTGGGCCCAGTGTTTCAGACACTTGGGGGGCACCCAGTGTTTTCCCCAATGCCACACCTTGGGCCAGACATTTGGGGTCCCAAACTTGAGCCACTGGAGGGAGGACAGATTTGGAGCTGGTGAAGAACACAGAGTGGACTTGGAATCTGGGCCACCCCGGCACCCAAGTTAACAGCACTGCGTGCAGTAATGAGTGTGTCTGTGTGGTTTGCGAACACTTGTCCTCCCACTAACCTGTGTGCCCCAGAACTACTGCATGGTGTGATCCCTGGGGCAGCAAGGGGGAGAGTGATGGCTTGGTGGGGGGCAGCAGGCACAGACCTAGACCCTGCCACTCTTCCTCCCTCTGTCCACCAGTCCCTCCCTTCCCTTTCTCTGCTCCGATTCCAATTCTTAAAGAAGTAGGCTCCACTCTGGTGAATATTTGCCATTTCCCCTCGTCCTTGGCATTGTGAGCTAACTATGAAGATTGAGCCCGTTGCAGATAGCTCTGTGGACAAGATGCAGCTTTAAAACTGCAGCAGCCATCACGCCAGCCAGTGCCCCTGGCACTGCTAATTTGAGCTCAAAATTAGCCACAGACCCTGGTTAAAATTGGAGAGTCCCCCCAAGTGGATCATGTAAATGATTCTGGATGTTTCTAAAGATTTTTTCCCTTAGGAATCAAGGACTTCTTGCCATGCTCCTACCCACATTGTGCTGGGAAGGAGAGGCACGCTGAGGAGGAGGTAGGGTTGGTAACAGGGCTGTCTTTTTCCTGTAGTCCTAGGTGACGCGGGAAAGAGGAGAAATTAAATCCATAGGACTGCCTGAGCTTTTGGAGGGAGAGATACTGGTGAGGGGAAAGGAGAAGACTTTTTAAAACTTGAGGCCTGGCCTCTCTGAATCTGTTGTGAGCCAGTTTCTGAACTGAAAGAACCTTCAGAGCTTCCACATCATCTGCCCTTTTTCCAGATGTGTGATGGTATCTGCTGTTTCCACGACTCCACTCCTCCCCTCTGACTCAGGCCAGCCAGCTCCTGGGCTCCAGCACAAACCCCTGGCCCCAGTGTCCAGAGCTTAGGCATCTTTCCTTCCTCCATACCCCGCCCCTAACTTCAGGGTTCCCTCCCTCGGCTGCGTGGTTGGCAGTTTTGTGGGTCTGAGGTTGAGAAAATATCTGGCCTCCTGAATCTCCGCCTCTGCCCCACTCCCTGCCTCCAGCAAGATCTCAGCTGAGCTGGGGGAGTTGTGCAGGATCAAGAAGTAAGCCAGAGCCAGCCCAGTAGGGGCCAACCTTCACTCTACTCTAAAAGCTGCTGGCCCACAGGTACCCACACTGGGTTACTTTTACCTCCTCAGTCACTAGATCTGGGGCTTTTTGTTCAAACCACTTCTTGCCTGAGCTAGGGATGACTCTTGTAGTTTGGATGAGTTAAATTAGCTGGATCTTCCCATCTGCCACGTAACCAAAGCCACGATGGCACTGTGGGTGGACCTCTTTAGACAGCCCCCAAAGTGGGCAAAGTGGCTGGTTGCTGAGGGCAAGGGTACTTGGCTTTTTCCCCCACAGACTCTTCATTCTTGAAGTCATCACTGAACAGTTCTGATTCTAGGATAGGATAGCTCTTGCCCAGGTCCCCTAGCCCCGGTATTCCTAAAGACTCAGGAGCTCCACCTCAGGGTGAGGGAGGCCCCTTGAATGTTCTCTCCCTGTGCTTTTAGTGCTGGGTCTCCCAGCCTTGACCTGCCAGTGACTTCTTCATCTGCTCCCTCAGGTTAAAGAGGAGGACAAAACTCTGCCAAAGCCTGGCTCTCCTGGCAAGGAGGAAGGGGCTGTAAGTGCATCCTTGAGTTCTCCGAGGCATGCGTGTGTGTGTGCGGGCATGTGTGTGTGCATGCGTGCATGTGTGTGTGCGTGTGTGTGTTTGCCCCTGCACCCACTAGCCCTGGACTAGCCTGTGAGACAGCTCCATGGAGTAGGTGGGGATTGCAGGGGGCCCCTTCCTGTGTGGCTCAGCTGAAGAGAATTCTAGTAAAGGGGAAGAAAGTACGGTGTATGTGATGCCAGCTTCAGGTGTGTGAAGGAGATGGCCAAGGTGCTTTGGGGACCTCCCCTAACCTCCTCCCCAATCCCCTTAAGTTGCCTCCCTTTGGTTCTGGTTTCCTGAACCCTTTGGGCCTGGAGAGGCTTGGGTGGGCAAACTCTTAGGTCAGGGAGCGTCGAATGAGAGCTCAGCTGTTGGGATTCTTCAGCCTGCTCTGGGTGGCACAAGGCAAAGGCATGGAGGGACTTCACTGTAGTCGCTGCTGTCTCTTCCAAGACCCTGTCAGCTGCTTGGTGCAGGTGACCTGGAGGCAGGCTCCAGCTACTCACTGCCTCCAGCCCCAGCGCATTGGGATAGAGACCCTGAATAAACCTGGACTCTCCTAAGGCAAGAATAGCCTTAGGTTTCTGAATAGCCAAGTCCAAAGATGTGTAGTTAGGAGAGGGCAGCTGGTAGCACAGGGGGCAGGAGTGCCCAGGGCTCTGGGGCAGAGCTGGATCACAACACATATTCTTACTTCATTACCCCAGATGGTGCCTGTCCTGGCTCCCTGCACTTCCTTGGTCAGTTTGATTAGCCAGGCACTGTGGCTTCCACCTGATCTGCAAACAATCCTGGAAAGCCAGCCTGTGATTTGAAAGGGTTGTGTGTGTGTGTGTGTGTGTGTGTGTGTGTGTGTGTGTGTGTGTGTGTGTGTGGGAGAGGCCTCAGAGTTGCCCAGAATTTATTTTATTTTATTTTTTTTGCAAAAACTACATGTAAAGTGCTTGGAAGAGTGCCATGGCCCATAGTGAGTACTGTGTAAGTCTTACCAATTACTATCATCATCATTGTCATCATTTTCTTTTCTTTTTTTTTTTTTTTTTTTTTTTTGAGACAGGGTTTTACTCTGTCACCCAGGCTGGAATGCAGTGGTGCCATCTCAGCTCATTGCAACCTCTGCCTCCCAGGCTCAAGCCATCCTCCCACCTCAGCCTCCTGAGTAGCGTAGCTGGGACTATAGGCACACACCATCAAGCCTGGCTACTTTTTGTATTTTTTGTAGAAACAGTTTCACCATGTTGCCCAGGCTGGTGTTGAACTCCTGAGTTCAAGCAGTCTCCCTGCCTTGGCCTCGCAAAGTGCTAGGATTACAGGCGTGAGCCACCACACCTGGCCCATCGTCATCATCTTAATGATGGAAGGGGGATGGGAGGAAAGCCAGAAGAGGGAGGGGAGGAGTGTAGGATCCAGTGGCTAGGGCCACTGGCCAACTCTGCAGTGCCCTGGCATGCCATTGAGCACTCTTGGCCTAAGAGGTTGAGGAAGAGGCACCTTCAAGCCCTTACTCTCTCTATCCCTTCAGCGGAGCCAACCTGTAACCAGGGCCTAGATTAAGGCCCTTGGCTCAGCTCTGCTCAAAAGGTGGAGCAACTTCTCCTTGTGGCATCCAGAGGCAGCAGCTCCCAGGTGCGCCTACTGTGAGCGTCTTCCTGCATCCAAGCAAGCATGGGCAGGTGGGCCTTCACGGAGCCCAGTGCCCATATGTGTTCTAGAACCAAGATCATTGTTTTGGGTAACAAGGACTCAAGCACAGCTCAGCTGGTGACAGAGCTCTGCTTGGCCAACAAGGAGAACCCAGGTTGCCCTTACGCTCCCCAGGCAATGGAGCTGGCTTTATGGGAAACTCTATCCTGCCGTTAGCCAGCCTGGCCTTCCAGTGGCAGTCCCTTGGGACCCAGACAGTTAGCACCAGTGTGTGGGGGAAGGGTGGGCACACCAGCTAGAGTATACCAGTCCACTCCAGGGAAGATTGGAGCTGAGGCTGCTTGAGGGCTATACACACTCTGGGAACTAGGGGGTCTCCAAACCCTTGAGAGGTTTGCAGGAGGAAAACTGCAAGGAGACTGGCAGAAAGCAGGCTGAAGTGGAAGCTTCCTGGCCCGTGCTGGGCTCCTCAGTGCTTGAGAACATAGATGAAGGGCAGACAGTGGCCGCAGACGAGGGACGCTGTGAGGAGGAGGCCTGGCATGTCTTGGGGCCAGGAAGAGCTCCCTGATCATTTTTTCCTTCAGGATGGGTAGGCTCTTGGTCTGACTGCCCGGAAAACAGGTGATGGAAGGACCAAGGACTACAAAGGTCAGGACGCCCTGGAGTTAGGCCTGGGATTGGTGGTAGGAATGGAGGTGGGACTCGGCTGTTTGACCTCTCCATGCTCCATCTCTGCTGTGTCCATGCTCCATCTCTGCTGTGTCTGGGCTGCGAGGCAGTGGGCTCACCTAGAATGGGACTTGGTTGCTGCCCTGACACAAAGCCAGTAACCCCAGAGCACCTCATAGGCCTCTCGGCGCTCTGTGCCGGCATCTCACAGGTCCATGCTAAGTCTGGGGATAGACAGCAGGTGACAGTAGTACCTGATTGTGCTGATTGTGCTTTGTGGGAAAGAAGCCAGACTCTTAGCTGCAGTTGTCCTATTTGTAAGATGGAAAGTGGGCTTCCTGGGGTAGCCTCGTGGAGCCATGTGTTGCTTGGTAGATGAATGGGAGATCTGTTCCAGGGCGTGAGGTCACACCTTCTTATTCCCTCTGCATGGGATGGGCAGGGCTGCAGGGGTGATGCTAATGTCTACCTGTATTTGTATGACTGTAGCTAGAGGGCAGCTCAAAGGAAGGCAGTGGCCCATCTAGGAGTCCTCAGCCTCCCACCAGCCCGATACCCCCAGAGACTTCCCAGAGAGCCAGGAGCCCTGCACCCACACTCGCCATGAACGGCCCGGGAGCTGCCACAGCAGAAGGCCTAAGCGAAGAGGCCCAGGGCCTGTCCCGGAAGCGGGTGGCAAATGCAGTGAGGAAGGTGGTGAGTAAGGTGCTGCCCAGCGAGGAGCTTGGGAATGCCAAGGAGACCCCAGGCAGAGGAGTCAAGTCCCCCGAGCACCCGACTCGAAGCAAGAGGGGAGAAAAGGCAGCTTCTAGTCCCAAGCCGCCACCCCCTCCCCCACCTCCCCCTGCTCCGCCTAAGCCTGAAGTGAAGAAGGAGGCAGCCAAGGATGAGCTCTCCCTGGGCCTGCGGAGCCTGATGTCTCGGGGCAGGGGCAAGGAGCACAAGGCCCGCGGCAAGCAGTCTTCTGGGAAGGGGGAGAAGCCCTCCAGCCAGGAGCCAGGCTCCCCAGACTGGGCAGACTCCCCTGAGAAAGCAGGATCCCCAGCCAAGCCTGAAGCCCCAAAGAAGCAGCGCTCCCCAGCCCCACCGGAAGAGCTGGTGACCCCAGGCTCCACCGGCCCGAAGTCAGACCTCACTGGAGAGCAGCAGTCCAAGTCACCAGTCCCTGGTGTGAAGCAGGAGGTACAAGAGTGTGTCACTAACCGCTCCTGCCCCTCACCACCCTAGCTCAAGGGCCAGGCACCCTCACAGCCGGCTTCCCCAAGCGACCTCAGCGAACCCCGCATGACCGAGAGGCTGGGCCCAGGGTCGTGTGCTGATGGCCGGCAGGGGCTGCATGGCTTTCCCTAACCCAATGCGGACCCTGCAGTTGCCTGGGCTCTGGCCTGGCGGCTGGGATGGAAACTGCTAAGCAGCATGTTGGCCTTGCCATAGGGAGTCAGGGCCTGGTCCCCAGCTACATGGCGCCAGCTTGAGGCCTGAGACCCAAACCCGAGGATCAGAGTCTCAGCAGATCAGTTCCAGGAGGAAAGACTGTTTTCTCAAGTCAGGGATCTGGGCTTGCATTCCCAGCCACTCATCCCCTGGGACCTCAGCAAAGTCCCATCTCAGACTTCCTCTGTTGAGTGGGGATAATACAGGTCCAAAATTTCTTCTCTGATACCCTGGGTGTGGCAGTATTTTGGAAATTAGTAATCTTTGTATTTTAGTGCCATACAGTATACATAATGAGCAACAACGTGTAACAAACATTAATATTTCCAAAGCAAAATCTATGAATATTCACACTACAGGGGCATAGAGGATAAACTGCCAGGTTTTGCCGCCAAAATAGTTAAGAAAAATATTTTGTTTGGGGGGGCTTTTGGGATTTTGGAATTGCAAATAAGGGTTAATAAGGGTTTTAAGTAACCAGAAGATTAGAAATGATACAGATAATGCTCCAAGCCGGTCCCTGGCATGGTGGGTGCTCCATAAATGGTAGCGTTGATAGTGGTGCTAATAACAGTTGTTATTGATGCCCTCACTGCCATCACTGCCTTCTTTAGGCCTGGCCAGCATGACCATCTGGCAGCAGGACTCTTGAGGAGCCCTGTGCTTGGATGGCAGATGGGTACAGTGGGCCCCTTGGGATATAGGGGCAACCCTATCTTCCCAGAAAGTGTTCTCTGGGTGGGGCAGGAGGCTGAGAAGCAGGAGGGAGGGTCAGTCCAGCCTCTTTCCCTTGGAAAGTGTTGCCTTCTTGGCTGGCCTCTGAGTTGGGGACAGTTCTCTTCAAGCTTCCCTTTTTTGGACCCTGCTGAGGCCTCCCAGGGTGTGGGAGAGGAGCATCAAGTTTTGCCACTACTTCCCTGTGCTCATGCAGGCTCCTTCTGGCTGGAAGGAGAGGGGTCTGGAGGGTATGGGGGAATAGCCTGAGAGGCCTTGAGGCCCTCCCTGACTGTTACCTCCTGGGACCTGGGGAGCCTTGTTGCTCCCCATTCTTCCTGGGCATTGCAGCACTTAGAGAAAAGCCAGCCGCCGCTTCCCCCACCCACCTGGCCCACTCTGTGAATCAGGGAAGTGCCTGTTCCTGCTCACAGGGAGGAGCTGGCATGGGCATTTTGGGCAGGGTATGGGCAGAACTGTTGGTCGCTCTGGAGAACCCATAAGCAGGTGGGGAGTGTCGTGGTCCTGTTCCCGGGCGGCTGCCCTCCCCTCCCTCCTCCCCGTCCCTCCTCCCCGTCCCTCCTCCTCTCACAAGGGAGGAGATGGGAGCTGAGACATGCCCTGACCTGGAGTTTAGCCACCTGTCACCTGGGCCTGGGGAAGGGTCCAGAGGGCAAGTGGGATAATAGGGCCATTTGGTGCTCAAGATAGGCAGGTGGGAAGAAATAACCCCAGAACTCCCAGGCACTTGTTCTTTTTTTTCTAATCTGATGGTTTAAAAACTCAGATTGCCGCGCGGCTTGCTCCCTGGCGCTGCTCCCCTTCCCTAGTGGGTCCCAGTGGCTTCCTGGGCTGGGAGCTCCGCATGCTGTGGCCTCTCCATTTCTGGGCTGGGACTAATAGTGGTTTAACCTTTAGGCAGGAGCTGCCAAGGTCCAGCTGACCCCCGTGGAAGAGGCCCACCAGCGGCTGGAGAGGATCTTCACAGCTTCTGTAATGCCACTCTTGTGTGTGGGTCCCAGTCCCTGGCCGCCCTCTTCCTGAGGCTGGCGGCAGGACCCTGTGTGTGTCTGTAGGCGCGCTGACCATGAAGATGGCTCCATGGCGGCCTGTGGGCCCTCATGTTGGGCTCTCTCTTAAAGAAATGAGAGAAGTGCTCTGGGGAGAGTGGTTCCTCCAGAGAGCCCAAAGTCCTGTGCATGTGGGAGGGCACCCCTCCTCGCTCAGGGCCCAGTCCCTTTCTCTGGCCACATTGTCCTGCCTCGAGGACATGTGTTGGTGTCAGGGCCTGGCGGGTGGTAAGGAAGGTTGCTGTCGCTATTTTTGGTGACCTGGCTCTCTAGACCCAGGTGGGGCCTGATAACTCCTTGCCGATTTCTAACAGGTAACATCCAAGTCCTGGTTGACTTGCCTTCCTCCCCAGAAAGGCTTTTCAGGGCTTTAAGTAACCAGAGAGGTCACGGCTGGCCACAGGGTTTGCCCACAGTGCCTTTGCTCTTGGGCAGCTGTCAAGTGGTCCCCAGGTTGGATCTAGATGGGGTCGGTGTGCCTGGCTGGCAGAGGTGGGAGTGCTATAGGGTACGTCGGGGTTGAGGAAGAGATTCTAGACTGCAAGCTGCTGGGAGCTGTGTTCTATGAGAGGTGCAGGGCGACAGCTCTGAACACAGCCCTTGGCCTAGGGAGTGGCACCCTTGGGCTGTGTTAGAAGGCAAGGAACAGCTCTGTGCTGGTGGCCACAGGGGAGCTAGGCTGAGAAATGCTCTGGAGATAAGGCAAGAGGCTGGCAGGGGGCCCAGGCCTTGGGTGTGGTGAGGTGGCCTGACCTGGTAGACACACAGAAGAGGGAGCCTGATTCAGAATAGACCGGATGGCCAGCCCAGGAGAGACTGCGGCCAGAGGCAGAGTGGCAGACTCCTGCCCGGGCCACCGGGAATGACTTAGAGGAGCATCTCCTCTGAGAGGCCTGATGGTCACTAGTGTCTCTTCACCTTCCTGGCCTCTCCTTGACTGGGTGCAGTTCACCTGCTCAGGCCAGGTCCCAGGTCCTGGCACCAAGCTCCCCCACCTTCACCCCGAGCCTTGGACAACTAGAGAGTGCCGGCCCACTTGACTCAGGAGCACTTGCTGAAGGGGGCGTGCCAGTGGTCTGCTTATCTTCACCCTTCTTCTCTCTCTCTCCTTTGCTTGCTGTCGGTAGCTGGACTCTGAGGCCGCCTCTCATGCCCACAGCCAGGTAGGGTGCTCTCCCCCCACTCAGGAGCCCTCCGCTCCCTCCAGTGACCACCTAGCCCCACTGGCCTGCACCTGGGCTGGCGTCTGTGCTCGGGCCTCCTGCTGGAGTGTAAGGCCTCTTTCCCCTCCAGGCTCCCACCCTGTGTCTGGGAGGACCCCAGCGGGAGGTAGTGCCGGGAGCTTGAGATGGTGCAGCTCTGTGTCAGGCCCCTGGGGAGCATCTAGACCGAGTGTCGCCCTTCAAGTTGGGCCCATGTGGCATGTGGTTCTCAGCCACTGGAGCCCAAGGGGGGCCTGGTTGAGTTCTAGGTGTTTCAACTCTGCTCACTCTGGAGAGAGAAAGCTGGAAAGGCAGAATCTCTGCCCTCTTCCCAGCCCATGCCTGAACGTGAGACATTCTCTGTCTCCACCTCCTGGCCAATGTGAGAAACCCATTTTCAGATGAGCTTTAAGGGAGTTAGTTACAGGCTATGATGTCACCTTATTCATCAGTCCCCAAATACCTGGCCCATAGAAGGTGTCTATTCAACATAAAGGTCTCCCCTGTCTTATGTGATTTGAGAAAAAATATATATATACAACATTGTAATGATTTTTTTTTTTTTTGAGATGGAGTCTCGCTCTGTCGCCCAGGCTGAACTGCAGTGGCGCAATCTCGGCTCACTGCAAGCTCCACCTCCTGGGTTCACGCCATTCTCCTGCCTCAGCCTCCCAAGTAGCTGGGACTACAGGTGCCCGCCACCATGCCCAGCTAATTTTTTGTATTTTTAGTGGAGACAGGGTTTCACTGTGTTAGCCAGGATGGTCTCGATCTCCTGACCTCGTGATCCACCCACCTCAGCCTCCCAAAGTGCTGTGATTACAGGTGTGAGCCACTGCACCTGGCCATGATTTTTATAGTTATAGTTCTTCAAATATAAAGAACTAGCCTTTTTAATGTCCTCACTTAACACACCAAAATGTGGCCAGCCACGTGGTGATCCTCCTATTCAGAGTTATTTCATGGGTCCATGAAACCCGGAGATCTGGGAGCCACTGGTGCAGCCCAGCCCTCCTACTCCAATCTGGGGAAGGGCCGTCCAGCACTGGAGGGATCTGTCTAAAGCCAGAAGCCAACCTGAGAGGAGAGCCCACGTCTCCTTTACTTTCAACTCCAAGAAATGTGACAAAGAACATACTTCTTATGTTTTCTTATCTTTTCCTGATTTCTCACCCAGGGGGTCAGGACCCAGCCAGTGTCCATGCCTGGGCCTCAGGTTTCAGGCTGACTGTGCCTCACAGCTGGGGCCCTCCGAGAGTGTAGGGGCTCGGGCTAACCTGAGGGTGGGTCCATGCCACTGGGGTGCCCATCCCCCACCCGGGGCACGGGATGACCTTGCTGCCATTTCGCCCACACACAACAAGAGGAGCCCGATGGGCCCTGGGTCCCTCGTCTGTTTCCCCAGCTCCCCCAGACACCGTTTCTTCCCAGTTCAAGTGTCCTTCTTAGAGGGTGCCAGGTTTGACAGCCCCACACCGTCAGTACCTATGAATGCTTATGTCTGAGTTGGTGACCTCCTGAGGCCTCTGGGGGCTTCTAGCCCCTTTACACCACTCCTGTGCCCATCTGTATAACGTGTAAGCCTCTCCCTGTGTTTGACAGGGCAGGGCTGCCCCTACCCCCATATCTCTGGCCGCACTGCCTCGTGCCTTTGTATGGCATTAGCGTGTCCACTAGGTCTGTGTGACAGGGGTCTTTGCTGATGGCGGCATGGAGAAGGAGCAGGGAGGCTGATGTGTGCACCTGGGCACTGTCCCCCGGTCCGGGTAGAGCACCCTCTGGAGGGGAGGGCCAGGGCTGAGGCCAGGGCTCTGAGCCCACCTATCATTCTGTACTGCGAAGTCCAGGCGACTCCCCGCTGAGATCTGAGGACATGCCCTCTCCCAGCTTGGCAAAGGAGGCCCTATCATTTGGATGAAGGGAGAAGCTGGGCACGGAAGATCCTAGTAGCTGTGGCTAGGGTCTAGGGCCTTGGACTCAGGACACTGATCTCCTGGGCTTGACAGGGTGGAGGAGCAGAGGGTGGCTGAGGGAGAACCTGGTGATTTGCTTTCCTGGGGTCTCCTCTTTCCTGGGCACAAGATCCCTGTGTCCCTGTCTTGCCAGACCCTCACTGATGGTACGGTCTCTAGCCTTTGTGTCCTGTCCTCAGGGCTCCTTAGAGCCACCCTTGCCTCCTAGCTTCCCCACCCTCTTTCCCAGACACCTCTGATGTCCCTGTGTTCTGTGTCTGTCACCTAACTCATTCCTTGCCCAGTGGCTTGTCTCAAAGCCCATGCCCTCACTTGTCTCCCCTCTACGGCTGTCCTTGTCCCTGTCTTCCATAGCAGGGCCTGTTTATTCTTCTCTCTCTCTGACAGGCGAAAACAGAAGAACAGATTGCAGCAGAAGAGGCCTGGAATGAGACGGAGAAGGTGTGGCTGGTCCATAGGGACGGCTTCTCACTGGGTGAGTCTCAGAGGGTCTGGGGGCACATGTCAGGACTCACTGGTCTCAGGGCTGGGCAGCGAATGTGCCTTCTGCATCTGGTGAGGGCTGAGCAGTGAGCAAGGAGAGGCTGGTGATGCAGTGGGGGGGAGGATAGGACCGAGAAGTTCCCAAGTGGAGTAGCAGAGGCTTCCCAGGCCCATCCCAGCTGTCTGTCCCTCCCCTGCAGCCAGTCAACTCAAATCTGAGGAGCTCAACTTGCCTGAGGGGAAGGTGCGTGTGAAGCTGGACCACGATGGGGCCATCCTGGATGTGGATGAGGATGACGTTGAGAAGGTAGGTGGGCAGGGGGCTGGGTGTGGGGGAGGAGGCTCAGGAGTGCACTGGGCAGGGCAGGCCCATCCTCTGGCAGCGGAGATGGGCTCTGCTGCTCTAATACCCACCCGCCTGTCCTCCCACACAGGCTAATGCTCCCTCCTGCGACCGTCTGGAGGATCTGGCCTCACTGGTGTACCTCAATGAGTCCAGCGTCCTGCACACCTTGCGCCAGCGCTATGGCGCTAGCCTGCTGCACACGTATGCTGGCCCCAGCCTGCTGGTTCTTGGCCCCCGTGGGGCCCCTGCTGTGTACTCTGAGAAGGTGCAGCACCCTCAAGGCTACCCTGCAGACTCCTGGTCCCACCCCCTGCCCTGGCTCTCTGCCCTTCCCCTGTGGCACCCCACTGGGCTCCTGTCCACTCTCACAGTTGACCTTGGGAAGAGGAGTCATTTCAAGAGATGGGGGACAGGACCTCCCCACAACCTTTGATGGAGTCCAGGACTTAGTGTCTTCATTTCCATGCATGGCCTTGGCCTTGGAATCCCTGGGCACTACAGGAGGGAAAATCCAGAAAGATGTGGACCTTGGGGGTGAGGGGTGTCTTAATGGGATCAGCTAAGAGCCAACCCCTTCTCTCCCTTGCTCTCCTGCCCAAGGTGATGCACATGTTCAAGGGTTGTCGGCGGGAGGACATGGCACCCCACATCTATGCAGTGGCCCAGACCGCATACAGGGCGATGCTGATGAGCCGTCAGGATCAGTCAATCATCCTCCTGGGCAGTAGTGGCAGTGGCAAGACCACCAGCTGCCAGCATCTGGTGCAGTACCTGGCCACCATCGCGGGCATCAGCGGGAACAAGGTGTTTTCTGGTGAGGCAGGGACAAGGGAGAAAACTGAAAGTGGGGTGAGGGGAGGGGAGTGAGGAGAGAGCACCCTCTTAAGTGCCAGCTCTTTTTCTCCCTGGCCTTTCCATCCCCCCGAAACCCCTCTGTCCACGGGCAGTTCTGGTCTGAATGGCCCCAAGCCTTCATACCTCTGGGGTAGCTCCTAGCTGGGGGATAAGCTGCCCCTGGCTTTCCTGATATCCCCTTGGGCCTGTATTCTGCAGTGGAGAAGTGGCAGGCTCTGTACACCCTCCTGGAAGCCTTTGGGAACAGCCCCACCATCATTAATGGCAATGCCACCCGCTTCTCCCAGATCCTCTCCCTGGACTTTGACCAAGCTGGCCAGGTGGCCTCAGCCTCCATTCAGGTGAGAGTGCTGCCCAGGACTCGGGGTAGTAGGACACAGGCCACATGATTTCATGACCTAGACATCAGGCTCTCTCCCATGCCTCATTTTCCTGGGATTCTACCCTAACAAAATTGACCCAGGCATGGGCAGGGTTGGCCTGCACTATCCAGAGGCATCACCATTCTGCCCTCAGGGCCTCCTGCCCTGGATGGGGCCAGTCCAGCTTTCTGCCCAGTTCCCTTCACTCTCCCAACCCTGGGGTTGTCCTAACTCTACTGCTGGGCCTCAGCCTTACTTCCCACTTTCTGAGATTCATGCTCGGGGCTTCTCTCGGGCCGATTTCACCTAGCAGAGGACTGGCTTGTCAGTAAAGTAAGGCCCAGCCAAGGCTGATTCCCTCCCATGCTAAATACCTCACCACAAGCTCCCATTTCCAGAAGGCAGGCACCTGGGGTCTGGGCAGAGCAGCAGGGCCCCTTTGGGAGCTGGGCCTGTCTTCTTCCACCTCATTCTGGTTTCTGTCCCCCATTTGATCCTAGAGGGATCTGGTATCTGATTGAGCACCTTGGGAATAAGATGCACCTGCTTAATTGAGCCAGATGTGGTAGTGCACGCCTGTGGTCCCAGCTACTTGGGAGGCTGAAATGGGAGGGTCACTTGAACCTGGGAGGTTAAGGCTGCAGCGAGCTGTGATTGCGCCACTGCACTCCAGCCTGGGCAACAGAGCGAGACCCTATCTTAAAAAAAAAAGACTTAAAAAACAAGATGCAGGTTGGGTGCGGTGGCTCACGCCTGTAATCCCAGCACTTCGGGAGGCTGAGGTGGGTGGATCACCTGAGGTCAGGAGCTCAAGAACAGCCTGGCCAACATGGCAAAACCCCATCTCTACTAAAAACACAAAAATCAGCCGGGTATGGTGGTGCATGCCTGTAATCCCAGCTACTCAGGAGGCCAAGGCAGGAGAATTGCTTAAACCCAGGAGGCAGAAGTTGCAGTGAGCCAAGATCGCTCCACTGCACTCCAGCCTGAGTGACAGAGTGAGACTCCATCTCAAATCTTAAAAAAAAAAAAAAAAAAAAATGCAGCTGCTTGTTCCCCAGGGCCTAGAGGACCATGTGTTTGATTCCTTCTTATGTGGGGTGGGAGAAACTTGATCTGGCACTACCCTCCTTACCCACACGTCCATGCTGTGTCACAGACAATGCTTCTGGAGAAGCTGCGTGTGGCTCGGCGCCCAGCCAGTGAAGCCACATTCAACGTCTTCTACTACCTGCTGGCCTGTGGGGATGGCACCCTCAGGTGAGATGGGTCAGAGGGTACACAAGGGTTCTCTGAACTCCAGCCCACTGACTGGGCTCCTGGACCTTGATTGCATCCAGAATTAAAGCCACTTGATCGCATCCTGCACTGTTTGGTCAGTGCATGTCTGCTATGTGCTAGGCTCTGAGCTAGGCCCCAGGGACAGTGAGATGGATGAGACATAGTCCCTGCCTATCAAGAACTCCCTGGTCCTGGGTACTGGGGCCTGGCTGTATTGGAGGGGAACAGCCAGCCCTTCAGTGTTGCCAGGGCCTAGCTAGGATCTCCATTACCCATGAAGCCAGTTCTGGAAAGCAAAGCACACTGAGGTACCAGTGGTTGGGGACTTGCCTACTGTCGCATGACTGGTAGGGGGCTGAACTGGTATTTGAATCCACACTGGGGCCAAAAGCCCATGCCTCTTCCAGTGCCCTCCAGACTAGCCCTTCCTGCCCCACGTTGGCTGCCTCTGCCACGCTCTTCCCTTCAGACATTCAGATTTGCCGCGTGTGTTCACTAAAAAGAGATAAATGATGAGGCTGAGCCAGCATCCCCAGGCCATTGTCCTCTTTAGCCCTTCTTGTAACTGAGGGCATCGTCTCTGCCTTGGCGGGACTCACCCTTCGGGCAGGTTCCCTGCTCCCTTCCGGGGGCCAGGTTGCATCCTCTCACCAGGGCATGTCTGGTGGCTTGTCCTCAGGAGAATGGTACTCTAACCAGGCATCCAGGCCAGTTAGGAAAGCAGTGACAGCTGGCCCGCCAGTTGGGGATGATGGGATGATGGGCAGACAAAACTTGGAGTCTGGAAGCTGAGTCTGTCTGTCTCCACCCTGGGCGGAAATGGCCTTGGCATGGGGACCAAGTGCCGTGCTGATGCCTTATTTGTACCCCTAGGACAGAGCTCCACCTCAACCACTTGGCAGAGAACAATGTGTTTGGGATTGTGCCACTGGCCAAGGTGAGGGGTCTGTGGGGTCTGGGTTGCCAGCCCTGGGCCTTGGGGGTAGGAGAAGCCTCCATGGGTCCTGTGGGAATAGTGGGAGCCCAGCTCCAGCTGCTGGCTCTACCCAAGCCTTGCCCTGAGGGCCCAGCCTCATGGGGGTGTGCTGGGAGGGACAGCCCTTTGAGGTCATCTATCTCCACAGCCTGAGGAAAAGCAGAAGGCAGCTCAGCAGTTTAGTAAGCTGCAGGCGGCCATGAAGGTGCTGGGCATCTCCCCCGATGAACAGAAGGCCTGCTGGTTCATTCTGGCTGCCATCTACCACCTGGGGGCTGCGGGAGCCACCAAAGGTAACCTGCAGTGGGTCCCAGTAGGCTGGCCTGTCCCCTGGGTGACCTCACAGGGACCCTGCCCACTCCCAGTTTATTCTTGCCCAGCACAGACTTAGCCGTTCTGAGACAACCCTCTTTTGCTTGTGCCTCTTCTCAGCCCCCCACTTCAGAGCAGAAGGCCCGGGAAGCATCTTTGGCAGTGACGACCCGAGGCCTGGACTTAGCTGGCTGTGCTGGGGGGCACCATGAGGAAGCATGGAGGGCTGGGGGTTCAGAGGCTGAGGGATGAGAAGGGCACTAAGGCAGGGCAGCCCCGCTGGAATAACTCTCCTTCTTGTTCCCTTCCTGACAGAGGCCCCCGAGGAGCAAGCGGGTAACTGACCTTGGCCCCGCCCTTGGGTATAGGGGCCGCCGTGCCCTGTCTTGGTGCTTGCCCAGGACTTTCTAGGGGCTGGGCTTGTTCTGTTGCTGCAGAGAGGACTGGTCTGGGGAGAAGCCTGGAGGTTGAGAGTGGAAGTGGAGCCTGCAGGCTGTGGGGTGTCTTAGAGTCCCAGGAGTAGCTGCTTCTCCTGCCAGTTTTAGATCTGAATCCTGGAACCTCTCAGGATGCCCACCGTGGGGTGGGGTAGGGTGGGCTTGCTACCTGGGGCCTCCCCAGACCAGTTTTCCCCAGTCCTCTTCCCTTCTCCACTGGTTGGGTAGCTCCGTATCTTCCTCTTGCATGTCAGGGTGGCGGCCACTAGGGGGCAGCAGGCACCGTGGTAACGAATGGGCTGCAGCTTTGGCACTTGCGCTCGGGGACTTGGCCTGGCTTGGAGGAGCTCTGCTCCATCCTTCAAGATGACTTACGTTGGAGGATGGCGATTCGAGCACCTCTTCACCCCCTTTTTCTCCAGTTTAGGGAAAGGGGATGCTGGCGCTGAACAGCACCTTGGGCTTTGGCTTTGGCCCCTTCTGGGATGTGAAGGGCCCCAGGCTGCTCAGCTGGAGTGAGAAAGTCCTGGCAGGTGGTGGGTGTATGGAGGAATGGGTGCCCAGGCGTGAGGCTCCATGCGAGCGACCCCAAGAAGTGGCATCCCTGCCCAGGAGGAGCCAGGCTCTAGGTTAGAGAAGTTTTCTCGAGAATGTGGAGGACAGACAGGCGGGCAGGCGTGTGGCTGTGTGTTGAGGGAAGTTACTTCACTCTGAGGCGGTGACAAGCCTAGCTTTCCTCTAACCTACCCAGCCCCAACTGCAAGCGGAAAGCTCCGGGTGTCAGCACAGCGATCTTCTCAAACAATGTCTGTTAGCGCCTCAGAGCTTCCAGTGTTTTCCGGCGGGGGGGGGGGGGGGGGGGGAGGGTGTGTTTGCGCACACACACATGTGCACAAATGTCTTTGCGGGTCTCTTTCTGTGTGTGTCAGTGTGATTACACCCACAAACATACTCCCTGGAGACTGTGTGTGTGTGCGTTTGTCCCAAGTCTGACTGTGGTTGTGTTTTCTTGCCTACTCATCCTCACAACACCCCCGCCCCACGGTCCCTCCGAGGCGGCGAGCTCTATTGATGACTGTTTGCTAACACACTGTTTTTCTTTGCATGCTGCATGCTGGTCCTTTGCCTTACAGAAGCTGCTGAAGGTAAAACCTTGTTTCTTGTTAGCTTTCCCTAATTGCCGTGATTAGACACATGTTGGCTGAGGCACATATGTCTGTGCGGGCTGTTCCCTTTCCCCTGTGGCTTTTTTGCCTCCCCACTGTTGGGCCATCAGTGGGTGTTTGTGGTCTCCACTGGCAGATGCCAGGGGGCAAGAGGGAGGGTTCTAATGTACTCAGGGAATGTGGAGGCATGAGCGATCTCTCAAGATAAGTCCCCCACAGGCACACGGGGTTCTTGTGCCCATCCCAGGTGGGCTGGTTCATCCTCTGACTCCGCCCTTCCCCTAGTTGGGCATCCCCGGAGCTGAGCCATCTGAAAAGGGATTTTTGCAGCTGGTTTGTTGCCCTCCGGTGGCAGCATGTGGAGTTACCTCCTCCTTTAGGACCTGCTCATTCTCTCCATCCCCACGGGACACAGGAAATGCTGGCCACTGCTGGCTGCCCCTGTTCTGCCTGAAGCCCATCGGGTGTCATCAGGGCTGGCTTTTGCCTCCAGAAGATGCATAGTCATCAGCTGGTCATCAGGTCATCAGCTGGCCTAAGGAAAAAGACCCAGGATGCCAGATCCCTTTTTCCACTCCACAGCTGGGCGCAAGCAGTTTGCCCGCCATGAGTGGGCCCAGAAGGCTGCGTACCTACTGGGCTGCAGCCTGGAGGAGCTGTCCTCAGCCATCTTCAAGCACCAGCACAAGGGTGGCACCCTGCAGCGCTCCACCTCCTTCCGCCAGGGCCCCGAGGAGAGTGGCCTGGGAGATGGGACAGGTACCCTTTGTCCCTTGGCTGGTAGTTGTGAGTGTGAGGCCTCATCTGGGGCTTGCTGCCATCCCTGGGGCGGGAGGGGACTGCTGGAGTGAACAGATGCTCTGTCAGTGGCAGAGGCCCTGCCCCAGGCCCCGTGCTGACTGGGCCCTGGGCAGGTCAGGGGCTTACCCAGATGGGGAGCCCTGGGGAGAAGGAGATAGCGCTGCTCCCCCTGCCCCACAGGCCCGAAACTGAGTGCACTGGAGTGCCTTGAGGGCATGGCGGCCGGCCTCTACAGCGAGCTCTTCACCCTTCTCGTCTCCCTGGTGAATAGGTGAGTGCCAGGCAGGACCCAGGGCTTTTCCTGCTTTGGCAGAGGTGGAGTAGATGCCTTCATGCCTTGTTGGCCGAGGCAGAGCCGGTCTCTTCCAGCAGGGGCTCCCTGTCCCATGGGCTATGAGCAAGGCCAGCATGCCCTCCCCACCAGGGTCCTGGGCAGGGATAGAGGTCTGGCTTGGGCAGGGTGGGGCTTCCTGGTGCCCGGGGCCAACCAGCGAGGCTCTGACCCAGGCTGTCCCTATCCAGGGCTCTCAAGTCCAGCCAGCACTCACTCTGCTCCATGATGATTGTCGACACCCCGGGCTTCCAGAACCCTGAGCAGGGTGGGTCAGCCCGCGGAGCCTCCTTTGAGGAGCTGTGCCACAACTACACCCAAGACCGGCTGCAGAGGCTCTTCCACGAGCGCACCTTCGTGCAGGAGTTGGAAAGATACAAGGAGGTAGCTCTGGGGCCTGGGCCTCATCTAGCCTCAGATTCTGGCCTTGGCACCCACAGCGAGGGCATCTGTGGATGCAGAAGGCATCACCTTACTCTCCATTTCTGTCCTCCTGCGCTCTCTGGAGCAGGAGTCGTTCCTTGCCCCCTTGTCCGTGGCCTCTGGCTTTGGCTACGTTCTTACTTGGTGGAGAGTTTACTCTCCAGGAAGCCTACAGGTGCATTGAGGGCCCCCAGGAGGCTACCCTTGGCCTCTTTTGAGGCACCTCCCAGGCCTGGTGATTGCCACTGTGTGGTTCCTGCTCCAAGTGTGTCTGGGCCTGGCCTTCCCGTCTCCCTTCCCTGATCTGTGAGGGTGCCAGGTGATGATTTAGTGCCTTCTGTAAAAGGGTGTCCCGGATGGGACGAGAACTGGAAATCCTGCCTCATCTGGAAGTGAGTTGAGTGAATTGTCAGGATATTTATTTGGGGCGAGAGAGGATTCAGAAGGAAAATGGCAGTTGTCTTCAAGTGTTTCAAGGATGATTGTGTGAAATTGAGAGTGGGCTTGTTCTGTGTTGCCTAATCAACTCATGTGAGTAATGAGAATGTGACTCTGGCTTCGGATAAAAAGAGGTTCTGAGAATTTTAGCTGTGCAAAAAATACAGTGTGTTTCCTTGGGAGCTGTTTCATTTGGGATGATGGAGGGAGCTCCTGCACGGCACAGAAGGAGGTTGGCCTTGCTGATCTCAGAGCCCCTTCCCAGCCTACTCACAAGGCTGTTCCCCACAATGTGACCCCCATGCTCACTACCGCTCGGCCTTCTTTCCCAGGAGAACATCGAGCTGGCGTTTGACGACTTGGAACCCCCGACGGATGACTCTGTGGCTGCTGTGGACCAGGCCTCCCATCAGTCCCTGGTAGGAGCTCCAGAGAGGGTTTGGGCAAGCCTTTCCTCTCGTTCCCCACCCCTCTCCCCGTGGTGGAGCCCTCCCCATCTGAGCTGCTGCTGGGGGTGCCACTGTGGGCTGAGGGAGGGTCCAGCAGCTATGCCCAGACACCAACTACTCTCTGGTGCTGGGGCTCTGCCCCTCAGCACTCAGGCAGTCTTGGCCAGGAAGGTGGCACTTTCTTCTGCCCTGGTGCCCTGGGGAGCCACAGCCCATGGGGGTCCCAGTCAGGCAGGAAAGCATATCTCCTTTCTCAGCAGCTGAGGCTCGGGCCCCAGCTGGTGACTGGCTGAGCCTCCAGTATGTCTGCTAGGAGCCCTGGTGACCAGTCCCAGCTGGTGAGGGCCTAGACCCCAAGGACATAGTCATTCCCTCCCATTGTCCCCAAGTAGAGGACTGGTGCAACCTAACAGAACAGGGCCAGGAGCCAGCCTCCCGCTCCCAGGGGAAACAGTGCTAAGCTGTCAGACGCCCTCTGGGGGACTGTCATGGATATGAACCCTCACCCCTCAACTTTGGGGGCAGGCTTTGTCACCCTTTGTGCTAGTGTCCTGGGCACCTTGGCACTCGGTGGGGGACTGGCTGGCCTAGCAAACTCTTGGCATTTGGCGATTGTCCGCCATTAGGGAAATTGCATAAGGTGCTTTATTGGAGAACTGGCATTTTTGCGAGGCTGCCGACCTCCCTGCTCTGCTTTGATCCCTACCTCTCCCTCCCTCTTCTCTGCCATGAGGCCCTGCTTGGCTTGCACAAGTGGTGGGGCTGCGAAAGAGTGAGTATCCCCCCGGGGACAGATGTTTAAAGTGCCCAAGCACCGCATCTCCCCAGGGAAGTGAATTTTCTTTTCCTGACACCTGGGCTCCTATGGTGGCCTCACTCAGAACCGTTGTGGTTCCCGGGAGAGGGGGGATGTCAGCATGAGCAGCAGGAGTCAGACAGCATGTGGGAAGAGCTTGGCTCTCCTTTCTCTTCTGTGGTCTCTCCTGACTAATGGACCTTGGCATGGGGCGGCTGCACCCCTGGGGAAGGGGCCCTCGGTGCCAAGCCTGTCTTCCCATCTCATTGCTTCATTGCTCGTTCCTGCTACTCGGTTCCTGCCACTAGAGTTGCCTTGGCCTTTGGCCACATTCTGCTTCCTTCTGGTAATCACGCCAACTCCCTTGGGCATCTGCGGGGAGGAGATGCAGGCAGCTGGGGTCAAAGAGAGGAAAAATGGCCCTTTTCTCACTTCTTTTTTCCTCCAGCCCCTGAAGGCCAGGCCAGAATAGGGTGTGGGGAAGGTTCCATCCTTCCTGCCCAAGAAAGATGCAGGAACTCCACAGAAAAGGCACCTTCAGGCCAGATGTGGCCACAGGCCTAGTTTGTTTGGCCTTCATGGGATATTGGAAATTAGAATTAGATATTTCTACCTTCTCTTGAAGAACCAGAGGGTTTATCAATGCTAGGCCAGTGTTCTTCCAGGAGAGCAGCTAGCTGCAGCTCAGTGGTGGTTTTTCCCTTTGGATAGGGATACCTGCTCTCTAGCTTGCCCCAGCCTCTACCCGTTTTGGCTGCCACGTCCGTTAAGTCACCTGTCTTATGCTTTTGGCCCTTGAGTGACCCTGCAGTGATCCCACTGGCAGCCATCTGAGCCCCCTCTGGGTTCTCTCCTTTCAGAGACCAGGATTAACCTCACAGCTGTCACTTACTGACAGCTTCCTTAGGGCCAACTCTTGTGCTCAGGGCCTTCCAGACTTTATGCCACTGCCAGGGAGTGAGAGCAATGTGGGGTTCATCCAAGTCCCTGGTGACCTCCGAGGGGACGAGGGTGGAGGAGGGCCTCGGGGCGCGGGCTCGGGCCAGCAGGAAGGCTGCAGTCTTTGGTGACTTTGGACTGGAGTGCTAAGCACCCTCTTTTGCTGTGGGCTTCCCTCTGCTCACTTTCTTGGCTCCCCTTTCCCCGGGCTGCCCGCTTCCTCCACAAGGTGTCAGCAGTGAGCGGCAGGAGCTGCGGCATGTGCGTGTGTGCATGTGTGCACATGTGTAGCATTCTGTAGGGTGTGTTTGGGCCCGGCACCACCCTGGCCCCTTTCCCACAGCTCCATATGACAAGGAGGGATTTCCTTCCTTCTCTGTAGGTCCGCTCGCTGGCCCGCACAGACGAGGCGAGGGGCCTGCTCTGGCTATTGGAAGAGGAGGCTCTGGTGCCAGGGGCCAGTGAGGACACCCTCCTGGAGCGCCTTTTCTCCTATTATGGCCCCCAGGAAGGTGACAAAAAAGGTAGGTGGCATCCCTAGAGGGTAGCTCCTCTGCTTCCTCTTACATACAGGTGGGTCCAGGTGGCACTCCCTGGGAGGGGGCGGGGGTCACTTTGTGCCTGTACCCTGACGACCTAAATCTTGCTTCTCCCACCATCAGGCCAAAGCCCCCTTCTGCACAGCAGCAAACCACACCACTTTCTCCTGGGCCACAGCCATGGCACCAACTGGGTAGAGTACAATGTGACTGGCTGGCTGAACTACACCAAGCAGAACCCAGCCACCCAGAATGCCCCCCGGCTCCTGCAGGACTCCCAGAAGTAAGACCACCACTCCCTCCGCCCCTGTTCTGTACCCAGGACTGTTTTGATTTTGGGGCTCCCTCCCCCTGGGGTTGTCTCAGAGGCCCCCTCACTAGCAAAGTAGATGGCCTTTATTCCTGAGAGGCAACAGCCCAGGGCACTTGGCCTTGAGGAGCTTGAGGGGCCTCTTGAAGTAGAGGTGGGAGGCAGACATGGTGGGAGAGCCTATGGTTTAAATGTGAAGAACACCCTCAAGTCAAAGAAGGCAGGAGCGGCCTTAGAACCCCCAGCCCCACGGGCCCTGTCATCCGTTCTACTCTTCAGAAGATGGTTAGTGGGCACCTACCCTGCGACAGGGGCTTCTAGGTGCTTGGCAGATAATAGTAAACAAAACTGAACTCCCTGCCCTTGTGGAATTTACATTCTAATGGGAGAGACAGATAATGAACAATAAACATAATAAATAAATTATATCGTATGTTAGAAGATGTTGAACCCTAACCCCTCCTGTCACATTGGAAACTCTTCCACACCTTTGCCCTCCCTGGTGAGGGGAAGTAGATGAGTAGATTGATCCCCTCTGTCCGATTCCTGTCCACCCCTTGGCTTCTGCCCACCTCTGGCTTTCTCTCCTTACTGTTTGAAAATTTCTCCACAGTTTGTTTCTCTGTAGGGTGTGGGGCATGCAGTTCAGGTAGCCAGGCCCCTGGACGTGGCTGAATGGGACTGTTTAGTGTTCTGGGGCCTTGGGGGAGGAGCGGCCTTTCCCGCTCCATCGATGTGACTGCTTTTCCTCCCTTATCCTCCCACCTCTGGCAGAAAAATCATCAGCAACCTGTTTCTGGGCCGCGCAGGCAGTGCCACGGTGCTCTCTGGCTCCATCGCGGGCCTGGAGGGCGGCTCGCAGCTGGCACTGCGCCGGGCCACCAGCATGCGGAAAACCTTTACCACAGGCATGGCGGCTGTCAAAAAGAAGTCACTGTGCATCCAGATGAAGCTACAGGTGGTGAGTGCCAGCCGGGTCCCAGCAGGCAGGCCTGGGGACCCTTCCTTACCCCTGGTAGGCAGGCCTGGGGACTCCGAGCACACTGAGGCCATCTGGTGCCCACTCAGCGTCCCACTGTGACTCAATGGCTGCAGGTGGGGGTCTTCTTTTCAGTGCTGCCACCTGTGAGTGGCCACCGAGGCCCGGCGAGGGCAGAGTTGTCCAGGTTTAGCATGTCCTGGCTGGTGCTGGGGCCGCTGCTACCCTGTGAGCAGTGGAGACGCTGGCACCAGTCCCTGCTCTTCTGAGCACAGGCCATCAGAGCCCACTGAGGGCAGTCTCTTCCCCTCGGCAGGACGCCCTCATCGACACCATCAAGAAGTCAAAGCTGCATTTTGTGCACTGCTTCCTGCCTGTAGCTGAGGGCTGGGCTGGGGAGCCCCGTTCCGCCTCCTCCCGCCGAGTCAGCAGCAGCAGTGAGCTGGACCTGCCCTCGGGAGACCACTGCGAGGCTGGGCTCCTGCAGCTCGACGTGCCCCTGCTCCGCACCCAGCTCCGCGGCTCCCGCCTGCTCGATGCCATGCGCATGTACCGCCAAGGTGGGGCCTCCTTTCCTCTCCACTCTGGGCTCTCTTTTCCAGAGCTGGCCCTGCCCGGCCCCACCTCCCACCTGCGACCCGTGGGCTGCAGTGGGGCTGCTCCTGTCTTTCCTCACGATCCTTTCTGCTCTGGTCTCTCCTCATCTCTCCCAGCCCACAGCCCCTTTGTCCATTTCCTTCCATCCTGCAGAGTCCCCGCCTCCTCCTCTCCCTTCCATATTCAGTTCTCTTTGTCCCCCTCCCTTCCTAGCTCCACCCTGCACCTTGTCATTTGTCCACAGCTCCCTTTCTTCCCACGTCCCTAGTTTGGACAGTTCAGCTTTGCCCACAGCAGCAAACCCAGTGCCCTTTCGGAGCCATCTGCCCAGTGAGAAATGAGGTGCTAAATCTTTCTGAAGTACTTAAAATTCCCAAGAAAGGTCAGACAGACCCTTTTTTATGGACCCATCTAAAGGAGGCGACAGACAGGATGATAGTATTAGTGGTTACTTAGAGTCCTTAGAAGCTGTTATCGGTGGCTGGGGGCCGGGATAGCACACTGGTATCATTCCAGATGAGGAGACTGAGGCTCAGAGAGGTTAAGTAGCTTGCCCAAGGTCACACAGCTCCTGAGTGGCAGAGTGGGATTTGACCAGGCAGGCTGGCTGTAGAGTCATGTCTCATGTCTCTCAAGTAGGGTGGGTTTTTTTTGTTTTTTTTTTGTTTTTTGCCTGAGAAGTTATGAGTTGCTGGGTTTCTGCTGTTTTTCTCCTTCACTAGAAGAGCAGGTAGGGTCCCACCCACCCACAGCCAGGTCCCCTTCAGGCATTCCCATGGGCACTAAAACTTCCTTAGCAGCCCAAGCCAGGAAACAGGCTCCCTGCCCTGCTCTAAATAAATCATCGATCTGTCCCCACGTCTTGATATGGAGTTGGTGTTTATTATTTCAAAACCAGATTGTTACCGCTCTGAACCAAAATCAATGTGCGTTACTCAAACAAGCAGATCGATGAGGCCAGCAGCGGCAGGCCCCCCTTCCCTCACCCGGCCCCCAGCCACCGCACTATAGCACTGATGATTAATTAAGATGCCAGGCGTCCAGACCTGCTATCCTGGCCCATCAATTTAATTGCAATTCAGATACAATCAATAGCTCACTTTGTCTTGGCCCCTCAGCAGCCCCCACCTCCTGTTTCAATTATCAGGCACATGCATCAGCCTCACCTCCCAGCTGGAGGGTTTCCCAGAGCCAGCTAGCCCGTCATTGCTGTGGAGCATGCCCTTGGCTAGCTGTCAGGAGTCCAGGTTTGGAAGCCAGTTCTGCCCCCAGCAGCAGCCTTTGTGACCTTGAGCAAGACAGTCGCTCCTCCCAGGCCTCCGTTTCTGTGTCTGAAAGATGAGTTGGATCTGGCTTAAGATCCCTTTCTGGTTTGAAATTCTGTGATTTTGTGGGAGTGGAGTTCGTGGCCCTCCACCCTGGGCTCTGGTAAGATCAGGGTGACTTGGGGTCACTTCCTGCTAGCCACTGCTCTGACCCACTTTGCTCCAAGCCAAAAGTCAGGTCACACCTCCCCTGACCTGAAGCCCAGACACTCTTCAGGGAAAGAGAATCTACAAGTCTTTTTGGTCACCTGGCCTAGGACTCAAGGTCAGGGTGAGGCAAGGAGGGCAGCCTTTCTCATGTCCTGCTCTAGTGGACAGAGGGGGAAAAGGAGTGTTTATTAAATGCCAACCAAGTGAGTCACACTGTGCTTTTTACCTGGTTTCTCATTTAATCTCCATGACTACCATTCGAGATAAGTGCGAGGGCCGCTGTTTAAAGGTGAAGAAACTGAGGCTCAGAAAGGTTGAGTGACTGGCCCAAGGTCACATGATCCTAAGAGGCAGGGCCAGGAATCCAGCACCTAGCCAATGCGCGATTCCTCTCAGCTACTCTCTGGTGCCTTTTTTTTTTTTTTTTTTTGAGACACAGTCTTGCTCTGTCTCCCAGGCTGGAGTGCAGTGGTGTGATCTTGGCTCACTGCAGCCTCTGCCTCCTGAGTTCAAGCGATTCTTCTGCCTCGGCCTCCTGAGTAGCTGGGACTACAGGCATGCACCACCATACCCGGCTTACTTTTTTGTACTTTTGGTAGAGACAGTTTTACCATGCTGGCCAGGCTTGTCTAAACTCCTGGCCTCAAGTGATCCTCCCACCTTGGCCTCCCAAAGTGATAGGATTACAGGCGTGAGCCACCACGCCTGGCCTGGTGTCTTTTTTTTTTTTTTTTTTTTTTTTAAGACCATAAGACATTATTTTGTCTGGGTTATCACTGAGGCATAGACTTGGAGGGCTGGAAAGCATCTTGGGGATTGGGATGTAGCCTTCCTCCCAGCTGGTCAGCTACCCCACAACCCCCCATTTGCATACCTCACTGACTACTAGGAGCTTACTTCTCTCTGAAGGAGGCTGTTCCTTTTTTGGGCCTTCCTATCCCCCTGTGGAGCAGGCCTGATTGTCCTCCTGACCTTCTCTTCCTCTTCCCTGCCTACCCCCTCTCCTTTCTAGGCCTGCCTTCAACCACAGGCTCCCCACCCCCTGCAGTTTCTTCCCTTTTGGTGACTCTCCACTGACTGCCCAGGCACAGTGGCTACTGGGGTGTGCTGGGAGCAGGTGGCGTTGACAGGCCTGGCTCTGGGCTGCTCTCTCTAGGTTACCCTGACCACATGGTGTTTTCCGAGTTCCGCCGCCGCTTTGATGTCCTGGCCCCGCACCTGACCAAGAAACACGGGCGTAACTACATCGTGGTGGATGAAAGGCGGGTAGGTCCAGGTCCCCAGACCGCTCTCCCTCTGCCCAGGCCCCTCAAGCAGCTGCCCTTTCCAGACTCATCTGCCTTCCCTTCCCTGGAGACAGCTCATCTGGCCCTGCTCAGGCTCCCAGTTTTGGAAGCACCCAGCTGTGTCCTGGGGCCCAGACCATAGGAGCTGGAGAAGAGCCACCCCCTCCTTGGAGGCCTGAGCTGGGGGTGTCTGCTTGCTGGTGAGCCAGACAATCATCCAGGAGCGAGCAGGGCCTGGGCGCACTGAGGGTGCATGAGAATTATTAGTGCTTTGGGAGCCCCACCGATGGCACCTGGGCCCCCATGTCAGGGATTGGTTCCTGAAGCAGGAAGCTGTCCAGGGCTGGGCGAACATTCCTCCTAGAAGGAAGGTGGATATGGTGAGACCTCCGTGGTGCCAGGTGAACATAGGCTGCCGGGCCATTTGCCGGCCCTGGTTGGTGAACTTGTGGCTGCGGAAGGGGTGTCCCTGCCCGTCTGGGCTATCACCTTGAGCCCCAGAGGCAGCCCCTTAGACAGTCACAGGGCTCCCAGAGCAGAGGACCCCTCCTTTACTGTGCTCGGGCCTCAGGCATCCAGCCTGATTCTGAAAGCACCTCAGACCTTAGGATGGCTTCCCTAAATGGAGAGGATGCTGCAGAATGGGGCAGAAAGCCCACAGAGTGCCCAGCCTGCCTCTGTGTGTGCCCCCCTGCCCCTCCACCCCTGCCTTAAAGACCTGAATTCATGGAGGGGGCTCGGAAGAACTTCCCTCCATCCTTTGGCCTGCTGGTGGCCTGGGCAACCTCATGTGGACATAGATGCCCGTCCCACGCCCCCTTCTCACAGGCCCTCAGCCTCCATTCCAGCCTCCCACCTGTGGCTACACCAGTACCTCATCAGCTCTGGAAATGCCCCAGCTCCAAAATCATAAATCCCAGCATGGCCTTCTCTGACCACAGCCTCGTGCCTGCTGGTCCCACTCCTCTCTTCCCCTCAGGACACCCGCTCTCTGGCTCCATCAGAACCTCTCTTTCTGGATCACACTCCATTTCTCTGTGAATTGTCTCCTTTTCCATGGTTCACTCTGCAGTCACTCGGCCTCCCTCACCCTCAGCCCTCCTGAGCCTCCCGCAGCACCTGGCCTGCCCAACTCCCACCGAAGCGCCAGCCTCTGGGTGTCTGCACTCCTTGCTTTGGGCTCCCAAGGGTGGTGGGAGAAAATTATACAACTTTGTGGACTTGACTTCCTACAGGTTCATGGTCTTCAGCCTTTGGTGGGCCCTCAGGGGGACCAGCAAGTCTTCTAGATGTCCCCTCCTTATCTGGCCGTGACTCCAGGCTTCCTGTCTGCTATTGCATTCTCCATCTTTCTTCTCAAATCCTCCCCGCCCCACCTTCCTGGCTCACCTTCCCAGCAGATGCCCAGCCTTCAGATCTCAGGACATCAGGCTCCAGCTTCTTCTGCCTCCTGCAAACCTCTCTTCCCTAGCCTCCTTCTTCCCGTACCCCTTCTGTCTTGGTGGGGAGGGTCCCTCTCATCCAGTCCCTTGATCCTGTGCCTTGGAGTCCATTTCCTTGGGTCTCCCCAGAGACCCATTCCATCAGTGTGAATTCACTTCTCTCTCTTTTTCCTCTGGCATCTCTTTTTCTCCTGGCCCTTTTCTCTCCACGGAGAAACTCCCCACAGACCTGCAGGTTTTGCTCTCTGGAAGGAGCCTCTGTCATCGTCTCCCTGGACTGTGCTCTGCCTCCTGCCTGCCCTGGGCTTTCCTCCTGCTGCCCTCACTGCCCATGGCTGCCTGGTCCCTCTCCCTGATGCCCTGGCACTGGTCTTCTCATCCCTCACGCCCTCCATATTGCCAGAGCCAACCGGCACTTTTCTTTTTTTTTTTTTTTTTTTTTTTTTGAGACAGAGTCTCGTTCTGTCGCCCAAGCTGGAGTGCAGTGGCGCCATCTGAGCTCACTGCAAGCTCCGCCTCCCAGGTTCACACGATTCTCCTGCCTCAGCCTCCCAAGTAGCTGGGACTACAGGCCCATGCCCAGCTAATTTTTTGTATTTTTAGTAGAGATGGGGTTTCACCATGTTAGCCAGGATGGTCTTGATCTCCTGACCTCATGATCCACCCACCTCAGCCTCCCAAAGTGCTGGGATTACAGGCGTGAGCCACCGCGCCTGGCCCAACTGGCACTTTACTATCCCTCTGTTACTTGAATTCTTAGCAGCATGGGGCTCCGTTCTTTCTGGGACATTCTCTCCTGGGCCTCTTTGCTGCCACTCCTGGTTTCCCCCTTGACTCTGTTCTCACTCCCTCTGAGGTCCTCTTTTCCACTTGCCCCTGAAGTAAAGAGGTGTCTTCCTCAGGACTCTGTCCTTGGCCATATGTATTTTCTATTCTGCACCCTCTTCCTGGCCATCCTCATTCACACTCATCACTTCAATTATCACATATATATTGATGACTCCCAAATCAATACCTCTAGCCCAGGCCTCTCTCCTGAGCTCCAGACATACATTTCTATCTGGCTGCCTCCTGGACTTCTCTACCCTACCCCTTATGGCATCTCAGACTCAGCTTGTTCAAACCAAACTCATTCTCCCCACAAGCCGCCTCTTTCTCTTATATTCCCTACTTTGGGGAATGGCATCATTATCTGCTTAGTTACGTAAATTGGAAATCTCAGTATAGCCCTAGATTCCTCCTTACATACCCTATCCCCGTATCCAGCAAGGCTCTGTCTCCTTAACACCTGCTGCGTGTTCTCCTCTTCTCTTTCCCTTGGGCCAGGCTCTAGCCTCCCTTCCTGTGGATTACTGCCTAAGTGGGGTGGGTCTCCATCCATCTACCCATTTGCCAGTGAGACCTCTACCAATGCAGACCTGATCATGCCCATCCCTAAGAGAACCCTTCAGGGGCTCCCGAAGCACATGGGGCTCCACATGCTTTGGCTTCAGCCCCCTCTCTAGTTGCACCTTCACTACCCACCCCCCAGTTCCAGTGAGTGACTTGGAGTTTCCTCAGTGCATTTTGCTGTCTTGTGCTCCCAGGCCTTTGCGTACACTGGTTCCTCTGCCTGAAATGCCCTCTCCCCTACTTTGTCCAACAAATTCTCACTTGTATCATAAGTTCTCAGCACAACCAACAGCTGTCTGAGGTGCCTTGCGTAGGTGCGACCTCCTGTGGGCACTGCACAAGTTCACTTGTCTTGCTCCCCAGCAAGACGGTTTGTTCCTCTCGTAGTCATCTCTATGTCCCCAGAGTCCAACCCAGTGCCTGACACTGAGGAAGCCCACGCAAGTGCATGAATAACAGACTGTCTAGGAGGAGGGAGGGGAAGGGCCAAGGGCCTGGAGAAAGCCCTGCATGGTGAGGGGAGGCCCAGGCGGGCTGCCTGACAGAGGCCTCTCTCCACAGGCAGTGGAGGAGCTGCTGGAGTGCTTGGATCTGGAGAAGAGCAGCTGCTGCATGGGCCTGAGCCGGGTGAGTTGTCCCACAGGAGGGCAGTCGGGCCTCACTCCAGGGGCCCCTGTCAGGTGGCTGGCCCACTCCTCCTGTTCTCTTTGCTCAGCCAGACATCACCAGTCTCCTGGTGCCCTCTGAGTCTTGCCCCCAGCTCCACCCCGCCCAGCCACTCAGGGGCTGCCCCCTTCAGGGCCAGGGGCCAGGGAGCTAGAGGTTTCAGATGCAGCAACCTGGCTTTCCTTCATTCTGGATAACTGGCTTGTTCAGTGGAACACCTCTGTGATGTCAGGAGAGAGTGGGTGGAAGGTGGCCCTGAACTTGACCCGAGTCCTGGTGTGGGGAGTAGGGGAGACAGGAGGGCTGGACCCAGAGGATGTGGGCTGGAAGAGGCAGGAGGCCTTGGGTAGAGCCCCTGTGGAGAGTTATCTGGGGCTGCTGGGTTCCAGAGAGCAAGTAGGACATGGTGAGGCTGTGCCACCACCACCTGCCCACAGGCCAAATTCCTCATCTGAATGGAACGCCATGCGTAAAATGCAGGCACGCTGGCCCCTGGGTGCCAGTCTGCCACGTCACTCCTCACCAAAGGGTCAGCTGAGCATTCCTCCCACAGGCAGGAAGCCCTGCATGCCCCTCTCTTCCGAGCCTGGGAAGCTTGGACAGGTGGCACCCGCATGTGTGCCCCAGGGCCAGGGTGGAAGGGAGGCCAGTGGAGAGCCAGAGAGGGTTCTGGACCAGTTGTCTGCCAGCAGAGAGGGAAGGAACTCTCGGTTGCAGGGCCCCGTGGGGCGTGTGCGGTGGAAGGAGGTGCTTGCAGAGGCTTGAGTCTCACTTGTCCTGTGTGCTTGGTCCTCTCGGCCCTGCATGTTGAGTCACTTTCCTGGCTCCTCCTGCCCTTCGTCTCTGTCAATCGCTCCCATCTCTGTGTCTTTGCGTCTTCCCATCTTTGCTTCTGCTGTCTCTGGCTTTCCCTTTGGCCCCAGCAGTCCCTGCTGGTCTCTATTCCTTGGTTTCTAGTTCTGTTTTTCTGTTTCTCTCCTTGTTCTCTGTGTCTTTGTGTCCCATCCACTTTCTGTGTCATTTTCTGGTTTGTGTCACTGCTTTGTCTACCTCTGTGTCTGGTTCAGCTCTTTTCTCTCTCTCTGTTCCCCTCCTCCTGCTTTTTTAAGCTGGGGCTGCCAGCTGGGCCCCTGCCTAGGGCTATCTGCTGTCAGGATTTGCTTCAGCTGCAGGGTCTCTCCCTGGGTCCACTCACCCTGGTCTTTCCCGCCAGGATTCCTGCCTCTCAAGCAGGCTGAGCTGCTGCTGGCTGCCACTGGGGATGGCACCTCCTCCAGCCCATGCCTGGGTTCCCAGGCCTATCTTGGGAAGGGCAGGAAAGGGCCTCTACAAGCTGATCCTCTTCCCAGCTGCCATCTCAGACCTTCTGTCATCCTGAGCCATGCCAGGTGCCCGGCTGAGGCAGGCAAGCCCCAGGGCCCACTGTCACTCAAGGGCAGAGCTGGGTCAACATTGGGTGCCTGCTCACATCTAGTTTGGGAAAGAAAGTTCAGGTCGTCTAGGCTCTGGTTAACACTGACTCATGGGCGAGGATTCCCTGTGTGTCACATTGCTTCAGAGGAGGGGGGTCTTCATCTGAGCCATGGGACCCTGAGAGTTTCAATAAGGACTCTGGGGGGGCTCAGAGCCTCCTGACATTGTAAAATTTGTATGAATGTGTTTTCTGGGGAGGAGATGGCCCTGAGCTTTCACCCAATACCCAAAAGGACCCTTAACCCCCCAAATGTTCAAGAGAGATTTGAGGCTCACTGCTTTGGCCTCTAGACCATTCTTTCTCTTCTCATTGTGTCTCTGAGCCATTATCCACCCCCCACTCCAGCACCTCACTTCTGCCCTGGTCAGGTGGCTATGTGTCCTAACCAAGCGTGTTTGCTGTCCTCCGGCGGGACTTGGATATTCCTTACCCCCAGCAGGATTTCAGGCTTGCACATTATATGAAATTAAGCAGCTGGGGGCCAGGCGTGGTGGCTCACGCCTGCAATCCTACCACTTTGGGAGGCTGAGGTGGGCAGATTGCCTGAGCCCAGGAGTTTGAGACCACCCTGGGCAACATGGTGAAACCCCATCTCTACTGAAATACAAAAAAAGTATCTGGGCATGGTGACGGGCACCTGTAGTCCCAGCTACTCGGGAGGCTGAGGCATGAGAATCGCTTGAGCTCAGGAGGTGGAGGTTGCAGTAAGCAGAGATTGCACCATTGCATTCCAGCCTGGGTGACAGAGCAAGACTCTGTCTCCAAAAAAAGAAAGAAAGAAATTGAGCAGCCAGGCACAGCAGCTCATGTCTGTAATCTCAGTACTTTGGGAGGCTGAGGCAGGAGGATTGCTTGATGCCAGGAGTTCAAGACCAGCCTGGGCAACATAGGGAGACCCCATCTCTACAAAAAATACAAAAATTAGCTGGGAATGGTGGTGCACACCTGTAGTCCCAGCTACTGGGGAGGCTGAGGTGGGACGATAGCTTAAGCCTGGGAGGTAGAGGTTGCAGTGATCGATGATCACACCACTTTACTCCAGCCTGGGTGACAGAGCAAGACTGTTCAAAATAAATTTAAAGAAAAGAAATTGAGGCTCAGGTAGAACTTAAGACCCATGGGAAACCCCATGTTCGATGGTGGGATTTAGGGAAGTGTCACAAAGGACTGAGCTGGCTTTTTCCAAGGCCAGCCTCAGGGGACCAGGTTTCTGTGGAGTTGCCAGAGGCAGAGCTTTCTCAGCAGAAAGTTTAGGCCCTCTCTTTGCATCTTTGCTGAAGGGGGCCTTGGGATACTGTGTCTGTTGGCTGAGTGCATTTATGTAACCTGTGTTTCCCATGATGTTCACATCTTCTCTTTGCCCTACAAAAAGGAATTTTCTGTGTTCTGTGCCAGTTGGAGGTAGGCCTATACCTAGGTGTCTCTGCCCACTCTCATGGATAGAGCTATTTTTTTCACCCGACCCTTCCCGTTTCACACACACTTCCCTTTGTGGCGTGTGGCAAATTTTACCGAGCCCTATCTCAGGGCGGCACAGAGTGTTAAGGAAAGGCCGGGCGTGGGGGCACCCAGCTGGTTCTGCACATGCCTGCCCTCCAGCCCCCAAACCTGTATGACAGGTCCCTCAGCTGGGCCAACCCCCGCCCACCTCACTGGCTTCTTCATGAGAAGGTGAAACTTGGGTGTGTGTTGGGGGGTGGCACATGAAAGAGGAGACCATCTGAAATGAAACTAGCAGGGAGGGGGAGGAGAAGGCAGGAGCTTCCCACCACCCCCCTTCCCATTCTCCCCGCTTTTCCTCTGCACGCTGCGCTCCCCAGCGCTGCTTCTCACACAGACATCCTCCAGCATCCACTCACCCGATCCCAGCAATTGGGAGTCAGAGGGGCCTGGAGCCCAGGTTGGGCCCTGCAGTGGGCTGTGGGCACAGGGGGCATTGACAGGGTTGCTGGCAGTCCTGGGTGAGGAAGCCCTCACAGATGTGGCAGGACGCCCCCTCCCTGTTTGACCAATGACTGCTCCATTTCCTTCCTTGCCCCAGGTATCTTCCCTTTACCTTCCCTCTCCTTTCATCTCTCTTTGAAGTTAAATTTCACACCTTACCCCTCCCCTGCCAAAACCTCCCCAGCCCCTTCTCCCTCAACCTTCCCAGGGCCTCTTCCTGCTCCTCCCCTCCTCTCTTGGACAATTGGATTTTGAGGCTCTTCCCAAGCCAAGGGCTGTACTCCCTGGCCTGCTTGTTTCTCCAGTTCCTCACCTTCTCTGCCTTTCCTCTGCTGGGCTGGCCCAGTATCCTGCCTTCACCTGGCCTGCTTTTTCACAGGTGTTCTTCCGGGCGGGCACCTTGGCACGGCTGGAGGAGCAGCGGGATGAACAAACCAGCAGGAACCTAACCCTGTTCCAAGCAGCCTGCAGGGGCTACCTGGCCCGCCAGCACTTCAAGAAGAGAAAGGTGCTGCTCTAGAGACATCCCTCCCCCTCCCCAACCTAGATGGGCACAGCCAAGTTCCTGGGGTGGGGGCTATAAGGGGGAGAAGAGGCAGGAACCTCCCAGGGCACCATGTCCTGGGCCAGGGTGGGGAACAGGCAGCTCCCTGGTGCCAGCAAGTGTGCTGGTGTGCCCAGCGACGGGGCCTGGTTGGAGGGCTTTGATGAGGGGTAGGGGAATCAGGGCCCAGGCAAAGGTGGGCTCCGGATCATAGGCTGCTCCATGAAGATTAAGGAGCTGTGTCAGTGACTCCTTTTCTTATTAGCAAGTCCATAAAACAGCCAGCACTGCCGCCTCTTGTGTTTCAGCAAGATTAGGTTTTATAGCACAGCTAGGCCAGGGTGCTGGAAATAATCAGGCAGCAAATAAAGCAGATGAAATTATTCCTAATGGCAGTGGAGTGGCTAGTGCCCAGCGCAGTGCTCCCAGGGCTGGGTTCTGTGCTGCCCACCCTTTGAGGGACGGAGTGAGCCTGGGGCAAGGGGGAGCATGAGAAGTATCTGACTCGGGGTCAGGGGGCCAGAGGAGCAGCCCTGGGGGCCTGTGCTGGTGGTGGGGAGGATCCTGGGCCGAGCTTGGCCAGGGTGACTGAGAGCCCCGCTGTGCACCACCCCCACCCCACCTGCAGATCCAGGACCTGGCCATTCGCTGTGTACAGAAGAACATCAAGAAGAACAAAGGGGTGAAGGACTGGCCCTGGTGGAAGCTTTTTACCACAGTGAGGCCCCTCATCGAAGTACAGCTGTCAGAGGAGCAGATCCGGAACAAAGACGTATGTGACAGCCTGAGAGGGCCAAGTCTCTGGGTAGGGGGAAGCCTTGCTGGTTTATCTTGGGCTTCCAGGCGCTTCTTCGTTTAGTCCAGAGAGCTGTCATCCTTGAAATGTGCTCATCAAATAGAAGATGTCCCTCTGGGGTGCTGGCTGAGCCCCTGGACAGCCTCTTACGATAAAATCTTGGGCATCCCTAGCTTATTGGGAAGCGTCTAGGGACAGGATCCCCAGGAGGCAGTGGCTCTGCTATTGGGGACATGCCTTCCCCATGGCGTCCTGGCCCAAGCTTCATCAGCTTCGTTCACTACAGGGGTGCAGACCCAGGGCCCCAATCCCTCGCAGTGCCTTTGGCTCACTTTGCCCTCTTTGGTCCACCCTAGGAGGAGATCCAGCAGCTGCGGAGCAAGCTCGAGAAGGCGGAGAAGGAGAGGAACGAGCTGCGGCTCAACAGTGACCGGCTGGAGAGCCGGGTGAGTGACTCCTGGCACCACACCGACTGGGCATGGCTGCAGGGAGACCCAGCCCCTGCAGGTCCCCCAGGTGTTCTGGCTGAGTGAGGCAGGCACTTCAACTGGTGGTGACTCCCTACCCCCAACCCCAGATCTCAGAGCTGACATCGGAGCTGACAGATGAGCGTAACACAGGAGAGTCCGCCTCCCAGCTGCTGGACGCGGAGACAGCAGAGAGGCTCCGGGCTGAGAAGGAGATGAAGGAACTGCAGGTGAGGGCAGGGCCTGGGTGAGAACAGCAGGCTGGTGACTGCCATACCCTAGTGCCCATTGGCTCCCCCCAAAGACAGTTGGCATCTTCACCCCTAGCCCAGCATCCCTGTCTGCCCTTGGTAAGCATGTGATCATGGTCTGTGTGGTTCGGGGAGTGGGTATGAGGGGATGGAATGGCACACCCTGAAACCCTGTCTTCTGCAGACCCAGTACGATGCACTGAAGAAGCAGATGGAGGTTATGGAAATGGAGGTGATGGAGGCCCGTCTCATCCGGGCAGCGGAGATCAACGGGGAAGTGGATGATGATGATGCAGGTGGGCCTGAGGCCCAAGGAGCTCGGCAGTGGCCCGCAATGCGAGCCCTGATGCCCACCCCTGGGTAGTCATGCCCCTTGTCCAGGCCTGTCTCCCCTCCATGGGGCTAAACTGAAAGAAACAGATGAGAAGGCAGAGGTGCCAATAAATGCAGGGGATTGTTAGGTAGAGCTGAAACAACCATGATCATGACAAAGACTGAGGGCCGTGGTCCCAGCAGTCCTTTGGGGGGCACAGCACATGTAGCCACATCTCATGCTCTGGTCTTCTCCTGGCTAGTGGCTCCTTCTGCCTTGGGAGGAAGCCATCATTGCAGAGAGCTTTCTGAGCCCTGGCTGACTCCACCTGCTGCTCCCCCTGCCCCATCCTCCTTCCCCTCTGCCCCTTCTGGGGACTCTCAGCACCTCCATCCTCCCTTGTCTGCCTCAACCCCACAGGTGGCGAGTGGCGGCTGAAGTATGAGCGGGCTGTGCGGGAGGTGGACTTCACCAAGAAACGGCTCCAGCAGGAGTTTGAGGACAAGCTGGAGGTGGAGCAGCAGAACAAGAGGCAGCTGGAACGGCGGGTGAGGCTGGGGAGGAGCTGAGGCCTGTGCCTGGGAGGGCCAGGAGAGGACTGGTGCCTTGTGTCGGTCCAGTGAACTCTGGGGGCAGGCAGGCCTGGCTGGAATGGATCGGGGAGGCTGGCATGTTAGCTTCTTGGTGCAGGGGCAATCAGGAGCAAGCTATCATTAGAGCTTCTTCAGTTCCCTGGGAGACCCGACTTCCTCCTGCATCCCTGGGTCTTCCCCTCACTCACCCACTTCCCTCTCCTCACCTTCTCCACCTATGCTTCTGGGTCTCTCTGTATATGCACCCCATCTTGGCCCCTAGCTCGGGGACCTGCAGGCAGATAGTGAGGAGAGTCAGCGGGCTCTGCAGCAGCTCAAGAAGAAGTGCCAGCGACTGACGGCTGAGCTGCAAGACACCAAGCTGCACCTGGAGGGCCAGCAGGTCCGCAACCACGAACTGGAGAAGAAGCAGAGGAGGTGGGTGGGCCCCCTGCCCTGGGCCCAGAGAACCTTCTGGAGCAGCCACAGACAGGACTGCCTCCTCGCCCTCCAGGGAGGAAAGAAGGAAGGACCTGAATTTGTCCAGGGGCCTTGCTTGCCTGGTCACTCATCTTGGAACGTGAAGGGGCCCCCTCCTGACCTCCAGGGTGGACTCAGGCTGTGTCCCCACTGAAGGCCTGCCCAGGCCTCTGCTTTCAGAGGTGCTCCCTGCATCATGTGCCTGTCATCCCGTGCCAGGCCCCATCAGGAAGTGCATCAACCAGGGCCTGTGCAGGAACCTCTATGTCCCTGCCCTCAGCCCCCAGCTCTGCCTCTCCCTCACTTGCCTCAGCTACACAAACACACTCTCCTGACTAATGTCGTTAAACTACCGTGCCACTTCCATCTCATTATGGTAATGATACAAAGGAGGGGGGTGGCCCTCACAGGAGAAAATCCAGTCTAAATTAATTTCCGGGGCTGGGAATGAGGATGGGACGTCTTCATTAGCAGTACTGAGGAACCCACACACCCTAGGAACAGCAGGGCGCCCTGGGGAGCGGGAACAGTGCCCATTTCTCCTCTGCAGGGGAAGGGCTTCTCAGCAGAGGCACTGGTTGCCTTTGTGAAGGGGTATCCCCACACCCACAACACTGGGAGTGAGGATGGCAGAACAGAACCTTTCCAGTGACCCTGGGTTACCCCCGGCCTCCTGGACCAACCACCATCTCCCCAGCTGGGGAAAATAGGAAGGTTTTCTATTCCTCCCACCTGACACCATGACCACCACTTCCCTCATTCTCATCTCTGCCCCCACCCTACCCCTTTACCCAAAGGCTGGCACCCTTAGCTCGACCCCCCTTCTGAGCACCCGATGACATTGCCAGCTCGGCCTAGTTACTGTGCTGCCCTGCTCCCCGCTGGGCAACTTATTAGGTTTCAGCTGCCCGGAGTTTTCTTACTTTTTTTGATGTGGAGTTGGGGTAAGGGGAGCATTCAACTTCCACAGGAACCTGATTAGCTATTCAGGGAAGGTGTTAAGAGGAATTTGAGCAATTTGCTCCATATTTAGTGGGAAATGGAAGGCTGGCAAGTGGAGGAGTGAAGAACGAGGCCCCCTGTGTGCCCATTGAGGCATGTGGCCAGCTGGGCACAGTGGGAATGCCAGCTCTGAACCCAGTATGGGGTGTCCGGGTGGTGTCCTGCCGGCACTGCTGGGGTGCGTGGTCCTGGCCAAAGGCTGGTGCCCAGAGGCAGGGGCAAGGAGCTAGCTATTGCCCTTACAGTTGTCGAACCAAACTGTGGAAAGTGAGTTAGTGGAAGCAGGGTGCTCATCTCTATCCTTTTCCCACCCCACCCTCACCTGGGTCCCTCATTCTTTGATGTGTTGAAATGGAAAATGTAGAGACTTAACTCCTGAGGGGGCCTGTTAAGCAGTCTGTGGGTCCCTCTTAGGCCTACTTGGTGAAAGGGCTCACCTGAGTGCTCCCTATCCCAACCCAGTTGCTCAATAGGGCCTCAGTGGCCTGACCTGCCACCTCTAAATGTCACCGCTACCTTACAACTGGCCCCACGTTAGGGCTGCATGGGTCCCCCCACCCCTGCTTGAGTCCTGTCCATGGCACCACCTCCTGACAGTGTCTGTGTGGGGGACCCTGGCTCTTCCCCATCTGATGGAGCCGCCACACTCCCTCGCAGGTTTGACAGTGAGCTCTCGCAGGCGCATGAGGAGGCCCAGCGGGAGAAGCTGCAGCGGGAGAAGCTGCAGCGGGAGAAGGACATGCTCCTCGCTGAGGCTTTCAGCCTGAAGCAGCAACTAGAGGTGGGTAGGGCCACCCACCATCTGTGCCCTGTCCCCCTCACAACCTGGGGTCAGCCCTGCACCAGCCTCATCTCTTTTGCTCCAGGAAAAAGACATGGACATTGCAGGGTTCACCCAGAAGGTTGTGTCTCTAGAGGCAGAGCTCCAGGACATTTCTTCCCAAGAGTCCAAGGATGAGGCTTCTCTGGCCAAGGTCAAGAAACAGCTCCGGGACCTGGAGGCCAAAGTCAAGGATCAGGAAGAAGAGCTGGATGAGCAGGCAGGGACCATCCAGATGCTGGAACAGGTACAGGAGGGCTTGGCCAAGGGAGAGGTGAGGTGCAGCGAGGCCGCCACCATCCCCACAGCCAGCCTCAGGCATGGGCCAGAGGATCCTGCCTCCATTCATTCGCGTATTCACTCACTCACCTACTCACAAAATGTGGAGTGAGCACCTGATCTGTGCCAGCCACAGTGTGAAGACGCGCTCGTGGAACTTTCCACAAAAACAAATCTGATGGAGCTCTAGTAGGGAGGGGCTCAGGATGCATGGCAGCTGAGGGCCACAGGCCCACCCAGCCTGCTACCCAGCCACCAAGTCAGTTCAGGGAGCTAGAGCCTGCAGGCAGACGGAGAAGCTGCAGGACTGTCCCCACCCCAGCTGCCTCTCTGTGGGCCTATGCCAGACCTCTAGTAAGGGAGTTCAGCTGCTCTGGAGAAGCTGCTGCCACGGGAGCAAGGTGCCAGCAAAGGGAACTGGCTGGTGGACGTTCTCGGCCCCTGAGCCTAGGGAGAGCCATGCACAGGTGGGAAGGGGGTGGCCACAGCTGGGGAGGGAACCCAGACCCTACTCCAACCACCTCCAGGCCAAGCTGCGTCTGGAGATGGAGATGGAGCGGATGAGACAGACCCATTCTAAGGAGATGGAGAGTCGGGATGAGGAGGTGGAGGAGGCCCGGCAGTCGTGTCAGAAGAAGGTAAGGTATCTGAGTACTTACCTGTCCAGCGTAAACACCTGTTCCCATCACCGCTTTAAAGTAAGGGGCTTTCCACCTCCCTACCTCAGCCACATCGTCTTCCATTGTCATTCTGGGCCAGGAAGCGCCTCTCGGGATCCTAGCATTGGCAGGATGTATTGGCTCAGAGTCTGTAGAGAAGCTTGGGCCCCTGAGGAACTATCGCTCCCTGCTTTCTGTGCCAGGGGCAGCCCCCTGTGCCCCTGCTGTGCTGCGCTGCACTGGTGCTGCCTGCAGTCAGCCAGCCTGGCCGGGCAGGTCTCCACCATGCGGCAAGGTCTCTCCTACTCTGTCTTGGCTAGCCACCGCATGTGGCCTGCCATCCCTCCTCACCCTCCCAGGCTGCTTTGAAACCCTAGAAACCTGGAATTTAGGTTCTGACCCCTCCACCAACATCATTGTGCTCAGGCCTGCCCCACTGTTTTCCTGGAGTGGGGAACCCAGAATGGAAGGGGCCTGCTTCGCACCAGGCACTAAAGGGACGGACGGGTCTCTGTCCCCATGGTACTCCAGTTAAAACAGATGGAGGTGCAGCTAGAGGAAGAGTATGAGGACAAGCAGAAGGTTCTGCGAGAGAAGCGGGAGCTGGAGGGCAAGCTCGCCACCCTCAGCGACCAGGTCAGGGGATGCTCCACCCACCAAGCCTGGCCGGCTCCCTGCCCATGCGGCCTGAGGAGTGGGGATCCTAGGGATGGGGAGCCACGAACAGAGCTGTCGGGGGTGGGGGTGCTGCAAAGAGCCCATCGTCATCCCTTGTGGGATGGGGGCATCACCATACATTGGCACACCCAGCCCTTTATCGCTGGTTGGCATGACCCTGGCTCTTCCAGCATCCTTATGGGGACACTGATAATGAGGACGTGGTGAGGAGGGAGCTTGGGGAAGATAGGAGGAAGCCCTGTGCAGAGCCCAGAACCCCAACTGCTGGTGCCCACCCAGGTGAACCGGCGGGACTTTGAGTCAGAGAAGCGGCTGCGGAAGGACCTGAAGCGCACCAAGGCCCTGCTGGCAGATGCCCAGCTCATGCTGGACCACCTGAAGAACAGTGCTCCCAGCAAGCGAGAGATTGCCCAGCTCAAGAACCAGGTATCCACAGAGAGCACACGGCTGATCCAGGCACAACAGAGCTTACCTTTCCATTCTCTTTCTCTCTCTCGCTCCTCTCAGTGGTTCTTGAGTCCTTGGGAAGGAAAGTGACAGGAAAGAGGGGAGAGCCACGTGTAGCAGCTAGACTCCCCAGGCTCTGCGTGTGCCTTACTGTCTCACCGCCCAGCCTGGGATGGTGTGGATGGGGCCTGGTGCCCACCAGCCATGTCACGGGAGGAGATCCCCACGCGTGCACCACCACACAGCCATGGCCCTGGGGTCTGAAGTGAATGGAGGAGGAGAAGGAGGGCATCCGAGCTCCCTCTTTCCTGTACAGCCCTCCTGCCCCCAAGGAATGGCTGACATCTCTCCCTGGGGCGGGGGTGGTCTGTGTCCAGCTGGAGGAGTCAGAGTTCACCTGTGCGGCAGCCGTGAAAGCACGGAAAGCAATGGAGGTGGAGATCGAAGACCTGCACCTGCAGATTGATGACATCGCCAAAGCCAAGACAGCGGTGAGGGGCCAAGGTGCCCGGGGCAGAGCTCGGGGGGCTGAGGCAGAATAGAGCTGCCTCTGTGGCTCCCTTCACCCTAGACAGGTCCCTCCACGTCAGGACTTGTGACAGGTCCTTTCACGCCAGGACTTGCTGCAGGAAGAGCGGGCCTCCCCTCCTCTGCGTCTCTCCACACTGAGCAGAGGCCTCGGGGAGGAGCGGGCAGAAGAGGGAGCCAGCAAGGGCCCATCTCCCTGTTTAACCACCTGCCTACGGGAGCTTGGCCGCAGGCCCCAACACCATAAATAAAGGCAGCTAATGTGGCTGAGGGATGTAAACAGGTGCCTAGAGATTAGCAGAAGCACAGATAAGAGGACAGGATGGCTTGGCTTCCTTCCCCTTCCCCCTGCCCAGCCCACTGACAAGCCCAAGCGGCAGCTAATTAGAGCTCTTATTTAATGCCTCCCTTTTAATTTCCCACCTCTCCCACGGCCCATCCATCGGCAGAGAATTCATTACTGGGATGCGGCCAGTACAGGCAGCTCCTTGAGCATCACTGGTCCTGGGACCCACCCCAGTGGGCAGGCCCCTTGGGCAGGGAATGGGGCAGGGGAGGAGGCTGGGCTGGGCTGGTGGCTTCATGGCCCCTGAGCTAGTCACCTAGCTGCTGAGAGATGCCAATCTCACGGGCTTGATTTATCCCCATGACATTTGTGCTCCTCAGCAGTTCTCAGGTGAGTAATTCAAATTCCTTAATTGTGTTAAAAAAGGTTGTTATAAAATTACCATTTTATTTAAATCTGAGTTAATAAATTTCTTGGCGGAGGCTTCCCCAGCTCCCCACAGCCCAGTAACAAGATGGATGGGGCAGAGAAGGAGCCAACACAGTCATTTTGGTTTGGAATTACAGGCTAATAGATTCATTCATTTCCTGAAGCTGCTGTTGGATCTCTCTTCCCCTCCCCCAAGGAGGGGACTGGCTGTCGGGGCTGGATGCCCAGGGAGTGGGCAGTCCCAGGGAAAATGAGAGTCTAAGCCAGGAGACCTTCGCAGACTTGAGGGGTCCTTCCCTGGGGCCTGAAGGGGGCAGAGTGCACGCAGGCCAGGGCCTGGACTGATAGTGCCAGGATGATGGGTCATTTGTTCTGGGCAGACCTTTTCTGCCTTCTCATTAGCCTCAAAGGAGCTGCCAGGAAGCAGCTGTCATTCAGCTCAGAGGCCCAGGGTCTGCCTGTACTGCACACAGCCCTTTCCCTCATCTCCCTGGTCCAGAGCGGGACAGGCAGCTCCTTGAGCATCACTAGTCCTGGGACCCACCCCAGCAGGCAGGCTCAGCCCATTATCATCTTCTCTACAATGCCCCTGCCATTGGAGGCAGCTGGAGCCCACAGGCACACTGGGCCTGAGGCCCTCTGATCTGTCTTTGCCTCTCTCCAGCTGGAGGAGCAGCTGAGCCGCCTTCAGCGTGAGAAGAATGAGATCCAGAACCGGCTGGAGGAAGATCAGGAAGACATGAACGAATTGATGAAGAAGCACAAGGCTGCCGTGGCTCAGGTACCCCTGCCAGGAGTGCCCGTCACACTCTGCACCGTCACCATCCTTGTGGTCCTCCTCATGGGTCCCCCGCACAACCGCTTGTTTTGGGAGGTGATGGAGTGGGAACCTCGGTCCCCTGGTGTTCCAGCTGGGCTGGGCTGGTTGAATGCTTATGGGGGATCCTGCTTCTGATGCTCTCATTCCTTTCCCAGGCTTCCCGGGACCTGGCTCAGATAAATGATCTCCAAGCTCAGCTAGAAGAAGCCAACAAAGAGAAGCAGGAGCTGCAGGAGAAGGTGAGGACCAGGGGCTCCCTCAGGAGAGAGAGAGTGCCAGGGTCACTAGGTGTGGGAGGAACCCCCAAGTTCACAGTTTAGAAGGCGCTTTTCTCTGCCATCAGTAATCCACAGAGCAGCGTAAATGAGGAGCAAGAGCTAGGCTTGGAGCCATGTCACCATAACAGACATTTGGGCTTCCCCTGCCTCATTTCCCATCTGTATTCCCTCTCCGATCCTTAGCTTTCTCCTTTCTCTCTGAAGGGCAATCTCTGTGCCAAGCACTGGGGCAGATGGGGGAGGCCTCTGGCCCAGGGCTCCATTCTCTTTCCTCCCAGGTGCATCCCTCCCTCCCCTTGCCTTCTGGTCACTGTGGTGATATTGCCTGCCCCAGACGCAGTCTCCTCCCTTTCTGGGCTCAGTTCTTTCTTCTCTTCCTGTCCCCCACCTCTAGCTACAAGCCCTCCAGAGCCAGGTGGAGTTCCTGGAGCAGTCCATGGTGGACAAGTCCCTGGTGAGCAGGCAGGAAGCTAAGATACGGGAGCTGGAGACACGCCTGGAGTTTGAAAGGACGCAAGTGAAACGGCTGGAGGTGGGTTCACACTTCTCCCGGGCCACACCAAACAGGGCAGAGCTGCCCCAGCGCTGGAGCCGCGCATGCTCAGCAGGGCTGGACAGGCCCCCGGACAGTCCTCAGAGGCCTGTGCCTCACTGCCAGGCCAGCTGACGGGCAGGTGCTTCTCTCCCGCCCTGCCTGGCCTGCTCTCTGGCTACCGTGGAGCCCGCCTGCTTTACATTCTGTTTCCGTGCTTGCTTTCTGCCAAGGGACCAGAGCAGCTTAGCTCTTCGTCTTCATATTTTCCTCCACCACGAGCTCCCCCCGCCTGTTCCCCTCAACCGGTTCTCTGGCAGGGTCATAAATATGCAGCGGATGGTGCCACTTCTGCGCAGGCTGGAATCTGTTCTCTCATCTGCCCTCGCTCTGCTCCTCTCCCCTTCCCTGCTTCATTCCCTTTCTTCCTCACTTCTTCTGCCCTCCTGTCTCTGCTTTTTTTTTTCTCTCTCCCTTTTTCTTGATTATGATCCTATTCTTTCTTCTCCCTTCATTTTTTTTTTTTTTTTTTTTTTTTTTTGAGACAGAGTCTCACTCTGTCGCCAGGCTTGAGTGCAGTGGTACGATCTCGGCTCACTGCAACCTCCACCTCCCGGGTTCAAGCGATTCCCCTGCCTCAGCCTCCCGAGTAGATGGGACTACAGGCACGTGCTTTTTTTAAATTGTATTTTAGTAGAGAGGGGGTTTCACCATGTTGGCCAGGATGGTCTTGATCTCCTGACCTCATGATCTGCCCGCCTCGGCCTCCCAAAGTGCTGGGATTACAGGCATGAAATATTTTATATTTTTTCCTCTCTCCAATCTTATTTCTCTTTCTTACCCTCTTCCCATCCCATTCTCCTCTCCCTTTATTATAAGGTTCATTCTCTCTTCTTCCCCTTTTTTTTTTTTTTTGAGATAGGGTCTCGCTCTGTTGCCCAGGCTGTAGTGCAGTGACGCAATCATGGCTCACTGTAGCCTTGACCTCCTGGGCTCAAGCAATCCTCCCATCCTCCTGCCTCAGCCTCCTGTGTAGCTGGGACCACAGGCATGTGCCACCATGCCTGGCTAATTTTTGTATTTTTTGCAGAGACAGGGTTTTGCCTTGTTGCTCAGACTGGTCTTGAACTTCTGGGCTCAAGCAATCCGCCTGCCTCAGCTTCCCAAAGTGTTGGGATTACAGGCATGAGCCACCATGCTGGACCAATCCTTTTTCTTTCGGTCTCCCAAAGCCAGTATTGGCCAGCCCCTTCCATCTCTGGCAGAGCAGATAGCAAGAGAGAGGCAGAAAGGATTATCTCCTGGGTTTACATCCCTCTCACCTTATTTTTAAGTTCTCCTTGAGTTTATAAGCCTTTGTCTCCACACCGTCGGTTCTCCCTGGGCCCTGTGTTGATGAGTGTGGTTGGTGAGGGGCAGCCCTGTCACCTCCTCCATCAGCTCACAGTCCATGGAGCAGGCATTTAGGTAGGGATAGAAACAGGTGGGCATCTAGATGGCATTAATAACCTGGACACAGGAAGAGAGCACAACTGACCCTTCCAAGGCGGGGTCACAGTTCTCAGGAGAGCTGGAGAGAGTTAGGGGAAACTTAAGAACTTATTTTCGGCTGGGCGCGGTGGCTCATGCCTGTAATCCCAGCACTTTTGGAGGCCAAGGTGGGCGGATCACGAGGTCAGGAGATCGAGACCATCCTGGCTAACACGGTGAAACCCTGTCTCTACTAAAAATACAAAACATTAGCCGGGCGTGGTGGCGGGCGCCTGTAGTCCCAGCTACTCCGGAGGCTGAGGCAGGAGAATGGCGTGAACCCCGGGGGGCGGAGCCTGCAGTGAGCGGAGATCGCGCCACTGCACTCCAGCCTGGGCGACAGCGACACTCCGTCTCAAAAAAAAAAAAAAAAAAAAAGAATTTATTTTCTGCCCACCCCAACCCCAGGCTGGCTGATAATATTTTGATCCCCATTTTACATACAGGAAGGGTTAAGTGGGTTGCCTAAGGTCACAAAGCTATCAAGGGACAGAAGAGGCCATTGGTCTGGTGGACACAGGACAGGCCCACAGGACTTGTCTCCTTTTCTCTTGGGCCTAGTCCCTTCCCGCACCTCTACCCCTCAGGTTCCCTTCCGCTCAGAGAGTTTTGTGGTTTAGACTCATAGGATGTTAAACACAAACGGCCCAATCCTGCAGCCTGGCTCTTTTATTTTAGGGATATAGAGGCTGGGGGACCAGTCCGAGGTAGAACCAGGATTACAAGCAGATGCGGGGTTCTTCCCTCACATTCAGCCCCTCTCTCCAGGTCATTTTTTGCTCAGCATCCCACTGCCTGGCAGGAGATTCATTAGGCTTAGAGAGATGCTCTCTGCTTGGAATCTGATGATTGTTTAGTCTCTCCTAATTCAGAACTCCAGCAAAGCCATTTACCTCTGAGCACAGGATCTAGCTTTTGGGGCTTCTGGGTTCAGAGTCCCTGCGGGAAGCCCTGCTGACCTGAGAGGACTCTACATGCAGTGTCAATACCGACAGGCCCACCAGGCTGTACCCAGAACACTCCCTCAGTCTTGGTGTAGTAATAATGATAATAGCACCTTTCATCTTTCAGAGTGCATTCACATTCATTACCTTATTCATCCTCAGAAGACCCCTGGGGGTTAGGTGTTATTCTCCCCACATTTTACAGAAAAGCAAGGGAAGCTTCGGGGTTGCTTGCCCAGGTAGCCAATGAACGGTGGAGCCAGAGCTCGACCCCAGGCCTCCTCACCCAGAGCTCTGCCACACCCTCCCTCTGCCTGGCTGATGGGCCTGCCTGCTGTGTCTTTCTTCCCCACCTACCTATCCAGAGCCTGGCTAGCCGTCTCAAGGAAAACATGGAGAAGCTGACTGAGGAGCGGGATCAGCGCATTGCAGCCGAGAACCGGGAGAAGGAACAGAACAAGCGGCTACAGAGGCAGCTCCGGGACACCAAGGAGGAGATGGGCGAGCTTGCCAGGAAGGAGGCCGAGGCGAGCCGCAAGAAGCACGAACTGGTAATGCCCCCTGTCCCCCACGGGGCCCACATGGCAGCCCCTTGAGTAGCTGCTGAGTGTATGCCTCACTCTGGCCTGGTTGAGGATAGGGTGCAAAGAAACTGCACATGAGTCAGAGAATGGGAGGGAGGAGGAGCATATCAAGAGGGCAGGCCAGGAAGCTAGCGGCACTGGAGACTCCCTCAGATGAGGCTTGGACCCCACAGCCCAGCAGCAACAGAGCGGAAAAGGCTCTGGCAGCCTGTGTCAGCCCTCAGGTAGCACCCCCATGACCGGAAAGTACTTGAAGCAGGCTTCTTCTGGCCATCTAGGGGAGAAGCTAGCCCTCCTGCAAACTGGGCTGCCCCCTTCCTCCTAGGAGATGGATCTAGAAAGCCTGGAGGCTGCTAACCAGAGCCTGCAGGCTGACCTAAAGTTGGCATTCAAGCGCATCGGGGACCTGCAGGCTGCCATTGAGGATGAGATGGAGAGTGATGAGAATGAGGACCTCATCAACAGGTGAGAAGTGGCCTCTGGGGCATCTGCAGCTAGCACGGAGGCCCTCTTGACCACCTCTGGAACCAGACGACCAGGTAGAACAGTTGCAACCTCTGCCTCCCCATGAGCAAGCCGCCAACCCACCCTCCCTTTACTGCCAGATCCCAGCACAGCCTGTCCTGCAGGGGCAGACGGTGAGACAGGTGCACCCTGATGGAGGCCACCCAGCCAGTCTCCCCTCTCCACGACCAGGCCCTCCAGCTCTGCCCGCTCAAGATGAGTTATTCTCCCGTTTAGCTGCATTTCCGATGGCACCTGCCCCACTCTGGGGAGAGCAGAGATTTAAAGGCTGTGGTGCCTTGTTACTATGCCAGAGATTTTCTCATAAAACCCACCCGGGGAATGGTTTGGAGAGAAAGAGATTTGTAGTCTTAGGCTGAGGAGACAGTCACGAGGAAGGAAGGCCAGCAGTGCGGGGTAGCACCAGGCCATGGAGAAGCTCCCAGGGCTGCCCTAGGTGGACCCTAGATCTGCCCCCTTCCCACCTTAGGGCTGGGGCCCATCCTGCAGGCAGGTCTGGGGCAGCGCAGGGACCCTGCTGCTTTGGGGCAGGGGAGAGGTGCCAGGGGCAGCCCGCATCAGATTTTGAGGACAGTGCCATCACGCATCCCACTACCTGGTCTCAACCAGCCAGAGCTGGCTCTTGCTGAGGGAAGAGAGGTCTTCAGCTAAGGGGTCCACCTTGGGTTGCCGATTGATTTCATCTGTTTCCTCTGGACCCCTTGCCCACCATTTTCCTTCTATTTCCAGTTTGCAGGACATGGTGACAAAGTATCAGAAAAGAAAGAATAAACTGTGAGGACTGGAGCGCATGTGCTCTCTGCCTGTCCTCGCGGGTGTCTAACCACCCCTAACACTGGCTCCCACCCTGGGGCCGCTGCACGCAGCATGTGGATACAGCCTCCCCACACTCCCGCCTCACTGGTCTCTAACGCTAACATGCTGACTCTATCCTCGGGGGAGGCAGGGAGCGGGCAATGAGGTGTGCTCCCCAGAAGGCTGGGGCTGGCCCGTGCACCCTTGGTGGGCAGGATGGGGGGGCTCCTGCCGAAAGGAAAGCGCAGCCTATTTGAGAAGTTTACCTTCCTGAGCTCCAGCACATTCCTCCCTCAAAAACCAAGTGTGGCCACCTCCCTGGCCTATTTCTCTGGGGGGAAAAGTCTGTTTGGGCTGGATCTGTCCACATCCTTGGGCTCCTTGGGAGCCTGAGCTGCCTGAAAGAAGCGGGCGTGTTTCATCTTTAAAGGTCCACTACCTTCTCTTGGCAGACAAGGGTAGAAGGTGAGGGGCATCTCCCAGTTTCTTGTTTGGAGAAAGCATTCAGGCAGCTAATCATGGGCTGCTTGCCGTGGCGGGGGAAGGGAACACAGCCAGATGTGTTTACTTTACTCCCTGCGGTACCGTGGGCAGAGGGAGGCCCCAGCGGGCGCTTGTGCTGGTACTGTCAGGTGGCAGGAAGCCCAGGAAATCCAGCCCTCTCTTTTCCCGCTTTCTGGGTGGGAGCTGGACAGCGGATGCAGATGCGCAGGCCTTCAGGCAGAGCGGGCTGATCCTCCATCAAGTTCGACAGGGTTGTTTTTTAGAGGTCTTTTTTTTTTAGCATGGCATTGGGTTTCTTCCCCCACTCTCTCTCGCCTGATGGACCCCCTCCCCTGGCCAGGATGGGCTGGTGGCAGCGCACAGGACTCAGTGAGAGCTAATGATAAATGTAATAGTGTGTAACAGTGATAGAGGGCCGCTGGAGCCTGGTTGTCACACACAATTAATATCCCCCGCCGTTCTGTCTCCGTTTGTTTGTTCCCCCGTGATTCGGCTCCCCGTTAACTAATAGCACATGAGCCCGGACATAAATTGTATTTGACGTGAGGTTTAATTCCAACCATTTAAAATTTCAACTGCCCTCTGAGCCTGCCTGCCCCTGGAGTTTGTTTACGGGCCTGATTATTTAAGGAAAAGAACATCTTCTAGATGCTTGCAACTAAAGGGAAGGCGAGGGCAGGCAGGCCAGCTTTGCAACCCATCCACTGTTCTGTATGTAAGGAGGAAAATTCATATTCTGGGCCCACAACTGTCTGTCCCCTGTGTGTTTCAACCCTGCCATCCTTGTGTGGCAAGAGCTTCAAGGGCTGATAAAATGCGCATTTAAGATCATATTCTAAACCACTGCCAGGCATGCACACACACAGGTACACCACGCATGCACACACACTCACACACACTGGTGTGTGCTCACATAGACGCATGGGGACGTGCAGCTCTAACCAGGTTCCGGCTGATGGCAGAGAGGTGGTGTGGCTCCTTCCTCAGCAGCTCTGGGCCCCAGCTCCAAGTTATTGAGCCCAGCGCAGTAAGGCAGGCAGAGAAATAATGTTTCGATTTACTTAGAGATACAGTTGTTATTGCCATAACCTTAATGAAAGCAGTAAACAGCACGGTATTAAGGGAGATTTATATGGAAACGCTTTTAACATGTAGACATAGATTTTGCGATGCATACAGCACCTCCTTTCTAAAGGCAATCAATATGGTTATGAACGGTGGTGATAAATTACAGGCTCTGAAGCTAGAGAGGGAGGTTTTTTGCACAGGTGTATAAATCAGGTGGTATTGGTGTTCCATGGGGCCCATGCACCACAGTAAATCTGCCAGGCTCGGACGGGCACAGGGCTTGCATTAGCAGTTTCGAGGTTGTCTGCTAAACTCCTGTTTACCCGGGGCATCAGCCAGCCTCGTCTTTGTTATAATTCTGTATTTGATGGAAGCCCATAAAACATGCCTCTTTATTCCCCTCTCTATGAGTTGGGCTCTCGCATGGTCCCCAGAACAATCTGCTGGTTTCGTGTGTGTGTGTGTGTGTGTGTGTGTGCGCGCGCGCGCACACATGCCTGTGTGGCTGTTTATTTAAGAACATAATTCAGGAATGGAGCCATTCCTCTTGACACAGAGGAAAGGAAATTTATATCGAGGAGAAACCCTAGCCTATCCATAGCAGGGCAACTTGGTGAGCAGACATTCTGCAGAATTTTAGAAGCAATCTTACTCAGAAGCTATCTCCAAGCCCAGCTGCTTCATGAGGGGGTGGCCATGACTCCAGCCTCAGAATTGGACTCCTTTGGGCTTTCTTTCAAGTGCTAAGGTCAGCTCTGCCCGATGAAGCACTGTGAGCAAGGGCTGGGGGCTACCTGAGGACGGAAGAGGAGACCTTGAGCGACAGGGCTCTGGTGTGGGACTTTCTGAGCCCAGCTGGGTCTCCAGGGACAATTTAGATACTGAAACTGTTGCTAGTCCCTCTGGAAATGCTGATGCCCCCCGCCCCCCGCCCCTTTTCCTTTCTCTGTTTCTTAAGAGCCAGAGAAGCCACAGGGTGGATCTGGGATGTGGCCTGGGCCTCCTTAACCTAGAGCCCAGGTTGGTGCTGCCATCCACTAAGGAGACCTTCAGGTTCAAGCTAACTCCAAATCCTACGAAGCCCTTCTCTTCTGCTCTGTGGCTGGCAGCCCAGCTCTTGTAACAAAGGCATGGAAATTGACAGCAGCTATAGCCACAATCTGAGGAATGGCAGACAAGAAACAGCAGAGTAGGCCTCAAGGAGTCACTGAAGAACCCAGGGCTCCTCTTTTTAGCTCAGAGCCATTTAGCTGAAATTGATGAGTGGATGGTCTTTAAGTCATTCTCCCTTGATTGGTCAGTGGCCTGTCACAGATAACTGGCTTGGGAGCTGCCTCCATGCTCCTGAGGGTCTTCTTGGTGGTTGTCACACAGTGTGGCTGCTGAGTGGGGACAGGCTCCTTGTGAATGGTGTGCTCTGTCTAACCTCTCTCATTCCCGCCCTCCCGACTCACCGACGTGCATGCTGCCCACATCCCCCCTGCCCAAGACACCCCCTGCACCCCCATCTGCTCCCCTCGTGGGCAGCAGGTGCCTATGCCTTGTCTACCTTTCTGCTCCTCATCCCTACAGTGAGGGAGACTCTGATGTGGACTCGGAGCTGGAGGACCGTGTTGACGGGGTCAAGTCCTGGTTGTCAAAAAACAAGGGACCTTCCAAGGCAGCTTCTGATGATGGCAGCTTAAAGAGTTCCAGGTGAGCATATGGCCTTGAGCTGGGAGGAAAAGCCACCTTGTGCCACAAGGAATGGACAAGTAGCGCCTGGATCCCATGAGGGCAGGCCTGTGTCTCTTGTCTGGCATTTGTGACTGCGGCCCGGGCATGCTTCTGGCATGTGCATGGGCACAGGAAGTTTCTTCTTAGCCAGGGCTGCGTCGCCCTTATTTTTTCCAGGGAATGTTTTCCCATTAGGCTCCAGGCTTTGGTTTGATGTAAGTTAAATGTCACCTCCACTTATTCATTCAACAAATGTTGATCAAGCTTCCTGATAGTTCAGACCCTTGGAATCAAAACTGGGATGGGGCACAGGGGACTCTTAATCCCACAGCCCTGGCCAGCTCTGGATCTCTGACGTCTTACCGTGAATAGCAGCAGAAGAGGCACCAGTTCCACTGATTCTTGACCCAGTTACAGGCACATTTCTGTCTTTTTCTGCCCATTCTCTCCTTCCTCTAATCTCTTCACTGCCCCCACTTCTTTCCTCCTAATACCCATCCACTGGGGGAATGTACTCCCCTGTTTTCTAGCCAGTCATAGTCCTCTGATCATACAGACAGCTACCCCTGGAATCCAGAGCTTCCCCTTGCCCATCTCTTTCCTACTGGCCAGTGTGGCAGCAGGGAGAAAGAAGAGCCCTCGCTCCCCCCTCACCCCCCACAAAGCCATATCCCTGCTGCCCCCACAACATAGAATCCCAACCCCCTGATCAAGCCCATCCTGATCCTCCAGGACACACCCTTCCTCATCCTCTCCCAGAGACAGCAGGTAGACTGGGTAGAAAAAGTAACATCTCTCCCTCCCTTCTCCAGCTCCCCCAAGGCCCCTTCCCCAAGCCTGGCCCCTCACCAGAAGCACCCAGCAGCCCCCTCTAATTGGTTTAATTTATTCGGCCAAACAACATTTTGTTATTGCAGATAATGCCGGCTTCCCCGCCCCACTGCCGTGGTTCACCACGGCATGGCACGAGGCTCCAGGTAGTTGACAATGAAATAAATTGAACTAAACGTTTAGAGGGGGAAAAGTGATGAAATAGAACAATAGTCTAATTTACATGACATTCTCCATGAAGCTATTTTCACTGACGCAAATTATTTTGCTTCATTTCCTCCGATGCTCTCACCACCACTTTGCCAGGGCTGCTGCCGTTTTCTCCTCCTTTCGCCTCCCTCCCCCTGTGTCTTTATTCTCTGAGTTTAATACTTGTTCCTCTCTCTCTCTCAACCTCCCTCTCTCCCTGCTGCCCTCATCCACGTCTGGTTCTCGCATCCTCCCTCGGAACGGCCCTCAACAGCCTCTCTAAGGAGGCCCCGGGGGTGGAGGAGAGGCCGTCCTCGGTGGTGAGCTCCCTGAGCTATCGGAAGCGGCTCACCCTAAAGGACTCCATCGGGGGCACCGGGGACGCGGATTCGCTCTTCACCTCCCTGAGCGAGCGGGCGGCCTCCCCTGAGAGGCCCCCTAGGAAGGCCCATGTGGGCCCCAGGGAGGAGCCATGCCCAGGCAGGAAGTCCGAGGAGCCGGAGGAGTGCGGCTCCGTCCGCTCGGGGACCGGGGGGCGCGCTGGCCGGGGGCCGCAGAAGCGGTGGGGCTCCGACTTCAGCCCGGCCTCCACCGTCTCTGCACCGGTCAGCCGGGCCTCCTCGGCCACGCGGCGGGGCTCTGGCGAAGACAGGGCTGGCTCTTCCCTGAGTTTCTCGCTGTCGGGCTCGCCCGGTTCCCGCCGCAGCACCTCCCGGCTCGACAGCCTCTCCAGGACACTCAGCCCTTCCCTGAGCCGGGCCTCTGGCCTAGGCCGGGAGAGCCCTGATTCTCGCCTGTCCCTGGGCCGGAGCTGCCTAGAGGAGTGGGATGATGGAGCCAGTATGGCCCTGAGCGAGGCCTGCTCGCAGTACAGCCACCCGTCGCTGGCCCGCAGTCTGTCGGTGCCACCCCGGCCACGCAGCTCTGCCTCGGCAGTGGATGAGCCTCCCAGCTCCAGCGTCCGCTCCGTCAGCCGTCACTCCTACCTGGACCCAGACCTGGAGGCTGCCGTCAACGAGGTCTTGAGCTACAAGCCTGTTCCATTCCAGCGGAGCAGCCTGGAGCCCGACTCCGAGGAGGATGACAGGAAGAGCATCCAAAGTGCCCGGAGCGCCCAACTGGACCCCCCGGAGCGAGCTGCCAGCATCCGCCGCTCCGCCTCTGCTGCTGATGTGTCCCGGTCCCGCAGCGGCCGGAAGAGCCGGAGCCGGCGAAGGAGCGGAAGGAGCAGCTCCAGCTCCAGCTCCAGCTCCGGCTCCGAAGCTTCCTCAGAGCACAAGAGGCGGAAGAAGGGGCGCTCTCGGAAGAGCAAGAAGTCCAAGTCGAGAAGAAAGAGAACGGAGACGGAGTCTGAGTCCTCCTCGTCGTCATCCAGCGGCTCGACCGTCTCCAGCCACAGCTGCTCCAGTGTGAAGAAGGGCCCAGCTGCAGAAAGTGAAGAAACTGGGCAGACGCACCGGCCGTCGAGGAAGGAGGAAAAGAAGCGCAAGAAAGAGGTGGACAGCCTGATGATGCGGTACCTGTACCGGCCCGAGAGCGACTAGTGCAGTAGGTGGCACCTGGCCTGGGTTCAGCATGGTGTGTCCCACCCGGTGTGAACTAACGTCCTCCCTGCCCCTCAGGCCGCCACCTTAGGGCCCACCCGCACTCCTCTCGGGCATGCCTGGCCTCGGAGAGCCTCCTGGCTGCCTTGATGAGCAGGGGCCACCCAAGCTGGTCAGTCATCCTGAGCCCTGAGCCCTGTCAGCTGAACTCGCTGGTGATGTCATAGCTCCCACTTACAAGTCCTGACCCTGAACCAGGGACTGTCCTTCATACCTTCCACACTTTAGTCACTTATCCCTCACAGTAACTCCGTAACAAAGTCTGATTAGCTCTGTTTCATAGAAGATGAAGCTGAGGCTTGGAGAGGTTAAGTCACTTGCCATGTGGTCACGCACAGCTGGGAAGGGTTGTTGCCAGGGTCTGAATGGGGTCTGCCCAACTCCAGCACTCTTGCCCTTACCCACTCCTCCAGGCAGCCAGTGCAGAGCACATGGGCAACATGTTTACTGTGTGTGCCCAGCAGCACCCATTCAGGAGCTTTCATTCATGGCCCCAACAGGCTGGGGCCAGGAAAGGTCCCAAGCTATACCCCAGCTGTGGTTGGTGCACATCAGTGGCCCTAAGCTATTATTGGGCCTTTTGCTTAGCTCTCCCTCCCCTACCCTGCCCCCACAAAGCTACCTTCCTCTCTGGCATAGATCTCAAGCCTAGGAGTACAAGGCTCCCAGGGCTACAGCCCACACAGCGCCACACCCTACAGCAGACCCAGGAGATGCCTGACTCCCTCCCCAGCCCTCCCACCAAAGGCCCACACATGGGCGTCACCTTGGTTCTACTCATCTTGTAAAGTTCTAATGAATAGAAATTAGCAACTGCTGAGTGACAGCCTCCCCCTGGCTCTCCTGCCTCCCCCAGCTCTTCTCCCTGTGGGGAGGGAGATCTAGCAGTTAGGCCCTTTATGCCCACACCCCCACCATGGAAGAAGGGCAGAGCCTGACTCATTGGAATCCCATTGTTGCCAGTTTCTCTGGTGCGTGGTGACATTTTAGATCACCCTGCTTATGTGAAGCTGTTTTTGGCATGCTGCCCTCCCAGGGCAAGCTTGCTGCTTCCCAGGAGGTATGTCCCCCGAGTGCAGCCCCTGGGGCACAGACATTTGTCTCCCAGATGCATGAACTAACACACCTGTCGCATGCTTGTGCTGTGGAGCGGCTGGACACCTAGGCTGACTTTGAATGGATTATACCAAACGGACTGATGTAAGACCTTTTAAGGAATGGAGCAAGTGGAATGGCTCAGCCCTGCTCTGTCACTTCCCCCATGCAGCAGATGGTTACTGGGTGCTCTGGGAGGAACAGGAAGCATCTCTGTTGTACCAAGGAACCAGTGTTGGCTCCATAGTAAGACAAGAGTCAGCCGAGCATGGTTATTCACACCTGTAATCCCAGCACTTTGGGAGGCTGAGGCAGACAGATCACCTGAGGTTAGGAGTTGAGACCAGCCTGGCCAAGATGGTGAAACCCCGTCTCTACTAAAAATACAAAAATTAGCTGGGCGTGGTGGCGCATGCCTATAGTCCCAGCTACTTGGGAGGCAGAGGCAGGAGAATCGCTTGAACCCGGGAGGCTCGGAGGTTGCAATGAACCGAGATCGCACCACTGCACTCCAGCCTGGGCTACAGAGCGAGACTCCATCTCAAAAAATATATATATATATGAGTCAATATTTGATCAGGCATCTCAGCCTTCCTCTTAGCAGCCCTGCTAAGTGCCCCACACCCCTAGGGCAGGAAGTCAGCTGATGGACCTGGGAGAGGGGTTTGGAAAGCAAAGAGGGCCAGGCCTTGTTGCACACTGCGCCTCTACCCCCAGATGGACATGGGCCTAAAGCTGGGCCATCCCACACTGACTGGCAACTGGCAGATTTCAGACCCCAATGCCCTCAGCCCACCATCACCCTTGACCCCACAACCAGCAATAACAAAAAGACCAAAAGCCTGTTTCTTCCACCAGCCACCAGCGCAGTTCCTCTTTTCCACCAGGAAAGCTGGAGTAGTCCTGACGCCATATATACCACCCGCTCCAAGGAGGATTGGATTCACTGTTGGTAGAGTGGCCATCAAGCCAGAACCTAGCCAACCAACACGGAGCCAGAGGGAGAAGGCCAGGGGAGGGAGGACCTCAGTGGTGCTCAGCATCAACTGGCTTTGGGGTGGGGGCATGGGATGGAGCAGTCACTTAGCTTCCCATCTGGTGATGAGGACCAGCAAGAATTTGCAACAGGAACGCAGCTTCCATAGCAAAGTCAAGGGGAGGGGAGCTGCCGCCCTGGGCTTGCCTGGCAGGAATTAGCTTATGTACCAAATTGTTTGTGACAGTGCTGAGCAGGAGACGCTGGCTTGTGAGGAGGAAGGCTTTTTTAAACAATTTGGTTAAAATGTTCAAATTGCCAGCTCTGACTCTTGCCCTGGAGAGGAGGGCAGCGGCCTGCTGTTGACTCCCTGATGGCTGGAGCAGTGGAAGCCACTAAGAATGGCTAAAGATCACCCAAGCTACGGGCAAGGGCAATCTCGTGGGTCCGCAGCCCAAGGCAGAGAGAGACATGGAGTTTACCACCTCCCCGGCAGCTCCTGCCACTGCCCAGCGTCTTGATGAAACAGTATGGAAACACGGCTGTCATTTATCCAGGTGTCTGCCTAGCAGGTACAGGAATGTGGGCTTGGGGACTGGAGCCCCCACCTTAAAAAGAGGTGAGGCAATGGAAAGGACCAGAGGGGCCCTGATTCAGCAATTTACAGTGCCTTGGAGCTCGCCAGCAGCACCTCATTTGCATCTGGATTCCAGCCCTGGCATCTGCCTCGCCCCGCTCTGCTCACAAAGTAACCCCACTGTCTTTCCACAAAGCCAGGCACTCCTTAGCCTAACGGCAGATCCTAGCCCTGAGTGCCCAGAAATTCTATGTAAAGAATGAGAACCAAACCAGGCTCCCACTAATTTAGAATTCAAACAACCCCAAAGCTAAAATAACCCCAATTTTTTTCTATATTGCATAGTCATCAGTGAGCTTTATAATTTTGTCCTAGAAACCCCCCCAGAGTCCCTAAGTGCCTTTGGCCTATCAAAGTAAGACTCATTTATGTTCAGTCTAGTTTGTGTTAAATGTGTTTTGTGCTATCCTGATTCCTTTAAAAATGGTAATTCATTCATGAGAAATACGATAACTATTAACCAGACTGCCCCATTCCTGAACCATTTTGCATAATTGAACATGTATTCTATCAGCCTCTTCCTTTCCCCCAGGGATAGAGACCGACCTTTCTTTACATAACCCCTGGGCACTTGCCCAAGCCAGCAGGAGAATTCAGGTTTGGTCCTTTTTTTTTTTTTTTTTTTTTAATCTCAGGTCAACCAATCGAGTGGCGGGGTGAAGTCGTCCAAAGTCTTTGAGGTCTAAGAGTCCCAGATTCAAGTTTACATACTGGCTGTGTGGCCTTGGGGAAGATCCTTTCATCTCTTTGGACTGGCTTCCTCGTAATATTTCATAGGGTTATTGTGAAGAGTAAGATAGCCTATCTCACATGCCTAGGCCGTGTCTTACACATAGGAGTACTCAGTGACCAAATCTTGCCCTCTGCATCTCTCACTGCCACCTTGGGAAAAGCTAAGAAGGTGGTTCTTGCCGCAGAACGCTGACTCCTCCTATTTTGGTTTGGGGATAGAACTTTAAAAGGGCTAGTAAACAAAGGTCCCTTTTCAGCTTAAGTCAGAATTATAGGCAGCAGGGAACATGGAACTCCTGCTTGCCCAAGTTGGAACTCTAGGATCTGGAGGCAGGGCTGCAGCTCCAGGGACCACGCCGAGTGTGGGGCATCAGTAGGAGAGGAGCCACACTGGGCTGTGTTTTCTCCAATGGTGTTGAAACGAGAGTGCACTTGAACTGACGGAGGCAGTGGAGGCAGGAGGAGTACGGGAAAGGTGGCCCCAAGGCTTTGGGAGAAAGAAAAGAGAAGGTGAATGGAGCTGTGAGATGAGGTCCCCTCTTCCCTGTTCAGTGCTGTGATCCTGCTCCATCAGGGGGAAGAGGCCTCTTCACATCTGGGATAGCTGGAGGCCTCCAGAGCCAGAGGCCTGATGAAGACTCTGAGTTATGTTATTGTACCAAGAAAGGGGCTTTTCCCCTTGGGCCATCCTAAAACAGGTCTTCCCAGCCTCTCCTTCCTGAGCCTCCATTTCTTGTTAGTAGATGATGGCATGGTCAAAGCTGAAAATTCTCACAGGCCTCAGGGAGCCATCATTAGGGGAAAGGGTTCAGATCTGGGAGTATTTGACAGGGAAAGCGCCTCCTCCTCAGAAGGAATCTTTTTAGGAATCACTCGCCTAAGAGAGCCCCTACCCTAGACAAGTTGTACTCACCAGACCTCCAGTCTCCAAGCCAATGTGGTTCACGGACTGCCTGCTTCAGAGCCTTCTGGGGAAGGACTGAAAATGCAGAATTACTGGGTTGTACCCAAAAGCCAGCGATTCAAGGTTTCTAAGAGGAAGGGCCCAGGAACCTGCATCAGATTCTTATGCACGCTTGAGTCCGAGACTCACTGCTCTCAGCATCCCTTTCCTCGGAGCTTTAAAAGCTTCCAGAGTCTCCTTCCTCTTAGCATTTTGAGTATCTTCTAAGTAAGCCAAGGAAGGTTTTTACTTAACAATGTTTGGCTTTTGGGGAGTGCTCTGACGCAGCTTTGTGGGCCTCCAGAACCAAAGGCGTGCGTGCTTAATGGTAGGAGTGTCATTTGTCCCTAACCTTATTCCTCGGTCCCTGCAGCCCCACCAGCTACTGGAAGTCCCTTGCCCCTGATCGGTCAGATGATGAGCACGACCCTCTCGACAACACCTCCAGACCGCGATACTCCCACAGTTATCTGAGTGACAGCGACACAGAGGCCAAGCTGACGGAGACTAACGCATAGCCCAGGGGAGTGGTTGGCAGCCCTCTCACCCCAGGGCCTGTGGCTGCCTGGGCACCTCTCCCAGGAAGTGGTGGGGCACCGGTCTCCCCCACCCGACTGCTGATCTGCATGGGAAACACCCTGACCTTCTTCTGTCAGGGGCACTTTCCAGGCTATGGGTGTCTGATGTCTCCACGTGGAAGAGGTGGGGGAAAGAGGAGTTTCTGAAGAGAACTTTTTGCTCCTCTGTCTCAAAATGCCAGACTCTTGGCTTCTACCCTGTGTCACCGTGGGCAGTGGCAGGTGGCCTGGCACTGCATGGAGCCAGCACGTTGACCTCCCTCTCAGCTCCCTGCTCAGGGACGGTGGACAGGTTGCCTACTGGGACACTCTAGGTTGCTGGGTCCATGGGGAGGATTGGGGGAGGAGAAGCAGTGCCTTCCCTCTCGTGTGGGGTGGGGGCTCTCTCTTCTTGGTGCCTGCTGTCTTTCTACTTTTTAATTTAAATACCCAACCTCTCCATCACAGCTGCATCCCTGAGAGTGGGAGGGGGCTGTAGTGGTAGCTGGGGCTCCCAAGAACGACTCGGGAATGTCATCTCCATCTTCACCCTTCAGAGAGCAGTCCTTTCTCTGTGCAGCTGGAGACGCTGGTGAGGAGAGCCGGGTCCAGGTTCTTAAGAATGAGGTGCGGAGGGGCTCTCCGGTGCTGCTGGGCTGGGTTGAGCAAGCCTACGCAGACAAGTGTGTGTGTGGACCATCCGCACCTCCAGCCCCCACCCCACCCTCTTTGTCTCAGCGTGTTATGTGCAATGACCTATTTAAGGTAAACCCATTCCAACTACAGCAGTTCAGGGCTGATCCAAGCACTGCCTCCCTCCTGCTCTGTCCAGGTGGTCTGGACCATAAACTCAACTTGAGAGGGAAGGCTTGGGGTTGAGGACTTGTGATCAGAAAAACTGAAGATGGAAGTTTTGGCCGGTGCTCATTAGACATGAGTCCTCACTCTGTGTCCTGAGCCCGTGTCATTCTTCCAACCTCCCTGCCCCCACACACTTATCCCAGACACAACACCATGTGGTCTGGAGGTCCCAGCCCCCACCCTAAAAAGGTTATCCCTGAGAACTCCACCAGACTTGGGAGCCCAAGTGCAGTGCCTGGTGCTGCTCCCATCTGCCGCCCCCCTTCTCTCCTGCAATTGGTTTGTACTCACTGGGCTGTGCTCTCCCCTGTTTACCCGATGTATGGAAATAAAGGCCCTTTTCCTCCTGGCTGCGCCAGTTTTCCTGCCTGTTCCTTCAGGCTCAGGCAAAGTCTGGATTGGTCCTGGGGGTGGTGGGCAGAGGCAGGATTCTGATGGGGACCGTGAGGGCATCACCCTGGTCTCTGGCCTGCTCCCCAAAGTGTCAGACCAGTGCCACTTAAAGAGCCTAGGCAGCTCATTTTGGGGCAGGCAGAGGTAGTGGAATGAGGGGATTGGCCAAGGAAGACACAAGCCCCACCTTTTATGTGAAGAGCCTAGGGACTGTGATTCAGGTTAGCAAGGGTGGCAGAGACTCCAAGCCTCATCCTCCCTAGCCTCCACAAGGGAATGTTGAGGTCCCTCTGATTGTTAAATCTCACCAATTACAGAGATTCTCTTCTCTTCTCTTCTCTTCCTCCTTCCGTCCCTCCCTCTCTCCCTCTCTCTCTCTCTTTCTTTCTTTCATTCTCTTTCTTTTTGGATTCAAGCCCTTCTCATTAGAACATTTTTTAAAAGCTTAATTTTAGCCATTTCAAAGGTGACTTTTTGATCAAAACTTGGCAGAACTAGCTCGGGCCCACAGGGCAATGTGAATAGGTTGGGAGTGCTGTCTCTGCCCTGCTCGGTCCCTGTCTTCATGCCCTACTCCATGCTTTGTTCCTTCATTGACAGCTAAGAGGCAGCTCATGCAGAAAGGCAAGAAACAAATGACACCCCTCCTCCTCTTCTACCTTCTACCTTCTCATTCTGTAGTGTGGCCAGTTATAATCCCTGAATGAATAAAGTAGTTTGGACAGATGGGTGGGAAAAAATAGCAAACAGCCCAAGTGCCGAGGCTCTGATAATGTCAGCCATCCAGAAAGAGTCCAAAAGGGAAGAAGGGAGAAAAGTCTCCCCCAAAATGAATGGGACAGAGTGTGAAGTGGATCTGTCTCGAACAGAGACTGCCCCCTCCATTGCCCCACGATAGAACAGAGAAGAGGATAGAAACAATAGTAAAAGGGAAGTTACTTGTCTTTTGGAGACAGAGTCTTGCTATGTCGCCCAAGCTGGAATGCAGTGGCATGATCTCAACTCACTGCAACCTCTACCTCCCGAGGTTCAAGCGATTCTCCTGCCTAAACCCTCCGAGTAGCTGGGACTTAACAGACGTGTACCACCACGCCTGGCTAATTTTTGTATTTTTAATAGAGACGGGGTTTCGCCATGTTGAGCAGGCTGGTCTCGAACTTCTGACCTCAAGTGATCTGCCTGCCTCGCCTCCCAAAGTGCTAGGATTATAGGCATGAGCCACTGTGCCTGGCCTAAGTTACTTTTTTTTACAAAAAAAAAAAAAAAAAAAAAAAGGCTGCTAGCTTATGTTCAGTTCTGTCACTCTCATCTTTTATTCCTGTTTTCACATAGCGTGGTACATTTTCTGTTTCTACTAGGGACTAGTGTGACAAACTCCCTGCCACCTTTAGATGAATTCCCAAATCTGTTCACTCATACTGAGTCAAGCCTCTGGTTAACTGGAAACTCCAACATCAACCTCCAATAACCCGGCCTGGGGTAAAAAGCTTTGTTCAAGTCAGAAAACATATTCATTTGCTTAACAGTTGAGAAATATTTCATGACTGCCTGCTGTGCCTAGGCCCCATTCTGGGTGCTGGTGATGGATAAGGTCCCTTCCTTCATAAAGTGGAGGAAGGTAGACACAAAATACATGCTGCACCTGCTAGTATGCATAAGCTTAGAGTGGGTAGAGAGGAACACATCATAGTATCCATCCTCCAGGGTTTTGCGGACGAGGGCTGGAGCAGACCCATGTGGAAATAATTACATAAGACCTAACAAGGATGAAGAGGTTGCTTTGGACATACTATGGAGGGAGATGCTCTCTTTGGCGGGGAGGATTGGGAAAGCCTCTAAAAGGAGCTGCTATTTTGACCAGGGCTTGAAAATAGCACTTCCACAGGTACAGTTGCTGGGAAAGGCATATTGAGAAGAAGAAGAGTTTAAGTAAAGGTCCTGGGGCAGGGAAAGAGAGGTGCTGGTAGAACATGCCACAGGCTGGCTGTGCATTGTCACATGACCAGTGCTTCTCCAAGTTTCAGTTGAGAAGGAGACAATTCCCTTGGCCCCAGAGGAGTCCAGGAGCCTTTAGGGCCACCAAAGCCCATCTTTATTTTGGGTGTACCTTGAAGGCTCTGCTGTTGACCTTACCTGTACACTCATGGTACCTCTGGTCCCTAAGATGTTGCAGAAGGCAAATCTGGCCCTTTGCCAGGCTCAAAGCCAGCCTGCTAGATCCTCCTCTATAACTGCAGATCCCCGGGATTGCTCTGACTCCTGAATAAGCATGGGCGGGAACCAGTGCCCCTGTGGGACTCCCCATGGTGCCCAGTCTGTGCCCAGAAAATAAAGTGGCAGGCAGTGACCCCTAAATGGTCTTCTTTTGTCTTTGTGTCTCCTTGGCAGATTATCCCAGTTGTCCTTGCCCCATCCTCCACCCACTTGCCTGGTGGCAAAGACACTTAGCGATTTGCTCCTTAATTGTCCCCCAGCTAGGCTGCGCAGATGCCGCTCTTTAATCTCTCCTGATAAATGAATCGCGCCGCTCCTTTAATCATATGTTCATATCCAAGCCAATTTGAATCAATTTGGCAGGGAGCGTGTTGCAAGAGATGCCATGACTGCTGTTTCTTCCCCAGGGCCCTGGAGCCAGAGCGGCTGCTGTCCTTACCCTCAGCAAAGAGCCCAGGAGGCCCATCCAGGGAAAGGATCGCCTACCTGAATAGTGGGGACTTTTCAAAGTCTTCTAATTCATTCCTGACCTCCAAGCTGGCCGTGTGGGACTGGAGGGAAATGGATTCCCAAAGGCCTCGGAAGTGGGAGGGGGATGAGTCCCTAGCCTGCCTTGGTCACTGAATGAAGGGCCCCATTATCATCCCTGGGAGAAAGTACTGCCTTAAATCTAACCCTAATCCCTTCTGTTCCCCGTTCATTTCCACTGCACCGGTTCTCTGGGAAGCTGGAACACTTCGTCACCTTTTATATAGCAACACATTCCAGACAAGTCTATGATAATTTGTCCTTGCCTGCTTCTACTGGCGGCCACCCTGACTCCTTCCATCTTCTCCTAGGACATATTTTCTAAAACCTCCAGCCTGGTGGGCAGTCCGACACGTTCGGTAATGTACCAAGCTCTGCCGCCTTTCAGGCTGCTGCCTTTTCACCTCCAGAGTGGTGCCCCCGTGCAGTAATGAAAACAAAGCAAAAATAGACAAAACCTGCCAAACTGAGTTCTTCTGCGTCTAGCACTGCGACCTTGGAGAAGGGGCTTAACCTGTCAGGCCTCAGTTTCCCCATCTGTGAAACAAGGTAGTATTGCTGGCAAGAACCTTCTGGCTTCTAAATTCAGAGCTCCTTACCACAGCCAAAAGAATCTCCCACGCCCTCCCCCTTCATCCCCCCTAGTGAGGGACTGACAGTTGATGCCCAGTGGGGCTTCGAGATCCGGGTGCTGTGGAAGAAACGTTGTGCATGGTCTGTCGGGAGTTAGTTTCCATTCAGACACTCGGTTGAACCTCGAGGTCCTCTCATTTCCTCTTCTTCCCTAGCCCGCTCTGCCAGTCCAGGCTTGTGCCCTACCATTCACTGGGAAACCGAGAGCTCGTTAGCATATTCATATATATATTTGCATATCCACTTTTCATTGGCGCACGTGGCCCTCTGGTCCCGCCCCTGCCTGGAGGTTCTTTACGCACTTCCCAGAAGCCACTCCCCTTAAAAGAAATGGGTTTTCAAGCCGCCGATGGGCAGCCCATCTGTGTTGCCCTTTTAATGATTACAGCGGCATTAGGACAGGTCTACTCTCCGAGCAACCCGGAAATAATGTTTCCCGCCCTTTTAAGGGCCCTTGGAACTCTGGCCTGAGCTGAGGCCCAGAGTCAGTGACTGGGACTGACAGGCCCCTTCCTACCCTGTCAGTAGTGAGAGGAGGGTAATAAGAGCAATAATTGGCCGGGTGCGGTGGCTTACGCCTGTAATCCCAGTACTTTTGGGAGGCCGAGGAGGGTGGATCACCTGAGGTCAGGAGTTCAAGACCAGCCTGGCCAACATGGTGAAACCCCATCTCAACTAAAAACAATACAAAAATTAGCCGTGCGTGGTGGCAGGCACCTGTAATCCCAGCTACTTGGGGGGCTGAGGCAGGAGAATCGCTTGAACCCGGGAGGCAGAGGTTGCAGTGAGCCAAGATCGTGTCATTGCACTCTGGCCTAGGGGACAAGAGAGAGACTTCATCTCAAAAAAAAAAAAAAAGGACCAACAACAGTTCCCATTTGTTGAGCACTTACTATGATGACCCCAGCGCTTAAGCACTTTGCCCTACAAAATCTCATTTCACCTCCATCACAACTCTGTGAAGACGTCATCCTGGAAAGAAAACTGAGGCTGAGGGGTGATGTCATCTTTCTAAGCAGAGTCCTCAACTTGCTTCCAGCAGCTGGCCAGGCGTCTCCTAACTATTCTGGCCTTGGCAGAGGATGCAGTGAGAGGCAAGAAAGCAAAGAATCACTACCATGGTCCTCATCTCAAATCGCGTGTGCCTGGCATTCGCCAAGTCCTGGCCTCAGAAAGGAAACGCTTCTTGGCAATTTGGGGGGAAAATATCTACTTCACATTTGCGTCGCGCTTCACAATTTTCAGAGCATCCCCCATATATTATCACATTTTCACTTCACTCCCACTGTGCCAGCAATATGAATAACAGTTCCACATCGCTCAGAATGCATATTTTAAGCTATATTCACTTCAGTCTAATTTCATTACAGTACAACAACAATCCAGACCATTCCCTGCTATTTGATCTGGGAGGAAAGATTTCCAGAGCAGTAGCCATTTTGGAGTTAACAAGGATACTGGATGTGTTTAGAAGGAATTGTACAGAGAAATTGAGTCTTCTGTAGCGTGAGCCCCAGAGATGGGTCATAAACATAAGGGAGATTCCAAAAAGAGTGTGTGCTTTGCGACTGAAGTCAGTCACATAAATCCCCCAGTGGAATACTTATATGTGCAGATAGAATTTGCTGTAGATATCAAAAGTCAGCTATGACAGTTTTAGAAGAAAAGAAAATTCAAAAAGGATATTACGTTTTGACACTATCCAGCCAAATTATATTTGAAGTGGCTTAAGAGTCAAAGAGTTTCCACATTTTAAGAAATTTTTATATGTTTTGTGCCACATCTATGATCTGACTAGATTAGGAAAAGCAGCAAATGGATTTGGGAAAGAGAGGACACTAGGGAATTTGAAAATGGAAATTTAAAAAAAAAAGGAGTTAAGGCTGAGGTGGGTGGATCACCTGGAGTCAGGAGTTCGAGACCAGCCTGGCCAAGATGGTGAAACCCCCTCTCTACTAAAAATACAAAAATTAGGCCGGGCACGGTGGCTCACGCCTGTAATCCCAGCACTTTGGGAGGCTGAGGCGGGTGGATCACGAGGTCAGGAGATCAAGACCATCCTGGCTAACACGATGAAACCCCATCTCTACTAAAAAAATACAAAAAATTAGCCGGGCATGGTGGCGGGTGCCTGTAGTCCCAGCTACTCGGGAGGCTGAGGCAGGAGAATGGCATGAACCCAGGAGGCGGAGCTTGCAGTGAGCAGAGATCCGAGCCACTGCACTCCAGCCTGGGCGACAGAGCAAGACTCCGTCTCAAAAAAAAAAAAAAAAATTAGCTGGGCGTGTTGGCGGGAACATGTAATCCCAGCTACTCGGGAGGCTGAGGCAGGAGAATCCCTTGAAGGTGGAGTTTGCAGTGAGACGAGATCATGCCATTGCACTCCAGCCTGGGCGACGGGTGAGACTCTGTCTCAAAAAGAAAAAAAGGAGTTTAAAAAAATCTCTGCATGGGGAAGATATAGCCAATAGCTTCGGAAACATTAGCACTTTGAAAGACCGGTGAGTGACAGGCAGCCAGGCAAATATAAAATTGTATGTGATGAAAGAGGTCTCATGGCTCATCTTAACCCTGGGGCCTGGCATCAACTGCAGGTTGGCACCCTTGCTTGAGGACTGCTGGGGGACTACTGTCCAAGGAAGAGTGACCCTAGTGAGTGCACTCCCTGGAAGGTTCTGCCCTGGAAGCACAGGTCTCATGGCCTGCCTTTGTGGGTTCCGGAGAACATCTGTGGGAGCTACTGTTTCTGGTGGAAACATACTCAGCCACTGGGCAGGTTTTAATAGTAGAAAGGAGCTTCTGCTCCCAGGAACCGACAAAATAAGCCTAGAGAACCAACTAGAAAGTGAGGCAGTCTTACAGCTCTGTTAATGGGTTCCTAAGGTTACATATAGACATGACAAAAGTAGAAGGGAAAACACAGATCAATAAATAAATATTAGAAGGGACCTCTGAAAACTATAAGTAGTTTTACCTGGGGATGTGGGGTTATAGATGAAGTGGCTGTGCTTTCAATACCAAGTTTTCATACAATTTTTAAAAGTCAGTACAGATGTGTGTAGCAACACCAAAGAAGGCCCCAAATTGTCATATTAGCATGATTATAAGAATCACTTCTTTCCCAACATTTCATATACAGAAATCATAGCAGGCGGGTGGGCGGGAGGGGGTAAACCGTGTGGCAAAGCTGCTTAGAAACTGCTTAGATCCCTTGCTCAGGGAAAGCCATTCTTAAAGCAGCAGGCTTCTCTCGGCATGGCTGAGAGGGAAGCTGGAAGAGGAACAGATTGGAGGGTGGAACATGAACAGGGTATTTAGGGGAGGCGAGCAGCGCAGATGAGACAAGAGCATCTAGATCAAGCCCTCCCATGCAGCTGAGAGCCCTGCAGGTGATCGGTTTAGGTGAGGCTGTTTTTGTTAAAGGGACTGGCAGTGGGGTTGGGATGAGGAGGAGCCAAGAGTTGAGAAGGTCATTTAGGACATTTGTGTCATAGTGATATACTTTTTTTTTTTTTTTTTTTTTAAGATCTGCAAGGTGGGGACATGGCTCAGTGGCCAGACTTTGTGCCTGGCTGGTAGATTTGTGCTTCTAATACATGGTTCCATCTAAGAAGGTGTAGCCCCTTAGGGAAGTATTGTTGCTGACTTGAGTGACCAGTGAGTTTCTCTGAGAAATTGGAAAATGTGGGATCCCTAGTAAAAGGGAAGCCCAGGGGTTGAGGCATCCTGGCAGGTCTGGGAGGAGCAAGTCCCCTGGGGTGTGGGTGTGATCTCCCTCTCCCTCCCCACCCCTACTCCTTGCTCCCCAGCAGAAATCAGCTACAAATCTCAGCTTGTTGGGAACAGATGGCCTTGGCTGACGAATAAACCACCGCAGGCTGCTCCACCTGTTCTCGGGCTGGAATAATCAGCTCGAGACAAACATCAGCGCTGAAATAACTCATGGCAGCGGGTGATGCGCAGGCACTGATTCCAAAAATCTCTTAAGCAGCCCCCCTCCAACTCTCCCCTCCCCAGCCCCTAGAGGCCATGGGGGAAGGTAATGGAGCACAGAAGACAGATAGAGCCCCAAACTGAGCAGGAGGCCGGAGCTAGTAGTGCCACCAGCGGAAATGGGTGGAGGACAGGGCTGAGATGTGCGGCAGGGTGGGGGCATCCACTTCAGTGGTGCAGGAAATTATTTCTCAGGAGCACGTGGAGAACATGGGCATTCCTGTGTTGGTCCATGGGCCAAGGCTGAGGAGACTCAACTAGTCCAGGATGGTAGATACCTGAGCATTTAGGATTCATTTGATTTGTTCATTGAAGGAGTGATGTGCAAGTAGGGTCAATCTACCGGGGAATCTCTCAGCAGCTCACACAGTTCTGGCAGCAACCACTGGGGTCTTCTCCTGCTCCCTCTGTCGATGGGTGTCTGGGTGCCCACAGTTGTACAGATTTGCGTTCAGCCTTCCCCGATCCCCGAAGAAGTCAGCTGGGCTAACGTTCCCTGGCACTAGCAGATGAGCCCATGGGAGGAGTGACAGTGCAGGGAAGCAGTGGTGATGGGCAGTGGGGGATGCCAACTGAGATGGGGGTCTGAATCCCTGTGAAGCTGGTCAGGAGAGGGCAGGGAGACAGAGAAGAAGCTGATTGTTTGCATTGGTTGCCTCAGTCAGCCGGCACCCTCAGTCTGGCCTCCAGGCCTAGTACATGAAACATGGGGACTCCAGAGGCTGTGTGGGCTTACAGTGAAGCAGCTTGCAGAGCCTTCCAAACCCCAAGTTGCGTCTCTAAGTGCCAGTTATTCTTTCCCCAAGTGGCTCTGTGCTGCCCAGGGCCCAGGACATTGGAGACTGAGCCCTCCCCTCTTATTTAGGGTCCTGCAAACCTGTTCTCCTCCAAGCTGGTTCTGCCCGCAGAGTTGCCGAGGTGGCACTTGTCCTTCTAAGTGGCTGGCTCTGAGGTTCTCACCCCTGGCTGTTTTGGTTTATATACAAAAAGTTTTAAAATAATAGTATAATGAATGAACCTGTTGATATGGTTTGGCTGTGTCCCCACCCAAATCTCATCTTGAATTGTAGTTCCCATAATCCCCTTGTGTTGTGGGAGGGACCTGGTGGGAGGTAATTGAATCATGGGTGCAGTTACCCCCATGCTGTTCTTGTGATAGTGAGTGAGTTCTCAAGAGATCTGATGGTTTTGTAAGGGGCTTTTCCACTCTTCACTCTGCACTCATTCGCTCTCCTGCAGCCCTGTGAAGAGATGCCTTCCATCATGATCGTAAGTTTCCTGAGGCCTTACCCAGTCATGCAGAACTGAGTCAATTAAACCTTTCTTTATAAATTACCCAGTCTCGGATATTTCTTCATAGCAGTGTGAGACTGGACTAATACACCTGTTTACCCATCAAGCAGCTTCAACAGTTATCACACCTCAGGATGCTGAGATGGGAGGATTCCTTGAGCCCAGGAGCTCAAATTCAGCCTGGGAAACATAGTGAAACTCCTGTATCTTAAAAAATATATATAATTTAAATTTTTTTTTTTGAGACGGAGTCTCATTCTGTTGCCCAGGCTGGAGCACAGTGGCACAATCTCAGCTCTCTGCAGCCTCCGCCTCCCAGGTTCAAGTGATTCTCCTGCCTCAGCCTCCTGAGTAGCTGGGATTACAAGCACACGCCACCACGCCCAGCTAATTTTTGTATTTTTTTTAGTTGAGACGGGGTTTCACCATGTTGGCCAGGCTGGTCTCGAACTCCTGACTGCAGGCGATCCACCCGCCTCGGCCTCCCGAAGTGCTGGGGTTACAGGCTTGAGCCCACCGCACCTGGCCTTAATTTAATTTAAAATAAGAATAATTAAAACAGTTATCAACAGGGAATCTTGCTTTGTTGGCAACCCTGCCCACTTCCCCATTCTCTTCACTGTATTATTTTGAAGCTGACAGACATGATGTCATTTCACCAGGAAATAGTTTAGTATTCCTCAAAGAAAAGAAAATGAGGCCAGGCACGGTGACTTACATCTATAATCCCAACAGTTTGGAAGACCAAGGCAAGCAGATCACTTGAGCCCAGGAGTTTGAGACCAGCCTGGGCAACATAGGGAGACCCCATCTCTACAAAAAATAAAAATAATTAGCTAGGTTGAGGTAGAAGGATCACTTGAGCCTGGGAGGTCAAGGCTGCAGTGACCTGTGATAGCACCATTGCACTTCAGCACTTCAGCCTGGGCAACAGAGTGAGAGGATGTCTCGAAAAGAAAAAAGAAAAGAAAAGAAGAAAAGAAAAGGAAAGGAAAGGAAAGGAAAATGACTTTTTTTTTTTAGATGGAGTCTCGCTCTGTCGCCAGGCTGGAGTGCAGTGGCATGATCTCAGCTCACTGCAACCTCTGCCTCCCGGGTTCAAGTGAGCCTCCTGCCTCAGCCTCCTAAGTATCTGGGACTATAGGCGTGTGCCACCATGCCCAGCTAATTCTTTGTATTTTTTAATAGTGACGGGGTCTCACCATGTTGGCCATGATAGTCTCCATCTCTTGACCTCGTGATCTGCTCCCCTCAGCCTCCCAAAGTGCTGGGATTACAGGCATGAGCCACTGCACCTAGCCAACTTTTTTCTTTTTTTTAAATAGAGACAAGATCTTGCTCTTTTGTCCTGGCTGGAGGGCAATGGCATGATCATAGCTCACTGCAGCCTCAAACGCCTGGCCTCAAGTGATCCTCCCACCTTGGCCACACAAAGCACTGGGATTACAGATATGCGACATCACACCCAGCCAGAAAATGACTCTTTAAAAAATATAATCACAATACTCTTATCACACCTAAAAAATGATCAATAATTCCTTAACACAAAACATCCAGTCAATGTTTAAACTTCCCTGATTTTATTATATAGTTTTGTTATGTATTTTATAATATATATTTTAAAATTGGTCTGTTTAAACTAGGATCCAAATAAAATTGAAGAGCTTTTTAAAAAATATGGTGCCTAGGGCCTTCTCCCTTGGCGATTCTAATTTAAATGGTCTTAGGTGGGTCCCAAGCATCATCTTTTTTAAAGCTCCCCAGGTGGTTATAATGTGCAGCCAGGGTTGAGAAATGCTCTGCCTTTCCCCCTACCAGCTTCCGGCCAACTCTTCCGTGTTCATGCCATTAAATACTTCTCCCCGTTTCTGACCAGCTGATCAGGCAGCTCCCAGAGCCGCTCCGATCAGGTGAGGGCTGCCCATCTTCTCCAGGTTCCTCTTTCAAGGTGGGTGCTAACTCCCTGTGGATACAGCATTCCCTTTCCCTACAGATTCTCATACCATGTACATCTGTTCCTATTTCTTTCTCCCCTAATATACCTGGTGCGTGTTCCTGCCTTACAAGCGTAGCAGATTTTTTTTTTTTTGCGTGAAAATAGCAAAATTCCTGCCTCAGGAAAAAGTGAGAACTTCCCTGGGGGCTGTACTCACTTGACTGCTCCAACGCCTCAGTGCTGTGCTGGAGCTGAGCACGGGGCCTGCTGGGGGCCTTGGCAGCAGTTGTAAGGGAGCCCGGGGATTCGAGTGGGACTTGAACCCGGCACATGTCGGGGAATCTAAGAAACTTTTCTCTCCTGAAGATGCTGGCCCCAGGAGCATTTTGGAGAGTGATGCCCACGTCCTTAGCTCTGTGCCTCTGCTCGCAGCTGTGAGCCTCCCTTCCCACGGCTGCTGTTTCCATTCTCCAGCCCCCGACCCCTTCACTCCACTTGCCTTTTGGACTTGTTCCTCTCTCCCATGCCACCCCCATTCCATGTCTCACTGAATGTTGGTGAAACAAATCTAGTCTAAAATAATGAGCAATCAACTACCCCGATGCTTGGGGGCAGGCTGGGCAGGGGCTGGGGGAAGGGGTAGGAGCTGAATCATTTATAAAGCTGAATAAAGATGCAGATGAGCAGTGCTAACTAGGAACCCCAGAGCTGGGCTTATTCATTATTCAAAGTTATGTAAATGTCATAGGTCCTGCCTGTTAGAATCCCACCCCTTGTCTCTGTGGCTCCTTCAGGGCTGACGGATCCAGCCCACCTTGGGCCTCCCCCATTCTCCCTAACCCAGGTGCCTGCATTAGCCCTGCCTTAGGCCCAGATATTTATTTCAGACCCTACCCCCAGGGTAATAAAAATCTTAGACCCCCCTTTCTAGCCAGCAGTCGTCCAGAAGTTTTGAGGGGAGGCCCTGGCCTTCAGACGAGCCTCTACAGGCCCAAATAGCAGAGCTTCTAATTTTTTAAGATTTCCAAGGAAAGAATATAAGTATGCTCATCTACATGTTTTAGTATCTCATGAATCTACCTAATGGGATGGATTTCCTGAAGTCTAACTTTAATCCCTCTTGCTGCTCTAACAGCCCACCACTTAAAAAACCAAATTCTCTTTCATCACTCTTCTGAGAAGAAAATGCAGGCTTGGAGTTACTTTGTAGCCGACTGTCTCCAGACCGACTCGGCCATGTTTTCTCCTTTGACCTTTCTAGATAGTTGACCCTCCTTCCTGGGTACACTCACATTCCTTAAGCTGTTAAACCCATTCTGGGATGCCAAACTCTGCTGGGGTCCAAACTGGTACTGAGGATAGTATACACCTCCTCCTCTCCCCACCACGATCCCTGACTGGTACCCCACGATCGCCTGGGTCTTAGAACTCAAATTACTTTGCCCTGACTCTCCTCCCTCTTTGCCAGTCTTTCCCGATTTCCCCACCATCTCCTCATCTTTTGGTGAGGCTGAAATGAAAAATTGGGTCAGAGTCACGAAGGCATCGATTGCCTCTGCTCTCCCTTCTTTCCTGGCCTGGCTTTCTTTCCTCCCGCCCCCAATCTATTTTCAGCCTGCCTCTGCTTTCCTCAGTCTGCTTGCCAACCAGGCCAGCCTCTTTCTCTTCGTTGCCCTTATCTCTCCCCTGCAGCCTGTGCAGACCCCAGCTGCCCTTCCAGAGGTCTCTTCTTGCCTGCCCGATTGATTTTGATTTTCTTCCATCCTGAAGATATGTACGGCCTGCCTGAAAGGGGATGCCTGGCCACGCTCAGGCAGAAGGGAAGCAGAGAGAGAATACTGGTTGATCTGCTTTGGAAAATCCTTCGATATAACTGAAACCCTCAAGTTATCCTAGGACCCCTTCTACAATGACTTTTGCTTTCCTCTAGGCCCAGAGACTATTCCCAACATCTCCTCTACTATCCCACCCCATCCCACCTAAGAATGGCTGGTTTCCTCCCACTTGGGCACTCTGGGCCCATTTCTTTTGGCTTTAGGGGTGCGTGGCATCCCTGGAGGTCCTGACCTGCCTTCGTGGTCTGCACATTGCCAGTCTCTTCTTTCCTGCTTCTTGTCTGTCTCCTTTCTTCGCTGGCCCGATCCATCCCCCCACACCCATCCTCCCTCACTCACCCCCCTGCCTCCTCCCACTCTTTCCTGTGCTCATCTAGAGAGGCCTCCGCCAGCTGAGGCAGGGCTTGGGAGCAGCCCCCACTCGTCCTTTCTCAGCCCCTGGGAGACACTGGTCCATCCTTTAGCTGTCACCAACAAGCTGAATAAGGCTGGATATTTTGGAAGGGGAGCTGCAGCTGGCTGGGGGAAGGGGTGGCACTGAGAGAAGCCAGAGGGAACTGCAGGCAGCTGTGGGGTGAGAGGGGGCATTCTGAGCATCTTAGCTTCCCAACTTTCTCGGCTTGGGAGCTGGTGGGATCTTATTCTGGCCCTTCTCTGTGTCTCATTTGTCTGTCCCCACCAGTGATAACACAATACCTTGCTTTACAACTCATCACATTCTTTCACCTGCATCCGAAGGCCTGCATGGCTCACTCCTTCTCCTTCAAGTCTGCTCAAAGGCCCTCCTCTGTGAGTCCTCCTCTGACCACCCACCTGAAAGGTCAGACCCTCCCCCAGCACTCCCTGTCACCTCCTCATCACCTGCCTCTGTTTTGTCCCCAAAGCACTTATCACCTTCTAATTTATAATTACTTACGTGAATTGCCTATGTGTCTCCTTCTCACTGGACTGTAAGCTTTGTAAGAATGAGATTTTTTTTTAGGCCAGGCGCGGTGGCTCACGCCTATAATCCCAGCACTTTGGGAGGCCAAGGCAGGTGGATCACTTGAGGCCAGGAGTTCAAGACCAGCCTGGCCAACATAGGGAAACCCCGTCTCTACTAAAAAAAAAAAAAAAAAAAAAAAAAATTAGCCAGGCGTGGTGGCACATGCCTGTAATCCCAGCTACTCAGGAGGCTGAGACAGGAGAATCACTTGAATCCAGGAGGTGGAGGTTGCAGCGAGCTGAGATCGCACCACTGCACTCCAGCCTGGGCAACAGAGTGAGACTGTGTCTCAAAAAAAAAAGAATGAGATTTTTTTAAAAATTGTCGTCAAAAACACGTAACGAAATTGACTATCTTAACCACTTGTAAGTCTACAGCTAAGTGGCATTAAGTACATTCGCACTGTTGTGCAGCCAATCTACAGAACTCCTTTCATCCTGCAGAACTGAAAACCTGTACCCATTAAACAAATCCCCATTTCTTCCTCCTCCCAGATCCTGGCAACCACTATTTACTTTCTGTCTCTATGACTCAGACTACCCTAGATACCTCATATGTATGAAGTGAAATAATACCACTTGTGTTTTTGTGACTGGCTTATTTCACTTAGCATAATGTCCTCAAGTTTCATCCATGTGGTGGCATGTATCAGAATTCCCTTTATTTATTTATTTATTTATTTATTTTTATTTATTTATTTTAGACAGGGTCGTGCTCTGCTGCTCAGCTCACTGCAACCTCCACCTCCCAGGTTCAATTGATTCTTATGCCTCAGTCTCCCGAGTAGCTGGAATTACAGGCTTGTGCCACCACACCTGGCTAATTTTTTTTTTTTTTTTTTTTGAGATAGGATCTCGCTCTGTTGCCAGGCTGGAGTGCAGTGGCATGATCTTGGCTCACTGCAACCTCTGCCTCCTGGGTTCAAGAATTCTCCTGCCTCAGCCTCCCGAGTAGCTGGGACCACAGGCACACACCACCACACCTGGCTAATTTTTGTACTTTTAGTAGAGACAGGGTTTCACCATGTTGGCTAGGATGGTCTCGATCTCTTGACCTCCTGATCCACCTGCCTCGGCCTCCCAAAGTGCTGGGATTACAGGCGTGAGCCACTGCACCCTGCCTAATTTTTGTATTTTTAGTAGAGACAGGGTTTTGCCATGATGGCCAAGCTGGTCTCCAACTCCTGGACTCAAGTGACCCACCTGCCCTCGGCCTCCCAAAGTGCTGGGACTACAGGTGTGAGCCACCATGCCCAGCCAGAATTCCGTTTATTTCTAAGGCTGAATAACATTACATTGTATGTACATACCACATATTGTTTATCCATTCATCCATCCATGGATGCCTCGGTTGTTTCTACCTCTTGGCCATCGTGAATAATGCTGCTCTAAACAGGGGTGTATAAATAACTCTTTGAGATCCTGTTTTCAGTTCTTTTGGGCATATACCAGAAGTGTAACTGCTGGATCATATGGTAATTCTATTTTTAATTTTTTGAGGAACAACCATGCTGTTTTAGAACAGGGATTTTTATCTGTTTTGTTCACTGATGTATCTACGGTGCCTCACATAGTGCCTGACACATAATAGAGGCTCACTCAGTATTTGTGTTTTGAACAAATGCATGAATGAATGATCTTATTTGATCCTCAGACACCCCTGTGGAGCTGGTTGGCATTATTATTCCCATTTACAGATATAATACTCCCATTTTACAGAGGCTGAGGTTCAGGGAACCATCTGAGATCACACAAAAAGCAGACTTGGCATGGGGTTGACAGGCTTGGCTGGCTTTTTTTTTTTTTTTTTGAGACTGAATCTTGCTCTGTCACCTAGGCTGGAGTACAGTGGTGCAATCTCGGCTCACTGCAACCTCTGCCTCCCAGGTTCAAGTAATTCTCCTGCCTCAGCCTCCTGAGTAGCTGGGACTACAGGTTCCCGCCACCACGCCCGACTAATTTTTGTATTTTTAGTAGAGATGGGGTTTCGCCACATTGGCCAGGCTGGTCTCGACCTGCTGACCTCAGGTGATCTGCCCCGCTCAGCCTCCCAAAGTGTTGGGATGACAGGCATGAGCCATGGCGCCCGGCCTTGGCTGGCTTTTATAACTCACTGGAGAATCAGTGCTAATACATGTGCCTAGGACCTTAAGGACTCAGGCAGTTGAAGAGCCATTTCCTCTGTGTTGTATTTCCTTTGGGGATATTTGTACTGTCATTCTCACTGCCTGCTCCTCCCCACTCTGTGACTCCCCCTAACACATCTGCCACTCCCAGTCCCAGTTTTTCTCTCTAGAGCATTTTAGCTCCTGTTCTGGGGTTGAACTGGCCCGATGTGGAGATCCTCCAGGTGGGTTTCATCTGAGTGCATCCAGACTTGCTCGAGTCCCTGTTACCACCCCTCACCCCTCCACCCACCCTGGGGTGGTTATAAGCCTGTTCCCTTCCAAAGCAATTAGTGCAAGGAGGCCAGCCAACTCGGTGCTAATGCTGTTTCATTAAGTGGGAGCAATCCTAATGATAATAAAATGGCACATTTAACATTCAAACATTGAACAGGGTTTCTAAGCGAGTGTGTCTCTCTCTTTCTTTCTGGTATAACAGCTCCATCTTCATAAGGACCTGACAATACACCTTAATGAGAGACTGGGGAGCTGAGCATCTTCACACAACCAGAGAGGGGGTGAGGAGGAGACAAAGAATCCAGAGAAAGGGGGTGCAGCGCATTGAGGGGATAAAGACTCCAAGGGTTCCTGGGTTAATGGATTCTGTGGTGCTAATTTAGACAATTAGAGCCTGGAAGAAATGAGGTCACACAGAAAAGAAAGCCCGCTACAGACTTAATGCAGGGCAGTTATTTATTTGTTCAACAAATATTTATTGTTCATCAAAGACGAGCCAGATTTTATGGGCATTTGTGATGGAGGCTGGCCTTAGCTTTAGGAGAAGGAACTCCAAGAGCAGTAGTGATCTCTGAGATCACCTTGTTCACCCTCCTCGGGGCAGATTTAGTCAAATCCATCCCAAGCTCTTCAAATATACCAGCAAAGAGGTTTTTTTTGTTTTGTTTTTTTTTTGAGACAGAGTCTCACTCTTTTTGCCCAGGCTGGAGTGCAATGGCGCAATCTCGGCTCACTGCCACCTCCACCTCCCGGGTTCAAGTGATTCTCTTGCCTCAGTCTCCCAAGTAGCTGGGATTACAGGCATGCGCCACCACACCCAGCTAATTTTGTATTTTTAGTGGAGATAGGGTTTCACCATGTTGGCCAGGCTGGTCTTGAATTCCTGGCCTCAGGTGATCCGCCTGTCTCAGCCCCCCAAAGTGCCGAGATTACAGGTGTGAGCCACCACACCCGGCCCCCAGCAAAGAGAATTTTTAACAACTGCTTTGGTCTCCAGAGCCAGTTCTTGTGCCCTCTTCTTACTGATATACCCATCTCAAACGTCCTTGCTACTCTGTGATTGTAGAATATCTGATCAACCTTCTGGGAGCGAGAAAGTAGTTGTGAATGGGGAGGTGGCCAAGAAAAGAAGGTAGACTCAATCGTCTGGTGTTTACGGGGGATTCAAGTGAGGCAGAAGAAAAAGGGAGCGGGCCAAGGAAAGAAGGTAGACTCAATCATCTGGTGTTTATGGGGGATTCAGGCGAGGCAGAAGAAAAGGATGATATCTCAGGGACACTCCCTTCATCTGAGACATCTTCTCCATCTGTGAAACTGGCTCCTGTGCACAGAAGGGAGGCTTCTGGCCAGAGGTCAAAGGTGGGCTTTGCCCAGGCTTGGGAAACGGCTGATTCGAAAAGGTGCCAAGTCATAAGATGGTGTTAATTTCATGCTTAATTCATACAGGATCTTCCCCACCACAGGGGCCAGCTTGAACCCGTGCCCTAGGAAGGGAAGAGCAGACTCTCAGGCAGCTTCACAGACAGAGGTTGAGCTCTCTGGACATCCCCTACTTACCCAGACAGGGCTGACTGTCCTCCTGGTCACATCCCAAAGCCAGAAGTGGCCTCCCACCATGAATACCCCTTTTCTGACTGCCCAGCCTCCTTATACCTACAATGTCCAGGCTTCACACCTATCTGGGCAGCTAAGAGTGTGGAAAATACCATTTCACCTGGCACTGAGGTAGGTCAGCTTTAAGGCACCCCATTCCCCCCAGCTCAGACTCACCAGAGAATCCAGCACCAATGACAATGTTGTCATACTTTGGGTGGCGATCGAGAATGAACTGCTCATCAGGGGTATTCTAGAAAGAAACAGTCACACCTTGTGTTCTTTGAGGCTCGAGGGAAGAGAAAGAACTGCAGGCTCTAACTGGAAGGGGATGGGCTGGATTTCTTTCCAGAAAGGATGGAATGAGGCACAAGGATGCTTTCCGCATGCCCGTGCCCCTCTGGGTGTGCCAGTCTTTTTCATTTGTCCGGCTGCCTTTCTTCTCGCACAGAGCTACGAACACAGTAGGTGTTCAGTTAATCTTTGTAAACTAACTTTAGCCAAGATGCCTTAGGCCGTGGTGACATCTGTCTCTTCTCTTTGTCCCTAAGGCCTGCTCAACTGGAGGAGCTTGCCAGAAAATCTTTTAGAGCTCTTCTGGGAATCAGAGTGAAGGACCGACTGCCAGGCATAACCTAGTTTCCTAATGAAGAAGAATAGGAATAATTTCGAACAGGACCCTCCCTGGTAGAGGTGAACCTACCCACAGAAATGAGCCCGTTTGTTTAAAGTCACACACTATGTCAGGGGTCAAACAATCGGGCCTGGCCAGTGCAAGGTCTGTCTCCTTCTTCCCTTCTGTAGAGTGGTGAGGGGGCCCAGCAAGGCTGCCCAGACCCCTTACCGTGTACATGCAGCTCTCAATGACAGCAGGCTCGGGCTTCAGATCAGGTAAGTGATCTCTGACAAAGCTGCTCAGGATCTGGACGTCTCCGATGTCTGTGCGTGCTGTGGGGCAGTCCCGCTCCTCAGGGTCTGCGTGGTTGCCGTGGTGATAGCTGACCTGGCTCCCAATCAGAGTGGCATGAGTGGTGAGGGCTGGCCTTCCACACACACCCACAGCCGAAGGGCAGGCGTGTACACAGGACAGCCCCATCCATCATTCCAGCCTTCCCCACTCCTGGCAGGTGCTGTGGGCTGTCACCTGAGGCTGCTTAGCTGTTGGTCCCTGCAACCACCCTATGTTTGCAAAGGAAGGGCTCCTTTTGCTGGGCCTCAGGGCAGCTGAGGGTCTTTCCTTGCAAATCGCCATGAGTGAAGCAGGCTCCTGCTGCTGGCCCCGAGACCCAAGGGCATCTATGGAGGGGAAAGTTAGAGCAGCTTCCCCTAATCTGCACTGGCATCTACCTGCCTTATCTCGGTCTTTCCGCTCACCTTCATCAGCCCTGGGTACTCTCCTGTGGGCAGTCCGTAGATGTGGTGGGGACACAAGCCCAGCCACAGGAAGCACGGAAAGGCCTGGGACACACCATAGCTCCCAGGAACCATCTCTCGCCAGTAACACACGTTGATCCGCAGGGTCTTGAGGCAGGGAGAGGAAGTGGGAAATGAAGAAAAGCCATGGAACTCTACAGCAATGAAAGCAGTTTCTCTGGGCCCCTGCGGCCCTCTAACACAAGCCTGGACACCCAGTTGAACTCATCCATGTTTGTCTCTCCCACTTCTCATGTTGTTTACCTGTTACATGTGTTATGATGCACAAACATCTCTGAGCCTCTGTCTCTTCTCCCATTCTTAGTTTTCTCCCATAACTACACCCAGCCCCCAGCCATATTTCTGTCTCTTTTCGGGAATTAATAAGACCTCAGGTTTATTGAGTGCTTACTATAAGCCAGGTTATGTCCTAAGGGCTTTATTTTTATTTTATTTTATTTTATTTTATTGAGACAGGGTCTTGCTCTGTCACCCAGACTGGAATGCAGTGGTAGAATCACGACTCATTGCAGCCTCAACCTCCTGGGCTCAGGCCAGCCTCCTGGGCTCAGCCTCCCAAGTAGCTGGGACTACAAGCACACGCCACTACACCTGGCTAATTTTTCTTAGTTTTTGTAGAAACAGGGTCTCGCCATATTGCCCAGGCTGGTCTTGAACTCCTGGGCTCAAGAAATTCTCCTGCTTTGGTCTTCCAGAGTGCTGGAATTACAGGTGTCAGCCACCACATCCGGCCTCTTAAAGGCTTTATATACAGCATATATTAGGTTAGTGCAAAAGTAATTGTGGTTTTTGCCATGACTTTGAACGGTAAAACTGCAATTACTTTTGCACCAGCCTAATAATTTAATTCTCCAACAGCCCTATGAGGTAGCTATCATCCCCCATATTACAGATGATAAAACTGAGGCTCGGTGAGGTGAATGAATGTGCCCAAGGTTGTCCACTAGCAAGAGGCAGATCCAGGACTCAAATTTGACTCCATCTGGTTCCAAGGCTTCTCTTGAGCACCAACTCTCGGGCTTCCAGCTCCTCTTACCTGGAGAGGCATCTCAATGCCCAGGGGACGGAGGAGCTGGTTGGTCCAAGGACCTGCTGTGATGACCAAGCTCTTAGCTTGGTAGCTCCTGGAGGTGGTTTTCACCGTGACCAGTAGCCCTGGGTTTATCTCCACCACCTTCTCTCCGTCACGCACTATGCCTCCTAGCTGTCGAATTGCATCCTGAAAGGGCAGGAGCAGGGAAAGGTGAATTAGTTCTGTATGTGGTTCACCCTGGTGGACAGAAAGCCTTTTGCCTGGGGCAGAAAAGAGTGCAGAATCTAGACCTGTCCTGTATTGACAAGGCCAGCCGCATATATTTCACTGCCCTGCTGGAAAAGTCAAGACTAAAGCCTGCAGGGCAAAGGCCTCATCCAGAGGGGGGTCTTGGGCTGGCTGCTTGGGACCCAGGACACCCAGAGCAGGGAGCACCTGCATCGCCCCAGTGCTATACGACATTACCTGCAGGGCTCTGAGGGCCTTATATGCATAGATAACTCCTCCGGAATTGTCCAAGAGCCCCACTTCTCCCCTGGGCAACCGAATATTTGGGAAACGTTGCTTCAGTTCCTCAGATGAAAGACACTGGTGTTCTACCCTCTGCCTCGACAGATTGGCCTGGATTGTCTTTAATTCTTGATTCTCTTTCATTCCCAGCAGCAGTAATCCAGTCTGCCTGTTAAAAAATAAGTCACCTAGGTGAAGGTGTGTTTCAAAATCCTGGGCCTGATGTGACGACTCACGCCTGTAATCCCAGCACTTCAGGAGGCTGAGGCAGGAGGATGACTTGAGGCCACTAATTTGTTCACTAGCAGCCTGGGCAATATCATGAGACCCTGTCTCTGCAAAAAGTAAAAAATTTTTAAAAAGTAGCCAAGCATGGTGTCACATGCCTGTGATCCCAGCTATTTGGGAGGCTGAGGTGAGAGGATCACTTTAGCCAGGGAGGTCAGGGTTGCAGTGAGCCATGATTGCACCACTGCACTCCAGCCTGGATGAGAGAGCAAGCCCCTGTCTCAAAGCAAAACAAAGCAAAGCCCTGGGCCATTTGCTCTCCTTCAGGAGGGATCTCGGGTCCAGGTGTAGGCCCTGAGAGGAGTCATGGCCTCATGTTCAGAGAAGAGGTGAAGCCATCTAGATTCAGTCGGTAGAATCCCAGTATTCTCATGCTGATTTCCAGCCCATTCCCAAGTCTGCCCTTGGGCTCTCACTATTGGTTTTCTTGTCCTCTATGCCCCTTCTCAGGACCCATCCTGCCCTTGAGGGCAGAGATCCTAAGTCCTCTTTCATGTCCCATGGCTTGGAAGTGGTGGAAGTTCAGTCAGTTTGATGAAATTTCTTCCCTTCCTCCTGTCCCCTGATCCCATTCACTATTTTGATCTCTCTGTTCTGTATTCTCCCCTGCCCTCCCCGCTTCCCTCTTTTTCTTTCTTGTCATATATGTTTGTCCCTTCCTGTGTGTCTGTCTCTGTCTCTCATTCCTCAGAGGCTGCCTGTTTTGTGGAAAGGGTCCTAAACTGAGAGATCTGGCTCTGTCTCTAGTCCTGGCTTCACCTTGCCCATGACCTTGATTAGGTCACTCACCTCTCTGGGCCCAGATTCCTCCTCTGTAACGTGCCTGTTGAACAACTGATGGTTCCACACCAGGGTGGTACCGCCCACTCACCCGCCCACCCAGGGACAACTGAAAATGGCATGATCCATTTTTGTAGTTGGCACAATGCCTGGTGCTGCCTCTCACATTTAGTGGGCAGGGGCCCGGGATGCTACACCTGCAATGCTCGAGAAGATTCCACCCCAAATTCCAGTGGTGTTCTCATGCAGAAACACCGATAGATGGTCTCCTAGGGCTCCACCAATACACTCAGTGACTGTGATTTTGTTTCTCCCTGTACCTCCCTCTATGCTTTTACTCCCTAAGGGAGTGAAAGCTGTTTCTCTTTCATGCTTCCTGCCTCTCTGTCACAAGAGACCAGAGCTCCCTTTTGGGGGGAAACGGATAGAAACAATGGAAGAGTCACTCTGGCCTTTGGGACTGTTCCCGTGGTCCTTCTCCATTGCAGCTGCTGCACTGCCCAGCAGCGGCCTGGTACATCCCCCAGGTAGTGGGTGTAAAGCTCGTAATAGCCTATAATGGAGTCTCATGGATATTACATGCTTCCAAATCCCACATTATCTGGTTGGGGGGATTAAAGAGAAGATTGGGAGGGGGTAGGGACACCGTGGGCCCTGGGGCGGGTGTCAGTACACAGAGCCGCGCAGCGTGCCCAATCCATTTGCCATGGCCCCCGCCTACCCAGCATTCACCACCAGCGAGATAGCAACGAGAGCTCTGCCTCTTCGAAGCTCAACAGAGGAAAGATGCAGTGGAAATCCCTGCTCTCAGCTGACTGTCTTTTTTCTGTGGCCCCCAAAAGGACTTCAGATTGGTTCAGAGGTAATGAAAACTTACCTAGTAAACTTTTTTTTTTTCCCAAGACAGAGTCTTGCTCTGTCATCCAGGCTGGAGTGCAGTGGTGCGATCTCAGGTCACTGCAACCTCTGCCCCCGGGTGTAAGCAATTCTCCTGCCTCAGCCTCTGGAGTAGCTGAGATTACAGGCGCTCACCACCACACCCGGCTCATTTTTGTATTGAGCCTTGTTGGCCAGGCTGGTTTCGAACTCCTGACCTCATGATCTGCCCACCTCAGCCTCACAAAGTGCTGAGATTACAGGCAGGGGCCACTGCACCTGGCCAAACTTTTTTTTCTTTTTCTTTTTTTTTTTTAATGGAGATGGGGTCTCACTCTATCACCCAGGCTGGGGTGCAGTGGCACGTTCACAGCTCACTGCAGCCGCAAGCGAGCTCCTCCTGCCTCAGCCCTCCAAGTTTCTAGGGCTACAGGCACATGCCACCACACTTGGCTAATTTTTTGTGTGTATAGAAATAGGGGTCTCGCTGTGTTGCAGAGGCCTATCTCAAACTCCTGGCCTCAAGCAATCCTCCTGCCTTGGCCTCCCAAATATTTGGGACTACAGACTACAGGCGTGAGCCACCACACTTGGCGAATTTTTTGTGTTTTGTAGACACAAGAGTCACACAGTATGTTGCCCAGGCCTATCTCAAACTCCCGGCCTCAAGCGATCCTTCTGTCTTGATCTCCCAAAGTGCTAGGATTATAAGATGAGCCACTGTGCCCGGCCCTAGTAAACTTCTTACTCAACAAATAAGTATGAAGTCACTCAGGTGTATTTCCTTGAGTCCTTTTTACCCAATGGGGTCCTGGCTGGGAGGGATTCTGGGACAGACCTGGCTTAAACCACACCTAAGCAGATGTAATGTGAAATCCCTGACCTGGAAATTCCAGAGCAGCATATTCTAATCTCTGCCTGCAATATACCAGCTTTGGCCTCTCATATACTCTGAGATTTCCTTTCCCTTTTTCCATTGTTTCTTCCTCCTTTCTTTCCTCCTTCTTTCCTTCTTTCCTTGAAATGACTCCTCTTACAGGGATGTACTATGTGGGAAAAATGAACTCATGCCAAGACAACGGGCATATCTGTTGAATTATGAAATGCTGAGTGATGTTCTAATTCCCAAGCCATCCTGTGGTGGATGAAGCGGGAGCTCCCCATCCCTGGGAGTAATCAGCGAGCTGATTCTGCCGGTGAATGTAATTGTGCCGATTGTAATCATTTTGCTCCAGCTCTCTGCCCCTGTGGCATTTCTTTCTTAGCCCAGATATTGATATAACAGTGGGAAATTTTCCATCTGAATGTGTGATGCCAGACCCTCCCCTAGTCCGAAGATGTGTTTGGGAAATTCTCATTTTCCGTGGATCACAGCTGAGCTATTTGGCCTGAGGGAAACCGTGCGCTGCTGGAGAAATGCCTTGGATTGGAGAGAGATTTTTGACCATTATGAGCAAATCGGAAATAAATGTAAAACACTGCCTGGAAATGCAAAGGCCTGTGATTATGGGAGATAGGTGAGAGGCTCCTATGGGAAATGCTTAGAGAATTGGAAACCAGTCAGTCAAAACCGGGATTGGAGAATGGGCCTTTTCCTCCCAGTATGAAGATGGATGGCTTCCATGGGCAGATTGAAAATCATTTAAGTGCTTATTTTCTTAATGGCTTTTTCTAGATACCAACAAATAGACTGCTCATTCTGCATCAATTTCTCACCCCTGTGTTCGTGGCCTCCCTGTCTTCTTTTTTTCTGCTTAGACCTGGGCTGTAAGTTTGGGAAGGAGAAGGGTGAGAGGAGACAAGGGCATCAGCAGGATAAAAAATGACCGGGAAATGAATGGTCAGGACTAGCTACAAAGAAGGACTGAAAGCCAGCACATGGGTTGCCAGGGAACCCTAGAAAAGAGTGCAGCTCCCACCTCCCAGAATGCCCATCAGCTGAGTCAAGAGCATTTAGTATGAACTATTCCTTCCTCCTGACCCTAGCTTGATCCAGCACTAGGAAGAGGTAATTGAAGATTCCTCCCGAGGGCCTTGTTGACTCTGCTATAGCCCGACTAATGCCTCAGATATGATGTAGGGAGTTGGTGATCAGGGATTTCCACCAGTTACTGTAGCAGGACAGGGTGTAGGATGGAGTGGGGAGGAATTGGGAGAGGAGACGGCTCTCCCTGCACCTGCCATCTCCCATCCCAAGCTTCAGCTCTCCCCTCTGTGGGTTAAAAATGCCCAGCAAGCCAGCTCTGAGTCACCTTGGGGAAGGGATTCGAATGGGGACTTGGTAATGGCTGCTGCCTTTGTTGGTTTTGGAGGAGCTCTAGGCATTTCATCTTCCGTTCAGTGGGCCGAGGTGGAATTGGTTAACAAAGACTGCTCCAGGGAGGGGATGTGGCTGACAAGCCAGACACTTCGCAGACACAAGAAACAGCAGCTGCAGAGGGGGCCACCAGGTTCTGCCAGCAGCTGTACTGCCTACGGCTGTGATCTTGTCTGATACTGTCAGCTAAGCAGGGGCAGCCCAGGTCAGGAGCTAGACAGTAGGACTCAAAGGGAGAAGGCGGGGCAGGAAAGAGATGGGCCAGGGAGCTGGGTTTTGCTGTTGGAATCAGCATCCTGGCTGTACACATCACAAAAGATTCAGACCTTGTGATCTGACACATGTGTCATTGTCTGTTCCCAGAATATATGCAAATGTCCCAAACCCACCCATGTTTAGTATGCCGCTGTCACAGGAAGCAGCTAAACAGAATGAAAAGCACTGGACAACCACCTGAACTGCCAACTCCTAAAGGTTTTTTTTTAATCATCATCAAATAGCATTAAGTATGCTCATATCTATCAGTAGTATTATGGTATTGTGCTGGTTCTTCTAGAAAAACCTGGGGAAAAGTAAGAACCACACAGATGATGAATCATTTAGAAAATAAGAATCAGTAAAAGCTAAAGGAATTAGAATGGCTTTTAGCCCAAAGGTAGTAGAGCTGTATTCAGATACCATTCTGAGAATGGGAAGTATCTGCTCTGTGTCCCTGCTAAGTAAAAGAACCAAATAAATTGGTGTGCCTGAGTACATTAGGTTAGCCATAAGAAAGGACTTATAATAATAGAATAATAACAATAGTAGTAAGAATACTTAGCACTCTAGAGGTTTTTAAAGCATATTCACATTACTTTTCATTTTTCGTAACTGGGGCTATGAGACATCAGAATGGTCTTTTAAGAAGGGCTGTGATATTTCCCTGTCTTTAAATGCATAGTAGCAGTCTTTTGACCTGGGATGATTTAGGCATGAACTTATTTGGAGACAGAAATGGACAAGTTAACCAGTTTGAGGTATCTTCCACACCCAGGGCCAGCAAGCTACCACTCAGGGACCAAATCTGGCCTTCTGCTTGTTTTGGTCTGGTCCATGAGCCAAGATGGTTTTTAAATTTTTTAATTGTTGATTTTTTTTAATCCAAAGAAGAATAATGTTGAGTGACACATGAAAATTATATGAAGTTCAAATTTCAGTGTCTATAAATAAAGTTGTATTAGAATACATCCAGGCTCATTTATTTACATCTTGCTTTCACACTACAATGGCAGAGTTGAATAATTGTAACAGAGACCACGTTGCCTGCAAAGGCTAAGATACTTACTACGTGGCCATTTATAGATAAAGCTGGCCAACCTCTATTCTAGACTTAAGAGTATAGTAATTCTGTGATTTGCATTAATGGGATAAGACCCTGACTACCCGGCAGCAACCCTCTCATAAGATTGTGAGGAGAATGGAATGAGTTATAGGTGTCAGGTACTTAGGCAACTCTTAGTTTTTTCTTTTCTTTTCTTTTCTTTTTTTTTCTTTGAGACGGAGTCTCACTCTGTCACCCAGGCTGGAGTGCAGTGCAGTGGCGTGATCTCGGCTCACTGCAACCTCTGCCTCCCAGGTTCAAGCGATTCTTCTGCCTCATCAGCCTCCCTAATAGCTGTGATTACAGGTGTCCACCACCATGCCTGGCTACTTTTTGTATTTTTAGTAGAGGCGGGGTTTCACCATGTTGGCCAGGCTGGTTTTTAACTCCTGACTTCAGGTGATCCACCTGCCTCAGCCTCCCAAAGTGCTGGGATTACAGGCGTGAGCCACCATGCCCAGCCTAGTTTCTTATTGTAAACACTACATATATGGTGAGGAGGAGGAGGAAGATGGTTTTCCAGGTGCTGTTCTAAGCCCATTACCTACTTATCCTCACCCCAGCACCATGACACAGGTATTAGTATCCCTACTTCACAGATGAAAAAAGCTGAGTCTCACCAGAGGTTCAACAGCTCGTTCCAAACCACACAGCTGAGCGTGTCAGAGCTGAGATTTAGAGCCAGGTCCAGTTCCAAAGCCCGTCCAAATTCCTGTCCTCCTGGCAAAGAGGAGGATTGTGCGCTTCTGAGAGTCTCCTACCCAAGGATCCCTCTCCCTCTTTCCTGCTGCCACTCCCCTTGGTATCTGTGGTTGTTGCACCCATCTGTCTCCTCCTGCCTTTCCTCCCACTGTTGCTCAATGGAACAGAATGCAGCTGACCCAGAATGGGTCAATAAGGGACTGCCCCTTATTGAAAGGTGCTAGACATTGGGCCAAGTATTTCACAAAAGTCTCATTTAATCCTCTCAGAGCCCTATCGTAAAAAGTGAGGCACAGAGAAGTCAAGAAACTTTTCCAAGATCACACAACTGGTGTGGAATAGAGCACAATGTCAAACCTAAGCCTGTCTCACTCCAGAATCGTCTCCCTCGGAAAGATTCCAGACACTCTAACGTCTCTTAGTTGCCTCATTGTGTGCTAGGAGGAAGTGTGCCCTCTGAGGCCCAGGGCGATTCTTTTAGCAAAAGATGCTCAGCAGTATTCACAGACAACTGACAGAGAGGGGTCCCTCTGCCGGGCCACCCACCAGCAAGACATGCTCCTTTATTTGGGTGCTGGGTGCATTAGCTGCCTCTGAATAAATCTGTAATTAGCTGCCCTGGCTGATTTGCATAATGGATTTCACTTTGTTCTTAAGTTAATGGTATTTTTGCAACAGAACACTAACCTCTTGGTTCCTGGCCATTAAAATAACCACCACCCTATCAGGTAGAGCCAGGGTTTGTAGGAAGTTCAGTTAAGAGTCACAGAGGAGGTGGGAGGGAGGTGGGATGGTTAAAGTTCCCATTGCATCACAGATTATTGGCTTTCTTTCCCATGAGTGTTTGAAAGGTCAAGGGTTGGAGAGAGCCATGAAGGCAGCAGAGAAAGACGTGGAGGCTCACTCCCTGGCAAGCAATCCAGCCTGGGGAACGTCCCCATTTTGTTCCTACAGGAAAAGGTACTCAGAGAGAACAAAATGGGTTTATAGGGCTGCTAAAGGGGGTGAGGACCCCTCAGGAAAAGTTAGGATGTTGATTTGACTATAAAGAATCCTGGGCCAGGCACGGTGGCTCACACCTGTAATCCCAGTACTTAGGGGGGCCGAGAAGGGCAGATCATGAGGTCGAGAGATCAAGACCATCCTGGCCAACATGGTGAAACCCTGTCTCTACTAAAAATACAAAAATTAGCTGGGTGTGGTGGTGCGCACCTGTAGTCCCAGCTGCCCGGGAGGCTGAAGCAGAAGAATCACTTGAACCCGGGAGGTGGAGGTTGCAGTGAGCCAAGATGGCGCCACTACACTCCAGCCTGACAAAAAAGCGAGACTCTGTCAAAAAAAAAAAAAAAAAAAAAAAAAAAAGAATCCTCCTGAAAGCAGCCTCCTCCTCTATCTCAACCCCTGCCCTAAAAGAGTTGCAGAGGCCTCCACAGAGTTGAAAATACACACTCCAGCAGACTCCTGTCCACTCTGGGCATCTGCCACACGGTGCCTTGCCAGCAGGCTTTCCAGTACTGCTTCTGCTAGCCTTGGACACATGGTCTGAACCCAGTCCTGCAACGCAGAGCCTGGCCAGAGTCAGCTGGACCTGTGGGGTGACCACCATGACAGCAGAACTCTTCCATGCATCTGGTACTTCTTGAGGCCTTGTGTCCCTCCCATTGCATTCCAAATGTTCCATGGCGCTGCCACTTCACACACTAAAAGTACCTGCAGGTGCAGAGCCCCACGATTCAAGGAATTCCTCCCACAGCCCACCTGTGCAATTGGGTTCCAGCCTCGTGCTCCAGCTGGGCCCATATCTGATAGCACTCATGCATCATCCGGGTGTAAAAGTCTTCCAGGTACGCCTTTCGGATTATCCGGCTTTGTCCATGGGAGCTTCCTCGGGAGTGTGGTAGAAAGAACTGGAAGTGGAAAACAAGAGAGATGATGGAAGCCATTACCCCTCACACTGCATCCCCTGTTAAGAGCCATATCAGCATGTGCTGTCAACCAGGAGCCATTTATCCTTCAAATATTTCCACACAATCTGGGGAAGGATTATGCACAGGAAGATAATTTGAGCCCAGGAATTCAAGACCAGCTTAGGCAATATAGCAAGACCCAGTCTTCTCAAAAATTTAAAAACTATCAGGTGTGGTGGCACTTGTAGTCCCAGCTACTTGGAAGGCTGAGGTAGGAGGACTGTTTGAGCCCAGGAGTTTGAGGCTGTAGTGAACTATGATAGTACCACTGCACTCCAGCCCGTGCAATAGAGTGAGATCCTGTCCCCCCACAAAAAAAAATTCACACAATCTTTCCAAATTCTCTCTTTATGACCAATTTACTGACTTGGCAATCAAGATAGAAGTTCTTCAATAGCACTAACTTAGGCTTCCTTTTTGCTAACGTTGTTCACATCCAGAAGTTCTTTTGTTAGCTAGTCTTCAACCATCCTGCTGCAATCTCACCTCACTTAGATTCACAAAGAAGCAAAATTAGAAAAAACCTTCCAGTTCAACTACTCCAGCCCCTTCATTTTATGAACAAGGAAACTGATGCTGACTTTATTTCTCTGTGGCTACAGATCACTCAGGGTAAGAGAACCACCTCAGGATTCAGCAACAATGAGTTTCCTGAGAGGATGAACCAGGAATCCCTTGGGCTTTGAGAAAACTGATAGAGAAATGAAGAAGGTTTCTAACTACTCTGGCTCATTACCAAGAAGAGCAAACCATAGCCAGCCTGGGTAGCTGCAGGCAGAATGGAAAGGGAGAGTCCACTGCAGTGGATAGCTGGGTGGCCCTGTCCTCGAAGGACCCTGCAGACACACAGGGCCCACCCACATATGCAGTGGTCACTGCAGACTGCACTGCGTAGCAGGAAAAATAAGGCCTCAGTCTCACTTATCATGTGTCAAACAAGGAGGCTGCTATTATCTGGAGGTGGCAAAAAATAAAAAATAAAAAAAAAAAACAGAAGCTTCTGCTGGGTTCTGGTGTGAGAGGCCAGGAATATGCAAGACAGAATCCTACCTCTTAGGCTGATAAATCAACCTTTGCCTCTAGGCAAAATTATCTTTACTTTAGGTTACCTAGAGCAGAACCAATTATTTTTCTGGGGTGGGGATCAACCATTTGGGCACAGAAGGGAAAGAGTAGTGAGAAGGAAGAGAACAGGGCCTAGGACGCTTGGTCAAGGGCAGGAACTGGGAAGCAGTAGAAAGAGGAAATGTGCCTAGAAACCCAATGTGGGTATGAGGGATGTGAAACTTCTTTGAATTGCCATGAAACACACTAGGCAGCTAAGATACAAATTACACAGAATTTTTGATGATTCAGTCCCTTTGGCCTTGCCCTGTAGCCTGCTGGCTCTGAAAACCCTTCTGCAGGGGAGGAGGGTAGGACAGTCCTTACAGCTGGGGGTGCAGAAGGGACACAGTACCTGCTCCAGCAGGAGGATCCTCTTCCTGTGTTTGGCCAGGTGGTATGCAGTGAAGCAGCCCTGGATCCCCGCCCCAATCACAATGGCGTCCCAGAGATCTTTCTGAGCCGCCATGATGCCACTCAGCCCCACAGCCACAGAGCCTCAAAGGCAAAGGCAAGCAAAGACAGGCTCCCGGCTAAAGGACGAGGAGGAAGGCAAAGTCCAGCCTGGCCAGTGTTCCCACAATGCCCTGGGGTCGTGTCCTCCCGCTTCCCTCTCTGCCAAGCCTGGCCCAGGGCTCAGTCTCCCTTCCCCTGCGGAGCAGAGCTGGGTAGTCTGATTTGTGAGGTTTAGCCCAGCTCAGCCGCCAGCCTCACCCTTGCATCCCTGTGGCTTTCTATTCTTGGCTCAATTATTGTCATGCAAATGGGCTCCTTCCTTTGCCACCTTCCTGTCTCATTATGATCTTTGTCTCAGGACTTCGGCCCTGGAATTTCAATGCCTCCTAGACCATACTGGGCACCGGGAATGCTGCCTCCCCCTGCTGGTTTTCCCCTCTTCAGCCTGATTTGCTTTAGAGATTCTAGAGGGCCCCGCTAAGAACTTGGCACGATGCCCAGAATAAGACCCACCTCCCTGGTGGGTGGTGAGGTCAGGGGGTAGAGGCAGGGGCCAATTGGGAGGGCAGTTTTGTAATTATGAAATTATTCCCAGCATGTTTTACTTTCATTTTGAAGAAAGAAGAAATGATCCTGAAAAGACAGAAAGGGCAGAGTGAGAGGAGGAGCCCTCTCCTCAGCCACAGAGAGGGGACCAGGCCAGCCCAGTGCCTGGAGGGGCCCCGTGTTGAGCATCTCTCTGTCCCAGGCAGTATGCTTAGTAAGTACTGATACTGGCATTTGGGTAGGGCTTGATTGTCATACAGTTCGAGGGTACTCTTTGAGAAAAAGAAAAAAGGAGAATTATTAATACAAAATTAGATGCCCGGATGTGGAAGAAACTGTTCAATTAAGGACCCCCATGGTTGAAGTTTCATTTGCTTCATGGTAAATTTGCCTCTGCATGAGTTATCTCATTTACTCCTCATAGCCCTAGGAGTTTCTGCGGGTTTTTGTTTTTGAAGTTTTGGTTTTTGAGAGGATCTCTGGGATCTCACTGTCACGCAGGCTGGAGTGCAGTGGCACGAACTCGGCTCACTGTAGCCTCCACTTCCTGGGCTCAAGGGGTCCTCCTACCTCAGCCGCCCGAGTAGCTGAAACTACAAACGCATGCCACCATGCTCAGCTAATTTTGTTTATTTTTTGTAGAGACGAGGGCTCACTGTGTTGCTCAGGCTGGTCTCGAACTCCTGGACTCATACAATCCTCCCACCTCATCCTCCCAAAAGCTTGGATTACAGGTGTGAGACACTGCACCTGGCTTAGGAGTATTTTTATGCCTACTTTTGGCAGATTAAGGATGGCCCCAAATTCTTTTTCACTCCTTCTATCACAGACTCTGTGACTGCTTGACCCATAAAATATGGCAAAAGTGATACCATGACACTTTCTGGCACAGCCCTAAAGAGACTGGCAGCTTCCTCTTCTTATGTTGGAGCCCTTACTTTTTTTTTTTTTTTGAGAGGGAGTCTCGTTTTGTCATCCAGGCAGGAGAGCAGTGGCACTATCTTGGCTCACTGCAACCTCTGACTCGTGGGTTCAAGCGATTCTTCTGCCTCAGCTTCCCGAGTAGCTGGGCCTACAGGCGAGCGCCACTACACCCAGCTAATTTTTCATATTTTTAGTAGAGACGGGGTTTCACCATATTGGCCAGGCTGGTCTCGAACTCCTGACCTCATGATCCGACCACCTCGGCCTCCCAAAGTGCTGGGGTTACAGGCATGAGCCACCGCACCTGGCCAAGGAGCCCTTACTCTCTGAGCCCTGAGCCACCATGTTAGAAGTGCAGGCACCCTATGGGAGAGTTCACATGGAGAGGACCTGGGACCAGGTGGAGAACTCTATATAAGAATGAAGTTATCTTGGTTTGGGAGGCTGAGTCAGGAAGGATCGCTTGAGGCCAGGAGTTCCAGACAAACCTGTGCAACATAGCAAGACCTTGTCTCAAAGAAAAGTGAAGTCATCTTGGTTCCTCCAGCCCAGCCTAGCACCAGCCAAATAGTACCAAGTGACCCAATTGATGCTGCATAGTGCAGAAGAATCACCCAGTCAAGCTTCATTCCTGATCCACAAAACCATGAAACAGAATAAAATGGTTGTTGTTTTCAGCCACAACATTTTGGGGAGGTTTTTTACACAGCCATAACCAAAATATTACTTAATGGCTGAAGACGTGAAGGCTTAGAGAGATTCTATCTTACCCAAAGCAACACCCCTGGTATACAAAGACACTGAGGCTGGGCACAGTGGCTCACGTCTGTAATCCCAACACTTTGAGAGGCCGAGGCGGGAGAATCACTTGAGGCCAGAAGTTTGAGACCAGTCTGGGCAACATAGCAAGACCGCATCTCTACAAAAAATGTTAAAAATTAGCCAGGGATGGTGGTGCATGCCTGTAGTCTTACTTACTTGGGAGGCTGAGGCAGGAGGGTCACTTGAGCCCAGGAGTTTGAGGCTGCAGTGAGCTATAATCACACCATTGTACTCCAGCCTGGGCAATGGAGCAAGATTCCAGCTCTATGGAAAAAAAAAAAAAAAAAAGAAAGAAAGAAAAGAAAGACACTGAACTGTGAACCTAGGTCTGTCTGCCCCAGAATCCGTTCCTTTAACCACTGTGCTTTACTGAGGATGAGTCAGAACTTGTAATGATGATTCCGATTTCAATATTTTGCTATTTCTCCCACAATGAGTGGGAGAAAATAATGGTCCAGGAAACCCACATGACTACAGGGAGCTGCCCTGCCTCCTTACAGTGGCCTGCCAAGGCCGCCAGCAATGCTTCTCATTCCACAAGTAATCCCCCAGACTGATCTTGGCAACTGGCTGTCCTCTCAGCCTAGCCCTTTTGTTCTTAGGAAAACAGGAGCCCAGAGAGGAGGTGCCATCGGACTGGATTTTTCTTTATCTTTTTTTTTTTTTTCCTGTTACAGGATTTCAGTCTGTCACCCAGGCTGGAGTGCAGTGGTGTGATCATAGCTCACTGCAGTCTCAAATTCCCAGGCTCTGCTGATCCTCCCACCTCAGCCCCCTGAGTAGCTGGGACCACAGGAGTGCACTACCACGCCCAGCTTATTTTTTGTAGAGACAAGAGTTTTGCCATGCTGCCCAGGCTGGTCTCAAACTCCTGGGCTCAAGCAATCTGCCCACGTAGGCCTCTCAAAGTGCTGGGACTGGCTGGGTGCGATGGCTCACGCCTGTTATCTTATCACTTTGGGAGGTCGAGGTGGGAGGATCTTTAGAGGCAAGGAGTTCAAGACCATCCTGGCCAACATGGCGAAACCCTGTCTCTACTTAAAAATACAAAAATTGGCTGGGTGTGGTAGTGCAGGCCTGTAATCCCACCTACTCAGGTGGCTGAGGCAAGACAATCCCTTGAACCCGGGAGGCGGAGGTTGCAGTGAACCGAGATTGTGCCACTGTACTCCAGCCTGGGCGACAGAGCAAGCCTGCCTAAAAAAAAAAAAAAAAAAAAAAAAAGTGCTAGGTTACAAGCAAAACCTACCATGCTTGGCTTTTTTTTCTTCTAAAAAAAAAAAACCCCAGAATATATATATATATATATATATATATATATATATATATATATGTATGTATATTTCAAGAGTCCAGAAATCCTCACAACTCCATATGCCACTCCCACCCCCCGGAACAGGCCAGCATCCACATCACAACTGGACAGCTCCCCAGAATAAAAAATGGCTGACATAACCGAGAAAAATGTACTATCTGAGTATGTAAAGGCTTGATATAAATATATAAGATCAGCCCCCAGATTTCTCTTGATAAGATGTCAGAGGAGATGAACAGTTTACGTACAAGGAAAAGCAGACAATAAATCCTCACATGGAAGTGTGCCCAGTCTCACTAGCAATGAAAGAAATGGGAATTAAATAACTTCAAGGTACTATTATGTGCCTATTAAATTAGCAAAAATAAATAAAAATGACAATCTCTTATGTTGTCAGTGCTGTGGGGACAGAGATAGAGGAGGGTGGCAATTTGGGTTGTCAGGATCTCCTGGAGGTGGCTGAGGCAATACACAGCAATCCGGGTAAAACAGCTCAAACCTTCTGACCTAGAAATTCAACCTGGGGAACCATATCCCAAGGGGAGACAAAGGTATGAAGATATTGATATCTGTGCTTTTACAATATAAAAAAATGGGAAATAACTCAACCACAAGGAATGGCTGAACAAGCTCTGGCTCGCTGGCACAATGGAATACTACGTAGCTATTCCAAATAACAAGCTGGACTCTGCTATGCAGAAATGTGTGTATGAGATAACCCTGAGAAAGGCAAGCAGAACACAAACAGACACACACACACACACTGCAACCAAGTGTTCTGTGTACGTGCGATCAAAAATCGAAAGAGAACTTGGTGGAGTAATTGAGCTTCATGCTCATTAGTTGCCACATTCTATAAAAACCACACATCCATTCACAATTTGTAAAAGAAGGAGCAAGCCCCCGGGGAAGCAGATGCTTCAAATCTCCCTGGCCCCTGGTTCCAGGGCCTGGGGAATTTCACTCTTTGTTCTAATCTCAGTTCTTCCTGCTGCCCTCGATATTTCTTATTGTTCAGTCCTCCAGGGAAGCTACAAAGCGTCTCTGTATCCCATACCCCCACCCCCACTTTGTTTAATACAATATCCCTTCAGAGATAAAATGACAATTCCATTTCCCCATCCCTACTTCACAAGGCTGCCCTGGATTCCTGGACTCAAGCATTCTGCTTCTCATTAACAATTTCAAACAGCTCCTCCGAAAGCAGACACTGGCCATGGCCCAACCTTGAAATGAAAAGCGAATCGACTTCTGAAGGCTTCCCCTTCTCTCAGGGTTGCCCGTCCTTGCGGCTGTCCTGACAGGGACAGGCAGAGAGACGCTATCCACTCAAATTCCATTTTAACACCCATTCTGGATCGGAAGACTATTAAAGGGAGAGCCAGCAGCCTTACACCTTGCTGCTTGTGTGTGTCAGCAATCGCTTCTCGTGTCCTGGGGCAGAGACGCTGAGGATATGAGGCTGAGCTGCTCATCTGATGGCTTGATTGACACTTTGCAGACGGGGGTGGGAGAGCTGAGCCAGGGAAGCGGCAAGCTGTACAGATCAGAAATAATGAGAGGACCCGAATCCGGAGAGAGCAAGGAATAAATGAGAGACCTAGGAGTTGGATGGCGAGGGAAACGCTTCTGTTCTCTTTTCCCTGCTCTGCTTTGCCAAGGAGCCTGGGGCAAGGAGGCAGGCAGGCAGACCAGGAAGGGCTCCCTGGACCCATCCTGCCAGCTGCTGGGGCATCTGGGGCATCCAAATGTGCAGAGGATGCCAGCGTGAGAAAACAGAGAGCGGCAGAGCAGGCTTTGTGCGTGGTCTCTATACACATCGCTGGCCCAGTTCGAGTCTCAGGTTTAATCTCTTCTCTGCCATCCTCCCTCCCTTTGCCCCCGGGGTCACCTACCCACCATCTCTTACCTAAATTATTGCATTAACCTCAAAACATTTCTCCCCGCCCCATCCTAGCCCCTCTTAATCTATCCTCCGCATCCCTGCCAGAGTCATCTCTCTAAACAGCAAATCTGAACTGGTCACTCCCTGCTGAAAATTATTTAATAGCTGCCTATTTCCTATTAGGATAAAATCTAAATTCTTTAGCTTGGCACACAAGGCGGTTCACACTCTGGCCTCTACCTGCTCTTGCAGCTTCGTCTCAGGTCCCTTCTCACTGTGTCCTTTATGCCCGGGCAACGCTGAGCCTAGAGAGGTTTTAGCATTCGGTGTGATTCTTCCAAATTCCCCGACACCCCCAAGCCCCCTTAGACAGTCTCTCTCCTATACTCCCTTCCCACCCTGCGCATCTCAATAACACTGAGCATATTGCATTGTAATTGTTTGCATGCCTGCCTTCCCCCAAGCTCTTTAAGGAGAAAAAGCCTTCTTTTCATTGTCATTTTTTTGTAGGTAATACATACATATAGAACAACATAGTGTACGAAAGAGACCACTGTGGAAAGGACGTCTGTTTCCACCCTATCCTCAGCTGCTTAGTTCTCCTCATCAGATGCAAGCAACGCTGTTGCTATTTTCTTTTGTGTCCTTCCAGAGATGTTCATGGGTAGACAAACATATACAGTATATTCTCTTTTATTCATCTCAAAAGTAGGGTACAAGAACACCCTGGTGTTTTCATTTTCTTTATCTTGGCAATCCACATCAGTCATACCGAGTGGGCACCTTCTCCCTGACGGCTGCATAGTATTCCATGGTGTGTAGGAGACATTTGGGAATAAGAAGGCACCCCCTCCTGTTTACTGATAGGTAGTGAGTTTCTCTGGCTCTCATAGGTGCCCTCGAGTCACAAAGCTCTCTAGCTGTCTGCTATTGGGTGTTCAGGGAGGGCGAGATGCCTGTTCTGGGCTGGCCCAGCAAGGTTTATCAAAGGCTGACAGCGCCCTCTGTGAGTGCCCAGGACAGCACCCACCTTCAGACCAGGAGGTGGAGGGGATTGAACACCCAGAGACCCTGGTTTCTGCTTCCTTTGTATTTGTTAAATGACATATATTAGAGTCAATGCTTCTCCCTCAAGATACAAGAGTACAGTTGCTAGGCAGACTCCAGGGGAGGGCAGAAAATAAGAAAAGTCTTGGGAACTAAGACCATAACCTCGAGAAAATACAAAGTCATGATTTAGCCTGGAAGTGAGGGGCAGGCAGGATAAACTCGTGAATGAGCACCCTCAGACCTCACTGGGACAAAAGGAAATGCACTGAGACAAAAGGAAAAGGAGGGTGGAGTGGCTTTCATCTGTCTCCAGGCGAAACTTCCCAGCAGGTAAACAATGGAATCTTCTTAGCCTTATTTCCAGGTCTTTCTCTGTCAATCCTACATAAAGACATGTCCATATTTGCACACTTATCTGACTGTGGTGCCCCAAAATATCCCCAGGTATTCATTAAGTGGTGTCTTCATACACATGTACATCCGAGTGTGTATATTTCTACCCCTAGGCTTTTGGAGAAGGCCCCATTAAAGCTCAGCAGGCAGTGGGAAAAATGAGAAATCAGAGTGCTCAGAAGTGGTCCTGTTTCTCTGTGGAGGTGAGGGTGTGTCTGGGATGGAGACGAGGTATGTGTCCCCTGTTGGCAGCTTTCCCTCCCTTCTCTGCAGAGATGCATTTCCATGTCTTTCTTGTGCCTCACAGCCTGGATATCACTATACCCTAAAGTGGGGAGTTGGGGAAAGAGTGGAAATTGGGAGCAGGAAAAGTAAACAGCTTTTGCATGAGCTGGATTGGCTTGATAGGTAACAGGGCAACAAAAATTCAGCAGCATGCAGGAAGATTAACTCCAGCATTGGGCCCTCTAGTAGTCTCCTTTCTGGGTAGATGTGGTCTTCCCCTCCTAGCTCTGCAGCCAGACCTGCTGATTTCGCTGTTTATTAGGGAACATAGACAGATATGCAAACTCAGGTCTTCCCCACACTATCCCGCCAGCCATAGGGTCATGGAGGCAGAGAATCCAAGGGAAGCCTGAGAAAAAGGAGGAAAGGAAAGCAGAATTCTGGATAACAACTTCTAAGCCTTCTTCAGTGCCCACCTTCTGCTTGTTGCCTCCAGACTGGCCCCTAAGCCAGTCTGGCCCATCTCTCGGCCACGATGCCTGCAGACACATCTTTCTTACTCTTTTTTCTCACTGTTTCTTATTCTGTTCTTTTTTCTGTTTCTGCCTTGGGTCCCCTTCCTTCCTTTGAAGTCAAGAGAGAAAGAGAGGTTTAAGGTAAAGCCTAGCGTGGTATTGTGGCATGCATCAGTAGTCCCAGCTACTCTGGAGGCCGAGATTGGAGGATCACTTAAGCCCAGGAGTTTGAGTCCAGCCTGGGAAACATAGCAAGACCTTGTCTCTAAAAAAAGGAAGAAGAAGAAGAAGAAGAAGAAGAAGAAGAAGAAGAAGAAGGAGAAAGAGAAGGAGGAGAAGGAGGAGAAGAAGGAGAAGAAAGAAGGAAAGAGAGAGAGAGAGTAAGAACATAACTAAATAAAAATAAGGGAAGACCTTCATGGATGGATAATAGGAAACCAGGACCTAGCTAGGGAAGAGGCCTTGAGGCAGTGGAAAAGGGAGAAAGGCCTAGAAGAGCCAGGGAATCTTTGGTGCCAAAGCCAGAAGGCTTTGCTTCTTGTTGAGAAGCCTAGAGCTTTTTCTTCTCACTGGGGTTTTTATGGGAAGTTTAAGCATGCTAGAGCTGGGAAGGCTCAGCTGTACCCCTCCCTCCTCTCTCACCTGGCTGCTGGTTTAGACAGGACTGTCATGTTTGGAATTTCACACCTCTTGAATCTGTAGACTGGTGTCTTTCATGTGCTTTGGAAAACTCAGCCATTATCTCTTCAAATACGTTCCTCTGCCCTATTCATTCTTCCCCCTCTTTCTGCAAAATACATACAATAGATCTCTGCATGCTGTATCTCTTATCTTCTCTATTCTCCCCTCTTTTTTTTTTAATCTCTATGCTGTGTTCCAGGTAATTTCTCCTTATTATCTTCTACTTTGCTAACTCTCTGTTCCACTGCATCTAAGCTGTTTTTAAATTAATGAGTTGAGTTTTAATTGCTGTTACTATATCTTTAGTCCATTTTGTTACCTTGCATAATTTCCTGTCCCTGCAAATATTTTCAAGCTTGTCTTTTATTTATTTGACTGCAGTAAGCATGATTGTATTATAGTCTACGTATGATCATTTTAATGTGTGAAGTCCTCACGAATTTTTTATTTTGTCTCTTGTTTCTCTGAGTCTCACTCATGGAGCCTTATTTTCTTATAGGCTTGGCTGTCTTTAACAGTATTCTGGTAGCTGTGCTTGAACAAATATATTGGAATTATTTTCTTATGAAAGTGCCTTCTTTTACACCACATTGTGTTTATTTCTGCCAGGCATCAGCGGCACAACCATCTAAACCCAGTTGCCAGCCTGAGGTTCCCTGGAGTACCCAGGCAATGTGAATGGGGCTAGCTTACTTTGGTTTACCCTTACCCTGATGGTGTAGCCCTTTGGGGGTCTCAGCATATTGAGGGGAGAATCTTCTACTACAGTCTCCACAATGAGCAGGCACTGGGCTTGGATTTCCAACCCCCTTACTCTACCAGACCATCAAAATGAAAGTTCAGATTTGCAAGAATTGACAGATGCTCTTTAACGGAAAAGTGATTTCTATGCATCCTCTAGTTTTCTCTTCCATGTTGGCCTGTTAATTCCTTACTATTTTATTAACTCTTCAAGGCTTTTAAGATGTTGTTGATATTTTATCTAGCATTTTTCATTCTTTTTACTGGGATAATCGGTCCAAATAACTCAGCCTGTCATTGCCAAGCTTCTGAACTTGGTTGCAATCAGAGTACTAGCTCCTAGAATATCTAAGCTCTGCAGTATCTTCTGCATGTGTACTGGTCTCTCATTTCCTTCATGCCTTCCTCCCCAGATGCCTAGGGTGAAAAAAGACAGTGGCAATTGTCAACAAGGATGACCACCTACCTCCTAGGGAGCAAGAGTGAGAATCTCTTGATAGCCACTCTTAGAGCTAGATTTAGGCGTGGACCAGCCAGGCTTTGTCTGAGGGGCCAATATACATGGAACCCTAAAGCGTCATCATGAATTGGAATACCTTAGAAGAGCATCTTGCTGTCTAGAATGTTTTTTAGGGAATCACTATATTTGTTTTAAAGAAGGAATATTTTGATAAGGTGCAGGTGCAGGCTGTGACCTCCCAAGGTTAATTGCTTTCCACTAAGAGTGGGTCCTGCTTACAGCTTTTGTTTCAATGAATGGGCAGCAATTGCCCACCAGCACTGAATTGCTCAGATCCACAGACAGGCATGGTCCTCTGTTCATCCTTCCTTTTTGTGGTGCCTAACCTCTATAAATAAAGTGTTGAACAAATATTTATAGAAAATAAATTTTCTGTCTATGAGGATAGTAAGAAACTGGCAACACTAGTTGCCTCTGGGGAGTGAAGCTGGGTGGAATCTTGCTACGTATAGGAAATGACTTAGGAGAAAATACTGTACAGATCATTGCAGTCCTGATGCGAGTCAGGGAAGGGCTCTAGGCATTGCCAGCATCCTGTCTGCCCCTTGGCTCCCAACCACAGCCTGGGTAGGAGTGAAATCCACAGAAACGCCAGAAAGCAGGTGAAGGGTTGTGTGCAGCATCTGGAAAATTTAGAGAATGTAAAGGAAGTGGGATTGCTGGGCCCATGCTGGGTCTCATCTCACTAAGCAAGGTTCTCATACAGAACCTTGAAAGGACCCCTGCAGAGCTCTCAGCAGCGCGGTATTATATTAACCAACTGCGACCCACTTCCCACCTCATCCTTGGCAGCCCCCTTTTCCAAGTGGAATCTTAGCTTTATTCTTTCTCTCACTTTCTCTCTCTCAGTCTCTCACCTCTCAGGCTTGCCCACATTTATTTTCTTGCTGTTTAGAAGGACAGAGGAAGAAAGGTTTAGAGAAGACATTGGGACGATTCCAGTTGTGTTTGGAACAGACCACCAGGGATCCTAGCCCAGAATTTTTAAAGGGATAGAGAAAGAGGAGGTTCCTGGAATAGTCCGGGGAAGGTCTGCCCAGAGCCCGTTCAAAGCTCTCCAGATGCCCTGGGGTGCTGGATAACTCTGCTCCTCACCATTGCTCCTTCATAACCACCCGCCAGGTTGCCTAAGCTTGTCGCAGGTTTCAGGGCACTCACTCACAGACATCTCATTTGATCTTCACAGCAGCCTCGTGAAGTGGACAGGCAGGCATTTTTACTCCCATTTTGCAGATGAGGCAACTGATCACTAAAAAGCAACAGAGTCAGCATTCCCACCCCTCACCCCAAACCTTTCTCCAAATCAAGAGTGAGGCAGATGTTCGCACTCCTCAGCACCCTGGGTCTTGGGTCCTGCTAAGTTCTTTTGTGAAGATAGGGAAAGAATGTGGCTCATTCCACGTTGCAAATAACATTCCCCACCCCCACCCATGCCTGCAAAGAAAGAGAAGGAGCCCCCAGTGAGAAGAAATTCTAAAGCAGCCCCTAGGGACCTCTGGAGAAGCTGTTTGATTTTTTCCAGTCCCTACTGGTACTCTGTGCCACATTTATAAACGTCAGCGCTGAAAATGAAGTTCCCACTGCCCTGGCAGCTGCCGGTTGCTGCTGTTGCTCACCAAAGGTTCAGATAAAGTGTCCCCCTCCCCTTGATTGATAGGGAGCCGAAAATAAAAGAAAAATAAAAGCCCCCTGGAGCATTGATGGAAGGGAGGAGGCAGCTTCTTAAGAAGAGAAAGGGTGTGATCCAGAAAGGGCTGGTACCAGTGGAAGGCGGGAAAGTGAGACCGACAGAGTGAGACCCCACCTCAAAAGAAAAAAAGAAAAGGAAAGGGGAAAAGAAGAGAATAAATACTTCTGCTTATGCAGAAAGGTGGCGAAATTCATATTTCATTTCAGGGGCTCTGCCACAAGAAGAGGGAAGGAAAGGAGCTTGGTGAGGAAGTCTTTGTGACCTCTGGGCTTCTATGCTCCTGAGCAGGATCTGCTATCTTCTGGAGTCTGGGACAGAGATGAGGCTGGCAGAGACTTAGAACAAAGGAGGTCGGGCATGACGGCTCATTCCTGTAATCCTAGCACTTTGGGAGGCTGAGGTGGGTGGATCACTTGAGGTCAGGAGTTTGAAACCAGCCTGGCCAACATGGTGAAACCCTGTTTCTACTAAAAATACAAAAAAATTAGCGAGGCATGGTGGTGAGCGCCTGTAATCCCAGCTACTCGGGAGGCTGAAGCAGGAGAATTGCTTGAACCCAGAGGGTGGAGGTTTCAGCGAGCCAAGATCGTGACATTGCCTTCCAGCCTGGGCAACAGAGTGAGACTCTGTCTCAAAAAAAAAAAAAAGAAAGAAAGAAAGAGAAAAAAACAGGCCAAGTGCGGTGGCTCACACCTGTAATCCCAACACTTTAGGGGGAGGCCGAGATGGGCGGATCACCTGAGGTCAGGAGTTCAAGACCAGCCTGGCCAACATGGTGAAACCCCGTCTCTACTAAAAATACAAAAATTAGCCAGGCATGGTGGCAGGCACCTGTAATCCCACCTAGTCGGGAGGCTAACACAGGAGAATCACTTGAACCCGGGAGGCCGTGGTTGAGGCAGGAGAATTGCTTGAACCTGGGATGCAGAGGTTGCAGTGAGCTGAGATGGCACCATTGCACTCCAGCCTAGGCGACAAGAGCAAAACTATGTCTAAAAAAAAAAAAGAAAACGGGTCCTAGAGGAGACTGGAAAGAAATGAAACGTAAAAGGATCCCAATGGACCATGCAGATACAAAGTAATATCATCATAAACCGAACCAATGAACCAGTGGTTGAGACTGGGGAGACCCTGCTGGGAGCAGCTTGCAGCACTCCAGGTAGCCACGTGCACACTTTTCCAATAATGGCTTCCCTTGCACCTCCCCTACATCTGCGATGCTCTCGGATCTTTGAGAAGTGCTGATTGAGACCAACTCATGCAGCCCTGGCTGAGCACCCAAGGGATGCAGCGGTTAACCAGGGGTGGCCTAAGTGGTTTCAAAGCAACAAGTCATTGAAAAGTTGTTTTTAACTTGATTATTGTACCTTTATTTTAAAACATACCAGACCACATATTTCCAAATGACTATGGTTCTCTTCAAAGTCTCCCCCGTATGAAGTTGAGTAGTTAATCCAGTGGTACTCAATGTGTGGCCCAAGTCATCCTGGAGCTGATGTGTGAAATACCTTCAGGCCAATTTATAACCCAGGCAATAAAATGTCTTGCTGCTTTATAGGGGTTTCCTTGCTCTCCTTTAACTTGATTTATCAGACCTGTTTCCCCGTAACTTTTGGCCCTTACCAAATGCCAAATGCTCTGCCAAGCTGCTTTCTTGGAGAGGTTTGGAGCAGCCCTGGGAGGACAGGATTGTTCGGGGATGGGATGGAGGTATAATTATTAGCAAAAGAGAAATGAGAGAACCATTGTATTAATGGGAATCTGGTGGGTTTTCTCTGCTTTTCACTTTCCTTATGTGAAAATGTTTCTGTTTTTGGCCGGGCACGGTGGGTCACGCCTGTAATCCCAGCACTTTGGGAGGCCGAGGCGGGCGGATCACAAGGTCAGGAGATTGAGACCATCCTGGCTAACACGGTGAAACCCCGTCTGTACTAAAAATACAAAAATTAGCCAGGCGTGGTGGCGTGTGCCTGTAGTCCCAGCTGCTGAGGAGGCTGAGACAGGAGAATGGCGTGAACCCGGGAGGCGGAGCTTGCGCTGAGCTGAGATCGCGCCACTGCACTCCAGCCTGGGCGACAGAGCGAGACCCCGTCTCAAAAAAAAGAAAAGAAAATGTTTCTGTTTTGAAAAACGATGAAATAAACAAAATGTGACATATTCATACAATGAAATATTATTTGGCCTTAAAAAAAAAATGGTGACCCAGCCTAGGCAACACGGCAAAATCTCATCTCTACAAAAAATGAAAAAATTAGCGGGTGTGGTAGCCTGTAGTCCCAGCTACTCGGGAGGCTGAGGTAGGAGGATCGCTTGAGCCCAGGAGGTCGAGGCTGCAGTGAGCTGTGATCACACCACTGCACTCCAGCCTGGGTGACAGAACGAGATCCTGTGTCAAAAAAAAAAGAAAGAAAGAAAGAAAGAAAGATAGAGAAGAAAAGAAGAAGAAAGAAATGGCATTCTGACACATACTACAACACAGGTGAACCTGGAGGATATTATGTTAAGTGAAACAGGGCACACACAAAACGAGAAATATTATGATTCTCCTTATATGAGGTACCTAAAATAGACATAGACAAATTCATAGACAAAAAGTAGACATTGGTTACCAAGGGCTGGCAATAGAGGGAATGGGAGTTAGTGTATAATGGGGAGAGATCTCCATTTTGGGAAGATGAAAAAGTTCTGGAGATGGATGGCAGTGATGGCTGTGTGAATGTGCTCAATGCCACTGAACTGTACCCTTAAAATGGTTAAATTGCAAATTGTAAATGTTATGTGTATTATACACAGTAAAAAAAAAAAAGTCTACCTAACAAAATAAAATCTACTCAAAAGGTAAAGATTTGGCTGGGGATAGTGGCTCATGCCTGCAATCCCAGCACTTTGGGAGGCCATGGCCCAGTAGTTCAAGACCAGCCTGGGCAACACGGTGAAACTCTGTCTCTACAAAAAAATAGAAAAATTAGCTGGGTGTGTTGGTGCACACCTGTAGCTACTTGGGAGGCTGAGGCAGGAGGATCACTTGAGCCAGGGTGGTTAAGGCTGCAGTGAGCCAAGATCCCACCACTGCACTCCAGCCTGGGTGACAGAATGAGAGACCCTATCTCAAAACAAAAGGGAGATAAATATTTTATATCACTGATGTTATTCATAAAAATTTGCTATGGGACAGAGTGGGCCAAAGTCCAAAGAAAAAGACCCAAAATATTCCTTCCTCAGGAACAAAAATTAGCCAGGATCAGCTGGGTTAAATACAGGTGTCTGTCACTCCTGCTCTAAAATAGCTCTGGGAAGGGACCCCTCCTTCAGTTCTTCTCCCATAATATCTTGAACCTATCTGTGCCCTGGAACATTCCACAGCACAGCCTGGGTTTCCCTGACCCGGGACCCGCTGGGGCTGGCCCACTCCCCTGGCAGTGTGAACAAGGCTCTGGCGAGTCATGGTTCTGCTGGCCAGGAGGCTGCTGAGGTGGCTTTTTAATCCTCCAGCCATGCCGTCCTAGTGATTGCTTTTATTAGGAAATGTAATGAAAAAGACTATATGAAGCCCCTGCCAGAAAAAAAAAAAAAAATCTAATAAGATTTTGCACCAAGTGTGGCGAGAAAAGAAAGGGGGGAAAAAGCACATTAGGAGTCAGATAATGAGATAAATGAAAGACCGCAGGGAAGATCATTTTTGCAGACTTGCTGGATGGTTGTAAAATTTTTAATTTGCTGAATTCTCTTTTTTCGTTGTCTCTGACTCTTCTCAACTCTTGTCTTTTACTGTCTTTCTGATGGCTGAACGCTTTCTCTCTTTGCCTCTCCCCTTTTCCTTGATTTTTCTGCCTGTTTCAGCTCTTGCCTTGGATATGTGTGTGTGTGTGTGTGTGTGTGTGTGTGTGTGTGTGTGTCTCCTTTCCCCATCCATGGCCAAATCCTGCCTCATGACTTGGGTAGGAGGCTGAGATCTGGACAGCGAGGACCCACCTAGTTAAGGGAAAAAGAGGACAAAGAACTGCCTCTCCCAGCCTTTGCCTTCTAGGGAGTGGCTATGATTCAGCTAAAGAAAGAAAAAGAGGAATAAATCAAGGGAAGGAGGGGGAAAATGGACTATGGAGGGAGGACAGGAGATCAAAGACCAAGGAAGTAAGGAGGAAGAGAAAGCCCCCGCTGCTTCCGCAAATCAATTCCTGGCAATGCCTGCCTCTTCGTCTGTGCTCTAAGCTCCTGAGCAGAATGCCACCTCTGTGGGATGCCAGGCCTGAACAGAAGGGCTCTGGGGCACTGGGCAGGCATGCAGGCCAGGCTGCAGGGACCCCAGGCCTGCCTTGCCCTGAAGAGAGAGGTCTCCCTTCCCCAGGACCACCCTCTCACCATCCACACTTGAAGTCCTCTCCAAAATCTAGTTTCACCGCTTGCTTTGGCAGACTCCTTCCTCCTGTTCCAAACTTGGGAATTCTGAGGTGTCTCTTGGCTGCTGCGCATAAGTCCCAGTTCACAGCTGCAACTTGGGGGACTGAGGGTGGACACAATGAGCAGCTTCCCCACAGGGAGTCAGCAGAGGAAGGAGGCTGGGAAACTGAAGTATAGGAATGAGTGACTTAGGATGGAGACGCACTGCTAGTTATTAGGAACATCCCTCTCACTCCTCGGTCCCTTGTTCCTTCCCCAGTGGGGACTATCCACTCTGTTTCCCTCCCAGAGATGTCATCTCTCTTGGTGCTCTCCCACATGCGAAAGTGTGCTGCTGGTTACTGAGGGAATGGGCGTTTCCTGTACTGGCCATTACAGGAGATAAAAGAGCCACCCAAATCAGTGAAGTCCATGGGAATGAGAGGACCTACTAGAAACCACACACTCTGTACCCTTTGATCAACAGTTCCTCTCTCTCCAACCCCCTCCCTGAGCCTGTGGTGACCATCATTTTTTTTTTTTGAGTTTCGCTCTTGTCACCCAGGCTGGAGTACAGCGGTGCAATCTTGGCTCACTGCAACGTCAGCCTCTTGGGTTCAAGTGATTCTCCTGTCTCCGCCTCCCAAGTAGCTGGGATTACAGGTGCCTACCACCATGCCCGGCTAATTTTTTGTATTTTTTAGTAGAGATGGGGCTTCTCCATGTTGGTCAGGCTGGTCTCAAACTCCTGACCTCAGGTGATCCGCCCGCCTCAGCCTCCCAGAGTGCTGGGATTACAGGCATGAGCCACCGCGCCCAGCCACCATTATTCCACTCTCTACTTCCATGACTTTAACTTTTTTGGATTTCACATATAAGTGAGATCATGTGATGGATTTGTTAATTAGCCTGACTTAATCATTCCACATTGTAAACATATATTGAAACATCAGGCCGGGCACAGTGGCTCATGTCTGTAACCCCAAAACTTTGGGAGGCTGAGAAGAGAGGACCGCTTGAGGCCAGGAGTTTGAGACCAGTCTGAGCAACAAAGCAAGACCCCCATCTCTACAAAAAATAAAACAAAATAAAATTAGCCAGGCACGGTGCGGCATGCCTGTGGTCCCAGCTACTCAGGAGGCTAAGGCGGGAGGACTGCTAGGAGTTCGAGACTGCTGGGAACTATAATCGCACCACTGCACTCCAGCCTGGGTGACAGTGGGACCCTGTCTCTAAAATAAAAATAAAATAAAAGTATCACAATGTACCCCATAAATATATATACAATTATTATTTGTCAATTAAAAATAAAATTTTAATCTGGGCACAGTGGCACATGCATATAGTCCCAACTTCTCAGGGGCTGAGGTGGGAAGATCACTTGATCCCAGGAGTTCAAATCTAGCCTAAGCAATGCAGCAAGACCCCATCTCTTAAAAAGCAAACAAACCAACCAATACTTTTTTTTTTTAATTTAGAAAAAAGAAGAACTCAGGCAAAAGACCTGGTGGAATCTGATATGCATCAACGGTACTCTGGGGGGTCTCAGGGAAGCTTCCACGAATGAGGGTTATGTGGCGGGGTCTGATGGTGGCGCCCCAAGCCAGGCTGGGCAGGGGAGGAAGAGGGCTAGGAAATAAGGTGGACTGGAACAGAGATGGTCGTCCCAAGAGGGGAGATGAAATAGGTTCAAGGCCAGCTGGGAGGGGTGGCTGCTACCAGACTGTGGAATAGAAATAGGCTGGGAATAAGAGCTCATACACACGTAGACCAGCTCATTGAAGTGGGAAAAATACAAATGAGCTAATACACACAGTGCATCCTATGCTCCAGGAATTGCTCTGAGAACCGGAGTATATTTACTTATTTAATCTCACCACAATCCTATGGAGTCGGTACTATTGTTAACACCTCCATTTTACACACGAGGAAAGTGAGGCTTGGTGAGAGGATTCAGAACACAGCCGCCTTCCTCCAGAGTCTGTGCTCGTAACCACCCTCCTCCAGAATAGGAGCCTAGGTAGGCAAAGTCATGAAGACTCAGGGAGGGGGAGAATGGCACTGCACTTAAGAACGTGAACTTCTGGACCCGGTAGCCTGACTCTTACCCTCGGTCTGACCTTGGATAGGATCCTTAGCACTAAGGTCGGCCTGCAGAGAGACACGAAGAGTGACTGGAAGCATGTTGGTAAAAACACAGGCACAGTGCTGTCCCTGAGCTCAGTCAGGGGAAGTTTTTTTTTTGTTTTTTTTGAGATGGAGTCTCCCTCTGTTGCCCAGGCTAGAGTGCAGTGGCATGATCTCGGCTCACTGCAAGCTCCACTTCTTGGGTTCACGCCATTCTCCTGCCTCAGCCTCCCAAGTAGCTGGGACTACAGGCGCCTGCCACCACGCCTGGCTAATTTTTTGTATTTTGTTTAGTAGAGATGGGGTTTCACCGTGTTAGCCAGGATGGTCTCGATCTCCTGACCTCGTGATCCGCACCTCTCAGCCTCCCAAAGTGCTGGGATTACAGGCATGAGCCACCGCACCCGGCCAGGGGGCCAGTTTTTAACACTGTTACTCTCTGCTTCCCATGAGATGAAGGAAGCATCTTTGGTGCTTGGCAACTGGCAAGGCTCAAGGCTCAATTTCCCACCTCTGATTTCCCACCAGAAACACAGGAGATGGACCCTCCAAGGGACTGACTTCTTAGGGGCACACAGTCCTGCAAACAGGTCCCAGCACACATAGCACAGCCCCTCTCCCCAGAGCCAACCACCCCTTGCTGTGTCCTGATGACCCCCCAGTGTTCCCAAGCCCCAGGAACACCCCCTAGTCCTGTGGCTCACTGCATTGTTCCAGGAGGTGTGTGTCACCCTTCTCTTTCCTTGCCTCCTTCCCTCCCCCAGGCCCTGCTTTTCTCTTCATGGAGAAGGCACAAATTAGGCAGAAAGGAAAACGTTGACAGTTCCCAGCCCTCCCTTGCTGGGGATAAAGAGAAATACGTTAACGGTTGAAGCTTTAGGCGGATCAAACACAGTTTGTGAGATGCTTCAAATGTATTATTCATCTCACCAATGAGATGCAATCTTGGGCTTTCTCTTTTCGCCCCATCAAGAGGAAACCTCAGCTACTGTGAAGATGCCAGGCTCCAGAGGGGAGGGGGTGCTTTCAGAATACCATCTTTTCAATTAAATCAACAAGTCCGTCTTGTGTCTGCCCAGTTTCTTCTGAAGCTTTCCAAATGAAATGGGTCAATTTGCCAGAGAATCTAAGAGTACAAAGGCTGTGGGTGACAACCACAAGTATTAGGCAGTGACAAGCACCTGGAAGCAAAGAGGAGACATGGAATCAAATCTGAGACACTTAGAGAAGGCAGGAGTTGGAGCCAGTCCTAGAAGGTCCTCCATGTCTGCATGCTCTTGAGGCCATGTAACTCTCATGGGCTAGAAGAACTCCAAGAGGAACCATCTCAGCTGTGCCTTTAGCTCTGCGGTGCCACTGCAGAAGGTGGCGCTTAGGTCCCTGGTGAGGATCCAAGTCCAGCCTTGGGTTGTTGCTGTACAACTTTTGGCCTTGTGATTTGGACTGGTGGAGGCCCCTGCCCCACCTGCCTGGGGATTCTACACCCATTCATTGCTCCTCCTCCTTTTCCCTTTGGCCACTGAGGTCCCTCTGGGCTGCTGCCAGCATCCTAGGGTTCTTCACCCCAAGAAGAAGCTTCCCCAGCCTCCCATGAGTTTGCCTCACTGTCTCACAGACCTTACACGTGTGCTGTGTTGAATAAATCTGATGTGGGAGTAGGGGGCAGGCTCTGCCCGTGGAACAGGAGATTGGGACAGCCCAGAGGGAAGGAAATTTGACGTGATGGATCAAAAAGCCATAAAGTATATACCACCTTTGACCCAGCAGTTCCATTTCTTAAAGCACCCCCAAGGAAATACTAGATAAGTGTGCAAAGATATATTGGGTTTGCCATTACTTTCAATGGCAAGAACAGCAATTACTTTTGCTCCAACCTACAAAAAGATACAAAAATGTCCATCTCAGGTTTGTCTATAATAGGAAGACTTGCAAACATCCTAAAACCACAATAATAAAGGATTGATTAAATAGTAGCCTTCTGATCTAGTCATTTAAAATCAGATTCCAGAGGAATAACAGGAGGAAGTACTGTATCAATATATTTTCATTCTAAAAAATTTCCCTTCAATCCTTACCCAATCTCATTATTCTTCCCCAAGGTACTCATTGTTATCAGTTTAGTTTGTATCCTCTCCGATCTGTATTTTTGAAGAATCACATTTAATGTAAACAAGTAATAAAACCAGGTTATGCAAGTTTATGACTATAGATGCATGTATCTTTGCAAAGAGAAAAGGCTGGCTGAAATGTGAACACCAAAAATGTGAACAATGTTCAATGTTCAACTCCAAATAGTGGATTGCATATGATTTTTTACTTTCTTCTGCAGGAATTACTGTATTTTCTATGTGAACGGAAAAGAGAAACAATGCTATTTTTGCAAACAGTGAAACAGAAGCAATTGCTGGCACTGGCTGCCTCTGAGCAGTGGGAAAGCCTGTTCACCATATACTCTTTTATGCCTTTTGAATTTTGCACTTTGGGCACGTATCACCTATTCCAAAAATGAATTAAATTTTTAAAAATTTAATATGGCAATAAAATGAAATGAGGGGGGTGGTGAAGACCTCCAAAGGACAGCAAGCCCTGACTGAGAATCTGTGAAATTCCTCAAGCTGTACAGTTTCTGAATCAGCTCAGGATTCACTCCAATAGTGCTGGTCTCTTTCTTTCTCACCAGACAAGGAATTAGGGCCTATAACCTAGAAGAAATGAGGTAGGGTCTAACATAAACCAGGCTGCCAGGCAGGAATAACTTTATAATAATATACAGCATAGCAACAGTAATGGCTCAGTTGAACCTGTTTTCATACTTTTTTGAAGAACTTTTCATCTCCCTTTGGTTCTCCACATTTTCCTTGAGGCTACCCACTGCTGTCAGGTTCCTGGGGAGGAAAGGATGGGACCCAAGACCTTGTCTAAAGGGCCACTGTTTGAAGTCTGCCAGCAAGACCCACATTTCCCGGGGCTGGGTGTTGGTCTCAGACAACAACTCTCTCTCCTTCCCAGGGCCCATTTCACCCGTCAACACCCAGCTTCTGTCACCTGTCTCTGAGTCTCAGGTTCCTCACTTGTAAAATGAGGGTAATCAGCCTGATTATGAGATGTGGTTGCCAGTCAACAGACTGTATGGCAAGGGTGCCACCTGCTAGAACAGAAGGTCCCCAGGGCTGGAGTTGCTTGCAAGCACCCACCCTGGGGGAAGAATCTAGACAGCAAGTCCGAGACCTGGTATAGCCGTTATTTATAAGCTGATGACAGATATTTTCAATCCGCTGTGTTGTGAGAATTAAATAAGACATGTGCGTCTGTGTTTGAGGATGCAGGCCATCCATCCAGCCTAGAAAACGCTGCATGAAGGATGAATTCTCTCCAGCCCCACCAATCCCATCTTCCTATGCCTCTACTACTCGGACATCTCCTTGTATTGTCATTGTGCAACTTGTTTCATGAACAGTGTCCCCAGACTAATTCCTCAACAACACAATTTGGGTCCTAATCATTTTAATACATCACGTAGTAGATCCCCAGAAACTGTTTGCTGAATGAATAAGTGGATGCTATTTATAAGGCCATGATCCTTGTAAATTCTCACTAGGCTGCCTCTTGTTCCTGCCCCTGAAGCTGCTGAAGACCTGCGTTCCCGGTCTGAATTCACTCTAAACTGGACCCAGAGGAGGTGGGAGCAGAGAAATTCAGGGAGCAGCACAGTGTGGTGAAAAGTAGACTAGGGGTCATCCTGAAGCGGCGGCCAGAGAAGACACAAAGACATGAGCATCGGATCACCATGCCTTTCTTGGCCATCCAGAAAAGATTCGGCCTTAACATAGATCAATGGTGGACAATCCAGAGTGCTGAACAGCCCTACAAGATTGCTGCTCGATGCCATGCTTTTGAAAAAGAATGGATAGAATGTGCATATGGAATCAGTGTTATCCGGGCAGAGAAAGAGTGCAAGATAGAATCTGATGATTTCGTAGAGTGTTTGCTTCGGCAGAAAACGATGAGACGTGCAGGTACCATCAGGAAGCAGCAGGATAAGCTGATAAAGGAAGGGAAGTACACCCCTCCACCTCACCACATTGGCAAGGAGGAGCCTCAGCCCTGAGCAGAGCAGCTGCTGATGTCTGGAGGCTGAATTTCCTGTTCTCTGTTCCTCACTGGAAAGATTGTTTATGGAAAACCTCCTTGTCAAAGTGTATAAAAATAAAGGATTGCTCCATCCTAAAAAAAAAACAAAAAGAAGAAGAAGAAGAAAAAAAAAAAGGAAAAGAAAAGTAGAGTGGGGCTGTCGTCCTGGCCATCAGAGACTTAACCTCTCTGGGCTCAGTGTCTTCATCTATATATGGTCATTAGTAGAGCAGATCGGGGTTGAAAACTCAAATGCCCACAGAGGCCAGGAAAATAATGTAGACAAGGCAACAAAGGGGGAAGGTGGCACCCTCCCTTTGTTGGAGAGCAGGCATGCTCCTTGCACAGCGCTGCCCTTCTTGCCCGCTGATCATCGCCAATTGATGCAAGACTGTGGGTCAAGTCTTGTGGCAAGATTGTCTGATCTTTCAAGGGAAGCCAGCAAAGTGGATTTTTATGTGAAGTCTCTTGAATAGGTCAAACTCAAGTCCATAGGCCATTTACCACCTGGAGGCCACTGGTTTGCAGTCTCAGCACCAGCGGACCACCTGGCTTCCTTCCAGCTCTTCAATTCTGTGCGTTCAGGAGAGGAGAACATTCTTGTAAGTAACTGTTTAAAGGGAAGGACTCAAAGTCTGGACCTCATTCTGGCCGCTGGGCCTCCGGTAACTGCCAGCCTGACCCCTAAACTGCAGCTTTATGCAAGGCATGCCCCCCGTCTGCCAGCCCCCACCCCCCTGCCCCACCAACACACGCACATCAGGGGGCAGAAATGGGGGGTGAGGAGGAGACAATGATCCTTTGTCCTGGGGTGGGCCAGGGTTCAGCCCCTCCTGTTCTGCCCCTAGGAGTGCCCGCCCTGCCTAGAGAGCTAGGCCTAGGGGCAAACTGCCCACTCTTAGGCTACCCTGCACAGGGGTGCCTACCGGTGATACAGTCTCACCTAATAAATTCCTGTCAGAAAAGCTGTCAGGGCCTGGGAAATAAATAATGATATTTAACATTTTGTAATAACAACAATTAACCAGTAAATAATGTCCTTTAAACTGCAAACGCTAGAGTAAATTAATTCTTCTAATGAGCTGTCAGGCACGGAAGAAAAAAGTCCCCGTGTTCTTTGCTGCCACGCGGCTGCCGTGTGAGCAGCCGAGGAAGCTCACCTCGGGCCCTGGGAGCTCATTACAGGGAAGCACGCGGCGCGGGGTTCCAGGGAAATCAGCCCGGCCTAGCCTGCACCCACGTGGGCACTCGGCCGCCGCCCGCACCCGGAGCCCCACGGCCCCGCCCTCATTGTGCACGGCGCGCCCCTCCAGGTGCCGATCGCAAATGGGCAGCGCGGAGGGCATTTCAATTAGAGACCTCCCCCTCTCCCTTCTGGTCACCTGGGCGGCGCTCAGCCTCGAGGTGGCGGGGGACAGGAGCTGGGAACTGAGGCGGGAGGAGGGGGAGAAACTCTGCGCGTCCCTAGTCCTTGCTGCGTGACCTTGGAGAGGTTTCTTGCCTCTCTGGGCAGGGACGTTGTAAATGGAAATGTGAAGCTAATCAAACCAGATGTGATTATTTCTGAGCTCCTGAGAAGTCCGTGACCATAAAAAGACACCTAAGAGTGAGGCAGCTCTTTATGTACTGATTCGGAGTAATCTCCAAGATATATTGTCAGGTGACAAAAGCGAGGCACAGAAGAGCTTGCAGGGGATGCTACATCTTGTGTATTAAAAGCAGGACTCAAGAAAGAGTATGTGTCCGTGTTTGCTCTTATAGGTCTAGACAGGAAGCAGGTAACATTGCTTGCCTCTGGGGAGGGGAAGCTGGAGACGGGGGCTGGAGGGAGAGTTCAGTGAACAACCTTTTATACCCTTATTATTTGAACCATGTACAGGTATTACCTATTCAAAAAATAAACGTTACGAAAAACAAAGCCATACACATCAGGGGTCAGCTTGTCTCTCAGTAGCTTTCAGGAAGTGGAAGCCACAGGGGCCCAGCTGCACTGAAGCCCCATGTGAAATCCCTCCAAAGAGAGAGAGCACACTGCCTCTCTAATAACCTATTCTAGAGACAAGCTAATGAGTCAGGAAGTCCTTCCCAGTAGCTAATCCCATTCCCTCCTGCTACAATTTAAGTTTCTCTCTTCATGTTCTGTGTTTGGTGGGTGAAAGGGCTGATAGATAATTCTCTGCAGAGAGCTGGGGGTAGAGGACAGCCACTGTATGGACAGGAGAGAATGAACGGCAGTCCCAGCCCTCTGGAGCCCACAGGCCTAGGTTTGAATTCACTTCTGTCACTTGCTCACTGTATGGTGTTGTATGTCACTCTCCCCACTGCGCTTCCACTTCCTGTGGTCCCTGCCTCCCTCGGGAGGATATTAAGTGCTGGACCTGGTGAACAGGCATCTACTTCCCATGGAAGCCCACAGGTCCATTGCTGCCCAAGATGGACAGAGACCCCCTGCACAATCCTGGGTCATCTGCCCACCCCTTCCCAGATCTATGGCTCTCCCAGCTGCGACGCCCAACCCCACCTCCCACCCGGAGCAGCCAGATACAGCCTCCCTATGGCCAGACGCAGCTTTGCCCATTTGGCACCTAAATTGTCATGCCCTGAATCCAGAACAGGTTCAAGGTAGCTGGTGGCTCAGAGATAGTGTTGGAGCCAGAAATCACCAGAGGTGATCACTTCTGAGCTCCTGAGAAGCCCGTGACCTAAGACACCTAAGAGTGAGGCAGCCCTTTATGTGCTGGCCCAGGGCTTGAGGAAAGCACTTGAGCGGCTGCTTTGGGGCTGAGGGTGAGAGAGGGGTTCAAGCCAGGAGAACTCCCAGCCCCCTATCACCATCTGACCAACTCCCCCTTTATCTATTTTGTATCCTTGCCATCTTCATAAAGTGTCTTTTGATTAAAGAGTTTCTTAGCTGGCCAGGCGCGGTAGCTCACGCCTGTAATCCCAGCACTTTGGGAGGCTGAGGCAGGCAGATCACAAGGTCAGGAGTTCAAGACCAGCCTGGCCAGCATAGTGAAACTCCATCTCTACTAAAAATACAAAAATGAGCCGGGCGTGGTGGCACACGCCTGTAGTCCCAGCTACTCGGGAGGCTAAGGCAGGAGAATCGCTTGACTTTGGGAGGTGGAGGTTGCAGTGAGATCACGCCACTACACTCCAACTTGGGCAACAGAGCGAGACTCCATCTCAAAAAAACAAAAGAGTTTCTTGGCTAAAACATATTTGAAATGCCCTGACCTCGGCCATTCAGAACTGGGCACCTAAGGCATGGGGTTTCAGAAAGAGCAGGGACAAGAGGGGGAAAGAACCCAATGCCTACTAAGGACCCACTTTATGCCAGGCACTTCCCATGCAATTTTCCCTCTTAATCCGCACAACCTGTGGTTTGAGTAATATTATCCCCACGGTATGGACAGGATGAGGGAAGTTCCAAGGGGTTAATAGACTTGCCCAGGTGTATTCAACAAATAAGTTGTAGTTGGGCTAGAATTTGGACCCAGATCTGCTGACTTCAAAGCCACATCTCCTAACACACTGCTGCCTGTCCCAGCCCCTCACCTCACCATCTAGATCTATTAATGTGATGGGGTGCAAGTGGGGTGGGACAGAGCTGGGGTGTGGGAAGGAGGCCAGCTCAGCCTCTTGACCCTCTCTTTCCTCAACATCCTCTACTCAGTACCTGAAGCATTGAGATGAAAATTCAAGGAACAATTGCTGATTGTAAGAATTCATGAGAAAGGCTCCCCTTCCCTGGGAGCCTAGAGGAAATGCACTGGCTTCTCCTCTCAGAATCTGCTTCCTCCTCTCTAAAGTAGGAATTACTTAACCAGGTAATATCTAGCCAGGGGGAGAGTATGGGCACCTCTGATGTCATCTTTAGGAGACTGTGGTGGCTGAAGCTTAGGCACAGAAGTCTAATACACATGAGTTCAAATCCACGCTCTACCACTTACAAGCTGTGTGACTCAGGACAAGTTACTTAACCTCTTTGAGCTTTGTTTTCCTTCCCTGCAAAATGTGGATCATTGCCACTGATCTCTTTGGGCTGTTACAAAGGTTAAGAAGATGACGTGTATAAACTGCTTAGCATGGTGCCTGGGCATTAAGTAGGCACCCAATACATGACTACATCTGTCCTGATGAGTTTTTTGTTGCCCTGCCAGACAAACTCAATCTCCCAGACCAAAAAGGCAGTTGTCCTGGTGCCTGAGATAGGCAGCCTACCTCTGCAGCTTCCTGATTTGGGAGGCAGCCCAGAGAGGCCTCCAGGCTTGGTTTTTTGCAAAGGGCAGCGGAAAATCGAAGCTGAAGCCAGCAAAACAAGGATCCCAGCAGTGGATCTGAGTCAGCTGCTTCTGGGTCTGGGGGTTCAAGAGTCTTCCTCAAAGTAACATAGCTTCCTGGTTACCCTGTCCTCCCTGTAGCTGCCCCCTTGGCCTGAGTCCTCTGAGGGCCCTGGGCACCTGTGTGCACAGAGCATCAGCTGGGAAAGAGGGGTGCTCCAGTGAGTAGAGGAAGCTGGGTCTCAGCCACGCGGAAATTAAAACCAGCTTGCCCAGCACTGAGTTACCATGTCGCCTGAAATCAGATTGATTTATTGGGCTTGTTGTGACGGCAGTGTTGCAATTGATTCGTCTGGATGGCGGGGAGTTTATCTATTCAGAGCTGTCTGTCACTGATCTGAATAAGCTGCTAAAACAGCCCAAATACCTGGCGAGGGCGAGGTCACCACCAACCTCGGCTCAATGTTAATTATAATAATGAACAGGCATGAGGAGGGTTGGTTCATTGCTCGCCCAGCAGGGCTGGCCTCTATGAGGTTTGGTGTTTAATATTCATTTCATGTCAACAATGTGCAAAGAGCGAGTAGACTCTCCTAAGCTGAGAGAAGTTTGCAAGGGCAATGATGTTGATCTGTGCTTCCATGGGACTAAGAAGGAGCCAGTGCTGCTGAAACAGAAAAGGTTTAGGTTAGACCTTAAGAAGAACTTCCTAATGACCAACAGTGGATGGACATAGAATATCTAATTCACTTATTAGCCTGGACAAGTTACTGCTCCTCCTTGACTCAGCTTCCTCCTCTGCCTGGCCAACATGGTGAAACCCCATCTCTACAAAAAATACAAATATAGGCCGGGCGCGGTGGCTCACACCTATAATCCCAGCACTTTGGGAGGCCGAGGCGGGCGAATCACGAGGTCAGGAGATCGAGACCATCTTGGCTAACATGGTGAAACCCCATCTCTACTAAAAATACAAAAAATTAGCAGGGTGCGGTGGCGGGCGCCTGTAGTCCCAGCTACTCAGGAGGCTGAGGCAGGAGAATGGCATGAACCCGGGAGGCAGAGCTTGCAGTGAGCCGAGACAGCGCCACTGCAGTCCGGCCTGGGCAAAAGAGCGAGACTCCATCTCAACAACAACAAAAAAATACAAATATCAGCTGGGTGTGGTGGTGCATGCCTATAGTCCCAGCTACTTGGGAGGCTGAGATGGGAGGATCACCTGAGCATGGGGAGGTTGAGGCTACAGTGAGCCATGATTGTGCCACTATACTCCAGCCTGGATAACAGAGTGAGATCCTGTCTCAAATAATAATAATAATAATAATAATAATAATAATACTTACTTCTTGGAGCTGCTGCTACTGCTGCTCCTGGCCAAATAGCAAGAAAAGGAAAAACAAAACTACAAAACTGGCAGGCTCTTCTGGGTTGTTGGTTCAGGGAGCAACAAAGGGGTCCTACTTTGGGTGACAGATCACCCTTCTCAGCCTTGGTACGGAGCGAGCATTCCATCAATGGGGCTTTTGTAATAGTTATTGATTCTGTGACTATTTATTGAGCCCCTTCTATATGCCCGAACCTGAAGAAAAACTATTGAACAAGCCATGATCCCCAGCCTTTAAGGAGACTAATTCTGGGGTTACTATGGGAGCTAGGGCACCCTCCTCACCGGAGGCTCTCAGGAATAAGGGTGAGCCCTATCTCTGGGAGATAGCTTAGAAAGTGCTCCTGGAGGCAGGCAGATGGATGTGAAGACCTCATGCGGTAGCTGCTTGGGGTTGTTTGAGGCATAATTATCCAGCAGAAGAGCCTACTAAACATCAGTCAAGAAGAGCCCCTCCAGAATATTGTTCTTTCAGAAAGGGGAGGATCCTTCTCCCGATGGGTCTTGCAAAAATGTGGTCAGACTTGGGGTTCAAGTCTGCAAGAAGCCAACAGTGACCAATTGACTCCCCTGCCCCTAAAGACACCAACTGAAATTGCAGCAAGAAACATGGAGGTTAAATGAGATTTGGAAAGCAGTGAAGGAGACCATGATGAAAAGATTCCCCTGTCTGTCTGGAAGCCTGGTCAGCTGCCTTCCTTGTGACATTCCTTTCTCTGTTCCTACAAAGCTCTCCTCTCTCTCCACCTCAGCTGCTGGTGGAGACCCCCATGGCCAGCCTTAAGAGAAACATCAGAAGAAAGTTAATAGCGAAACGGTCTGGCGGATCTAATTGATTTTTTTCCTATTGGTTCCCTAATATAGGCAACACCGTTCCTGCCGCTTTTCTGGGCTGGAGATTATGTCATAAATAAAGAGATTTGCTCCCTATTTCCATGTGCTTATCTTTAATAAGTTAAGAACTCAACAAGCTTTAGGAGGACTTGAAATAAGCAAGAGATCCGGTGGTGGCTTTGGCTGTGGCAGTGGCTTTATTTCAACAAAGGGGGAGGCAGATTGCTGAGGCTAGTGGAAGAGAATTTCCATTCTTTGAGTTGCACTGGGCCTGGGCTCAGCTGGGAGAAGAGAGGGGCAAGTGAGAGAGCTGGGGGAGGAAATTCGTGGTGGCAGATATAGTAAAATGGATGGACCCAGCCCATGGGGCTGCGGGTAATGTGGTAGTTAAGAACATAGGTTCTAGAGCCAGGTAGCCTGGGTTCAAATCCGAGCTTCGTCATTGCTTACTAGTTGTGTGACTTTGGGCAAATTACTTAGCCTCTCTGTTCCCACATTTTAAAAATGGATAATATCTAGCTCATAGGTTGTTGTGAGGATCAAAATGTAAAGTGCTTAGACCAGAGCCTGGCACAGAATATGCACAGAATATATGTTAGCCAGTATATTATTAAGATATCCTCTAACTCAGTTTACCTTAACTGTTGCTGAGCCTGTGCCATGTGTCAGGCCCTGGTCTGGGCTTCATAGATGAGTTCACTCTGACTTCAAGGAGCACCCAGCCCCTGTGACTGGTATGAGCTGGGTGTCCGCACTAGAGGGAATCCAGAAAGTGAGCGGTCACCCCTTTCGGGGAGAGACTGCCATCCTATGGCCCTGTCTTGAGGTTCACCCACTCTCCGGTTCTGGACACCCCACAGATTAATTCACATTTCCTGAAAACTGACAGTGAACACAAACTGTGCAGCGCATGCAGAAACAGCCTCACTCAAGTTTAAGTACCATGCACCTCATGTGCCAAGCTCTGCTATTTATTTGCAGGGTCTCATTTAGTCCTAATCAACCCTATGAAGACAACAGTATTGCTATCTCCCATTTCACAGTTAAGGAAACCAAGAAACAGAAAGGTGATTTGCTCAAAGGTGATTTGCTCAAAGGCTTACAGCTAGCAAATAGCAGAGCGAGGATTTGAATCCAGGTCCATTGACTTCCCCTGCTCTAAACATTGCCCTGTAGCCCTCATCCTGCACTTACAGTGCACTTACAATTGCAAGCATTAATAAGGCACATATAATATGCAAGATCCTAGGCATAAGGGCTGAGGGGGTAGAAAAAGAAATAGAAACAAGTACAAGTAGATAGAAACAAGCACCTACTATGTGCCAGGCTCTCCAACAGGTTATCTCACTGAATACTTTTCTGAAAGGCAAGTGGCATCATTTTCCTTTCATAGGTAAAGAAATGGAGGTTCCAAAACTTGCCCAAGGCAAACATTAGGTTGGGATGATTTGAACTCAGGCCTGCCTCTGAGGTCCAGCCAATGCTCAGGATGACCCTCAATCCTCCACTTCTCCTTTTTTTTTTTTTTTTTTTTGAGAGAGTCTTGCTCTTTCACCCAGGCTGGAGTACAGTGGCACGATCTTGGCTCACCACAACCTCCGCCTCTCAGGTTCAAGCGATTATCCTGCCTCAGCCTCCTGAGTAGCTGAGACTATAGGCGTGCACTACCACACCCGGCTAATTTTTGTATTTTTAGTAGAGACAGGGTTTTGCCATGTTGGCCAGGCTGGTCTCGAACTCCTGACCTCAGGTGATCCACCCACCTTGGACTTCCAGAGTGCTGGGATTACAGGCATGAACCACCGTGCCCAGCCTCCCTCAGTTTCTTGATGAGCAGTTTCCCTTTCCAGCAGGCCTTGCTCTTGCCTACCCCGAATGTGGACCTACTGCAGATGGGCTGAGAAGTGGAGCCCTCCCCCTGACAGGCCTTGGGTGGCCTCCCCCTTTCCTAGGAGATGATCTCTATCCCAGGCTTCCATTTTGTATTCTTCCTTTCTCTTGCAGGCCATTGTCTGGACCCACATATTCTGTTGCTTTAAGGACTGGTGACCTCACAATCAGTTGCCATAGAGACCATTGTGATGTCACAAATAGAGGACAAGTAGTTCAAGGAGGAGTGGGGGAGGGAATATGCTGAATTAAGGGACATTGGGAATTTCTGTCCTATTTTCATGCCCAGAAAAGGAAGTGGCTAGAAGTGTATCTAAGCCTGGGTTCTGATGTCTAAGGGAGACTTGACCATGTTCTCATATCACTTCCCCTGGGTTCTCCTGAGACTGTGATGTCTCTAAGGCCCAAATAAAGGGTCAATGAGAAGGAACATCAGAAACACTCCCTGCCACTCTGGGGCTATAAGAAGCGGGCTGCTTTTGTAGCAGGAAGGAATAGTATTAGATGCCAGGAGGATCTGTGTGAATGGAAGATCTCCCCGGAGGTAATGAAGGACCCTTGCCTTGGGAAGCTTGAAGCATGGGAGACTTGGCCTCTAGGGCTTCCAGAGCCTTGTTTAAGTACCTTGTGGAGATAAACATGCTGTCTTACAGGGTGTTGGGGCTGTTTCCCCTCCCCAGTCTGGGTGCTCCTTGAGGGCTCTCCCTCTCCAGTAGCTAGTTCAGGTCCTGGCATACACACAGTGCTCAATAAGTGCTCACTCATTCAGTAAATGAATGAGTGGGTGATGAATGAATTGGGAGGTAGTAGGGTGAAGGACGAACGAATAAATGGACAGATGGATGGGCAGGTAGGACTCCTAGAGATTTCATACCAGCCACTAAGCTTTGCTACACCCCAGCTCTCCAGCTACATCCCACACCACAACTCTTGTTTGCTGCCATCCAGCTACACTAACCATCTCTTAGTCCTGCCTACCGATGTACATGCTGTTCCCTCTGCATGGAATGCACTTCTCTTCCTCTTCAATTAAATAACTCATCCGCATCTCCCTGTAGCCTCCCGATGCCCACCTGCCAGGGGCAGCCCACAGGATGCACCCGGGGCCTCTTCCCTCTTTCTCAGGAACTCACCCCACCTGGTGACTCACTCTCTCATCACATGGCCATCAACCTGGTACCAGGTTCCCAGCCCCAGAGCAGCACCATAAACCCAATGCCTCTGGACAGATGTATTTTATGTAAGTTCAAGCACTAGAAATATTGAGTTCAGAGGATTTTATTTCTAGAGCCCTCTATATTTCTCTGGGATTATCGCCTGTCTTTGTTCCCTCCCTCTCTTGGTTATTATCTTTGGACCCTTTCCAAGCCAAGCTGCCTTGATTGCTTGGGATGACAAAGGCCCCCAGCATCCTCCCATGGTGTCTCTGGGTCTGGTGAGAGTGACCTTGGGGGACCCTTTCTTCTTCCTTCAGCATAACCCTGCAGGTGGCCACAATGCCAGGCAGCCTTGGCTTTTAGGAGCTGGCTTCACTAAGAGACTAAGTGTCAGGGAACATGAAGGGGATGGTGAAAGTGGAGGCCTCATGCCCCCCAGTTGCAGAAGGCTATGCTTAGAATAAGCTCTGTGGTACAGAGGGGATGGAGAAGGCCAGCTGTTCTCTTTCCTACACCATGCCAACCTAGCCTGACACCAAATTAATAGTATTCAAATGAGATGCAAAGCATTATGCAAATCTAGAGGAGAAAGCCACTCTTACCAGGCTGTTGGAAGGCCAGCACCTTGAGTCCTTTATGGAGGACCCCACGGGCTTCTTTCAACTTCAACCCCTGAACCTTCAGCACCAGCTGGTGTGAAGAATCCAATGAGACTGGTGCAGCCTTCTCCCTGATCATCTGAGCTGGAGCTCACTCTGGCCTCACCCCACCGCAGGTACTCAGGGCCTCCTGAAATGATACAGAGGCAGCCACGGAAGGTAGAACAACCTCCCTCTGGATGCCAGAATTCCAGCACCCCACTCATCAGCAGTGTATGCAAAGTAGATGCAGGGTTTTTTTGCATCTATTTAACCGTCCATTAAAATGGCCCCTCGCCCGTCACCTCTGCACAGGCTCAGGCTTCCAAATTGCCAACCCCCGCTGCCTGCAAGCACCATGTGGTTCCTGCGCCTGGTAATTGCTGTGGTGTTTGTTGAGCTGTATTTGCATTTGATTGTCATTTAACTTTCCATCTTTCTCCTTCAATCAAACCAGAGATTGGGCTTTTGCAATTGATTATTCATTTATTTTCATCCCCTTGGTAGTTTTCAAAGAGTTTTCTTTATTAGTGCCCCAAATTTGAACCCTGGGACTTCTCCTGCCACATGATGGGGGAAAGCCTCCTCCCATCCATCCCAGAGCTCCTATGTGAAAATAATCTAGCCAACATTGTACGTCTTAAGTCCTATCCCCAGTCTCCCTGTTTCAGCACCTGCCTCATTCCTGCCCAGCCGGTGGCATTAAACATTTATGGAGCTGTGGAGGATCAAAGGCCTCGGCTGGGGGTGGTGGGCAGGCTGGAGGCCTCTGTTTGGAGATGGAAAGTAGCTCACATCAAACCACTTTCTGCTGCTGTCTCCATCTACCCTGAGCTCTTCCTGCAGTCAATCCTGGAGCAAGAGCAAATGCCTGGAGCCAGGACTCTCCATTTATCAGAGCAGGGCCCTCCTCCTGCCCCTAAATTCAATGGGTTGACTTTGGGTAATGCAGGGAGCCCTGGCTGGAGCACTGGCATCCCTGACTGTTCCAGGAGCTGCAAGGTCTGGAATCCTGCTCCATGAAGTGGGTTGAGGTAAGCAGGCAGCTCTGAACCCCTGGGAGCCTCTGGAGTGAGGTGGCAGCCCCTGCCCTTGCCTCCCTGAAACACCAAAACCCCTTTGGCTCCACAAAAGATATAGCTCTGGTTTGAAAGCTGTCTTAGAAGAGAGTAATTTTCTCCTCCTCTCGTGCAGAAAGCAAGTGTCATCTCAGCAGAGACTTCAAAATAAGTCACCAATGTGCCTGTGATCCTACAGATTGATGGGCTGTTTGGAACTGGGGAAGTAAAGCTGGCTTCTCCAGCTTCAATGGATGGATGGGGGCTCTATGTATGTCTGGCTTTGTCTGGGCAGGGGTTGGGGTGTCTGGGATTGAAGAGCCCCTTCTTCCCTCTCTCTGGTCTCTCAAACCTAATTCAGTCACTGTAGCTCAGACACACACCCCACCCCCTGGCTTCGGAGTCAGCAGTGAACCCCACAGTTCCTACCACTTGCCACAGTGCTTGAAAACATACCTTAATGATGCCAGATTGCTCTGTTTCAGTGCAAATATCTTCGTGATGGGGTAATCCCTTCAGTATAGCCACCAAGGATGTCCTTCAGCTCAGGTGACCACCAAGCCATTCACAGCTAGGCCCCAGCCTACTCTAGCCCTTTCTCCTACTTCCCAGCAGGGACTCTGCTCCAGCAGAACCAGTCTTCTCACTGACCCAGACTAGCTTGCATTTTCCAACGCTGTGCATAAACTACACCCCCCAACTTTGAATGTCTTCCCTCTCCCTCTCCATTGAATCATAAGACTTATTTGGGCTAGGGGCAGTGGTTCATGCCTGTAATCTCAGTCCTTTGGGAGGCCAAGGTGGGAGGATCACTTGAGCCCAGGAATTTGAGACCAGCCTGGACTACATACAGAGACCTCATCTCTACAAAAAAGTAAAAAATTAGCTGGGCATGCTGGCTCATGCCTGTGGTCCCAGTTATTCAGGAGGCTGAGATGGGAGAATCACTTCAGCCCAGGAAGTCAAGGCTGCAGTGAGCCCTGATCACACCACTGCATCCCAGCCTGGGTGACAGAGTAAGAACCTGTCTCAAAAATTAATTAATTAATTTTTAAAAACATATTCAACTTGGTTTCACCCATCCATTGTGTGAAGATTTCACTGACCTTGCCTCATCCCCAAAAGAAACAATTGCCCTTTTCTTCATTATCTCACAGCACTCATTTGACACCAATGACCGGCCTTGGGCTTTAGACACTCCTCATCCCTGTTGTTTATTCACAAATATTTATTGAACATCTACTATGTGCCAGCCACTGAGCTAGATTGTGGGTAGATGAGACAGACACGGTCTGTGCCTTCGCAAAGTCAACAACTAGTAGAGCAGACAGACAATTAAGCAAGCAATTACACAGACAGGGGAAGCCCAGGGTTCTCTGGGAGCAAAAAGCCAGGTGGGGGATGCAGAGAACAGAAGTGAGAGCAGTGAGGGGAGCCTTGCAAGTCCACCCAGACTGCCACTTTCAAAGGTGCCTATGAATTGAGTAGACTATAAGCCTGCCAGCCCTGTATACAGCTGATTGTCCCCTTGGGCATTTTATTGTTCTCAATTTGTAGGTAATATCAAGGTCTGGTTAGGACGAGCCCCTTGGAGGGCATGATAGAGGGCACCTGACAGAAGCTCTGCTGTTTCCCAGTTTGGCCCAGGCTCTGCCTCAACCTGCCTAGGAACCCACTGCATAAAGGCTATGTTAACTGCCTTTAGGAGGGAGGGACAGCCCCGGTGCATTGTCATGCCCATCATGCAGTACAAGCCCATCTTCTGAGCTCAGGGTACAGTACTGTATTCTGGGACTTGTAGTCTCCATTGGACCCTCTAGGTTAGTTCAGGCCATAGGGAAGGTGATGTGACAAGTTCCAGGATGGCTTCTCTCCCCCTCCTTTATGTGCATAGTGCCCAGCCCATCAAGGAGCCCTGTTGCTAAGAGAGTCAGACAAGCCTGCCACCAACCTCCAAATCCCCATGAATCATCCTGGCAATACAAGATTCATCCCTAGGTCATGACTCACTCCCCTTGCCCAAGCTGCCTAGCCATGAGGGACCAGGAATACTAGAGGAGCCCAGGAATACTTTCAAGGAGGAAAAGAGGAATCTCATGACATTTGCCAGCATTTTCCTAAACTTCCCCCGGTCACACAACCTTCTACCTCTGTGTCTCTTCCCTTCCTCTGTTGGCAACTCTCTTTCTGCCTCCCCTCTTGCACCTTCTTTCCTGGCTTCCTCTCCTCACCCCTGATTCTTGCATCAGCTCCTCCTTCTTCCTGCCATCCTTCTGCTGCTGCCCTCTTTTTCCTCAGCTTCTCAAAACAACTGTCCAGAAATCCCAGCGTCTTCCTAATTCCACACGCCATCTGCCTGCTGCCTGGGACTCTTTACAGCAGTCATCACAGCTCCCCAGAGCCCACAAGAAGAGGGTCTGGAGAGAATCCAACCAGCAGAGTTGGGAGACTCTGGTCAAGAGGACCAAAACACTCTCTAAGGAACTTGAGCAGAAATTTCACCACCTGCTTCCAGGATGAGGGTCAGGAAGGACACTGGACAATGACTGGAGTCTGGAAGCTTTGGAGAGCAACCAAGTTCATGTAAAAAGAAACTAAACAAAAAACTGCCCTTCTCCCAGGGGCAATAGGGAGTTCAGCCCTCCTATTCCTCTACAGGGAATAATAACATCAGCCATAGGATCCTGTCCCATTGTACCCATTAAAGCTCTTCAAGTGAGCCCATCCATGAGCCCCTGCCTTTAAAGAGCAGCCTCAGGATGGCACAGCTGTGACTGCCCCCTTGCTGTCCTGTGACTCACTGGGGCTCCTCAGCCCAAGCAGGGCCCTGGAAAGTTATTTTTCCATGCCTTTAATAGTACAGGCTACACCCCTGGGCCTCCTTCAAGTCTCTATCTAAAACAGCCGTAGGGCACAGTGGCTCATGCCTGTAATCCCAGCACTTTGGGAGGCCAAGGCGGGAGGATCTCTTGAGGCCAGGATTTCAAGACCAGTTTGGGCAACATAATGAGACCTTATCTCTGCAAAAAATTTAAAAATTAGCCAGGCTTGGGGGTGCATGCCTGTAGTTCTAGCTACTTGAGAGGCTGAAGTGGGAGGATCTCTTGAGCCCAGGAGTTTGGGTGAGCTATTAATATAATTGTGCCACTGCATTTCCAGCCTAAGCAACAGAGACCCTGTCTCTAAAAACAATAATAAAATAAAATAAAATAACAGCTCTAGGAAACCCTCTCTCATGCCTATGCCATTTTCTCCACCAATTCCAGAAACCTGGGCAGAGATGGCATGAAGGGTCTGTATCGACTGTCACTGTGGCTTCTCTGGTCCTGCAGAGGGGCCAAGGCAGAGTCCTGGAGACCCAGGGCTACGTGGGGACCCAGGATACTACCTTCAGCTGCCCACAGCTTGGCCCAGGTTGCCTCCTGCCAAGTGAAGAATGTCTCCCCAGGATGCGAGTGCCACTGGCTTTTAACTATAATATCAGGATAATTAAGCTTTTCTGTGAGCACAGTTTGCTGCTGATGCAGCTGCCTGGAGCCCTGGCATTTATTGAGCGCAAAGTAATAATTTATTATCCTTTGTACGCTCAAAAGCCATCTTCATTATCGTCCCAAGACGGAACTGCCACAAGGGCACGCGGGCCTCACCAGCTGCCTCACTCTCGGATGTCTTCCCAGGTCACCCTTGACGCCCTCAGGTACCAGGATTGGGTGGAGAGGGGTGGGGAAAGTGTTGCTCTTTCTCATGGAGAATCAGAAGGCTACAGTGAGCTATTAATTGAGGTTCCTTAGCAGGCCGTTAACGGGAAAGAGGGTGGCATGCTTGGCTGGGGGTGGGCAGCGCAGAAGGGCAGGGGCCGTGTGCCCACATGAGTAGGGCAGTCGCGGTGGAGCGGGAGCCTGGGCTCCTGCCCCTGGGTCTCTGCGCCTTTGCATGAGACTTTACGGTAAGCCGCTCCTCCCGCGCCCCCGCCCCCAGCCCCGCTCGGCGATCCCCGGCGCCGTCGCCAGGCGCTGGCCGTGGTGCTGATTCTGTCAGGCGCTGGCGGCGGCAGCGGCGGTGACGGCTGCGGCCCCGCTCCCTCTACCCGGCCGGACCCGGCTCTGCCCCCGCGCCCAAGCCCCACCAAGCCCCCCGCCCTCCCGCCGCGGTCCCAGCCCAGGGCGCGGCCGCAACCAGCACCATGCGCCCGGTAGCCCTGCTGCTCCTGCCCTCGCTGCTGGCGCTCCTGGCTCACGGTAAGGGACCCCGGCATCCGGCGGCAGGACGGGGGCGGGAGCGGGGCCCCAGGGGTGGGAAGGGAGACCCGGTGCCCAGCTTCGGGCATCTGGCTGCCCAGTCCAAGCACCGCGCCCCGCCGGCTGCGCTGCCCCCGGCGCCGGCCAAGCCGGGCGGGGCGCGGGCTTCGCGGGCGGGAAGCTGCCGCGGCTCCCGCCATTCGCGCCCGGCCGAGACCTCGTCTTTAATCATCTCCCCAGATCTAATGGGATTTCTCTGATGCAATTCATCACGCCACCCACTCCCCGCACACACGCGCTCACCCGCGCGCTACCTCGCCACACTCTAGGCATCTCAGGGTGCTGGGGCGCGTGCCGGGGGGCGCAAGGCAGTGAGTCGGGACGGTCCAGCTGGCGGCCCGTGGTCCCGCTTCCCCTGCCGCCCGCCAAACTTCGCTCGACTTTGCCGCCGGTTCCAGGGCCTCTAGTGTTCTTACTGAGGGGAGACGGGGCCGGATGGCGGCCGGACCCGGGGTTGGGACCTCGCTCACCTCCCCATGCCCTGGCGCTGCCACGCCAGAGTCGGGACCTAGAGCACAATTCTAGAGAGAAACTCCAAGGGCCTGGACCCCCTATCTGGCTCCTGGCTCTGCCCTCGGCTGCAGCAGCGGAGATCCTGGGATAGAGACTCTGTCCTCCCCAAAGTCCTTTCCTTGTACACACACACACACACACACACACACACACACACACACACCACTGCCCCGAGCTCTGCCTCCCTCCCGGCCTGCCTTCCTGCCCGGCCCTGGTCCACTCCCCACCTGCAAGGCAGATTTGTCTCTGGAGGACCTGTTCCCCACACCCTGAGAATCCCCGCGCCCCCTCTAGGAGTCTGGTCCCCAACTTCGTCGGTCTTGGGTAGAGGGAAGCTTGGCCATGGTGTGAGCGGCAAGGGAGTGTTGGGGAGAGGATAGGGGTTCCGTGCCTCGGGGAAGAGTCTTGTCTGGACCTGCCGTCCTGGCTCAAACAAGCTCTCATGGAAGCTACTGGCACCCACGTCCTTCTCCCGCTGCAGTAGGCTGGTAGGGTCGGCAGAACCGCACTTGGAGTTGAGACCTGCCATCCCTTGCCATATGGTTTGAAGGGCCTGATGTGAAGTGTGAGGGTGGGAGTTTCTAACCTCCCTGCTCGATCTTTCCAGGCCGCTGCCGAGGTCAAGGCAGCGCGGCCAGGGACAGGCTGGGCCCCCGGACGGCAGTTTTCTTCATCCAGGAAGAAAAACTGTGGCCCCGGAGACGCAGAAGCCTTTTTCTGAGCCTCTAGCTCCACTTGCACACAGCCCAGTGTCCTCACCCCGCTACCGGGCTGCCCATGCTGGATCCTCCGGCAGCGCCCAGAACTTGAAACCGTGTGCTCACGTTCTGGGGAGAGGGGAAGAGTCCTGCAAGACCCACCCCAGGGATGAAGACCGGGAAGGAGAAGTGTGAATCCCTGCCTAGCTGCCTGGGGATGTCCCTAGGAATTCCGAACCTATCTTGGGTCCTGATGGGTCCTGGCGCTGGACAGCTCCCCTGGGGCGCAGGGCCTGTGTCTGTCCCCTGGCAGTTAGTCAAGGCCTTGTGTGTGAGTTTGTGGGTCTGAATGTGAGAGTAATCAGGGCCCTGCATGACTAGAGGAGCCAGTCCCAGTGTGTCTGCACTTCAAGTGGTCCGAATCTTGGGTGAGGGGTCAGCAGTGAATGGGTGTGAGGACTGTGTGAGGCCACTAGTGTGTGGGTGCAGCCTCAGCCAGAGAGCTCCCTGCAGGGCTAGAGTGAGACTGTGGGAATCCAGGAGGAAGGCTGGTGTGGCCAGGAGTCCCACCAGCCCTGATGGGGATGTGGGTGTGAGTGTTAGGAGGAATCTGCTCACTCTGTGGCCTCAAGTCTGTGTGTCCCTGGGCAGTGTCCCTTCCTGACTATCAGGATCTCCAGTGCCCATGGAGGCACCTGCCAGTGGGATATGTGGGGTAGGAGTCTGGCTGTTGGGAAAGACCTCTATTTTCACTCCCCAAGGGAGACGAAGAGGCAGCCCCGAAGTGCCAAGCCTGAGGATGAGAGGGCTGGGATGTCAGAGCTGGGTAGCCAGAGGCTCCTCTCTCCTCGGCTGGACTGGAGGTCCCAACCATTGGGATAGTGAGTCATCTCAGTGGGGAGCAGCGCATTTGGCCATCCCGGGGTTCCTGGGCACTTTAGCTTTGTGAAGGCGAGCCTAAAGGAGCAAAGACCTCAGGCTATGAGCCTTTTCGGCCCGAGGGGTGCATCCCTCAGCCTTTCAGCCCCGCCACCTCTCTGATGAGGCCCTCAGAGCTTTGCTCATAGGCAGGATGCAGACTGCAGGATGTAGCCAGGCACGGCCCAGATGCCTTGGAAGGCCTGGTATGCCGAGGCTGCGGAGGTAGGGCAAAATCGTGCTGGGCTTGGCCCAAGCTCACAGGCTCAGTCCCCTATTCCCTTCTGCAGCCTCCAAGTCTTGATTGGCGTCAGGCATCAGGGGCGTCTTGGGCCACGGGGTATCTTCCCAAGCTGTGTGGGGTGCCTGGGCCATCCAGCCACAGTGGAGGAAAAAGCGGTGTTGAAGGGGCTGCGTGTGCCGAGCCTGCTGTGTCAGTTTAATGATTTTTAATGAGCAATTACCTTTAGTCATTCTCCTAATTTCTGAATATCAATAAAGTTAATTAAACTCTGCATGTGTGAATGTGGCCTAGGGAGATTATGAAGGTGGAAGCCGCTGAGACTGGGGTAAGGTTGGGTCTCAGGAATGGAGGCTGCCTCCATGGCTGTGTGACCTTGGACCTGCTGCTCCACCTCTCTGAGCTCCACTTGAGAATGTGGTGATAGAGGGGGCCTGGGGATGGCTAGTCTGGGTTACTCACTCTGCCAAGAACTGAGGGATGATGTCTGGAAGGGAAGGTCTGGAGGAGAAAAGAGAGGAAGGACGACTCAGCTTCCAGGAGCCCTAGTGCTGCAAGGGTTAACAAACGAGGGCTGCCTTAACCTAAAATGGTAATTGCTGCTTCCTGCAGACTCCTTGGTAGGTGCTGGATTCTAACAGCACATCCATGAGTCTGGGGGCTGCTGCTGAAACCAATACTAGGTCCTGTTCCTTGTCCCCAGCCTGGCACTTCGGGATCAGGAAGTGGTACTGGGGACAAGGCCCCATGGGAGACAGTCCAGATTCTGTTCAGAAACCCAGAGGTTGACATGGCAGGCAGGAGCACACCCCCACCCACCAGCCCCGGGCTTCCAAGGAGGCTGGAGGACCCAGAGACTGCCATGGACAGGAGAAGCCTGAGTTGGCTTTTTGCTCCTCATAGGTCTAAGCTTGGCAGGCCCTGGCGGCCATCCTGGCCTCCTCAGCAGGGTGGCCGCTTAAAATGCCTTGGGGACACTGTGGGGCACTAATGGAGAGCAAGGAGACACAAGGGCTGGGCTTAATTAGAAACTGAGCTTCCATTCCCCACCAGTACTACCATGCCTGCCTAAATATGGGGAGCATATCAGAAAGCCTGCTTCCTTAGCCCCTCCATCCATCCAGTTCCAGGCCCTCCAGCTTCCTGTGCTCCTTGTCCCCACCTATCCTAGCCCAATTAAGCCCCATCTGCTGGGCTGGGATCAGCTCAGGAATGCTGTGCCCCCACCTGGGCAGAGCTGTCATGGCTCAGCACTCTACCAACCCCACCCCTACCCCCACCAAAAAAAAAAAAAAAGAAGAAAGAGGGTGCAGAAAAGGGCCTATTAGGCAGGAGTTACATTAGTGAAGGAACTTCTCAATCCAGGTGGTTAAGAACCCAGGCTCCCATGTGATCTCACATATACCCCTGTCCTCTCTGGGCCTCCACTCTCTGGAGCCTTCAATGGAAGTTGCCATGCCTTATAGCACAGGAGAGCCTCAAAGTTCTTGTCAAGTCATGCAGATTTCTGGGTCCCCAGCTTACTGGCCTATTCTCAGGGAGGAGGAGCCAGGTTCTATACAGAAGAGGTTTCTGGCGGAGACTATGCTGCCAGCACTGGTCTGCAGCTGGGTGGTGGGAAGCAGGCACTAGGAGGTCTCCAAGACCAATTCCAACAGGAAGTGGCAATTCCAGGAAGCCGACCCACCCAGCCAGGCCAAAGGAGTTTTAGCTTCAGTTTTCCAAATTAGCCAAGTCAAATGAACCAAGTTCTCAACAGCTTTTGGGCTCTTATCAGCCTTTCTGCCTGAAATTCCTTTCCCCTCCCGGACCAATCTGGCTCACTCTACCTCACGCTTCAAGTATTAGCTTAGCTGACACTTCCTGTAATTCTCCAGTACCTATTTAAGGAGCATCTACTACATGGTTCCTCAGGGGAGCCAGGCCTGTCCTCCAGCCTGGGTCAGAGGACTCTTCTGTGCTCTCACCATCCCTTGGCTTCCCCCATCCAGGTCCCCATCTTGCTAGGTCACAAGTCCCTGGTTGCTTGATGCTCCAGCAGCAAAACTAAACTCAACAAAGATGATCCCAAGTCTGTTTTGTTCACCCACTATGTCTTGGGGAAGCTCTAGAATTCCTGTTTGGGAGAAGTTTAGGGTCAGCTGCTTGGTTAGAAAGGGGAGGCGGGCCTATGGCAGCTGGGACCGAATCTTGAAGCTGAGTTTGCGTAGCAAGCATGCTATTTTTACATAGATTGTATGTTAGAATTTTTTTCCTTTCCTAACAGTTGGCCAATTATCCCAACTGTAAATTACAGCCTTTACTTCGTTTTTTCCTTCTACAAATTAAGCTGTCACGCCATCAGCCTGAGGTGGCTCAGGGATAGGGTGCTGATGGCCATTCTGAATGGGCTAAAGCCTCTCCCCAGTCACCCCTTAGTGCCACCACTGCTTGTGTCCCCAGTGACACAAAGCCTAGCACATGGCAGACATTAAATACATGTTGAATAAATTAATGAGAGTTGCACAGGTGGGTATTGGCAGAGGTAAAGCCCAGGATTCCTGACCACCCCCCCTATAACAGCCACCCTAAGCACCCACCCACTACCCCTAATGGCTGAGAGGGATGCCTCGAATGGACTTGGCTGGCACTAAGAGGTAAGGGAAGGATGAATCCATGTCATCTGGCTCCATAGCCCCCTCATCCATCTCCCAGCTTCAGACACTCTCACATAGCTTGCAGGGACCAACATGAATCTTTGGGAGCAGCTCTGAGCCTACATGCCCTTTAATGGAGAGGTGGAGGCCTAAGAATCATCCAGAACCACAATAATTCAGGTCCACAACTCCTAAAAGAGCAGGCCCTGGGGTATATCTACCCATCCATCCATCATTCATTCATTCATTCCATAGATATATATTGAGACGTGAGGCCTGGCCCAGAATCCTCAGGGGCCCAGCCTTCACTGGTCAAGCGTTTCACATGACTTTTCTATTTAGTACTCGCAGTAAGATATTAGTTGTTCCCATTTTACACATGGAAAAACTGAGTTTTGATGAGATTAAGTCACTTACCCTGAGGCTGTACAGCCAGTAAGTAGTAAGGCTACTCCAAAGTGTCTGCCCATTTCACAAAACCTGGCTTCAGCTAGCACTATGTCCACTTTCCCGGCATAGGGGAGAGCTTCACTACAGGCAGAAGGGAACCCAGGAGAGTATCACTATCCAAATAATAGCAACAACAATAATAGCAAACATTTATATGGTACCAACTATGTGCCAGGCGCTGTACGAAGTGCTTTGTATACATTAGCTCATTTAGTTCTCTTATCATCTCTGTGAGATAGAAGTTATTATCTGCCTTTTATTAATCAAGTTGAAACCCATGTTGTCAGACAGACCCAAGACATAAACAGCCCTTCACTTTCTTCTAGCACATTTCTGGTGATGATAGGTGCTTCTCAGTCATTAGTGGCAAAGGAATAAAACATCCTTTCCAATATTTGGAGGTCAGGAAAGAATAAGGGGCTGGGAGTCAGGTGAACTATGGTCCCTGAAGTCTTGGGCCAGAGCAGAGTGATGTGGGGTGGCTCTTACTCTTCAGTCCTTTGAGGGCTTTGTGAATGAGAGGACCAGTCACTCCTGTCCTGGCATCCTGGGCTTCCCTACCTCTCCCCTTCAGCCTCCACTGAGGCCCAGCCCCCAGGTGGGAAGGCCCAACCCTGCCCCAGCTTCCTTCCACCTGCCTACCTGCTGCCCAAACCACCAGACCTGTGGGGGGAGGATGGATGCTGCAGCCACAGGCAGAGTGTTGTTGGCCATTGATTGTTGGGATTTCTCTGCGGGCTCCGGAGCAAACAAACCTGCGGCTTCTCCAACAACAATCCACAAACCTGCCGATTCTCCAACAACAATCCGGGTCTCCAGGTCTCAGGCTGCAGAGCCTGCAGCCTTGCTGGCAGGCAGTCTGGCAGGAAGGGAGGGGGTAGGGTGGGAAGTCCTGGCTGGGTCCATCTGGAACAAGGGGCTCTGCCAGGAGATGAGCAGGGACTGAATGAAGGGGGGCAGTGGAAAGATGCCATGAGGATGCTAGGGTGAATCCTAGACCCTGAGCATGCCCTGTGTCACTCATCCCCTACAGTTTTGCTCAGCCATTTTTTCATACCTGGAAGGCCATCCTGGGTCCTTCTGCTTATTTCATTTCTCCCATCCCCTCTTTTCCTGATCACCCAGCCCAGATGGCTCTCTCTGTTTCCCAAACACCAATAGAACTTAGCCTGTCCATCCTCCATCCATCCATCCTTCCATTCTCCATTCAGCAACCCTCTATTCAACAGCTACCAGGTGCTTTGATTGGGAGGAATATAACATAGTCCCTCCCCTTAAGGAACTCAGTTTAGAGGAGAGCTGCCTTTTTAATAAGCTCAGTTGTGACTATCTCTCCAGTTAGATTTTAATAGAAAGAGATACAGATGAAATGACAAACAGCACCTATATGATCCAGCTACTCTGGCCTCCAGAAGGACAGGAGACTCCTGGCCAGGGACCGCTCAAGGCCTCAGTTTCTCATTTGTAGGAAAAGAGTTTGCCTCTGGGTCTGTGACGACCCAGCAAGCCTCTGGGGTCCCTGGGCCAATCCATGATGGGTGCCCTTCATCACAACCCTTCCTATCTCTGGCAGGTCAGGTGTGCCCCTGAAGAGCAGGTACAGGACCTCTCCTGCCACTGGACAGCTCTGGCTATTGGAGGACCCTCCTCTCAAGGGGTAGGGGGGACTTCTGGTTTCTTCCCAGTCACCACCCCACTGATTTCCTTTGATCCTGATGCTGTTCCATTAAAGAGCTGGAAAAAGGACAGGCATCATGAATTTGTGGTGGGGAAAGAAGGGGGAGACCCGCTGCTTGGATTCTGCAGCACCAAATCGCATGTGCTGCAGAATCTCTCCTCACAATGCCCTCCTTCTCATGCCATCCCTCCCTACCCCTGGGTCCCCAGGGCCCAGCCAGAACCTTGATACTGTGGCATCAACCTTGGCATCTCTCTCAGTCTCTCCATCCCCCCTCTCAACAGGCTCTTCTCTCTACCCTCAAGCCCCTCCCTCTAACTGGTCATGAGTCTGGGAGGACAGAACTTGGGGTTACTGTGAAAAGTGCCTAAACCACTGAGCGCCCCCCATGCTCATGTGCATGCTGGTTTACCCCTTTTTGCTCATGGCTCCTTGTTAAAGACACCAAAGCGGACCCTTCTCCCCTCAACTTCCAGCCCCATCCCTCCTCCCTCCCCATAGCTTCTCCTTCCCTCCCTTCCTCTCTCCTTCCCTCCCTCCCTCCCAGCTCAGCAGCTGAGTGCCAACTCCTTTGTCCCCCAGGCAGCCACCTGCTGAGTGTCTGGCCTGGGTCCCACCAGCCAGCAGGTGCCTAAGGAGTCCCAGAGCCTGGGGGTGGGGGCAGGGAGGCATCAGGCAGTGTGGGGAGCCAAGTTGTGCTCAAGGAGGAGGGGGGAGTCCTAAAGGAAGAACATAAGAGGAAGAAGGCTGGTCAGGGAGTCAGGACACCCAGTGATGGGTTTTGCTGGCTGTGTGACCTTGGGCAAGTTGTGTCACACCCCAAGCCTCAGTTTCCTTGAGAATTCATGATGCCTGTCCCTGCCCCACCTCTTTTGTAGAACAGCATGAAGATCAAAGGAAATCGGGGTGGGGGGGATGGTGACTGGGAAGAAACCACAAGACCCCTTGAGAGGAGCCCCTCCAACAGCCAGAACTGTCCATCACCAGGAGAGGCTGATTTGTCAGGCATCTCTGGAGGGGCTGAATCATACAACCCAGGAGTCCAGAGCTGGACCGCTGAGGCAGCAGTGGGGGTGAGCGCCAGCTGGTTTGGGTCTGTCCAAGAAGGTGAGACTAGCAATGCAGAGGGACCAAGATCAGGGTGCTTCTAAGGCCTTCACCCTGGCTTGCTGCTCTGATGGACATTGTCTTAGGCATCATTTACGTCTAGCAAAGAGATATGCTGGTGATTTGAAATGTCTGGTCCAGCAGCTGGCAGGCCCCCTCTTGTCATGAAGCCCTATTTTCTGGCTGGTTAGAGGAAAGGTAAGACATGGAGTCAACTTTTGTGGACCAAAGAGCCCCTGGCAAAGGGGGCATCTCCGGGCAAAGGTGTGAATGTGGGATCAAACAACGCATGCACGAGAGTGGTCATCCATGCATTTACTTCTCTAGATCCCCTTGGCCCCCTTCCCTCAATTCCCACGCATCTCCTGGCAGAGCCCCAGTCCTGCCCTACTGGGTCCAATCACTTCTCTCCCATGCCTCCCTCTGCCTGCCAGCCAGGATAGAAAGAGCCTGTTGCTCAGGTCGAGTGATGCTCCTGAGCCGACAGCCACTTGTTGGTGCCCTAACTCTGGTCTGTGCTGTAACTCTATCCCTGATGCTGCCTCCGGTGACCCTTGGTCCTTCCCTACCCTAAGCTGCACACACAGGAGACTGAAAGAGACAAGGGAGGAGGGCTTAGCCCTGTCAACTCAAGGTGTCCACACACCCAGCTCTGCAGGGTCCTTGGAGGTCAAAACAAGGTGGAGACAAGGGACAGGCCTGAGAGGCTGGGGGCTGTGCAGTTGGGCCCATCTGGTGTTCCTGAGGTTCTGGGGAGAGGAAGCCCCAGTTGTGCTGGTAGCCATGTCTACGTGCATTTCTGCCTGGCTCGTTCACCTGTCCTTGAGTGTCTGTGTTCACATGTCCCTGCATGTCTGTGCCCTCTGTCCCTGCATCCTAGGACTGTGGCCTGGGTGTAAGGTACACCAGGCCCCAGCCCAGGCTGGTCTCTCTCCCTCCCTGCAGCCCACTCCAGTCTCTTCCTCCCCAATCTTGGGCTTCACTGACCCCTCAAGGAGACTCATAGCTGGAGCTTCTGCAGCTATTTTTAGCAGCTCTGCACCCCTCCCCTCCCCCACTCAGGTTTGCTGGGGAAGTGAAGGGCCAGGCCAGCCTCATGGGCTGGAGTGCTGGGTGGGCGGGGCCCCTTCCCCTCAGGCAAAAGGTGCCTGGGATAGCCCACAGGCTCAGGGCCCACACCCTGGGGCAGGAGAAGCTCATTCCTCCTGCCTGCCGATGGGAGAGGTCCCACGATGACCTCCCTCTGCCTCTACAACCTCGCCAAGTCCCTAAGGGCAGAGCCCAGGCCTCCAGTGACTCCTCCCTAAGCCATTTGGAAATAAGGCTGGAGCTAATTAGCTGGGTGTGGTGGCTGGGACTACAGGCACCCGCTGTAGTCCCAGCCACCCGGGAGGCTGAGGCAGGAGAATGGCGTGAACCCGGGAGGCGGAGCTTGCAGTGAGCCGAGATCTCGCCACTGCACTCCAGCCTGAGCAACAGAGACTCCATCTCCAAAAAAAAAAAGGAAATAAGGCTGGAGCTTCTGTGTCTCCCACACAGAGGCTGGGAGAGGCAGAAAGGAGCTCAAAGTGTCAGGATGTGGAGAGGAGGGAGGCATGCCTGGAGGAGGTGGCCCACCCAGGGACCTCCAGTACTGTCCTTGCACTCCCCAGCAGGGCTTCAGGCCCCTACTACAGCTCAACTCTGCCAAAAGGCCACCATTAGAGCTCATTGCCTTCCACACCCTTGAGCCTTCACCCTGGGTCCCACCACCACCAGCTGCAGCTGCTCTGGAAACTGGCACCAGCTGGGAGAAGGTATGGTAGGGCAGTTCAAGGGGTCTGAACTGAGAGACCAAGGAGGGAGTCCTCTGGTCGCAGGCCATCTTTGCTTTCAAAGTCTTTTGTTCCTGCATCTGTCCTTCTGTCTGTCTCTTGAGCTCAGCAGGACAAGGATGCCCAGGGTCTGCCTCCCAGGCCCAGCTAGACCACCTCCCACAGGTCACGTCAGCTCTCAGACCCTGTTTCTCCACCTGCGGGATGGAGACGATTAATCAGATGGTGTAGATGATGGGGCAGCATGGAGTCTAGCACACAGCAGCTGCCCAGAAACCTTAGCGCTCTCTCCAGGCCCTCTTCTCACACCTCCATCCCTGACTCCTATTCCTCACCTAATGCACCCCCCCCCACATACATGCACACACACAGAGACACACAAACAAATATGCTCACACACCTACATACATACACATGTGCACACACACAGACACACAAACACATACACACAGCCTAGCCCTGCAGATGCTCAGCAGAGGGAGATGAGGTGACAGGCTCCAGCACACTCAAAAGAAAAGTGACAAGTCGGCCGGGCGCGGTGGCTCACGCCTGTAATCCAAGCACTTTGGGAGGCCAAGGCGGGTGGGTCACGAGGTCAGGAGATCGAGACCATCCTGGCTAACACGGTGAAACCCCGTCTGTACTACAAAATACAAAAAATTAGCCAGGCATGGTGGTGGGTGCCTGTAGTCCTAGCTACTCGGGAGGCTGAGGCAGGAGAACGGAGTGAACCCTGGAGGTGGAGCTTGCATGAGTCAAGATCGCACCACTGCACTCCAGCCTAGGCGACAGAGTGAGACTCTGTCTCAAAAAAAAAAGAAAAGAAAAGTGGCAAGTCAACAGAGCACAGTCCCCCACCATGCCAAGCCCCCTCCTCCTCTACCCCTGCCCATCCGGAGGCTCCATCAGCCCCCAGGGTTGAGCACCGATAATAAAGGGTCAGTGACTATGTCCCACCCACCCAAAAGACTCTCTAAAAAGTCAGTAACCGGGCCGGACGCGGTGGCTTACGCCTGTAATCCCAGCACTTTGGGAGGCCGAGGCAGGTGGATCACAAGGTCAGGAGATCGAGACCATCCTGGCTAACACGGTGAAACCCCGTCTCTACTAAAAAATACAAAAAATTAGCCAGGCTCAGTGGCGGGCGCCTGTAGTCCCAGCACTTTGGGAGGCTGAGGCGGGCGGATCATGAGGTCAAGAGATCAAGACCATCCTGGCTAACACGGTGAAACCCTGTCTCTAATAAAAATACAAAAATTAGCCGGGCACTATGGCAGGCGCCTGTACTCCCACCTACTCGGGAGGCTGAGGCAAGAGAATCGCTTGAACCTGGGCGGCAGAGGTTGCAGTGAGCCAAGATTATGCCACTGTACTCCAGCCTGGGTGACAGAGTGAGACTCCGTCTCCAAAAAGGAAAAAAAAAAAAAGTCAGTAACCAAATACTGTGTGAAAAACCGGCCAGGCCCAGAGAGGCCGGGCAAACCCAAGGTCGCATAGCCTGTCAGTGGCAGAGCTCCATCCATGCTCGAGGCCTTCTAATAAGGCCTCACCAGGCTCCTCAGCTTCCACACCTAAGAACAGACATGCTAGGGACTTTCAGGGTAGGGAGTGGCCAGAGCTCACCTCAGCATCAGGGTAGCCCAGGGGTCTGGGCTTAGGGCCCCTCCATCTACAGTCAAGCTCTCCAACTTCATCTCCTCCCAGATGCAGCAGACAAAAGTAACCACAGGGCAAAGGTCACAAAGTCAGGGAGGTAACTTTGGTCCTGGTGCACAAAACAAGCCCCTTCATCTAACCCAAAGGCCACAGAGGCTTGGGGCTGCCAGGCCGGTGATTCAGCTCAAAAGTGGACACGTGTGCTGGAACAGCCTCAGTGGTGTGGCCTTTTGAACCTCAGGGTAGAGGCTGGGAGGGGGCAGTAGTCCAAAGATGCTGGCCTGGGGCCCAGGAAGGAACCTACTCTCCGGCCCTGGCACCTCATGGCCCTGTCTTGCTGGGCTCCATGGCTAGGAAGGACTGTCTTTGTTGGGTATGTGGAGCGAGGCAGTAGGGCAAAGGATGGAGGGGATGCTATTCCTCCCTAGATCAACCCCTGTCCCCCAACTTCACCACTGCACTGGGCAGAGCTGACCCTGGTACTGGCTCTAGGGAGAATGCAGCTCCTGCCTCCACATCCTTCCTTGTCCCAGCTGACACCTCCAAGATTTTCCATTCAGAGAAATATGGTCTCTGCTGCTGATATGGTGGTGGTAGAAGTGGCTGGCACAGGGAGAGGGCTGTGAGTCACGCACCCAGCTCAGGGCCACATACTTCTGCCCACTTGCTCCACACCCCCACCTTGGGGCCAGTGGGTAGCTCCTCATTCTCTGCCTCCTAACATAGCAGGTAGGAGAAGGGGCCTGGGGCTAGCAGATGGACAGAAGGAGCTGATGGACAGAAACGCCTCCAGGGAGAGAACGAAGCCCAGTCCCCAGCTCCAGCCCTACCTAGGACTCTGCCCTGGCCACACTCCTGGGAGGTGGCATAAGCAGGGTGAGGTACAGCAGATTGATTATTTATCAGACTGGTGAGGGGTGATGCCAAGAAGACCATTCCTTCCATCCTACCCCAGAGGCTGGGGTCGATTCCTGCCCCTACCTCAAGGTCAGTCCCTCCCTCTCACCTAACCCCCACTCCAGGCCCCCAGCTCCAGTGCCACCTGCCCAGTCTGAGGAACTGTGGGCAGGCAGGGCTGGGGTCCCCAGGGCCAGCAGGCAAACAGGAGAAGGGAACACAGGTCTGCAGGGGACGGTGTAGAGTGCAGCAGGTGACGCAGGAGCAGAGGCCTCATTCATCACCTCTCCAGCCCCCAGCTCTGCAGTGGCGAGACCATATTAGACTGTAAATTGAAAAGCAGAGAACGTGGCAGTTAGCTGGGAGCTCTCTACCCTGGGCCCCTGGTCACAGCCTCATGGGAGGGAGGGGACACTGGAGGAGAGAGGACTGGCCCAGCCGCAGCCCCAACTAGTCTCTCCCTCCCCCACCCACCCAGAGCCTGAGACGCTGTCCAGGACAGATGGCCCTGGGGCGGGTCAGGTCAGGCCCCAAGGAGAGGGCAGAGTGAAAAAGGGGCACAACAGCCAGCTTGGAGAGAAATATATCCCTTCTTTTGGGGGGTAGGGCCTTTCTGGGCTTGGGGACTGCTTGAAGCCAGGTCCCAGGGTGTGGCATCCTTGGGCAGGGACACATGGTAGTGACTTGTGGCACAGGCATGTATTTGGACCTGCACATGCACATGCACTTGAACACACACACACACACCCGGTCTCATGCACACACGTACGCCCACACACACACGCACGTGCACACATGCTCACACGAAGCAGCAGCCAAGGCAGTAGACATTTTCATCCCAGGCTATGGAACAGGCAGACTCGGTTCAAACTCTATTTGTCACTTTCCTCTGTGTGAACTAGGAGGATTCACTTTGCCTCTCAGCCTTAGTTTCTTCATAGGCCAAGCATAAACTATTGATTCCAAGCACAAAGGGCTGCCACTCTAGGTGGAAGACAGCTCTTTGTGAAGTGCATGGCTAGCCCATAGCAGGTGCTCAGTAAATGTGAGTGCCTCTCCTGTGCCCGAGGCCAGGCAGCTGCTCTGGGGTAGTAGCCAGGCCAGATACTCTGCCCTCGGTGCTGCTGGCTGGGCAGTGAGGCAGGGGCAAGCCAACAGAGCGCAGCAAACGTTCCCCTGGAACACACATGTGAGGGCAAAGTACGAAGCTAAGTGTTCCTGGCTGTCCTCCACCCATAAAATCCTCCTAAACTGGCTCTGAGCTTCCAGAATTGCCCATCATACATCCAACCCTCAGAGCACCTGTGCGCGGCCAAGTTTGGGAAGCAAACCTCATCGGTGGATGACAAGAATCCTCCCTGAGGAATGAGTAGCTGCTACGCCCAGTTCCCCGAGGCCTTTCTGAAAAACTCGAAGAAGTCCAGGGCTCCTTGTCATCTCTCCCTGCCAATCCCAAGCCGCAGTTTTCCCAGACCCGAAAGGAGGGGAGCAGACACCCCATCTTAACTCTTTTCCAGGAGCCCCACCCTGGGCTCTTCCTCACTGAGAGGTGTGACTACTGTAAGGCTGAGAAGTCAGGTAGGGATATGCACTTTCCATTATGGTAGCCACTGACCACATGTGGCTATTTAAATGTAAACTGGCCGGGCGCTGTGACTCATACCTGTAATCCCAGCACTTTGGGAGGCCGAGGCAGGCCGATCACCTGAGGTCAGGAGTTCGAGACCAGCCTGGCCAACATGGTGAAACCCTGTCTCTACTAAAAATACCAAAAATTAGCCAGGCGTAGTGGCGGGCGCCTGCAATCCCAGCTACTCAGGAGGCTGAGGCAGGAGAATCGCTTGAACCCAGGAGGCGGAGGTTGCAGTGAGCCAAGATCGTGCCACTGCACTCCAGCCTCGGTGACAGAGCGAGATTCCGTCTCAATAAATAAATAAATGGAGGCTGGGAGTGGTGGCTCACGCCTGTAATCCCAGCATTTTGGGAGGCCAAGGCGGGTAGATCACCTGAGGTCAGGAGTTTGAGATCAGCCTGGCCAACACAGCGAAACCTCATCCCTACTAAAATACAAAAATTAGCTGGCCATGGTGGCACATGCCTGTAGTCCCAGCTACTTGGGAGGCTGAGACAGGAAAATTGCTTGAACCCAGGAGGCAGAGGTTGCAGTGAGACGAGATCATGCCACTGCACTCCAGCCTGAGTGACAGAGTGAGACTGTCTCAAAAAAAATTTTTTTTAATAAATAAATAAATGAGAGACCAGAGTTTTATTACTACTCAAATCAGCCTCCCTGAATATTTGGAGGCTAGGGTTTTGGTGTTTTTTTGGTTTTTTACTTTTATTATTATTATATTATTATTACTATTATTCGGGAGTCTTCTTTCAAGCCTGAAGGAGGCTAGGGTTTTTTTATAGCCGGGAGATGGGGAATGGGTGCTGCTGATTGGTTGGGGATGAAATCATAGGGGTCTGGAAAATGGTCCTCCTACACTGAGTCCACTTCTGGGTGGGGGCCGCAGGACCCGGGAGTCATGAGTCTTGAGCCAGGTGGAGCCATCTTGTCAACAGAAATGCAAAAGTCTTGCCAGGCACAGTGGCTCACACCTGTAATCCCAGCACTTTGGGAGGCTGAGGTGGGCAGATTGCTTGAGTTCAGGAGTTCTAGACCAGCCTGGGCAACATGGTGAAACCCCATCTCTACTAAAAATACAAAAAACTGTCTGGGTGTGGTGGCACATGCTTGTAATCCCAGCTACTTAGGAGGCTGAGGTGGGAGAATCACCTGAGCCTGGGAGGTCAAGGCTGCAGCAAGCCAAGACCATGCCACTGCACTCCAGTCTGGGTGACAGAGTAAAGAAAAAAAGAAATGCAAAAGTCCGAAAAGACATCTCAAAAAGCCAATCATAGGTTCTACTATAGTGATGTTATTTACAGGAGTAATTGGGAAAGTTGCAAATCTTGTGACTTCCAGAATAACGGCTGCTAACTATGCCTACATCTCAGCAGAATTCAGGCCCCTCTCAGCCTCCAAACCTGGTGGTCTTTCATTCTTTTTTTTGTGTGTGTGTGGGCAGGGGACAGAGTTTAACTCTTGTCGCCCAGGATGGAGTGCAATGGTGCTATCTCAGCTCACTGCAACCTCCGCCTCCCAGATTCAAGTGATTCTCCTGCCTTAGCTTCCTGAGTAGCTGGGATTACAGGTGTGCACCACCACGCCCAGCTAACTTTTGTATTTTTAGTAGAAATGGGGTTTCACCATGTTGTTTCACCAGGCTGGTCTCGAACTCCTGACCTCAGGTGATCCCCCCACCTCGGCTTCTCAAAGTGCTGGGATTACAGGTGTGAGCCACCGCACCTGGCCTCTTTCATTAGTTTTTAAAAGGTGGCTTAGTTTTGGGAAGGGCTATTATCATTTAAACTATAAACTAAATTTCTCCCAAAGTTAGCTTGGCCCATACCCAGGAATGACCAAGGGCAGTCTGGAGGTTAAAGGTAAGATGGAGTTGGTTACATCACATCTATTTCACTGTCATAATTTTCTCACCATTATAATTTTGGCAAAGGTGGTTTCAAGCCCAGTCTGGGCAACATAGGGTCTTGACCCTCATCTCTAAAAATAAGATAAATAAATAAAAATATTTCCATCATCACAAAGGTCTATTGGACAGGGCTGCTCTAGGCTAGACAACCCAGGTTTGAATCAGACTGCATTAGCATCCAAACTGCTAATGCATTTCCCTGGGTCTCAGTGTCCTCATCTACAAAATGGGATAATAAAAGTTCCCATCTCATAAAGTTATTATAGGGATTAATTCTGATAAAGCACTTAGAGTGTTGCTGGGCATGTGGTAAATGTATACTCAGTAAACAGCAGCATTCAATATTTTTATTCATAGAGCCCTTCATGGTTCACTAGATCCTGGAATGTGAGAACTGGCAGGGACCCATTTTACTGACAAAAATATGGAAACTCAGGTTGTGGAAGTGATTTGTGCTGAGGGACCTGGCTTGTCAGGGGTGGGATGAGGATAGCATGGCCTGACTCCTAGCTGGTGCCCACTACCTCCACCCATGCTCCCTCCATGTGACAGTGAGACCCCAACTCTGGAGATGCCAAAGCCCACAGTTACCCCTGTCCCCAACCAGGATGGCTAAGGAGGCAGTGGGGTCTCTGTCCCTGGAGGTATGCCCACAGATAAAAGACAGCTCCAGACTGGAGGGTTCACTCTTCCCAGTAGTTGGGCTAGATGTCCCAGCCCCATCCTGAGTCCCAACCCTGCCCCAAGTTTGCTGTGTGACTTGGGAAAACCCCCTGGACTTGGTTTCCTCTTGGGTAAGTGAGGGAGGGATGAGATGCTACAAGGGCTCATGTTCTGGGAACCAGCCACTGCCCCACTTGGAGCCTGGCCAAGAGGAGGTGCCCCCATTCATATTTGCAATCCAAATTTGACTGGACTGCAGGGGTTGACCAAGAAAGAGAGGGTGGTGAGAGGCTGTGATGGGGATGATCAGTGGCAGGGGAAGAGAGGGTAGTCCGGGGCAATGGGGACCCATCAGCTTGTGCCAGCAGACACTCCCCATCAACTGCCAGTTGGGGCTGTGATGGGGCATGGCCAAGGGCTGGCTGCCCATCTTCTCCTGGCAGGACCCACTCCTGCTCACCTTGCTGGCCAAGGGCTAGGCACTTTGGGGAGCAGGTTGCCTTCTGAGTGTGCAGAGAGGCAGAATCGGGGCTTGGAAACAGTGTGCCCTGAGCCCAGCCTTCACTATGCCTAGCACCAGGTAGAGAAATGGGAAGAGAGATACCCACTGCTGGATCCTTGCCCAGGGACACAAGCCATTCATGTGTTAGGAGCCCACTAGGAAGTGCCCCCAGGAGGTCAAGAGAAGGGCCAGGCAAGGATGGATCTCCAGAGGAGGCTAGGAACTGACCCGTGAAGGATGGGGAGGTTTTGCAGAGACAAAGGAGTAGAGAAGCCATGGCAAGGAGAGAGAATCGCGTGAGCAATTGGGGCCAAAACGGGGAAGGCACCTGTTCTGACGATGAGAAGTTCCTTTTGAGTGTATCTCTGTGTCCAACCCAACAACTGCCCCTCCAGGGCACAACCAGAACACCCTTCCCCATCATCCAAGCTGCAGGGCTCCTGGCACGAGTGCGCTAGGATAGTGGTGTCCAGCTTGGTGGGGAGATAGGAGGCCCCAGGTGCTACAGCCGAAAGCCAGCAAGAGCAGTAGACAGCTGAGCTATGGGGCTGTCCAGCTTTGGGTTCCAGTCCGAGGCTCTGCCATCATTAGCTGCGTGACCTTGGACAAGTTACATAACCATTCTGGGCTTCAGTGTCTTCATCTCTTGGGATAATGTCCCAAACCTCCCTGGAGCAAGGGGAGAATGAGAAATTACGTATGAGGGCACTGAGTGCATGGTCAGCACACAGTGGGCACCGAGTAAGTGAATGGCAGCTCTTACCAGCCCCAGTTTCCTGGCTACCAACCACAGGAGACAGAATGTGTCCATTCTGGCTCAGCCATAGCTTCTGGGTGACCTTGGAGGAGCCACATCCCTGCTCAGGGCCTTGCTTTCCTTATCTGTCTCATGGGGGTTATATTGCTTTCCCTGTCAATACAAGCAGATGGATAGCAGCAAACCTGCCTCAGGTGCTGGACACTGTCGGGGTAATTATTTCAGTTGCGCATGGAATTGGAAGCCTCTAGAACTAGGCCTCAGATCCCAGCGGCCCTATATAGCCCTGCCAGCCTCTAGCTGGGGCCTCACAGTACAGAGGGCAGGGCTGGGCCCGTGGAATTGTCACTGTAAGGAGGGACTCTGGCTCTGGGGGGCCCAAGCACTCTCAGCTCCCTCAGGTTCTCGGATAATAGGGGTCTGCAGGGACCAGGCCCTCACTAATCCCCTATTAAAACTTGAAAGGGGCCAGGGAACCTTCAGAATAAACTCATTAACTTTTATGGGATAATAAATGGATCCCATTAAATTCTCATTGTCCCCGTGCTGGGCCAGCTTAACCTCTGGAACCCAGAGGAGTGGGCCCCCTGCCCGCCCTGTCCCTCAGGCTCCCCCTTGTACCCACACGCTGTCATGCCCTCCCCCGAAGCTGACAGTTGGTGCTGCCATGAGGCGGGGATCAGGCCTGAACTCGTCCCAGAACTTTGGTTCCCGTGACTGCCCACCTCAGAGGGGCCAGAGGCTTGGGAAATGCCTGGCACCTCTTCAGGGGCTGCCAGAGTGACAGACAGTGCCACCTGCCCTTCCAGAGGCTGCGGTGGGTGACAGTATATGTCTGTCCATAGATGAGCTCTCCCCAAACCCAGTATGTCTTCACTCCACAGATGAGCAGACAGAGGCTTGAGTGGGCAGCCCCCGCCCAGGTCACACAGCTAGTGTCACATCGATTTGGGATTGGAACCCAAGGCTTTCTGGCTGACTGGTACAGAAAGATCTGCAGAAACAGCAGCGCTGAAGGGGCAAGCCAGCTGGCCCTGAGGTGGCACCACTGCCTGGTTCGGCGGTTCCCCCAGGCTGGGGCACTGCGTAATGACTCCAGCTCCACCGCACACCACCACTGTGAACCTGGGCAAGCTCCTGGGCCTCACTGAGCCTCGGTTTCCCCATCTATAAGACAGAGGCCATAACACCTACCTAGCTGGACGCTAGAACACGCCCCAGTCCTTAAGGCTTCCCCTAAACACAGGCTGGGCCCCGCCCCCCATCCCGATCCAGATCTGGTGGGGCTGGGGCGCAGGTGGCCTCCGCTCCACCCTCACCCAGCTGGGCCCTGGGAAGTGAGGCGGGGTAAGCGGTCCTCCCAGGGAGTCCCAGGCTGGGGTTGGGAGGAAGGGGCCTCCAATCCCAAGAGGGGCCATAGCGGGGCGGCGCGGGCAGGGAGGCGGGAGCGGGAGAGAATCCACCGGGGAGGCATCCTGAATGGCTCATTAGTGCCGATGAAAGCCTTTTTTCATTTCGTCTAAATACTTTAAACAGGGCTCCCTCCGATGTCTATTTGCACAGCTTAAGAGCTAATGCGGGGGGAGGGCCCAGGCGGCGGCGGGGCCATGCCAGGGCTGGGGGCGGCAGGCGCTGGGAAGTTCCTGGGCAGTCTCCACCAGGGATGGCCCGCGGGGAAGGGAGGGGTGTTTCCCGGACCCAGCCCACTCGGAGAATGCAGCCCCCGGCCCTGCGGGAGGGGAGGACTGAGCAACTGCGGAGTGCATCCTGTGTTCTGGCACCAGGTGGGCCTGGCAAGTGGGGATCACGGGGACGATCTTGCTGCGGCCCACCGCTGTGTCCCCCACCGACATGCAGGGCCTTGAAGGTGGTCGCCCTTTGCATGGTGCAGTATTATCCTTGTTTTATGGATGAGGTATTTGACATCCTCAGGGTCACACATGCTGCCACCCAACATGGAACATGGGTAGTCCCCCAGAGAAGAGAGAGCCCTACCTGCCAGGGGCCACCCCTTCCTACCCTAGAAGCCTGCCTCAGTGTTCCCCTGACAGGGGCTGCCTAACCTCTGACTGTGGCCTTCTCCCTCAGCCTTCAGAACTCTCCTATTCAGAGCATGCAGATTCACACAAAACCCTTCCAAAGTGCCCATTTTATAGCTGAGGAGGCAAAGGCTCTGAGAGGCAACTTGCCAGGTTCACATGACTTTTAAGTGGCAGAACTGACACTTGAACCCAGGTCTGTGTGGCTCTGTGCCCTGGCCCCACACAGCAGTGTTGTTGGGTCTCCGGTTTGGGTTTGAGGCTCAGATGTGCTTCAGGCACAGGGTGGGGGCTTCCCTGGGTCCCAGCCAGAAGGCTTCCTGAGGGCCTGCTCGACCAGGGCCCAACCCAAGTCCCAATGCCAGAAGCTCTGGCCCCAGACTTCTAAATGGCGTGAGATCTTCGACGAGTCCGTGCCTCTCCCTGGACTTAGTTTCTTCAACTGGCTGGAGTGTTGTCTGCTGTGTAGCTCCAGTCTGCCCCTCCCATGAGGCAGGTGGGTATGTGGAAAGACCTAGGGCTTTGAAGCCAAATCATCGAAGGTTTAAATCCCAGCTGCGTCACTGCGAGACTTCAGGCGAGTCCTTGCCTCAGCTCTCTAGGCTTCAGGTCTTTGTAAAATGGAAATAAAATTCCCATCTCCCAGAGGCGCAGCATCCATTAAATGATACAAGGTCTGGGAAGGGCCTGACACAGTAGTGCCTGATGAGACTGGGCATTAGAGCCCCTGACACCTTCTTCTGCTGTCCCCTATATCATACTCTCCCTTCGTCAGTCCCTGCACCCCTGAATTCAGTCAGCCCAGGCAGAGAGAAGCCCCTATCCACTGGCCACAATCCTGGGAAACTAGGGGGCAGGTCTCAGGGCCTCAGGCCTCCAACAGAGTCAACCAGGGGGTCTGGAGATGCCCTCTCCCCAGAAATGGCTTGTCTCCCAGAGGTTATCTTACCCTCTATGACAGTGGGTGGCACCCGCTGGGACCAAGTGGCAGCTGATTTTGGAATCAACTTGCTCGTTTGATATGCTATCTCGATCCCAGATAGCACAATCAGTGCAATCGACAGTGATGGGAGGTGCCCATTAGTGCTGCTCCATTGCTCAGCACCCACCTGGCAGCCAGCGGGAAGAGCTGTGCCTGCCCTGGACACTTCCTGAATTAGAGAATCTCTGTGCACTCCCTCTCCCAGGAAGAGTCACACAGGTACCTACTCTGAGAGCCAAGGGCCACATCTCTTGTTGGGTACTCTGGAAAGGGGCCGCATAAACAATGCCCGGATCCAGGGGGCTCCAATCTATGTGATTAGAAAAGCCCCCCTTCCTTGCGCCATGCTAGAATCAGTCTCAGCTTACCTGGCATAGCCTGTGTGATGTCTGGGGGGTGGGCAAAAAGAGGAGCCCTGTTCTGGCATGTCACAGGCACTGCCTGGACCTTCCGTAACTTATTCAGATGAAAGACAGGCACTGGTGGACCATCTGCTCTGGGGGGTGTGGGCCTGGCTGGACATCTAGATTGGATGGTGTTGTCAGTGGCTGGCACACAATGCCAAGACACAGATGGGCTGCTTTAGTGGGCATCTCAGGAGATAGCAGTTGGTCCTGGTTTCTCAGGGATGTGGGGTGCCCAAGCTCCTCTGACCCAGAAGAATGGAGAGCCCTCCAACCTGTACCCACCTCCCCCACCCAATTTCCTCCCTCCTCCCATTTGTCTGACACATCAGAGCTGCTATGGTCTCCTGAACAGAACGTAGGCCATCTGCTGCTTCCTCATGCCTGCCAATCTATGGAGTGGGTGTGAGCCTCTGGAATGACAGCCCCACCACCAGACGTGCGGAGGAAGCGACCTTCTCCTTGCAAACTCTGTGATCTCACCCCGGCTGTGTTTCCCTTCAAGTCCTCATGCAGCCATTTTGAGAGCTGTAAGGATCAGAAATATCCTCCCAGGCTTCTCAGAGCTGGCAAAATTCTGTATGAGCTGAATCTGGAGCCAGCATTCATTGACCTTTTCTTGGCAGTTAAGGATCTGGGGAGCCGAATGGGCCACAAGCAGAATATGCATCATCTCTCCAGCTATGTGGTTGAATAAGTCAACACAATCAATAGCAGAGCAATCTGTACCTCAGACCAGAGATAGCAAATCAGTTTCATCCCCCAGAGCCAATCTCATTGATTGGTAGTGGCTGCCTGAATAACATTGTGAGAGGGAAGTTGCTAAGGACCAGGTGGCCTTAGCAAGAAATAACCAAAATTGATTAGCAATGCCTGCCATGGATTAGGGAGTGGGTGGGTAGCATGCTAGATTTCCATTCTACACCTGTTTTTCACCCTGCCCTAGATGGAACCTGATTAGTGTCACCAGAAAGATTAAGGGAACTCAGGGGGACATATCAAATAGAGACGGGATGTAATATTATCTCAGTCAATCCTAAAAAGGAAACCCAATTTTACAGATGAGAAAACTGAGCTTCAGAGAGTTTGGGTTATTTGCCTGAGGGCACACAGCCCTAGAGTAGTGGATCTGGGATTTGAAGTTATGTCTGCCTAGCTCCAGAACTTGGCTCTTCCCACTCTACTCATATTACTGCTCTAGAAGGACCATAAAAACAGAAATGAGTACAAAAGAAATGATTTCCTGAGAACGGAGAGAAACTACTGGGCCCCTAACAAAGAAGTCATGCACCCATGGTCGGGTGCGGTGGCTCATGCTGTAATCCCTAGGAGGCTGAGGTGAGAGGATTGCTTGAGCCCAGGAGTTTGAGACCAGCCCAGACAACATAGTGAGATCTCCATCTCTACAAAAATTCTAAAAATTAGCCAGGCATGGTGGCATGCACCTGTAGTCCCAGCTACTAGAAGTGGGGGTGTGGGGACTGTGGCTGAGGTGGGAGGATCGCTTGAACCTGGGAGGTTGAGGCTGCAGTGGAGCCATGATCACACCACTGCATTGCAGCCCGGGCCACACAGCGAGACACTGTCTCAAAACCAACAAACAAAAAAAGAAGTCATGCAACCATGAGGAAATCTAAAATAAAATCCCAAATATGTGACGCATTTCCTGAGGCTAATGACCAGCAGGTTCACTGAGAACAGGAAATGAACTTGAATGCCCTATCATCTCAGACAGGAAAGACACTGTGGTGGGAGACACACTTACGGTTTTCATCTCAATTCAACTGGTCGCGTGACTTTGAGCAAGTCACTTCCTTTCTCTGGCCTATTTCCTCACTAGTAAAATAAGGCCTCTGCTCTTCATTAGGGATGGCAAATATTTGTCATGTCAGTCTGAGGTGTCAGGTGTGACCTCGTGGAGTGCTGTGTTGAGGAGGATTCTGAGGCTGAACCTGAGAACAGTAGGAAATAGTGCACGGATGGGCTAGAAATGCCTGCCTCTGGTGCTGGAGGAGAAAGAGTATCTCATGTGCCACCCTTGAAGTATGTAATAGCACCTCACTTCCAGTTCACAAATTCTGTAGTTCCGTGATTCTCAGCAGTGAGCACGCTCCTCAGGGCTGTCTGTCAAAAGAGAGCGGGCCCCCCCACTACTCGAGTTGGGCGTGATGCTGCTCTCTGGAGCAGGGGGAGAACCTCTGACCATCCCTTATTATTTCAGGACTCTCTTTAGAGGCCCCAACCGTGGGGAAAGGACAAGCCCCAGGCATCGAGGAGACAGATGGCGAGCTGACAGCAGCCCCCACACCTGAGCAGCCAGAACGAGGCGTCCACTTTGTCACAACAGCCCCCACCTTGAAGCTGCTCAACCACCACCCGCTGCTTGAGGAATTCCTACAAGAGGGGCTGGAAAAGGGAGATGAGGAGCTGAGGCCAGCACTGCCCTTCCAGCCTGACCCACCTGCACCCTTCACCCCAAGTCCCCTTCCCCGCCTGGCCAACCAGGACAGCCGCCCTGTCTTTACCAGCCCCACTCCAGCCATGGCTGCGGTACCCACTCAGCCCCAGTCCAAGGAGGGACCCTGGAGTCCGGAGTCAGAGTCCCCTATGCTTCGAATCACAGCTCCCCTACCTCCAGGGCCCAGCATGGCAGTGCCCACCCTAGGCCCAGGGGAGATAGCCAGCACTACACCCCCCAGCAGAGCCTGGACACCAACCCAAGAGGGTCCTGGAGACATGGGAAGGCCGTGGGTTGCAGAGGTTGTGTCCCAGGGCGCAGGGATCGGGATCCAGGGGACCATCACCTCCTCCACAGCTTCAGGAGATGATGAGGAGACCACCACTACCACCACCATCATCACCACCACCATCACCACAGTCCAGACACCAGGTCAGCTACCTGCTGGCTTGCAGATGTGGAAATGGGGATGGGGGAGGCTGCGGGGCCCCTAAAAGCCTGTCTCTGACACTGTGCCAGCCTGCCCTGCCCTTTGGCACCAAGGGCCAGCCTGCAGGAGGCATGTAGATTGGACCCAGATAGACCTGAGCTCAAATCCTGATTCTTCAGCCAAGTACAGTGGCTCATGCCTGTAATCCCAGCACTTTGGGAGGCAGAGGCCAGTGGATCATCTGAGGTCAGGAGTTCAAGACCCTCCTGGCCAACATGGCGAAACACCATCTCTACTAAAAATACAAAAATGAGCCGGGCATGGTGGTGGGCACCTGTAATCCCAGCTACTCGGGAGGCTGAGGCAGGAGAATCACTCAAACCTGGGAGGCAGAGGTTGCAGTGAGCTGAGATTGCACCATTGCACTCCAGCCTGGGCAACAGAGCGAGACTCTGTCTCAAAAAAGAAAAAATCTTGATTCTTCCAACTATAACATGACCCTAGGAATTCTATTTAACATCTCATCTCTGAGCCTCATCTGTAAAATGGCAATAAGAAAATAAACTTCTGGCTGGACACGGTGGCTCATGCCTGTAATCCCAGCACTTTGGGAGGCCGAGGCAGGTGGATCACCTGACATCAGAAGTTCAAGATTAGTCTGGCCAACATGGTGAAACCCCGTCTCTACTAAAAATACAAAAAATTGGCCGGGCGCGGTGGCTCATGCCTGTAATCCCAGCACTTTGGGAGGCTGAGGCGTGTGGAACGAGGTCAGGAGATCGAGACCACCCTTGCTAACACGGTGAAACCCCATCTCTACTAAAAAATACAAAAAATTAGCCGGGCGTAGTGGGGGGTGCCCGTAGTCCCAGCTACTCAGGAGGCTGAGGCAGGAGAATGGCGTGAACCCGGGAGTCAGAGCTTGCAGTGAGCCAAGATCATGTCACTGCACGCCAGCCTGGGTGACAGAGCGAGACTCTGTCTCAAAAAAAAAAAAAAATAGCCAGGCATGGTGGTGTACACCTGTAATCCTAGCTACTCGGGAAGCTGAGCAGGAGAATAGCTTGAACCCAGGAGGCAGAGGTTGCAGTGAGCTGAGATCACGCCATTGCACTTCAGCCTGAGCAACAAGAGTAAAACTCCGTCTCAAAAAAAAAAAAAAAAAGAAAGAAAACAAACCTCATTGAGCTACTGTGAAAACTGAGATAAGATTGCACATGTTAGGGGGCCGGGTGCAGTGGCTCACGCCTGTAATCCCAGCACTTTGGGAGGCTGAGGCGGGCGGATCATGAGGTCAGGAGATGGAGACTATCCTGGCTAACATGGTGAAACCCCATCTCTACTAAAAATACAAAAAAAAAAAAAAGATTGCACATGGTAGGTGCCTAATAAAAGGTGGTCCCCTTCCTTCAACAGGAGACTAGACATCACAAGAGGTGGTCTTCACCACACACACACACACACACACACACACACACACACACACACACACGGTTCAGCCTTAGTTGGACCACTTCACCAGAGCTGGCACTAGCTTTGTGTCTCCTCCTGCCTCCCAGGCCCTTGTAGCTGGAATTTCTCAGGCCCAGAGGGCTCTCTGGACTCCCCTACAGACCTCAGCTCCCCCACTGATGTTGGCCTGGACTGCTTCTTCTACATCTCTGTCTACCCTGGCTATGGCGTGGAAATCAAGGTGAGTGATCTGGATCTGGCAAGGGCAAAGCTGGGGCGGGTGTATTCTCTTTCTTCAGAGAGGCACATGCTATGAGAGGATGTGGGGATGATTAGGGGCATCAATTGTGGGGCATCGCCTAAGGCCAGGGCTGGGAGATGGGCCTAAATGGTTAGATTCTGCCCCGTGTGTTTGGCAATGGCCTAAGCCAAGAGGGGCTGTGGGAGGGGGCTCTAGCCTTGGATGGGCAGGGGACTGGGTGAGTATAAACCCTACATCTGAATCTATGGGCTAAGCAGAGAACACAGGGCTGCCTCGCTGGGCCTGAGAGAGTCATGGAGCTTCACTCATTCATTCATTCATTCAGCAAATCCTCTCTGAGCAGTTCCTCTGGGTCAGGTTCTGTGCTGGCTTCTGGGATGCAGAGGTGGGGGAAGACAGACCTGATTACACCATCAGAGAGGTGATCAGCTGATAGGAAAGTCAAATCTACAGGCCAGCCTCCTGTCCCCAGCCTCCCTGGGTTATCTCATCCCTCCGTTAGGATTAAGACTTTCTCTTAATCCCGAGGCCTGAGGCTACAGGTCCTCACAGATGTCCCACAGGCTCCTCAACCTCCACAAACCCAAATCTTCCTTTTGTTCCCCCAAAGCCACTCCTGTCCAGGTCAGAAACCTGGAGCAGAACCACCATAGTGCAATGTGGATGGTGTCCCTTAATGTGCAACATGGGGTCTCCTTAGCCTTTCCCTGTCCCTCTTCCCCCAGTCCCATCAATTCATCCCCAAATTCTGTCACCATGATACTCCCCTCTAAATCTCTCTGCTTCTCTCCCTCCATCCCCACAACCACATGTGGTTTAGACCCCACCATCCCTCCCCTGATGATGCAGTAGCTGCCTCACTGGTCACCCCGCCCACACTTGCTCCCTACTCTACCCATCTCCACCTCCACTGCAGTCATTTTTCTCAAATCAATCCTGCCCCCTACACCTCTCTAAGGGCTCCTGAATCAAGGTCAGTCTCTCTGGGTCCACCCCTAGACACTTCGTCCCTTGTTCTTTACCCCCACTTTGCACTAAACAGCTTGCAGCTAACTGAATGGGCCAAACCTTCTTTCCCAAGTCCCAGCTGCACATGCTGGTCCCTCTGCCTGGAAGAGTCATCCCATGATGCCTTCCCTTAGGACTTGGCCCTGGCATCACCCTCTCTGGGAATTCCCTCAGATCCCCAAAGCCTGGGGCATCCCCCATCTTAGCTCTTAGCAGTCTGCCTTCCATCCAACTGTTTACAGCTGTCCACCTCCCCAGCTAGACTGTGAGCTCCTTAAGGGGTGCCTTGTAGTGCAGAGCCCAGAATGGGTACTCCATGCGCTGACTGAATGATCGGACAAAGGGATGGAGGAAGGAAGGGATGTGATGACATTTGACTTGAATCTTGGAGACTGACCAGGAGTGGGCAAGAGAGGCATTCAGCCTGGTTGAGGGAATCTGGCAGGGCGCTGAGAAGTGTGTCCTGCTCCCTGCTCCCTGCCTTCTGTTCTGCTTCCCGCCCATTCCAATTCCTGCATGTCCCTGGATTGGGGACTGAAGCCGTCTAGACCTATCTTGGGGCAGTGCCTCCAGCCCTCCCCTCTGGGGATGTCAGGTCCAGGTATCTGAATCAGACCCTGTCAGGGGGACCCTCTCCTACCCCTGTTGGGCCCCTCCCCTTCTTCCTACAACTGTTTCCTCCTACTCTGCCAAGCCCTGTGCCCCTCACTCTGGGCTGACTGGGAGGGTAATTAGGAACAGCCACCCCGCCTCAAGCCATTAGCACTCAGCACCGCTTAATTAAGGTAATTAATGTAAAATCATCACCTAATGAGAGGTGGCACCGGCTGTGGCTCACTGGGTGGAAAGCACCAGCTGCAGGTGTGGGAAAGGGGGTGGGAGGGGGCAGGTGCCAGGCTGAGTGCCCCCCTACAGGCCTGGGAGGCTCTGTCTGCCCCCCCCAAGCCTACCACCCCTACTGAAGCCCACTGGACAAGGCTGAGCCCAGCCCTGGCACCCTCCACAATGGAGCAAGATGCTGGCTCTGCCTGCCCCCTCTCTGGCCCAGGCACAAGCCCCATGCTGGATGCCCACCCCTCACATAAGCCCCGTGTCTGTTGTCTGGTGCTGCCACATTTTTTTTCTTTTATCAGAATGCAAAAGCCATTACCAGGCAACCTTGAGACGAAGACCTGCCACAGCCCTGGATTGCTGTCAGGAAATGTGGCAGATGCTGGCCCCACCCTCCACCTCGGTGCCATGGGGGCAGGGTCCTTGGGGACACTGTCGGCCCGGACGGCCTGAGATAGTCTGAAGTCATGGAGGGGAGGCGGGCACAGGGTGGCCAGAGCGGGGTCAGCACCCAATTTGGGGAAGGAGCAAGAGAAAGAATCAGCCAGAACTAAGCAGGATTTAAGGCTCTTCTTCCAGGGCCAGTTCTGGCAACCTCCACCCCCACCCAGGCCACTTGGGACCTGAAGAATTTCTGACACTACCCAACAATACCCACTGGAGAGTTGGAAAAACTGAGGCCCAGGCAAGAAAAGGGACTTGCCAAAAGTCAGTCAGTTAATTACTAATTAGTTTTGTTGAGTGGATTTGTTCCACAAGCAAACATTGAGAATTTGCTATGTGCCATGCTCTGCGCTGGGCACTGGGGACACAGACCTTCATGATTAGTAGGGAAGACAGAAATCATAAACAATGACCACGGAATGCCCAGTGCTGGCAGGGATGGGGATGGGAAGCACAGGACGGGCACACTCCACCAGCCTGGGGGTCAGGGAAGGCTTCCTGGAGGTGATGACACCTGGCCTGAGACCTGTAGGATGAGAAGCCAGCAGCCAAGTCTGGCCTGGGCAGCAGCAGGTGCGGCAGGCCTGGCCCTTGAAGGCTGCCCTGGCTGTTTTGGAAAGGTGGCTTTGTTGTGTAGGGGCGGAGGGTAAGGGTAAGGGCTTCCGGATCACACTCCTGCCAGAGGCTCAGCCCAAGAGCAGCGTCCTTCTGCCCAGGCTGACAGTTGTGTCAGGCCATGCTGGACACTGGGGGCAGGATGGGTGGGCAGCTGGAAGGCCTACAGAGCTCCCCATGGCTCCTCAGGCTTGGGGAGAAGGGACTGCCTGTGGCTTCCCTCCATCATGGAGAATTCCCCACCTGCCCCTCTATGAATTCACTGGGATCACTCAGGGCAGATAGGTGGGACAAAGTCTGGGCAAGAAGAGTGACAGGAGCCATGGAGGAGAGGACTGTCTTAGGGACCCACAAATCATACCCCTGAGCAAAGCAGCCAGACACCATGCTGGGACCCTAGCATGAGACCACAGCCCTTGCCTCAAGTCCGGGGCCTTCAGCAAGACCCTCTCAATTCCCTTTTTTTGGAGGACCAGCCTCAGGGGTACCAGAATCCCTAAAAGCCCTATTCTCCATGGCTTGGACCACAGCCTCTCATAACCTGCTTCATCTCCTGCCTCCCACCTCCTTTGATGGTGCTGCAGTTATTGATGCCCTCTGAGGCTGAAGGTCTGAGCCATCCACAGGGAGGAGGCCAGGTCAGGCCCTCTGTGATCCAAGGAGGCTTGCCTGATTCATCTGGGGATCAGGCATTGGGCTAGGCTCTTTCTTGAGAGGTCCAGAGAAGCCCCTTCAGGATGGATGGGCATGAGCCTCACAGCCCATGTGGGTCCCAGCCCCTCCCCAGGCAGTCAGTCTCCCCCTGAGGGCTCCAGGCCTTTCCGGGCCTGGCGCCTGCCTCTCTCTGCACTTGGCATTCCAAGAGCCTTCCCACTGCCAGCCTCCATCTTGGCTTGGCTGCTCTCTGTACCATCTGGAGCCTGGGCACAGCTGCCCACAGTCCCTGCCCTCGTGCCCCAGGTGGCTCTGTTGGCACACAGCTCGCCCATGCCAGGCCAGCTGACAGTTTGATAGCCAGAATACCCTGCCCTTCTAAGCCGTGTCAGGACCAGGCCTGATGTGGGCATGGGGTAGGGGGTCAGTTGGGTGGAATTTCTGGACAACTTTATATTTCCTGGCTCTAGGCAGGCTTATCCAAGAGGGATGACAGGGTGCAGTCAGGTCTAGCCCCATGGATTTTGGCCACTGTCCTCATCCCTAAAACAGATCTTACCCCATAAGGTTTTCTGGATAAGTGCCAATTCAGAAGGGCACAGAGTCTGTCTTGTAAGACTGGGGTTTCAGTGTTGGCTCTGCAGCCCACCTCTCTGTGACTGAGCTAAACCCCTGGCCTTCTCTGTGCCTCAGTTTACCTCTCTATAAAGGGAGATTGAACCAGATGATGCACCAGGCTTCTCCTAGCCAGTCCCTTTGAGTGTGGCTCCTTCTCTGGGGTCAGCAAGCTCCCTTATAGGCCTGACTGAGCAGGGGCACCTCAGGTTCTTGGCTCTGCTGCTTGCTTCCTGGCAGCTGCAGAGTCTGGGCCAGGGAGAGGGTGGCTCCAAGGTACAATGCCTCCCAGGCAGAGCCCTGGCAGACCTGAGGGCAAAGTAAGTTCATAGCCGGCTATCATTTCTGCTGCAAATGCCAAGGTTTTACCAGGGTGTGGCCCACATCTCCCCATTAAATGGAAAGATGACTGCTAGCGCTGTGCCCCTCTGTGCTAAAACCCTTACTGGCAGGATCTAACCAAATCCTTACAAACCCATGAAGTAGGTAAACTATCCCCATTTCACAGGCAAAACTGGGGCTCAGAGAGGTCATATGACTTGCCTAAGGCCCCTCAACTGGTCAGTGATTGAGCCGGGATTCAATCCAAGACTCAAAAGCCCCTGTTCTTCCCTTGGCCCAGGAGATAGGCCTGTCTGTGGCACAAGGCAAATCCAAAGTGGGAGACCCAGGCGGAGACCGGTACCTGTCAGGATCTGCCCCAGATGCCCTTTCCCAGTCAGCCCTGCCTGATTCTGGAGGACATCCACTTGGAATTCTCCCAGTTCTGGGGAGGGCCTGGGGTTGCCAGGCACACAAGACAGGACACTGGACCAGGAATCATGAGTCCTGGCCTCGAGTCCTGGCTTTGTCTTGGACTCACTGTGTGACCAAAGAGGATCTCTCAACTTCCCTGATTACAAGGTTCCCTTATCTATAAAGTGCAGGAAAACAGCCTGCCCTGCCTCCCTTATTGAGACTTTATGAGAGCTGAAGAGATAATGGATGTGAAAACTGCGAAGGTTCTTGTGGGAAAATTGTGATTATCCTATGGTTGCTGTGAGGGAGCACGGGTGTGTGAGGGCATGCGAATAGGGTGGTGGTGGCGCCTAGGCATAGTGTGAGAGTTTGGATTGGTGGGTTATTTTCTGCCAGGGGGTGGAAGTGCACGTGCCATGACACGTTTGAGGGGGCTGTGTGCGTGTAAGTGGGCCTGTGTCCGAGTACACACAGGTGATGGTGACCAAGAGAGCCTAGGAGACCTGTAGCCAGCATCTGGGGGTGGGGATCGCACACAAGAGTCATCTTTGAGCTCATCTGCCTATGCCGGGTTGTACTGGTGCAAATGAGTACAAAAACTGTAGTGCCATCTCGTCTGTGGGTTACGCCATTAGGGCACGTGCTGGAGGCCTGACTGACAGCTTCTATGGGGACAGACAGGGCAGATGAGGCTGTTGAGCTAGAGGTTGGCAGAAGACAACCTGAATCCTTCCCACCTCCCATCCTGGAAAGGGCCAGCCTCTCAAAGTGGCTGTATTTCCTCCTTGAGCTGACTCCATGGTCTGCTGGAAGCAGGGCAGTGTTAGACAGCCCAGGGTCCTGGAGGAATTGTCCTCAGCTCCCTCTGCTTTTGTCTTCCCCCTGCCTGGCCCCCAGGTCCCCTCCTGTCACTGGCTATGGGTATGGAAGACAGCCCTCAAGAACAGAGCTGACATTTCAATCTGTCTCCCAGGCTCTACAGATGCCTGCAAATTGCATCAAGACTTCATCACCCCTCCTGTCCGACACCCAGCCCTGTCTGGCCTCTGTCAGCCTGGCCCTCAAACAAGTGACAAATTACATTCCAGCCACTGCAGCAGACCCACAAGAGGGTGCTTGAAACCCAGGGGACCAGAGCTGCACAGACAGCCTCTGGTTGAGAACAGGGAGCCTTCTGGATAGGAGCCACTTCATTCCACACTCTCATCCCAACCCTCACCACTAGACTGGGCCGGGAGCCAGGCCAGCTTGAAAGGGCCATGCCTCCCCTGGACCAGAGGGGGCCAGAGGTCTCAGTCTCAGTTTTCCCAGCTTTACAGACTGCTAGGAGCAAGGGTGGCTGGTGGGAACTCAAATCCCAACATCTTAAAAAAGCCAGGCCAAGCCAAGACCCACCTCCTTGCTAAACCTGGGGGTGCTGAGCTTGGGAATAAAGATGTCTAGATGTTATTTCTACAGAAGATGCCCCCATGAAGTTGGGAGGATAGGGAGCTGCCTTGTCTCAGCAAAGCAAGACTGCTTAACCCCTATGTGACCTTTTGCAAGTTCCTTAGCTTCTCTGAGCCTCTGTTACTGGTGGGTATTTTACCACCTATCTTATAGATTCACGGTGAGGATGAAAAGCACTTAGTACAATACAAGGCTTGACACACTCTATGATGGCAACTGTTGTTACTCTGTCGCTACAGCTTCTCTCTGGTCCCAAAGCAGCAAGATCAGGAAAAAGAAGCTAGAGGTCAAGCCAGAGGTATATGGGGAACTAGGAAGAAAATACAAATTAATTTCTAGTAATACTTCTCTGCCTTTGCTTTCGTGGTAATTTCCCTGTAGTGAGCGTCCTCCCTTCCTCCTTCTCCCAGTGCTCCTCTCTTCAAGGCACTCTGAGACCCACCTGCTTCAGGCACTTTCCCTGAGCCTCTGAGCCCTTCGCTCTCCCCCCGAGGATTCCTGCTGCCTGCATTCAGTGCCACTTAAGGCGGAATTATATGCTGCCTGGCATCTCTCGATAATTACAGATTCCACGTGTGTGAGTCTTGTTTTCCCAACTCTAGAATCACAGAATCTCCAAGTTTGAAGGGACCTCATCCAGCCTCCGCCTGCTGCAGGAATTCCCTGAGGAATGTCCCCAGCAGATGGTCAGGCAGCCTCCGCCCAAACGTGCCTGGGTGGAGAGTTTCTCACAGAGAGGAGACGCCTCGGCCTCCAGCACCCTGCCTTGAGCCTTCTCTTCAGCCCAAAGACCCACCAGGTCTTTCCTCTCAGGCAGGGGTAGGGACCTCTCCCTGCCCAGCTGCCCCTTCTGGAGTCCCCAGGGCACATCTCTTCTCAGCACCCAGTCTGAGGGGCCCTGAGCCTCGCAGCAGCCATATCCTTGGACCTGGCTGGGCTCAGCATCCTCTATGCTTCTCAGCTCACAGGTATCTGATGGGGAATGTCTCTCCAGCAGCCCACACATTTACTCTTTCCACACGTCTTTGTTGAGACTGGCCAGTGAAGAGGGCACTGTGACCCAACATGCCACCCTGGGCTTTAACAGCAAGATGGGCAGGGGCCAGTGGGGAGAGTCTGAAACAGAAGGACTGCTGGCCTAGCCTGGGAGGCAGACGATGCGGCCCTAAGATCTGAAAAGATGACCAGCTTCACCAGGAGGGGAAGAAGGGAAGATATTGCCCCCGCAGAGTCCCATATGTGGATGCCCAGGGGGCAGAAGTGAGGGGTGGTCTGCGGCTGCAGTGCACGTTAATGAGGGCCGCAGAGATACTGGCACCAAATGTGAGCTGGGCAGTTTGGAGCTTGTCCTCCAGGCAATCTGAAATCAGCAGGAGATGAGTTGGGGATGGGAAGTGTTAGACAGACAGAAAGCCATTCTCAAGTGAAAAGTAATGGGCAGGAGGTAATTAGGGCCAGGACAGTAACAAAAGGATAGAGAGGAGGAACCCATTGGAGTATTTGGGAAATAAGACTGGGAAGGATTTGGTGACTCACTGATGCCACTTAACCATCCCAGGTGGTCAACCCTTGAAACCCTGCTTCAGAGCAACATGGTAGGAACCTTGAGCCCATGTAGATCAGTGCTTTTGAGTTGCCCGAGGATCTTGTTAAAATGCAGAGTATGCTTTAGTGGGTCTGAGATTCTGTATTTCCTTTTTTTTTTTGTTTTGAAATGGAGTTTCGCTTTTGTTGTCCAGGCTGGAGTGCAATGGCGCGATCTCGGCTCACCGCAACCTCCGCCTCCCAGGTTCAAGCGATTCTCCTGCCTCAGCTGCTTGAGTAGCTGGGATTACAGGCATGTGCCACCACGCCCAGCTAATCTTTGTATTTTTAGTAGAGACGGGGTTTCTCCATGTTGGTCAGGCTGGTCTTGAAATCCTGACCTCAGGTGATCCACCTGCCTTGGCCTCCCAAAGTGCTGGGATTACAGGCGTGAGCCACAGCGCCCAGCCAAGATTCTGCATTTCTTACAAGTTCCCAGGTGAGGCTGCTGATGCTGGTCCAAGAACCACATTTTAAGTAGCAAAGAACTCCACTAGTTCGTTTTATAAAATGAGGAAACTGAAGTTCAAATAGCAGCATATTTGTCCAAGATCACATGGTTAGGATGAGGTCCCAGATTTCTGGGCTCCCAATCAATCCAGTGTTCCTTCTATCAAGCCATGCTGCTAATTTCCCTCTGGGCAGAGTCCGTCGTTGTCCAATCCTTGTTTGCCTGAATGGAGGCATGGAGCCCAGAAAGATGCTCAAGGGACTGAGGGCCTGAAGATCAGCATGATAGCAGAGGAGACTGTGACAGCCAGGGGAAAGGATCGGAGAAAGAGGCTCAGAAAAAAGAGAGAATCACGATTGACATGCGGAGGGGCATGGTGTAAGGCCCAGCTGACAGTCAGCAGGGGCCAAGTTGGGCAGGGCCTTGAGGGCTAAGCAAAGAGTTTGAACTACATATTATCGGCTTCACAGACTCAATGGGGAGCCACTGGAGGACTTAAACAAGGAAGCACCATGATCAGCAACAGATCTAAGACCGTTAGCTGGCTATAGTTCAGAAAATACTGCTGTAGAGGGAGGAGTGGGTTAAGCCCTACAGGCAGGAAGGCTGGCCAGGAGGCTGCTGCGGTGATCTAGGTGCACAGTAACGGCGATAAGCTGGGGAATGGCAGTGGGGATGAAGAGTAATGAACAGATTTGAGATCCAGTTGACAGGACTGAATGACTGACCAGGTATGAGGGAGGAGGCAAGATGCCAGTTTCTGATTTGGACACCCAGGGAGATAGCAAGATCATTCCCAGGGGAACTGCTGGCTAGGGGAAGACAGTCACCTAGCATGAGGCAGGCTGGGTGTGAAGCATCCAACAGGGATGTCCAGGGGAAGCTGGGCACATGGATCTGATATTTAAGACCTCATACTGCTGACCAGGGCCTCGGACACCATCTGGTTCAATACACCTACCCCATCCCTACTTTACAGATGAGAAAACAGAGCCCAGGGAGGGGCAGGACAGGAAGCAGCTGGTGTATCTGAAAAGCTTGGAGACAGAAAGATGTGTTTACAAACCCCAGTTCTGCTAAGAATCTCTATGTGACCTTGGATAATTTACTTAATCTCTGAACTTCCGGTCCTGTCTCACACTGAGATGAGCAACTCCTGCACTGCTGAAGTGCCCAGCTCAGGGCCTGGGGGCTCCGATGCTCAAGTAGCATTGAGGATTGATCTGCCCGGGGCCTGCAGGATCCTGAGGGCGGCAGGATCCAGGCAGCAGGAAGAAGTCTGACTACTTTGCTTTTCTCTCTCTACTCTACTGACAGGTCCAGAATATCAGCCTCCGGGAAGGGGAGACAGTGACTGTGGAAGGCCTGGGGGGGCCTGACCCACTGCCCCTGGCCAACCAGTCTTTCCTGCTGCGGGGCCAAGTCATCCGCAGCCCCACCCACCAAGCGGCCCTGAGGTTCCAGAGCCTCCCGCCACCGGCTGGCCCTGGCACCTTCCATTTCCATTACCAAGGTAAGGCCTGGGTAGTTGAAGGTGGAACCAGCCCAGACTCGCTGCCCTCCTTGCTGGGGAGGGGGGTCTCTGTGCAATTACATCCTAGAGGGAAGGAGCAGAGAGGGGCTAGTGACACATAGCACAAATGTCCAGTGAAGCTCTGGACAATTGGAGGTAAGTATCGCGTATCTGAAACCTCCAGGATCTTCTCTCTTCCACCCACCACCCTGCAGAGAGCTGGTCTTGACTCAGGATCAGGTAGCCTCTAGGTGTGCCCGTTGTCCCTCATTCATTCATTCAGCAAACTTTTCCTAGGCACCTGCTCTTTGCCAGGCTTGTGCTGGACACTGGCAATGTCAGGATGCACCAAGGTCCTTGTCCTCAAGGAGTTCTTTCTCAGGAGGAGGCAGACACTTAAACAGGCAATAACAATAGAAGCCCTCCCCAAATGCAAGAGGGTGAAGGTCAAAGGGATCTGACAATGACCATCTGCTTAGCTGCCAGACTGCCCTTCCTGAACTGCTTCACCCACCTTGACCTGGCCCATGCCCCAATCAGCTCAGAACACCTCTGGAAATAAGGGAGCAGCACGATGTAATGAAAAAAAATCACAGACTCAGGCAATGGGCAGATCTGTGTTTGAATCTCCTCATTGGCTGTTGACCTTGGACAAGTCATTTGACCTCTCTGACCCTTCTGCTGTAATATGAAACCAAAACACCTACCCCACAAAGTCATGGTTAGGATTAAGCAAAATGGTACATGTCAAGTGCTTAGCACATGCTTCATTAAGGAAACCAGTATTACATGACTGGCAGGATGGGAGAGGGAGGAAAAGGGGCTCAGGACTTTGCCGCTGTCTCAGCTGTGTCCCTCCTACCCATCCCCCTCTCTGAGCACAAAGTCAGCTCGATCCTTTGCATGGGTTAACTATTTGAGACTAGGGAGAACTAATACGGAAATAATTGGTGTGAACAATCAAGGGATTGTCTTGCATTGTCATGGACCACTTCCGCAGTCCTGCAGGGGACCACAGCCGGGCAGAAGAGCCAGCACTCTGGAGATGGGGCTGCTTGGAACCCCACCTAAGGAGCACTCACCCTACCCTCACCCCTCCACCCAAACTACTGGAGCAGTCTGGCATAGCAGCAGGGAGCCTGGAAGTGGATGGGGCTGTAGAGTGGCTTGGCAGAGGCAAGGGGCCAGCTGAGGCAAGGGTGAAACGTCTAGGCGGCCCAGCTAGCCTCCCTAATGGCTCATCAATCCTCCCTGGCAGCAGGCATAATTTCACGCCATGATAACCTTCTCTCTTGCTGCAAATTCCTTTGCACAAAACTCCGGACCTCCTCTCTGTCGGGCCAGACAAAGGTGGCTGAATGGCAGTGAGCTGGAGGCCCAGCAAGGGGGAGCAACCTCCAAGGAAGGGCTGGAAGAGCTGGCCTGGTCCTGCCTCCTTCTCAGCTCCCAGAAGCCCTCCCTCGTCAGCCCAGTTTTTGTCAATGATCAGCTCTTGCCTTAATGAGTGTAATTCCCCTAATTATAGGCTGTAATTAGCCCTGATCCCAGAGATGGGAACAGGAGGAGCGTGTGCTCACACGCAAATCTCCGTGGGCTAGAGAAAGAGGGTGCCAGAAGAGGGGGTGAGGGGCCTAGTACCCACACCTGTGCTCGAGCTGTCCAAGCTGATGTTGGAGGTCACAAGGATGAGCCCTCACAAGGGCCTTATCGCAAGACCAAGTCAACTCCCCTCCCACAGCCTCAGGCAGGGTGGGGAGGCAGACGGCCCTGACAGACATCCCCCTCCTGCATCCTCAGCATTCCTGGCACTGGACTTGGCTCCAGAAACAGACTCCAGTGAGAAAATAACTCAACAGATTGCAGTGGTTCAGGCTCCCCGGGAACGGTTGTCATGGCAACAGGAGGAAGCTCATCCTGGGAAGTGATACTTTAACTACTATGGAGTCTGGGGGCTTCATTGTCTGCCCCCAGCCTCCTACAGTTCCAGCCCAGTTCCACCCCATTCCAGCCCAGTTTCCTCATCTGTGAAACGAGGGCCCTCCCTTACTAGAGTGGTGATAAGAACTCAAAGGGGAAGATGTAAGGGGAAATGCTGGGCCTGAGCCTGGCTCATGGTCTAGACCCCACTAGGCGTCAGTTAACCTCTTAACCTCCTCCACTCTGGGTGTGGTGCCCCACACCCCTTTCTCCATCCCATCCTGGACTGGGACCTCTCCCCAGGTCACTGTGAGTGGCTGCCCTGGACAACCACCCAGAGCAGGCTTGTCTGTTACTCTCAGATTTCTCTGACCCCTGAACCCAAGTTTCTACTTCAAATGAGGAAGCAGGTGGGGTGGTGGTGGAAAGCAAGAAGGCTTCAGAGCCCAGGAGCTTCAAGTTCCTGGTCTAGTACTTCCTTGCTGTGTGATGAGGGCACAGGGTCTCTCTGAACCTGTTCTCATCTGAAAATGGGCTCATAGCCCCTACCTTGCCTGCCTTTCTCCCAAGCATATTGTAGACATCAAGAAAGAAGAGTGTGAAGGCATTTTAGAATCTGGAAAGTACATGTAGATGTGAGGTGCTATTATTAATCAAGATTACAAACAATAACAGCAGGCTGATGTCTTAGGCATTTGTTCAGGAACTGCACATATGTCTTCTCACTTAACCTCCACAACCTTGGATGTAATACTGAAAGTGGGTGGATAAATGAGGCAACTGAGGCACAGAGAATTTAGGTAACTTGCCCACGGTGGCACAGCACGTAGGGAAGAAGCCTGCATTCAAACCCAGGCAGTCTGACCCACAGCCCACCTGCTAAGCACTGCCCTGTACTGCCTGCCAAGCACAACTAGCCACTTACCGACCATTCTCTCCAGAGCCCCATGAGAGACAGAAGAGGAGGAATTCTCCTCCCACTTTCACAGACATAGTAACAGGACAGGTGAAAGTCATAAAACTCAAATTTCTGGACCCTGGTCTGCCCTGAGACAGCCTCTTTTTCTTTTTCTTTTTCTTTTTAATGGGGGGGAAGAAAGAGGGCCCATTTTTCTATTCACACAAAGGCACCCAGGAACAGAGGCCTTGCATGGACCTCTCCTCCCATTTACCTGATACCATCAGTGGGGCTGCCCCCTACCCCAAGACCCAAGATCTTCAGTCTAGACAGTCCTCACTTTTCCTACCACCCCAAGGGTTATCAGGCTCTGTAGCACAAGCCTCTCAGCCTCTCCTTGACCCCTCCAGGCCTTTGCTCTCACCTCTTAGACGCAAGCCAGGATCTTCACTTTTTTTTGAGAAAGAGTCTCACTCTGCCGCCCAGGCTGGAGTGCAGTAGCGCAATCTCCACTCACTGCAACCTCTGCCTCCCGAGTTCAAGCGATTCTCCTGCCTCAGCCTCCCAAGTAACTGGGACTACAGGCGCGTGCCACCATGCCCAGATCATTTTTTTTTTTTTTGTATTTTTAGTAGAGATGGGGTTTTACCATGTTAGCTGGTCTCGAACTCCTGATTTTGTTATCCACCTGCCTCGGCCTCCCAAAGTGCTGGGATTACAGGTGTGAGCCACCGTGCCCAGCTGGATCTTCACTTTTATTTTATTTTATTTTATTTTATTTATTTATTTTATTTTTTGGAACATGGAGTCTCACTCTGTCGCCCAGGCTGGAGTGCAATGGCATGATATCGACTCACTGCAACCTCCATCTCCCCGGTCCAAGCGATTCTCCTGCCTCAGCCTCCCGAGTAGCTGGGATAACAGGCGCCTGCCACCATGCCCAGCTAATATTTTTGTATTTTATTAGTAGAGATGGGGTTTTGCCATGTTGGCCAGGCTGGTCTTGAACTCTTGACCTCAGGCCATCCGTCCACCTCAGCCTCCCAAAGTGCTGGGATTACAGGCGTGAGCCACTGCACCGGGTTGATCCTTTTAGCTACCACCCCAGCTTGACCCCAGGATCGGGATATGCCAGATTGTTTTGTAGGATTTGCTGCCACCATTTGGTCAAATTTGGTATGACAATTCCAAAGCTACCAGCTTTCCCAGGGCAACTTGTTCTTTCCCCAACTTCCATGAAGGCAGTGCACTGCCTCCCTACCCTCGTCCCCATCTTTTTCTTGTTTGTTTGATGTTGTTTTTCGAAACAGGGACTCACTCTGTCACCTAGGCTGGAGCGCAGTGGTGCAATCATAGTTCACTGCAGCCTTAAACTCCTAGGCTCAAGCGATCCCACTTCAGCCTCCTGAGTAGCTAAGACTACAGGTACACATCACCATGCCTGGGTATTTTTTAAAAATTTTTTACAGAGATGGGGACCTCACTATGTTGCCCAGGCTGCTCTTGAACTCCTGGCCTCAAGCAATCCTCCCACCTTGCCCCAGCCTACCACCATTCTGGATTTTGTTTGTTTGTAAGTTTGTTTTTTTGAGATGAAGTCTCGCTCTCGTCCCCTAGGCTGGAGCGCAATGGCACGATCTCGGCTCACTGCAACCTCCACCTGCCGGGTTCAAGCGATTCTCCTGCCTCAGCCTCCCGAGTAGCTGGGATTACAGGCGCCTGCCATCACGTCCGGCTGATTTTTGTATTTTTAGTAGAGATGGGGTTTCTCCATGTTGGCCAGGCTGGTCTCGACCTCCTGACCTCAGGTGATCCGCCCACTTCGGCCTCCCAAAGTGCTGGGATTACAGGCATGAGCCACCACTCCCGGCTGTTTGTTTGTTTTGAGATGGAGTTTTGCTCTCGTTGCCCAAGCAGGAATGCAATGGAGTGATCTCAGCTCACCACAACCTCCACCTCCCGGGTTCAAGCGATTCTCCTGCCTCAGCCTCCCCCGTAGCTGGGATTACAGGCATGCGCCACCATGCCCGGCTAATTTTGTATTTTTAGTAGAGACGGGGTTTATCCATGTTGGTCAGGCTTGTCTCGAACTCCCGACCTCAGGTGATCCGCCCACCTCGGCCTCCCAAAGTGCTGGGATTACAGGCATGAGACACCGGCCCGGCCACCATTCTGGTTTTAAAAGAAGTCCATGGCCATTGGCATCAAGCTTTTTAGCATTTCTCAGTGAATACTGGGAAAGCCTTTACTGTCTGATTTCACTCTTTGCTGCTGCAATTCATATTTATTCCCTAAAGGAAAAACAGTATCAACACTTTACATCTGTATAGGTTTTTCACTATTTCAAGTGCTTTCATGTCTACGAGTCATTCAATAAGCATTTCCTGAAGATATAATATCAGCTGGGTACCAGAGATACCAAGCTAGATAAAATACTCTATCATTTCTTCTCACAGTAACCCTGTAGGTAGGCTAGGATTTTAAACCTCATTTAACAAATGAGGAAACACACACACAAAGATTAAATAACCTGCCTAAAGTGTCATAAAGCTTGAGCCAGAACCTAACCCTTCTAATTTCCAGCTCTGTCTGCTCCACTAACCAGCCCAGGCTGCTGGAAATATCACTGGTAACCTTCTAGGGAGGAGATTGGAGTTGTTTTGGAACTCCTAGTGCTTCCTCTGGCCCCAAATGACACCTCCAGGCAGACTGAGGCAGACCTCCCCCAACCAATGGCCCAGCTCCCGCCCCCACCCTGCACACATACACAGTGTCACCCGTTCTCTGTTTGCAGCCTATCTCCTGAGCTGCCACTTTCCCCGTCGTCCAGCTTATGGAGATGTGACTGTCACCAGCCTCCACCCAGGGGGTAGTGCCCGCTTCCATTGTGCCACTGGCTACCAGCTGAAGGGCGCCAGGCATCTCACCTGTCTCAATGCCACCCAGCCCTTCTGGGATTCAAAGGAGCCCGTCTGCATCGGTGAGTGCCCAGGGGAAAGGGCTCAGTGCTGAGCAGAGAAGTGAGGTGGGGGCTCATCCCTGCTCTCTGTTGCTCTCTGCCACTTTCATTTGCTCTTCATAAGGAAGCCAGAAAATGGCCATGCACCTCAGTGGCATTCATCCAACCTGCACTTATTGAGCATCTACCAGATGAAGGCACCACAGGTACAAACAGCTGAATTAAACAGGGACTCTGCCCTCAAAGAACCCACATTTCCAGGAAAGGGAGAAAGGAGAAAGCACAGAGGTCACCAATTTCCAGGGGAAGAAGTAAAAAGCACCAATGAAAAGACATAAAGTGACCTGGGAGGCAAGGGCGCAATCATTCTTAGCTGGACATTTAGGAGGCTTCCTAGGGGAGGAGGCACTGCAGGTTTGACATTTAAATGGAGAGAACAACGTGGGCAGGGACATAGAGGCAGGCAGGTGAGGGTGTTTAGGGACACAGAAGACAGCCAGGTTTGGCTGAAGCCTGAGACATGTGGCAATGGAAGGGCCTTGAGTGTCAGGGCAAGATACAGGCTGAGGAGCTGTTGAAGCTTATGAGAAGGGAGGGCCTTAGAATTCCTCAGGAGATGACTGGGAGGCCAGCCAGGCAAGACAGTTTGAACTTAGATTGTGATTTGGGGAATGAAGCAGAGGGAAGTTCCAGAAACTGATGGGAACTGGGAAAAGGGAAAGGGGACTCCCAGGTCTGGTCCTGAGTGATCAGGTCTGGGATTGCTGCCAATGAAAAGGGGCTTGTTGGAGAAAGGAAGACTCAGTGTTTGGTTTGCAGTATGAAAAGCAACTTGGGCTTTTTTTTTTTTTTTTTCTTCGAGACGGAGTCTCGCTCTTTCACCCAGGCCAGACTGCAGTGGCGCTATCTCGGCTCACTGCAAGCTCTGCCTCCCAGGTTCACGCCATTCTCCTGCCTCAGCCTCCCGAGTAGCTGGGACTACAGGCGCCCGCCACCACTCCCAGCTAATTTTTTGTATTTTTAGTAGAGATGGGGTTTCACCATGTTAGCCAAGATGGTCTTGATCTCCTGACCTCGTGATCCACCCACCTCAGCCTCCCAAAGTGCTGGGATTACAGGCGTGAGCCACCGTGCCTGGCCGGGCTTTTTCTTTTTAGTGGGTATGGGCTTAGGCTTTTGAATCTTTTTTTTTTTTTTTTTTTGAGATGGAGTCTCCCTCTGTCACCCAGGCTGGAGTGCAGTGGCACGATGTCCGCTCACTGCAACCTCCACCTCCCGGGTTCAAGCGATTCTTCTGCCTCACCCTCCAGAGTAGCTGGGGTTACAGGTGCATGCCACCATACCCAGCTAATTTTTTTGTATTTTTAGTAGAGATGGGGTTTCACCATGTTGGCCAGTCTGATCTCGAACTCTTGACCTCAGGTGATCCACCTGCCTCGGCCTCCCAAAGTGCTGGGATTACAGACTTGAGCCACCATACCCAGCCATGAATCTTATTTCATTCTATAAATTCTTCCTGGGTGCCAGGCACAACCAGAGTTGAATAACACAGATGCTTTCTCAGCCCTCGAGGATCTAGCGGGGAGGCTGGCAAGCAGCTCAGTGCAGAGGATGCTACAATAGGAGTAAAGGCAGAGTGGTGGAGGAGCCCAAGGGATGGAGAGCTACTCCAAGATGAGAGAGGAGGCAAGCAAGGCTTCCCAAGGAGACAGCATGGAAGGATTTCAGAAATATTAGTTTGGGAAAGTGGGGTGGGTTCCTGGAACTGCATATGCAGAGATGTGCAGGCATGAAATAGCACAAGATAGTGAGCACACAGTGAAGTGTGCCTGAAGCAGAGGGTATGCGGGGAGAGGGGACTGAAGCTGAGTCTAGAGAGAGGTGGATTCATAAAGGGCTTGAACACCATTTTCAGCTTTAACTCTATCCTGAGGGTAATGGGGAGCCACTAAGCAATTTTCAGCAAAGGATGGGGCATGATCAGATTTGAAGGGCAGTTCCATTCTGAGACCAAGCTGAGGCAGGTCTGTCCTTTCTGCAGAGAAGAAACTTGCCCCAGCCCCCCAGGAGCTTTACTAGGTTACAATATTCTGCTGCCTTGAGCATTTGGAGACAAAGGTCCTGTGTATTGGTCATGGCAGCCTGGTCTCTGAGAGTTGGGTAGGTCAGAGCTATGTGTCCAGGAGAGGAAAGCACTGCCTGGAACCAGCCATACTCCTCTTGCCTGAGGACCCCTCTCTGGCCTCACATAACCGCCAGGAGTTTGTGGCCAAGTAACCCAGCAATCCTCACAGATAGCCATAGGCAAACTGTTCAGTCTCTCCTTAGAAAGAGAGGACAGCCCCAAGCCAGTAGGGTCAGCACTAGAAAGGTCAGTCAGCCCAGGAACGGCAGTGGTAGTGAGGCCGGGGCGGATGGCATGCACATCAGGTGTTTGCCGCCCGGATCTAGTGCTAACCCCTTTTTACATTCATTCACTCATTTTATTCAACCAACGCTGAACACCAACTCTGTGCCTGGCCTGGAAAGACCTGGTTCCTGCTCCAGGGGGTCCTAGTTAAGGGACATACCCAAACAACTGATTTTAGGAAAGTGGCATGAGGTAGAAGTAGCAGATGTATCCAAGAAGGTTGAAGCCCACAGTAAGGGCTTTAGTAAAGTCTACCTAGGGAGAGTCGGCCTTCTAGAGAAGTCAGCAGAGAGGGAAAGTGACTTACCTGGGCACACAACCAGGCAGTGATACATCTACCCACAGTCAAGAGAGTTACCCTGGTCAGTCCCAGGGGTGTGAAAGGTTAGGCGGCAGGATTCTGGAGCTCAGGCTGCCTGGAGATGCAGGTTCACAGGGCTAAAAGGTTGACCTTCAGGACGATGAGGGCCAAGATGGCAGGGAGGCAAGGTCCCCGCTGCTCCAAGCAGAGGATATAGGGCTGGGATAGGGAGGAAGGCATGTTAGGCTGCCTGGGTTCAGGCAGGGGCCTAGCCTACGTCCTGTCCTGGTCTTAACAGCTGCTTGCGGCGGAGTGATCCGCAATGCCACCACCGGCCGCATCGTCTCTCCAGGCTTCCCGGGCAACTACAGCAACAACCTCACCTGTCACTGGCTGCTTGAGGCTCCTGAGGGCCAGCGGCTACACCTGCACTTTGAGAAGGTTTCCCTGGCAGAGGATGATGACAGGTGAGGGGCTGTCCTAGTGGAATGGGAGTGCCTGGCCTGGTAATACCCTGCTGGAGGGACGCTACCCAAGCCTGGGGCCACACCCCATCTGGGTCAGCCACCAGCCTACATAGCTGCCACTCTCCTGGTTCAGGCTCATCATTCGCAATGGGGACAACGTGGAGGCCCCACCAGTGTATGATTCCTATGAGGTGGAATACCTGCCCATTGAGGGCCTGCTCAGCTCTGGCAAACACTTCTTTGTTGAGCTCAGTACTGACAGCAGCGGGGCAGCTGCAGGCATGGCCCTGCGCTATGAGGGTGAGCCTGCTGGGGCCTCACTGGGGGTGGCGGGTCCACGGGGATGGGCTCGGGCCTAGGGTCTTTCTCCCACACCCTACCCCTCTCTGCCTCCATGCTGTCACTCCTTCCAAGTCAGCCCCTGCTCACTCAGTACTTAGGCCCCCTTTCCCTGCCCCTCTCTTTGGGTCCGGGATCCCTACCACAGCTTTGCAGGAAACCTCTGCCTGGACCCAGGCCCTATGGTCCAAGGGAATAAATTCTCCAGATTTTGAAAAGCAAAAAAGGCCTCAACCCTTAAGAAAGAATTGCTGTAAGAGACATTCTAGAACCATTTATGCATGCATGCATTGATTAATTCATTCAAAAAACATGTATGGAGTACCTTCTGTGTACTAAGCACAAAACCAGGCAGTGGGAACAGGATGGTAATCAAGATGGCCTCCTGAGCATAATAGGGATGGATGCTCTTGGCTGTCCCTCCTCCATCACATTCCTGCTCCAACCCCAGGACATATATTTGTCATTCGTACCCAGGAAAAGAAAGGCTCTGGGGAGGGAAGTAGGGGGATGCTTGCCCACTGTGTTTAATACCAGTCAAGGCTGAGCTGGGCTGGGACCTGTGGTTTACAGCCTTCCAGCAGGGCCATTGCTATGAGCCCTTTGTCAAATACGGTAACTTCAGCAGCAGCACACCCACCTACCCTGTGGGTACCACTGTGGAGTTCAGCTGCGACCCTGGCTACACCCTGGAGCAGGGCTCCATCATCATCGAGTGTGTTGACCCCCACGACCCCCAGTGGAATGAGACAGAGCCAGCCTGCCGAGGTCAGTAGACACCAGTGGATGGGCCTACCGGGCAAAAGGCAGGGTCATACCAGGAGAATAGCAGCAGAGCCCGGGGCCACAGGGGCCCTGTGATATGCGTGGTTCAGGCTTCCTCCAAGGAGGAGGTGGGGGGTCCCAGCAATTTGTGGGCACTCCTGCGGGCAGATGGTAAGCAACACCATGGTAAGCTTGAAAAGACCCTTCTGGGCCTCCTCTGCCTTCCAGCCGTGTGCAGCGGGGAGATCACAGACTCGGCTGGCGTGGTACTCTCTCCCAACTGGCCAGAGCCCTACGGTCGTGGGCAGGATTGTATCTGGGGTGTGCATGTGGAAGAGGACAAGCGCATCATGCTGGACATCCGAGTGTGAGTGCCTACCGGGTCAGGCCGAGCCAACTCCTGAGGTCTGGGGATATCCCTTGTCCAGCCCATCCTCGGGCCCCCAGGCCGGCTCTGCCCTGACGCTCCTCCTTCACAGGCTGCGCATAGGCCCTGGTGATGTGCTTACCTTCTATGATGGGGATGACCTGACGGCCCGGGTTCTGGGCCAGTACTCAGGGCCCCGTAGCCACTTCAAGCTCTTTACCTCCATGGCTGATGTCACCATTCAGTTCCAGTCGGACCCCGGGACCTCAGTGCTGGGCTACCAGCAGGGCTTCGTCATCCACTTCTTTGGTGAGCTTGTCCCTACCCCACTCAGAGTGCAGACAGCAAGCCATGGCAAGCCAAAGAGGCTAGGGCAGTGAGGTGCCTGAATGCTGTCTCAGACAAGAGTAAGCTGGAAAAGCACCAGGGATCACCTGGAGGAAGCTAGTCCTGTTCTCCATCTGCCCTGAGGGAGAGCCAGAATTCTATAGTGGCAAGAGGGGTTTGGGTAGGCAGCAGAACAACTTTCTTTTTCTTCCTTTTTTTTTTTTTCTGAGACAGTTTCCCTCTGTCACCCAGACCATGGTGTGATCTCTGTTCATTGCAACCTCCACCTCCTGGGCTCAAGCGATTCTCGTGCCTCATCCTCCTGAGTAGCTGGGATTATAGGCACATGCCACCACGCCTGGCTAATTTTTTTATTTTTAGTGGAGACCGGATTTTGCCATGTTGGCCTGGCTGGTCTCGAACTCCTGGCTTCAAGTGATCTGCCCACCTCAGCCTCCCAAAGTGCTGGCATTACAGGTGTGAGCCACTGCACCTGGCCAGAACAACTTTCAAACAAAAATGGGGGAACTAAGGAAAGGTGCTGGCTTCTATCTTTCTGACAATCTTTCATAGAAGTGACGATTTCCCTCACCCTACCTGGCCCCATCTCTCAGGCCTAAGGAACTGGTCAAGGTGCTTTTGGAAGTAAGGCCAAAGCTTAAATGCTAACCCTGGAATCTAGGAGACAGAGCAATGTCAGGCAGTCAAGGAGGGGCCCTTGAGCAGGGAGGAATGGATCCCTGAGCCCGCCCAGGACAGTCTAGGTCCAGGACAAACTAGCAGGAGCCAGAGTGCCCTCAAGGTGAGGGGGACAGTCACTTTGGTGCTGGCCGAGGGCCTGCATCTTGTGCCTCTGTGCCCCCAGAGGTGCCCCGCAATGACACATGTCCGGAGCTGCCTGAGATCCCCAATGGCTGGAAGAGCCCATCGCAGCCTGAGCTAGTGCACGGCACCGTGGTCACTTACCAGTGCTACCCTGGCTACCAGGTAGTGGGATCCAGTGTCCTCATGTGCCAGTGGGACCTAACTTGGAGTGAGGACCTGCCCTCATGCCAGAGGGGTGAGTATACCTGTTCCCCACGCTCCCCTTCCCAACACAAACTCCAAACCTCTCTCCTGGATTCTGAACCAGACTGTAGCTGTTATTAGCTAGTATCTTCAAAGTTCCTTCACCTCTTATAGCCTCAGTTTCCTCATCTGTGAAATGGGGATGATACTTTTCATGGGGTTATCAGCCACGTACTCTAAGTATTTCATTCCTGGTAGATGGCCAATCAGTTTTTATCGAACCTAATAGATGGGAAGGGGACAAATGGGGGGACACACTAGCATAATGGTAGGGACAGATACGTAGGGGGTAGACCCATACGACATGAAGAAGTTAGCTGGCCTGGAACAAAGCCAGGGTGGATTGGCCTCTGCTTAGTTCTCCTTGGGCTACTTCTCCCCATCACCCCCTACCCATAGTGACTTCCTGCCACGATCCTGGAGATGTGGAGCACAGCCGACGCCTCATATCCAGCCCCAAGTTTCCCGTGGGGGCCACCGTGCAATATATCTGTGACCAGGGTTTTGTGCTGATGGGCAGCTCCATCCTCACCTGCCATGATCGCCAGGCTGGCAGCCCCAAGTGGAGTGACCGGGCCCCTAAATGTCTCCGTAAGTGTCAATTGAGTAGGAGGGAAAACCTCTAGCTGGAGATAAAAGATGCTGCCCTGGAGGCCAAGGGCATGACACCCTCACTGCACTCTGCCTGCTTTGTAGTGGAACAGCTCAAGCCATGCCATGGTCTCAGTGCCCCTGAGAATGGTGCCCGAAGTCCTGAGAAGCAGCTACACCCAGCAGGGGCCACCATCCACTTCTCGTGTGCCCCTGGCTATGTGCTGAAGGGCCAGGCCAGCATCAAGTGTGTGCCTGGGCACCCCTCGCATTGGAGTGACCCCCCACCCATCTGTAGGGCTGGTGAGTGCCCTGTCACCCCTCAAAACCCTCCCTGGCCCATAGAGCTGCTCTGGCAAAGATGTCCAATGTTTAGAACCAGAACCACCTGCCCATGCCACCTTCATGTTACCCTTGGTCTCCCCAGTCTCTGCCAGATCCTTCTGACCTGGCATCACCAAGACAAATGCTGGAGTGGCCTCTCCTTGGACAAATCCTTCCCATGATCATCCCACTACCTCCTCTCCCTGCCTTAGTGGTTTGGCCCATTGGGCTCACTCACTGCCCTTGGCCCTCCCCTTTTGTTCCAGCCTCTCTGGATGGGTTCTACAACAGTCGCAGCCTGGATGGTAAGTCTCCACCCTTGAGGCCAGAGAAGTGGTCTCCCTGGTCCTGGTTCTCACGGCTCCCAGGTCATGGGCTTCCCAAGGAGGGAGGGCAGAGAAAGAGAGAGGTTTGGGCCTAGCAGGTTAAAAAGCTCCTTCCCTACACCCAGCCAGCTAGAGGGAGCTGGTAGTCAGATGCCCTTGGGCAGAGGTGAGAGAATATGGGCTCCAGGTGACAGAGACCTCTGCTCCAGTCACACCCTCTGTGTCTTCAGTTGCCAAGGCACCTGCTGCCTCCAGCACCCTGGATGCTGCCCACATTGCAGCTGCCATCTTCTTGCCACTGGTGGCGATGGTGTTGTTGGTAGGAGGTGTATACTTCTACTTCTCCAGGTGAGTCTGGCTTCTCTTTCTGCTCTGCATACCTGCATACCTCACTCCTACCCAGTGCTCCTGACTTGCAGGCTTCTCTGCCCCACAGGCTCCAGGGAAAAAGCTCCCTGCAGCTGCCCCGCCCCCGCCCCCGCCCCTACAACCGCATTACCATAGAGTCAGCGTTTGACAATCCAACTTACGAGACTGGAGTAAGTAACCATGCCAGCCTTGCCACCCTATCCAAGACCCAGTTCTTTGCTTCTTTGGGCAGATAACCCTGAGGGTCCTGCCAAGCCCTCTCACTTTTTCCCTTTTCCTAGGGAAGGTGAATTATGGCCTGGCAAACCTAATACAAGTTTCCAACTCCCAGCAGTCTCTTTCCTTTGCAGGAGACGAGAGAATATGAAGTCTCCATCTAGGTGGGGGCAGTCTAGGGAAGTCAACTCAGACTTGCACCACAGTCCAGCAGCAAGGCTCCTTGCTTCCTGCTGTCCCTCCACCTCCTGTATATACCACCTAGGAGGAGATGCCACCAAGCCCTCAAGAAGTTGTGCCCTTCCCCGCCTGCGATGCCCACCATGGCCTATTTTCTTGGTGTCATTGCCCACTTGGGGCCCTTCATTGGGCCCATGTCAGGGGGCATCTACCTGTGGGAAGAACATAGCTGGAGCACAAGCATCAACAGCCAGCATCCTGAGCCTCCTCATGCCCTGGACCAGCCTGGAACACACTAGCAGAGCAGGAGTACCTTTCTCCACATGACCACCATCCCGCCCTGGCATGGCAACCTGCAGCAGGATTAACTTGACCATGGTGGGAACTGCACCAGGGTACTCCTCACAGCGCCATCACCAATGGCCAAAACTCCTCTCAACGGTGACCTCTGGGTAGTCCTGGCATGCCAACATCAGCCTCTTGGGAGGTCTCTAGTTCTCTAAAGTTCTGGACAGTTCTGCCTCCTGCCCTGTCCCAGTGGAGGCAGTAATTCTAGGAGATCCTAAGGGGTTCAGGGGGACCCTACCCCCACCTCAGGTTGGGCTTCCCTGGGCACTCATGCTCCACACCAAAGCAGGACACGCCATTTTCCACTGACCACCCTATACCCTGAGGAAAGGGAGACTTTCCTCCGATGTTTATTTAGCTGTTGCAAACATCTTCACCCTAATAGTCCCTCCTCCAATTCCAGCCACTTGTCAGGCTCTCCTCTTGACCACTGTGTTATGGGATAAGGGGAGGGGGTGGGCATATTCTGGAGAGGAGCAGAGGTCCAAGGACCCAGGAATTTGGCATGGAACAGGTGGTAGGAGAGCCCCAGGGAGACGCCCAGGAGCTGGCTGAAAGCCACTTTGTACATGTAATGTATTATATGGGGTCTGGGCTCCAGCCAGAGAACAATCTTTTATTTCTGTTGTTTCCTTATTAAAATGGTGTTTTTGGAAAAAAAAAAAAAAAAAAAAAAAAAAGCAATGGCCAGGTGAATGATGCTTTCTTGGAGGGACGGGAGGTGGGAGATAAATGGGATATGGACTTCAGGACCAGAAGGCATGCTAGACCCACCAATCAATCATCTTCAGATTTTATTTTATTACTACTGTTTTTGAGATAGGGTCTCACTCTGTCAACCAGGGTGGAATGCAGTGACTGGATCACGGTTCACTGCAGCCTCAACCTCCAAGGCTCAAGTGATCCACCTCAGCCTCCTGAATAGTTAAGACTATAGATGCAGGCCACCACACATGGCTAATTTAAAAAAAAATTATTGTAGAGATGGGGTCTTACTATGTTGCCCAGGCTGGTCTCCAACTCCTGGGCTCAAGTGATCCTCCCACCTCAGCCACCCAAAGTGCTCAGATTTTATTTTAAAAGAAATTATTGCATGCAGTTGAACAGGGTCCCCTGTACCAAAAGGGACAGTGCAACAGATAGCAGGCAAAATCAGAGGCCCCAATGGCTGATGTTACAGGGATGTGGGAGCCCAGGAACCCCACTGCACATCCACCCAATGCCTTATTTCCTCCTCTTTGCCAGGTCCAGAACTACAGGCTGGCACACTCCCAAATCCCTTCTCAACGCCACTGATGCCCTTCTCAATGCTAACTAGGCTCAGGAAGTCTGATGCATCTCTCCTTCCCCTTATTTCTAAGTAAGCAAGGCTTGGGAAATTAGAATAGGAAACAGAGACTGATCCCCAAAACATGAAGCCCTAATCTGGCTTGGCCTTACAAAACCCTTAGATTGTCAGGAGCAGTGGTAATGCAGCTTACGGGCTTGGATCCTAAGTTAGGCAAAGGCCCTAACCATGGGCTCTGGAAAAAGGTGGCTGGGAGGATGTGCTCAAGTTTGCCCCTTCCCTATGGGCCCCAGCACCTACAAAGATGGAAAGTGCCCAGCGTTGGCCCCCAGTATGCACATTCCATGCTGAGAGGTGTGCCCTGCATTGCTGCTCTCCAAGAGTGACAGCAAGAGGCAGGCAACAGGAAATTATGGGAGCTCAGAAACCAGTAGAGAAAAATCCATGAAAGAAATAATAGCAGCAACCAGCACCTTCTGCTTCTACAGTCTTCCAAAAGGGAAGTCTTGACCACTCATGCTGCCTACCCCTGGCTCTAGCACAAGCCACCTTGAAGGATGGAGAAGCTCTTGTCCATGCAGAGTGCAGTGCCTAGATTAGCCACAAGAGGTCACTTCCAAAGGCGTCTGTATCCCACCTGCTCGCCCCTCAATCCCCCCTCAACTGTCAGGGCGGGAGCTCTCCAAGGTGGGAGCATTCCTTGGCCCCACTGGCCTAACCTCATCCTGCAAGTTCCAAGAGGAAGAGGTGTGAAGTTTCCCTGGCTCTTGTCAACAGAGCCAAGTCTTATTTCCCTCATTAGCCCATAGTTCCTATTATCAGCTGCAATTGATGGTGTTGATCAAAGCAAAGCCTTGTCCAGTGGATGGATGCCAATGGCTTACTTACCTGTTCCATAATGCCTCCAGGTTAACACAGCAGCACAGCTGGGCCCTGAGCAGTAGGAAAAAAAGCCAAAGAGAGAGGGCACATGAGGTTCTAAACTCTGAGAGCCTGTGACATAAAATATAGCCATAGGAGATAGAAAATCTTGCCTCTTTCATACAAACAATCTAGCTCAGCCCTCCCCTCTCTGATGGCCACATCTCTGGTCCACAGCTCCTGAAGTTTATTGTTGGCTCAGAATGGTAGAAAGCAGAGGGCAGCCAATTCACATGACATTCTCCACCCCACCATCCATGACCTTATCATTCTTTCCAGGCACCAAGAGGGTCATCAGAAAAGCGAAAAGTCAGGAAAACAGAAACCTAAGACTCCATACACTGACATCCCCACTCTGTCTAACTCATCCTCCTTACTGTCCCCAAAGCAAGCATAGTAATTCCTTAGACACAGTCGACATAGTGTAATGGACAGTGTCTGGCTTGAGAATCAAGAAATCCAATTCTTAGGTCTGCCATAAATGCACTATGTGACCTAGGCAAATCACTGCGCCTCCCTGTGCATCTGGAAAAGAGGGGATTAAATCAGATGGTCTCTAAACCCTTGCTAGTTTGACGACTCTGAGAATGCTGTGTCCCTTAACATTAAAAGTGGGCCGAGCACAGCTACGAAGCAACAATTCCAACTAAACCCCTAGTGTCAAGCACAACGATACAATTCTCTTTTCCACTGCTTCATCCACCATCAGGCAGCAATAACCAACCGCCCATCTCTGACGGCAATACCAAGGGGAGGAGCGGGCGCCCTGAAAAGGAGCATGAATCCCCGCCCAGAATGCGAGGCGGGCCCTCAGACTACAAATCCCGGCATGCAGCACTGACGCTCTCAAAAGTATCCCTTCCTGGCCGGCAAATGACTCTTCCCCGGGTCTATCCTACCATAGAGTGCATCGCACGCACATGGAACTACAGTTCCCACAATCCATCAGACCTATCGCGATTCTTGCTCCCAGGATGCAATGCGCCCCCGTTCGCCCTTTAGACCCTTTGGCGTTGCAAACTGGGAGTTGGAGTCCGGGGTACGCAGGTAGCTGGGCGTTGTCAGGATTACAAACTCTCCACTTTAGGCTTCCTCTTGAAGAGCAGATCTCAGGGACAGTGGTGAAGAGAGGGTGGTAACGGGCAGGCGGAACTCTCCAGTGCCACCACCACGCAAGGCAGGGATGCTGAGGATACAATTAACTGATAAAATTATCTGTCAGGAGCGGGAGAGAATTAGGAACCACAGTCATCCCACACGCCTCCAAAAGCGTCATTTTCTGTCTCAAATGGCTTTTCTCTTTACCAATATGGTGGCCTGGTCCAGCCACACCCGATGGTAGAACCAAACGGTCAAGTACAACATCCCTAGGAATACTGCTGTCACCGACAGGCGACCAGCTCCATCCAACACCACACCTTGCTCCTTTCTGTTCATGCCTGAGGACTCCAAGGGCATGATAGCCCATATCCCATTACCAAAATGGCGAAAGGAGCAGCTTTCTTGTGAGGGCCTGCGGAAGGCAATACGCCTGCGCGGGAGGCGTCTGTGTTATGGAGAGGAAGGGGGAGCACCCCCAACACGCCTGCGCAGAACAGAGTCGTCTTAGTTTGCACACAAACACCAATGGATGAACAGTCCCTAGCTTCCTGCGGCTGCGCCTTGACCCCTACAAGCTTTCTCAAGCGCCTGCGCGAGACCTCAGGTCCCGCCCTTTTGTCTCAGTGCGCTGGCGCAGGGCAGAAAGGTGGGGCTTCGGTCCTCCAGACGAATGCCAGCGCGGCTGCGCGCTGGGGGGTACTCCCTCACCGCGGCTGCGCGGGAGCCAGGCCGCCGGCTGTCACTGCGGTTGCGCGCGGCGAGCGCCGATCCCGGGGCGCCTGCGCGGGTGGCTTTGCGGGCGCTCGCGGTAAGTTTGCGCCAAGTGCGCGGCAGCCGGGACGCAGACGGCGGCGGCGGCGAGAGGCGGAGCCCGGGGACCACCCCCCATCACCCTCCCCCCAGTCACCTCACGTACCACAACCTCACGTAACCTCTCACCCCCCCTCCGATACCCCCAGCCCCGGGATGGCAGCGCCCGCCAGCCTTCCCGGCCGGACCGGCTGTCGCCAGTGCCGGCTTTAGCCTGTGGGACTAGGCCCCGCCGAGGCCTGACCCCCGGAGCCGGGACCCACTGTGCAGCCAGCAGCCGGGCCGGGACTGAGGGGCCGCTCCCCCCTCGCGGCCCGTCGGGAGGACGCTGTCGTCCCGGGGACTGGGGGCCGGGGGGTGGGGGGGAGCCAGGGCGAGGAAGTCGGGACCCGTATTGGGAAAAAAGCGGGGCCGGGGTCAGGAGCGCCCCCTCCCCTCACCTCCCCCCTCCCCCCGGGGTTGGGGGGGCCGGAGCAGAGAGCACCCAGCCCGGGAGGTGGATGAATGTGGGAGAAAATGGAGACCAAGACGATCGTGTACGACTTGGACACATCAGGGGGGCTGATGGAGGTAAGAGTGGCCCTCCTCATCTCCTTCCTCCAGCGCCGGGAGGGAACCTCCGCCCTCCGCCCCACAAAGCCAGTCCTAAACTCGAAGCGCCTAGATGGCCGAGGGAGGGGGATTCTTCCTCACCTAGCCTCTCCCTCCCCTCTTTGCAATTTAGGGGGCTGAGCTCAGCCTCCGAGGACGTTTGCAGCAGTTTCACCTACCCGCCGCCCTCGATTCGCTCTCCCGAGGCGCCAGCCCACTCCATCTCGTTGCACCGGCAGGCCTCCCCACCCCCTTCTTGTTGGCCCCTTTGTGCTTCCCCCAGCACGTCCGGGTACCGGGCTTTGGGCCTCTCCCGAGCGGGTCTTTGGAGTCCCCCACTGTCCATACAAGGAAGTGGCAAGAAGGGAACCGCGCACCCTCTTCCCATCCCCCTACCCTTGATCCTCCCCATTTGGAAGAAGCTGTTCTCGTTGTTGTGCTGCAGGAACGCGGTTAGGGTGGGCTCCCCCTGGTTCCGGGGGCTGAGAGATTCTGGGAGCAGCCTGGATGGGAGGAAGAAGGACAAAAGGGGGGAGAGGGGTGGGTGACGGAGAAACCGCGCCGGGGGGGCGACGGACCGCCCGGGAGCTCCGAGTGTGCACACACGCCGTTTGTATGTGTGTGCAGCAAATCCAAGCTCTGCTGGCTCCCCCCAAGACGGACGAGGCAGAAAAGCGCAGTCGGAAGCCTGAGAAGGAGCCCCGGAGAAGCGGCAGGGCCACCAACCACGACAGCTGCGATAGCTGCAAGGAAGGTGGAGATCTCCTGTGCTGCGACCACTGCCCGGCTGCCTTCCACCTCCAGTGCTGGTAAGGTCTGGGGACCCTTTTGGAGCTTCTTGGCGGACCCTTCTCTGCGCATTCCTTCACCCGGCCTGCCCCTGACTGCCGAAATAACGGGCGCTTGCAGCCGCTAGCTGACTTTCTGCAGCTGCCGGGGCGAGCACCTCCCCGCCCCCAGGTGTCCGCCGGGTTCTGGCAGTTTAGCGGGGAGGAGCAGCGGTGGGTCCGGACCCCGAGGTGGGGGTTGGGACGAGTGAAGAGAACCCCATATGGGATTGGAAGTCGCTGGGGAGCCGGGACAGAGCCGGCCGGGGACAGCCGGCAGTGGCGGGGGAGGAAGGGGAGGAGCTCCGGGCCCAGTGCCGCTTGCCTGCCCGCGCGCCCGCTGCCCTCGGGGCTCCTGCCCGGCCGGGATCTCCTCGGGGTGGGTGCGTGGAGCCCTCGGCCACCTGAGTTGCCCTGGTCCAGACCCCGGCAACCGGGCGCTTGTGGCTGTAGAAAAAATCGTGGAGGGTGTCTCTCGAGTCCGCCTCTTCTTTGCCTCTCTGTTTACAATATGGCGACCTGCCTTTAAATTATATTTTTATTCTCAGCGCCATTTTGGCTGCATATATGATTTGCAAACGTCTCTCGGGGGAACGGTGGGGACAGCCCCAGAGTCCTTTCTGCAGAAGCTCCTCGGGGGCCCCGTCTGGGATCTCGCCGCTTTGATCCCCTTTCTCTGCCTCCGCTTGCCCCCTGTTGCCTCTCAGAGCTGCCTTCCTTCCTCCTCCCTCTTCCCTCCTCCCTCCCGGCGCCGCTGCCTCTTAGGAAATCGGGCCGGGTTAGACAATTAAAATTGCCCTTGGGCGCCGATTTCATTTCTCCGCTCCGGATCGGCGAGCCCTTCGCTGCAAAATTCTTTGCTGCCAGAGGGAGGATTGTGTGCGGTGGCACTAGAAAGGCATTTTTAAGGAGCTGAGAGCTGGAAAGCCGTACGCTTTTTCCCCCTTACTGGACATGAGAGGAGGGGAGAGACCGAACCGAGAGGGAGGGACCTGAGTTGATCGCCCGCTGCGTGATCCTCCTCAGCGGCTCAGCCCAGGACAATCCGGCAAAGAAGAGTTTAAACTCCATCTTCTGCCGGCCGAAATCACCTCTGCCCTCCACAAAAATCCCACATCTGCGGCAGCAAACCCAGATTTCGTCTTGTTCTACTGGGTCTCGTTCTGTTGTTCTGCAACAGTTGACTGAGGCAGGGGTTTGAGAGAGGAGCCAGACTGGAGAGAGGAAAAGGGGGCTGTTCTGTGTTCCCACCAGTTGTTTGATGTTGCCTTTTTTAGCCCTCTTTTTATTTTGTTTTAAGTGAAATTTCACCGAAGGTCTCTCAACAGTTCCATTCACGTTCCATCTCTCGGTTTGTGGAGTAGTGTCTACTGTATATTTGTACTAATTGCAGGTTTGGGAACACTTATTAGACAGATGACTGATACTGAGCAAATTAAGTTTATGGTCAGAAGTTATGTAGGAAACTCCCATTACCATTCCCAAGATACTTTTGCCCAGGAGGGCACCCCATCCCAGCTTGTAAAATTGCTGGGACAAAAATGATTATCGTAGAGGAAGTTTTGCTGCTGGCTTTAAAATTTTTATTATGAAGTGACTAAGGGTCTGTGGTTTTTAGCCTTTACTTCCTATAAGGTGTAATCCACCTGGAGAAGATATTTCTGGTCACATTTCTTTTGCTATTCTTAGGAGAAATTTGTGCCTGAATATACGTTGTGTTGCTTACCAGTTATTCCCAGTTGCTTACATTTTTTTAGTGTGTTTGTTTGGTATGTATACCAGGACTGAGTTGTAGACTTCTTGATTTAAAATGTGGGCTTACGTCCTACTCCTAGGATGAAATTGGTGTTAACCATGATTGCTGACATGCATGTTGAGTGAGAATTTGATAAGCTCTCTTATTTGATAAAGCTGAAATTGTTTATTAGAAACCTCAGGCATGGGAAAAGTGTGCTGTCTGTTTTGCCTGAGATTGGGCTTTTAAACTCTAAAACCTAACCTCTGAATTTTTTAATTAGACGAGTCTAAAGTCTTGTCAAGTTGTAACAATTAACAGTTTCCACTTTAGATGAAAGGAGAAAGAAGGAGGGACTCTTTAGCTGTTGGTGAGATTCAGACTTGCCCAGACTGTGCATTTCATTGAAATTTTTTTTTTTTTTGAGGCATTGAATGGGAACTGGTAATCAGAGATTTGTGAATGTGTAAATGAAGTAGTGCTTGTTTCACATCTCCAATTCTCCCTTTGAAGATGTCAATACTGAATGTACCATTGACTTATCTGAGTTATTATCTAAATCACAAAGCATTGTAGATATTGGTGCAAAGGCAGGAAGTCTTTTAAGTAGGTATTCCCTAGACGAATTTCATTTAGTGAGGCTTATCTCACTTTTCTGCGTCTGAAGCCACACTCTTTCCACCAAGAGTGAAGTTTTTTTTGTTGTTGTTTTTTGTTTGTTTGTTTTTTTCTGAGACAGGCGTCTTCGCTTTGTCACCCAGGCTGGAGTGCAGTGGTGCAATCTCGGCTTATTGCAACCTCCACCTCCCAGGTTCAACGGATTCTTCTGCCTCAGCCTCCCAAGTAGCTGGGATTATAGGTGCCCGCCACCACACCCAGCTAATTTTTGTATTTTTAGTAGAGACAGGGTTTCACCACGTTGGCCAGGCTGGAGAGTGAAGTATTTTATTAACTCAATCAGAGTAGTTAGATCAAGTATTTAATGTCTCAGAACATTTTTATTCTTGAATGTGTTTTCATGAATTTGTCCCAGCCGGGTGCTGTGGCTCACGCCTGTAATCCCAGCACTTTGGGAGGCCGAGGAGGGTGGATCACGAGGTCAGGAGTTCGAGACCAGCCTGGCCAACATAGTGAAACTCCGTCTCTACTAAAAATACAAAATTAGCCGGGTGTGGTGGCACGAGCCTGTAGTTCCAGCTACTCAGGAGGCTGAGGCAGGAGAATCACTTGAACCCAGGCAGCAGAGGTTGTAGTGAGCCGAGATCACACTACTGCACCCCAGCCTAGGTGACAGAGTAAGACCCCATCTCAGGAGAAAAAAAAAAAATTGTCCTATTACTGCTTAATTTTATCATGTGAGAGTAAGGTTATATTTCCTCTGGCTTCCCTTTTAAACTGGCTAAGACTGAATTATTTAGGTAGGCATGATAATGATAATTTTCCTTCCATACGGAAAGTACAAGAGTAAGGTTGAAGCCGAGTATGGTGGCTCATGCCTGTAATCCCAGCACTTAAAGGGGCCAAGGTGGGAGGATCGCCTGAGGCCAGGAGTTCAAGACCAGTCTAGGCAACATAGCAAGACTCCATCTCTACAAAATTTAAAGAAAAAGTGAAATTTAAATTTTGCAAATGCTGTAGGTCTTAATTGCAGTGCTGCTGTGGTTCTCTATCCAAAGCTCTGTGGGATAAGTCTTTTTTCAGTCTCTAGTATTCCTTGCCAGTCTGCCTCACTGTGAACGGAATCCAGTACAAGTGTTCCAAAAGTGGTTCTAGGCAAACTTTACCTCCCGGGCTTGGTAACACAGCTATAAACCACAGGAGATCTTTCTAAGATAAATAGTAAGGAAATGACTAGTCAAATAAGCTGTTTTAATTGTTGTCTTTTCTCAGGAGACAATGCTTTGTATGAGGCACGTCATCTCTTCCCAGTTAGACTGGGAACCTATTTCTGGGTTTTCTGTAATGATTCTCTGGAATGAATTGTCTTGTGCTCAGTACCGTGACCTCACCAAAGAATTAAGGTTGAAGAACTGATGTCTTTTTGATTAAGTGATAGTGTAATCATTTTATCCAAGTTTAACTGGTTTATCAATTATTCAGAGTGATAGTAGGGGTTACTAAACCTGTCCCTAGAGAATTGGAAAGAGATGTGTGTGTGGTGTTTTTGTTTTTGTTTTTCTGAGACGGAGTCTTGCTCTGTCACCGAGGCTGGAGTGCAGTAGCGCAATCTCAGCTCACTGCAACGCCTCCCGGGCTCAAGCAATTCTCCTTTCTCAGCCTTCTGAGTAGCTGGGATTACAGGCGCACGCCACCAGGCCTGGCTAATTTTCTTGTATTTTTAGTAGAGACAGGGTTTCACCGTGTTGGTCAGGCTGGTCTCGAACTCCTGACCTCATGATCCACCCGCCTCGGCCTCCCAAAGAGCTGGGATTACAGGTGTGAGCCACCACACCCGGCCATGGAGGGAGATATGTTTTTAAGTGTCCCTTGGTGAATCTGACTTCATCATAATTATCATGCCATGAGTTGAGCTTTCTGAAAGGTCTCTGGACTGATCCCAAAAAATCTGTTAAAAATTAGAATAACCAGTACAGCTTTACTTTTCACTGACCCATCTTTCTGTTTGAGATTGGTAGGATTGTTGTCATTGACAGAGTGAATACCATGGGGCATCAGTAATCAGGATGATAAAACTGACTGGTTTCCTGTGATTACCTTCTTATGGCATTTTGCTCCAAACAGACTGAGGGACCAAAATGGTCTGATAGAGAAGTGCATCTACCTCGGCAGACCTCAGCATGGTCCCTTCCCGTCAGACAGATTTCTGTAGCATTTGCCTCCGCGTGTTATATTTGGAATTGTTGGCCAGCTTTCCTCTCTCTGGTGTTGGCAGCGAGATCCAAAATGAGGTTTTCGAAGAATGAGAGTAAAAAGGTCTCTGTGCACAGGCAAAACTAAGCTCAGCTTGGAGTTTTGCATATTTTCAGTGAGTCGTAACAAAGGTTTCACACATAGAATAGAAAACTGCCTTGCAGAAAATGTTTGATGTTTGAAGTGGGGTTGTTTGTTTGTTTTTGGATACAGGGTCTCCAAGGCTTGATCCTAGCTCCCTGCAGCCTCAAACTCTGGGCTCAAGTGATCCTCCCACCTAAGCCTCCCAAGTAGTGGGACCACAGGAACATTCCACCATGCTGGGCTAATTTTTTAAATGTTTTTGTAGAAATAGGGTCTCACTATGCTGCCCAGGCACGTCAAGCAGTCCTCTCACCTTGGCCTCACAAAGTGTTGAGATTATAGGAGTGAGCTGTCATGCCCAACCTGTTTGAACTTTTAAGGAGGTGGTTTTTCTGATTTTGTTGTGTTTAGCTCCTCATTAGAATAGTATCAGGCAAGTGATAGATTAAAATATATTAACTTTAACATTATCTTGTCAGCATGTTGTTTTTGACATTGTAAGTGCTTAGAAGCCTAGCACTGACGAACTGGAGGTGACAACGTCTAGATTCCTTCCCCTCGCCCGGCCCCATCAATAGTAAAATGATTCTACAGTAAACAAACCTAATTTGGTTTTATGTTTATTTTATTTATTTATTTATTTGTTTTGCATTTTCTGTGTTGAATTAGAATCTAGGTATGTCGTATTGTCTTTGTTTTTTTTCTTTTTTGAGACAGAGTCTCACTCTGTTGCCCAGGCTAGAGTGCATTGGTGTGATCTCAGTTCACTGCAATCTCCGCCTTCCAGGTTCAAGTGATTCTCCTGCCTTACGTGTCATGTTGTCTTACTGGTCCACCTAAATATGGAAGATACGGTAATGTTCAATTTTAACTCAGGTTCAGATGCATGCTTCTTAATGTAGGGCTTAGGGGCTAATTGTTATGAAATGAGTGCAAGTGTCAGAAATATTTAAAGTGGAAAAGGAGGTTATACTCTTGAAAGATTACAGTTTTTGTGTAAAGTAAGGCAAGTACTTAGTAGTACTGTTATGGGAAATTTTTCACTTAAGGCCTGTCCCAAAATTAATTGCCATACTCAGTAAAAGGTAGGATGCAGTTGTAATCTCATCAATCTGCTGCTGTTCCTTAAGGCTCACTAAGTACTTTACATATAGCTCCACTAATAATATATTAGGACAGTTTTGGCTTTTGTAAATGACTTGTGTATTTTTAATAGATATAAAGGTTCAAAGGAATATTTAGGTACTGCTTTCATTTGAATCTGGAGATGGGATTCATGTTGGTCTGTTGTAAGTTCTTGGTATGTTCTTGGTAAGTTCAAGTATGCCTCCAGGAGTATTTTTGAAAGCTAAATCAGTAATGTTCAATAAATTGTCTAATCTTAATTTAAATGGAATTCAACTAGTCACTATGAATGTGTTGAATAAAACACTGGTTTTTGCTAACCTGAGTGAAAGTACAAGTGATACCTAAAATTACTCAGAGGAGCTCAGTGAATCTTTCCAAGGTTCATCCTGGTTGTAGCATTTATCAATACTTACATTGCTTTTTAATGGCTAAACAATATTCCATTGTATGGATGACATTTTATTTATTAGTTCATTAGTTGATAGACACTTGGGTAGTTTCTACTTTTTGGTGTTGTAAATAATGTTGTGAACATTTGGGTGCCAGTTTTCTTTGTTGTTGGTTTTGGTTTTGTTTGTTTGTTTGTTTGTTTATTTTTTGAGACAGAGTCTAGCTTCGTTGCCTAGGCTGAAATGCAGTGGAGTGATCTCAGCTCACTGCAGCGTCCACCTCCCAGGTTCAAGCGATTCTCCTGCCTCAGCCTCCCGGGTAGCTGGGATTACAGATGTCCGCCACCACGCCCGACTAATTTTTGTAATTTTAGTAGAAACGGGGTTTCACCATGTTGGTCAGACTGGTCTCATACTCCTGACCTCAAGTGATCCACCCACCTCAGCCTCCTAAAATGCTGGGATTACAGGTGTGAGCCACCGTGCCAGCCAGGGTGCAAGTTTTTATGTGCAAGTTTTCATTTCTCTTGGATATACACCTAGAGGCAGAATTGCTGGGTCGTATGGTAACTCTTAACCTTTGGAGGAACTGCCTGTTTTCCAAAGAAGCTGCATTATTTTACTTTCCTACCAGTAGTGTAGGAGGGTTCTAATTTCTCCACTTCCTTGACAACACTTGTTATTTTCTGCCTTCTTGATTAAAGCCATCCTAGTGAGCGTGAAGTAGTATCACATTATGGTTTTGAATCAGATTTCCCTGAAGGCTAGTGATGTTAAACTTTTTTTCATGTGGTTATTGGTCATTTGTGTATTTACTTAGAGATCTCTATTAAGATTTTTGTCTATTTTTAATTGAGTTGTTTGGTTTTTTAATTGAGTTATGAGAGTTCTTTATATGTTGTAAATATAAGTTCCTTGTCGCATATATGATTTACAAGTATTCTTCCATTTTGTGGGTTGTCTTTACACTTCCCCCATCTTTTATTTATTTATTTATTTATTTTATTTTACTTATTATTTTTTTGGGACAGAGTCTCCCTCTGTCGCCGAGGCTGGAGTACAGTGGTGTGATCTCAGCTCACTGCAACCTTCACCTCCCAGGTTCAAGTGGTTCTCCTGCCTCAGCCTCCCAAGTAGCTGGGATTACAGGCGCCTGCCACCACACCCAGCTAATTTTTGTATTTTTTGTTGAGACGGGGTTTCACCATGTTGGTCAGGCTGGTCTCAAACTCCTGACCTCGTGATCTGCCCGCCTCGGCCTCGCAAAGTGCTGGGATTACAGGTGTGAGCCACCGCACCTGGCCTATTTATTTATTTTTAGAGGCAGAGTCTTGCTATGTCTCCCAGGCTGGAGGGCAGTGGCACAGTCATAACTCACAGTAACCTTGAACTCCTAGTCTCAAGCAATCCTCCACCTCAGCCTCCTGAGTAGCTGGGACTACAGGCATTTGCCACTACACCCGGCTAATTTTTTCCTTTTTTTGTAGAGATAGGGTCTCACTGTGTTACCCAGGCTGTTCTCGAACTCCTGTCCTGGCCTCAACCGATCCTCCTGCCTCAGCCTCTATTTTTTATTTTTTAGTCTTAACCTAGCAAAAGATGGTTGATTTAAGCACACTTTAATATCTATGCCTATATTAGCTCTGTAATGTCAGTAAATTAAGAGTTTCTTCCGTGAGCTCCAGTTAGGATGGTACATCCCAGTGAAGAGAACCTTACGATGTGATTTGGTATGTTGTTGTTTCAACTTTTCTGCATGTCCTTTCCTAGCAAAGAAGTCTAAAGCTGTATTGTTGCCTTAGAGGAAGTACAAAAAATCCACCATCTGCCTTTAGATAGGATGCTCACCTGTCACCCACTAGCCACAACAGAAAATGTCTGTGTTTGAGCACTTCTCATACTTGGAGGACCCTAGTTTAAGAAAGAAGATGTTGGCTGAGGGCAGTGGCTCACACCTGTAATCCCAGCACTTTGGGGAGCCGAGGCAGGTGGATCACTTGAGGTCAGGAGTTCGAGACCAGCCTGACCAACATGGTGAAACCCCATCTCTACTAAAAATACAAAATTAGCTGGGCGTGGTGATGCACGCTACTTGGGAGTCCCAAGTACTTGGGAGGCTGAGGCAGGAGAATCGCTTGAACCCGGGAGGTGGAGGTTGCAGTGATCACGCCATTGCACTCTAGCCTGGGCACCAAGAGTGAAACTCCATCTCAAAAAAAAAAGATTTTAATTGTCTCAGTTTTATTGGTTGTGGTGGAAATAACTTCAGGTCAATTAAAATGTGCTGTCTTTTGAGCCCAGTTAACAAGAACAAAAAGTTGTTTGTATATTACAGCAAACTCACCTGTGTATTTGTATCTTTATATAAGCCCAGATAACAGTAAATAAAGAGAGCGCAGAGAATATTTACTGGACAGTTTTATATGGCTCATAAAAAGAAACCATCTGCTTTGATCCTCCCAAGAGGATTTTTGCTACCTAAAAATGCAGCTGTCCTGCTTCTTGAACAGAAATGGGTACATCTTTTCTCCCACAAGAAGAGTAATAGAAAATAGATTAATACTCTGGGCTTTTGATAATGGGTAAGCATACTGAAATCCATCTCTCAACTTTCTTGTCCCAACCCCAACACAGGGACAATTCCTTGGGTATGCAGTTAAGTAGGCCACCCTGATAAAAGATTCCGTTTGGGTTTATGGTAGCCCTTATATATTAATGCAGCACAAGCTCCTGGAAATGCATTCAAGTTTTAAGGTCCAGCGTTTTAAGTCACCAGAACAGGAAAAAAAAAAAAAAAAAAGTCTGTTTTCCCCCCTCCACTGGGCTCCTCCTTTGACTTAGAGGCCCCAGGGAGTACAACATGGCCAGCTGCATTGCCATTCAATGAGTGACACTTAGAAGAGAACCTCTGCATAATGCGTGCCTCCCAAGAGAATACAGGACAGGAGCACGGCTGTACCCCTGCCAGTTTCCTGAAAGAGGAGGACATTGTATTCAGTGCAAGTCCTAGACCAAATTTCAGAAAGCCACTTTGGTATTGCAGATTTGTCACCATGCCCAGGACGCATGCACAGGTCACTAGCTGACTGCTTTTCCCAGGACTTGAGAGCAGTTAAGAAGAATGAGAATGTGACTCCTTTTTCTGCCTGCCATTTCCAGATATCAAAATCCTTATCCTTTAAGCCTAAGGTTATTCCTAAACCTAAGTCTCAGCAAATAAGAACAAAGATGAGGTTTTAGCACATTTTGTGTGAGGCAAAAGCTGAGGCATACAATAGACACTAATAAAAGGAGGAATCCATGAGTTGACCCATCAGCAGGAAGGAACTTGACTACTACATAGAGCTGTTGTGGAATTCACAATAAGTAAATTACATGTGCACCTTGCAGATTGATGCAATTTTCAAAGTAATGAAAAACTTGACTTGCTCACTCAGAGAGTGAGTCCCTTTTGCTCTGCTGCCTACTTTCCCTTTTGCTACAATCGTACTACATAAATGCTCACTAAACTACTTAAAAGCCGGAGGCTGACCCATTTCCTCTTCTCACTGCCGTGTAATTCCTAGTGGTATTACAGATGAGAGACATGCAAAGGTAAACAGTAGTTGGGGAACAAAAATGATATCTGGGTTATTCCAAGTGGATGATACCTTTGTTAACACAGACACAAGGTGAAAATTTCTTTTCCCCTAATTACATTTGCTTTCTTTTAAGTTAGTGACTTTGGTGTTTAATTTTTGCCTCTCCCCTGTTTTCTGACAAATTTTATGGGATATCTCCCAAGAAATGTTTCTCAGCCTTGACAGGACAAAAGACATACAGAGTAACAGCAGGGCAGGGAGCAACTCCGTGCCTGAATGTAGCGTCAGTCTTTCCTACTGATCTGGGCTCTCTGCGTGAGGCTCGTTTTGAAATAAGCTTGAGTGAGCAAAAGAGGACTCTCTGCAGGGTTTGAATTTAACGGTAGCCCAAAGACATCACTTTACCTCCAAGCCAGGCAGGGATAGGGGAACCTCTCAGAATTACTAGCAAGCTTGAGTTCCAGGTGGACCCCTGTTTGTGGCAGCACAAGCATCTTTTTTACTCAGCTATGGTCCTCAGAGGGATGTTGAATATTATTTTTCTCCTGTCTGCATTTGTGCAGAGAACAGAGCAGAGAAACTAATGAAATGCACAGAGCTTCAAGTGAATTTAAAGAAGCCTCTGCATTATGAAATAAGGCAATGATGACCTACTCTTGCTTTTCTTTCCACTACCCCTAGGCTCCTGTGATCAGCTGAGTGCTCGTTAATTCCCACGTTCACTAAACCATCATAGTTCTGCTGATTCTCAGCTTTAGAGGGAAACTCTACAGTGAACTTTTTCAATTAGCAGTCATCAATTACTGGTCAGAATACATTATAATTGTGAAAATTATGCTCCATTAATCTCATTAAATGTGCCTAAACCTGTAACTTGTCATAGTTCGATACATAGGTTGGCTATATTTAACTTTCCCTGATCTTATTTGCCATTTTTTGCAAAAGCATCATCTAAAATGTAGAGAGAGTTGTCAGTAATTTTGGCTTTTTAATAAACATTGTTTTGCTTTGTCATTTTTGTTTTGCTGTATCCCTCCTTTGTGGTCCTTGTTGTTTTGCCTGGCATGGGTGACACTTAGCCATTTTAACTTAGCAAACTGTCATACCAAAGGAAATGCCTAATTCTGTGATATCAGGCATCTGACTGCAGGCTACAGTTTGTTGGTGTTGAAGTAAGCTGTATGTTAAGAAAAGTATCTCCATTTTATTTGTTATAGCAAATAACGCATGTCCAAGGTTTGTATGCTTGCTGCCTTTCTTTGAGGGCTTTCCTGAGTGCTCACCGTTTGTGTGTACACATGCAGACCTTTAGGGTGATCATTCTTTGGTTAGGGACCATCTGAAAGAAAAGTGGACCAAAGGGGAAAATCATGGCTCTGGAGAAGTATGTTCAACTCATAAATAGGTCACTGGTGGGTATAACTGGAAGGCTTTGGAAGCCCAAGTCAGCACTTAGCTGTGGCATCAAACCATGACAGCACAGTTTGACAGCATGCCCAGGAGATTACTTCAGTCCTGTAGGGTGGGGAGCTTTGATGTTTATGAGTGGAATTGGGGGATGGGAGAGGGTAAGGGTAAAAGTAGGGGGGTATAATCCCTGTGCTGGCATGGCCCAAATAGTATTATTCTCACTTTTTCCTGTTTCTATAGACCCTGTCAGGGGAGGGTAAATTAAACCAAAGTCCCTCCTTAGGAAAAAGCAGCTGGGTCTTAAGTAGAAACCTGCTCTCAGGCTGGGTGCGGTGGCTCACACCTGTAATCCTAGCACTTTGGGAAGCTGAGGTGGACGGATCACAAGGTCAGGAGTTCAAGACCAGCCTGACCAACATGGTGAAACCCCGTCTCTACTAAAAATACAAAAATTAGCCGGGTGTGGTGGTGCCTGCCTGTAATCCCAGCCGCTCAGGAGGCTGAGGCAGGAGAATCAGTTGAACCGGGAGGCGGAGGTTGCAGTGAGCTGAGATGGTGCCATTGCACTCCAACCTGGATGACAGAGTGAGACTCCATCTCAAAAAGAAAGAAAGAAACCTGCTCTCTTGATTTTGTTGGGTTTTAAATACATTGTTAGTATTTTTTGTTTTCTGAGCCTTTATAGAATTTTAGGTACAATATATATAAACTGTAAACTGGCCCACATTCCTGAGCTGTGTCTGCAAGAAGTGTGTCACCTGGCTATTTCCTTTTTCTTGATAGTCTGTTAAAATTTGGCAATAGAATAGTACCCAGCTTTCCATACCTCTGAGACTCTTCCAGAATACAGAGTTGGCAGTTGTTGGTTCTTCCTTCCAATGGAATGTTCCCAAGAGTGTGAGAAAATTACCGTTGAGGCCAGAATTTTGTCCCTTTTCCAAAACAGGTGGGCTCTAGCATCAATCATGAGGTGAATTAATGAAGGCCCTTTTTAAAATGTTTGCACCCCAGCCCATCTTTCTTTGTAGAGAAGCCAGAATTGCAAGAATAGCCAAACCAGGCTAGTGATAGATCAGGCCCTTGAGACTGAGGCTCAGCTTGTAGAAAAGTTAGCAGAGGCAAACACCTGGTATAACTGTCAGTGCTCTACCCTCCCTGCTTCCTTTTTTCCCTGTACTAACTAGTAACACTCGTATCCAGGTGTCCTTTACCGGGAAGATGCCACCAGCCAGCTCTACATAGAAGGCGATAAAACTTGGGGGCACAGTCAGCCAGTTTAAAAGGATTGTTTGCCTGTGGAAGTGACGCAACTAGCTAAGTTTCTCAATGGGGCATTTGTAATGTTCTGGCACTTCATTTGTTTCCTTGTTAACACTCTCACTGAGGCTTTGCATGAGAAACCCAACAGTCCTTGTACCTTTTTATGTACTTTGTGGCATTAGTGGTGTTTGAGTCAGTAGCCAGGATGAAGGAGGATAAGGGATTAAGGTTGAGGGACCCTATGAATTTTCTCCTTCCATCTCTTTAATATCCTTCAATATAGCTATCTTCCTGCAAAAGACAGGCCATACTTGAAGAGAAAAGCTGATGCCCACACAAGTGTCCAGAGGAAGCTAGCTATTTCTGCTGACATTTACATTTCATTAAATGTTGTTCCCTCAAGGCATGCACTTTAAAATTTGGGTGTATTAATGCAACTTTTAATTTAAATTAAAATTTAAATTAAACTTTACCCAGCACCACTTAGCTTTTCCAGGACATAAGTTTGTTTTCGTTTATAAAAGGCTGGTTCTCTGTGCTCATGGCTCCCTTTATAGAGCAAAATGGCTGCTAGGAGGCTGAGACATGATTGTGGTCCTTTCAGTGATCACCTTCACTCCCCATTTTGGCTAGTATCAACACATTTTCTGAGCTGGATGAGGGCCGCAGGGCCAGTCTGAGGGAGAGTAGGCTAGTTCTGAGCATGTATTTATGTTTTGCAGTTTGTCTTACACAGTGAGACTAAATATAATTGCAGGATTTTTATCTGGTAGTGGTCCTCAGATGGATGGATGAGCCCCGTGAACTGTGAAATTAAAAATCAAAACTGCTCAGTCCTATTGTTTGCTTGCTGAACACCTCTTCCCCCACCAAAAAAAAGGGTGGGGAGGCATACAGATGATGATAGGGGCAGTGAACTCTTTCTTTTTAGTCCAACTGATGTTTTATTTTGACTGAAACTGAAACTGCTATAGATGGCTAGAGAGCTTCTGATTCCTGAAGAATTACGGGTTCTGACAAGAAAGACCCTACCAGTTCATGTGACTGACCTCTTTTGGAAGAGAACCTGCTTAGTAGGCTGTTGGTGTATTGTATATGGATATGCTATTTACATAGTGTTCCTGTTAAGTATTTGTATTAAATAGAATTATTTTGTTAATCCAGAAAGAGAAAATGGAGTGTACTTTTTCTTAAATATTTTTCATCTACTTGCTTTCTCTCCCTCTACCTCTCGCCTCTTCCCTTTGTTCTCTTATTCCCCCATCCCCCGCTCTCCCCTCCAATTCCAGACTGAGAAACTGCTTGTTCTGGATGGATAATTAACATGGTGCTGTGGAGCAACAGGTCCCACTGGTAGCGACTAAATCTGAAGTAAATGTTAATGTCGTGCAGGTTCACATGTATTAATAGGCGAGGGAGATGAGTGAGGTTAGACTCAGATCAACCACACTGGTATATGACTTGAAATAGATCCTCTTAATTAGAGCGCCAAGAACCATGACAACTACCAACATCTTCTACTTGCAGTGTTGAGCTGCAGCCTTATTAGTGAATGCAAGGCATTCTAAATTAAAACTGAACTTTAACCTCGGGCTGAGAGTTGGGATCATCTGGCTCTGGGCTTCGATTTGAATCTTTGAAACAGAAATCTGTCAGTATAGGCATTACAGTTAGCTGAGGGATGTATGTTTGTGGTTTTCTCCTTGATGACTCCAGAAATAGACTGATCTAGATAACCTTCTCAGCAGTAGAGATGGGCCATTTGGATTTGTTTATGGGAGTCTAGGTATGTTGGAGTCATGCTGAAGAGGTTGGCTTTAGGAATTGGTTTGTATGTTAATATTACTCTTAACACTTTGTAGGCCCTCTAGGCCTCACAGAGAGCCACACCAAACTGAGAAACATACCCTCCAATTGAATGTACAGTCTCTGAAGATTTAGGGCTTTACTGTTATGAACAGCTTTATAACTAACAGCATGTCTTTAAGATCAGGTAGTGGTTAAAATAGTGAGCTGGGGCCAGGAGTGGTGGCTCACACCTGTAATCCCAACACTTTGGGAGGCTGAGGAGGGCGGATCACTTGAGGTCAGGAGTTCAAGACCAGCCTGGCCAACGTGGTGAAACCCCATCTCTACTAAAAAGACAAAAATTAGCCCAGTGTGGTGGTGCATGCCTGTAATCCCAGCTACTCAGGAGGCTGAGGCACAACAATCTCTTGAACCCGGGAGACAGAGGCTACAATGAGCTGAGATCGCACCACTGCATTCCAGCCTGGGCGACAGAGTGAGGCTCCATCTCAAAATAAAAAAATAAAATAAATAAAATAAAATAGTGAGTTGTAAAAGCAGTGAACGGTCGCTTTCTGGCCAGGAATTGTAGGCCAGGGCCTTTTAACAAATGATCTGGTAGGAAATTTATCAACAGCAGTGAAAATGGGAAGATACTCTGCAAGAGCTCTGTCTTCATAGGGCACTGTCATCTCTGCCTATGGAAAAGAATGCATGTCTCATAGCAATGCAGGCTATGCTCTTTTGAAGCCAGAAAATAAAGTAGAGGTCCTTGGCTTGTTGGCTAAAAAGCTACCAGTTTTCCAAGACAAGCCAGTTCAGGTACAGAAGACAACTATTCCAGAGCTCACCATCCCAAGTACTCAGATAATTCTCAGAAGGAATCTAAAGGTTCAAACATGCTGGACACAGTGGCTTACGCCTGTAATCTCAGCACTTTGGAAGGCATAGGCGGGTAGATCACCTTAGGTCAGGAGTTCGAGACCAGCCTGACCAAGATAGTGAAACCCTGTCTCTACTAAAAATACAAAAAGTAGCTGGGCGTGGTGGCGGGTGCCTGTAATCCCAGCTACTCCAGAGGAGAATTGCTTGAACTCGGGAGGCAGAGGTTGCAGTGAGCAGAGATCGCACCATTGCGCTCCAGCCTGGGCAACAGAGCAAGACTCCATCTCAAAAAAAAAAAAAAAAAATAGAAAAGAAAAAAAGAAAGAAAAGAAAGGTTCAAACACTATTGTGCTCTAGACAGACTTAAACATTCATTTTCAGAAGAAATGTCTCCACTGCTAGAACCTTCCTTTTATCAGGTATTTTATCAAAATGCAGAAATATACCTGCTTCTGAAACTATGGCTTCCTCCTGAACTCCTCACGATCCTTAACTTCACTGTCTTTAAAGGCTCACTGGCTGAATTACCATTTGTTAAATAGCTCTGAATTATGAAAAGAGTAGGAAAAAATCGCATGTCACCTTCAGGTACCAAATGTCCAAACTTTGGGGCTCTTCATTGATTCTGGCATCCATAAGTAATTGAGTTTTATGTGGGTCTTTATGGTAAGAATCAGTTTGTAGTTGATTATGTATGTTCTCATTACTGCATGTCCTTTTCACCTTATCTCCAGCCCATGATCCCTAAAATCAAGAACCATGTCTGAAATACCAGCACTTAGCACATTGTCTAGCCTAAAATAAACATCCAATAATTTTTGAGTGGATGGATGATTTTGATCCTCTCTCCCCAAGGCTACTTTTTTTTTGAGGCGGGGTCTTGCTTTGAAGCCCAGGTTGGGGTGTAGTCGTGTGGACATGGCTCACTTCAGTTTTGCCCTCCTGGACTCAAGTGATCCTCCTGCCTCAGCCTCCCAAGTAGCTGGGACTACAGATGCATGCCACCACATCTAGCTCATTTTTGTATTTTTGTAGAAATGGGGTCTCACCATGTTGCCCAGCCTGGCCTCTAACTCCTGGGGTCAAGTAGTCCTCCCACCTTAGCCTCCCAAAGTGCTGGGATTACAGATATGAGCTACAGCCTGGCCTAGACTACTTTTTTGATGGGGTAGATGATAATTTGTTTGCTTTGCGTTCATTTTTCAGTGTGGTACCTAGTACATTGATGAGAAAGTCATGGGTACTCAATAAATATTGACTGATGTAGAAGGAAATGCGCAGCCTTGAGGTTAAGGAGGGTACCCTGATGGATATTTCACTGTGTACCCCAGAAATAAGAAGACTACTAAAGGTTCTTAAAAAACAACTTGGGCTCTGAAGCATATCCTGAGAGTGAACCAAAAACAAAACAACAACAACAAAAATAGCTTAGGCTCAAGATTTCAAAGAGCCAGGAAACTTTGATTTGGGTTCCAGTTCTGCTACTTAGTGGCTTTAGATAAGTCAGTTTCCTCACCTGTATGATGGGAATAAGAATTATCTCACAGTATGGTAGTGAAGATCAAATAAGAACATCTGTTAAAATACTTTGTGAACTGTAATACCTAGATGTCAATGAAATTATCACTATGCTATTTCTAGGCTTTAGTTTAAGAAACACATTGATGTCTTTACAAAAGCAGCATTGTCTCATTATAGTGTTTTCACTGCTAAGCAGCTGAAACTCTGGTAGAGTAATCTCAGTGTTACGTGACTTTTAACTTTTAATGATTTTTTCTTATAAAGGACGGCCTCCAGGACCCTGTCTTCATTGATACATGAGGATGAGAGGGAGCGAGGGCAGAGCCTTTTTTTCTTGACAGGCATATCATGATTTAAAGACTCTGGTGTGCATGTAATTGTTTTCAGAGTTGCACGCTAGGCTTATGGGAATACCATTCTTCCAAGGAAGAAGGGGTTTTTGTTTTTGTTTTTGGGAAGAATCTCCTGTCACCCAGGCTAGAGTGCAGTGATGCGGTCTCGGCTCACTGCAACCTCCACCTCCTGGGTTCAAGCAATTCTCTTGCCTCAGCTTCCCCAGTAGCTGGGACTACAAGTGCACACCACCACACCCAGCCAATTTTTGTGTTTTTAGTAGAGACAGGGTTTTGCCATGTTGGCCAGGCTGGTCTCGAATTCCTGACCTAAAGTGACCCACCCACCTTGGCCTCCCAAAGTGCTGGGATTACAGGCGTGAGCCACCACACCCAGCTGCGGAAGGAGTTTTGAGATGGGCAGCTGAGGTGGGGAGTCCTCAGAATAAGTACATGAGTACCGTGAGGCTGCAGAATCTCCTTTCTCCCTGGAATCCTTTCCCTGTCAGCAGTATTTCTGATATGGAGCAAAACAGCCTCTTTCAGAATTGGTTCCTGAGCTTACCCCAATGACAGTGTCTTTCCTGGAACCATTTCATGAATCCCTTTCCTCTAAAAAATTTGCATTGAGCCAGGCGTGTTGGCTCACACGTGTAATCCCAGCACTTTGGAAGGCAGAGGCAAGCGGACCATTTGAGCCCAGGAGTTCAAGACCCAGCCTTCGGCAACATAGTGAAACCCTATTTCTACAAAAAATATAAAATTTAGCCCAGCGTAGTGGTATGCGCCTGTGGTCCCAGCTACTCGGGAGGCTGAGGTGGGAGGACTGCTTGAGCCTAGGGGGTCAAGGCTTCAGTGAGCCAAGATTGCCCCACTGCACTCCAGCCTGGGTGACAGAGTGAGACCCTGCCTCAAAAAAAAGATAGAAGTTTGAATTGAAAAGCTGCCTTCTAAATAGCTTGAAAGGAATTAATTGCTTGAAGCAGAGAGGAAACATGGTCATGAGAAAGCTTTATGATGGGTGATTCTTGTGTTCCAGCTATGCCTATGATGATCATTTTCTAAGACCTTTCTTTCCTATCCATCTAATCTTAGATATTACTGCCTTCTCCCAAGATACCATCATTTCAAATTTGTTATTTCAAGATGCATGTTCTGTCCCTAAGAAAGCAGCAAATCTTGGCCAGGCACAGTGGCTCACACCTGTAATCCCAGTACTTTGGGAGGCCGAGGTAGGCAGATTACTTGAGGTCAGGAGTTCGAGACCAGCCTGGCCAACATGGTGAAACCCCATCTCTAAAAAAAAAACAAAAATTAGCTGGACATGGGGGCAGGCACCTGTAATCCCAGCTACTCGGGAGGCTGAGGCAGGAGAATCACTTGAACCCAGGAGGCAGAGGTTGCAGTGAGCCGAGATCACGCCACTGAACTCCAGCTTGGGTGATACGGTGAGACTACATCTCAAAACAAACAAAAAAAAAGCAGATCTTAAGAAGTGATGGCCTCAGCCAGGTGCAGTGGCTCACGCCTGTAATCCCAGTACTTTGGGAGGCTGAGGTGGGTGGATCACTTGAGGTTAGGAGGTCAAGACCAGCCTGGCCAACATGGTGAAACCCCATCTCTACTAAAAATATAAAAATTAGCCGGGTGTGATGGCGGGCAACCTGTAATCCCAGCTACTCGGGAGGCTGAGGCAAGGGAATCGCTTGAACCCTGGAGGCAGAGGTTGCAGTGAGCCAAGATCGCGCCACTGCACTCCAGCCTGGGCAACTGAGCAAGACTCCGTCTCAAAAAAAAAAAAAAAAAGGAATGATGGCCTCAGTCTTTTAAATGTTTTGTCTTCATCTGGGAGACAATGCTTGGGTTTCCCTGGACTACTCCCTAAATTCATAGCCCCTATCCATACTTTAGGGCAGGCTTAACAAAGGGAGCCTGTGGTCATTATCTAGAGTTCTGAGGAATGTGTGGTTTTGTTTGTTTGTTTTTTGTTGTTGTTATTTTTGAGACAGGGTCTCACTCTGTTGCCCAAACTGGAGTGCAGTGGCACGATCACGGCTCTACCTCCCAGGCTCAAGTGATCCTCTCACCTCAGCCCCACAAGTAGCTGGGGCTATAGGCTCATGCCGCCTCACCTGGCTAATTTTTTGTATTTTTAGTAGAGGTGGGGTTTCACCATGTCGCCCAGGCTGGTCTTGAACTCCTGGGCTCAAGCAATCCACCCACCTCGGCCTCACAAAGTGCTGGTATTACAGGCATGAGCTACTGCACCCGGCCAGAAGTGTGTTCTTAAACTTGGTAACTCTAAAAGTGATCCTTTAGAAACTAGCAAGATGCTACTTCTGAGAGCCTCTTAATACAAGTTTAAGCATTTTACCTTGTGTTAAGATAAACGATATTGAAAATCAAATTGTTTAAAGAAGATTAAAATGAGTAGAGGTGGGATGGTTCAGTAAGTACAGGCTTGCCAGTATGGACTTGGACTCCTCTTCTGTCTCATTGTGTAGTAACTTAGAAAACATAAGTAATTTCATGTGTGATTTAACCCACAAAACAGTTGCCTGCCCCATTGCATTACCTCCCCTCATAGCTTTGAAGGATTACACTCACTTCCTAGAAGCCCATTCCTTAGTGTTCCCCAGTTCTTTAAAGCTTTATTGAGTACTTACTACATGCCAGGCATTGTACAGGGTGTGGAGGTACAAAGGCAAATGAGGCATGGAGAAGGGGATTCAGACATGTAATGGTTTGAATACAGTGTGGTGCAGAAGTGCTCTGTGGAACCAGAGACTTTCAGAGAAAGCTTCCTGGAAAGAATACGTGACTTGAGTCTCAAAAGATAAAGAGCTTACCAGGTGAAGTAGTTAGGGAAGAGTGGTGTAGTTGTGGGTAGCAGCCCTGGAGTGAGCAGAGACACAGATGAGAAACAGTATGGTCTGTGTAGGGAGCCGGCCAACTGATTGAGCTGGAGAAAGAAGAGGGTTCTGGCCACAGGGGTCTTATCTTCTCTACTTTAAATGTTTTAAATGTTTGATGTAGGATATCTTGGTACAAAGCCAGTGGGCAGATGAACAGAAATGATGAGAAACAGAATCAGAAGTGACACCCTTCAGGGTTAATTTTGATAGGACAGCTACTGAAGCATAGCAGAGTCTGTAGGCCTTTGAAAATTACTTGCATGCATTTCAGTAGTTTAGATGTGGCCTTTTGTAGAATTACATTGGCTAGAATGAGCGGAGACTTACAGGTGACATTCACCTGTGGTCCTCTAGGGCTTGGAGATCTGTCCCAGCAGGCCATTGTTTTTCCAGTTTCCTGATTCCTGGTAAGCATCCTCCTGAGATTTCACTAAGGAAACAGGGAGGAAGGGAAGTAATGAGCTGTGAAGCCTTGGTGGGCATCTGACATGTAAGCTTGGGGCTCTGGGGAAACAGGGAGCTAAGAAAATTTGCCAAGTCAAGTGCTATTTTATGTAGAAATGGTAAAACAGCATAGCTTTAAGCTCTGAGATACTCAAGTTTGGCTGGGCACAGTGGCTCACGCCTGTACACCCAGCACTTTGGGAGGCCGAGGTTGGTGGATCACCTGAGGTCAGGAGTTCAAGACCAGTCTGACCAACATGGAGAAACCCCATCTCTACTAAAAATACTAAAAAATTTGCCAGGCATGGTGGCGCATGCTTGTAATCCTAGCTACTCAGGAGGCTGAGGCGGGAGAATTGCTTGAACATGGGAGGCGGAGGTTGCAGTGAGCCAAGATCGCACCATTGCACTCCAGCCTGGGCAACAAGAGCAAAACTCCATCTCAAAAAAAAATACTCAATTTTTTTTTTTTTTTACCATTTCCCCCATTATTTGAAGAAAAATTTCCTGCATACCATTCCAAGTAGGTGACTTAGCCAAGAACTCAATGGTAGGAATTTCTTAAGCATAAATGTGGTTTTTGTTGTTGTTGTTGTTGTTTTGTTTTTGAGACAGAGTCTCACTCTGTCGCCCAGGCTGGAGTGCAGTGGCACTGTCTCGGCTCACTGCAACCTCCACTTCCCAGGTTCAAGCGATTCTCCTGCCTCGGCCTCCTGAGTAGCTGGGACTACAGGCGCGTGCCACTACACCCGGCTAATTTTTGTATTATTAGTAGAGACAGGGTTTCACCATGTTGGCCAGGCTGTTCTCAAACTCCTGACGTCGTGTTCTGCCTGCCTCGGCCTCCCAAAGTGCTGGGATTACAAGTGTAAGCCACCATGCCTGGCCTGTTTTTTGGTTTGGTTTGTTTGTTTGTTTGTTTGTTTTGAGATGGAGTTTTGTCACGCAGGCTGGAGTGCAATGACATAATCTTGGCTCACTGCAACTTCCGCCTCCCGAGTTCAAAGGATTCTCCTGCCTCAGCCTCCCAAGTAGCTGGGATTACAGGTGCCCACCACCACGCCCAGCTAATTTTTGTATTTGTAATAGAGATGGGGTTTCACCGTGTTAGCCAGGCTGGTCTTGAACTTCCAATCTCAGGTGATCTGCTGTGTGCACAACCTCTGTATTATAAAAATACAAGGAGGGAAGAGATCCAATCATTGTCCTAGTCCCTCTAATAAAATAAGTAAGAGAACTGCTGAAATGGGCAAAGCATGAGAAGTGCCAAAAGAGAACTAACCCATGCAGCAAGAGGTCCAAGATACAGGAGTAATATGAACTCATGGAAAAGCTGTTTGGTTATCTATTGTTGCATAACAAACTACGCCAAAACTCATTGGCCTGGTACAGAAACTCATTATTATCTCTCACAGTTCTGAGGGTTGCCTGGGCTCTGCTGGGTGGTTTTTCTGTTTCACATGATGTTGGCTGGGACTGCAGTCATTTGGAGGCTTCACTGAACTGGTAAGTCCAAGATGACTCACTCACATAGCAGTAGTTGCTGCTGCGTGTTGGCTTGGAGTTCAGCTGAAGCTGGTTTTTTGTTTTCTCAAGATGGAGTTTCACTCTGTTGCCCAGGCTAGAGTGCAGTGGTGTGATCTTGGTTCACTGCAACCTCCACCTCCCAAATTCAAGCAATTCTTCTGCCTCAGCCTCCCAAATAGCTGGGATTACAGGCATGTGCCACCATATTTGGCTAATTTTTATATTTTTAGTAGAGATGGGGTTTCGCCATGTTGGCCAGGCTGGTCTTGAACTCCTGATCTCGAGTGATCCACCAGCCTCGGCCTCCCAAAGTGCTGGGATTCCAGGTGTGAGCCACCACGCCCAGCCCAAAACTGTTGATTGGAATACCTTGTCTCCTCCATGTCCTCTCTCATAGCATGACAGCAGGGCTCTGAGATGGAACTTTCCAAGCATATTTCTTAAAAAATAGAATCTGCAGATCTCTTAAGGCCAAGCTTTGGAAGTTGCAACATTGTCACCTCTGCTGCATTCTGTGGTCAAAGCAAGTCATAAGACAAGCACAATTCAAGAGGAGGGAAAGGGACTACCTGTGGATGGGAGGCAGAGCAGATAATTTGCAGCTGTCTTTAATCCATCACAGCTGATTGAGGCAGGTATGAAAGGATGAATAGAGTTTTGACAGGCATAGCTTTCTAAAGGAAGAGTATTCTAGAGGAAGAAATAGGAAGTCTTCCATTTGAATAGTGGGAAGAGCACCTGAAGGGGTCTGGGAAGATGGAACGGTGGGACCATGTGACAGGGCTTTGAACAGCAGTTAGAAAAGCTTGGCTCTACACTAACAGGCTTTAAGAAAACAGTGTGGAGGACCTCTCAGTTATTTTATTATACCTTTCCCTACAAACCCAGTGTTAATAGCTCTGGATTTGGCTTCTCTCTCTAAGGTGTGGGAAGGGATGGTCACTCCTTAGGTTATTATGAGTGATGCTGACTTAGGCATTTTGGAGGAGACAACCCTAGCAGTCCTGCAGGACTGGCCACAATAGGAGTTTAGGAACATGCAAACCTAGCTAGGCTTTTCCTACTGCCTCAAAGGGCTAGTTATTTAGTCTTGCCCTTGTCTGTTCCCCACAGTAACCCTCCACTGAGTGAAGAAATGTTGCCTCCTGGAGAGTGGATGTGTCACCGGTGCACTGTTCGCCGAAAGGTAATAATGCTGCTTTCTGAAGACTGTCCAGAAAGCCTGATCCAGAGCACTGATATGCTAGAGCTAAGACGGCCTAGCCCTGAAGGCATTCTTGTCCCTTCTTCTTGTCTCTTCCAGCCCTGGAATCACCCCACTCTTCCCATGGTGACTGTTTGGAATCCAGTAGGGCCTAAAAATCCAAACATGGGCTGCTGAAATGGGCAGAAGAGGTGTGTTAACTTACTGAGCCATGTTTAGTCACTAGTGACAGGAGTAGTCTTACCTTCTTGTTGTCCTCCTAATAAGTGGCCTTATCCATGGCTGAAAAACAAAGGCTGCTTCTCCAGCTTGATGGAAAATGGAGTTTTCTCTCACCCCAGGGCAAATAAGTCACTGGTATCCAGAGACTTGGCATACTGACGGAGAGGATTTTGAACGCATTTGTACCCCAAGTTGCCTAATCTTTCTTTAGCTTCCCTTCCTTCAGCTTTGATAATTCAGTACTGGCTTCAAGAACATGGTTTATTATTTTCTACTTTGAGAACTCTTGTGGGTAACAAGAGCTAAATTCTCCCTTATTAAAAAAGGAAGTAGGTGTGCTTGCACCCAAATTATGATTGACCCAACCCTCAAATTACAGGCTATGGATTAGAATTTGTCTGTGCATTGTAATCCACCCCCCTGTGCTCCCCACACTAATTATACACCAAGCAACTTTCCTATGTTGTGACCTCACCTCTATTTGCCTGGTCCCCGAACATGATGTCACAATGAATGATGACTTCCTTGGTTGCAGAAACAGGATGAGATGATTAAGATTGTGGTTTATGTGTGTAACAGTTTCAGCCTTTAAGAAAGAAAGTAAACAAGCAGACATTATTTTTCAAATACGTGCATAAGGGTTCATATTTAAAAGCAAGCCAAAGCCAGGTCAACCACCTAACCACAGCTGTAGTTAAATTTCTCCATAAACCAGGCTGTCTTCCAGCCTCTCCACCTTCCAAGATCCTTTCCTGTGCATCCCTAATTAGGTTAGAGCAGGGCCTGTTAGAGGCACCTGCCAGCCAGGAGCCCTCTCAAACTTGCCACTCAAAAAAGCTGGACCTGAAAAGGTTTAGGGGAGCTGAAGGAAAAGGGGTAAAGACGGTGGAGAAAAGGAAATATTATGTTAGTGCCCATCGTGTGCCAGGTGTTTTAATTACGTTATCCCATTATCTATCCATCCAGCCATAGATGGATACCGAATGCTGGCCGTAGGTTTCCATTTTAGAAAGGAAGAAACGGAGGCTCAAAAATGTAGATTAACTTTCCCAAGGACTCAAAGGTATTGACAGAACCAATGTTTGAACCAAATTCTCTCATTCCAAACCTCTGTTACCTCTTCATCAGTTTTCTAGAAGGAGAGCTACTTGTTGGGGATTACAGTATGCCCTTTTCTAACATGGCACTTCTCCTGAGATGCCTCTCTTACCTTTCACATGGACCTCTGCCTACCAGTGCCAAGTCTGCCTTTTCCACCATCACCAGCACTACTCCCCTTTGGCCTCTTGTATTTACACTGAAGTGGATTGAAATAATACATCCTCTGGCCTTCATCAGCTCCTGACATTCAGGCCCTATCATGATTCGTAGTGGAAGACTAGGTCCTACTCCAACTCCAAATTATCCCTTTCGTATATATGACCCTTTTTATCTCCCTCCACCATATCCCTGAGAGGAGGAGGAGAAAGATTTTTCTGTCTCATTTTACAGATGAAGAAATTCCTGCCCACCAGCCTGAGTCACCACAAGGTCAGAGGGGATCCGTGGCAGAAATAGGACAAGATCACAGGTCTCCTACCTGGAGATCAGTGTTAAACCTTCATTTGACCACTCTATTTGGAGTCCTGGAGGAAAATGTACTATCAGATATCCAGTCCTACTGAGTACACTTAATCTTTTTCCATTTCCCCACTTTCTAAGAAGTGTCACTTATTTTGAGCAAAGTTTTTATTTTTAAAACCATTCAGGAGGTCAGAAGGCTCTATAGTGATCTCACTGATTTTTTTTTTTTTTTTTTTTGAGATGGAATCTTGCTCTGTCGCCCAAGCTGGAGTGCAATGGCGCAATCTCAGTTCACTGCAATCTTTGCCTCCCAGGTTCAAGCGATTCTCCTGCCTCAGCCTCCTGAGTAGCTGGGATTACAGGCACATGCCACCACACCCAGCTAATTTTTGTGTTTTTAGTAGAGATGGGGTTTCACCATGTTGGCCAGGCTGGTCTTGAACTCCTGACCTCAGGTGATCTGCCTGCCTCGGCCTCCCAAAGTGCTGGGATTACAGACGTGAGCCACCGTGCCTGCCCCATTGATTTTTACTATTGGTCTCACTAAATTTATTCTCACTGTGTTACCTTTTTAGCCCTTTACCCTATACTTTATAGATGTTGTATGTCATACAATGAGTTAATGTTAATGATATATATTTTGTATAGTTATTCCTAACTTACCATGCTTTTTGGTGATTCTCTGATGCAACAGTTTTGTCAGCTTTAGTTCAGTTAGAGTTGTGTCAACTTTAACAGACCAGTGTTCCAAGTGACCAGGTAGATGAGTCTGTGATATGTGAAGGCCTTTTACAGTTTTGATTAGTGGTCTACCAGGACTTTGTAGCACCCATCTCTTTGTTTCATGGTACTTTTCATGATGGGCCCACCTGTTCATTTGCACAGAAACGAGAGCAGAAAAAGGAGCTGGGTCATGTCAATGGACTGGTGGACAAATCTGGCAAACGGACTACATCCCCCAGCAGTGACACTGACTTGTTGGACAGATCGGCCAGCAAAACTGAACTAAAGGCCATTGCCCATGCCCGGATCCTGGAAAGGAGAGCCAGCAGGCCTGGCACACCCACATCCAGCGCCAGCACAGAGACTCCCACCTCTGAGCAGAATGATGTCGACGAAGACATCATTGACGTGGATGAGGAACCAGTAGCAGCGGAGCCAGACTATGTGCAGCCCCAGCTGAGGCGGCCCTTTGAGCTGCTGATTGCTGCCGCCATGGAGCGGAACCCCACCCAATTTCAGTTGCCCAATGAACTGACTTGTACCACTGCACTACCAGGTCAGCCAAACCATCATCATATCCCTTCCCAACCCCAGTTTCCCCAAAGGACCAGCACAAGAGCAGTGCTGCCTGTGGAGTCACTGTTCATGTAGCTACTGTCTTGGGTTCCTGTTCCTAGTTCTGCTTGGAGAGATCTTTGAAGGTCTTAGCCATTACAGAGCTTACTCAGTTTTCCATTTTCTCAGTTTCTGAACTTCTTTCCTTCCCCTCCCCCAGAATTATCTTTTTCCTTTTTTTTTTTTTTTTTTTTTTGTGAGTCTCACTTTGTCACTCAGGCTAGAGTGCAGTGGCACGATCTCGGCTCATTGCAACCTCCGCCTCCCAGGTTCAGGCGATTCTCGTGCTTCAGCCTTCCAAGTAGCTGGGACTACAGGCGCATGCTACCATGCCTGGCTAATTTTTGTATTTTCAGTAGAGACAGGATTTTACCATGTTGTTCAGGCTGGTCTTGAACTCCTGACCTCAGGTGATCTGCCCACCTCGGCCTCCCGAAGTGCTGGGATTACAGGTGCGAGTCACCACGCCCGGCCCCAGAATTATCTTTTAAAAAAAAAAAGTATTATACATTCACATGGTTCAAAAATCAAAAAATATTAAGGGCTACAATGAAAATTTCCCTCCCACCCGTCTGCCATTTGCCTACTTTCCACCTTCCTGCTCTTCACAGGTAACCACTGGTTGATTCTTGTTTATTCTTCTCAAATTTCTTTGTGCATGTAAAAGCAAATACAGATATATGCTGATTAATTTTCCCTTAAGTAACATGCTAGTTAAACCATTCTACACGTTGCTTTTTTTTTCTCACTTTAAAATATGTTCTAGAAGTCTTTTCATATTAATATAGAATTTTTTTTTTTTTGAGACAGAGGCTGCACTGCACTGTGGTGCAGTGGTGTGACCACAGCTCAAGCAATCCTCCCACCTCAGCCTCCCAAGTAGCTGGGACCACAGTTGTACACCACCACACTCAGCTAATTTTTATATTTTTTATAAAGACAGGGTCTCACTATGTTGCCAGGGCTGGTCTCAAATTGTGCTCACACGATCCTCCCGCCTCAGAGGATCCCAAAGTGCTGGGATTATAGGCATGAGCCACTGCGCCTGGCCTTCTTGCTTTTTTTAATGGTTGCATAGTAGTTCTTTGTACAGATACGTCATAATTTATTTAACCAGTGCCATTTTCTATTAATGGACATTTTCTATTAATGGACATTTAGGTTCCAAATCTTTCATTACTACTGGTAGTGCTTCAGAGAATAACTTTGTAAATACATCATTATATACATGTATAGATGTGTGACTATGTCTATAGGACAATAAAATTGCTGGGTCAAAACTATATAGTTTTGATAGATATTGCCAAATTGTCCTCCATTCTTTTTTTTTAAGTCCTGGCTTCTTGATACTGTAAAGCTTCTAGGTCTTAGTTTTTATTCCCAAAGAAAGTGAAATTGGTAGGCTTAAGAAGGATGCATATAGAATCAAAGCTTCTCTGATTTTTATGAAAATGTGGGCCAGGTGTGGTGGCTCACACCTGTAATCCTAGTACTTTGAGAGATCAAGGCAGGAGGATTGCTTAAGGCCAGGAATTGGAGACCAGTCTTGGCAACATAATGAGACCCCATCTCTCAAAAAATAAAAATAAAAAAGTTAGCTGAGTTTGATGGCCCACACCTGTAGTCCTGGCTCATATGGAGGCTGAGGCAGGAAAGTTGCTTGAGCCCAGTAGTTCAAGACTGCAGGCCAACTCCACAGAATAGTCCTTGTTGACTATGTGGCTTGGACATTTACATTTCTTAGGTTGCCTGTATCTAACCTAGCATTTCTGACCATTTTATGTTTGCAAAACAGTTAGATGTGTTTCTGCCATAGAACAGGTGACTTCTGGTTCTGACTTACGTATTAGTCTCTTTTTTTTTCCTCCCTAATCTTTCTTTTTTCTAACTTAAAATCAACCCCAGGGGCCTCAGAGAGCAATTCATGCTTAGGCCATGACACATGCTTAAGATCTGTTTTTGTCACTTAATGTTGTTTCCATATTGCAGGCTAGGAACTCTGAAGCCAGGGATAGCTCAGCACCATCATTTTCTTTTCTAGGTTCTAGCAAGAGGAGAAGAAAGGAGGAAACCACAGGGAAAAATGTTAAGAAGACACAGCATGAATTAGATCACAATGGTCTCGTTCCCTTACCCGTCAAAGTCTGCTTCACGTGTAACAGGTATTTTCTTTCATACTAAGGGGCTCTTTCTCATTATTTAGCAGATGATACTTTTTCTCTCATCACCTCTTCCAGACCATGTATGTTAAATGTGAACAGCCCATATTCTGATAGTATGAGTACATGGAGACTAACTAATGGACTGACGAGAGCCTTGAATGTGTATGTGTTAACAAATTTTCTGAAGAATCACAGTACAGGAGTACTGTGAACTGTGTTGAGGCCGAGCACGGTGGCTTATGCCTGTAATCGCAGCAATCTGGGAGGCCGAGGCGGTCAGATTGTTTGAACCTGGGAGCTTGAGACCAACCTGGGCAACACAGTGAAACCTTGTCTCTACAAAAAAAAATTTTTTTAATGAACCAGGTATGGTGATACGCACCTGTAGTCCCAGCTACTCCAGAGGCTTAAGCAGATTAGCCCTGGAGGCTAAACTGTGATCACGCCACTGCACTCCAGCCTGGTCAACAGAGCGAGACCCTGTATTTTAAAACAAAAACAAGGGGCCGGGCGCTGTGGCACATGCCTGTAATCCCAACACTTTGGGAGGCCGAGGCAGGCTGATCACAAGGTCAGGATATTGAGACCATCCTGGCTAACATGGTGAAACCCTGTCTCAACTAAAAATTCAAACAAACAAAAAAAAATTAGCCGGGCATGGTGGCAGGCATCTGTAATCCCAGCTACTCTGAAGGCTGAGGCAGGAGAATGGCATGAACCTGGGAGGCGGAGCTTGCAGTGAGCCAAGATCGCGCCACTGCACTCCAGCCTGGGCGACAGAGCAAGACTCCGTCTCAAAAAAATAAATAAAAATAAATAAAAACAATGGCCCGGTGTGGTGGCTCACGCCTGTAATCCCAACACTTTGGGAGGCCGAGGCGGGCAGATCATGAGGTCAGGAGATCAAGACCATCCTGGTCAACATGGTGAAACTCCATCTCTACTAAAAATACAAAAATTAGCTGGGTGTGGTGGCACGCACCTGTAGTCCCAGCTACTCAGGAGGCTGAGGCAGGAGAATCACTTGAACCCAGGAGGCGGAGGTTGCAGTGAGCTGAGGTCACGCCACTGCACTCTAGCCTGGTGACAGACCAAGACTCCATCTCAAAAAAACTGTGTTTACACACTAGAACAAGAGGAGTTGGACTTAAACTAAACATTAACTTGAATCACTAAAGATAAGTTTAAAAGTAGTATAAGGATCTATGATAGTGTGTATTGGACTGGATGACTTCCAAAAGCCCCTAGGGCTGCCCCAGTTATAGTCTCTGGGACACTGGTTTCCTTCAAATAGGATCTCTTTGACAGAAACCAGCTGCTTCAGTTACTGAAGCTGGACTTGTTGGCTTGGGTGTGTTAGAAGGACTGTATTATGGTCAGAGCAGGGTAGCAAGAGAAAGTAACTATCAAAAAGAAATGTTTCACAGCAAAAGGTATAGGGAAAGGGAACTAGATAGTAGAGTGGCAGAACTCTGAGCCAGGACAAACTGTGGCTCCAGTGCATCTTGGGGACCCCAGGAGTATTGTAGTTACAAATCGTAGTTGTCATTTGCTTAGTCCTCTTTTGAACCCTGCTTACATGAATACATTACAAAATCATCTTTCCAGCACACCTCTAATTGTCAGTTCTGCTGAGTGCTTCATGCAGAAGAGAAATATTTTCTTGCTATAGTTAAGACTCCAGAAAGGTTGCTAGTGATTTTTTTAATGAAGTAGGCTCTCTCTTTTAAGAAGTAGGAAGATCAGAGCAGAGTTCACTGTTTTCCCCTAGTGAGTACTGAGCATTGATCATCCCTACTCTGCCACTTTAGCTGTACTCCAAATAAACATTCACTTTCCCGCAAGACATGTTCTTCTTAGAAGAGAGAATAATGAAGAACCTAATGGGAGCCCCCAAATCCATCCATGTTGTTTTTTTGTTTTGTTGTGTTCTGTTTTGTTTTGTTTGAGATAGAGTCTCTCTCTGTCACCCAGGCTGGAGTGCAGTGGCGCCATCTTGGCTCACTGCAACCTCCGGCCTCCTAGGTTCAAGCAATTCTCCTGCCTCAGCCTCCCGAGTAGCTGGGATTACAGGTGCCCACCACCACGCCCAGCTAATTTTTTGTATTTTTAGTAGAGACAGGGTTTCACCATGTTGGTCAGGCTAGTCTCAGTCTCAGTCTCCTGACCTCAGGCAATCCGCCCACCTCGGCCTCCCAAAGTGCAGGGATTATAGGCGTGAGCCATCGCACCAGCCCCATCCATCTTTCTAATCATAAATGTAACTGAATCACTGGAGGAAGATAGGGGAGAATGTTAGGATCAAGGAGGGGAGAATGTTAGGATCAAGGAGGGGAGGCTGTTCCACAGGTCAAAGTTAGTTTGAATTTTCCTTTTCTTGCCACAGAAATGGCCAACATCTCTTTTTTGCAGGAGTTGCCGTGTGGCTCCTCTCATCCAGTGTGACTATTGCCCTCTCCTGTTTCACATGGATTGCCTCGAGCCGCCGCTCACTGCCATGCCCCTGGGCAGATGGATGTGTCCGAATCACATCGAACATGTGGTGGTAAGCACAGCAGTGTCCATTCAGTCCTCAATGGGCATAGCTGGAGCGTGGACTGATTAGCAGAAAGCATATTAAGGTCAGCTTGGTGCCAAGTTCACCACATTGTCATAGGTACTGGTTTCTGCAGGCCACCCTACTCAATTCTGATCATTTTGACATATTTCAGCTATGCTTTTTCTCACAATGTTTTGTTTCAGCTGCCCATACAGACTTAACTCACTAGTGCTTGGTTGTTTGTAAGTGACTTATAGGGAATTAAGCAGTTGATGTTATAGCCCTAAAAGGGGAGTATATTAGATCCAACCTTAAGGAAATAAATCGTTGGCTGTCTGGGGTACATGTGTCCCAGGCACCAAATGAAGTTTAGTAAATAAGCTGTTGAATGAATAATAGTGTGAAGGTCCTATTGCTTTCTCTTCCAAGAGTCTTGGGTTTATTTTCCAGACTGAGGCTAGAAAAGAGCTGTCACTTGCTATCTCCAAAAGAAGTTTAGGACATCTCTTTATAGGCAGTTAGAACAGTCACTCACAAGATTGAATGGGAGAGGATTTGAGGAGGAGGAGCTCCCTCATAAGAGCAGCCTTCCAAATTAAAAAGGCTACTGCTTAAGACATTGTCTGTCAAATGATGATAACCATGGAATGACCGTTGGCCTTCATGGCAGTGTGCTGCTGACCTTGCACTGAGAGGAACCTCGGTTAAAGACTTGCACACATGGAAGAGAAGAGTTACTTTGTGTTCTTTTGACTCATGCCAGTCAAAGATTTTTCTAGGAGGAAAATCTAGTCTTGTTTTGCTTCCTTGTTTCTCTCCTAGTCTTGTTTTGCTTCCTGATGAACCAGAAAAAAAATGACCATAAGCAGTTTACCCAAATGTGAAACTTAAAGAGCAGCTTTCTAGCAGTTGAGAAATTCTTAGTGGGTTAAATTTTTGTTAGCCACTTAAAGGTTTTTCCTGATTTATGAATTAGGCAGCTGCCACAGCAGGTCCTTTCTTTTGAATTAAAATGTAGGAGCCCAGATGTAGAATAGGAAAAGTGGCATAATTTCTGTATGCCTTCGTATATTATTGCAGAAACTCTTCTTTCTTTTCTCCTTTTGGCTTCTAAGAGCAATCCAAGGTTTTCCCTTCCAGTAGAGGAAGACTGATATCAAGATGGGTTAACTTATGCTCCTTGGTACCACGGAGTAGGAGTAGAGCAGAGCACACGGATTTCTGGTTCTGACCCAGTTGTCAGCCAAGCTCCTATGTAGGACACAGTCCTGCTTTTCCTATTAGAGAGAGGCCCTTCCTGGGAAGGGAGTGTGGGTCTCTTAAGGGTCGAAGCATACGTCTTCTCTGAAACCTGTGCTGCTATTAGAGGGCCCTGACAGAGGCTTCTCTGAGCTGGAACAGAAGACTGTCAGAGGCCGAATTTGGAAGGGCACGTCTTGGCTAATTTCTCCTGCCTTCCTTAAGGCTCTCTAGGGAACAGGAACATATTGGCTCTCTTCCACTGGACTGGGCAGGGCTGAGTAGGAAGTCTCATCCATGTTCCCTTGCTCTCTGACAAAGAGTGCCGACATCCTGGTCCCTAATTGAGGGAACCTATGTGGCTGAGGGCTTCTAGTTTTTAAACACAGGGAATGGGGTTAACTGGGATAGGAGGTGCCTTTTGAGGCTCACCACAAGGTTGTGTCTGCTTTGTCCCTAGCTGAACCAGAAGAATATGACACTGAGCAATCGGTGCCAGGTGTTTGATCGTTTCCAGGACACCGTTTCGCAGCATGTCGTCAAAGTGGACTTCCTGAACCGAATCCACAAGAAGCACCCCCCTAACCGGCGTGTGCTCCAGTCGGTCAAAAGAAGAAGCTTGAAGGTGAGTCACAATCAGGTGCAGGCAAGATGGTAGTCTGCCTGCCATCATGGGTTAGACAGAGGATCACTGTCCCAATTTTACAGGCAGGGAAACTGAAGCCCCAGAAATAGGTTTGTGGTGTCTCGTGAGTAATGAGTGTGACCTTCATTTTAATACTTGGGGATGATGGTCAGGATTATGAGGGCCGAACCTCAAGTTAGCCTTCGAAGTCTACCAGTCTCTAGTTTTCCAAAGGATAAGCACTCTTCAGCCCATCCCACCAAACCCAAATGTGCTCTGTTGTTACTGCCACCCTCACCTAACGCTCATTCTATCTGTTCCTGTTAGATGGCCTCTGTCCAAGAGGCAAAGTAAAGGTGGGGATGATTAAGCAGAAAGAGCCATGTGGAAGGTGAAGAGCTAATCCCAGCTCAGGAACTTAAGTGGAAAATATCTAAAGGAAACTTGAATCTATTTTTCCAGGCTGCTGTTAATATATCACCAATGCTCCAAATTGTGGCATAGCTGTAATAATGCCTAATATTTATATGCTCTTGACATTGGCCAAAGTGTGTTTACAGAGATTGACAGAAAAATTTCCCTCCTTGAAAAGCATTTGGTGGTAGTGAGGATGTTTTTAAACCATTCAATCCCCTCATTCAGTTAACCTAGAGGGTCCAACACTATATACCCATATATAAACTTGTTTTTCTCTTTTGAAATGATCCCACAGTCTTATGTGCTAACAGAAACCAGCACTTCTCAAGTATGGCCACTTGGTGGCAGCCACATTTTAAAATCAATCACACTGGCCAGGCGCGGTGGCTCACGCCTGTAATCCTAGCACTTTGGGAGACCAAGGCAGGTGGATTACCTGAGGTCAGGAGTTTGAGACCAGCCTGACCAACGTGGTGAAACCCCGTCTCTGCTAAAAATATAAAACATTAGCCTGGCATTGTGGCAGGCACCTGTAATACCAGCTACTCGGGAGGCTGAGGCAGGAGAATCATTAGAACCTGGGAGGTGGAGGTTGCAGTGAGCCGAGATCGCGCCATTGCACTCCGGCCTGGACAACAAGAGTGAAACTCTGTCTCAAAAAAAAAGGTCAGTCACACCACTGCCATCACCTTCAGTGGGTATCAGCACTAGCAAGATGCTAACTGTTGAAAATTGTATAACAAACTTAACTGGGCAAATATTTATACATCAGTGGAGACACAGGTTTTCCAAAACTAGATTCAAATATTTCGGAAATGGATGATATTAAAGGTAGTATGCCTCATCTCAGTGAAACAGATCTAAAAGTAATCCAGACTGTGTAATTCACTGTGTAGATTTGTCAGAGAGCATAGCTGCTGAAGTGAACGGGCCAGGAGACCTTGATAAAAATCCCCTTGTTGTATGGTGCCCCTCCCACCTTTTAAGTGTTTCTCTAGTGAGGAAACTCAAAGGGCATGAGTTACCTGCAAAGCATTTTGTACTTGGACAGTTTGAGAGTGAAATGAGGACCGTAGCACCATAGAACATTGGTGAAGAACCCCAGCTCTCTCCTGGAACATTAGCCTTTACACTTGATTCTAGCAATTCAGGAAAAATCTGCTGAGAACTTTGTATCTTCGTTGCGAATTTCTCTTCCACTTAGCCCTTCACTCTTCCCCAGGGGTATCCTGTTCTTACCCCAGGGGTAGTGGAATAAACTAGTCCACTGTTTATTCCTCCTCCTCTCATTCCTGGGTGATCTCAGAAAGCCCATGGCACCAGCTAAGGCCATCACCAGCCCATGGTGATGACTCTCAACTCCATATTCCATGCCTTTCTCCTTATATCCAGACTCATATCTGCCTGCCCATCCCACAGATATCTCAGGATGAACCTCCTCCATAAGACCAGAAGTCTTCTGCCTCTCCACATCTGCTCTTCCTCCTGTATCTCCTATTGCAGTAAATAACAATGATCACTACTCAGTCCCTCAAACTAAAATTCTGGGAACCATTTTCAGTTCTCCCTTGTCTACCATAAGGATTTTGTCACCAAATCTGTTGGTTCTCTGGATGTTTTCCAAATCCACAAAGTGCTATCACATCTCTATGCCTTACATGCTTCTCCCCCTCCCTTATTTTTCCTTTATCTGCCTGGAAGATCCTTCTCAACTTCCAAGTGTCAACCCAAATACTGACTTCCTATAAAATCATCCCCAATCCCAAATTCCTGTCCCCCAAACTAAAATAAGCACTATGTTTTTAATAGCACCTTAGACATGCTTCTCTTCTAGAACCCATTACCTTGTGTTGTAATATTTCTGTGTTTATCTCCCCACTAGACTGTGAGCTCCTTGAGGGCAAGTCTTAACTTTTATTCATCTCTGGATCTCTAGAACTTGGAACAGTGCCCAGACACAGGAGGTGCTCAATAAATGTTGGTTGAATGTATGAATGACTCTTTGCTTGTGTGGCTCTTTCATTCTTACATGGTGTGATTCAGAGTGTGGCTTCTGTTTTTGTTGCACAAAGACGTCTTTAGTTGTTTCATGAGTCATGAATGAATGGATGAAGGAAACTGACATTGATGGAGTGCTTATCATGAGCCAGGCCTCATGTCAAGCATTTTTTTTTTTTTTTTTTTTTTTTTTTTTTTGAGACGGAGTCTCGCTCTTTCACCCAGGCCGGACTGCAGTGGCCCTATCTCGGTTCACTGCAAGCTCCGCCTCCCGGGTTCATGCCATTCTCCTGCCTCAGCCTCCCAAGTAGCTGGGACTATAGGCGCCCACCACCACGCCCGGCTAATTTTTCATATTTGTAGTAGAGATGGGGTTTCACCATGTTAGCCAGGATGGTCTCGATCTCCTGACCTCATGATCCTCCCGCCTCGGCCTCCCAAAGTGCTGGGATTACAGGCGTGAGCCACCGCGCCTGGCCTAAGCATTTTTATCTCTCAGTGACTGCTCACCCACTCCCAAACTTGACACTGAGCAATAAGAACCCAGAGTACCACTCTGAAGCCCTGTCCAGTGCCAGTCTTACACCTTTCAGGCTAAAGCAGAAGACAGAACGCAGTGGTTTCTGTGTTCTGCAGGCCTTAGACCTTGATGAAGGAAAGTGGAGGCCCCACCTGCTATTTCCATTTCTGAGCCTCCTTTTCCTCAGCAGACCCCAGAGTGGATGGTCCCTTGAGCACCAGCACCACAGACAGAACAGCATACCAGGGCAGAATCAACTAGACATGTTGGAACTATCTCCCTCTCCTTCCTCCTTCTATCTATCCTGAACAGGTTCCTGATGCTATAAAATCTCAGTACCAGTTTCCACCCCCTCTCATTGCACCCGCGGCCATTCGGGACGGGGAGCTGATCTGCAATGGGATCCCTGAGGAATCACAGATGCACCTTTTGAACTCTGAGCACTTAGCCACCCAAGCAGAGCAGCAAGAGGTGAGTGAAGGTGGGGCGGGGATTCCAAATCCAACCTTCCTTCTGTGTCACCACAGCTGTTATCAGAAGTAGCCTCAGTGTCATTCTCATTCCAGTCCCCACCCACCCTCATCCTAACCCCTCAAGAGTTGAGTATTCCAGGGGGAACTTCTGGCTCAAATCCCAAAGGCAAGTAAGAGATCTACAAAGGCAACTGGTCTGCTTCTCTCCATCGTTACCCCAGTGCACTGTGAGATGGGCAAATCTATACTGTAGAAAGAGATGAGTAGACCCATAGAGAGGTTAGGTGATAGTGCTGGACATACCACAGGTGCTCGGGGTAATTGCTGAATATTGGTCACAAGTAAGCCTTAAAGGCAGAGTCAAAATGCAGATCCCAAGCTCTGTTGGCCAGAGGGAGTGTTGGCCTGCTGAGGGTACCTATAAGTCTTGCTTGGGAATGGAAATGGAATTCTATCAGGAGTCAAGCACACCCTTTGTGAGCATTCATGATGGGACCTCGGAAACTGCTTGTCAGCTCTGCTGCAGCCCTGGCCACTGTGGCAGGAAGGACCGGCGCCTCTCAGGCTTCTCACCCCCCTCTCCTCTCCTTCCATTGCAGTGGCTCTGTAGTGTTGTTGCGCTCCAGTGCAGCATATTGAAACATTTATCTGCTAAGCAGATGCCTTCGCATTGGGACTCTGAACAGACAGAGAAGGCTGATATTAAGCCTGTTATTGTGACTGACAGCTCAGTCACCACCTCCCTGCAAACAGCTGACAAGACACCTACACCTTCCCACTACCCCTTGTCCTGCCCCTCAGGGATTAGCACCCAGAATTCCCTGAGCTGCTCTCCACCCCACCAGTCCCCAGCCCTAGAGGACATCGGCTGCAGTTCTTGTGCGGAAAAATCCAAGAAAACCCCTTGTGGGACTGCCAATGGGCCAGTGAACACAGAGGTGAAAGCTAATGGCCCACACCTCTACAGCAGCCCTACTGATTCCACGGACCCCCGGCGACTTCCAGGCGCTAACACCCCACTACCAGGCCTCTCACACCGGCAAGGCTGGCCCCGGCCCCTCACGCCACCAGCGGCTGGGGGCCTTCAGAACCACACCGTCGGCATCATTGTGAAGACAGAGAATGCCACTGGCCCCAGCTCTTGCCCCCAGAGGAGTTTGGTTCCTGTCCCAAGCCTGCCCCCTTCCATTCCCAGCTCTTGTGCCAGCATCGAGAACACCAGCACTTTGCAAAGAAAGACTGTCCAATCACAGATAGGACCTCCGTTGACAGATTCAAGGCCACTGGGCTCACCCCCAAACGCCACCCGGGTGCTCACTCCCCCGCAAGCAGCAGGAGATGGTATCTTGGCCACAACAGCCAACCAACGATTCAGCTCACCAGCGCCATCGTCAGGTGAGTGCTGCTCAGCCTTGGGTTGATTTGGAATAATTTTATGCTCTTTCTGGCAAATAAGATTCTAAAAGCACTTATATCCCTGTGAATACTTCAGAGGACTTTGGCCTTTGTATTGTTTGTCTTACTCTCATTTCCGTAATAGAAGAGGAAGCACATGTTAACTTGTCCCGTTTATAAATGGGACTGCTTAGGCTCTGAAAGCTTCAGTGATTTCCTTAAAATGACCTACTGAGTCAGTGGCAGGATTGGAACCACAGCCCAGGTCTCCTGACTCCATCCCATACCTTCCAGGCCTAGGCCTCTGCCTGTTTTGTTCTGTCACCTTAAAAGAAGGCAGGGTGCTCTCTGGAATTACTATGATCAGCCTGAGGTTCTGCGTGATGGCCTCAGTATTGTCAGATCCACACAAAAGAATGGATTCATGCCTGATGCATATTCTCAGAAAGAGTTAATCTGATGAACTTCCATGTCAGGAAGCAGGGCTAGACAGCAGCACTGTCTTTCAGAGGAGCTGTAGAGTGGGATGCCCACAGGGATTGTTCTAGCCCAGAAGCGTGCCCTCAGGCCACATGCCAAAGGGCGGTCCTTCAGGTCTGTACTTGGCCTACTGTGGACCTGCTCTCTCAGCTGTCCCCAGAGAGCACTCAGGACCTTGAAGTTGCTGACCCCAGCATCTGAACCAGGTTTCAGATGCTGCCGGAACCCTCTGTGGTCTCTCCCGTCTGAACTGAAGCCGGCCTCCTAGTCAGCTGGGAGTCTCGGTAACCAGATGATTGTGATTTCTCTGCATGGGAGCCCCTGGTCCCAGGATGGCCCCGCTCCCAGGCTGTTTTCCTATCTCTGTTTATCGCTTAAAACCAGCGTGGGTAGATTCTCCACGCCGTGAGTCATATTTCAGTAGGCAAGAATTATAAGGGCAGGCACTACTTATTTTAAAGTAGAGGCAGCAGGGAGGTGGTCATGGCCCAAAGAATGAAGCTGCCCCACCACTTTCCCCAGAGCAGTGGATTTCAGTGGTTCTCAGTGCTCTGGAGACTCCTGCGTGCCTGGGTGCTTTGTCGTTCCATCTGCCCTTCCTCACCACACGTTTTTAGCTCTAGGAGTTCCAGAGCCTATGGGTTGAGAATCAAGAAGGGAACATCACCTTGGGTCCGAAATCCAGACCTGTCTCAGCAGTGGGGGATTGGACGGTGGGTTTCCCTCAGGCGACGTAAGTAACAGTCTTCCTGCTCCGTCCCCAGATGGCAAGGTCAGCCCCGGCACGTTATCCATAGGAAGCGCTTTAACCGTACCCTCTTTCCCAGCCAACTCTACTGCCATGGTGGACCTCACCAACTCACTTCGAGCATTTATGGATGTCAATGGAGGTGAGTGAATGAGCTGCTGCTGTTCCACCGTTTGCTATGTTGAAGGTGCTATTCCTATACAGCATTCAGCTCATTTCAGAAAGGGAGGGAAGGGACACCTGATCCCAGAGGCCTAGGGGGAGATGGGAATGAGGAGTATCCTTTTGGATGGGGGGGCGGGGTGAAAAAGAAAGCTCCTTCTGTAGCTCTGCCTTCTACATGTGCATATACACATAATCAAAGATGAAGGGAGGACAGAGCCAAGCTGAACCAGTGAGACGAGAACAAAATCACTTTAGGCAGATCACCTGGATTTGCAGAATAAAACTAAGATCCTCACTCCCAAAGGAGGGACCTCATCTGTGGGAAACCCCCAAAGTCCAGGAGAACAGGGACAGATCTTGATCTCTGTGAACACAAGGTGGGTAGAAAGTTCAAGTCTCAATATCAGACATCCAGGCCCTCCCCCACAGACAGGCAAGTGGTTTATTCCACTCTGCCTTTCTAGGGGCACTTTAATTAAAATCAGTCCACCCAACTACAGGAGGCAGCTGCACAGGCTGCATTGGGGCCCATCTCACTGCAAATGGCAAGTGAGATGCCCAGCTGCAGATCCTTGTACGCTCTGCACTCAATGCTGTTTGAGTAAAAATCACTTGGCTGGATTTTAGAAATGCCAAACTATTTGCTCTGTGACCCTGATTTGCTTCCACATTCCACTTCCCATCTCAGCTGCTTTTTAATCTTTCTCTTTGGCTAATAGAAATCGAGATAAATATGCTGGACGAGAAGCTGATCAAGTTTCTGGCCTTGCAGAGAATACATCAGCTTTTCCCCTCCCGGGTCCAACCTTCACCGGGCAGTGTCGGGACACATCAGCTGGCTTCTGGAGGGCACCACATAGAAGGTGCGCATGTACACACCTGTCACCACATCATCAGATCTCCCCTCTACGTGTGCGAATGGTCACCTTGCCTCCATGGAGAATCTGAGCTTCCAGTATCTCAAACCTCCTTGTGTGCTTTTCATGGGCTTAATAAAGCACCATGGTTTTTTTCTGAAGAGAGCAGGAACAAGATGGCAACCACAGCTTTCTGATCAGACTTGGGGAAGTCTGCTGTAACTTTCTTTCATATATAAGTCCACTTCGAGACACAGCAAAGCAGCTACCAGTACCTTTGGGTATATGTAGTGTACTTTCTGCTTACTTGCTTTCAAATATTTGAATTAGAAGGGCTTCCCGACTGAGTGCAGTGGCTCACACCTGTAATCCCAGCACTTTGGGAGGCTGAGGCGGGAGGATCACTTGAGCCCAGGAGTTGGAGACCAGCCTGGGCAACACAGTGAGACCCTATCTCTACAAATAATTTTAAACTTACCCAGGCATGGTGGCATACACCTGTAATCCCAGCTGCTTGGAAGGCTAAGATGGGAGGATCGCTTGAGTCTGGGAGGTCAAGGCTGCAGTGAGCTATGATTGTGCCACTGCACTCCAGCCTGGGTGACAGAGTGAGACCCTGTCTCCAAATAAATAAGTAAATAAATAAATAAAATTTTAAAAAGAATGGCTTCCCAAGAGGGAACTTTTCAAGTTCAAGTTGAGAAATAGAATAACACTAGGCCAACCTTCTGGAAATTTTCCCCAAGTGGTTAACTCTGTTTCAGATATGTCTGAGCATTGGCCATTAAGAGCCTTGCTGCTTCAAAGTGTGGTTCGCAGACCAGCAGCATCAGCAGCCCCTGAGAGCTTGTTAGAAATGCAGAGCTCAATGCATTGGTTTTTTGCCTATTTTTAAAGAAAACAGCAAAAGAAATGCAGAGCTAAGGCCCCTCCTCAGACCTATTGAATCAGAATCTGCATTTCAACAAGATCTGTAGGCGATTCTTATGCACATTAAAGTTTGAGAAACACTGGTCCATGCCGTCTGTTTTTCCATATTCTCCCTATAGTACCAGCTGGAATATCCCGGATTAGCCAGCCAGGAGCCCAGGAACTTACACAGTACTGTCATCTCTGACTTCTCTGACCATCTTCAAAGATGGTCCTCTGTACCCTGTGTTGGAAATGCTGTGGGTGGGGAGAGAAAGCCTTACCCTGCCGCAGCTCAGTGTTGGATGTGAGTTTGGAAAGATGAGTCATCCAGCGGGATTTTCTCCAGGCCATGAGCCAAAGGTCCAGATTTTGTTGGTTTATGTTTGGATCACAGGATCTGAGTTTCTGAATGATCCTATTCCTATGTTTGTCTTGTAGTGCAAAGAAAGGAGGTACAGGCCCGAGCTGTGTTCTACCCCCTCTTAGGGTTGGGAGGAGCTGTGAACATGTGCTATCGAACCCTCTACATCGGGACAGGTGAGCCAGCCAGGAAGCTGGGAGAGACACTGAATCTGTTCAGCCCTAAAGACTGACACCCTTACCCACAGAAGTTAGAAAGGGGTGAGGGAAGCCCTTTCCAGAGTTGACTGCTTTAAATCAGTGGATAGCTAGACAAGAGAAACTAAGAATAGAGACAATCAGCCAGTCACGGTGGCTCACGCCTATAATCCCAACACTTTGGGAGGACAAGGCAGGAGGAACACTTGAGCCCAGGACTTCGAGACCAGCCTGGGCAACATGGTGAAACCCTATCTCTACCAAAAACAAATATAAAAAATTAGCTGGGCTAACATGCCTATAGTCCCAGCTACTTGGGAGGCTGAGGTGGGAAGATCACCTGAGGCTGGGAGGTCCAGGCAGTGATCCTTTTTGTGCCTCTGCACTCCAGCCCAGGCAACAGAGTGAGACCCTGTCTCAAAAATAAAAGAGACAATCAGTTCCTTGTCTTCCCTTGTTCAGGCCCTTTTGCTTTGTCTTTGCCCAGTGTTGCAACAGCAGAGATGAAAGTCAGCTCTGACTACTGCCCAGGGAGGCACTTTAAACACTGCAGGGAAGAACCTAAGGAGAAGGCAGATGCTTTGTCCCTGGTGGTCTTTGAAAGAGTGATAGACTCACACATACCCAATCTTCAGTTAGCCCTGTATCTGTTTTTTGTTTTGTTTTGTTTTCCCTAAAAGTCCTAGAGACCGATAGCTCTGTATCTGGTACAGAAGGACAGACAGATTAGCCCTTACCCTAGAAACTTCCCTTTCTTTAAGGTGATAAGATTTTCTAGGCTCTGCACCCCGATGTTGTATTTTCATAGAAATATCCCATCCTCTTCAGTAGCTCACTCTTCCCTTCTGGGTAGCAGCCACATGTTCTAAAGCAGATCAGCTGGCAGGGACAGCTGTTCTTTATCAGGAGCTTGGAAAAGACAACAGTTTTTGTTCAAAAATAAAAGGGGAGGGCCCTGAGCTACTCACCCTTGAAGTCTCTGCTAGTGCCAACCCAGAAGCTAACTCTCTCCCTGTCTTACCTCCCCGACACATGCACCTTACAATCTGTTCTCTGCCTTCCTTTTCCTCTACTCCTGCCACCTTGCAGGAGCTGACATGGATGTGTGCCTTACAAACTATGGTCACTGTAACTACGTGTCCGGGAAACATGCCTGCATATTCTACGATGAGGTGAGGGCCGGAGATGCGGTGGGAGGGAGCTTTCCCAACCTGAGGCCTCTCCCAGGCAGTAGGTTTTTGTTCAGTGCCCTGAGGGGAGGGAAGAGGGATTGGGGGTCCTCTCTTTTTCTTCCCTCCCTGTCATTCCTGGAGGAGGAGAGTCTTGATGTGAAATAGCATCCTACCTGGGAAGCTACCTGCTTCCCAGGAGCAGGGCTACCATTTTTCCTGAGGTTAGTCACAGGCACAACAGAGGGAGCCTACCCTAAAGCAAGGGAGGGGACCAGCATAGAAGGAAGCCAAGCCTTGTGGGTGTGTCCCTGTGAATTTCATTATCATCACGGGCCAGTGAGTATCATACCAAGAGGAGCGGTGCTGAGAGGGCAGAGTGAAGGAGTGGGAGAGTAGGGAGTGTGGGACACCAGAAGGAAAGCTTCCCTGAGGAGGTGTCTCCAGCCCCCTTCTGAAAGGACAGGGGCCATGACTGGGGAGGCAAGTAAGGACTCTCTAGGTAGAGTAGCACGGCCTTCTCCATATGTCCTCTCTCCCCTTAGCCCCAGGCCCCACACAGCAGACCACACATCTTATCTCCCCTCCTCCTCCTCAGAATACCAAACATTATGAGCTGTTAAACTACAGTGAGCATGGGACAACGGTGGACAATGTGCTGTATTCATGTGACTTCTCGGAGAAGACCCCGCCAACCCCCCCAAGCAGTATTGTTGCCAAAGTGCAGAGTGTCATCAGTAAGTTGGAGCAGAGATCTGTGGCCACAAAGCTGAGGCCCCAGTCAGGGTGGTTCTGACTTGCTGCCCATGGTCTGTCTCTTGCCTTCCCAGTCCTATTGGCCAAGCTCTACTTCCTCGTGGGCCCAGGGCAGGCCACAGAGAAGCAAGTGCTGAGTACCCCCATGTGTGTACACACCTGTGGGGACTTCAGACTCCACCAACCCTTTCTGAGCATCCTTCCTCCCTAGTCATGCAGCAGTTGGAATGGGGAGATGCAGGAGCCCAACCTTGGCAAACAGCCCACATGGGTTGGCTGCTCACTGTTCCTCTTCTGTGACCATCCCCCTTTTTCCCAGGGCGCCGCCGGCACCAGAAACAGGACGAAGAGCCAAGTGAGGAGGCAGCCATGATGAGTTCCCAGGCCCAGGGGCCGCAGCGGAGACCCTGCAATTGCAAAGCCAGCAGCTCGAGCTTGATTGGGGGCAGTGGGGCCGGCTGGGAGGGCACAGCCTTACTGCACCATGGCAGCTACATCAAGCTGGGCTGCCTGCAGTTTGTCTTCAGCATCACTGAGTTTGCGACCAAACAGCCCAAAGGCGATGCCAGCCTGCTGCAGGATGGGGTCTTGGCCGAGAAGCTCTCTCTCAAGCCCCACCAGGGCCCTGTGCTGCGCTCCAACTCTGTTCCTTAGGACTGGCGGCTACCCCGCCACTGGCCTGTACACCCACCCAAGACTCCTGCAATGCAAAAATGTACACAAACCAAGCCCGGGTGTTTTCTATACTCTACCAGAAACCCTTCAACTACAATCTTTGCATGAAATGAAGAAAACCTTTTGACTGTTTTTTAAAAATCCTTTTTCTTTTCTCAAGTTCTAGGGGGCATTTGCACATATATTTGTACTCAACATTTCATGGGAAAGCGGCAGACCTGAGCTGAGGAACAGCGTGGGCAGGGAGGGAAAGACCCAGGGTCTGGACACTTCCTCCAACACAAAACCCTTCCCCACCCACCTCCTGCTCCCTCCCCCTCGCCCACCATTGTAAAATAATCAGAAACTTGTTCTATTTTGTGGCAGTGACAATAGTTTTATATTAAAAGAAAAAATACAGTTTTCATACAGCAAAATCTATACAATATCATTGTTTTATTTAATATAAAGATCGCTACCCACCTTCCTTCCATGGTTCCCACCCTCCACGTTATTTTCCCTTTCTGCAGCGGTTGCACTACAGGTAGCTACTGTGTATTATGGACAAATGAGAAATGAATTCTTTTTCTGGCTGTCCATCTATTTTATTTCAAATAAGGAAAAGTGTATTTGGATTTTGTGTAAATACATCTAGTGATGACATTTTTTCAATGTTTTTAAAAACCGTGTACAGTACTACATGTGGTAGAGCGTTTTCTCAAATTGTCTATTGTAGCAAAAATGTTTTTGTCGTAAACCTGTTTTGTCTCCTTTTTTTGTTCTCTTGCCACTTCTCTCCTCTTCCTCCTGCCCCTGGTTCCCTCCTCTCCTCCCACCCCCACAACCAGTACCAATGTACATAGTAATTGTAATGTTTTAGACTTTACAGAAACTTTCCTGTATTCTGTATATAAAAAACAAAAATACTTCAAATTGTTTTCTGACTGTCTGTCCTACCTGTCATCACCCTTAGAGGAGACCCTCCCCTAGATCTGGGTCTAGCAGGTGGGGGGCCTTTTGAACAGGTCTCATTCCCATAGGGAAGTTTGGTAGGGGAGGTGTTGGAGAAAAGTGAGCCAGGGTGGGTGGATGACAATGGAATGACATGGGTGCGTCTGCTGGCCCGGGGGGAGCTGTTTCTCCAGAGAACCCTGACTGATAGTGGAATCTAGTCTTGACCTGTCACTTCTAGTCATGTGATCTGCAGTCACACTTCTCTACAACTGCTATTCCTCATCAAAAAACGAGTCTGCTGCATTACCTTAATTCTCAAGTCCCGGGGACCTTCATTAAACCAAATTCCATGCTTTCCTCCCAGATCTTAGTGAAAAACTCTCCAGGAAGTTTTCCTGAGGTCAGCCTCCTCAGATGGAGAGCACCTCTGTGTATATTCCAGCACTGTTTGTGTAGGTGCATCTGCTTGTGTGTCAGGATTTTGCCTTAGGGATAGAAAATGAATATTCTACCCCCAGCCTCATCCCACAGCATCTACAATGGAAACCCGAATCCGCAGTGCAGCTAAATAGGAAACTGGCCCTGGAATCTGAGGTCTGTCCCTGACTTTCATCTGCCCATGCAGGCGTCATCACTCTGCTCCCGGTGCCCTAATGGGCTTTTTGAACTCCCTAAGGACAGAAACTTGTATATCTTCCACTCGGAATTTCCAAGTCTAACTACACTGCTGGGCACACCATAAGTGCCAAATACCAGGTTCTAAATTGTACTGAATGTATCAGGCAACGGCCTTCTGCCCTGGAATGGTCTTACCCATTTGTTCCTAGCCAGCCCCACCCTTCCTGCCATCATGGTCACTTGTAATTGAGTGATGGAGCTTCTCTGCCTGTCTCTTATCACCTATGAGAACCATTCCAAAGGCAAATTTCCTCCTGAAAGGCAATAACAGATTTTACTCTCTATCTCTTCCTGCTTCCCTTCAGCCATGGAAGGCACTAGTGGGGTTGAGGTAGGGAGATACAGAGGGGGAATGAAGGAGTGAATTCTGACACCCCTTAACTGCCTGTGCCACCTTTAACAGTGTCCTCTCTAGCCTGTGTGGGGAGAACACGGAAGAATCCTAGAAGCTGGGGGCTGGATGTGAAGATAAGAAAACGAAGGATTTGGCCCAGTGCAGAGGCTCACACCTGTAATCCCAGCACTTTGAGAGGCTGAGGCAGGTGGGTCACTTAAGGTCAGAAGTTTGAGACCAACCTGGCCAACATAGTGAAAACCCTTCTCTACTAAAATACAAAAATTAGCCGGGTGTGGTGTCACACACCTGTGATCCCAGCTACTCTGGATTCTGAGGCAGGAGAATTGCTTGAACCCGGGAAGCGGAGGTTGCAGTGAGCCGGGATCACGCCACTGCACTCCAGCCTGGGCAACGAGAGTGAAACTCCGTCTCAAAAGAAAGAAAGAAAGGAAAGAAGGAAGGAAGGGAGGGAGGGAAGGAAGGAAGGAAGGAAGGGAGGAAGGAAGGAAGGGAAGGAAGGAAGGAAGGAAGGAAGGAAGGAAAGGAAAGGAAGGAAAGGAGAAGGATTTGTGCAGAAGGGAAGGAAGGAGAAGGATTTGTTCTTAGAGGGAAAAGCATCTAGGACTAGACTCAAAGACACACGTGTATTCATGTACACACCTAACTTCAGAAGGGAGGGACTGTGCTACATACACCTCGAGTAAACATATGGAGATATGCAAGCACATGCACTGGCAGAGACTACAGATGCAGGCACATACCTGGAGGGACTCTGCCAGAATGCACACAAACACCTACAAGGTGCTTACAGGAGCTCACACACAGGATCCAGAGGCACGCACACAACCCAAAGGGTGATCCTCAGGGACATGGGCACATACACACCTAGAGATCATTCACATACAAGCGTTGCAGATGCATGCACATACCTAGCGTGCACTCACAGGGTGTACGTGGACACACACACCCAGGAGTTCACACAGGCACACACCTAGGGGGCGCTCCCAGGGCCCAAGCGCACACACTCACCTCAAAGGTGTCCACAGAGGCACACGCCCCCAGGACGCCGACGCACGCCTAGGGGGCGCTCGCAGGGCCGGCGCGCACCCGCACGCGCACACGCCCCTGCCCAGCCTCCTGCCCGCCTCCGCCTTCGGAGGCTGACGCGCCCGGGCGCCGTTCCAGGCCTGTGCAGGGCGGATCGGCAGCCGCCTGGCGGCGATCCAGGGCGGTGCGGGGCCTGGGCGGGAGCCGGGAGGCGCGGCCGGCATGGAGGCGCTGCTGCTGGGCGCGGGGTTGCTGCTGGGCGCTTACGTGCTTGTCTACTACAACCTGGTGAAGGCCCCGCCGTGCGGCGGCATGGGCAACCTGCGGGGCCGCACGGCCGTGGTCACGGGTGAGTGCGGAGGCGGGTGAGTGCGAGCTGGCGGGGCGCGCGGAGAGGAGGCCGGGCCGGCGGTAGCAGCGGCCCGCCGGGCTCAGCTCAGCTCGGCTCCCGCCCGCGGTCCGCAGGCGCCAACAGCGGCATCGGAAAGATGACGGCGCTGGAGCTGGCGCGCCGGGGAGCGCGCGTGGTGCTGGCCTGCCGCAGCCAGGAGCGCGGGGAGGCGGCTGCCTTCGACCTCCGCCAGGTGAGAGGCAGCGGGGGCGCGTGGGACGGTGAGCCGAGAACCCGCCGGGACACAGAGAAGCCAGCAAAGGGGCTGCGGAGGATCCGGGTCCAGGGAGGAGAGCGCGGCGCGGGCGGCTGAGCGCGAAGAGGGAGTGCACGGAGCGCTGGGGTCACCCGAGGAAGGCGCACCAGAGCCGAGTGGGGGAGGGGCTTCCTGAAGGCCGTAATTGCAGTTCTGAGACGTTTAAGCATCAGTAGAAGTTGGGTTAATGATCAGTAGGAAAGGGAACAGCAGAGGGCACAGCATAAGCAAAGGCTCTGAGGCAAAGAGAGCTGGACTGATCTGAAAAACTGAGAAAAAGATTTAATGAGGCTGGAGCACAAAGTATGAGGAAGATGGGCAAATGAGGGGGCTGGAGAACATTCTAGAGCCTATTGAGAAGCTTGGATTTTATAGATTGGGCAGCAGAGACCAGTGGAGACCATGAACAGCCCTCAGTAGGCTCCGGACTGTCAGAATAGCCTTTGGAAGGAACTCCTTTGTGGCTGCGTGGTGCCTGGAGTGGGGGGGCAAGAGCGGGAGAGAGGAGACCAGTGAGAAGTTACAGATTTTAGGGTAAATGGTAATGGGGAAAGGAGGTGATAATAATAATAGCAAGTACCTACCCAGTGCTGCTAGAGTGTATTTTACACGTTAACTCCTTTCATCCTCACAAAAGCTCAGTGAGATTGGGACTGTTGTTATTATTATTCCCTTTACGCAGTGAGAGAACTGAGACCCAGAGAGATTAAGTATCTTGCCCAAGGTCACACTTTAGTAAAAGGCAAAGTCAGGATTTGAATCCACACACTTATCTAGTACACTCTAAGACACAGGGGCAGATTTTAGTAAACAGTAGGAGATGGACTCTCAGAATTTGGTGCCTGGGGAGAGGGAAGAGGAGAGAGATGCCTGGTGACAAGCCCAGCCCTTGCCTCTCCACAGGAGAGTGGGAACAATGAGGTCATCTTCATGGCCTTGGACTTGGCCAGTCTGGCCTCGGTGCGGGCCTTTGCCACTGCCTTTCTGAGCTCTGAGCCACGGTTGGACATCCTCATCCACAATGCCGGTGAGGGGCAGCAGGCCCTGCGTGGGGGTGGGGTGGCGGGTGGCCAGGGGCAACTGCCCCCTCCAGCGGGGGCCCTGCTGGGGCCAGTGGACACATGGGAAGGATGCCCCCTTCTCCCATCTCATAGATAGGGATGCCAAGGCTGCAGAGCTCCTTCTGGAGCAGCCGCTCACATTTAGCCTCTGCCCCAGGTATCAGTTCCTGTGGCCGGACCCGTGAGGCGTTTAACCTGCTGCTTCGGGTGAACCATATCGGTCCCTTTCTGCTGACACATCTGCTGCTGCCTTGCCTGAAGGCATGTGCCCCTAGCCGCGTGGTGGTGGTAGCCTCAGCTGCCCACTGTCGGGGACGTCTTGACTTCAAACGCCTGGACCGCCCAGTGGTGGGCTGGCGGCAGGAGCTGCGGGCATATGCTGACACTAAGCTGGCTAATGTACTGTTTGCCCGGGAGCTCGCCAACCAGCTTGAGGCCACTGGCGTCACCTGCTATGCAGCCCACCCAGGTGAGGTCTGGTTCTTTGGCTTCCGATTCCCCTCTCCTTTCCTTGCCCCATCCTGTGCCCCCCACACCACTACCGCCTCCCCACCCTCCATCCCTCATTGAGTCACAGAATCTCAGGGCAGCAAGGAAGCATAGTCCAAGGAGAGACCTGTTCCTTGCTGCTCTTGGAACCAGGTTCTCCTGGTTTAGGTTCTTCCTCTCACACCACAAGCCTGGGTCCTCAGCCCTGGGGGGTATATGGCCATGAATAAGACCTGGATTCCCACCCCCAGGAGCCATCTGCACTGACTGAACTGATAATGATGATGATGATAGCTAATAATTCATCCAAGAAGCATTTACCGAGTACCTACTCTGTATCAGGCATTACTTGCAGTGCTGGGGATATAGCAGTGAACAAAACAAAGACCCTGCCCTCATAGAGTTTGCATTCTAGTTTGGAGGAGAGGGAGACAGCCAATAAATATATACGATGAGGGGTGGTGATAGAGTGCTCTGAGGAAAAAGGAAACAGCAAGGGGCAAATGGAACGGGAATATGGTGTGGCAGTCAAGGAAGACATATCTATAAAGGTGACATTTGAACAGAGGTCTGAAAGATACATGGCTCACTGGGGAGATGCCCAGAAAAAGAGAGAACAGTGCAAATAATAAGTGCAGAGGGGCTGGAAGCGGTGGCTCATGCCTGTAATCCCAGCACTTTGGGAGGCCAAGGCTGGTAGATCACTTGAGGTCAGGAGTTCGAGACCAACCTGGGCAACATGGTGAAACCCCATCTCTAGGCTGGGCGTGGTGGCTCACACCTGTAATCCCAGCATTTTGGGAGGCCGAGGCGGGCAATCACAAGGTCAGGAGTTCGAGACCAGCCTGACCAACATGGTGAAACCCCATCTGTACTAAAAATACAAAAATTAGCCAGGTGTGGTGGCGCGCGCCTGTAATCCCAGCTACTCAGGAGGCTGAGGCAGGAGAATCGCTTTAATCCGGGAGGTGGAGGTTGCAGTGAGCCGTGATCACGCCACCGCACTCCAGCCTGGGGGACAGAGCAAGACTCCATCTCAAAAAAAAAGAAAAAAGAAAAAAAAAAGAAAACCTGTCTCTACTACAAATACAAAAATTAGCTAGGCATTGTGGCTATCACCTGTAGTCCCAGCTATTCAGGAGGCTGAGGCAGGAGAATCGCCTGAACCTAGAGGTGGACGTTGCCAGTAAGCTGAGATCTCGCCACTGTACTCCAGCCTGGGTGACAGAGCGAGACTCTGTCTCCAAAACAGAAAAAAGTAAGTGCAGAGGCCCTAAGGCAGAAGTTCCTGGTGTGCTTGAGAAAGGCTAATGTGGCTGGAACAGAGTGAGGGGGGAGAGTGGCAAGAGGTGAGGTCATAGAGAGGCACTGTGTCCTGTAGGGTTTGGAGGGAGGTTCACTATAGGCATTCTGGCTTTTACTCTGAGTGAGATAATTGGGGATCCAGAGCAACACTTTGTCTTATGGAAGAGGTTATACCAGGATAACAAGATCTGTCATATTCATATTACCATACTGCATTTTAGATAGTCACTGCCTAAGGCTCATTAGTAATTATAATAGCGATGATCACAATTAGCCTTTATTAAGTCTTTATTACACTCCATATCACTAATGTCCAAAATAGTGGCTGGTATACTGCAAGTACTTAATAAATGCTGGTTAAACAAGGAACAGGACTTGAGCTAGAAGAAAAGATGGAGAGAGACTGAGAATTGTTTCAGACATGGGACACAGCATGAACAAAATCTGGGATGTGGGGTGAACAAGCAGTCTGGATGGAAGCGAAGAGGCTTCATGCAGGAAATGAGTGAAGTCACCTCGCAGAAGCCCCGAATGCCTGGTAAATACTATCCTGGTTCCCTTGAAACCAGATTCTGTCCCTGTTCTTCTAGCTCTGTTCTATTTTTTTTGTTGTTGTTTTTTTTTTTAAAGAGACAGAGCTTGACTATGTTGCCCAGTCTGGTCTCAAACTCCTGGGCTCAAGTGATCCTCCTGCTCCGCCTCCCGAGTAGCTGTGACTGTAAATACACACCACTGTGCCTAGCCCGACTCCTTTCTTTCTTCCTGCCTACAGGGCCTGTGAACTCGGAGCTGTTCCTGCGCCATGTTCCTGGATGGCTGCGCCCACTTTTGCGCCCATTGGCTTGGCTGGTGCTCCGGGCACCAAGAGGGGGTGCCCAGACACCCCTGTATTGTGCTCTACAAGAGGGCATCGAGCCCCTCAGTGGGAGATATTTTGCCAACTGCCATGTGGAAGAGGTGCCTCCAGCTGCCCGAGACGACCGGGCAGCCCATCGGCTATGGGAGGCCAGCAAGAGGCTGGCAGGGCTTGGGCCTGGGGAGGATGCTGAACCCGATGAAGACCCCCAGTCTGAGGACTCAGAGGCCCCATCTTCTCTAAGCACCCCCCACCCTGAGGAGCCCACAGTTTCTCAACCTTACCCCAGCCCTCAGAGCTCACCAGATTTGTCTAAGATGACGCACCGAATTCAGGCTAAAGTTGAGCCTGAGATCCAGCTCTCCTAACCCTCAGGCCAGGATGCTTGCCATGGCACTTCATGGTCCTTGAAAACCTCGGATGTGTGCGAGGCCATGCCCTGGACACTGACGGGTTTGTGATCTTGACCTCCGTGGTTACTTTCTGGGGCCCCAAGCTGTGCCCTGGACATCTCTTTTCCTGGTTGAAGGAATAATGGGTGATTATTTCTTCCTGAGAGTGACAGTAACCCCAGATGGAGAGATAGGGGTATGCTAGACACTGTGCTTCTCGGAAATTTGGATGTAGTATTTTCAGGCCCCACCCTTATTGATTCTGATCAGCTCTGGAGCAGAGGCAGGGAGTTTGCAATGTGATGCACTGCCAACATTGAGAATTAGTGAACTGATCCCTTTGCAACCGTCTAGCTAGGTAGTTAAATTACCCCCATGTTAATGAAGCGGAATTAGGCTCCCGAGCTAAGGGACTCGCCTAGGGTCTCACAGTGAGTAGGAGGAGGGCCTGGGATCTGAACCCAAGGGTCTGAGGCCAGGGCCGACTGCCGTAAGATGGGTGCTGAGAAGTGAGTCAGGGCAGGGCAGCTGGTATCGAGGTGCCCCATGGGAGTAAGGGGACGCCTTCCGGGCGGATGCAGGGCTGGGGTCATCTGTATCTGAAGCCCCTCGGAATAAAGCGCGTTGACCGCCGAAGCTGCGCTCACTCCTGCCTCAACGCGCCGGCCCCGCCCTCCGCCGCCACACTTCCGGCGGGGCTGCGACCGCAGAGGGGCGCGGGCGAGCGAGCGGGCGGCCGGCCGCTGGGGGTGGCGGGATAGGCTGGGCGCGGCCGGCGCTGCAGACCCGCTGCTGTTGTCCGGGTCTGTGCGGTCCCGAGGGCCCTCCGTGCCGCCGGCGCCATGGGCAATTGCCACACGGTGGGGCCCAACGAGGCGCTGGTGGTTTCAGGTGAGGGGGCGGCGAGGAAGGTGGGAGCTGTGGAGGGTGCTCGGGGTGGGTGCAGGGCTGGGGAGTGCACGGGGAAGAGCTGGGCCTGAGTCCACCGCGCGGCGCAGGGCGCTGGCCCCCGGGCCGCACCTGAGGCCCCTTCCAAGAGAGATCTCGTGCTCACGCTTTCCTTGCTGCGCACCCTCGGGCACCCACCAGGGGCTCCCCCTCCCGCTGTGGGTTTTCCTGTGTTTATTTGCTTCTCCTCCCCCTCCCTAGGCGGGCCTCCCCGCCGCTCTACTGTGAGGTTGGGGGTCCCGAACTGAAGCCGCGGGGTTCCAGGAGGGAGGGAACTGGTGGTTCCGGGAACGCAGAGGTTTGGCTGGATTCCAGCGCCCGGGATGGGGGGCGGGTCGCGCAGCCCTGGAGGGCAGGTGCCTGTATGGGGAGGGGCCCTGAAACAGAGGTCGTTTCTCGGCACAGTCAGACCCGTTAATTCCAAGCAGGCTGGGGCTTGTTGGGGATTACCGGCACTGCCCGCCCAGGAGACGCGGATGCGGCCTCTACAGGTTGGGAAACCCGGTTCTGGGCAGTGCAGTTTGGGATTGCAAAATGCTGCAAGTTCCAGAATTTCTATCTAGGTGGGGCATGGGGACTGCGGTACTGGGGAAAAGGAACTGCTATTGAGATTTTATATTTGGGGCGCTTTGAGAAGCGGCTGACACCTTGCAAGCCACCGGGTTGTGCAGCTCCTTGCTCTCAGGAGCTGGGGGACGGGGGTCCTGGTGCCTGACAGCTTGGAGGCCTGGAGCTGGAGGAATTTCTCTTCTCTATCTTCCCACTATCAGTGCTGATTTTTTCAGCCTGCGTGCAGATTTGGTAGAACTGGTTACTGAAGAGATAGAAGGGGATAGAAGCCCTGAGCCAGGCCTCACAGCTGCCAACCCTTGGAGAGGGGTGATAAATCCACTGGGAATTTTCATTCCAAAACATGGCTTCAGGCTCACTTTGGATCTCAAAATCAATCTCTCCACTGGGACATCCCCAGTGTGTGGGAGATAAGTACCCTACCCCCCTGAAGACCAGAAATAGCCTTGAGGACAGAAGGGAGACTCCCAGAGAACACTAAATGCAGACTTGCTCCTCCATAAGACCTAAACCTGTCTCCCAGTCCCCACCCTTAGAGAAGGCTTTTAGAGACCAGAATCTGCACTGCACTTTGTTTTTCTTGTGGAATTTCCTTCAGGAAGCCCAGACTCTGAGCTGAGAAGACAAAAGCTCCAGTTCCATCCTTGTGGAAAGTCTTGGGACTGAGGGGCAAGAAGAGCCCCAGAGATGGGTTGCTCTGTGCCTTCCAGTTACTGAGAACCTGGTCTTCAGAACAGAAGTCAATGCACTGTTAGCTTCAACGCTATTTTAGGGGTGGGAAGAGGAGATCTTGCTGAGAACTGAGGATGCTGGAGTCAGGGAAGCAGAGAAGGTTGGCGGGGGTGACAGATAATGCCTGGCACAATGATACCTTGGGATTTGAGATGATCAAGCTGAGATCCAGCTCCCTCTTGTGTGTGGACTCCTGCGAGAGCAGAGCAACTGCCCCCACCCCTGCCCCCACCTGTCTGCCTTGCTCCTTGGACCTGTGTCTAAGACCAGAGGCATCTCACCCAGCCCAGTTTCAGAAGGAGGATGCTAATACATCTCATGGTCATCTTTTCCATCCTTTCTTATTATCTAACTTCCCTCCTTCAGTTTGTAACATAAAACCTTTTTTCTCTCTACTTTTGAAAATTTTAAAGGGGAATCCTTTTCATTTGGATGGGGTCGGGGGATGGGGATAAGGGGGGAGAAAAGCATAATTTTATTTTCACTCACCCTAACTGAAATTTAGTGTTTTCTGTGATTATGAATGTTGGCAACAATTCATGATAGTATTAGCAAAAAGTTTCCTACTACACTACAGTTATTTCTGGTACCTTGAAAATCTATTGGCCGGGCACGGTGGCTCATGCCTGTAATTCCAGCACTTTGGGAGGCCGAGATGGGAGGATCAACTGAGGTCAGGAGTTGGAGACCGTTCTGGCTAACATGGTGAAATCCCGTTTCTGTTAAAAATACAAAAAATTAGCCGGGCATAGTGATGCACGCTTGTAAGCATCTCAAAAAAAAAGGAAATAATTCATCTGTATTTTGGCATTAAGCTAATAATTAGATTTACCACTAGATCTTACTATTTAATGTATTAATAAAGAATGACATATTACTAATATTGCACACTTGGTTTTAAATTTTGATAACTTTCAATATAATTTCTTATGTATTTATTTTATGAATTTATAAGTATTCTTGGCCAGACTAATGCCTGTAATTCCAGCAATTTGAGAGGCTGAGGCAGATGGATCACTCGAGGCCAGGAGTTTGAGACCAGCTTGGGCAATATGGCAAAACTCTGTCTCTACCAAAAAAAAAAAAAATTAGCCAGGAGTGGTGGCACATACCTGTGGTCCCAGCTACTCCGGAGGCTGAGGTGGGAGGATCGCTTGAGCCCAGGAGGCAGAGGATGCATTGAGCCAAGATCACACCACTGCACTCCAGCCTGGGCAACAGAGTGAGACCCTGTTTCAATAAATAAATAAATAAATAATAAACAAATATTCTTGAGGAGGGGTCCTTAGGCATTGCTGGATTGCTAAAGGGGTATGTGGCTCAAAAAAGACTAAACCCCCTAGTAGGATATGGACTTTTTTTTTTTTTTTTAAATACAGTCTTGCTCTGTCACCCAGGCTACTAGAGTGCAGTAGCATGATCACAGCTCACTGCAGCCTCGACCTCCCAGGCTCAAGCAATCCTCCCACCTCAGCCTCCCAAGTAGCTGAGACTATAAGTGGACGCCACCACACTCAGTATTTAAAAAAAAAAAAAAAAAAAAAAAAAAAGGTCTTGCTCTGTTGCCCAGGCTGGAGTGCAGTGGTATGACTTCAGCTCACTGCAGCCTCCACCTACCAGGTTCAAGCCATTCTCATGTCTCAGCCTCCCAAGTAGCTGGGATTACAGGTGCACGCCACAGTGCCCAGCTAATTTTTATATTTTTAGTAGAGACAGGGTTTCACCATGTTGGCCAGGCTGTTCTCAAACTCCTGGCCTCAAGTGATCCGCCCACCTCGGCCTCCCAAAGTGCTGGGATTACAGGTGTTAGCCACCATGCCTGGCTGCTAATTTTTAATTTTTTGTAGAGACAGGGTCTCCCTGTGTTGCCCAGACTGTTCTCAAACTCCTGGGCTCAAGCAATCCTCCCACCTCAGCCTCCCAAAGTGCTGGAATTACAGTCATGAGCCATCATGCCCAGCCAGGATATGGACTTCTTGACTAGTAGGAAGAAAGTGGGCTGGACACACTGGCTCACACTTGTAATCCCAGCACTTTAGGAGACCGAGGTGGGAGGAGAACTTGAGGCCCAGAGTTTGAGACCGGCTTGTGCAACATAGTGATGTAACAGGACGAGCTGCAGACAAAACTTCTCAGATACTGAGTTGTAGAAGGAAGGGCTTTATTCAGCTGGGAGCATCGGCAAGCTACTGCCTTAAAATCCGAGCTCCTCGAGTGCCCAATTTCTGTCCCTTTTAAGGGCTCACAACACTAAAGATTTCACATGAAAGGGTCGTGATTGATAGAGCAATCTAGGGGATACGTAACAGGGGTTTCATGCACTGGTAGTCAGAGTGAAACAGAATAGGACAGGGAGTTTCACAATGTTCTTCTATAAAATGTCTGCAATCTATGAATAACATCGGTTTCTAAGTTATGAGTTGATTTTTAACTACTAGGTTTAGGCCAGGCAGGCCCAGGCCTGGTTTCGGGCCTGGCGCTGGGCTGCCTGTCTTTGATTTCACTTCCTTGTTTTTTTCTTAAAACAGGTACTGAGTATAAAACAATATGAGAGGGTCTCTCTCTTCCCTCAGCGAGACCCTGTCTCTACAAAAACAATTCTTTTTAATTAGACAGGCATTGCGATGTATGGAAGGCTGAGGCTGGAGGATCGCTTGAGCCCGTGAGTTCAAAGCTGCAGTGAGCTGTGATTACACCACTGCATTCAGCCTGGGTGACAGAGCACAATACTGTCTCAAAAAAAAAAAAAAAAAAAGAAGGTGGAGGAAGGCCAGGAAGGGCAGGGGATGCTCCTGAGAGGGCAGAGTGGTGGGCTGTGTCCTGGGGAAGGGCTAAGGGAGTGGAACAGAGGTTATCGTGGGGTATTTTGTGGTTCTTCAGCTCAATTGTGGAAAGGGAAAGCAAGTTGGGTTAGAAAGAATAGAGTGAGGTACAGTTAGGAGAAACTTCCAGGTCTTGAGACGAGTAAGAGTTAGGGAAATCAAGGAAGAGGCACCTAACTGGCCTCTTGGGAGGGGTGCTCAGGCTGAGTGACCAGGAAGCTGGCAGGAAGTTGCCTTCCAGGGGAGGATGCTGGTAGGGGCGGGTAATCTGGCAGTTTCAGCTTCCTGTTGTTGCTACCCTTGGGAACCTGGCAATGTTGCCCTTGGCCAAGGCCCAGCTTGAGCTGTGGCAGCCTGCTCCCCAAGCCAAAGAATAAGTTAAAGGTAAAGGGTGGGCTGGGTGCGGTGGCTCATGCCTGTAATCCCAGCACTTTGGGCACCTAAGGCAGGCAGATCACCTGAGGTCAGGAGTTCGAGACCAGCCCGGCCAACATGGCGAAACCCCATCTCTACTAACAATTTAAAAATTAGCCAGACGTGGTGGTGGTTGCCTGTAATCCCAGCCACTTGGGAGGCTGAGGCAGGAGAATCACTTGAATCTGGGAGGCGGAAGTTGCATTGAGCTGATATTGTGGCACTGCACTCCAACCTGGGCAACAGAGCAAGAGTCTGTCTCAAAAAAAAAAGATAAAGAGTGGCCATCTAGGGCCGGGCACGGTGGCTCCCACCTGTAATCCCAGCACTTTGGGAAGCCGAGCCGGGCAGATCACGAGGTCAGGAGATCGAGATCATCCTGGCTGACAAGGTGAAACCCGGCTCTATTAAAATACAAAAAAAAGCTGGGCATGGTGGCAGGCGCCTGTAGTCCCAGCTGCTTGGGAGGCTGAGGCAGGAGAATGGCGTGAACCCAGGAGGCGGAGCTTGCGCCAGTGCACTCCAGCCTGGGCGACAGAGCGAGACTCTATCTCAAAAAAAAAAAAAAAAAAAAGAGTGGCCATCTACCCTGTCCATCCCCCACCCCACTCCCACATCCTACCCCCACCACTACCACCTTCCCACTGCACATTGAGAAGTCCCATGGGGCTAGCCCAAGGCAGCCATGCCCCAGCCCCCACCAGGCCAGAAGATGTAGAATAAGCTGTGATTTTTGGTCCCCTTCCAGTTTCACTTGATCCTGAGATGGTTTGGGTTTCAGATTGAGTGCTTGTCCTCAGAGGCCTCCCCACCCCACTTCCCAGGTCAGAGAAGCCCGGAATGGCTTACCTTGAACAGCAGCCCTGTTAACAGGTAGTTCTACCCCAGAGAAACAGACAGAGACCCAGGACCCCGTCTTACTGTTCCCTGCCCACACTGCTCTTTGATCCCTGGACCTCTGGTTCTGCTGCTGGAACTTCACGCATGGCAGCAGACCCAGAAAACTGGGTTACCTACCTGGTAAGCAGTATTAGATGCCAGCTCTCCAACCTTTCAAGCCCTCCCCACTGGGGGTGAGGTGGAGCGGTTCTTTATTTCTTTGCCTCCACCCACCGAAAATTTGTCCCCAGTTTCCCATTCTCTCCATTGTGTCTGTTTCTATTATTGTCCTCAACACCCACCCAAACCCAGACTCTACAGCTGCACTGTCCAATGTGGACAGGAGCCACAGGTGGCCATTTAAATTAATTAAAAAATTCAGTTCCCCAGTCATACCAGCCTCATTTGAAGTGCACAACAGTCATATGTTGCTAGAGGCTGCTGTACTGCACAGCATAAACACAGAAGAAGATATAGAACATTCCTACCCTCACAGAAAGTTGTCATGGATAAGACTGCTCTAGAAGTTGTCTGCCAGTATCAGCCACCATGCCTTGCCTGGATTACTGCAAGAGACCAGTCTCCCTGATCCCAGTGTCTTCCTCCTCATGCAAAGTGGTGTGTGTTTCTCAAGGGTAACCTTGCTCCCTGTCACTCACATACACAGCTTCTTGGCCTGACACACAAGACACTGTGTGATCTGCCCTCTGCCCCTCCACTTGCCTTATTCCCTGCCGTGAGTCCTCAGAGACACTAACCCAGCTGCATGAAACTCCCCCAGACCCTTGACCTTGGGAGTCAGTCAACCTTTTGAGGTTCTTTGAAGCTTTCATGAAAACCTAACTTTGTGAACATGGAAATGATAATGCTCGGCCAGGCGCGGCGGCTCATGCCTGTAATCCCAGCACTTTGAGAGGCCAACGCATGTGGATCGCTTGAGCCCAGGAATTCGAGAACAGCCTGGGCAACATGGTGAAACCTTGTCTCCACAAAAAATACAAAAATTAGCTGGGCATGGGGGCACACACCTGCGGTTCCAGCTACTCGAGAAGCTAAGGTGGGAGGATGGATTGAGCCCAAGAGGTGGAGGCTGCAGTGAGCCGTGTACTCCAGCAGTGCTGTACTCGTGTACAGTGTACTCCAGCCTGGGCAACAGAATGAGACCCTGTCTCAAAAAAAAAAAAAAAAAGAAGAAATGATAACACTCTCTGGTTTTTCCCAGATCACATATTTCCTTTGAATACTGTTTCCTGTACATTTTTTTGCACTGCAAGTTAACTGCCTGTCCAGTTTTATGAAGGTTTCCTTGAACTTGATGAGGAATTTTGGCATTAACAAGAGAGTTCACTACAAGAATCTCAGGAATTGCCGGGCGCAGTGGCTCACGCCTGTAATCCCAGCACTTTGGGAAGCTGAGGCGGGCAGATCATGAGGTTAGGAGATCGTGACCATCCTGGCTAACACGGTGAAACCCCGTCTCTACTAAAAATACAAAAAATTAGCTGGGCGTGGTGGCGGGCACCTGTAGTCCCAGCTATTCGGGAGGCTGAGGCAGGAGAATCGCGTGAACCCGGGAGGTGGAGCTTGCAGTGAGCTGAGATCGCACCACTGCACTCCAGCCTGGGCGACAGAGCGAGACTCCGTCTCAAAAAAAAAAAAAAGAAATCTCAGGAATTGATTTTTCTCGTTTCTGTATAGGGAACATATAGAACATGTCTACAGCATGGATCTGGGTTGTGGCTGAATTAGATGTTCTGTGTAGCTGACACACTGTTTCCAAGAACCACTTCCTTTTTAGGCCTTTTTGCTTTCTCCACTTCTCCCATTGGTACCACAAGTTAGCCTTTGTTTTGAGGCCTTGCCTTCCCCACCCGTTCCCATGAGAGGAACAAAGTCATTCTGAATGTTTTGGAAGTAGAGAACCAGCCTCACTGAGATGTGTCTGCCAGGCAGAAGAGCAAACCCTCTCGCCTTGGTTGGGAGACTCTTCCTTCCCTCCCAGCCCCCCAGTGTTGTCCCTGTCTGCGTTCCCTCTCTGTCTACACCCCCCGTGATAACAGGTGAACTCCAGGGCATACTTGTTTATTGAATTAATTAATTAAAAATGGAAGCTGGACCAGGCGTGGTGGCTCATGCCTGTAATCCCAGCATTTTGGGAGGCTGAGGCAGGTGGATCACAAGGTCAAGAGTTCGAGACCAGCCTGGCCAACATGGTGAAACCCCGTCTCTACTAAGAATACAAAAATTAGACGGGCATGATGATGCATGCCTGTAATCCCAGCTACTCGGGAGGCTGAGGCAGGAGAATTGCTTGAACCTGGGAGGCAGAGGTTGCAGTGAGCCAAGATCACGCCACTGCACTCCAGCCTGGGCAACAGAGCAAAACTCCATCTCCAGAAAAACCAAAAAAAAAGGAAGCTGGCCTGGCGAGGTGGCTCACACCTGTAATGCCAGCACTTTGGGAGGCCAAGGCAGGCAGATTGCCTAAGGCCAAGAGTTTGAGACCAGCCTGGCCAACATGATGAAACTCTGTCTGTACTAAAAATACAAAAATTAGCCAGGTATGCTGTGGCGGGCACCTGTGATCCCAGCAACTCAGGAGGCTGAGGCAGGAGAACCACTTGAACCCAGGAGGCAGAGGTTGCAGTGAGCCGAGACTGCGCCACTGTAGTCTAGCCTGGGCAACAGAGTGACATTCTGTCTGAAAAAAAAAAAAAGCTTTTTCAGATCACCTCTGCCCATTGTCCTGTTCTGTTCTTCTTTTCTCTGGAAGCACTTACATTCTAAACTATTCATTGGCTATCCTTCTCTTTATGTAAATTGCCTGTCTACCAATCTAGACTTTAACTCCCATAAGGGTAGGGAGAACTTCTCTCTCATTGATGTGTAACCTCAGCACTAGGCACCCAACAGTAGGCGTTGTCAAGTATCAGAGCAGGTAAAGGACAAAAGTTGCTATCAGTGGGCTGGAGGGTAGACAGACCCAAGAACCGACTGACTTGCGGTGGTTTGCTTTGCTCCCCAGGGGGCTGTTGTGGTTCCGACTATAAACAGTACGTGTTTGGCGGCTGGGCCTGGGCCTGGTGGTGTATCTCCGACACTCAGAGGTAAGCACCTGGGGGCTCTAGGACCTGTCATGGAGTGGGCCAGGGAGAGAGGGGCTTCCAGCATTGTTCTGCTTCACTCTGAGGGTCAGCTAGAGCATCTACCATTTCCACATTCCATTCTGGCGGTGGAGGGGTGGGGTTGGGGGGGACTTCCTAAGAAGCATGTAAGATGGGTTGCACAGGGGTGCAGGAGACATGCATCAGGAAGGTCTGTCATGGGCACCCCCTCCTTAGTGGGTGTTCTTTTTTCCACTGGAGGTGGCATTACTTCTGTCCCAGAGAATTCAGGGTCATAACCCAGGCAGAATCTTGATTTCCTGATTATAACTCAAAGTTATTTAAGAAGTCTTTATTATACGCCCAGTTTGGAGTGGGCATATGAAGGGAGGAAAGGCTGGAGGGACCCCATGCACACCCTTACCCATGCAGGCCCTGGGGTAATCCAGGCAGGGACTATGTGGCAGAGAATGGACATATAGTCAAAAGTGGTTCTGTGACAGTGGTAAGTTAGACAGGGAGGGGGACCTAACGAATTAGTGCTGGGGCTGAGCAAGACAGGTCTGGACCTCCTAAATCAGTCTGGAAAGACTTACTAGAGGAAGTGAGATTTCAGCTCCCCAGAGGGCCCACCATCCAGCTCTACCTGCCGCTGCCTGCAGAGCCTAGGGCAGGGCCAGACCTGGCCTCTCCTGCCACCCTCACTGCCCACCCGGGAGATGAGGCACGCCAGCTACCTTTCCACGATCGCCCCCTTCCTCATTATGGGAGATGGGGCGGTGGGGAGGGGAGGAGCAGATCCTTCCCAACCAGGACCCAGGCAACAAGGGCAGCAGAGCTGTGGGCATGTTGCAAGGTGGTCGGTCACCCCACAGGGGAAATCATGGAGATTCCAGTGGAAACCCCCTCTGCCCCATCCCCCACCCGTCAGCAGCTCACGTCTGCACCAAGCTGCTAGTGCTTGAGGCTCCTGGGAGTCTGAGGGCATCTGCTAGGGTCGGGGGGAATGGGAAGCATGGCACAATGGATTAACTTCACTGGTTCTCAGTAACCGCTGCACTCTCCCACCTCTCCCCTCACTTTACCCGACCAGAGGTGAGCGATGCTGGGGACTCTTCTGGTCCAAGGCTCAAAGTGTCAGAGTAATCAGTAGTGGCCACAGCCTCCACTCGAGAGGATCCTGGCCACACCTGAGTGGGCCAGTGGCCTGTCAGAAGCCGTGGGGAGCCCTCTCCAGACATACTGCCACCCCACACACTGTGCATTCCCAGCACAACAGAGTATCTTGTCCAGACACCTGCCCTGCGTGGGCAGCCACTGCTAGGCCAATTCCCCTGCAGTCCTTTCTCCAGATTCTTGGTCCCCTGCTCTCCCTTCCTGCTCCAGGGAGCAGAGCCAGGACAGAAGGGCCAAGCCTTTCTGACAGCAAGTTTGGAAGTTAAAGGTGAAGGGCCTTGTATCTCTTCCCAGGACACCGACCTCACACCCAGGCTCTACATCCTCCCTCTGGTCTCACTTGCTGGGTAGTCTGAGCCAGTAATCCTTCTCCTTCTTACACCTTTTCTGGGGGGCAGCCTCTTCCCTAGTCCCTAGCCTGCTTGGGGGACGCCTCCACAGGCTGGGGCTTTATTTCCCTAGGCTGGCAGGAGCCTCTCGGGTCAGAGTAGAGGCTTCTAACTCAGCCTGGATACTCAGCCTCCCTCTCAAGGTCCTTTCTGCAGCTGTCTATATGTCACGTGCCCTTGGGGTCAGCCATTCTTCTTCCAGGCTCAGTGACCCCTCCTGCTGCATTTTGCTGCCACATCCTATACTATCCCGAGGCCCTGATATGGGCGGCTCTCTCCCTCTTACCTGAGCAATTCTTCCACCTTTGGCATCTGAGCTGCAGCCTCCCTTCTTCCCTCCCCACTACCCTTCCTCCCTCCCTCCCTCTCCCCTATTTCCCTCTCTCCTTCCCCAGAAGAGAGCTTGGTGGGTTCCTGTCTGAGCTGGGTCAAGAATCCTCTCAGGCCCAAGGATGCTAGTGTTAGGGGCTCGAATGAAGGCAACTTTTGCACATCTGCATGGCCAGTGCCCCAGGGCTGGCACTGTGGGGGTGGCCCCTCCTGGGATTGAGATGGGGGCTGCACATCGACTGCTGCTCCTTATCACCCCCTCCACCTGCTTCTGCCCCTTCACCCTCGGCCTCTGTCCTCTCTTCCTTCCTCTGATTTAGGGAAACCTTCCACACTGTCCACAGCCTGGCCTCTGCCTAGACAATCACCCTGCACACAGACTGCCTAGGGAGGCCCAGCCAGGATGGGCCAGGGAGCTTCGAGGCACCTTGTTTTCTTTGCCAATAATCTTCTCTCTGCCCCTGGCCAACTTTGGAAATTCCCAATTAAATGCCTCCCTTATCTCCCGGTTATCCCTGAGTATTCTGGCAGGAGCACACTCTCCCCCAGCCTTCCTTGGCCCCACATCAGAACATTTGGGCTTTTCTGGCCTCACCTTGCCTTAGTGATAGATAGTGCAGACCTGGCGGATTCGGCATTTGCTAAAGCTCAGGAGTCCCCAGAATAGCCTCCCACTCCCGATTTCTGGAAACACAGGTTTACCTGTGTGAAGACGGGGGGCTAAGCCTCAGTCTCCCAGATTGCGACAGGATCCCTGGGAAAGTGAGGTGGCGGGCAACCCAGGTGCCCTGTGCACAAGCCTCCTGACCTCAGGCCGCAGGCCCAGGGTGGCAGCAGGCATCTTCCCCAGCCTAGCAGGTCCTCACTAAAAGGGTTTGGGGGCTAGAGAAGAGACCCAGAGGCCTCGGATCAGCACAGGAGGTCGCTGCTGTCCTGCAGCCCTCGGCTGAGCTGGCAGTTGGGGGGTTGGATTACTGACAGCATGCCCCCCCCCGCCCCCAGGCGTCAGGCATCGGTGCTTGTCTGGTAACTACTGTGTGTGTTTGCTGTGTCCCCTCCTTCCCTTCCTGTCCCTACCTCTCCCCACCCCCTGGCTGCTCCTCAGACTGTCTCTGGAGGTTATGACCATCCTGTGTCGCTGTGAGAATATTGAGACGTCGGAGGGGGTTCCACTATTCGTAACAGGGGTTGCACAGGTAATAACCCACCTGCTTCCTCCTCCGTGTCTAACCTTCTCTCTTCCTGCCCTGCGGGGCCTGGCAGACAGGAGCCGATGGACTCCCCTCCTGAGACCGTGCCTTCCTCCCTCTCCTCTTTTCTCTCCTCCACTGCTCTGGGTGCCAGGATGGATCCCTGTACATCCCCAGGTCCCTTGCCCTTGCCTATTGGACTGCAAGTGGGGAAACAGCAAGGGATTCTGGAAGCTCTGCCAAGTCTGCCAGTGAGTGTCCCTGGATGCCAGGCCTTCGTTACCATGCAGCCATAGCTGGTGAAATCTATTCTTGGGCTTGGGTGTTAATTAGCTCCAAATGCTTACTCTGTCATGTGTGGGTTCCCCTCTTCATTGCTTCATTCACCAGCTCTCTACTGAGCACCTTCTCAGTTTGAGGCATGTGGACTGCAGGAGCGAACAATAAAAAGCCCCTGCCCCCTCAGAGCCTGTGTGCCAGCGGGTTCCCAGCCTGGAAGAGGCCTGAACCACATCTTTCTCACCCCCTCCCTCTGCATTCAGTTGCCCTTCAGCCTCTGCTTAGGCAAAAACACTACACCACCACTCCCTTCTTCACCCATCCTGCCATCTCTAATGGGGAAGGGGACCATCCCCATCCCCTTAGCCCTTGTAGCCATGGGAGGTGCAGAGGCCTGGGAGGCTTGGAGCACCTTGTGTGGAAGGGGTAGGGTCCAGGCCTCCTTCAATACTCTATTTGATGCAGTCCTCTCTCCTTCCATACCCACACCTACACTTGAAACACCTGCAAAGCCCAGATCCCTTTTAAAGTGGGTGACTGTGGACCCTGGAGGAGTCAGATTGCATGGCCAGAACAACTCTTTCCAGGGTTAACACTCCTTGGCCAAGAAGCTCTAGTGTGACTTCAGTCTAAATTCCCCATGTGACCCACCTGGGCCTAATACCAGACATGGGTTTCAAGTCAAAGGCTGCAGCCACCAGGTAGGGCTTCTCTGGCAAGGGGCAGGTACAGAATCACTTCCATCTTAGCCCAGCAGTAGGCATACTCCAGGATGCCAGGCAATCAGGCAGAGCTTTCCAAGCAACTTCCTGGGGCACCCTGGGGTGCTGGGTAGACCAAGGAATGGGCAAGGGCCCCTGTGGGAGGCTCAGTTGACATCCACGGATGGCCTGCACAGCAGGGCCGGGAGGACCAGCACTGACTTGCTATCCTAGAACATACACACAGCTACACCTGGATTCTCCCCTGACCAACAGCCCCCGACCACCCACAACCACTTCTTTCTACTTCCTTTTCCTCAGCTGACTTGAGCAGAGGGTGTGTGCACATATGCAGCCCACTTCCACTCCTTCCCCTGGGGCCACCTGCACCCACCCTGCCCTCGTGCCCACCTCCTTCTCAGACACTCCCATCTCAGCCCCGTGGAGAGTCCTCCCTCCACCTTCCTCACCAGGACCCAGCCGGAGCAGTGAGGTACTGGCCTCTTTCCCAACACCACCAGGCCCTGCGCCCCCAGACCCATGCCCCTGTTTTGCGTTTCTTGGCAGGATTTCCCTAGAGATTATGACGTTGCAGCCCCGCTGCGAGGACGTAGAGACGGCCGAGGGGGTAGCTTTAACTGTGACGGGTGTCGCCCAGGTATAGTAACTCAGCAGCCCTGCGCATGTCCGTTGAGCTGCCTGGTCCCGTACTCGGGTTCGGGGGGAGGAGGAGAGGACAGCAGCCAGGGGCAGTCTCTCTCCAGCACCCCAGCCCCCGCAAGTCCCACAAGAGAGGGCTAGTCAGGTCGTCGCCACTGGAACATGCTCACCGGGCCATTTTGGCCACCCAGCAGGACTAACAGACACCCCTTCTCTCCTCAGCGGGCCCACGAGGGACAGAACCAGTGCTGAGGGCTCCTGGCTCACTAACCCCACCCCCATTCTTTGCAGGTGTTGGAAATGTCAAGCCCCAGAATCCAGGCCTTCCTTGTTCCCTGGGTACTGCGTGGGAGGGGTGGGGCCCAGAGGGAGAGGCCATGTGAGGCAGAGGAGCTCTGGACTCTGGGAGTCGGAGGCTGCATCATATCCCCTGCTGAGGGCCTAGGTGAGGGCTTCCTGCCCCGATCCACCTCTTGGCTTCACAGGGCAGTGAGGTTCAGCCATGCTGTAGGCCTCGGCGAGGGGTTGGCTGAGTAACTCAAGAAGGAGAGGCACCCTCGGTTGCATCCCCCAACCCTCTCCTGCCCTGTCCAGGCTCTTTCCTTCTCTGTCTGTGTCCCTATTGCTCATTCTGCTTCTCATACTCTCTGCCCCTCAGCCTGAGGGTCTCCCACGTGTAGGAAGCCTGCAAGGGAGGAATTAGCTGGTGAGGGGACAGTAGGCTGGAGGGGTGGGGAGACAAGCCCCGAATGCCCAGGAGAGGCCGTGGCAGGGCCTGGGGCTGTCAGTGCAGGAGAAGTTTCATAGTGAGAGAAGCCCTTGTGCTGCTGTCTCCCCACTAGAGGCTTCAGACAGATTCCAGCCCCCCAGGGCCTCCAGGTCTGAAAAAAGGAAGGGAGGAGGCACAGCCACCATCCTGCCTACCTCTGGGTCTGGGGCCTTTGTCTGCCTCGCTCCAGCCTAGCTGAAGCGCCTTTGTCGTCACTGACAGGTGAAGATCATGACGGAGAAGGAACTCCTGGCCGTGGCTTGTGAGCAGTTTCTGGGTAAGAATGTGCAGGACATCAAAAACGTCGTCCTGCAGACCCTGGAGGGACATCTGCGCTCCATCCTCGGTGAGGCCCTGTTCAGCCTTTGAGGAGCCTCACGGGGCCCCTAAGCCAAGGCAGGGAGGTGTGCAGGGCTGGGCAGGGGGCCTGTTTCACAGGAGTTTCAAGCTAAAACACTTTTCCTCAAATATTTAATTTCAAAACTTCAGGTGACTTGAGTTAAGGAGAGGGTATGAGTGAAGGGGTGGGATGGGGGCTGTCGGTCTGCTCAGGAACCTAGTGCTGCTTGGGACACTTTTCCTCATTCAGCCTGGACTGTGCAGCAGGAAGCTCGGTGTTAAGTGCTGTTGAGAAGATACCCCAGGAAGACCCAGCTCAGAGTGCAGCACCCCGCATGCACCCCTACCTCTACATGCATGCCTCCTCCCTTCCCCAGCTGGCTGGGTCCCTGGGGAGCCAGCCCTTGATCCCTCTGCCCCCAGGGACCCTGACAGTGGAGCAGATTTATCAGGACCGGGACCAGTTTGCCAAGCTGGTGCGGGAGGTGGCAGCCCCTGATGTTGGCCGCATGGGCATTGAGATCCTCAGCTTCACCATCAAGGTACGACGTGATGGGAAGCTGTATCTCCTGGCGTCCATCTGGGAGATGGTGGCTTTGTTAGAGGGGCACCTTTGTGCCTCTGGCTGCTCCTTTGAGCCTCTGATACCCCCTTCCCTCCCCAGGACGTGTATGACAAAGTGGACTATCTGAGCTCCCTGGGCAAGACGCAGACTGCCGTGGTGCAGAGAGATGCTGACATTGGCGTGGCCGAGGCTGAACGGGACGCAGGCATCCGGGTATGTGGGTTCAAGGATGGGAAGCTCAGGGGTGATGGGACCATGATGACTCAGGACCTCTACTCACTCACCTTCCCCTTCTGCCCCTTTTGTCCCCAGGAAGCTGAGTGCAAGAAGGAGATGCTGGATGTGAAGTTCATGGCAGACACCAAGATTGCTGACTCTAAGCGAGCCTTCGAGCTGCAAAAGTCAGCCTTCAGTGAGGAGGTTAACATCAAGGTGAGCAGCCTGAGGACATCCTGGGATGGGGCTCAGGGATCAGGACTTGGTGACCAGCCTCTAATGTGCCACACACCCTCTTGCCACAGACAGCTGAGGCCCAGTTGGCCTATGAGCTGCAGGGGGCCCGTGAACAGCAGAAGATCCGGCAGGAAGAGATTGAGATTGAGGTTGTGCAGCGCAAGAAACAGATTGCCGTGGAGGCACAGGAGATCCTGCGTACGGACAAGGAGCTCATCGCTACAGTGCGCCGGCCTGCCGAGGCCGAGGCCCACCGCATCCAGCAGATTGCCGAGGGTGAAAAGTGAGAGCCGCCCAGGTGCCGGGGTCAGGGCTTAGTCAGGCTCCTCTGCCTTCAGTGCACTCCCTCTACTCTCCTGACCACAGCTTGGAAGCCACTTCTCCCCCTCCACTGTGTCTTCTTACTCACTGTGAAGTGAGGATAACCCCATGTCCCCTGTGGGACTGCTGTTGGGAAGACTAAATAGATAAAGGAGGCTCCAGTGCCTGGTGTAGTGCTTGGGCATAGACGGCATCCTGGTTTGTCCCCTCCCACTTACAGATGGGAGCCGGTGGCCTTTCCCTGGCCAGAGCCGGAAGGTCAGGCCACCCCACTCCGTTCCAATGTCTCCCACCCCGACAGCCCCCAGAGCAGAGGGTTTGAAGGTTTGCTGGCCCCCAGGCAAGGCTTGAGAGGACCCTGGTACGTCCCACTGATCCTAACTGGCCTGGGCTCCCCCAGGGTGAAGCAGGTCCTCTTGGCACAGGCAGAGGCTGAGAAGATCCGCAAAATCGGGGAGGCGGAAGCGGCAGTCATCGAGGCGATGGGCAAGGCAGAGGCTGAGCGGATGAAGCTCAAGGCAGAAGCCTACCAGAAATACGGGGATGCAGCCAAGATGGCCTTGGTGCTAGAGGCCCTGCCCCAGGTGAGGCTTCCACCCAAGCGGGTCCTAGGGTTCAAGTGTCCTTGCTTGACAAGCTGGGCAAGTGCCAGAACTTCTCTGGGCCTTGCGAGTAACACAGGGACAGATGGCTAGAAGGGTTAAATGAGGAGCATCCTCAGCAGGGGGCAGGAACCCTACAAAGGCCTAAGCCATCCCTGGCCCACAGGGCGTCTCTTACCATGGCTCGAGACTAAGGGCCACCCAGGCTGCTTTGGGGTTGGAGTGAGTTAAGGAAGGGAGGGAGAGATGCTGGACCGGGCTGAGAACAGAGTCAGCGCCAACCAGGCTGTCCTCCCACTCTTACCTCCTAGATTGCTGCCAAAATCGCTGCCCCACTTACCAAGGTCGATGAGATTGTGGTCCTCAGTGGAGACAACAGTAAGGTCACATCAGAAGTGAACCGACTGCTGGCCGAGCTGCCTGCCTCTGTGCATGCCCTCACAGGCGTGGACCTGTCTAAGGTATGTGCCTGCCTAGCTGCGGTGGGGTTGCCCAGGTAGCCCGTCGGACTGGCCCAGGCAAAGTGGTCCTGGGCTCTGGAGCCAAGGTCTCATGGCATCTCCCATCCTTGCAGATACCCCTGATCAAGAAGGCCACTGGTGTGCAGGTGTGAGGCTCCTGCAGGCCCACTCTCTTCAGCAGCCACCCGGCCCTCCCTCCAGCACCCGTTTTAATCCCACAGAACAACGGGAACGTTACTGACTCTGGTGCCTTATCTCGAAGGGACCAGAAGTGCTGCGTGTTCAGGCCATCTCTGGCTGTCTTCCTGTCTCTCCTGTCTGTCCACCTCCTCCTCTTCCTCTCCTTTACCCCACTTTCACTGCCACTTTCATCAGGTTTGTGTCTCATCTCCCTGCGTGTCTTTTCCTTTGTCTGTCTTTTTCTTTCCCCCATGCACATCATGTAGATTAAGCTGAAGATGTTTATTACAATCACTCTCTGTGGGGGGTGGCCCTGCTGCTCCTCAGAATCCTGGTGCCTTGAAGTTCTCTGTGCATCTGTCCATCCTCCCTATGGCCCTGGCCAGAGCTCAGCATGGGCAGGGGTTCTGGGTAGGACGGTCACTGTCCTCTCTCCTGGACTGGTCTTCCCAGCCCTAAACCCTGCCCCAGGAAGCCCACAGCCTCACCTGCTGCTGCCCCTCTAGGTCTGGGCAGCCATGACCTGCAGGGCCCAGAGACACTGTCCTTCCCCTCATCCACCCAAGGCCCCAGCCAGCGCTCATACCCTGTCCTTTCTCCCTGACCCCAAGGGCACAGAGGCAAGGCCTCCTGTCTACAGCAGCTTCCTCAGTTTCCTACTGCCTTAGGAGGCCCCTGCTTGTGCTCAGGGAAGGCCTCTTCATGGGCATGTTCCTGCTGGGGCGGTGCGGTTTGGTCCCAACTCTGCTAAGTTTTCTGAGATGAGGGTCTAGCCCTGTTGGGGACAGAAAAGTGTGTAGACCTTCTTCCTGCTAGGGCTGCACTGTCCTGGGTGTTGGGCCCTTCTGGTGGACAAGGCTGTGCCAACCCTGTACAGAATCGAGTGCTGTAGCCTGGCCAGACCCCAGAGCCCTTGTGCCATCTTTCTTCCTGGCCAGAGTGATGGGGTTCCAGCCATGGGGAAGCAACCCAATCCTCTGTCTCCTTGCTCCAATGGAGGCAGAAGAGCCCAGGACCCAAGCGTCTTGGCAGGGGTGCTGTGAATGTCCAGTGGTCCCAGCTCCCCACCCTGGCCCTGCCCCAGCCTGTGTAGCTCTTCCTGCATGTGGATGCTGCATGTCTGGTCTGGGGCTTGGATGTTGCACTGCCCCACTGCCTGTCCCTTCTGGTAAAATAAAGAACTCTTAATGCCCACCCCTGCATTGTGTCTTCTGTGAGGAGAGAGACTGCGAACCGAGAACCAACCAGGTCCCCTACCTCTCTTCAGCTTCAAGGCAGCTTTTAGCCTGTTCTTCCGCATTCTAGCCACTGGGGAGCAACAGCACACTGGCCTTGCCCCCAGTTGCGCCTTGGACATGACTGATTGGCTAAGATGCTTAGGCCAAACCCCAGCCCTGGAACACCTGGCTCCATCACAGGCAGAAGGTGGAGGGGACTAGCAGGGTGCAGTTGCACATGCCTGTAGTCCCAGCTACTCAGGAGGCTGAGGTGAGAGAATTGCTTGAGCCCAGGAGTTTGAGTCCAGCCTGGGCAACATAGGAAGACTCCATCTCTTAAAAAAAAAAAAGAAGAAAAGGTGGAGGAAACTGCCAGGTTCACTGCACCTCTGTACCGGTATACTGAGCCCTACTCAGTAATGGAGCCCATCTCTCAGGCTTAAGAGCTTAGACTCTGAAGTAAGGCAATGTAGGTTTAGATTTTAGCTTTATTGTTCATTACCTGTGTAATCTTAGGTGAGTAACTTCATCTTTCTGGGCCTCAATATTCTTATTCATTTAATGAATTTATCAAATGCTTGCAATGTACTAAGCATTGTCTTAGATGCCAGAGCAATGAGTCAACAAAATAAATGCACAGCCATTCAAGCTTACATTCAGATAGAAACAAGAAAAATTAAACGTACAGTATGTTAGATAATGGTAAGTCATAAGGAAAAGAAGTCAAAGAAATTATAGGAAGTGTGGGAGTCCGCTGAAATTTTAGGGTATCCAAAAAAGGCCTCATTAAGAAGGTAGCCCTGAAGAAAGTAAAGGATTGAGCCATTCAGATATCTGAAGGAAGAGTTTTCCATCCAAAGGCCCTGAGGCAGGAGAGTGTCTGGCATGATGAAAGAATAGCAAGGTCAGGATGTTTGGAGCAAGGGAGTAAGTCAGGGTATCAGGAGATGAGTCAGGATCTCATCTTTCCAGATCATGTAGAACCTTAATGAGGCATATTGTGGTCTTTACTCTGAGGTGGGAAACCACTGAAAGGCTTTGAAAAAGGAGTGATATCATTTGATACACCTTAAAAGGTATTTCTAGGCACCAAGACAATTCAAGGCAGAAAGGAACAGATGGTGCTAGAACAACTGGGTCTGTATTGGGGAAAAAAATTGAATTGCAGCTGAGCGTGGTGGTTCATGCCTGTAATCCAAGCACTTTGGGAGGCCTAGTTGGGTGGACCACAAGGTCAGGAGTTCAAGACCAGCCTGGCCAAGATGGTGAAACCCTGTCTCTATTAAAAACTACAAAAATGGGCTGGGCACAGTGGCTCACGCCTGTAATCCTGGCGCTTTGGGAGGCCGAGGCGTGCAGATCACGAGGTCAGGAGATCGAGACCATCCTGGCTAATGCAGTGAAACCCTGTCTCTACTAAAAATACAAAAAATTAGCCAGGCATGGTGGCAGGCGCCTGTAGTCCCAGCTACTTGGGAGGCTGAGGCAGGAGAATGGCATGAACCCAGGAGGCAGAGCTTGCAGTGAGCCGAGATCCGCACCACTGCACTCCAGCCTAGGTGACAGAGCAAGACTCCGTCTCAAAAAAATAAAACTACAAAAATTAGCCAGGTGCAGTGTCAGGCACCTGTAATCCCAGCTACTCGGGAGGCTGAGGCAGAAGAATCACTTGAACCCAGGCAGCAGAGGTTGCAGTGAGCCGAGATCATGCCACTGCACACAGAGTGAGACTCTGTCTCAAAAAAAAAAGAAAAAAACAATTGAATTGCAACCCCCTACCTCACACCATATACCCAAATCTAGTTTGGGGTGGATCACAGACCTAATGTAAAAACTCAAAACATAAAGTTCATAGAGCAAGCAGGGAATGTTTCTATGACCTTGACATAGGCAAGATTTCTTAAGACCAAAAAAAAAAAAACTACTAACCATAAAAGAAAAATTTGATATATTGCATCATCACAATAGGTCTTGGCCAGCCAGGCATGGTGGCTTATGCCTGCAATCTCAGCACTTTGGGAGGCCGAGGCGGGTGGATCACCTGAGGTCAGGAGTTTGAGACCAGCCTGACCAATATGGTGAAACCCTGTCGCTACTAAAACAACAAAAATTAGCCAGGCGTGGTGGCAGGCTCCTGTAATCCCAGCTACTCAGGAGGCTGAGGCAGGGAGAATTGCTTGAACCCAGGAGGCGGAGGTTGCAGTAAGCTGAGATCGCGCCACTCTACTCCAGCCTCAGCAACAGAGCAAAACTCCATCTCAAAAAAAAAATTAACTGAGCATGGTGGTTTGTGCCTATAGTCCCAGCTACTTGGGTGGCTGAGGTGGGAGGATCGTGTGAGCCTAGGAGATGGAGGCTGCAGTGAACTATGATCACATAACTGTACCCCAGCCTAGGCGACAGAGACCCTGTCTCAAAAAAAAAAAAAAAAAGAATGAGAAGACAAGCCTCAGAATAATGGGAAAAAATATTTGCAAGATATATGTCTGGCAAAAAAAAAAAAAAAAAACTAGCATTCAGAATATATTTTACCAATCAGTATGGGAAGAAATGGTAATGCCGCAGAAAAATAGACAAAGGAATGGCCAATAGATGTATGAAATCTGTGTGACAGATTGTATTTTCCACAGATAGTGGCAACAATATCTTCCATCCTACATGTTCCTCTTACAGTGTCACTTTGACCATCCTTACAATTAGAGGTAGAGCCTATTCTTCCTTCCCTTGAAACTGGTGGGACTTTTGTGGCTATTCAGGCCAATAAAGAGTATTGCAGAAGTGACATTATGTGACTTCTGAGTTTAGATCACAAACGATGACAAAGCCTGTGCTTTATTTGCTGGAATACTCTCTCTTTAAGCCTTTAGCCACCATGTAAGCAGTATGACTGTTCTGAGGGCACTGTACTGTAAGGAAGCCCAAACAGAGGGACCACAGGGTTGGGCCCTGGCTACATGAAGAGAAAGAGATAGACACCTGCAGCTGCTCCAGCCACCATCTGGCTGCATGTGCAGGAGAGACCCCAAGCCATTTCTGCCCAGCCAACCTCCTAAAATCCAGACTCCTGAAACTGTGTGAGATAGTAAATGGACTGCTCATTGTTTAAGCTTCTAAGTTGGAGGTTGATTTGTTACATAGTAAAGAATGGCAGGAATAGCATGCATAACTTCATTAGTCATCAGGGAAATGCAAATTAAAACCAAAATGAGATTATCACTTCACACCTACCAGAATGACTGAAATGAAAAAAAAAGTTACAATATCAAGCATGGGTGAGGAGGAAGAGCAATTGGAACATTCATACACTGCTGGTAGAAATATATGTCAATACAACCACTTTGGAAACCTGTTTGACAGAATCTACTACAGCTGAACAAAAGCATACCCTTTGACCCAACCATCTCACTCCAACAGCAATATACATACATATGGGTACAAGAATACTCACAGCAGCATTATGAATAATGGCCCCCAAATTCAAACAACTCAAATGTTCATCAATGGTAGAATGAAAAATGTGTATCATATTCATGAAATTGAATACTATGCAGTAATAAAAACAAATGAACTACTGCTACATGCAAATACTTGAATAAATCTTGCAAACGTAATGTTGAGTGAAAGAAGCCAGACATGGGCTGGGTGCGGTGGTTCACACCTGTAATCCCAGCACTTTGAGAGGATGAGGTGGGCAGATTGCAGATTGCTTGAGTGTGTGGCAAAACCCTGTCTCCACAAAAGATACAAAAAAAAAAAATTAACTGGGCATGGTGGTTTGCACCTATAGTCCCAGCTACTCGGGAGGCTGGGGTGGGAGGATTGCTTCAGCCCGGGACGTTGAGTTGAGGCTGCAGTGAGTCAAGATTGCACCATTGCACTCCAGCCTGGGAGACACAGTGAGACCCTGTCCCAAAAATAATAATAGACGGGTATGGTGGCTCACGCCTGTAATCCCAGCACTTTGGGAGGCTGAGGCGGGTGGACTGCCTGAGGTCAGGAGTTCGAGACCAGCCAGGCCAACATATAGTGAAACCCCGTCTCTACTAAAAATACAAAAATTACCTGGGCGTGGTGGCGCACATCTGTAGTCCCAGCTACTTGGGAAACTGAGGCAGGAGAATTGCTTGAACCCGGGAGGCAAAGGTTGCAGTGAGCTGAGATCACACCATTGCACTCCAGCCTGGGCAACAGAGCGAGACTCCATCTCAAAAAATAATAATAATAATAATATAGATTGTATCATTCCATATAAAGTCCAAAAAGCAGGCAAAGCTAATCTATGACATTAGATCAGCTAAAGGTCACCTTTGGGGAAGAAGAGACAGAAATAGAGGGCACAGGAGCCCCCTGAGAATGTCCTGTTTCTTGACCTGGATGGTGATTACATGGGTGTGTTCACTTTGTGATAATTCACTTATGAGTCATGCACTTTTTGAATATATGTTCTACTTCAGCAAAAAGTTAATTAAGAAAATAAATTGCGGGCAAGCCGCTAGGTCCCCTTCCACACTGTGGAAGCTTTGTTCTTTCACTCTGCAATAAATCTTGCTGCTGCTCACTCTTTGGGTCCGCACTGCCTTTATGAGCTGTAACAATCACTGCGAAGGTCTGCAGCTTCACTCCTGAGGCCAGCAAGACCACGAACCCACCGGGAGGAATGAACAACTCCGGACGGGAGGAACCAATAACTCCAGACGTGCCGCCCTAAGAGCTGTAACACTTACTGCGAAGGTCTGCAGCTTCACTCTTGAAGCCAGCCAGACCATGAACCCACCAGAAGGAAGAAACTCCGAACACGTCCAAACATCAGAAGGAACAAACTCCGGACACACCATCTTTAAGAACTGTAACACTCACTGCGAGGGTCTGCAGCTTCATTCTTGAAGTCAATGAGACCAAGAACCCACCAATTCTGGACACACCATGTTCATGCCACTGCATTTTGCCCTGGGTGACTGCATTTTGCCCTGGGTGACAGAGCAAGACCCTGTCTCAAAAAACAAAACAAAAAAAATTGTGATTAATACATAGAAAATAGGGAATTGAGTGGTTGCTTTTAAATTGGAAGTATAACTTACATAGCGAAAGGGGTACAAATCTTGTGAATTTTACATATAATAAAATTTCATAAATGCATATACCTTTCTAACCAGCGTGAAGATCAAAATCTGGAACATGTCCAAAAAAAGAAAATAAATTGCCTCCAAGATCTTCGTCCCATCTGGAAGAACGGAAGAACGGAGTTGTTATTTACTGAAATGGGAAAAACATTTGAGGGAGCAGACTTTTTTTTTTTCAAGATAGAGAGATAGTCTCTCTCTGTCGCCTAGGCTGGAATGCAGTGGCACCATCACGACTTACTGCAGCTTTGACTTCCCTAAGCTCAAGTGAACCTCCTACCTCAGCCTCCTGAGTAGCTGGGACTACAGACATGCACCACCATACCTGGCTAATTTTTGTTTGTTTGTTTGTTTTTTGAGATGGAGTCCCGCTCTGCTGGGCTGGAGTGCAGTGGCACTATCTCGGCTCACTGCAACCTCCACCTCCCAGGTTCAAGCGATTCTTCTGCCTCAGCCTCCCAAGTAGCTGAGACTACAATTGCATACCACCGCCTGGCTAATTTTTGTATTTTTAGTAGAGATGGGGTTTCACCATGTTGCCCAGGCTGGTCTCGAACTCCTGAGGCTCAAGCAATCCACCTGCCTCAGCCTCCCAAAGTGCTGGGATTACAGGCATGAGCCACCATGCCTGGCCCACTACTGGTCTTTTCACTGCTTCCTGTTGACCTTCAGGAAAAGGAGGCCTGAGTGGCTGCAATGAGACCCAACTAGGAGATGGTCCAGGTTGGCCTTAGTGTCAGGGACACTGACTTCAGCAAGAAGATGAGAGGGGCCTTGCTGAAAGAGATCTGAAGGGTGCTGGAGAGGAGGAAGGGGCAATGATGTGGGGGTAGGGAGTGAGGAGGGGATGCCTCAGCACCTGTACTAATGCCAGTGGACCCCTGGAATGGAGAAAGCCAGGCCTCTGTCCCCAGAGCCTGGAACCAGCCTCAGGAAGAGAGAGTGGAGAGTATAGAGCATTCTGCCTGAGCCTTCAGAGGCCTGCTAAGGCCCTGTTTACCATGAACTTCCATGAACCCAGGAAGGAAAGGGCTTAGTATATAGAATGGGCACCTGGAGTGTGCAGGTGATGCTGTTTCCTACCCTGTTGTGCTCATGACCCCACCAGCCTTAGGAATTCGATATAGAGGGTACCAGGCCTGCCCATCTTCCCTGCTGTGCCCAGTCCCTAGGCCTGAAGGCCCAGCACAGAGGGGGTTAAGGGCTCAGGAACGCTTGCCTCTGGGTGGGTGGGAACTGTCAGCAAGGAGCCTTGTCTGTCTTGATAATCCAGGCTGCCTATCTTTTCCACAGCAGCTGTGAAGCAAACAGGTTGTCCTGGCAGGGAGGGAGGAATGTAAAGGCCTGGCTGATGGCGGGAAGGATTTGAGGCAGTAGGGACACTCAGGCTCCACTCAACAGCCACCTTTAGAACTGTACCTGGCTGGGCGCAGTGGCTCACGCCTGTAATCCCAGCACTTTGGGAGGCCGAGGCAGGCGGATCACGAGGTCAGGAGATCAAGACCATCCTGGCTAACACGGTGAAACCCCATCTCTACTAAAAATACAAAAATTAGCCGGGCGTGGTGTCGGGCACCTGTAGTTCCAGCTACTCGGGAGGCTGAGGCAGGAGAATGGTGTGAACCTGGGAAGTGGAGCTTGCAGTGAGCCGAGATCACACCACTACACTCCAGCCTGGGGGACAAAGCCAGACTCCGTCTCAAAAAAAAAAAAAAAAGAAAGAAAAAAAAAAGAAAGAACTGTACCAGGAGACTGGAAAGGTCATGGCCCAAGTCTGGACTTGAGAGTCCCCACTGACCCAGAGAATAGGAACTGGAAGCTGATGAATAGAGTTAGGGAGGTGTTGAGAGGAAAATTTCCATTTCTGACTCAGTATGTGTCTCAACAGGGGTGCAAGGGGGACACTATCACGTGTACGTGCACGGGTATGAGTGAGCACGAGCGCCCACAGGTGTATGCCCCGTTGGAGAGAGTAAACAGGGAAAGCCCACTGCAAAGCCAGGAAGGAAGGAGCTTGGCATCTGTTGAGCTCCTGTTGTTCATGTGCCAGGCTCTAGGTTAGAACTATCCACCTTCACTGTCTCATTTCATCTTCACCAGCATGGAAAAGAAAGCATTTGAACCCCTTTTTTTTGAGACAGAATCTTGCTCTGTCGCCCAGGCTGGAGTGCAGTGGCACGATCTCGGCTCACTGCAACCTCCGCCTCCCCGGTTTCAAGCAATTCTCCTGCCTCAGCCTCCTCAGTAGCTGGGATTACAGGCCTGTGCCAACAAGCCCAGCTAATTTTTGTATTTTTAGTAGAGATGGAGTTTCACCATGTTGGTCAGGCTGGTCTCGAACTCCTGACCTCGTGATCTGCCCGCCTCAAGCTCCCAAAGTGCTGGGATTATAGGTGTGAACCACCGCGCTCGGCCTTTTTTTTTTTTTTTTTTGAAACAGAGTCTCACTCTGTCACCCAGCCTGGAGTGTAATGGCACTATCTCGGCTCACTGCAACTTCTGCCTCCTAGGTTCAAGAGATTCTCCTCCCTCAGCCTCTCGAGTAGCTGGGATTACAGGCGCCTACCACCACGCGTGGCTAATTTTTGTATTTTTAGTAGAGACAGGGTTTCGCCATGTCGTCCAGGCTGGTCTCAAACTCCTGACCTCAAGGGATCCGCCCACCACGGCCTTCAAACTGCTGGGATTACAGGCATGAGCCACTGAACCTGGCCTGAACCCCATTTTACTGTTGAGGAAGCCAAGACTCTAAGATCAGGTGCAGGGGCCAGAATCACTCAGCGGTAGTGTGGTGGAGCCCGGACTCTGACAAGTCAGTCAGAAGCTGTGCTTATTTCCTGCTAGCTCTCAGTACTCCTAGACAGGAAGCAAGAACCCTAATGTACAACCCCTGAACTGTGAAGGCGAAAGCTCTGGTTCAAGCCAAACATGGGCCTGTGATTTCAGGACAAGTGAGCTTCATGAGAAGGCTTGGCTCATAAACTGCAGGAGGTCAGAGAAAGGAGAGGGGATTGTTGCTGGATTGCAGCTGCCCAAGAGCAGTGTGTGGAAGAGGCTAAACAAGGGATTAGATGACTAGGCATGGTGGCTCATGCCTGTAATCCCAGAACTTTTAAGGGCTGAGGTGGGAGGTTTGCTTGAGGCCAGGAGTTTGAGATCAGGCTGGGTTGCACAGTGAGAACCCCCATCTCTATTTTTTTTTTTTGGTCACTGTTGTCAGCCTGGGTTGGAGTGCAGTGGCGTGATCTCGGCTCACTGCAACCTCCGCCTCCCAGGTTCCAGCAATTCTCCTGTCTCAGCCTCCCGAGTAGCTGAGATTACAGGCGCCTGCCACCATGCCCAGCTAATTTTTCTATTTTTGGTAGAGACACGGTTTCACCACGTTGGCCAAGCTGGTCTTGAACTCCTGACCTCAAGTGATTTGCCTGCTTCGGCCTCCCAAAGTGCTAGGATTATAGGCGTATGCCACTGTGCCTGGCCTCTATCTCTATTTAAAAAAAAAAATTTTTTTTTCTGAGATGGAGTTTTGCTCTCGTTGCCCAGGCTAGAGTGCAGTGGTCCAGCCTTGGCTCACTGCAACCTCCACCTTCTGGTTTGAAGAGATTCTCCTGCCTCAGCCTCCCAAGTAGCTGGGATTACAGGTGCCCACCACCATGCCCAGCTAATTTTTTTGTATTTTTAGTAGAGACGGGGTTTCACCGCATTGGTCAGGATAGTCTCGAACTGCTGACCTCGTGATCCACCCACCTTGGCCTCCCAAAGTACTGGGATTACAGGCCTGAGCCACTGCGCCTGGCCCTAAAAAAATTTTTTTAAGACAGGGTCTCACTCTGTCACCCAGGCTGAAGTGCAGTGGTGCGATCACGGCTCACTGCAGCTTCAACCTCCCAGGCTCAAGCGATCCTCCCACCTTAGCCTTCTGAGTAGCTGGAACTACAGGTACATGCCACCACACCAGGCTAATTTTTGTATTTTATGTAGAGATGGATTTTGTCATGTTGCCTAGGCTGGTCTCCAACTCCTGGCCTCAAGCAATCCACTCGCCTCAGCCTCCCAAAGAGCTGGGATTATAGGCATGAACCACCACACCAGGCTTCTACAAAAATTTTGTTTTAAAATTACCTGGAGCCGGGCGCGGTGGCTGACGCCCGTAATCCCAGCACTTTGGGAGGCCGAAGTGGGCAGATCATGAGGTCAAGAGATAGAGATCATCCTGCCCAACATGGTAAAACCCCATCTCTACTAAAAACACAAAAATTAGGGCCGGGAACAGTGGCTCACGCCTGTAATCCCAGCACTTTGGGAGGCCGAGGTGGGTGGATCACCTGAAGTCGAGAGCTCAAGACCAGCCTGACCAACATGGAGAAACCCCGACTGTACTAAAAATACAAAATTAGCTGGGCGTGGTGGCACGTGCGGATAATCCCAGCTACTCTGGAGGCTGAGGCAGGAGAATCACTTGGACATGGGAGGAGGAGGTTGTGGTGAGCCAAGATCGTGCCACTGCACTCCAGCCTGGGTGACAAGAGCGAAACTCCGTCTCAAAAAAAAATAATAAATACAAATACAAAAATTAGCTGGGTGTGGTGGCACACGCCTATAGTTACAGCTACTTGGGAGGCTGAGGCAGGAGAATAGCTTGAACCCAGGACACAGAGGTTGCAGTGAGCCCAAATCACGCCACTGCACTCCAGCCTGGCTACAGAGCGAGACTCGGTCTTAAAATATATATATATATTACCTGTACCTGGAGCCAGGCCAGGCGTGGTGGCTCATGCCTGTAATCCCAGCACTTTGGGAGGCCAAGGCGGGTGTATCACGAGGTCTGGAGTTCAAGACCAGCCTGGACAAGATGGTGAAACCCCATCTCTACTAAAAATACAAAAATTAGCCAGGCGTGGTGGCGGACACCTGTAATCCCAGCTGCTCAGGAGGCTGAGACAGAGAATTGCTTGAACCCGGAAGATGGAGGTTGCAGTGAGCCGAGATTGCACCACTGCACTCCAGCCTGTGGAACAGAGCAAGACACCCTCTCAAAAAAAAAAAAAAAAAAATACGTGGAGCCGGGTGCTCACGTACAGGCTCATGCCTGTAATCCCAGTACTTTGGGAGGCCAAGGTAGGCAGATCACTGGAGGTCAGAAATTTGAGACCAGCCTGGCCAACATGGTGAAACCCCGTTTCTACTAAAAATACAAAAAATAATTAGCCAGGAGTGGTGCATGCCTGTAATCCCAGCTACTCGGGAGCTGAGGCAGGAGAATCTCTTGAACCCAGAGGCAGAGGCTGCATTAAGCCAAGACTGTGCCACTGCATTTCAGCCTGGGCGACAGAGCGAGAAAACAAATTTTTTCCTGGGTGTGGTGGTATGGGCCTGCAGTCCCAGCTACTTGGGGGACTGAGGCAGGAGGATTCCTTGAGTCCAGGAATTCAAGGTTGCAACGTGCTGTGATTGTACCACTGCACTCCAGTCTCTGGAAAAAAAAAAAAAAAAGAGGTCCGATAGATGAGTGGAGTCTGCCTGCATAAGTAGAAACACAGAAGGAATCCTTGCATCATTCAGGGGCTTTCTTACACGATTTCACTGAATCTTGTTTGTTTGTTTGCTGTTGTTTTGAGATGGAGTTTCACTCTGTCGCCCTGGCTGGAGTACAGCGACGCAATCTCAGCTCAATGCAGCCTCCGCCTCCCAGGTTCAAGTGATTCTCCTGCCTCAGCCTCTTGAGTAGCTGGGATTACAGGTGCCTGCCAGCACACCCAGCGACCTTTTTTTGTATTTTTAGTAGAGGCAGGGTTTTGCCACGTTGAACAGGCTGGTCTCCAACTCCTAACTTCAAGTGATCCACCCACCTTGGCCTCCCAAAGTACTAAGATTACAAGTGTGAGCCACCGTGCCCAGCTAGATTTTACTGAATCTTCTGAAGGATCTTGTGAGGCAGGTATTATTCTCATCCCTATAATAGATAAGGAGGCTCAGAATCACATTACTGGTAACTGGCAGAACTTAGGTTTGATTCCATTGAAACTCAAAAAGGCCTCACAAAGACACAAAATCTACCCTATTCCTAGCGGGTTTGTGCATAGAGCCAGGGTGTGGGGTCTGGAGAACAGGGCTGTAGTTCTGCTCACTATAAGACTCGGGCCAAGCACTTCCTCCCTGAACCTTAGTTTCTCTATCGTGAAAATGGCATGCAGGTGTCTTTTGGAGATGGATGGACATCGGCAAAGCCCCCAGGAAAGCCATTCCTAGGACCCCACTCCCTGGAAGGGCTCCAGGGGCATCTGGGTACAGTGCTCAACATGCACACTTCCTCATGGGGCTGAACGGCATAAAGAGTATAAGGGAACATATGCTTGAGCATCTGTTCCATGTAAGGCGTTCTCTGAACACCTCCCAGGATAAATCCCGGGTGCTGGGCCAGGGAGATGGTTCAGACAAGGTGCCCATTCATGGAATGGTTGGGGACAAACAAGGGAATTTGCCACACTGTGATGAGGACAACAGTAAGAGCAGGTCCCAAGCCTGGACCTCGAGAGGGAAGTGTCAGGGAGAGTGAAGAGAAGCTTCACAGACCAGTCAGGATGAAGTGGAGCAGGCCTCTCTGACAAACTCCTAAATCTCAAGCCCCATTGACCTCATGGAGGGTAAGGATTAGAATGGTTTTCCAGGCTGGGCGCAGTGGCTCACATCTGTAATCTCAGCACTTTGGAAGGCTGATGCGGGAGGAATGCTTACTCAGTTACTCTTGAGAGGCTGAGGTAGGGGGATCCCTTGAGCGCAGAAGTGAGTTATGACCACAACACCGCACCACTGCACTCCAGCCTGGGCAATAGAATGAGACCCTATCATTTTTAAAAGAAAAAAAAAACAAAAAAAAAAAACAGTGGCCGGGCAGGCGGATCACCTGAGGTAGGGGGTTCAAGACCATCCTGACCAACATGGTGAAACCCCGTCTCTACTAAAAATACAAAAATTAGCTGGGCATGGTGGTGGGCGCCTGTAGTCCCAGCTACTCGGGAGGCTGAGGCCAGAGAATCCCTTGAACCCGGGAGGCAGAGGTTGCAGTGAGCTGAGATTGTGCCACTGCACTCCAGCCTGGCAACAGAGCGAGACTCAGTCTCAAAAAACAAACAAAACAAAACAAAACGAAAAACCAGTTTTCCAGCTTCTCAAAATTTCTCAAAGTCCTTTGTTCCTGAATGAGTTTTGCTACTGTCTGTGCTATGAGACATTGAATGAGAAAACACTGAATAACTGTTTGAATAACCATATTATTTGGCCTCCTTTTATCCTTGTATAAAATTGCTAATGTCATGAGACATAGTAAAGCAACCAAGAGGAAAATAAGAGTAATTCTACCCGCTGAATTTATTATTTATTTTTTAGAAACAGGGTCTCACTCAGCCAGCCTCCCATGCTGGAGTTCAGTGCTGCTGCAATCATAGTTCACTGCAGCCTCAGTCTCCCGGGGTCAAGCAATGTTCTCACCCCAGCCTCCCAAGTAGCTAGGAATACAGGCATGTGCCACCACAGCTGACTAATTTTTTTTTTTTTTTTTTTTGAGATGGAGTTTTGCTCTTGTTGCCCAGGCTGGAGTACAATAGGATGATCTCAGCTCACTGCTGCCTCTGCCTCCCGGGTTCAAATGACTCTCCTGCCTCAGCCTCCTGAGTAGTTTGGATTACAGGCATGCACCATCACGCCCGGCTAATTTTGTATTTTTAGTAGAGATAGGGTTTCTCCATGTTGGTCAGGCTGGTCTCAAACTCCCGACCTCAGGTGATCCGCCCGGCTGGACCTCCCAAAGTGCTGGGATTACAGGTGTGAGTCACCGCGCTTGGCCCACAGGTGGCTAATTTTTAAATGTTTCTGGAGAGATGAGGTCTTGCTATGTTGCTGTGGCCAGTCTGAACTCCTGGGTTCAAGCGACCCTCCTGCCTCAGCCTCCTAAAGTGCTGGGATTACAGGCATGAGTCACTGTGCCCGGCCTGAATTTCTTTTTTTAATGTGTATGCTGTGTATCTCTATGTGTTGTATGTCTGCGTACATGTGGGCAGTGCACATGTGTGCATTTGTATGTGTGTGTTTTGCATATTATGTGTATCTGTCTGTGAGTGTCTATGGCTGCTTCCTGTTCCTCTGAGTCATGCATTGTTCTCCGATGCTGAGAGGTGGAGGGAACCCTTAAGCTTTGGACAATTCTCTCCTCCTCTCTGCCTTCAGTTTCTCTCCTATATAAATGGGAGACTTGAACTCCATGATTTTGAAGGACCTGTACAGATCTGACCATCCTTAACTTCATCACCATACACTTTAGGACTTCTTCCAAAAAAGACCTAAAGAACAGTCAAGAGCTTAAAGCTGCAGTGGCAGGGGTTGAAGTTAGAAGGACGAAGTCCCCAGACTTGCCTCACTGGCCTCAGAAAAGCCATGGAGCTCCTGGTTTGAAGCAAAAGCTGTCAGAATTTAAAAGTCAGGCCCAAGGCCCTAGCTGGTGTCCTCCCACCCCTGTACTGGCCAGAGAGTCTCCATGTGCCTTGCAGAGAGGCAGAGGGATTCACATTCCAACTCCCTGTGGGGTACTGGGGAGGCAGAGGAATGGAAGAACAAATATCCAGGAAAACAGCCCTGGGCGGGAAGCGCCTCAGCCCTGCTTTGGCCCGTGTTGGCTCCTGATAAACAGAAGGCTGCTGGGCCCCCACCCTGATAGCCCAATGTCTGCTTATCAGGGCCCCCTGACTATCCCTCCCAGGCCCAGACTCTCCTCCAACCCACACCCTACTCACAGCAATCCCCACCCCTGGCCAGAGGCCACAGCCACAGGATCTCTGGCTGGCTGAGATAATCTCTCCCCTTTCCCTTTAGGACGCCTAGGTTCTGCCCATGCTCACCTTTGGACTTGGCCCCCAGGCACTAGGCAGAAGTCTAGGAAGTAAGTGGCATGAAGCTTGCCCTAGTACACGAAGCCCTGCCTTTGTTGAAGGAGCTTGAGCTGTCTGTGGGGTTTCTGAGTAGAGGTGGCCTCGCAGGAGGGACACAGGACAGGAAAGGGGGTCAGGGGAAGCAGGAGCAGACATAACGACAATGCCTCACCTGGTTAGAGCAGCTGGATTTCAGAAGCTTTGTCGCTCATCTTTTTTTTTTTTTTAAACGGAGTCTCATTCTGTCACCCAGCGTAGATGGCAGTGGTGCAGTCTTGGCTCACAGCAACCTCTGCCTCCTGGGTTTAAGCAATTCTTGTGCCTCAGCCTCCCGAGTAGTTGGGATTACTGGTGCTGCCACCACGCCCGGCTAATTTTTTGTATTTTTAGTAGAGATGGGGTTTCTCCATGTTGGCCAGGCTGGTCTCAAACTCCTGACCTCGAATTATCCACCCACCTCAGCCTCCCAAAGTGCTGGGATTACAGGCGTGAGCCACCGCACCTGGCCCTCACTCATCTTTCTATATTTCTTTTTCTTTTTTTTTTTTTTTTTTTGAGGTAGAGTCTCACTCTTGTCACCCAGGCTGAAGTGCAGTGGTGCAAACATGGCTCATTGCAGCCTCGACTTTCCAGGCTAAAGTGATCCTCTCACCACAGCCCACCAAGTAGTTGGGACTATATAGGCACATGCCACCACAACTGGCTAATTTGTTTTCTTTTTTTTTTTTTTTTCGTACTTTTAGTAGAGATGGGGTCTCACTATGTTACCCAGGCTGGTCTTGAACTCCTGGGCTTAAGTGATCTGCCCCCCTCAACCTCCCAAAGTTCTGGGATTACAATCGTGAGCCACCATGCCTGGGCTCTCACTCATATTTCTGACTTGACTCTTACAACTTGGCAAGATGTGTATAACCACCAAAGCTCAGAGAAGTGCAATTTGTCCCCAGTCACACAGTTTGTGAGACAGAAGAAAGAAGTAAAGAAGGAAACTGACATTTGTTTCATATGTGCTAGGACCTGATCTGGGAGCTTGAGATGAGTGCTCGTATCACCCTCTTCATCACTGTATAAGGTTGGTATTGACAGCTGCCATTTTAAATTTGAGGAAACTGTGAGTGGGAACACTTGGTCCAAAGTCACAGAGCTGGATGCAGCACAGCTGAGACTGTCACTTGGGACCTGTCACCTCTAGACCTGGGTTCTTGCAATGGTCCCAGGTGGCTTTCAATAATATTCCATGGGCTTTCAGATGTTCAAGGACAGGCCTTGTGGGGGTCCCTGAGGGAATGGGGTGAGGTGGGAATGAACTTGTTTGAACCCCTTCTGTTGACCGGCACCAGCAGCTGATCCCCTAGATCTGGCAACTCTGTGAACTGGGGACTATTGTTATTCCTATTTACAAATAAGAACAGGGAGGGTCCCAGAGAGAAAATGGCTTGCCTGAGAGAGCCACAGCTTTGTCCATCTGCCTCCTCAGGCCAAGGTCTCTCTCCTCCCCCATATTACATTAGGCTCAGCTTGATGTAGGCTGGAACATTTATTTAGTTGTTAATTATGTGATAGAAGTACATCAGTGAGCTGGGCGCAGTGGCTCACGCCTGTAATCCCAGCACTTTGGGAGGCTGAGGCGGGCGGATCGCCTGAGCTCAAGAGTTCGACACCAGCCTGGGCAACACGGTGAAAGCCTGTCTCTACTAAAAATACAAAAAATTAGCTGGGCGTGGCAGCGAGTACCTGTAGTCCCAGCTACTCAGGAGGCTGAGGCAGGAGAATCGCTTGAACCCAGGAGGCGGAGGTTGCAGTGAGCTGAGATTATGCTACTGTACTCCAGCCTGGGCGACAGAGCAAGACTCTCGCTAAAAAAAAACAAAAAACAAAAACAAAAACACAGAAATATATTAGTGAATAAACAAGGCCCTCATGACTATTTACTTAATGTGAATAATCACACAAATAAATAAGTCCCTATCAGGGAGACTTAAATAGTCTGGGAAGACTTCCCTGCAGAAGTAACACTTAGAGATGTGAAGAGGGAGGCTGGTGCGGTGGCTCACGCCTGTAATCCCAGCACTCTGGGAGCCCATGTGGGCGGATCACTTGAGCCCAGGAGTTTGAGAGCAGCCTAGACAACATGGCGAAACCCCATCTCCACTAAAAATACAAAAATTAGCCAGGTGTGGTGGTGTACGCCTGTAGTCCCAGCTACTTGGGAGGCTGAGGTGGGAGGATCACCTGAGCCCAGGGAGTCTGCAGTGAGCCATGATGACACAACTGCACTCCAACCTGGGTGACAGAGTTAAATTGTCTCAAAAAAAAGGAAGGAAAAAAAAAGAGCTCTGAAGAGGGGCTAGGAGCTAACTAGACAAGAAAGGAGGGAAGACCATGCTAAGCAGAGGGTAGAGCATGTGCCAGCGTGCTGTGACCTCAGGAAATAGAACACCTCCACAGGACCCAGAAAAGGTTGGGTCTCTTCTCCCACTTCCATCCTGGTCTAGTCTACCCCCGCAGAGGAAGAGTATTAACTGCCTTCCAGCACACAGACCAGATTGTCTAGGATAGGGAAGAGGGAAGGGCGTGTCCCCCAGAATGGGGATTCTAAACAGCAGAGGCCTTGCTTTGAGGAGCCTCTCCTCTACCCCAGAGGCAAAGAACCAAACAGTGCTAGGCTCTCACTGGAGGTGCCTTGAGCTTTGAAGAGCAGACCCACAAGAGCTGGGGATTCAGCTGCTCTCAAATCTCCTAGTAGAGCAACCCCCAAGAGGACCTTGCCAGGGCAGTGCTAGGCAGAGTCTCTCTGCCTGCCTAGGTCTGGCCTCCTTGGGCTCATCATAAACACAGGGGCAGGGGCTGGGAATAGAAATTTAGGCTGACGGGTAGGGTGAGCTCGGCTGCCAGACAGATTCTGGAGATCCAGTTGCCAGGACCCTTCCTGCCCTATACAGAGAGATTCAACTAACATTGCCTACCACCACTGCAAAACAAAAACAAAAACAAAAAAAGCAAAAACGAGAAACCTTCCACTAGGGATCTGACCAGCAATTAAATGCTGGTGGATGGGATGAGGCTGTTCTTTCTCCTTCCCAGCCCGGCAGAGATGATGAGCTTCTTGGAGATGGGAGTGAAGGGTGAATATGGTCCATGAGAGAGTATGTGAGAAAAGGCCTTCTAGGGAAAGGGGCCAGTGACCCTTGTCATGGACTCTAGCAGGGCAAGGGTTAAGAGGCAGGGCCAGGAAAAGTGCCCCACCCAGGGGAGGGACCGGTATGATAAAAGGCAAGCAGCTTGAGGGACAGATCCTCCCTGCATCCAAAGGCCTCCTCAGTCTGCAGTTCCAGCTCCAGGTAAGTGCACCTTCTCTGGGTCTGTCTGCCTGTCTGCTTGTTAGTGTGACCAAAGGGAACCTTCTGCATCATTACGCCATCTCTGGCTTGTTTAACACTGGCCCTGGGTCCCTATGAGATCTTAACAGACCCTAGCTCCAGTCCCCTTCCCATAACCCACCTGGGCTGTGCCTGACCACAGAATCAAGGAGACGCTGGCCTGCGAGGGAGCTGTAGAGCAGGGAGCAGGAAGCTGTGTGTGTCCAGCCCTGACCTGTCCTGTTCTGCCCCCAGCCCCTCACAGTGCTTTTCAAGCCATGCTTCCTGTGCCCCCAGTGGGGCCCTGGCTGGGATATCATCATATACTGTAAGTTTGCGATGAGACACTACAGTATAGATGATGTACTAGTCCGGGCACCCCCAGCTCTGGAGCCTGACAAGGAGGACAGGAGAGATGCTGCAAGCCCAAGAAGCTCTCTGCTCAGCCTGTCACAACCTACTGACTGCCAGGGCACTTGGGAATGGCAAGGAAACCGTTACCATTACTGAGTTTAGTAATGGTAATGGTTCTCTTGCTATACCCAGAAAACGTGCCAGGAAGAGAACTCAGGACCCTGAAGCAGACTACTGGAAGGGAGACTCCAGCTCAAACAAGGCAGGGGTGGGGGCGTGGGATTGGGGGTAGGGGAGGGAATAGATACATTTTCTCTTTCCTGTTGTAAAGAAATAAAGATAAGCCAGGCACAGTGGCTCACGCCTGTAATCCCACCACTTTCAGAGGCCAAGGCAGGAGGATTTCTTGAGCCCAGGAGTTTGAGACCAGCCTAGACAACATAGTGAGACTCAGTCCCTAATATTAAAAAATAAAAATAAATAAATAAAAGGAATAAAGATGAGAACCAGAATGCTTATATTTTATTAGTATCCAAGACTGGGGAGAGGGATGGGGTGGGAGAGATCAAGAATTGGGGAGCAGATGGGAGGCGCTACCTCACTCAGGAGACACGAGTTCTTATCCAAGTTCAAGGTGAAAGAAGTGAGGGCAGGAAGAGAAATCTCCCTGCTAGCAACAGCGACTCAGGGAGAAACTCTGGGCCCATAGCTAGCTGGAGGCAGGGTGACATTGCTCCCACCAATGGGCCATCTTCTTAGCTACACCTTTGTAGCTGTGGTGCCAGGCAGAGGAACCACCTGGAAACTGAGCTAAGGCAGGTTCCTTCTTCCAACAGAAGACACAGCTGGGCAGGGACTGTGCAGACTCAACAGGGCCAGGCCAGCTAGTGGCCAGTCAGTGTTCATGTCTCTCACCAGTGCCTGGAGGGTCCCCAGCCAAGGACAGAACTGGTCAGTTCCTGCCAGCAGCTTGAGCTGGAATGCCCTGGGAGGGTCAGTAGAGGGTGGTCACTTGAGGAGCTTCACAGAGAGGCGGATGTCAACATCGCAGAGGAAGATGTCCATGAGGTCATGGCCTGCCTCCTGTGCTATCTGGGAGATCACGTGGCCCTTCGGACCAATCAGGAGTTTCTGAGGGTATGTGAAAGAGAAGGAAGCCAGGAATGATGGCACATGCCTGTAGTCCCAGCTACTTGGGGGGCTAAGGTGAGAAGATCCTTTGAGCACAGGAGTTTGAGTCCAGCCTGGGTAACAGTGCGACCCCTCTTTAAAAAAAAGAGAGGGTGGCCGGGCGCAGTGGCTCACGCCTGTAATCCCAGCACTTTGGGAGGCTGAGGCGGGCAGATCACCTGAGGTCAGGAGTTCGAGACCAGCCTGGCCAACATGGTGAAATGCTGTCTCTACTAAAAACACAAAAAATTAGCTGGACATGGTGGCGGGCACCTGTAATCTCAGCTACTTGGGAGGCTGAGGCAGGAGAATCACTTGAACCTGGGAGGCAGAGGTTGCAGTGAGCTGAGATCGTGCCTCTGCACCCCAGCCTGAGTGACAGAGCAAGAACCTGGCTCAAAAAAAAAATAAAAAAATAAAAAAAAGAGAGGGTTAGATGTGGTGGCTCACGCATATTAATCCCAGCACTTTCGGAGGCCAAGGTGCATGGACTGCTTGAGCCCAGGAATTTGAGACCAGCCTGGGCAACATGGTGAAACCCCTTCTCTACAAAAAAATTTTTTTAAATTAGCGGATAGTCAGGCGGCACTTTGGGAGGCTGAGGTGGGCGGACAATTTGAGGTCAAGCGTTCGAAGCCAGCCTGGCCAAGATGGTGAAACCCCATCTCTACTAAAAATACAAAAATTAGCTGGGCTTGGTGGTGGGCACCTGTAATCCCAGCTTCTCGGGAGGCTGAGGCAGGAGAATCACTTGAGCCTGGGAGGCGGAGGTTGCAGTGAGCAGAGATCACGCCACTGCACTCCAGCCTGGATGACAGAGTGAGACTTTGTCTCAAAAAAAAAAAAAGAAAATTATAATCAGCTGGTCTCAGCTCCTCAGGGGGCTGAGGCGGGAGGATTGCTTGAGCGTGGGAAGTCAAGGCTGCAGTGAACTGTGATCACACCACTGCACTCCAGCCTGGGTGACAGAGCGAGACTGTCTCAAAAAAAAGAAAAGAAGAAGAAAAAAAGAGAGAAGGATATGGTCCTGCTCTCAGGGCTCCAAGCTGGGGGAAGAACTCCTGCCTAACATAGTCTTGATCTCTCCTCTGAGCCTAGTCTCACTTACCACATAAGATTCTTTGGGCACCAGAAGCTTCTGTTGGATAACCAGCTCCCCACCTGGTCCTTCCTCCCACACTGCTGTCTTCTGTACAGGGAGACAAATGATTAGTCAGTCATACACCTGGGTAGAGGTGTGTGTCTGATAGAGAGCCCCCAGAACCCTTCACTCTGTACCTGCTGTACATTGTAAGGCACCTCCTGGGGCAGGTGTTCTAGGAGCTTCTCTCGGATAATGTTGGCACAGATCTCTTCTGGTGTCTGGCTAGTGAGGACTGCACTGTGGTACTCCCAGGGCCCTGGCTGGGCCTGTGTCAGAAGGTATTGCTGTGGGAACAGAGGGAATAGATGGGCATCTTAATCCCAACCAGGACTTTTCTCCTCACTTTTGCTTCCAGGAGGAAATTTGAGGGCTGTCTTCATATGGTAGAAACCAAGGGCCAGGCTATGGCCAAGACTAACTGACCTTTAGTGTTTTCACGTCCTCCTGGCTTAGGGCTGACAACATGAAGATCTCCTTGAAGTGGGGCCAGCCAATCCTCTGAGGATTTCCCACAGATTGTGTGTTTGGGTCCTTAACTGCTGGGCTGGGGCAATGGGTGCCAGGGTGTGAGTGGAAGGCCTGCCTCATCTTGAGCTTTTTGCCATTGACCACACCTTCAGTGAGGGCTGCCGTGAGCTCCAGGAGAACTGACTTCTGCTTCAAACAATCTACCTGGACATGGGGGATGGGCAAAGGGTGTGTGGTCAGAGATAGGGGACTTGGAGGGAAGTAGACCCCTTCCTCAGGTGGGTAGTGCTCACCTTGTTCATGACCAGGACACTAGGGATCTGGGAGTACTTGGTCAAGCACCTGAGCAACTGGGGGCTGAGCTGGTTCCGTGTCCACTTGTCTGAGACATCCACAAGAACCACAACTAGAAGATGGCAAGGCAGGAAGAAGGAAAAGGAAATGGTCACTCTTCCTCCTGCCCTGACAAAAACTTCCATGGTATGAGCTTGGCTTTTGCCCCCCAAACTACCAAGGAATGAAAGGCCATGACCCCTGTAAACTGGGCTTAAGGTTCCCATCCTGAACCTAACCAAGATCAGCAGATTCCATGCTCTTCCATGGATCTTCCAACAAAGAGAGCTCCAGGTGATGCCTGAGGGACAGACATACATCAGTCAGGAAAGGTCTTATGACTAAGGCATTTCTGATGAGGGATGTGGTATGGTAAAGGGGTTTTCCAGCCCCTATAATGGAATCTCCCCACCCTCTTTCAGTACCTCCCCGCCAATCCACCCCAATTCCACCACCATTACCTCTTCTGTTTACCAGGACTGATAATGCCAGGTGTGTCAAGTAGAATCTAAAATCAGGAAAGTGAGATACCCAGACCCCAGGAGAAAAGATTATGACTGGGAAGTCAGAGAGAGGCTACCTGTGATGTCAGGAGCCTGCCCTCCCTTCTCAGTCAAACTATTATTGACTTTAGGTTTGTTTTTTGTTTTTTTCTGAGACGGAGTCTCACTCTGTCATCCAGGCTGGAGTGCAGTGGCACAATCTCAGCTCACTGCAACCTCTGCCTCCCGGGTTCAAGCAATTCTCCTGCCTCAACCTCCTGAGTAGCTGGGATTACAGGCGTGCACCACCACACCCGGCTAATTTTTGTATTTTTTTAGTAGAGACAGGGTTTCACCATGTTGGCCAGGCTGGTCTTGAACTCCTGATCTCAAGTGATCCGCCTGCTTTGGCCTCCCAAAGTGCTGGGATTACAGACGTGAGCCACTGCGCCCAGGCTGACCTTAGGTTTCTACCATTCTGCTTTGATGGGATCTGGGAGAAAGATGATGACTGTGAATATAAGGAAGATTAGGAAGCAGTAAACAGAGAATGAAATCGGCTGGGCGTGGTGGCTCATGCCTGTAATCCCAGCACTTTGGGAGGCCAAGGCAGGCGGATCACCTGAGGTCAGGAGTTTGAGACTAGCCTGGCCAACATGGTGAAACCCCATCTCTACTAAAAATACAAAAGTAGCCGGGCGTGGTGGCGCATGCCTGTAGTCCCAGCTACTCGGGAGGCTGAGGCAGGAGAACTGCTTAAACCCGGGAGGCAGAGGTTGTAGTGAGCTGAGATCATGCCATTGAACTCCAGCCTGGGCAACAAGAGTGAAACTCCATCTCAAAAAAAAAAAAAAAGAGAGCGAGAGAATGAAATCTTTCTGACTAGATGTCAGGGGAGGGCAAGGTAGAGACAGAACTGTACCATGCCTAAAGGAAGAGGAAACCCCCTTTCCTGGCCAGGCGCAGTGGCTCACACCTGTAATCCCAGCACTTTGGGATGCTGAGGCAGGCGGATCACGCGGTCAGGAGATCGAGACCATCCTGGCTAACACAGTGAGACCCCATCTCTACTAAAAATACAAAAAATTAGCTGGGTGTGGTGGCAGGCGCCTGTAGTCCCAGCTACTCAGGAGGCTGAGGCAGGAGAATGGCGTCAACCTGGGAGGTGGAGCTTGCAGTGAGCCAAGATCGCGTCACTGCACTCCAGCCTGGGAGACAGAGTGAGACTCCATCTCAAAAAAAAAAAAAAAGAAAAAGAAAAGAAACCCCCTTTCCTCACATAAATGAATGTGACCATCATTTTCTTCAAGGCTGATGGTAAGGGAGACCCTCTTAGCTTCACCCTCTGTCCTGTTTCAAGGACTCCCTTTGTAGGTACCCACCACCTGGGTCTCCTTCTCTGTGATGACCCCCAGAGCTTGGCAGCGAGTAGTATGCACCTTCCTGGAAACAGGGAACACCTGCCAGGAACAAAGGAGTCTCAGTGAGGTCCCAGATCCCTCCAAGACCATCCTTGAAGGCATGGCAAGAAGTAAAAGATGTAAAGGGTAGGATGGTCAAGGGTGTAGCATACCTTTCGGCCCAGTAGCTGGTTGGAGAGTGTTGACTTCCCTGCATTCGGGGCTCCCAGGAGGACCACTCGTAGGACCCGGGAATTCTCAGGCATATCAGGGTGATGGACCAAGAGGACATCCTGCTCATCTATGTGCAAGTGGGAAGAAGCATGAGACACAGTGGAATCTGGATTTCCTGTCAAGTGCTTGTTCCTGCCCACCCACAAAGGGAGCAGGGGTACAAAATTAGTGCACCAGGTTGAAGTCACCTAGAGCTGACTTTGAGACTTTGGCCCTTAATTTACATTAATTTATAAAGTAACTCCCTGAGCCCTTTAGTTTTCTCATATGTAAAAGTGAGTTGATATTAACAGTACCTACTTACCAGCTTATAATTTTTTTGATGACTAGCAATTGTGTAAAACAACTCAGCACAATACCTGGCACTTAATAATTACTGCATGTAATTATAATGTATAGCTGTGCCTGAGAAGTGAATGTACATGAAAGCAAGCTGGATTACACAAAGCCAGATATTTCCTCAGCTCTCATTCTCTCACCCTACTAAGGGTGCTATGAAGGCCCTGCAAGCTTTCCCAGTCTTTTTTTTTTTTTTTCCTGAAGGAGGGACGGGAGGAAGGGCTAAGGGTCAAGAAGGGAGAGGGCCCAGTCTTTTTATATTATCTTCTTATGACACCATTTTGCAATGACCAGTTTGTGTCCAGTCTCCAATACCGGACACTGTTTGAAGAATAAAGTGTGCTGTTTTCCAGGTGTAACTGTGTCTTAACAAGAAGATGAGGCCCAACATGCATTTACTGGATCAAATTTGCTTCCCATGTCGGGGTGCAGAGCCATAGTTCCACTTTGTGGCCCTTCAATCTCATGCTCTTTAGTGAGCGTCTCTGGTTGTGACCAGATCGTTTCCTTCTCCCACTCAAACTGTTATTTCTCTCCTGAGAGATTTTTCACTGCTCCTCCCTGTCAGGGCCTCAAAATTGTTTTCTATAAAATAGAATCAAAGACAGTATCCCCAGAAACCTTTCAATACTAAAAACATGACAGTTCCGAGCAAACCTATCAGGGCGCTTTACCTCTGTTCATGGACACCGCGGGGACGCAAGGAGTCACCGAACTGTCGGGCTGAGAGAATCCGAGGAAGTGGTCCAGGGCAGAGCCCTGGCCATTACTGCGAGAAGCCGAGGCCAAGCGGGGACCAGAGAAAGCGGACCCCGCGACGCAGGACACGCACCTCCGTTGGAAGCCTAAGAGTGAGGAAAAAGGGATCACCCGCTCCCTCGCGACATGAGGGCCCACCTGCCAGACTCTTAACACCGATTGAACAAGCCTAGCCCCGCGCCAGCTGGGGGCAGCCATTACAGCCGCAAGGCACTGCGGGAACCGACCAGGAGCGCTCCTACGATTGAACAGAGCGGCTGACGAACCAGCGAGTAGGAGAGAGGTAGGTCTGCCCAAATTGAAAGCCGAGACACATGGGATGTGGGCGGGAGGAGGAATTGCTCTGGAGACTGGTGGAGGCTAAGGAAAGGGGAAAATGTGTATTTAGAGTCTGTGCAAGCATGACGGTAGTTTTGGACTCCCATACACAACGTATTTTTTTCTTCTGCCAAAGTTTTGTAAACGGCCCTTCTGGCCATGTCTCCTAAAAGACTACATTTCCCATGAGGCCAAATAGCAGAAATCGTCCTCCCATCGAGGGAGGAATGGTTGTGGGAGTGGGAGGGGGCACTGTTCCGCCTGTCCCCGTAAGGGTTTTGTTGTTGTTTGTTCCTAGTCCTTTCCATCCTTTGGCCTGCAGGATCCTCTCCCAGCCTTAATTTGGCTTGCCCTAGAGGTCAGCGGTGGCCCCGGGCTGTCTGCACCTTTGCTTTAGGCTAGGTTCCTGGAAGGAGTGGTCCTTGGGTCGGTGTTTGGGATGAAGAGCAGGTCTGGATTTCCCTCCTGTAAGCCTTGGCTACTGTCTACTATCTGAGGTCATTCCTTTATGGAGAACAACCAGAGGGTTTGCAAAGGAGGAAGAAGTGGCTTAGCCACCTAAGGTCTCCTAGACCGCTCTAGCAGCCGGAGAAACTCATTTACCTTGCTCTGTTTGAGGCCTTGAGCCCTCTTCATCCTTTGTAGCCTCTAAATCAAACACTTGAAACAGAGAGCTGGGCGCGGTGGCTCACGCCTGTAATCCCAGCACTTTGGGAGGCCGAGGCGGGCGGATCACGAGGTCAGGAGATCGAGACCATCCTGGCTAATACGGTGAAACCCGGTCTCTACTAAAAATACAAAAAATTAGCCGGGCGTGGTGGCGGGCGCCTGTAGTCCCAGCTACTCAGGAGGCTGAGGCAGGAGAATGGCGTGAACCTGGGAGGCGGAGCTTGCAGTGAGCTGAGATTGCACCACTGCACTCCAGCCTGGGCGATAGAGCGAGACTCCATCTCAAAAAAAAAAAAAAAAAAAAGAAACAGAGATAAACTTTGGTAGAGGGGGTGTTGAGGAAGGAAGGTTCTTAGAGTCAGTGCTCATTCTGTCACCCAGGCTGGAGTGCAGTGGCATGATCATAGCTCACTGGAGCCTGAAACTCTTGGGTTCAAGCGATCTTCCAGTTTCAGCCCTCTTGAGTAGCTAGGACTACAGGCACATGCTAACATGCCTGACTATGGAGGAAGATGTATAAAGCATCCACTAGCAAGCTCTGTCCTGTGCTGGGAATACATCAGTGAACAAAACAGACAGAAATCTCTATCACGGGATTTCAGGGACCCCATCTCTAAAATAACAATAGCAACAAAAATACAACACAATACAGTATAACAACTATTTATATAGCACTTACATTGTATTAGATATTATAAGTAATCTAGAGACTTTAAGATGACTTAAAGTCATCTCTTACTACAAGAGAATCAGCAGATTTTGGTATCCATAGGATGGGAGGGTGGAAATTATGGTATCTAAATTCCCTGGGAAGACACCACTGTATATTCTGGCTATCCTCAATTTCTCTTCTCCCATTCTTTCTTTTATTTTTATTTTTTTGAGACAGGGTCTTGCTCTCTCACCCAGACTGGAGTGCAGTGGTGCAATCATGGCTCACTACAGCCTCGACCTCCCAGTCTCAAGCGTTCCTCCCACCTCAGCCCTGCTAGTAGCTGTGACTACAGACCTGCCGCTGCCATGCCTAGTAATTCTTTTTTTTTTTTTTTTTTGAGACAGAGTTTCACTCTTGTTGCCCAGGCTTCAGTGCAATGGTGCAATCTTGGCTCACTGCAACCTCTACTTCCCGGGTTGAAGTGATTTTCCTGCCTCAGCCTCCCGAGTAGCTGGGATCACAGGCATACACCACCATGCCCGGCTAATTTTGTATTTTCAGTAGAGACGGGGTTTCTCCATGTTGGTCAGGCTGGTCTTGAACTCCCGACCTCAGGTGATCCGCCCACCTCAACCTCCCAATGCGCTGGGATTACAGGCGTCAGCCACCTCGCCCAGTGCTAATTTTTAAATCTTTTGCAGAGACAGAGTCTCACTATGTTGCCCAGGCTGGTTACGAACTCCTTGCCTCAAGTGATCCTCTGCCTTGGCCTCCCCAAGTGCGAGTTTACAGGCATGAGACACCATGCTTGGCCTTTCCCCAGATATTTTTTTCTTCAGTTGGTTGAATTCCTGGATGCTGAACCCTTGGATATTGAGGACCAGTATTGAGCAGGAGAGGGCTGTGGGGTTAACAGAGGATTTTCTTTTCTTTTTTAAGAGGAAAATTTTATTCTTACTGAGATGGAGTCTGGCTCCCCTAGGCTGGAGTGCAATGGTTGAATCTCACTGCAACCTCCACCTCCCAGACCCAAGCAATCCTCCCTCTTCAGCCTCCCAAGTAGCTGGGACTACAGATGCGGGCCACCACATCCGGCTAATTTTTTGGTAATTTTTTTGTACAGATGGGGTTTCACCATGTATTCCAGGTTGGTCTTGAACTCTGCCTACTCCATCTCCCAAAGTGCTGAGATAACAGGCGTGAGTCACTGTACCTGGCCTGAACATTTTTTTTTGGAGACAGAGTCTCGCTCTGTCGCCCAGGCTGGAGTGCAGTGGCACGATCTTGGCTCTGCCTCCCGGGTTCAGGCCATTCTCCTGCCTCAGCCTCCCGAGTAGCTGAGACTGCAGGCGCCCACCACCATGCCCGGCTAATTTTTTGTATTTTTAGTAGAGACGGTGTTTTACTGTGTTAGCCTGGATGGTCTCGATCTCCTGACCTCGTGATCCACCCGCCTTGGCCTCCCAAAGTGCTAGGATTGCAGGCGTGAGCCACCGCGCCAGGCCACGTTGCTTTTTTTAATTAAAAAAAAATTTTTTTGAGCCACAGTCTCACTCTGTTGTCTGAGCTGGAGTGTAGTGGTTTAATTTTGGCGCACTGCAACCTCCACCTCCTGGGCTCAGGTGATTCCCCCATTTTAGCCTCCCAGGTAGCTGGGACTACAGATGTGCCTGACCACGCCCAGCTAATTTCTGTTTTTGGTTTTTTTTTTTTTTTTGAGATGGAGTCTTTCTCATTGCCCAGGCTGGAGTGCAGTGGTGCGATCTCAGCTCACTGCAACCTCCACCTCCCTGGTTCAAGTGATTCTCCTGGCTCAGCCTCCCGAGTAGCTGGGATTACAGGTGCCCGCCACCACACTGGCTAATTTTTGTATTTTTAGTAGAGACAGGGTTTCGCCATGTTGGCTAGGCTGGTCTCAAACTCCTGACCCGGTGATCTGCCCGCCTTGGCGTCCCAAAGTGCTGGGATTACAGGGATGAGTCACTGCACCTAGCCTAATTTCTGTATTTTTTATAGAGACAGGCTGTCACCATGTTGCCCAGGTTGGTCTTTTGTTTGTTTGTTTGTTCGTTTGAGACTCCCAGGCTGGAGTGCAATGGCATGATCTTGGCTCACTGCAACCTCTGCCTCCCGGGTTCAAGCTATTTTCCTGCCTCAGGCTCCCAAGTAGGTGGGGTTACAGTCTTCTGCCACCACGCCCGGCTAATTTTTTGTATTTTTAGTAGAGATGGGGTTTCACCATGTTGGCCAGGCTGGTCTCGAACTCCTGACCTCAGGTGATCCACCCACCTCGGCCTCCCAAAGTGCTGGGCTTACAGGTGTGAGCCACCATGCCTGGCTTGGCCCAGGCTGGTCTTGAACTCCTGGGCTCAAGTAAGCCATCTGCTTTGACCTCCCAAAGTGCTGAGATTACAGGTGTGAGTTACTGCCCCTAGCCTTGGAACATTTTTTTGTTTTGTTTTGTTTTGTTTTGAGATGGAGTCTCCCTCTGTCGCCCAGGCTGGAGTGCAGCGGTGCGATCTCAGCTCACTGCAACCTCCACCTCCTGGGTTCAAGCAATTCTTCTGCCTCAGCCTCCTGAGTAGGTGGGATTACAGGCGCACCCCACCAAGCCCGGCTAATTTTTGTAGTTTTAGTACAGACGGGGTTTCACCATATTGGCCAGGCTTGTCTCAAACTCCTAACCTTGTGATTTGCCCACCTTGGCCTCCCAAAGCGTTGGGATTACAGGTGTGAGCTGCCATGCCTGGCGGAACATTTTTTTACAATTTTTGATTTTTATAGAAAGAACCTGTTCAAAATTGGTCAGACACTGCACACGAGAAGTTTCTAGAACCACAATGATGAAAACAACAAAAACCGACAGACAGAAGAAAATAGGCAAACAGACAGAACCTACAAACAGAACAAACAGAACAAAAATACCCGAGACTAAACTGTTTCAAAATCAAGGTCCCAGTTGACCAAAGGATTCTAAAGAAACTCATGTGGCCGGCCGGGCGCGGTGGCTCAAGCCTCTAATCCCAGCACTTCGGGAGGCCGAGGTGGGCGGATCACAAGGTCAGGAGATCGAGACCATCCTGGCTAACACGGTGAAACTCTGTCTCTACTAAAAATACAAAAAAGCCGGGCGTGGTGTCAGGCACTTGTAGTCCCAGCTACTTGGGAGGCTGAGGCAGGAGAATGGCGTGAACCCAGGAAGCGGGGCTTGCAGTGAGCCGAGATCGCACCACTGCACTCCAGCCCGGGCGACAGAGCAAGACTCTGTCTTAAAAAGAAAAAAAAAAAGAAACTCATATGGCCAAGGGTGAGGAGACTCCAATGCCTGAGCAAGTACCCAGAGTGGAAGGAAAAACAGTTCAGAAATTCAAATCGCAATCCCTGCCCGCTGGCCCCTCATGCTATCAAGAGTGAGGCAAAGGGCTTCACAGCTTTATGGGGCAGAGAAGAGAGTGATGACAATAGGACAATAGCTTAAATAATGGGAGGAGGGGGAATTTTTTTTTGAGACAGAGTTTCACTCTTGTTGGCCAGGTTGGAGTGCAATGGCATGACCTCGGCTCACTGCAACCTCTGCCTCCTGGGTTCTAAGTGATTCTCCTGCCTTAGCCTCCTGAGTAGTTGGGATTACAGGCATGCGCCACCACGCCTGGCTAATTTTTTGTATTTTTAGTAGAGACGGGGTTTCTCCATGTTGGTCAGGCTGGTCTCGAACTCCCAATCTCAGGTGATCCGCCCTCCTCGGCCTCCCAAAGTGCTGGGATTACAGGCGTGAGCCACTGCGCCTGGTGAGGAGGGGAATTTTTACATTTCAACTTTTTGTTTTCTCTTCCCTTATAGGGAAAGAGGAGAGAGTGGTAGCTTGAAGTTAAGGAGAAAACAGTGATTTTTTTTCTTCTTCTTTAATGTAGAAAACATCTAGGAATGGCAGGCTGTAATGAAAAAAATGCCAAATTTGGCCACTTCCTAAAGAGGAGGTGGGCGCTTGTGTGGGTTGGTTATGAGAGTTACCAACCTTGGGTGTTGCAGCTTCTTGGAAGAAAACACTCCAGATACAAAGATTTGAGGGTGAGAGAGTAGAAGGGGGGCCAGAATGGGCAACCCTTAAGTGGTACCAAAATTAGCTGCGGCCTGCTCCCTGCTGGTGAGTTCCTGGAGTGTAGAGAATAGCAGGGAAGGAATTGGGGTAGAAGAGAAAATAAGTTGATATGCTGATTTAAAAAAAACAACTCTACTCAAGGCTCCATGGCCCCGGGTCCGAAGAGTAGAAAATCGCTAAGTGTCAATTACAGTGCTTTCTTGGGTCATCCCCCACTTTTTTTTTTTTTTTTTGAGACGGAGTCTCGCTGTCTCCCAGGCTGGAGTGCAGTGGCGCAATCTCGGCTCACTGCAAGCTCCGCTTCCCGGGTTCTCGCCATTCTCCTGCCTCAGCCTCCCCAGTAGCTGGGACTACAGGTGCCCGCCACCACGCCCGGCTAATTTTTTGTATTTTTAGTGGAGACGAGATTTCACCATGTTAGCCAGGATGGTCTCGATCTCCTAACCTCGTGATCCTCCCGCCTCGGCCTCCCAAAGTGCTGGGATTATAGGCGTAAGCCACCGCGCCCGGCCGGGTCATCCCCCACTTAACATGAGCTCAGTTCTGGTGGGGAATCAGTGCTGCCAGGACTAGGGGTATGGGCTGGTGGCCCAGTCTAGACTCTTGGCTCCCAGGGGAGAGGGGAAGGTGGCGCCCCCTGCTGGAGACTATATGACAACAACATATATTCCTATATTTGAACCACTGCGGGTCTTCTGAGCCATTTCCCTACTTGAATTTCTTTTTTTCTTTCTTTGAGACAGTCTTGCTCTGTCGCCCAGGCTAGAGTGCAGTGGCCCGATCTTGGCTCACTGCAACCTCCGCCTCCCTGGTTCAAGCGATTCTCCTGCCTCAGCCTCCCAAGTAGCTGGGATTACAGGTAGCCACCACCACACCGGCTAATTTTTTTATTTTTAGTAGAGACACACTTTCACCACCTTGGCCAGGCTGGTCTTGAATTCCTGACCTCGTGATCCACCTTCCTCAGCCTCCCAAAGTGCTGCGATTACAGGCGTGAGCCACCGTGCCCGGGCCCCTACTTGAATTTCTTACCAAGGGCAGAATAGTGGATTTTTCCCCTGCCAATCATTAATTCATTATATACAATATAGTTATCCATAGAAACACCCCTACTGCAAACTCAGACCATGTGGTTGGATGAGGCTCACCCCAGGCAAGGAGCACACAACTCGGAACCAACTCAATCAGCGTATAACATTCTCTAGCCCATGATGATTGTTTTAGAGATGGGCACATAACCCAGGGAGATAAAACGTACAAGGAGAATTTTGCTTCTTTCCCACTGGAGCTGGATGTAAGAAGACATAATATCTGGAGCTGCTGCAGTCATGTTGATACCAGAAGGGGAGAGCCAACCCAGAGAAAGATGTCATTTATTCGCTCCTGAACAAAAATCTATTGAGTACTTGCTATGTGCCAGACACCGCTCTAGGGTTCAAGTCACCCACCTCAGCCTTCCAAAGTGTTGGGATTTCAGATGTGAGCCAACATGCGCAGGCTCCATCTGCTTCTCTCTCCTTCATCTTCACTACACTATTTTGTTTTCTTTCTTTCTTTTCTTTTCTTTTTTTTTTTTTTGAGGCGGAGTCTCGCTCTTTCGCCCAGGCCGGAGTACAGTGGCGCTATCTCGGCTCACTGCAAGCTCCGCCTCCCGGGTTCACACCATTCTCCGGCCTCAGCCTCCGGAGTAGCTGGGACTATAGGCGCCCGCCATGGCGCCCGGCTCATTTTTTGTATTTTTAGTAGAGACGGGGTTTCACCATGTTAGCCAGAATGGTCTCGATCTCCTGACCTCGTGATCTGCCCACATCGGCCTCCCAAAGCGCTGGGATTACAGGAGTGAGCCACCGCGCCCGGCCTTGTTTTTCTTTATTTAATTAATTTATTTATTTATGTTTGAGATAGAGTCCTTCTCTGTCGCCCAGGCTGCAGTGCAGTGGCACGATCTCGGCTCACTGCAACCTCCACTTCCCAGATTCAAGCAATAGTCCTGCCTTAGCCTCCGGAGTAGGTGGGATTACAGGCTTCCGCCACAATGCCCGGCTAATTTTTTGTATTTTTAGTAGAGATGGGGTTTCTCCATGTTGGCCAAACTGGCCTCGAACTCCTGACCTCGTGATCCGCCTGCCTCAGCCTCCCAAAGTGCTGGGACTATAGGCATGAACCACCACGCACGGCCCACTACACTATTTTAGTAAGGAAGATAAAGTTACACCTTGTAACTTGGGGTCACGGAAGTTTTAGATTTTTTCTTTTTCTTTTTTTTTTCTTTTGAGACGGAGTCTCTGTCGTTCAGGCTGGAGTGCAATGGCACTATCTCGGCTCACTGCAACCTGTGCCTCTGGGGTTCAAGCGATTTTCCTGCCTCAGCCTCCCGAGTAGCTGGGATCACAGGCATGTTCCACCATGCCCGGCTAATTTGGTATTTTTAGTAGAGATGGGGTTTCTCCATGTTGGTCAGGCTGGTCTCGAACTCCTGACCTTAGGTGATCTACCCACCTAGGCCTCCCAAAGTGCTGGGATTACAGGCGTCAGCCACCACGCCCAGCGCTAATTTTTAAATCTTTTGCAGAGACAGAGTCTCACTACGTTGCCCAGGCTGGTCACGAACTCCTGGCCTCAAATGGTCCTCTGCCTTGGCCTCCCCAAGTGCTGAGTTTACAGGCATGAGACACCACGTTTGGCCTTTCCCCAGATATTTTTGTTCTTCGGATGGTTGAATTCCTAGATGCTGAACCCTTGGATATTGAGGACCAATATTGAGCAGGAGAGGGCTGTGGGGTTAATAGAGGATTTTCTTTTCTTTTTTAAGAGGAAAATTTTATTCTTACTGAGATGGAGTCTGGCTCCCCTAGGCTGGAGTGCAATGGTTGAATCTCACTGCAACCTCCGCCTCCCAGACCCAAGCAATCCTCGCTCTTCAGCCTCCCAAGTAGCTGGGACTACAGATGCGGGCCACCACACCCGGCTAATTTTTTGGTAATTTTTTTGTACAGACGGGTTTTCACCATGTGGCCCAGCTTGGTCTCAAACTCCGCCTACTCCACCTCCCAAAGTGATGACATTACAGGCGTGAGTCACCGTACCTGGCCTGAACATTTTTTTTTTAATTAAAAAAATTTTTTTGAGACACAGTCTCACTCGGTTCCTTAGGCTGCGGTGTAGTGTAGTCTAGGCTCACTGCAACCTCTGCCTCCTGGGTTCAAGTGATTCTCCCACCTCAGCCTCCCAAGTAGGTGGGACCACAGGTGTGCACCACCACATCCAGCTAATTTTTTTTTTTTTTTTTGAGATGGAGTCTTGCTCTGTCGCCCAGGCTGGAGTGCAGTGGCATGGTCTCGGCTCACTGCAACCTCCACCTCCTGGGTTCACGCCGTTCTCCTGCCTCAGCCTCCTGTGTACCTGGGACTACAGGCGCCCGCCACCATGCCCAGCTAATTTTTTGTATTTTTAGTAGAGACGGGGTTTCACCGTGTTAGCCAGGATGGTCTCGATCTCCTGACCTCGTGATCCACCCGCCTTGGCCTCCCAAAGTGCTGAGATTACAGGCGTGAGCCACCAGGCCCAACCCTTATTTATTTATTTATTTTTCTTTTTGAGATGGAGCCTTGCTCTGTCACCCAGGCTGGATTGCAGTGGCGCAATCTTGGCTCACTACAACCTCCACCTCCCGGGTTCAATTGATTGTCCCACCTCAGCCCCCCAAGTAGCTGGGACTACAGGCACCCGCCACCATGCCCGGCTAATTTTTTGTATTTTTAGTAGAGATGGGGTTTCACCGTGTTAGCCAGAATGGTCTCGATCTCCTGACCTTATGATCTGCCCACCTCGGCTTCCCAAAGTGCTGGGATTACAGGTGTGACCCACTGTGCCTGGCCTATTTATTTATTTTTTCTTTTTTTCCTTTTTTTTTTGAGACAGAGTCTCGCTCTGTCGCCAAGGCTGGAGTGCAGTGGCGCGATCTCGGCTCACTGCAAGCTCCGCTTCCCAGTTCATGCCATTCTCCTGCCTCGGCCTCCCGTGTAGCTGGGACTACAGGCGCCCACCACCACGCCCAGCCAATTTTTTTGTATTTTTGTATTTTTTTTTTTTGAGATGGAGTCTCGCTCTGTCCCCAGGCTGGAGTGCAGTGGCACCGTCTTGGCTCACTGCAAGCTCTGCCTCCGGGCTTCACGCCATTCTCCCGCCTCAGCCTCCCAAGTAGCTGGGACTGCAGGGGCCCGCCACCATGCCCGGCTAATTTTTTATATTTTTAGTAGAGATGAGGTTTCACCGTGTTAGCCAGGATGGTCTCGATTTCCTGACCTCGTGATCCGCCCACCTCGACCTCCCAAAGTGCTGGGATTACAGGCCTGAGCCACCGCGCCCGGCCCTATTTATTTTTTTAATTGAGATGGAGTCTCACTCTGTTATCCAGGCTGGAGTGCAGTGGTGCGATCTCGGCTCATTGTAACCTCCGTTCCTGGGTTCAAGCGATTTTCCTGCCTCAGCCTCCTGAGTAGCTGGGACTACAGGTGCATGCCACCATGCCCAGATAATTTTTGTATTTTTTCAGTAGAGACAGGGTTTCACCGTGTTGGCCAGGCTGGTCTCGAATTCCTGGCTTCAAGTGATCCGCCCGCCTTAACCTCCCAAAGTGCTGGGTTTACAGGCATGAGCTATCTTGCCTGGCCACTATTTTTTAGATTTTTTGTAGAGATGAGTCTCCCTATGTTGCCCAGGCTGGTCTCTAACTCCTGGGCTCAAGCAATCCTCCCAACCTGGCCTCCCAAAATGTTGGGATTACAAGCATAAGTCACTATGCCCAGCTTTATTTTTAATTTTTTTTTCTTTTGAGACGGAGTCTCGCTCTGTCGCCCAGGCTGGAATGCAGTGGCTTGATCTCGGCTCACTGCAAGCTCCGCCTCCCGGGTTCACGCCATTCTCTTGCCTCAGCCTCCTGAGTAGCTGGGACTACAGGCGCCCGCCACCACGCCCGGCTAATTTTTTGTATTTTTAGTGAGACGGGGTTTCACCGTGTTAGCCAGGATGGTCTCGATCTCCTGACCTCATGATCCGCCCGCCTCGGCCTCCCAAAGTGCTGGGATTACAGGCGTGAGCCACTGCACCTGGCCTATTTAAATTTTTTTAACATTCCTCATTGAGCACTCAACTTGTCTTTTTTTCTTCTCTTTTTCCCCCTTACGTTGTATCTTGGGCCTTATGTGTCCAAACTCTGAAGAGAGGAGACCAGCGCTGGAGTTGAGAGAGAAAAAAGAGCCATGGTGATGAGGAGAGAGTTTAGTCCTGTACCTCCTCTTGCCTGCTGCTTTCAAGTCTGTTTTGTTGAATTCTCAGGACTCGATTGAGCTTAGTCTCTTGTCAGGCTATGCCAAAGCAGCACAGTAGTCTAGGGACTGACAGTTGGGCCTCACTGGACTTTAGTGGTTTTCTTTTACCAGTTTGAAAAAGGGCCAGGCTCACAGTGAGAGCTGGAAAGCAGGGGACTATTTGCCTGCGAATTCCTCAATAGCATACACGCGATGCCTAGAACATTTCTGTCCAATAAACAGCATGTGCTTGATAAACATACTGAACTTAGCGGTGTCCCCAGTGCATTCTAGGCGAGGTCACCTCCTTGACAAGGTCCCCAGGACTTCATTGCACCTCCTAGCTAGTAGCGTATTCTAGGATGGCAAAGCTGCCTTTACATAATTACCCCCGATACATTCTAGACACGATCATCTTGAAAGAGACCCAAATTTTACCAGGCATGGTGACTCAGGCCTGTAATCCCAGCACTTTGGGAGGCCGGGGCGGGCGAATCATCTGAGGTCAGGAGTTCGAGACCAGCCTGGCCAACATGGTGAAACCCCGTCTCTACTAAAAATACAAAAGTTAGCCAGGCGTGGTGGTGCAAGCCTGTAATCCCAGCTAGTCAGGAGGCTGAGGCAGGAGAATCGTTTGAACCCGGGAGGCGGAGGTTGCAGTGAGCTGAGATCGCGCCACTGCACTCCAGCCTGGGCAACAAGAGCAAAACTCCGTCTCAAAAAAAAAAAAAAAAAAAAAAGACCCAGGCTGGGCGCGGTGGCTCATGCTTGTAATCCCAGCGCTTTAGAAGGCTGAGGTGGGTGGATCACCTGAGGTCGGGAGTTCGAGACCAGCCTGACCAACATGATAAAACCCCGTCTCTACTAAAAATACAAAATTAGCTGGGCGTGGTGGTGCATGCCTGTAATCCCAGCTACTCGGGAGGCTGAGGCAGGAGAATCGCTTGAACCCGGGAGGCGGAGGTTGTTTGAGCCGAGATCACGCCATTGCACTCCAACCTGGACAACAAGAGCGAAACTTCGACTCAGAAAAAAAAAAAAAAAGACCCAAATTTATCATCAGTGGTCACCTCAGAGCACCTGAATTCAGGCCTTTAAGTGCAAGTAGGATGCAGAATTCTGGAAGAGCCAGTAAGTCTGTGGCTCCTTGGGGAAGCGCGATCCAAGGGTTTAGTAACCTAGGCACGGTACTCCAGAGGCGTACCCTGAGGCAGCCGCCAAATTCTCTAAGCCTCAGAATTCTTCAAGGCCAGCTCCCATGTCCACTAGAGACCCAGGGGTCCAGACCATCAGGCACTGAGGAAGACGCCCCCGGCAGGGGCTGCGCAGGCGCGTGCGGCCCGAAAGGGCCCAGGCGCTACACGCTGCGCAGGCGCAGGAGCGGCTCCGGGTAGTCCCCACAGCTGCGCCGGTGACTGAGGGGCCGGGCAGTGGAGAAGTGGTGGCGGCGGGCGGCGGGCGGCAAAGGAGCAGCCATGAGGGCCGGGCCCAGTCACCGACCGTGAGTAGTGGTGGAGGGGGAGTGGACAACGCGTGGGAAGAGGGTAACTTAGCGGAAGGATACATGACTTTGTGGGGTGGGCTCTGACTGTGGGAGACGGAAGGGCGTGGGGGAGGTACAGTTTGAGGTGATGATGGGAGAATTTGGGGCACGGGTGGCCCGGTCGCCGGCCGCAGAGCTGGACAGCTTGGTGGAGGGGGACGGGGTTGCGTGCTGTGGAGTGAAGCAGCCCATTTGTATCATCCCTTCCTCCAGGAGCTTTTGGTCGCCTCTCCTTTCCGCTTCTTTCAGAGAATGATTGCGGGGGGAGGGTGGTGGAGGATGAAAGCTCTGCTGGAGCTTAAGAAGCCACCTCTGAACCAGGCAGGGGAAGGGTCGGTCTCCCGGAGTAATAGGCTGCTCTGGGTAGAGGATGGGAGTCGGGAACCCTCTTTTGAAAGCCGGGAGGGGTCTAGGGAAAAGAGCTAGGGGCTTAGAGTCAGGCAGGTTCGAAAGGAAGTCCACCATTGATAAAGCTGTTAGGTAACCTTGGGCAGGTCCCACTTAACCTTTCTGAACACCAGGAAGATGTCATGCTTCAAACGGGCTATTGCAAGCATCACCTATGTAATTGAGATTGTTTATGCAAATTGTGAATTGTAAGTACTATGTTGATGTTAATGTATCACCAACAATGTTAGTGGAATTTAGACCTTACCGTTGTTAATGGAATGACTGATTTCTCTGTTAAGATAAGAAGCGTATTGTTTGTAAAACCTCAGTAGACACATATGTGCTTTCTTTATGGGCACAGCAGACCATGTGCAGAACTACCAGTTCTGTAATGTGATAAATTAGCCATCAGACTTCTGTAGGAAAAATACCGTACTCCGGCGTTTTTACAAACGGTTTGCAGCTCCTCACCCGAAAGGATGGAGGGCCAATCTATTAAAATATTTTCTGAACATAGCTAACTCATGTTGCCTTATAACACAGTTGGCACTAATGTGCTTTAACGAGTTGAGAAAAGGCCGGGTGCAGTGGCTCATGTCTGTAATCCCAGCACTTTGGGAGGCCGAGGCGGGCGGATCACGAGGTCAGAAGTTGGAGACCAGCCTAGCCAACGTAGTGAAATCCCGTCTCTACTAAAAATACAAAAAATCAGCCGGGTGTGGTGGCGGGCGCCTGTAATCCCAGCTGCTTGGGAAGCTGAGGCAGGGGAATCACTCGAACCCGGGAGGCAGAGGTTGCGGTGAGCCGAGATAGTGCTATTGCACTCCAGTTCGGGTGACAGTGCGAGACTCCGTCTGGAAAAAAGAGTTAAGAAAACTAGTTTGAGACAAGCTGGGAGGGCTGCCCAGTGAGGGATGTGAAAATATAATTTGTTTATTATATTTTATTTTATTTTTGAGACGGAGTCTCGCTCTGTCGCCAGGCAGGAGTGCAGTGGCATCATCTCGGCTCACAGCAACCTCCGCCTCCCGGGTTCAAGCGATTCTCCTGTCTCAGCCTCCTGAGTAGCTGGGATTACAAATGCCCACCACCACGCCTGGCTAATTTTTGTAGTTTTAGTAGAGATGGGGTTTCACCATGTTGGCCAGGCTGGTCTTGAACTCCTCACGTCAGGTGATCCACCCACCTCGGCCTCTCAAAGTGCCGGGATTACAGGCGTGAGCCACCGTGCCTGGCTATTTTGTTATCTTTATTTTTATTTTATTTTATTATAATTTTTTTTGAGGTGGGTGAAGGAGTCTTGCTCTGTCACCCAGGCTGGAGTGCAGTGGTGCGAACTTGGTTCACTGCAACCTCCGCCTCCTGGGTTCAAGCAATTCTCCTGCCTCAGCCTCCCTAGTACCTGGGATTATAGGCACGTGCCACCATACCCGGCTAATTTTTGTATTTTTTTTAGTACACTCGGGGTTTCTCCATTGCTGGACAGGCTGGTCTCAAACTTCTGACCTCAGGTGATCCGCCCGCCCCAGCCTCCCAAAGTGCTGGGATTACAGGCGTGAACCACCGTGCTTGGCCCATTTTATTATTTTTAAATTATAAAAAGTTCTCCTTTGCAAAGGAGTCTCTGGCTGCTCCGGGGACCTGTCGCTGTTTTGGAGGTCAGATATGCATAAGGCAGCCCTCTAGCTCTGCTTTTTGTTACCCTGCTTGTCAGTGGGATCTCTCAGGTGGAATATCTCAGAAGAGGAGCCCAAGAGGTGTCTTGGTTTTCCTGAGAGGCTGAAGAAACACTCCTGAGACGTGTTTTTTAATGTAGACAAAGCAGAGGACAAACTATGTGTTTATGGAAAGAGAAAATGGGTTCTTTTTATTTTATTTTGTTTTGACACAGAGTCTTGTTCTGTCGCCCAGGCTGGAGTGCAGTAGCGCAATCTCGGCTCATTGCAACCTCCACCTCCCGGGTTCAAGCAGTTCTCCTGCCTCAGCCTCCAAGTAGTTGCGATTACAGGCACCCACCACCATGCCCGGCTAGTTTTTGTATTTTTAGTAGAGATGGGGTTTCGCCATTTTGGTCAGGCTGGTTTCGAACCAGGTGATCCGCCTGCCTCGGCCTCCCAAAGTGCTGGGATCACAGGCGTAAGCCACCAAGCGCAGTGAGAAAATGGTTTCTAAAGTAGAGATGCAGACTCCTTTTAAAAGGACATAGACACTTCAGCTTTGCTGACTCTGAGGATTGAGACCTTAAACTGTCAAGGCGTTTTGGCAATTGATGAGTGATTGGTCTTTTACCTGAGTAAAGGTAGGGAGGGGCTATACTAGATTCTTGAAGATTCACAAATAAGGGGAGTGAATTTACAGGAATGGGAAAAATGAACCTGGTTGTTTTTAACTTCTCTGTCTGGTAAAATGTGTTTCACTTTTCTTTCCTGGAAATGCACAGTGATGTATAATTTTAACCTTTTTACTTTAGTTCCTTGACCGTCCCAATAGATTATTTGTCTATAATACTTTGTTTAAGATAATAGTTTTAAAAATAAAGCATTTGTTACTATTGTGATAGGTCATTACAGAAATTTATTCCATGTTTGACTACTACATGGAGTAGAGTATAAAATGTTAAAGCTGGGCATAGCTATCTTATTTTATTTTTTAATAGTTGGACATTTATTTTTAATGTTGGTAATGCATTTTTCCCCCTACTGGAAATTTCCATCAGTTCAAATAAGCGCATAAATGCCACCCATGTTATGTTAAAATAATAGAGGTTTGTTCAGCTGTGATGAGAATTTCCTGTCCTCCTCTCCTTCTGTTATCTTTCCTACTTGTGGTTACTTTTATGTAGTAAATGACCTTACAAAATGAGGATTTCTTTCCCTGGGGAAGAAAAAGGGGTGGGCTAGTATCTTGATTGCCTTTCGTGTGAGAAGTTTTTCTAAAGTGGGAGAGGAACTTTGGAGATTTAAGGACTTCCTGTGAATCTCTGACATACCAGGGGCTAAAATAAATATTTATTGGCTTATTATTATCATTATTATTATTTTTTGAGACGGAGTCCTGCTCTGTTGCCCAGACTGGATTGCAGTGGCGCGATCTCGGCTCACTGCAAGCTCCGCCTCCCGGGTTCTCGCCATTCTCCTGCCTCAGCCTCCCTAGTAGCTGGAACTACAGGCACCCGCCACCATGCCTGGCTAATTTCTTTTCATATTTTTAGTAGAGACGGGGTTTCACCGTGTTAGCCAGGATGGTGTCGATCTCCTGACCTTGTGATCTGCCCGACTCAGCCTCCCAAAGTGCTGGGATTACAGGCATGAGCCACCATGCCCGGCCTTATTTTATTTTTTTTGATACCAAGTTTCACTCTGTTGCCCAGGCTGGAGTGCAATGGCGAGATCTCAGCTGATTGCAACGTCTGCCTCCTGTGTTCAAGTGATTCTCTGGTCTCAGCCTCCTGAGTAGCTGGGATTACAGGCGCGTACCACCATACCTGGCTGATTTTTGTATTTTTAGTAGAGATGACGTTTCACCATGTTGGCCAGGCTAGTCTCGAACTGCCGACCTCAGGTGATCCGCCTGCCTCGGCCTCCCAAAGTGCTGGGATTGCAGGTGTGAGCCACCGCGCCCAGCCAAAAATCTTTTTTTTGTTTTTAAATTCTATTTATTTATTTATTTATTTTGAGATGGAGTCTCTGTCGCCCAGACTGGAGTGCAGTGACGCGATCTCGGCTCACTATAAGCTCCGCCTCCAAGGTTCACGCCATTCTCCTGCCTCCGCCTCCTGAGTAGCTGGGACTACAGGTGCCCGTCACCACGCCCGGCTAATTTTTTGTATTTTTAGTAGAGATGAGGTTTCACCGTGTTAGCCAGGATGGTCTCGATCTCCTGACCTTGTGATCTGCCTACCTCGGCCTCCCAAAGTGTTGGGATTACAGGCGTGAGCCACCGCGCCCGGCCTATTTGTTGTTTTTTTGAGACAGGGTCTCACTCTGTCGCCCAGACTGGAGTGCAGTGGCGCCATCTTGGCTCAGCGCAACCTCTGCCTCCCTGGCTCAAGCAGTTCTCCTGCTTCAAGCAGTTCTCCTGCTTCAGCCTCCTGAGTAGCTGGGATTACAGGCATGGCACTACTGCCCGGATAATTTTTGTATTTTTAGTAGAAATGGTGTTTCACCATGCTGGCCAGTCTGGTCTCGAACTCCTGACCTCAAATGTTCCACCCGCCTCTACCTCCCAAAGTGCTGGGATTACAGGCGTCAGCCACTGCATCCGGCCTAAAAACATTCTATTTAAAAACAAAATTATTGGTCGGACATGTTGGCTCACTCCTGTAATCCTAGCACTTTGGGAGGCCGAGGTGGGTGGATCATTTGAGGTCAGGAATTCAAGACCAGCCTGGCAAACAAAGTGAAACCCCGTCTCTGCTAAAAATACAAAGATTAGCTGGGCATGGTGGCACCCGCCTGTAATCCCAGTTACTTAGGAGACTGAGGCGGGAGAATCGCTTGAATCCAGGAGGTGGAGGTGGTAATGAGCCGAGCTCATGCCATGGCACTCCACCCTGGGCGAAACAGCGAGCGAGACTCCGTCTCAAAAAACAAAAAAAAAAAAACAAAAAGAAGTATTTAATATCTATTTCTGTCTTATTACCTCTCAGGGTCTCGATTGTTTCCCTGTCAAAGCTCTGTGACTTATAGTGAAAAGGACTACAATTTAACAAGAAAAATACTAAATTTTCTTTATTACAGATGCATTTAATACAAGGAGGGGTAATCAGATTTGCTGGCTCAATTTTTTTAAAAATTTATTTATTTATTTTTTTTTTTTTTGAGACGGAGTCTCCCTCGGTCGCCCAGGCTGGAGTGCAGTGGCTCGATCTCGGCTCACTGCAAGCTCTGCCTCCCGGGTTCACGCCATTCTCCTGCCTCAGCCTCCCTAGTAGCTAGGACTACAGGCGCCCACCAACACACCCAGCTAATTTTTTGTGTTTTTAGTAGACACGAGGTTTCACTGTGTTAGCCAGGATGGTCTCGATCTCCTGACCTCGTGATCCACCCGTCTCAGCCTTCCAAAGTGCAGGGATTACAGGCGTGAGCCACCGCACCTGGCCTTTAAATTTATGTATTTATTTATTTACTTTTTGAGATGGAGTCTCACTCTTGTCACCCAGGCTGGAGTGCAGGGGTGCGATCTTGGCTCACTGCAGCCTCCACTGCCCGGGTTCAAGCTTCTCCTGCCTTATCCTCCTGAGTAGCTGGGATTACAGGTGCCCGCCACTATGCCTGGCTAATTTTTGTACTTTTAGTAGAGATGGAGTTTTGCCATGTTGGCTGGGCTGGTCTCGAACTCCTGACCTCAGGTGATCAGCTTAAGGGAGGAGCCCACCCCTCTTATGCCCAATATGGGTCTTATGCCCAATATCTGCCTCCAAAGAAAGAAGTAAAAACTAAAAGGCAGAAACGAAATCCACCAGTAGACAGCCCGGCGCCACACCCTGGGCCTGGTAGTTAAAGATCGACCCCTGACCTAATAGGTTATGTTATCTATAGATTACAGACATTGTATAGAAAAGCACTGTGAAAATCCCCATCCTGTTCTGTTCCGTTCCAATTACTGGTGCATGCAGCCCCCAGTCACGTACCCCCTGCTTGCTCAATCGATCACGACCCTCTCACGCAGACCCCCTTAGAGTTGTGATCCCTTAAAAGGGACAGGAATTGCTCACTTGGGGAGCTCGGTTGTTGGAGACGTGAGTCTTGCCGAAGCTCCCGGCCGAATAAAGCCCTTCCTTCTTTAACTCAGCATCTGAGGGGTTTTGTCTGTGGCTTGTCCTGCTACAAGCCCGCCTCATGGCCTCCCAAAGTGCTGGGATTACAGGCGTATGCTGGCTCAATTATTAAATGGTGGTTTGGTACAACACTGGATCATACTATTTCATGGGAAAATATAGGTCATTTAAGAAGTGATTTAGGGCCAGGCGCGGTGGCTTATGCCTGTAATCCCAGCACTTTGGGAGGCCGAGGCGGGTGGATCACAAGGTCAGGGGTTTGAGACCAGCCTGGCCAATATGGTGAAACCCCATCTCTTCTAAAAACACACAAATTAGCTGGGTGTGGTGGTGGACGCCTGTAATCCCAGCTACCTGAGAGGCTGAGGCAGGAGAATTGTTTGAACACGGGAGGCGGAGGTCTCAGTGAGCCGAGATCATGCCACTGCACTCCAGCCCGGGCAACAACAAGAGGGAGACTCTGAAAAAAATATATAATAAAAATAAGAAGTGATTTAAGTTGGCATGGTGGTTCATGCCTGTAATATCAGCACTTTGGGAGGCCTAGGCAGGAGGATCACCTGAGCCCAGGAGTTCCAGACCAGCCTGGGCAATAAGGTGAAACCCTCTCTTTACAAAAAAATAAAAAAAAATGAGCCGGGTGTGGTGGCATGCACCTATAGTCCCAGGTACTTGGGAGGCTGAGGTGGGAGGATCACTTGAGTACAAGAGATGAAGGATGTAGTGAGCAGTAATCTGAGCTGTAAACTCGCTATTGCACTCCAGCCTGGGCGACAGAGTGAGACCCTATTTAAAACAACAACAAAAAACTGTTTTGTTTAAAAGATTTACTTGGTTACCAATTTTCTGGGAACTAACCCTGAAACTAGTTGGGAAAAATATGCAAATCTAGAAACAACATAAGTATCAATTTGCGAATTTGTGTAATGTCTTTTTTTCTACCAGTAAGCCATAACTAGGCTTGAATCGTAAGCTTTTTGGATTCTGTGGCCTCATTGAAAAAATGTTGGAGTTGATCCTTTCAGCAGTCAACTTCAGCAAATATTTAAGTGTCTACCATGTGTTATGTCTTGTACTAGGCGCTGGGAGGGAATTAAAATATAAATGACAAAATCATTTTTAAAGAGTTCACTGTTGGCCAGATGCAGTGGCTTACACCTGTAATCCCAGCACTTTGGGAGGCCGAGGTGGGCGGATCATGAGGTCAGGAGTTCAATACCATCCTGGCCAAGATGGTGAGACCCCGTCTCTACTAAAAATTAGCCAGGCGTGGTGGCAGGTGCCTGTAATCCCAGCTACTCAGGAGGCTAGGATTGAGAATTGCTTGAACCCGGGAGGTGAAAGTTGCAGTGAGCTGAGATCACGCCACTGCACTCTAGCCTGGGCGATAGAGCGTGACTCCATCACACACACACACACACACACACACACACACACACACACACAAAATTAGCTGAGTGTAGTGGTGGGCGCCTGTAATCCCAGCTGCTCAGCAGGCTGAGGCAGGAGAATCGTTTCAACCTGGGAGGCATAGGTTGCAGTGAGCTGAGGTCACGCCATTGCACTCCAGCCTGGGCAACAGGGTGAGATTCCATCTCAGGGAAAAAAAAAAAAAATTGACTTTTTTTTTTTCTTTTTTTCTTTTTTTTTAAGGCTAGCCAAGTGAAGCAGTGGGAATGAAGAAGCAACAAAGAAATTTGTAACTTCTTATATCAATTACTTGTAAACACTACTGCACTCGGACCAGCCACATTTTAATTAGAGACCAACACATAAATAGTTCTGAGTCAGTACAATAAGTGCTGTAATAGAGATCTGTACTAAGTGCTATGGGAACATTAGTTCTGCCTTGTAGTGGGAGGGGAAAGTTAGAGAAGACTTCCTAGAGAAAGAGTCAGTTGGGTCTTGAAGGAGGAATACAATTTGGCTGAGTCAGCAAAAAAAAGGATTGGAAAAGTTACTGTTTGAAGTGCAGAAAATAGCTTGTACAAAGATACAGATGTGCAAGAAGTATGGACATGTGGACTAGTTTAATGTGGCAGGATCATGGGGTATGAGGAAGGAGTAGAAGAAAGTGAGGTGAGAGATGGGTTGGAATCCAGTTATGGATGACCTTAGTAAGGGGTCTGAATTTTATTTTGTAGGTGCTGAGGAGTCATGGAAGAGTTTTTAAACCAGGTAAGGAACATGTTTAGATCACTATTTAAGTAGAAGTAACTCTGTTGACAGTATAGAAGTTAGACTTTAAAAGGCACAATTGATTGTAGGGAGACTAGTTGGTTGGGAGAATGGTGTGATGACTTGAGAGATTGACGAAATCAGGTACAGTAGTCATGGTGGAATTGTAGACTGATTGGAGAACTTTTTAGGAGAGTAACTAAAAGGATCTCATTGACTTTATATTGGAGGACGGGTAAAGAAGAAGGAGTTGTCAAAGATGGAGTTGAAATTGCTGGCATGGACAACTAAGTGGAATGTGATGTCATTAACCAAGTTACGGAATACAAGAGTAAAAGAGGGTATTACATTTGAAGGAAATAAGTTTGATTTTGGTATATAGGATTTGAGGTATCTGGGAAATCCAATAGGCTTCCAGATATACCTAGGTCTTGAGTAGAAAGGTTCAGAAGGGAGATACAGATTTAGTAGTCATTAGCATATTAGTAGTGAAAGTCAGCTTGATGACTCTGTGAGTCCAAGCTTCAGTTGCTTTATATGTTGTTCATTCGTATCTTTTTGAGAGATTAGTTTTGCAGGAATGTGGCATGACAACTACTACTTCATAGTACAGTGCTAGTCCTTTTCCTTATTTTTCAATTTTTTTTTTCTGTGAACTTCTTTTTTTTTTTTTTTTTTTTGAGACAAAGTCTCACTCTGTTGCCCAGGCTGGAGTACAGTGGCACGATCTCAGCTGACTGCAACCTCAGTCTCCTGGGTTCAAGGAATTCTCCTGCCTCTCCCAAGTAGCTGGGACTACAGGCGCACACCACCACGCCTAGCTAATTTTTGTATTTTTAGTAGAGACGGGGTTTCACCATGTTGGCCAGGGTAGTCTCGAACTCCTGACCTCAGGTGATGCACCTGCTTCGGCCTCCCAAAATACTGGGATAACAGGCATGAGCCACCATGCCCAGTGGAACTTATTTATTTATTTATTTTTTTGAGAGGGAGTCTCCCTCTGTTGCCCAGGCTGGAGTGCAGTGGGGCCATCTCAGCTCACTGCAACCTCCACTTCCTGGGTTCAAGGTATTCTCCTGCCTCAGCCTCCCAAGTAGCTGGGACTACAGGCGCGTGCCACCATGCCTGGCTAATTTTTTGTATTTTTAGTTGAGACCAGGTTTCACCAGGTCTCGAACTCCTGACCTTGTTATCCGCCTGCCTCAGCCTCCCAAAGTGCTGGGATTACAGGCCTGAGTCACCGTGCCTGGCCCCTTTCCTTTTTTTTTTTTTTTTTTTTTTTTAATAGAGACAGAGTCTTAACTGTGTTGCTCAGGGTGGTCTCAAAATCCTGGCCTCAAGTGATCCTCCTGGCTCAGCCTCCCAAAGTGCTAGGATTTTAGGTGTGAGCCACTGTGCCCAGCCTTTCTTTTTTAACTGGTATCACTTTCCACTTTTTTGGAGGATTCTTTTTGTAGCTTGTTTGCAAGGTAGGACATCCTATTTTCAACTTCTCCCCCTTCTTGCTGTTATTCAAAGCAATTGGTCATTCAAAACAGACTTATGTATTTCTCTGTCTCTGCTAGGAGCTAAAATGTAAATATTTAGTGTTTTCTCCTTCATACCCAGAGTTTATGTCCTGATGGGAGAAACAAGTTAACTCTCAATTATAGAGTTAAGAGTGATGATAGAGGTCTTTAGGGTGTAATGGAAATATGTTAACCCTTAACCCATATTTGGGGAGAATCAAGGAAGGCTTGTGCATGGAGGATTGTCCAAAGTAAGACCTGAAGGATGTGTACGATTTAGGTGAAGAGTCAGAGGAAGATCATTGGCAGCAGAGGGACCATTGTTTGTAAAGTGCAAGAAGCTTAACATTTTATCTGTTTGGAATGAATAGCTTGTCTTTTATGAAAAATGGGTTTTCAACTCTGTTGTACTAAACAATAATACATATCTTTAAATAAAACATTTTTCTTTTCTTCTGGACAACTGCAGGAAATCTCAGAACAGCTGTGCAAGTAAAACTTTAGAATCTTGAAAAATAGATATTAGATTTCTAATCCTCCTAATACCTCCATTGTTTTTTTCTTTATTATTTTTTATTTTTATTTTATTTTTTTTGAGATGGAGTCTTGCTGTGTTGCCCAGGCTGGAGTGCAGTGGCGCGATCTCGGCTCACGGCAAGCTCCGCCTCCCGGGTTCATGCCTTTCTTCTGCCTCAGCCTCCTGAGTTGCTGGGACTACAGGTGCCTGCCACCACGCCTGGCTAATTTTTTTGTATTTTTAGTTGAGACGGGGTTTCACCGTGTTAGCCAGGATGGTCTCGATCTCATCACCTTGTGATCTGCCCTCCTCGGCCTCCCAAAGTGCTGGGATTACAGGCGTGAGCCACTGCACTCGGCCCAGCATTGTTTTTTTCTTTAAGTAAATCTAGGAAGCTAACCCCTACTTAAAAGTAGACACTTTGTGGGAAAGTTTAAAAAGTCTTTGACATGGTCAGGCATGGTGGTTCATGCCTGTAATCTCAGCACTTTGGGAGGCAGAGGTGGGTGTATTGCTTGAGCCTAGGAGTTCCCAGGGTTCGAGACCAGCCTGGGAAACATGGTGAAATCCCATCTCTACAAAAAAATACAAAAATTAGCCTGGCATAGTTGCTCACACCTGTAATCCCAGGTACTTTGGAGGCTGAGGCAGTAGGATTGCTTGAGCCCAGAAGGCGGAGGTTGCAGTGAACCAAGATCGCAACACTGCACTCCAGCCTGGGTGACAGAGTGAGACCCTGTATCAAAAAAAAAAAAAAAAAAAAGCCTTTGACAAGCTAATTCTAAAATTTATATGGAAAGGCAAAGGGACTAAAATAGCCAAAACAATTTTGAAAAAGGACAACAGAGTTGGAAGACTCATACTATCTGATTTCAAGACTTAATAAAGAGCTACAGTAATCAAGACAGTGTGGTATTGGCAGAAGGATAGATACATAGATCAATGAACAGAACAGAGGTTCAGACATAGATTCAGGCCGGGCACGGTGGCTTATGCCTGTAATCCCAGCACTTTGGGAGGTCGAGGTGGGGGATCACTTGAGGTCAGGAGTTTGAGACCAGCTTGGCCAACATGGTGAAACCCCATCTCTACTAAAAATACAAAAATTAGTGGGGCATGGTGGTGAGCACCTGTAGTCCCAGCTACTCAGGAGGCTGAGGCAGGAGAATCACTTGAACCCAGGAGGCAGAGGTTGCAGTGGCCGAGACCATTCCACTACATTCCAGCCAAGGTGACAGAGCGAGACTCCGTCTCAAAAAAAAAAAAAAAAAAAAAAAGAAACATTCACACTATTAAGTATGGCTATTGATATTTGACCGAGGTGCAAAGGCAATTCAGTGGAGAAAGAATAGTCATCTCAACAATTACACCTAAATGTAATTTGTAAAATTATAAAATATTTTTATTATTTTATTTTAACTTTATTTTATTTTATTTTTTTTTTAATAGAGATGGGGTTTTGCCATGTTGCCCAGGCTGGTCTCAAACTCCTGGGCTCAAGCCATCTGCTTACCTCAGCCTTCCACAGTGCTGGGACTACAGGTGTTAGCCACCATGCCCGGCCTAAACTATGAGATTTAAAAGAAGATAAGAGAAAATCCTTATTACATTGAGTTAGGCAAAGAGTTCTTAGATATGACACCAAAAGCAAGATCCATAAAAATAAAAAGTTGATAAATTGGATTTCATCAAAATTAAAAACTTTTGCTTTGCAGAAGACTGTCAAGTAGATGAAAATATAAGCAACACACTGGGAGAAATGTTCGCCAATTATGTATCAGACATACAGCTCATATTAAGAATGTATAGGCCGGGTGTGGTGGCTCACACCTGTAATCCCAGCACTTTGGGAGACCGAGGCAGCTGGATCACGAGGTTGGGAGATCAAGACCATCCCGGCTAACACGGTGAAACCGCTTCTCTACTAAAAAACAAAGAATTAGCCAGGCGTGGTTGCGGGCACCTGTAGTCCCAGCTGCTTGGGAGGCCGAGGTAGGAGAATGGCGTAAACCTGGGAGGCGGAGCTTGTGGTGAGCCAAGATCGCGCCACTGCACTCCAGCCTGGGCAACAGAGTGAGACACGCTCTCAAAAAAAAAAAAAAAAAAGAATGTATAAAGAGGCTGGGCGAAGTGGCTTACTCCTGTAATCCCAGCACTTTGGGAGGCCGAGGTGGGTGGATCACGAGGTCAGGAGATGGAGACTATCCTGGTTAACACAGTGAAACCTCATCTCTACTAAAAATACAAAAAATTAGCCAGGCATGGTGGCTTGCGCCTGTAGTCCCGGCTACTCGGGAGGCTGAGGCAGGAGAATTTCTTGAACCTGGGAGGTGAAGGTTGCAGTGAGCCGAGATCGCGCCACTGCACTCCAACTCCAGCTTGGGAGACAGAGTGAGACTCGGTCTCAAAAAAAAAAATTTAAAAAAAATGACCTAAGTATTTATCCAAGTGAAATAAAAATCTGTGTTCACAAAAAAACTTGTATGTGACTGTTTACAGCAGCTTTATTTATAGTCACCACAAACTGGAAACAACCTGAATGACTCTCAGCTGGGGAATGGATAAACAAACTAATGTATCTACACAATGGAATACTACTCAGCAATAAAAAGGAACTATTCATATATGCAATAACATGAATGAAACTCATTGGTATTATGCTTAGTAAAAGAAACAAAACTCAAAAGGCTATGGTCTGTATGATTGCATTTGTATGATGTTCTGGGGAAAACTCAACTATAAGGACAGTGGGGAACAGATCAGTGATTGCCTTTGGGTAAGACTAGAGAGACAGTGGGCCGGGCGCAGTGGTTTATGCCTGTAATCCCAGCACTTTGGGAGGCCGAGTTGGGGCGGATCACCTGAGGTCGGGAGTTTGAGACCAGCCTGAGCAACATGGAGAAACCCTGTCTCTACTAAAAATACAAAATTAGCTGGGCGTGGTGGCGCAGCTTGAACCCGGGAGGCGGAGGTTGCGGTGAGCCAAGATGGCGCCATTGCACTCCAGCTGAGGCAACAAGAGTGAAACCACGTCTCAAAAAAAAAAAAAGAGTAGAGAGAGGGTGGCCAAGCGTGATGGCTCACGCCTGTAATCCCAGCACTTTGGGAGGCCGAGGCGGGCAGATCTCGAGGTCAGGAGTTCGAGATCAGCCTGGCCAATGTAGTGAAATCCCATCTCTACTAAAAATACAAAAATTAGCCGGGCATGGTGGCGCGCACCTGTAGTCCCAGCTACTCGGGACGCTGAGGCAGGACAGTCGCTTGAACCCGGGAGTCGGAGGTTGCAGTGAGCCGAGATGGCGCCATACTGCACTTCAGCCCGGTGATAGAGCGAGACTCCGTCTCAATTAAAAAAAAAAAAAAGTAGAGAGTTGACTGCAAAGAGGTAGTATGAGGAAATTTTTTGGGGGTGACATGACTGTTCCGTATTTTGATTGTAGTTGTGGTTACACAACTATGCATTTATGAGAACTCTTAGAACTGAACAATAAAAGAATGTTATTTTTGTCTGGGGCAGAGAAGAGAGACTTTAAAGACTAATTCCAGAAATGTAATTCCCTAAATACATTTGAATTTTTAGCTTAATTTTCTTTTTTAATACATTTTACATAATTAAAAGTGAAAAGTCTAGAAAATTTAAATCCTTTTGAATTTATTTTACTTAGAAATGCAGTTGTATGTTTTTTGTTTTTTTTTTTTCGTGACAGAGTCTTCTCTGTAGCTCAGGCTGGAGTGCAGTGGCACAATCACAGTTCACTGCAACCTATGCCTTTGGGCTCAAGCGATCCTCCCACCTAAGCCTCTTGAGTAGCTGGCACTACAGATGGTGCGCCACCATGCCTGGCTAATTTTTTGTGGGTATTTTTTTTTAGAGATGGGGTTTTGCCATGTTGCCCAGGGTGGTCGTGAACTCCTGGGATCAAGTGATCTGGTCACCACAGCCTCCCAAACTGCTGGGGTTGCAGGTGTGAGCCTCTGTGCCCAGCTCACTTTGTTTTTTTGAGACAAGGTTTCCCTCTTACCTAGCTACTCAGGAGGCTGCGGCAGGAGAATTGCTTGAACCCGGGAGGCGGAGGTTGCTGTGAGCCGAGATCGCACCATTGCACTCCAGCCTGGGCAACAAGAGTGAAACTCTGTCTCAAAAAAAAAAAAAAAAAAAAAAAAAAAAAAAATTGGATTTGATCTTGATTTCTCCTTACCCCTTATCCGACATATCTGGTTGGTCCCAGGTCTGATTTTAATGTTGAAGTTCTCCTAAATCTGCATTTTTTCATTTATACCATATTGCCAAATTCTTGGATGAGACCTTTTTTATTTCTTAACTCTGACAGTTACAGTAGCCTCCTAACTAATCTGCATGTCTCAAGGCTTATCACCCCTCTAGTCTGTCCACCACACTGCCACAAGAATGATCTTCCTAAGTTGTAAGACTACTTATGCCCTTTCCCTTTAAAGCCCTTCATTACCCTAGTGCCTGATACATAGCAGATGCTTGATTCCATCTTCCTTCCTCACTTTATTATATTTTTGCTCAAGCTATTTTCTTTTCTTCCAAGGACATTTCTTCCAAAATAGACAAACATAAACAATTATCTGAACAAACATAACTAAGACTCTCCTAATTAAGCTTTAGGATTTAGCTCATAGTTAATTTCTTCTGTGAAGTCTTCCCTGTTCCCAAGGCAGTATTAATCACTCTTGCTGATGGGCTACTCTGACATTTTACTATCCTGCTAACATTACCTTTATTATTATTTTTTACATTGTTTAAATGACAGCATCTCATTCTATTAAATAGAATGCATGTTCCTTACATTTATTATTTAATTGCTATTCTGTTTCCTCATCTGGATTGTGAGCTTTTTGTAGGTAGGGGTTATTCCTTTTTCACTTTTTCTTTTTTTTTCAATAGACAAGATCTCACTGTGTTACCCAGGCTTGGAGTGCCATGGCACTGTCATAGCTCACTGCAGCTTCTAAAGTCTTGGGCTCAAGCAATCCTCCTGCCTCAGCCTCCCAAGTAGCTAGGACTACAGATGCAAGCCAGCGTGCAAGTTAATTTTTAAAATTTTTTGTGGAGATGGGGTTTCAATATGTTGTCCAGGCTGTTTTTTTCTTTTTTTGAGACAGAGTTTAATTCTCCACCAGGCTAGAGTATAGTGGTGCTGTTATAGCTCACTGCAACCTCAAACTCCTGGGCCTAAATGATCCTCTCGTGTCAGCCTCCCAAGTAGCTAGGACAATAGACACTAGCCACTGTGCCTGGCTAATGAAAAAAAAAATTTTTTTGGCAAAGACAAGGTCTTGCTATATTGCCAATGCTGGTCTCAAGCTCCTGGCCTCAAGTGATCTTCCCACCTCAGCCTCGCAAAGTGCTGGGATTACAGGTGGTGAGTGCCTGGCCCTTTTTCACCTTTTTAACTTCAGCACCTAACAACTAAGCCTGCCAAATGTATTGAGTTTCTACTATGTTTTCAGCATTGGCAGTACACAAAACAAGATAGACAAAGTCCCTGCTGTTATGGAGCTTACATTCCAATGAGGGCAAACAGACAACAAACAGATTTTTTTTTTTTTTTTTTTTTTGAGACGGAGTTCTGCTCTTGTTGCCCAGGCTGGAGTGCAATGGCGCCATCTTGGCTCACCACAACCTCTGCCTCCCAGGTATAAGCGATTCTCCTGTCTCAGCCTCCCAAGCAGCTCAGATTACAAGCATGCACCACCACGCCTGGCTGTTTTTTTTGTGTTTAGTAGAGACAGGGTTTCACCATGTTAGTCAGGCTGGTCATGAACTCCTGACCTTAGGTGATCCACTGGCCTCGGCCTCCCAAAGTGTTGGGATTACAGGCGTGAGCCAACCTGTCCAGCAACAGACAGCTTTTTAAAAATCAGTTAATGGCCGGGCGTGGGTGGCTTATGCCTGTAAACCCAGCACTTTAGGAGGCCGAGGCAGGCAGATCACTTGAGGTCTGGAGTTCGAGACAAGCCTGGCCAACATGGTGAAACCCTGTCTCTACTAAAAATACCAAAAATTAGCTGGGTGTGGTGGCATGAGCCTGTAGTCCCAGCTATTCAGGAGGCTGAGGCAGGAGAATCGCTTGAACCGGCAGGCAGAGGTTGCAGGGAGCCAAGATCGTGCCACTGCACTCCAGCCTGGGCTACAGAGCAAGACTCAGTCTCAAAAAAACAACAAAAAAAACAGTTAATGGCCGGGCACGGTAATCCCAGCACTTTGGGAGGCCGAGGTGGGCAGATCACTTGAGGCCAGGAGTTCAAGACCAGCCTGGCCAACATGACAAAACCCCATCTCTACTTTTATACAAAAATTAGGCGGGCATGGTGGTGGGTGCCTGTAATCCCAGCTACTTGGGAGGCTGAGGCAGGAGAATTCTTGAACCCAGGAGGCAGAGGTTGCAATGAGCCAAGATCGCGCCACTGCATTCCAGCCTGCGAGACAGAGCGAGACTCCATCTCAAAAATAAAACAAAATAAATAAAAATCAGTTAATGATAAACACTGTACAGAAAAATAGAGGATGTGATAGTATGAATTGATAGCTACTTTATATTGGGAGAATATCTCTCTAAGGATATGGCATTTAAGATCTAGGAGTATATGAAGATCAGCAGATCAAACATTATAGTGCAGAACACCTAAGGAGGAATGAGCTTGGTATGTTGAAGGAACAGAAATCAGGCCAGTGTTGTTTGAATACGGTGAATGAGGGAGAGAATGACGAGATGACAAAGGCAGAGGCTAGGTGACAGTGAGATTTGGAAGCTAGGGTAAGGTGTTTCGTTTCCTTTGGAGTGTTTTTTTTTTTTTTTTTTTTTTGAGACGGGATCTCACTCTGTCACCTAGGTTGGAGTGCAGTGGTGCAATCTTGGTTCCCCGTAACCTCCACCACCGGGCTAAGGGATCCTCCCACCCCAGCCTCTCAAGTAGCTGGGACCATAGGTGCACGCCTCTACGTCCGGCTAATTTTTTTTGTATTTTTGGTAGAGACCAGATTTCACCATGTTGCCCAGTCTGTTCTCAAACTCCTAAGCTCAGGCAATTCACCTGCTTTGGCCTCCCAAAGTGCTGGGATTTCAGGCGTGAGCCACTGCACCCAGCCTCCTTTGGAGTTTTTAAGTACGAGTATGATATGAGTCGATTTGTGACTAGAAAGAATGTTCAGTTGCTATGTTAGAAATGGATTGTAGTGCGGGCACAGTGGTTCACGCCTGTAATCCCAGCACTTTGGGAGGCCAAGGCGGGCGGATCACCGAGGTCAGGAGTTCGAGACCAGCCAGACCAACATGGAGAAACCCCATCTCTACTAAAAATACAAAATTAGCTGGGCGTGGTGGCACATGCCTGTAATCCCAGCTACTCGGGAGGCTGAGGCAGGAGAATTGCTTGAACCTGGGTTGCGGTGAGCTGAGATCATGCCATTGCAATCCAGCTTGGTCAACAAGAGCGAAACTCCACCTCAAAAAGAAATGGGTTGTAGAAGGAAGCAAGGAGACCAGTAACAAGGCTCTTTGCACGAATCAAATGAGACTTTATGGTAACTTGGACTGGGGTGATGGTATAAAAGCTGTGGAAAGATGACAGATTTGGCATATCTTTTGGAAGTGAAGTTGACAGGGCTTGCTTTGGGATTGTTACACCTTTGGAAGTGAGGTAATAAGGAATCATGGATAACTTCTATATTATTGACTGGAGCAACCAGGGAGGTAAATGGTTGTTGCTGTTAATTGATATGGGTAAGACTAGCAGAATATAATTGTCAAAAATTCTTGGACAGTGGTGGCTCATGCCTGTAACCCAGCACTTTGGGGGTCTGAGACAAGAGGATCACCTGAGCCCAGGAGTTTCAGACGAGCCTCGGCAAGATAGAGAGACCCTGTGTCTACAAAAAAATAAGAAAATTAGCCAGGTGTGGTAGTACATGCCTGTGGTCCCAACTACTTGAGGGGCTGAGGTGGGAGGATGGCTTGAGCCCAGGGGGTGGAGGTTGCAGTGAGCTGTGATTGTGCCATTGCACTTCAGCCTTGGCAACAGAGTGATAACTTGTCTAAAATTAAAAAAAAAAAAAAAATTCTCGGCCGGGCGTGGTGGCTCACGCCTTTAATCCCAGCACTTTGGGAGGCCGAGGCGGGTGGATCATGAGGTTAGGAGATCGAGACCATCCTGGCTAACACGGTGAAACCCTGTCTCTGCTAAAAATACAAAAAATGAGCTGGGTGTGGTGGCAGGCGCCTGTAGTCCCAGCTACTTGGGAGGCTGAGGCAGGAGAATGGCATGAACCTGGGAGGCAGAGCTTGTAGTGAGCCGAGATTGTGCCACTGCACTCCAGCCTGGGCGACAGAGCAAGACTCCGTCTCAAAAAAAAAAAAAAAAAAAATTCTCTTTTGGTCCTGCCAAGTTTGAGATACTTGTTAGGTATCCAAATGGAGAAATTAGATAGGCAGTTGGATAGAAATGCCTGGCATTCCTAGGAGAATTCTGAGCTGAAATAGATAGAATTTGAAGTCATGGTATTTAATCAGGAGGTCATCTACAGATGGTTTGTGGCTAGAGAAGAGCAATTTGAAAGAGAAGGAATAGCTAGTGAGATAGGTGGAAAACCCAGAAAGTGATGTTTTAGAAGGCAAGTAAAGAAGTGTTTCAAGAAGGGAGTGGTCAGCCTGGGTAACATAGTAAGATCCTGTGTCTACAAAAAATAGAAAATTAGCTGTTTGTGGTGGCACATGCCTATGGCAGTCCCAGGTATTCAGGAGGCTGAGGTGGGAGAATTGCTTGAGTCTGGAAGGTTGAGGCTGCAGTAAGTGGTGATTGTGCCACTGCACTCCGGCCTAATTGCACCACTGCACTCCATGTGACAGAGCTAGACACTTTCTCAAAAAAAAAAAAAAAATAGAACGGAGTGGTGAGCTCTGTTGAATGCTATATAGAGGTCACGTAACAGAGAAGTACTCACAGGATTTGACAACCTAGGGATTATTGGTGACTTCCAGTAGAACCGTTCATTGGAGTGGTGGAAATAGAAGTCTAATTGTAGTTGATTGAGGGGGAAAAATAAGATGAAGAAACATTTGATCATTTTTTTTGTTTTTGTTTGGTAACAGGTTTTGGCACCCAGTTTCCTTGAAAACTTCCTGTGTCATTGTAACTAAGTACTTACCTGTTTGTATTCCAGTTGAATATGTTTTTTTTTTCCCCCCAAGATGGAGTCTCAGTCTCTTGCCCAGGCTGGAGTGCAGTGGCGTGATCTTGGCTCACTGCAACCTCTGCCCCGAGTTCAAGTGATTCTCCTGCCTCAGCCTCCTGAGTAGCTGGGACTACCTGCGCATGGAAGCACGCCTGGCTAATTCTATATTCATATATGTGTGTGTGTATATATATATATGTGTGTATATATATATATATATATATATATATATATATTTTTTTTTTTTTTTTTTTTTTTTTTTTTTTGAGATGGAGTCTTGCTCTATCGCCCAGGCTGGAGTGCAGTGGCGTGATCTCAGCTCAGTGCAATCTCCACCTCCTGGGTTTTAAGCAGTTCTCTCTGCCTCAGTCTCCCAGGTGGCTGGGATTACAGGCGCCTGCCACCATGCCCGGCTAATTTTGTATTATTATTATTATTTTTTGTGGTGGAGTTTCGCTCTTGTTGCCCAGGCTGGAGTGCAATGGTGCAATCTCGGCTCTTTCCAACCTCCGCCTCCCGGGTTCAAGCGATTCTCCTACTTCAGTCTCCCAAAAGTGCTGGGATTACAGGCTTATGCCACTGCGCCCAGCTTAATTTTTGTATTTTTAGTAGAGACGGGGTTTCACCATGTTGGCCAGGCTGGTCTTGAACTTCTGACCTCAGGTGATCCACCTGCCTTCGGCCTCCCAAAGTGCTGGGATTACAGGCGTGAGCCACTGTGCTGCCTGGCCTTTTTAAAAAATACTTTTAGGCCGGGCGTGGTGGCTCATGCCTGTAATCCCGCACTTTGGGAGGCCGAGGTGGGTGGATCACGAGGTCAAGAGATCGAGACCATCCTGGCCAGTATGGTGAAACCCCGTCTGTACTAAAAATATACAAATTAGCTGGGTGTGGTGGCGCGTGCCCGTAGTCCCAGCTACTTGGGAGACTGAGGCAGGAGAATCGCTTGAACCCAGGTGGGGGAGGTTGCAGTGAGCCGAGATCGCACCATTGCTGGGATTATAGGCGTGAGCCACTGCACCCAGCCTGACTATGTATTTTTGTTGAATTAGTATCTTTCAGTGTTTTTGTGCCATTATTTTATTTTATTTGTTTATTTATTTTGAGACGGACTCTTGCTCTGTCGCCCAGGCTGGAGTGCAATGGTGCAATCTCGGCTCACTGCAACCTCTGCCCAGCCCCAGGTTGAAGCGATTCTCCTGCCTCAGCCTCCTGAGTAGCTGGGATTACAGGCATGCGCCACCACGCCCAGCTAATTTTTGTATTTTTAGTAGAGATGGGGTTTCACCATGTTGGCCAGGCTGATCTCCAACTCCTGACCTCATGTGATCCACCTGCCTCAGCCTCCCAAAGTGCTGGTATTACAGGCATGAGCCACCTCTCACCCGGCCCTGTACGATTATTTTATATGGACTCCTATTTCCAAAAACCTGCTTTAACTACTTTTATGAGCAATACAGGTAACTGGTGAGCGAATGAGACTTTTTATAAGGGTTAGGCCCTTGGTCTATAAGAAAAGCAGACTGACTTGACCTTGTTCTTAAAGTACATCAGTTTTCTCAGCTGTCAAATGAGGATAACAGGACCATTTTGGCTTGTTGGGTGGTTGTGATGCATGACTACTAATGAAAATAATTGTAAAACACTTTTGCAAGTTAAAGTGTGATATAAATGCTAAATAATAGTTCTTTATTGGGATGTTGTGAAAATAAGCAACATGCTTTTTATTGAGAGGCCTTAAATTCCTTTTGAGGAGGCAATATATTTTTATAAGTACTATTAGATCACTTTAGAATGTTCATATTATTAGAGTTTTGGCCAGGCGCAGTGGCTTACACCTGTAATCCCGCACTTTGGGAGGCCGAGGTGGGTGGATCACGAGGTCAAGAGATCGAGACCATCCTGGCCAATATGGTGAAACCCCGTTTGTACTAAAAATATAAAAATTAGCTGGGTGTGGTGGCGCGTGCCTGTAGTCCCAGCTACTTGGGAGACTGAGGCAGGAGAATCGCTTGAACCCAGGTGGGGGAGGTTGCAGTGAGCCGAGATTGCACTGTTGCACTCCAGCCTGGCAACAGAGCGAGAGTCCATCTCAAAAAAAAAAAAATAAAATAAAAAGAGTTTTACCAGACTGGGTGCAGTGGCTCACTCCTGTAATCCCAGCACTTTGGAGGCTGAGGCAGGTGGATCATTTAAGGTCGTCAGGAGTTTGAAACCAGCCTGGCCAACATGGTGAAAACCCATCTCTACTAAAAATATTTTAAAAAATTAGCTGGGCGTGGTGGCAGGCGCCTGTAATTCCCGCTACTCGGGAGGCCAAGGCACGAGAATTGCTTGAACCCAGGAGGCAGAGGTTGCAGTTATCCGAGATCTTGCCACTGCACTCCAGCCTGGGTGACAGAGCGAGACTTCGCCTCAAAAAAAAAAAAAAAGTTTTACCATTTTTGCTTTTTGGTTCAGATGAGGAATGAATTCCACCTTATGGTACTTGCATTGCTGAATGTTTAAAGGCCTGATGGGAGTGACTTATTGTGTCTATATTTATAGCATCACAGCCAATCAATAGAAACACTCACACACAAAAGACACTGAAAAAACATTTTAACTTGCTATAGGTAACACCTTAAAGACATTTTAATGCAGGATTAGGTGATTGTTGCAGTTAGGCTTTGAAGAGTGACATGGTACCATTTTAGACAAAACTAACACTCCTTGTTCCATACCAGAGTCTAAATATAGAATCAGTGGCATCATTACCTGTAATGTACTTAGGAACTACATTGAAATTTGAATCTGTTGAACTAAATTTTTCTCAGCCTTTTAAGTGACATTAACAATAGAGGAAAATTGGGATGTTGTCTAAAAGCCAAAAAGGGAAAACTGAAATGGTTATGGGATAGTCTGCTGACGTGCTGGGAACTTTACCCTGACACCTCACCTGGGATCGTATATATTGTTTTTAGTATAGGGACCTGTGTGTTGCTAATTTTAGAACAAAGTAACATGAAGTTTTTTTAGCTTTATGCAGGTTGGACTGGAATCTTTTTTTCTGGAATTTGAGTTCTTTCACAATCCATTTACCTTTTTGTATCAAGGACAAGTGAAAGGCTTAGGTTTCTTTTCCTCTTTGATGGGAAGACTGTACTTGCTTTTGCTGGACTCAGGCATTATCTGCTTTTGCATTTGCATTTGGTGACTGCTAAAAGGGTCCTTGAATGACATGCTTTCACAGCAAAGACAGTTGAGTAATTTTATTTTCTTAGAGACGTTTTATTTCTGTGGTTGTAGTAAGACTCCCTGTTATTTGCTTTCATCATCAGCTTTGTTCATTCTAGGCTTAGGGATTGGCTTCAACTGTTTTACATTCATAGGCAAAGGTTCATTTTATATTCATATTTTAGTTCTCTTGGATTTAATTTGTAGCTTATATGTATCCATTATATTGAATAGTTTCCTTCCTAGATTAGGTATTTCATAAAACTTCTAAATATTTTTAGGAATGTATTACTTATGCTTGACATCTTTATCATTATTTTTTTCATTCAAAATAGCCCAAGTTTCTCTGGAAGCTTGCAGTTGGCAGTACTATCAAGACAAAATGCCTTTAGGACTGTATGGAGAAGGCACTTTCCACCACTACCTAACAAAATGGAATATATATATAATTTTTGACTTTATGTATTTCTTCTGTGATTTACTATCTCATATTCTTTGAATATTTTCCCCTTTGGTTATTTGTCTTCCTCTTATTTAGTTATAAGAGTTCTTTGTATATTGTGGCATTCAACTCTTTTTTATGTGATGTTAGTATTCCTTAAGGCTATGAATAAGAAGTGAGAAGGGAGGCTATTGCATTGAATGCTAATCCCAGATGGTGTTTGGTTAAATTGTTTTATTGTTTGCCTTGATTATTTGAGCAATGGTAAGCTTCTTTTGTCTCTTCCTTTCCAAAGATGCATAGAAAAGCTCCTTCTGTCTGAAGTAAAGTGTTGGCTCTGTGTTGGTTATAATTTGCTTTTTCTGGCTTGCACAGCCTTCTTTTTGTTTTCTGTCTTCTGACAGATTATAGGATTGTGGGGAAACAGCGTCCAGGGCTTTTTCAGGAACCGTGCCATTTTATCTACAGGAGAAGCCATTGGCTTTGGCACTAGAAGGGAATTGGCTGTGCATTTAAAGATGCCAAATCATGCTCGATTCACAAGTTTGCTGTCTCATTTTGTCTATGTGTGTGAAACTTTTTCAGGATTTTGGCTTTTTACTTTTTCTACCATGTGCTACCCCATCAGTATGAAAAATTAACAACTTGCCCCTTCTTTCCAGCTCTCTACTCCCAGAACATACAACCCAAACATCCTAAACCATAAATGATGGAGCAGTCATTTTGAAGATTAGGGAAAAATATACCATACAAGTGTTTCCCTTTGGCACCCTTGTCGTGACTTTGAGCTTTAATTCTGGTTTATCAGTCATTCCTATAGAGTCTTGTTATTTTTATTTTTATTTTTATTTTTTATTTTTATTCTTTTTTTTTTTTGAGACGGACTCTCGCTCTGTCGCCCTGGAGACAGGCTGGAGTGCAGTGGCGCGATCTCGGCTGACTGCAAGCTCCGCCTCCCAGGTTCACGCCATTCTCCTGCCTCAGCCTCCCAAGTAGCTGGGACTGCAGGTGCCCACCACCACGCCCAGCTAATTTTTTGTATTTTTAGCAGAGACAGGGTTTCACCGTGTTAGCCCAGATGGTCTCGATCTCCTGACCTCGTGATCCGCCCACCTCGGCCTCCCAAAGTGCTGGGATTACAGGCGTGAGCCACCGCGCCTGGCCTATTTTTATTTTTTTAAAGGCAGGGTCTTGCTCTGTCACTGAGGCTTGGAGTGCTGTGGCACGATCATAGCTCACTATAACCTTGAACTCTTACTCCTGGGCTCAAATGATCCTCCCACCTCAGCCTCCCAAGTAGCTAGAAGTATAAACCACCCCCTACACCCCACCTTCATGCCTTTTAAACTGCATGCAATAGATTTTGAAGCCTAACCAACTAGTTATTTTAGCAAATCTTCTTTACCAGATAATGCTTCTACTTTCATAGATAGAAGTTTAAAGATACCATCTAGGTATAGGTTATTTCCATTTAGATTAAGGCCAGAAATGTTGTTATTAGGAGAAAAAGCCAATTTGGATAGGCTGGTTTGTCTAGTGTGAATTATTATATATAGGCACATGTTTTTCCTCTCTCTTCTAGGAATGATTCTCCTTCTGTCCTGTCCCATATCCATAGTCTCCCAAAGTCATGGGTTTGATTCTCTACTCTGCATTCTCTGTTGTAGTTTGCCTATTATTATTATTATTTTGAGATGGAATTTCACTCTTGTTGCCCAAGCTGGAGTGCAATGGCACAATCTCAGCTCACTGCAACCTCTGCCTCCTGGGTTCAAGCGATTCTCCTGCCTCAGCCTCCCGAGTAGCTGGGATTATAGGCGACCACCATGGCCGGCTAATTTTTTGTATTTTTAGTAGAGACAGGGTTTCACCATGTTGGCCTGGCTGGTCTCGAACTCCTGACCTCAGGTAGTCCAGCCTCGGCCTCCCAAAGTGTTGGGATTACAGGCGTGAGCCTCTGTGCCTGGCCTTATTATGATTATTAATTTTTTTTTTTTTGAGACAGAGTCTCACTCTGTTGCCCAGGCTGGAGTTCAGTGGTGCGATATCGGCTCACTGCAATCTCTGTCTCCCAGGTTCAAGCGATTCTCCTATCTCATCCTCCTGAGTATCTGGGATTACAGGCATGTGCCACCACGCCCGGCTAATTTTTGTATTTTTTAGTAGAGATGGGGTTTCACAATGTTGGCCAGGCTGGTCTCGAACTGCTGACCTCAGTTGATCCATCTGCTCGGCCTCCCAAAGTGCTGGGATTACAGGTGTGAGCCACTGCGCCGGGCTTATTACTATTTTTTTTTTTAACAGTCATGTCTTCTCTAACTAAACTAAGTACTTTAAAGACAAAGACCACATCTTATTAATCTTTTTGTCTCTGGGGTCTAATAGAATTTCAGGCATACAGGAATACAGTACATATTTGATGATGTTAGTGAATGAGTAAAACAAAATCCCAGATTTTATTTGGATTTTTATACTCCCCTGTAGTGTCTGAAACAGAAAGTGCAGCCAGTTAAAACCCTTTAATTACTGTTACACCTTGCTACTTTGAAGTGATAGTGCCAGGAATTCCCTTAAAAAAAATTACCACAGTGTTTTTCTCAGGCCTACTGTTCTCTTGAAGTCTAATGAACAATAAAGGTTTTATCAAAGTTTCTATGCTCTGTGTCATGGGTGTTTGAATTCTGTAAATATGACGTAGCAGTTCTTTATGAGGAAATTGTCTTTTTAAGACTGTTTGCCTTCTTTTCGGGTGCAATCATTGTTTTTTTTTGTTTTTTTTATTCCGTTCTACTGGGAACTGTGTCGTTTTGATTGGAGTAAATTAAGTGTCAGAGTTACATTTTATTTATTTTTTTTTTGGTTGTTATAAATGCCATTTAGGAAATTTGCAAAATAGGGTGCTCAAGAAATAATGAGGTGCAAACTGATCAGTCTAGAGGGATATTACCTAAACTAATTTTTAGTCTAGCCTATTGATCTCTTCCATCTATTTTTGAGAGATGTTTATGTTTTAGTATCTTTTACTGACTATAAAAGATATGTTCAACATAGTTTAAAGATGATAAAATCTGTAATTTCACTAAGTTAACATAGTAAAAATGACAAAATTAATGCTTTTTATTTACTTATTTATTTTTTGAGACGGAGTCCCACTCGCCCAGGCTGGAGTGCAGTGGCATGATCTTGGCTCATTGTAATCTCTGCCTCCTGGGTTCAAGCAATTTTCCTGTCCCAGCCTCCCGAGTAGCTGGGATTACAGGCCCCCACTACCATACTGGGCTAATTTTTTTTTTTAATTGTAGCGATGAGGTTTCACCATGTTGGCCAGGCTGGTTTTGAATCCCTGACCTCAAGTGATCTGCCCTATTTCAGCATCCCAAGGTGCTAGGATTGATTACAGGCGTCAGCTACCATGCCGTGCCTTAATTTTTTTTTTTTTTTTTTGAGACGGAGTCTCGCTCTGTTGCCCAGGCTGGAGTGCAGTGGCACGATCTCAGCTCACTGCAACCTGCGCCTCCCGGTTTCAAGCGATTCTCCTACCTCAGCCTGCTGAGTAGCTGGGATTACAGATGCGCGCCACCACACTTGGCTAATTTTTGTACTTTTTTTTAGTAGAGACAGGGTTTTACCATATTGGCCAGGCTGATCTCAATCTCCTGACCTCGAGATCTGCCTGTCTCAGCCACCCAAAGTGCTGGAGTTACAGTCGTGAGTCATCACACCTGGCTGCTAATTTTTGTATTTTTTGTAGAGACAGGGTTTCACTGTGTTGCCCAGGCTGGTCTTGAACTCCTGAGCTCAAGTGATCCACCCACCCTGACCTCCCGAAGTGCTGGGATTACAGGCATGAGCCACTGCACCTGGCCCGCTTTTTTATTTTTTAAAAGATGTAATAAAGGCCGGGCACGGTGGCTCACGCCTGTAATCCCAGCACTTTGGGAAGCCGAGTCGGGCGGATTACGAGGTCAAGAGATCGAGATCATCCTGGCTAACACGGTGAAACCCCGTCTCTACTAAAGAATACAAAAAATTAGCTGGGCTTGGTGGCAGGCACCTGTAGTCTCAGCTACTTGGGAGGCTGAGGCAGGAGAATGGCATGAACCTGGGAGGTGGAGGTTGCAGTGCGCCGAGATCGCGCCACTGCACTCCAGCCTGGGTGACAGAGCGAGACTCTGTCTTTAAAAAAAAAAAAAAAAGATGTAATAAATTCTCTTCTTCAGTTCTCCCTACCTGTATTCTTATTCTCTCAATAACTACTGTTGACGGATTGGTGTAACATCTAGATATTATATTGGACCAAGAGATGTATATTTATATGTGTTTAAAAAATAGCTGTGATGCTGGGCGTGGTGGCTCATGCCTGTAATCCCAGCACTTTGGGAGGCGAGGGGGGTGGATCACCTGAGGTCTGGAGTTCGAGATCAGCCTGGGCAACATGGTGAAACCCCGTTTCTACTAAAAATACAAAAATTAGCCGGGCACGGTGGCTCGTGCCTGTAATCCCAGCTACTCGGGAAGCTGAGGCAGGAGAATCGCTTGAGCCCGGGAGGCAGAGGTTGCAGTGAGCCAAGATTGTGCTGTTGCACTCCAGCCTGGATGACAGATCGAGACTCTTATCTCAAAAAAAAAAAAAAAAAAAAGATCGGCCTGGCACGTTGGCTCATGCCTGTAATCCCAGCACTTTGGGAGGCCGAGGCAGGCAGATCACTTGAGGTCAGGAGTTCGAGACTAGCCTGGCCACCATGGCGAAACCCCGTCTCGAGTAAAAATACAAAAGTTAGCCAGGCGTGGTGGTGTGCACCTGTAATTTCAGCTACTTGGGAGGCTGAGGCAGAACTGCTTGAACCTAGGAGGCGGAGGTTGCAGTGAGTCAAGATTACACCACAGCATCTCACCACTGCACTCCAGCTTGGGAAACAGAGCGAAACTCCGTCTCAAAAATAAATAAAATAAAAACAGGCATGTCATACAGCTCCTTTTCCATCTTCCAGGAGTACTGAGGTTGTTATATATGAAATGTTTTGAGTTCCAAGGTAGCCTAGACTGCTTAATTTTAAAGTTTTGTTTTGTTTTAAATTATAGTAGTGTTCGGGGGGATTAAGCAGTGTTGTAGAGTGTGATGTAGATATTTAATGTTATGCACTTGCAAGAACGCTGAATAAAAATGACATTCTAGGTAATAGCTTGCCTTTCCTGACCCCCGTTTTCTTTTTCTTTTCTTTTTTTTTTTTTGGAGTTAGAGTCTTACTCTCACTCAGGCTGGAGTGCAGTGGCACGGTCTCTGCTCACTGTACTCTGCCAAGTAGCTGGGACTACCGTGCGAGTTACCACGCCTAGCTACCTCTAAAATTTGTGGTAGAGGTGGGGTTCTCACCAGGTCACCATGTTGACCAGGCTGGTCTCGAACACCTGGGTTCAAGTGATCTGCCCACGTTGGCCTCCCAAAGTGCTGGGATTACAGGTGAGACACACCGCGCCCGGCCAGTTTTCTTAAATGAGCCCCATGTAGTGCTCTATCACTACACCCCAGAAAATATACCACAGTGTTTAAAATGTCCTATTCCATGCCGGGCGCGGTGGCTGACGCCTGTAATACCAGCACTTTGGAAGGCCGAGGCGGGCGGATCACGACGTCAGGAGATCGAGACCGTCCTGGCTAACACAGTGAAACCCCGTCTCTACTAAAAAATACAAAAAAAAAAAAAAAATTAGCTGGGCGTGATGGCGGCCACCTGTAGTCCCAGCTACTCCAGCTACTTGGGAGGCTCAGGCAGGAGAATGGCATGAACCTGGGAGGCGGAGCTTGCAGTGAGCCAAGATCTCGCCACTGCACTCCAGCCTGGGCAACAGAGCGAGACTCCGTCTCCAAAAAAAACAAAAAAAAAAGAAACAACTGTCAAAATCAGGAAAGTAACATTGACACATTACTTCCATATAATTATCAGATCCTCTTCAACTGTTGCTTATTATTATACCAGTTATATACTTTATAGCAAAAAGGATCCAGGTCAGAATCACACATTGCATTTATTTTTCATGTTGTCTTAGTCTCCTCCAGTCTGGTTGCTGAGAGTATGTTCCCCATAATATTAGGTATATGACTGAACAAGGATTAGGTGTTTGCTTCCTAATTGTACTGAAACCTGCTAAAGGAATTGTTATCTTGGGATTTAACTGGATTGGATACATCCAGCTAAATACATTGGATGTTTTGTATCTGAAACAGGTTGGAGCCAACTATGTGTGTTTTTTTTTTTTGTATGTGTGTGTTTTTTTTTTTTTTGTGTCTGATGATTTCATGTATTCCCTTCTCCACCCCACCAACTTCTAGATACATACTTTCCCAACATGCCTCCAACGCCCCCCCCTCCCCCCCCCCCCCCCCCCCGCTTAATTTCTGCGTCACGGGAAGCACGAGTTTCCGACAGGGAGGATTGATGTGTGCAGTTGATTTAATATGCAATCCTAAATCCGTCCACTGTTACAGTGCAGTGCAGTTGATTAGACTAGAGGCAGAGAGGCTTGGGGAGCATCTTTTTACTGTCGAGTGTCTCCAGGTGGCAATTGCTGTTGAAGTCTGAGGCACTCTGGGAGGTATCGCGTGGGTGGGGGGGGGTCTCCTAGTACCCAGGCAGAAAGTGGGAGGGGACAAGGGGACAGAGGGAGAAGGGGTGCAAAGGGGCGCAGCTTCACCTGGCCCAGCTACGGGATGCTTGGCTCCTGGCTTTGGGGTAGGGGCCGGGAGAGATGGGGGCAGCGCTAACAAAGAGGAGCCGAGTCGGGCCGGGTCCGCGGGTAGCGGGCCTATCCCGGTGGCTGACCTCCCTGTGGGCCTCCCCAGTTGGCTGTTTGGCGAGTCGCTCTGCTGGCTCCCTGGCTCGCCATTGGCTGTGCAGACAGGAGAGGGCTCGCGAAGAGCCAGGGTGGAGGTGAGGGGGCGGGGCTGGCTTCCGGCGGCGGCTGGGAGCAAGCGGCAGCCGGCTGGGGGAGGGGGTGTCGGCGCACCGCGGAGTCCTGCGCTCCGTGAGCCTGGCACCCGGAGCAGCCGCCTCCCCCTCCCCCTGCCTAGACCGCTAGAAGCCCCCTCTCTTCCATCCTCCCGGGGCGGGGGTGAGCTGGGCTCAGCTGCCCAAGGCGGGCGGGGCGGAGCCAGGAGCCCCACGGAGCGCTGCGGAGCGAACCTCACCTTTCCAGGGCGCAAGGTGTGTGTGTGCTTTTTCTAACGCGACCCCGACTTCAGCCGACTTAACCTTGTAAGAAAAGGGGAAATGGAACGGGAAATAATGTCTCTGGATCGCATCAGTTTATTTTGATTATCTGTTTCTACCCTTCATCATTTTTTTTCCTTCCCTTCATCTCACCCCTGCAGATGGGTAAGGAGATTCAGGACTCTTATCTCTTTTTACTGATGTGTCGATATCGGTCGCATAGTAAAATGCACAGAGAAGAAAAGAGGAGCCCTTTTTTGTGTGGTATCTGATGCAGTAAACCGTAATTTAAAAAAAAGAAAAGGCAAGCTAGGAGTGGATATTTGGAACTGTACTCCATGCGTGTCCATTAAGGTTGTCTTCACCATTTTCCTCCTTGGGACTGCCTTGATCAGCAATAACAATCTGAAAGGAGAGGAGGTGCTAGTGGAAAGAGGGAGCAGCCCCAGTCAAATGGTGGTTAAAGGAAATCCTGATAGTTGTTAGTGATTAACTCTGCTAAAGTCTCTTCCTGGAGTACATTGTCACCGGCTTTGTGTAGTAGCTCATCTCTGTTGGAGAAACCTGACTAGAGCAGGCAAACTTACCTTGCTGTTGCTGAAACTTAAAAGTCTTATCTTTTTCTCTGTTGGTATATTTCTTATATTCACAGACCCTCGGAGGGAGTAGTTTCTATCGTCAAAAACCAAAACCAAACTTAAAAAAACAAACCTCCAGATGTATTTTAGTTCGTGGGGGTTTTTTTGTTTTTGTTTTTGTTTTTTGAGACGAGTCTCGCTCTGTTGCCCAGGCTGGAGTGCAGTGGCGCGATCTCGGCTCACTGCAACCTCTGCCTCCAGGGTTCAAGCGATTCCCCTGTCTTAGCCTCCTGAGTAGCTGGGATTACAGGCGCCTGCCACCACACCTGGCTAATTTTTTGTATTTTTAGTAGTGACCGGGTTTCACCGTGTTAGCCAGGATGGTCTTGATATCCTGACCTCGTGATCCACCCGCCTCGGCCTCCCAAAGTGCTGGGATTACAGGCGTGAGCCACCGCGCCTGGCCTAAATGGGCATTTTCAACGAAACGTGTTTGGAGCAGGTTTATCTTAATGTTGATTAGCAAAGAGCTACAGTACCAAAAGGGATGAATATTTTTTTTTTTGGCAACACTTTGATAAATATTAATTAAAATGGTTCAGAGTTTATGTAATACAGGTTCAGTTTCCCACGATTGTTGTAACTGGGGTCCACTTTTGAAGACAGAATTGATACACTGGAGCTGTCTTACACTTTTGGCTAGATTAGTGATTTTTTTCTTTGCATTGATTTATTAGATCTCTAGACAATTAGGAGCAATTTGGGATGAAAGCAAGTATTATAAAAAATAGGGATAATGGGATAGGAAACCATTTCAGCTGTGGAAAGTAATAGGGATTACGAAGCTTACTTTACCTTTTTTAAAAAGAAGATTTCAAATACCTTAGAATAGACATGTTACTAAAAAGTAGATTCACAGTAATCCTGTGTCAGGTTTTGGGTTTTTATTACTCACTTGTCCCTTAAGGCTCCATGAGTTGTATTTAAATTGGGAGGGAAAGGGGATCCCCCAGATGTTGACTAGTTAACTTGCTACTGAGAGTGAACTGTTAAAAATCACTGATTGAAGCCTTTACAGTTAGCTAGTATATAAAACAGAGTTAGCTAGTATATAAAACAAAGTTAGCTAGTATATAAAACAAAGTTAGCTAGTATATAAAACAAAGTTAGCTAGTATATAAAACAGAGTTAGCTAGTATGTAAAACAAAGTTAGCTAGTATATAAAACAAAGTTAGCTAGTATATAAAACAGAGTTAGCTAGTATATAAAACAAAGTGCACTTTGATATCTAAGGTATAGGAAGCTGGGGAAGTGACCAAAAAAACCAGTTGGAAGGCGGGGTGCAATGGCTTGCTCCTGTAATCCCAGCACTTTGGGAGGCTGAGGTGGGTGGATCACTTGAAGTCAGAAGTTAAAGACCAACATGGTGAAAACCCCGTCTCTACCAAAACATAAAAAAATTAGCTGGGCGTGGTGGTGCACTCCTGTAGTCCCAGCTGCTTGGGAGGCTGAGGTGGGAGAATTGCTGGAACCCGGGAGGCAGAGGTTGCAGTGAGCCAAGGTTGTACCACTGCACTCCAACCTGGGTGACACAGTGAGACCCTGTCTCAAAAAAACAAAAACAAAAACAAAAAAAAACCAGTTGGAGGCTGTACAATTTCAACTTGCTTCTGTCAAAAAACAAGTTTGCCCTTCTATTTGATATCTGGGTGGTTTTTATGTTCTCTACCCATGGGTGAGCAGTAAGTACAGCTTTATAAAGTTATACTTCACTCACTTTTTTATATTACTATTTTTTAATTTTTATGTTTTGTAGAGAATAGGGTCTGGCTCTGTTGCCCAGGTTGGTCTCAAACTCCTGGCCTCAAGCAGCCCTCCCAGAGGCCTCCCAAAGTGTTGGGATTAAGGTGTGAGCCACTGCACCCCTCCACGCCCGATATTTCTATTTTTTTGACTGATTTGTGTGATCACTGTTTTGCATGGTGCAATAATTAGGGGTTCGTGAAAGAATTTTCCCAGGAGACAGAAGACTATGTATAGAACTAATCATAAATGTATTTGCACTGATGTTCAAATATCATTTAAGGGGCATGGAAATCCTGGAATTTGGTCATCTGCAAGGAAACAATTATAGAAAGCCATAATCTCTTAGGTTGAGGGGGCATAGTGCTGGTTGAGGTTAAAGCAGTTGATTTAATTTTCTTTAGCAGTCTGTTTTTATCCAACCTGCTTATTTCATTTCTCTCTCTCTCTCTTTTTTTTTTTTTTTTTGAGACGGAGTCTCGCTCTGTCACCCAGGCTGGAATGCAGTGGCACAATCTCTCTGCTCACTGCAGCCTCTGCTTCCCAGGTTCAAGCAGTTCTCCTGCCTCAGCCTCCTGAGTAGCTGGGACTACAGACACGCACCAGCACGCCTGGCTAATTTTTGTATTTTCAGTAGAGACAGGGTTTCACCATGTTGGCCAGGGTGGTCTCAAACTGACCTCAGATGGTCCACCTGCCTCGGCCTTCCACAGTGCTGGGATTACAGGCATGAGCCACCGTGCCCGGCCCATCCTGCTTATTTCTGTGAGTCACGGCTTGGAATGTGTTAAGAAAAAGGACTCTATGTTCTCTCTAAAGGGAGACTCGAGACTAATCCCCTGTTCACATCAGAAGTATAAAATGATCCCCTTGAGAAGGTGAAAGAAAAATATTGGGCCCTTGGCATTGCTTGATTCTCAGAATAATCAGCTTGAGTGTTGTAAGGTTTGGAATTGGGAAAAGCTTACTCTAGGTGAGAAAATATTAGAGGCACAGGAGACTCTGAGAATGCTCTGTCAATTGTCAGAGACTTATTTAGAACAATGGATGCATTCATATGGAGATGTGGGTGATGGTAGTTTTTAGCTTTTCAGCTTTTTCAGTCAGGTGTCAGAGACAATATTTTGTGTGTTTAAGCACAATCCCCTCCCCCAGGGTTTGACTCTTGGAAGCTGAATCTTTTGAGGAAGTTGTTTGCTATGAGTCTGAATCCTGAAAGTAGAGGACTTGATGGAGTCTGTAATCTGTTTACCACTCAGATGAGGATGTAGAATTTATTGTTGGTGAGTTACTGAACTCTTCCTAAAGAATGGTTGCTTAGGCAAATTTTCTCTCAATCAGTTTAACCCTTAGTAGTTTACAGTCTGTTCTCAGTGAAGGCCAGAGCTGTCTTTCTAATGATACTGTCCTTTAAGAATCCTTGTTGGATATGCATGTGTGTTGTTCAGTGGCTCAAAATAAAGGACTGGAATGATGTATGGTTCTCTCTTCATCCAGGACAATTTAGCTTTTGGTAACCTGGGCTGGCATTGTTATTAATTTCTCTCCTAGATCAAATGGTTGGTGGGGTTGCTTTCCAACGTTAAGACACCACTGTGTTTGATTATTTTGGTTTTGTAACTAATAGGGCAATGAGTAATGCATTCATTTTGGAAACAGGCCAGTGGTAACACAGCTCTTGGGCCTGCTGGACGTGTGGAAAAATAGGACAGAGTAAACAATTGAGGGCATAAATAATGAATCTTCCAACTGAGCCCTGGGAGAGTGAGGGAGATTATCCTCAGAGCTGTTCAGTCTGGCAGTAAAAGGGAAAGAGTCCACTGAATTAATTACCCAGACTGTATTTGATACTGCAGGAGGTATGAGATTGTCAAAACCATTCAAAACAAAGTTACCTTTCCGATACAAACTTTTAATCCATCTTTTTGTTTGTTTTAAACCAGACATTTGAATTGTTCATTTATTTTTTAGAGTCCAGGCCTTTGTATCTTCTTTAAACTTTGTTCTATATGTTAGCATTCTGTGAACACTTGATGGTCCTTTTGTTTAGTCAGATCTTAGAAGTTTACTTCATTAGAGATTTCATGATCTGTAAATACATAAAACGTCTCACAAAAGGTTAAGACAAGAGTTTGGGCCAGATGTGGTGACTCATGCTTGTAATCCCAACACTTCAGGAGGCTGAGGCGGACGGATCACTTGAGGCCAGGAGTTCAAGACCAGCCTGACCAACATGGTGAAACCTCATCTCTACTAAAAATATGAAAATTAGCTGGGCATGGTGGCACAGGCCTGTAATTCCAGCTACTCAGGAGGCTGAGGCAGGAGAATTGCTTGAACCCAGGAAGTGGGGGTTGCAGTGAGCTGAGATCGTTGGACTGCACTCCAGCCTGGGTGACAGAGTGAGACTCCACATAAAAGCAAAACAAACAAACAAAAAAACACACACACAAAAACAAGCGTTTCTTCAGCCCAAGAATCATTTCCAGTATTAAGATAAATATTTGCCAGGCGCGGTGGCTCACGCCTGTAATCCCAGGACTTTGGGAAGCTGAGGCAGGCGGATCACCTGAGTTCGGGAGTTCAAGACCAGCTTGACCAACATGGAGAAACCCCATCTCTATTAAAAATACAAAAATTAGCTGGGTGTGGTGGTGCGTGCCTATAATCCCAGCTACTTGGGAAGCCCAGGCAGGAGAATCGCTTGAACCCAGGAGGTAGAGGTTGCAGTGAGCCGAGATTGTGCCATTGCACTCCAGCCTGGGCAACAGGAACGAAATTCCATCTAAAAAAAAAAAAAGATAAAAAAAGATAAATAGTCTTACTTTTGGATAGTTTTTATCCAGTGAATTAAATGAACATCGGTCTCAGCATTTCTCTGAAGTAGGGAAAACTAATGGCCTGTGATTATCTAAATAACTTAAGTGATTTGGTAGTGAAGCCAGACCGAGAGCCAAGGTCTCTGAATTCTTCCTTTCTCTGAATTTCTAATATAGCTTATTATTTTCTCCAAGAAATTTCAGGAACCCTATTTGAAATGATTTGAAGTTTTCCTATATCTACCCTGAGAGGCTTTTTTTATCTTTCTGGTTGTGAAGGGGATCCAAACACCAGTATGCTATTATTAATCAAAAGAAGAATGCTCAAGATGAGGTATTGGAGAAAGAAAAAATAAAGTTGTTAAGAAAAGACCAACTTGAAGGTGATTTTATTTTGTTTTGTTTTGAGACAGGGTGCCGTCCCAATTATATTGCCCAGGCTGGCCTTGAACTCCCGGACTCAAGCAGTACTCCTGACCCAGCCACCGAAGGGACTACAGGTGTGCACCGTGGTGCCCGACTTCCAAATTGAAGTTTTATTATATTTGGTGCTGGTGGATCCCAGGAAGGAAATACTGGGCTGGTTAGATTAAATTCAGTCATGGACTGAGTTTGTTACATTGCGGCCTAACTGAAAAGGGCAGAGGGCATCTTTACCAAGATATGGACAAGACTCTAGTTAAGAGTTCATTCCTTAGATTCACAGAGACCAAAAAGTGGAAAAAACAAAAGTTCATTCCTGATCTTTGAAAAGTCTGTTATTGATTATACACACAAAAGGGCAAGCAGGCAAAGTATAGACAGGTGAAATCAATCCAAAGATATTCTCAAGGACACTTTTTTTTTTTTTAGTTGGAGTTTCACTCTTGTTGCCTAGGTTGGAGTGCAATGGCGCGATCTCGGCTCACTGCAATGTCCACCTCCCAGGTTCAAGCGATTCTCCTGTCTCAGCCTCCCAAGTAGCTGGGATTATAGGAATGTGCCACCACATGCACCATGTGCCCAGCTAATTTTGTATTTTTAGTAGAGATGGGGTTTCTCCATGTTGGTCAGGCTGGTCTCGAACTCCCGACCTCAGGTGATACGCCCACCTCCACCTCCCAAAGTGCTGGGATTACAGGCGTGACCCACCGTGCCCTGCCTCAAGGGCACATTTTTAGGCAACAGCTTTAACTTCCTCTGGTTTTTAACTGAGGTTTTCTAGGCATACAGACTACTGAAAAATTTGTTTTTTTCTTTGGTCATTCAACTAAGCAGTAGGCAAGATAGCCAAGAACCTGTATTACACTTAGTTTTGTTTTGAGACAGAGATCCCACTTTTTTGTGTTTCTCTTTCTTTCTTTTTTTTTTTGAGACAGGTTCTCACTGTGTCATCCAGGTTCGAATATAGTGTGATCACGGCTCACTGCAGTCTCCACCCCTTGGGCTCAGGCAGTCTTCCCATCTCAGCCTCTTTTATTTTTTTTGAGATGGGAGGCTTGCTCTGTCACCCAGGCTGGAGTTCAGTGGCATGATCTCGGCTCACTGTAACCTCCACCTCCTGGGTTCAAGTGATTCTTGTGCCTCAGCCTCCTGAATAGCTGGGATTACAGGCATGTACCACCACACCAGGCTAATTTTTGAATTTTCAGTAGAGACGGGGTTTCACCATGTTGGCCAGGTTGGTCTCGAACTTCTGGCCTCAAGTGATCTGCCTGCCATGGCCTCCCAAAGTGGTGTGAGCCACCATGCCCGGCCCATCTCAGCCTCTTGAGTAGGTAGGACCACAGGTTCGCATCATCATGCCTGGCTACTTTTTTCATTTTTTATAGAGACGGGGTCTCCCTATGTTGTCCAGGTTGGTCCCAAACTCCTGGGCTCCAATGATCCTCCCACCTTGGCCTCCCAAGTGCTGGGATTAGAACCATGAGCTATCATGTCCAGACTACACTTAGTTTCTTTCTTTTTTTTTTTCCTGAGATGGAGTCTCGCTCTGTCGCCCAGACCAGAGTGCAGTGGCGTGATCTCGGCTCACTGCAAGCTCTGCCAATGGGGTTCACGCCATTCCCCCGCCTCAGCCTCCCGAGTAGCTGGGACTATAGGTGCCTGCCACCACGCCTGGCTAATTTTGTTTCTGTATTTTCAGTAGAGATGGGGTTTCACTGTGTTAGCCAGGATGGTCTCGATATCCTGACCTTGTGATCTGCCCACCTTGGCCTCCCAGAGTGCTGGGATTATAGGCGTGAGCCACCGCACCCGGCCTGCACTTAGTTTCTTAATCATCAAAAGTAGTATATAACTCAGTACTGGACCTAGAAAAATTCAGCTCAATGTAGTATCCTTGGGACAGTTTGTTTTATTTAATACTAAATATAAAATCTATATTAGAGGCCAGGCATGGTGGCTCATGCCTGTAATCCCAGCACTTTGGGAGGCCGAGGTGTGTGGATCACAAGGTCAAGAGATCAAGGCCATCCTGGCCAACATAGTGAAACCCCTTCTCTACTAAAAAATACAAAAGTTAGCTGGGCGTGGTGGCGCGTGCCTGTAGTCCCAGCTACTCGGGAGGCTGAGGCAGGAGAATCGCTTGAACCCGAGAGGTGGAGGTTGCGGTGAGCCGAGATCGCGCCACTGCGCTCTAGGCTGGCGACAGGGCGAGACTGTGCCTGAAAAAAAAAAAAAATCTGTATTAGCATTCTCCAGAGAAACAACCAGTAGGGTAAATATATAAGAGGGGATTAGGACTTGGCTCATTTAGTTATGGAGGCTGAGAAGTTCCACAATATGCTGTCTGCAAGCCCGAGAACCAGGAAAGCTGGTGGTGTCATTCAGTCTGAGACCAAAGGCCTAAGAACTAGGAGCTCTGATTGCCAAGGGGAGGAGAAGATAGATGTCCTGGTTCCCGAAGAGACCTGACCTTTGTTACTTAATCACACTGAGGTGCTATGGAGAATTAAAATCTTTCAAGTAAGTCATACGTAAACTAGCTTTTGATACTGAAATGTCATTTTTGTTTGTTTTTTGCTTTTTGGTTTTTTTTTTGAGACGTGGTCTTGCTCTGTCACCCAGGCTGGAGCGCAGTGGCATGATCTCGGCTTACTGCATCCTCTGCCTCCCAGGTTCAAAAAGTTCTCTGCCTCAGCCTCCCAAGTAGTTGGGATTACAGGCACCTGCCACCACACCCAGCTAATTTTTTTGTATTTTTTTAGTAGAGATGGGGTTTCACCATCTTGGCCAGGCTGGTCTTGAACTCCTGACCTCTTGATCCACCCGTCTCGGCCTCCCAAAGTGCTGGGATTACAGGCGTGAGCCACCGCACCTGGCTGAAATGTCTTCATTGTTGGTGTCTTCTGACCCCATAGTATATGTAAATAATTCATCATATGTGGGTGAGCTGTTGGTAGCTAAGCCAAAGAAACAAACTGCAGCCAGACACAGTGGCTTATGCCTGTAATCCCAACACTTTGGGAGACTGAGGCAGGAGGATTGCTTGAGCCCAGGAGTTTGAGACCCGCCCAAGCAAGATGGTGAGACCCTCTCTATAAAAAAATTAGGTGGGTGTGGTGATGTGTGCCTGTACTCCCAGCTACTTGGGAGGCTGAGATGGAAAGATCCCTTGAGCCCAGGAGTTCGAGGTTGCAGTGAGCTGCTATCCCAAGTAGTGAGAGAGCAGGGTGAGAGAGCAGGACCGTGTCTCTAAAAAGAAAAAAGAAGAACCTGGGTACGGTGGCTCATGCCTGTAATCTCCACACTTTGGGAGGCCAAGGTGGGCAGATCACTTGAAGTCAGGCATTCGAGACCAGCCTGGCCAACCTGGTGAAACACTGTCTCTACTAAAATTCAAAAATTAGCCAGGCATGGTGGCATGCACCTGTAATCCCAGTTACTCAGGAGGCTAAGGCAGGAGAATTGCTTGAACTTGGGAGGTGGAGGTTGCAGTGAGCCGAGATTGCACCACTGTACTCCAGCCTAGGCAACAGAGTGGGACTCCCTCTCAAAAAAAAAAAGAAAAAGCAAAGAAACAAACCTCTCTTCTTAACCAAAGCAAAGTTTTCTAACACTGGGCAATACTTGCTAATAATCAGAGCTGTTGGCTGAAATGAAATCCATTTAGAATAGTCAGTGTGTGATGAAAGTAGTACTGTCATCACTTTGTTGTTGTTTTTGCAGTTGTATAATTTTATTTGATGACCAGTGGTTAGTTCTTATCCACATGGAGTGTCTGTAGATTTTGAAAGTGGTAACAGGTACATAAGTAACCAAAGTATAGAGCTTGTTTTAGTGAATTTTTATCTTCATTACATTTTCTGGACAACCACGCAGGGATACACTGTGTGAGACATTCCTTATTCCTTTGGCCCAGACAGCTTTGTTGAGCCTGCTATCAATGTGTGCATCTGGGGTCCTCATCTCCCTCATGGCAAATTTCCAGATCTCTTTGAGTGCCTGAGGGGCTTGCTTCTTAGAGGCTCACTCCATGAATGCACTTGTGAATCTCAATAGTGTATTCTTGGGTTACCACCTGGTTGATGGCAGAACAGCCTTTCTTCTTACCACCCTTTGCGGGAGCCATTCTGCTAGGCCCAAATTGGAAAGCAGTCATCACTTTAAAGCTGGGGGTTTCTGGCTGGGCGCAGTGGCTCATGTCTATAATCCCAGCACTTTGGGAGGCCGAGGTGGGTGGATCACTTGAGGTCAGGAGTTTGAGACCAGCCTGGCCAACATGGTGAAACCTTATCTCTACTAAAAATACAAAAATTAGTGGGGTGTGGTGGCAGACACTTGTAATCCCAGCTACTCGGGAGGCTGAAGCAGGAGAATTGCTTGAACCTGGGAGGCAGAGGTTGCAGTAAGCCGAGATCGCACCATTGCCGATCACACCATTGCACCTGGGCCACAGAGTAAGACTCTTTCTCAGAAAAAAAAGCTGGGGGTTTCTTTAAGTGCTGTTTGCTGGGAAGATATTACCTGAACAATCACTTTTTTTCTTTTTCTTTTTTTCTTTTTTTTTTTTTGCATTCAGCAAAGTGTTTTTGAGGATCAGTTGCTGAACTGAATGAAAATCAGATTTTATGCCACTTGCAGAATTGGGATGATTTAGACAACATTCGTGTTGCTTCAAAGGAGAAGCATAAGCATTATTAGTCATAACTTAAGATTTACTTCCTTCCAAAAGCTAAGCACTTCTACCATTGGCATTTTATTTATCTTCATTCTTATTATGTAAAGGATAGGACTTAATCTACTTTAAAAGGAAAGATATATCAAGTCTGTGAGAAGTTGAAGACAGCTCATCCTAAATTAGGAGGGAAAAGTCCCATTTACTGGGTTCCTGTATGGACCCTCTGCCTTACCCAGCTATTCAGCTGGGAATGGTTTTACTAGAAGAAGAAGAACAACAATAATAATAATAATAATAGTAAAGTGCTGGGATTACAGGCGTGAGCCACCATGCCCAGCCTGTTTTACTATTATGAAGACATTAATTTAGCAGCTGTAAAGATACTGGTTTGGCTTTTGCTTATCTTACTCTCCCAGAACTTTTTCTTTTCTTTTTTTTTTTTTTTTTTTGAGACGGAGTCTCGCTGTCGCCCAGACTGGAGTGCAGTGGCATGATCTTGGCTCACTGCAGCCTCCGCCCCCCGGGGTTCACACCATTCTCCTGCCTCAGCCTCCTGAGTAGCTGGGACTACAGGCGCCCGCCACATCGCCCGGCTAATTTTTTGTATTTTTAGTAGAGACGGGGTTTCACTGTGTTAGCCAGGATGGTCTCGATCTCCTGACCTCGTGATCCGCCCGCCTTGGCCTCCCAAAGTGCTGGGATTACAGGCGTGAGCCACTGCGCCTGGTCTTTTTTTTTTTCTTTGAGACGGAGTCTCGCTCTGTCGTCCAAGCTGGAGTGCAGTGGCACGATCTCGGCTCACTTTAACCTCCACCTCCCAGGTTCAAGCAATTCTCCTGCCTCAGCCTCCTGAGTAGCTGGGTTACAGGCGCCTGCCACCACGCCCAGCTAATTTTTGTATTTTTAGTAGAGATGGGGTTTCACCATGTTGGTCAGGCTGGTCTCGAACCCCTGACCTTGTGATCCACCCGCCTCGGCCTCCCAAAGTGCTAGGATTACAGGTGTGAGCCACCGCGCCTGGCCAACTTTTTTTTTTTTTTTTTTTTTCAACAAAATGTGGAACTAGTAGCTTAATTAAGAATCCACATCTTAGTTTTAACTTGTCTTGCCAGGTGTTACTGTGCATTCACTAAAGTGCTTTACAAAATATTTTAATATTTGGCCTATATTTAGTGAGGTATGGTGCAATTGGAGAGTGATACTGTGTTAGAACTTTTCTCCAGAGAGACAAAAAGAACCTTTCATTTTAAGAAAAGTCCTTTGACTATTTCCATAGTCCCTGGCAAAATTAAGTTGGAAAAGGCAGCTTTTTCAGCCAGATATATTTTTATTTTTGCCTCTTCTCCAAGCTGAACCAGTGTCCCAACTGAAATGTGTCATTCTTATCAGTGATAGTATATTTTGGGAGAAATTGTTCCTTAGTGCGCCTAGAAGTAAGAAGCTTATGCCACTTCAGCCTGCACATCAATTTTAATAGCTCTCTAAAATTGTTTATACCAACTCCCTCCACCTCACATCTGTCCACATCTGCTCATCTTTCAGTTCCTCACAACTAGTTAAGAAAGTCTCATAGGCCGGGTGCGGTGGCTCACGCCTGTCATCCCAGCACTTTGGGAGGCCAAGGCATGCAGATCACCTGAGGTCGGGAGTTCGAGACCAGCCTGACCAACATGGAGAAACCCCGTCTGTGAAAAATACAAAATTAGCCAGGTGTGGTGGCTCATGCCTGTAATCCTAGCTACTCGGGAAGCTGAGGCAGGAGAATCGCTTGAACGCGGGAGGCGGAGGTTGCTGTGAGCCGAGATCGTGCCATGGCACTCCAGCATGGGCAACAAGAGTGAAACTCCGTCTCAAAAAAAAAAAAAAGAAAGTATCATTGCTCAACCAGAGAAATGCCAGTCTTTATCAAAGTCATAGTTACATACAACAGCAGTCTTTGGTATGTGTGGAAGTTTGCATTACTTTGTTTTCTTATTGTTTAAAGAGCCTTTCTTGCCAGGTGTGGTGACTCACACCTATAATCCTAGAACTTTGGGAGGCCAAGGCAGGAGGATCTCCTGAGCCTAGGAGTTCAAGACCAGCCTGGGCAACAGCCGAGATCTTGTTTCTACAAAAAATAAAATAATTACCTGAGTGTGGTGGCAATCACCTGTAGTCCCAGCTTACTCAGGAGATTGAGGCAGGAGGATCACTTGAGCCTAGGAGTTTGAGGCTGCAGTGAGCTATAGTGGTGCAACTGCACTGAAGCCTGGGTGACAGAGTGAGCCCTGTCTCTTAAAAAAAGAAAGTTTTGGCTGGGCGCGGTGGCTCACGCCTGTAATCCCAGCACTTTGGTAGGCCGAGGTGGGCGGATCACGAGGTCAGGAGATCGAGACCATCCTGGCGAACACTGTGAAACCCCGTCTCTACTAAAAATACAACAACAACAAAAAAAAATTAGCCGGTCGTGGTGGCAGGCGCCTGTGGTCCCAGCTACTTGGGAAGCTGAGGCAGGAGAATCGCTTGAACCCGAGAGGCAGAGGTTGCAGTGAGTTGAGATCGCACCACTGCACTCCAGCTTGGGCGACAGACCGAGACTCGGTCTCAAAAAAAAAAAAAAAAAAGTTTTTCTGTGTTACAAAAACAAGAGGCCAGTCGCGGTGGCTCACACCTGTAATCCCAGCACTTTGGGAGGCCGAGGTGGGTGGATCATGAGGTCAAGAGATCGACACTATCCTGGTCAACATGGTGAAACCCCGTCTCTACTAAAAATACAACAATTAGCTGGGCATGGTGGTGTGCGCCTGTAGTCCCAGCTACTTGGGAGGCTGAGGCAGGAGAATTGCTTGAACCCGGGAGGCGGAGGTTGCAGTGAGCCGAGATCGTGCCACTGCACTCCATCCTGTCAACAGAGTGAGACTCCATCCCAAAAAAAGAAAAAAAAAACAACAGGATTCCATTCTTGAAAACAAGTTGATAAATTGCTTTTTATTAAAGGTGCAAGTGGCCTGGTGTGGTGGCTCACGCCTGTAATCCCAGCACTTTGGGAGGCCGAGGCGGGTGGATCACGAGGTCAGGAGATCGAGACTATCCTGGCTAACACGGTGAAACCCTGTCTCTACTAAAAATACAAAAAATTAGCCGGGCATAGTGGCGCTACTCAGGAGGCTGAGACAGGAGAATAATGTGAACCCGGGAGGCGGAGCTTGCAGTGAGCCGAGATCGCGCCACTGCACTCCAGTTTGGGCGAGAGAGCAAGACTCCGTTTCAAAAAAAAAAAAAGGGGGTGCAAGTGCCTAAGTATTAAACTTCACATGAGAAAACAAAAACTGTATTAGTTATGGTTAAGTGCTTTTTAAAAAATTACCTAATTAAAAGCTGTGCTGCTGTCTTGCACTGAAACTAACAGGTAAACCATGGAGAAACTGTAGTTTCTTAGTGAGGATTGCTCTGACTATGCTGTTTAAAATTATTACCCTACCCAGTACTTTCTATTTCCTTACACTGCTTTATTTATTTAATTTGTTATTATTATTTTTGAGACAGGGTCTTACTCTGTTTGCCCGGGCTGGAGTGCAGTGGCATGATCTTGGCTCACTGCAGCCTCAACCTCCTGGGCTCAGGTGATTCTCTGACCTTAGCCTTCCAAGTAGGTGAGATTGTAGGTGCACGCCATCACACCCGGCTAATTGTTTGTATTTTTAGTAGGTTTTGCTCTTGCCAGGCTGGTCTCAAACTCTTGGACTCCTGCAGTCTGCTCACCTCAGCCTCCCAGAGTGTTGAGATTACCAGTGTGAACCACCGCGCCTGACCTATTTATTTTTCATATTTTTTTCGTAGCGTTTATTACTCTTTTTGTGTGGCTGGGGGACCGGGTCTCACTGTCACCCAGGCTGGAGTGTAATGGCACGATCATGGCTCCTTGCAGCCTCCACCCCTGGGGCTCAAGTGATCCTCCCATCTCAGCCTCCTGTGGAGCTGGGACCAAAGGTGCACACTACCACACCTGGCTAATTTTTTTTTTGTAGAGATGGGGTCTCCCTATGTTGTCCAGACTGGTCTTGCTCTTGGGCTCAAGCAGTCCTCCTGCCTCAGCCTCCTAAATTTCTGGGATTACAGGCATGATCCGTGATGGCTGTCCAGTTTCTAGTATCTTTATATGTGAAAATGGGGCTGATGATACATACCCAACCTATCTCAAAGGGCATCTTGAGAAGATGGAGAGAGAATCATGTGAAAAAGCACTTTGAAAATTGTAAAACTCCCTACAAATGTAAGATATTGTTAATGACCTTACAAAAACCACCTTTTTAAAATGATTTGGAATCATAGACTCTAAAAGTTGATTCTAGTGGTCTAGTCCAAATTCTTAGCTACTGAAAAAAACCCTTTTCCATAATTCCTGATGAATGATAATTGCTTTTGCTTCAGTATTTCTCTATTGCTGTTGAACAAGATCAAATTGTTCTTTATGTTCACTTAAAATTGCCCTTCTTCAAAAACTTTATTAACTTATTTTTTATCTCTGGAGCTCAGAGACAGATCTGCTTCCTCCTTTATATGATAGCCCTTTTATGACATGCTCATTTGAGATCTTCATCATCTCACCTCAAAATCGCAATAGCCAGCCAGCCGCTGTGGCTCATGTCTGTAATCCCAGCACTTTAGGAAGCTGAGGTGGGCAGATCAGTTGAGGCCAGGAGTTCAAGACCAGCCAACAACAAAACCCCATCTCTACTAAAAATACAAAAATTAGCTGGGTGTGGTGACTTACGTCTGTAATCCCAGCTACTCGGGAGGCTGAGGCAAGAGAATCACTGAAGCCCAGGAGGGGAAGGTTGCAGTGAGCTGAGATCGCACCATTGTACTCTAGCCTGGGTGACAGAGCGAGATCCTTGTCTCAAAAAAAAAAAAAAAAAAAAAAAAAGCAATAGCCACTTAACTGGCTTCTACCATCTCCTGTTTTTCTTTCACACTTGAAGAAGATTTATTCTAAATAGACATCTGATAATGTTACTTGCCTTAAAACCTATCCCTATCTCCCCATGGTTTTCAGAGAAGTCTGACATTAGCAAATAATAGTTATAACTGCCGTCAAGCATAGGCAGTGTACTAACCACTTTGCAAATACCATCTCATTTAATCCTCACAATTATTCTGAAAGGTGTTGGGTCCACTTTCTTTCTTTCTTTTTTTTTTTAATCTTTGCTGTTGAAGTAGATCAACAATGCCATTTGCCTGTTGAAAAATAAGATTTTTCCAGGATTTTGTTAAAAGAAGATAAATTGTTAGTATAACAGTAGCTTCTGTCTTTGCATACTGTCTCTTCTTACTACTACACACTGGTGGCACATGATGCATTTAGTGCATAGTAGCATGGTGTGGAGATCAGACCACAGTGCTTTACTTTAGCGCATCCAGGGGAAATTTAACAATTCTCAGTAACTCTCAGCCTTAATGGGCTTGTTTATTGTTAAAATTCATCTTTATCAAAGGAAGCACCAGTTAATGATTTTTCTCCTGGCCCAACATGCTGGGTATTAACTGGAATTGCTGAGTGATTTGCAGTGGGGAAACCATGAGAGCAATTTCATGTTTGTCCACAAATTATCATTAGCAGTTTCATTTGCAGATTGAAGAAGCAGGAGGAATGGGCTCTTTGCCAGTTACAGCTTCCCTCCGCTTAGGGTGTTAGTTCAATTATGTCCAATTAACTTTTATTGCAGATAGTGATGATAATTACTTGCAAGTCAGTTTTTGGCTGCAGTTAAACCAAGACTGAAGTATGAACTTGATGGATTTTAATAACCGGTATGACACATTTCACACCCTCACTCCACTGCAGTTATTTCTTTTTCCAGGCCTCTTTTAGACAAGAAGTCAAAGCATTGAAAAGTCCATCTCACAATTAAAACATACTGTCCTTCCTTGGAAGAGACTTATAGGATCATATTTTAAAATAATCTATTAGGAGCAGTCTTAATGGCTTTTTACATTCTGAGATCATACCCTTGAGTTCACTGTTGCTTATCATAGGAGAATAGACTGAGATTAACTAAATGTCATTCATAGCAATATATGCTAATTTTAAGATTATAGTAATTGGCAAGGTACAATCTGGTTTTCTGATTGCGTTTTAAATTCTCTTCTAAGTGCAAAAGAAAACTTGGTTTGGACACTTTAAAAGTCTGTAGGACATTGGCTGTAATCCAGTGCCTGTAATCCCAGCATTTTGGGGGGATGAGGTGGATTGCTTAAACCCAGGAGTTTGAGACCAGCCTGGGAAACATGGTGAAACTCCTTCTCTACAAAAAATATTTTAAAAAATTAGCTGGGTGTGGTGGCACATGTCTGTAGTCCCAGATGCCCAGGAGGCTGTGGTGGGAGAATCACCTGAGCCCGGGAAGTCGAGGCTGCAGTGATTGCATCACTGTGCTCCAGCCCGGGCAACAGAGTGAGATGCTGTCTTAAAAACAAAAGAAGTCTGGGTGCGGTGGCTTACACCTGTAAGCAGTTTGGGAGGCCGAAGCAGGAGGATCACTTGAGGTCAGGAGTTCGAGACCAGTCTGCCCAACACGGCGAAACCCTGTCTATACTAAAAATACAAAAGTTAACTGGGCACGATGGCATGTGCCTGTAATCCCATCTACTTGGCAGGCTGAGGTGGGAGAATCGCTTGAAGTGGAGGTTGCCGTGATATGAGATCCCATCACTGTACTCCAGGGTAGGTAACAGAGGAGGACTGTCTCAAAAAGAAAAGGAAATCAATAGGACACTGAGGACACGTCTCTTTTGCTGTATAGGAATTTTAGGGTTTTTTTTTTTTTTTGAAACAGGGTCTCACTCTATTGCCCAGGCTGAAGTGCAGTGGTGTGATCTTGACTCACTGCAACCTTGGCCTCCCTGGTTCACGTGATTCTCCTGCCTCAGCCTCCCAAGTACCTGGGATTACAGGCGCGTGCCACCACACCTGTCTAATTTTTGTATTTTTAGTGGAGATGGGGTTTCACCACGTTGGCCAGACTGGTCTCAAACTCCTGATCTCAAGTGATCTGCCCACCTCAGCCTCCCGAAGTGCTGGGATTACAGGCATGAGCCACCATGCCCAGCTAGTATGTTATTTTAATAGAAAGTTACATATTTTTGGAAGTAACCCTTATAAGATGGATAAAGAGGGATAGAAACAAGGGACATAATTTGCCTTTCTTGAAGAAGAAGACTTGTAGGTCCCCTTCTGCTTTCTTCAAACTTTCCTGTCAGTATTGTTTTTTGAAGGTTACCCTGAAAAGTGGACTTACAAGCAAAATATTTTTAAAATTTTAATTTTATTTGGATTTTTTTGTTACTTCTTAAAATGTTGTGGGTATAAGCAAAATCTTATCTCTTTAAAATGCAAAAGACAGGCCGGGCACTGTGGCTCATGCCTGTAATCCCAGCACTTTTGGAGGCTGAGGCGGGCAGATCATTTGAGGTCAGGAGTTTGAGACCATCCTGGCCAACATGTTGAAACCCCGTCTCTACTAAAAATACAAAAATTAGCCGGGCATGGTGGCACGTGTTTGTAGTCCCAGCTACTTGGGAGGCTTGAGGCAGAAGAATTGCTTGAACCCGGGAGATGGAAGTTGCTGTGAGCCGAGATCGCACCACTGCACTCCAGCCTGGGTGACAGAGCAAGACTCTGTCTCCAAAAAAAAAAAAAGCAAAAGACAAGTAGATTCCAGCTGGTGCTGTTATTAGATTTGCAGGTGACTTGCTGCTGTTTTCATTTTGGATGTTGCCTGCCTTCGTATCCTTTGTTGTTGTGTACTCTTTCTAAGGGTGTATCAGTTTCCTTGGATATCTTCATGGGCTTGGCTGCATAAAAATTTGGTTGAGCCGGGAGCCGTGGCTTACGCCTGTAATCCCAACACTTTGGGAGGCCGAGGCAGGCAGATTACCTGAGGTCGGGAGTTTGAGGCCAGCCTGACCAACATGGAGAAACCCTGTCTCTACTAAAAATGCAAAAAAAATTAGCCTGGCGTGGTGGTGCATGGCTGTAATCCTAGCTACTTTGGAGGCTGAGGCAGGAGAATTGCTTGAACCCAGGAGGTGGAGGTTGCAGTGAGCCCGTATCGCACCATTGCACTCCAGCCTGGGCAACAAGAGTGAAACTCTGTCTCAAAAAAAAAAAAAAAAAAAATTGGTTGAGTATGGCAGAATATGACAATGCATTTTAAGAGCCTATTTTTTGTTAATGTTTGTTTAAAGTAGGGGATAAGTTGATGGCTGCTTGCAGAAGGGTCATAACACACTTGTTCTACCTCTAGAACTTCCCAGGCCTCACTAACAATGAAAGAAGAGGAAAGGGGGAGTATATAAACATCATCCTTGTAGTACAAAGCTTTTCATTGGTTACTGAAAACCATTCTGCTATAGAATAGCTAAGTCCCTGCTGGCCAGCTGCTGTTGGTGTGAAAGTGGAGAAGCTAGCTATAGTGGGTACTTTTCAGGAAGTTGGAGATAAAGTTTATGATGTCATTTGAAACTTTTTGGATGATGTGAGGAAAGAATGTCAAAACGGTTAACACTCTGGAAGATATAAGAAGGCTTTCTTTTAAAATATAAGAGAGTTTGCATGACACTTGAGGTTCTGGATGTGTGTTTAGAAGGAAGGACCTTGAGAAACTCTTACTAAAATGTGAACATGGGGTGGGCATGGTGGCTCACAACTGCAATCCCAGCACTTTGGGAAGTCAAGACAGGAGGATTGCTTGAGCCCAAGAGTTCAAGACCAGCCTGGGCAACATAGTAAGACCCTGTCTCTACAAAAAACTTTAAAATTAGCCAGGTGTGGTGGTGCATGCTTGTAGTCCCAACTGTTGGGTGGGGGTGTTGGGGGTTGGGGAAGACTGAGGTGGGAGCAGTTGAGCCCAGGAGGTCGAGGCTGCAGTTGTGGTCACACTACTGCACTGAATGAAGCCTGGACAACAGAGTGAGACCCTATCTTAAAAAAAAAGATGAAAAAATGAAAAGTGAACATGGCAGTTAAAGAGATGGTGGTGAATGTCAGGTATGAAGAAGGGAGGATCATTAACAGCTCCTCCTTCAAGATAGACATTTCTCTTTCTGTTTGTTTCTTCTTTCTTTTTTTTTTTTTTTTTTGAAATAGGGCCTCGCTCTGTCACCCAGGCTGGAGTGAAATGATGTGATGTTGGCTCACTGCAACTTCCACCTCCTGGGTTCAAGCAGTTCTCGTGCCTTGGCCCCCCAAGTAACTGGGATTAAAGGCACATGCCACCACACCTGGCTAATTTTTGTATTTTTCGTAGAGATGGGGTTTCACCATGTTGCCCAGGGTGGTATTGAACTCCTGACCTCAGGTGATCCACCCGACTCACCCTCCCAAAGTGCTAGGATTACAGATGTGAGCCACTGCGCCCAACTTGTTTGTTTCTTCTTTCTTGAGACAGGGTCTCACTCTGTCGCCCAGGCTGGAGTGCAGTGGCACGATGACGGCTCACTGAAGCCTCAAACTCTTGGGTTTAAGAAATTCTCCCACCTTAGCTCCCAAGTAGCTGGGACTGCAGGCACACACCACCACAACTGGCTAATTTTTTTTTTTTTTTTTTTTGAGACAGAGTCTTGCTGGGTCGCCCAGGCAGGAGTGCAGTGGCGCAATCTCGGCTCACTGCAAGCTCCGCCTCCCAGGTTCACGCCATTCTCTTGCCTCAGCCTCCTAAGTAGCTAGGACTACAGGCGCCTGCCATCACGCCCAGCTAATTTTTTTGTATTTTTAGTAGAGACGGGGTTTCACCGTGTTGGCCAGGATGGTCTCGATCTCCTGACCTCGCGATCCGCCCGCCTTGGCCTCCCAAAGTGCTGGGATTACAGGCGTGAGCCACTGCGCCTGGCCTACACCTGGCTAATTTTTTTAGACATGGTCTCACTTTGCTATCCAGGGTGGTCTCAAATTCCTGGGCATGGCCAGGCACAGGTGGTTCACACCTTTAATCCCAGCACTTTGGGAGGCGAAGGCGGGCAGATCACCTGAGGTCAGGAGTAGGAGACTAGCCTAGCCAACATGGTGAAACCCAGTCTCTACTAAAAATACAAAAATTAGCTGGGCGTGGTGACACGTGCCTGTAATCCCAGCTGCTCAGGAGACTGAGGCAGGACAATCACTTGAACCCAGAAAGTGGAGGCTGTAGTGAGCCGAGATCGCACTCCAGCCTAGACTCTGTCTCAAAAAAAAAAAAAAAAAAAAAAATTCCTGGGCTCAAGTGATTCTCCTGACTCAATCTCCCAAAGAGCTGGGATTGCAGTCATGAGCCACTGCACCTGGCTTAGGGTAGGTGTTTTTTTGTTTTTTGTTTTTTGTTTTTTGCTTTCCAATGGCGAAATTCTCTATCTTTAGAATAAGGGAGTCCATGAATGCTCACAGTGGAAGCATTCCCAGAACAGAGTGGAAGTAGGGAGATAATTTGAAGTATAGGCACTGGAGAAAATGTTATTCAAAAAACTGTTGAGAAGAAATTGGAAGTTGATGAGGCAGAAAGATACAGGAAACCTATTCCAAGTGGCAAGAACCCCAGTGGCACACTCACCAATTTAGAGATGTCTTCTCCATTAAGATAAATGAGAATAGTTGCTAACAGACCACTCTCATCTCTTTTTGATCTCCAACCCCACCCTTTCTAGACTTCAACCTTGTATTTTTTTAAAATAAAAAAATTTGTCCAGGCACAGTGGCTCACACCTGTAATCCCAGCTTTTGGGAGGCCGAGGTGGGCAGATCACGACATCAGGAGATCGAGACCATCCTGGCTAGCCCAGTGAAACCCCGTCTCTACTAAAAATACAAAAAAAAATTAGCTGGGCGTGGTGGCGGGCACCTGTAGTCCCAGCTACGCCGGCTACTCAGGAGGCTCAGGCAGGAGAATGGCGTGGACCTGGGAGGCGGAGCTTGCAGTGAGCCAAGATCTCGCCACTGCACTCCAGCCTGGGCAACAGAGCAAGATTCTGTCTCTAAAAAAAAAAAAAAAAAAAAAAAAAAAAAAAGTGAAACAATTTGAAATATATAGAACAGTTGTAAGTATGCTAGAAATAATTTTTTTTCTTTCAATCATTTGACAGTGTTGCTGACCTGATGTTCCATCATCCTTGAATACTTTAGTATTTCCTATAAACAAGGGGCATTCTCCAACTTTACCACAATACAACTGTCAAAATCAGGAAAGTAACATTGACACATTACTTCCATATAATTATCAGATCCTCTTCAAATGTTGCTTGTTATTATACCAGTTATATGCTTTATAGCAAAAAGGATCCAGGTCAGAATCACACATTGCATTTATTTTTCATGTTGTCTTAGTCTCCTCCAGTCTGGAACAGTTTCTTCAGGCCTTCTTTGATGTTCATAACCTTGATGCTATTAAGTTATTTTGTAGAAAGTCCCTCAATTTGGACTTGTCTGGTGGTTCCTTGTGTTTAATTTAGGTAACATATCTTCAACAGGAATATCACAGGAGTGATGCTGTGTTCTTCACTGCATGATTTCAAAAGGTACAGAATTTTGATTTGTATCGTTACTGATAATGTTTGATCACTTGATTAAGGTGGTGTTTGCTAGGCTTTTCCTAAGTAAAGTTACTCATTTTCCCTTTGTAATTAGTATTTTTAGGAGACAGGGCTTAGAAACTATACAAATATTGCATTCCTTTTCAGCCTTCCAATGTATTTGTTTACATTAGTATGAACTAATGATTTCTTGTTTTATTCAATGAAATATCATCTTTTATTATTTATTTTGATGCTCAGATTATTCCCGATTTGGCCAGTAAATCAAGAAAAAAAATTATATAAATATATGTTTAATCATAAAAATGCCCAAATAATCTGCCATTCTTTTATTTCAATAGGTTGACAGATAAATACTCCCCAAACTAACACCTTACAGGCAATGGTAGAAAAGAAAAATTCACAACTGTTGTATTCTGGTAACATGCCTGCTTTACCCAGTGTACCCACTCAATGTCTTCTCTAATTTCTACTGTGTAAACTTCTGTCTCTGGGGTTTCCCTCACCAACTAAGCATCTTGTGCCTTCTTTGTCCTTTGATATTTCACTGTTATTCTTTGAGCACTTCCTTTCCTGCACAATAAGATATATTAGACTCATCTAGTACTTTCTCTGCCTCAGTCAATTCTCCAAGGAGCCTTGGTTCCTTTCAATGGAAAATGCAGTATTTAGAAACCAAGAGTAGGCCCTGTTGGGGCTCATTGCAATTGGGTGGGAGTGATCACTGCATCCAGTACTCTTCTCATTCTGTTTGGGTAGCTTCCATTTCTAATTCAATTGAAGTGACTTAATAGAACTGGGTAAAAGTTGATAAGGACACTGAGTTGGTAAGGGAGGTCCCAAAGAGAGAAGAAATTAAAGAGGACAGTGGGCCAGGCACAGTGGCTCACGCCTGTAACCCCAGGAATTTGGGGGGCCGAGGCAGGTGGATCGTTCAGGAGTTCAAGACCAGCCTGGCTAAGATGGTGAAACCCCGTGTGTACTAAGAATACAAAAAATTAGCTGTGCATGGTGGTGGGTGCCTGTAATCCCAGCTACTCATGAGGCTGAGACAGAGAGTTGCTTGAACCCAGGAGGTAGAGGTTGCAATGAGCTGAGATTCCGCCACTGCACACTCCAGCCTGCGTAACAGAGCGAGACTCCATCTCAAAAAAAAAAAAAAGGACACAGAATGAAGAAGATGTGTACCAGTAATAGAAGAATTTTGAACTTTTGTTTTCTACCACTATCCATAAGATTACTTGTCGGGGGGGTGTTAGTTTTTTTTTTTTTTTTTTTTTTTTGAGGTATCTTTGAGATAAAAGAAAGGCAAGGCCGGGCGCTGTGGCTTACATCTGTAATCCCAGCACTTTGGGAGGCCGAGGCAGGCAGGCAGATCACCTGAAATCAGGAGTTCAAGACCAGCCTGGCTAACATGGTGAAACCCCATCTCTACTAAACTAAAAATACAAAAATTAGGTGGGTGTGGTGGCGGGCATCTGTAATCCCAGCTACTCGGGAGGCTGAGGCAGGAGAATTGTTTGAACCTGGGAGGCAGTGGTTATAGTAAGCCAATATTGCATCACTGCGCTCCAGCCTGGATGACAGAGTGAGACTCTGACTCAAAAAACAAAAGTAAATTAATTTTAAAAGGGAGGGCAAATTACAATTATTTGGGCATCTTTAGAGTTACATGTATATTTATTGGATTTTTCCTCCCCGATTAACTCAATGCTAAAATAATGTTGACTTAAATGACTTGTTTGGTGGGACTTAATATGTAGTATAAGATGCATATTTGACAGGTTAGAAGCAGTCACACACTTTGATAAATAACAATACTGAGGCCGGACGCGGTGGCTCATGCCTGTAATCCCAGCACTTTGGGAGGCCGAGGCAGGCAGATTGCCTGAGCTCATGAGTTCCAGACCAGCCTGGGCAACATGGCAAAAACCTGTCTCTATAAAAAACAAAAAAATTAGCCACATGCAATGGTGTGCACCTATAATCCCAGCTACTCAGGAAGCTGAGGCAAGAAGATCCGTTAAGCCTAGAAGTTCAAGGTTGCAGTGAGCTATGATTGCACCACCATACTCCAGCCTGGATGACAGGGTGAGACCTTGTGTCAAAAACAAACAAAAAAGCAATTCTGAATGACTTTTGAATTTCTCAGGTCCACAGAAGGGAGCCAAATAATTCTGCTGATCATTGAGTGAGTTGTGGTACTTTCAACACTTTAGAGGTTTAAAGGACTGCTTTAGGCTGGGTGCGGTGGCTCACGCCTGTAATCCCAGCACTTTGGGAGGCCGAGGCGGGCGGATCACCTGAGGTTGGGAGTTCAAAACTAGCCTGACCAACATGGAGAAACCCCATCTCTACTAAAAATTCAAAATTAGCTGGGTGTGGTGGCACATTCCTGTAATCCTAGCCACTCGGGAGGCTGAGGCAGGAGAATTGCTTGAACCCAGGAGGTGGAGGTTGCGGTGAGCCAAGATCGTGCCATTGCACTCCAGCCTGCAACAAGAGCGAAACTCCGTCTCAAAAAAAAAAAAAAAAAGACTACTTTATTAGTTTTTTATTTGTTTTGCAGACAGTTCCTGAAATGAGGAAGCTTCCTAAAGTGAATTTCAGAATCTTTATCTGTGTGTTTACCCTAGCTATGAAAGTATTATTCTAACAGGGACTGTATATCTGTTTTTCCTTCCTGTAGATTGACCCAGCATTGCAAATTTCATTAGCTAGTTGTGGTCTGCCAGGTGTGGAAGGGGGTGCTCCACCTCTTCCTTTAAGCTTTCAATTCTCGGGCCCCTTTAAGCTTAGCAGCCTCTTGAGCTTTCAGAGACCCTTTAGCTTCAGAAACCTGCTAATTCCTTGGACATGTGGAGCGTGAACCATAAATCTTCAAGTTATAGTGAGTCTCAGTGACAAGCAATGTAAGTGCTTTGATTTTCACTAAGGCTATATAGAAGCCTTTGACAAAGGTTATTACATATCAGGATTCCTCATGGTCCATACTCAGGCTGGGGGAGGAGAAGGAAGGGCCTAAAGGGAATAGAATGCATTAATGTATCAAACTTGTCTTTCTGTATTACCTTATAATCTGCCTTGGCAAGATTGGGAAACTAGCCCTAGATAACAGAAGAATAGAAGATACAGTGGGGGCTGGGCATGGTGGCTCACGCCTGTAATCCCAGCACTTTGGGAGGCCGAGGAGGGTGGATCACGAGGTCAGGAGATCATACCATCCTGGCTAACATGGTGAAACCCCGTCTCTACTAAAAATACAAAAAAATTAGCTGGGCGTGGTTGCGGGCGCCTGTAGTCTCAACTACTCAGGAGGCTGAGGCAGGAGAATGGCGTGAACCCAGGAGGTGGAGGTTGCCGTGAGCGGAGATCGCACCACTGCACTCGAGATCGCGCCACTGCACTCCAGGCTGGGCGACAGAGCGAGACTCTGTCTCAAAAAAAAAAAAAAAAAAAAAAAAAAAATACAGTGAAGGGCAGTGTGTTAGCTATAAGTAAAACTTCATTCTCCCTGCCCTGAATTTACTGTCCTTTCTGAAACTCTTCACTAGCAATGTATGGCAAGGCGTTGTGCACAGAGAACTAGTTCTAAGAAGTTGTCAGACCAAATGGATACATAGTGGGTACATGGCCAAGTACACATGTGAAATCCTTTTTCCCAGAAAATTCAAAATAATATAGGGAGCAGGGAGATGCTTCCTGCTAGAGACCTGGGCGGGCTGTATGATGCCCAGCTTCCAAAAGATGTCACAGCACAAGTGTCCAAATGAAAACTGACTTAGGAAAGGTATGAGTTGAGAGTAGGCTTAAAGTCAGGGTTTACTTCTTACATTCAGGGAGAGAATGAGGATACAAGGGGAAGGGTTTTCTGTGCTAGGATTGCTTGAGAATGAGAGGTAACTATTCCATCATTAGTTGTATTGTGTTTTGATACAGTTTACTCTGTGTGAATAATACAGCTCTCCCCTGGGGGAATAAAAGTCTGACCACTTCAAGCTTTCCTTTGCCTATGTATAGTCATTTTCCCAGCGGATTTACCTTGCTTATAGTTGCTGTCTTATCCTTCACTTTGAAAGGATTTTCACTATGAATTGATTTCAAAGTGTTAGGCTAGCCAAAGCATAAGAATGAGTTACATTGCAAAGTGTTGGCCTAGGAGAGGTGATTCCTCCAATTCATTAGGAAGTCAGTAATTACATGCACACTTAAAAAAAAAAACAAAACCTATGGCCGGGTGTGGTGGCTCACACCTGTAATCCCAGCACTTTGGGAGGCCGAGGTGGATAGATCACGAGGTGAGGAGATCGAGACCATCCTGGCCAACAAGGTGAAACCCCGTCTCTACTAAAAATACAAAAATTAGCTGGGTGTGGTGCCTCACACCTGTAATCCCAGCACTTTGGGAGGCCAAGGCAGGCGGAGAGGAGATCGAGACCATCCTGGCTAACATGGTGAAACCCCGTCTCTACTAAAAATACAAAAAAATTAGCAGGGCATGGTGGCAGGCACCTGTAGTCCCAGCTACTCGGGAGGCTGAGGCAGGAGAATCGTTTGAACCTGGGAGATGGAGTTGCAGTAAGCTGAGATTGCGAGATTGCGTCATTGCACTCCAGCCTAGGCTACAAGAGTGAAACTTTGTCTCAAAAAAAAAAAAAAAATAGCCGGGCATGGTGGCACATGCCTGTAATCTCAGCTACTTGGGAGGCTGAGGCAGGAGAATTGCTTGAACCTGGGAGGCGGAGGTTGCAGTGAGCTGAAATCGTGCCATTGCACTCCAGCCTGGGCAACAAGAGCGAAACTCTGTCTCAAAAATAATATCATCCTCATCCTCATCATCATCATCATCAAAACCACGGCTTAGAATTGTGTGTTTTTGTCGTATATAATAGTGTAATCAGAGGGATATAATATGTGCTTGTTAAACATTGACTAGAGAGGCAGCTATGGAACCGTTCAATGTTTTTCAGACATTTTATCTATGCCCACGATAAAGATTGCATCTCAGTAAACACACACATAGAATATAGATAACAGTCATGAAAAAATAAGTATGCTTACTATTATTTTGTGGCATTTTAAATTCAACACTTTTAAAAGGCTGGTCACAGCCTGCAGATTGGAAAATATTTAATGGAATGATCACATGTCTAGGAACTAAGACAGAGATTCAATACCAGATCCACTGACCCAGCTTTATATCACAGAACAAGTTACTTAATCTTTCTGAGCCTGGGTTTCCTTATCTGTAGAAAGAGAATAATACTTGTTCCATCTAGATTAGGATTGTTTTAAATTTCAAATTAAGGCTGGGCACAGTGGCTCATACCTATAAACCCAGCACTTTGGGAGACTGAGGTGGGAGAATCATTTGAGTCCAGGAGTTTAAGACCAGCCTGGGAAACATAGTGAGACCCCATCTCTACATAAAGGAAAAAAAAAAAAATAGCTGGGCATGGTGGCTCACACCTGTAGTCCCACCTACTCAGAAGGCTGAGGTGGGAGGATCACTTGAGCCCGGGAGGTTGAGGCTTCAATGAGCCGTGTTTCACGCCATTGGATATTGAAGCCTGGGTGACAGAGCAGCTCACTGCAACCTCCATCTCCTGGGTTCAAGCAATTCTCCTGCCTCAGCCTCCTGAGTAGCTTTGATTACAGGTCCCTGCCACCACGCCCAGCTAATTTTTTGTATTTTTAGTAGAGACGGGGTTTCATTGTGTTAGCCAGGATGGTCTCGATCTCCTGATCCGCCCACCTCAGCCTCCCAGAGTGCTGGGATTACAGGCGTGAGCCACCGCGCCCAGTGAAAAGTAATAGTAATGATTATTGCCTTTTTTTTTTTTTTTTTTTTTTTTTTTTTTTTTTTTTTTTAAGAGAGGGGATCTTACTCTGTTGTTGCCCAGGCTGGAGTACAGTGGATATTCACAGGTGTCACTATGGCACACTGCAAGCTCAGGCTCCTGAGCTCCAGCAATTCTGTCCTCTCAGCCTCCTAAGTCGTTGGGACTATAAGTTTATGCCACCACACTTGGCTAATTTTTTAAAAGTTTTTAAAGAGTTGGAATTTTACTGCGTTGCCCATGCTGGTCTTAAATTCCTGGCCTCAAGCAGTCTTCCTACCTCAGCCTCCTGAGTAGCTGGGATTACAGATGTGAGCCACTGTGCCCCACAAGAGCCAACATGTAAATAATGTTTACTGTGTATCAGGCACCTAAGCACTGGAATATGTTAAACCCAAATTTAATCTTCAAAATAATCTCGGCCAGGTGTGGTGGTGGCTCACACCTGTAATCCTAGCACTTTGGGAGGCCGAGGCGGGTGGATCACCTGAGGTTAAGAGTTCGAGACCAGCCTGGCCAACATGGTGAAACCCCATCTCTACTAAAAATACAAAAAATTAACCAGGCGTGGTGGCAGGAGCCTGTAACCCCAGCTACTTGGGAGCCTGAGGCAGGAGAATCGCTTGAACCCAGGAGGAAGAGGTTGCAGTGAGCCGAGATTGTGCCACTGCACTACAGCCAGGGCAAGAGAGTGAGACTCAGCCTCAAAAAAGTCTGGGCGCAGTGGCTCATACCTATAATCCTAGCAGTTTGGGAGGCCGAGGCAGGTGGATCATTTGAGGCCAGGAGTTCAAGACCAGCCTGGCCAACATGGTGAAACCCTGTCTCTACTAAAGATACAAAAAATTAGCTGGATGCACTGGTGCGTGCCTGTAATCCCAGCTAGGGAGGCTGAAGCAGGAGAATCCCTTGAACCTGGGAAGCGGAGGTTGCAGTGAGCCAAGATTTTGCCACTGCACTCCAGCCTGGGCGACAGAGCGAGACTTTGTTTAAAAAAAAAAAAAAAAATCTCATGAAGGTAGGGTACATTTTATAAATGGTGGTAAACTATGTTCCCAAGGTCACACAGCTGGTAAATGCAAAGAGCTGGGATTCAAATTTAGTCAGTGTGCTTCCAGTGTTCTCTTACCCACTTCTGTGTAGTGCCTTTTTGTTAATCTCAGGTTTCTTGAGGTGATCTGAGCTTCAGTTGACATTTACCCGTGGATATTCCCCTTTTGAAAACTTCTCCAAGAATGACTTGTCCTTGCTACCACATCTTTTTCCTGGGTTACTTCCTGGCTCTGTCAATTTTATGTTTCTGTAATCCAAATTAGGAGAAACTAATTTGTATGTTATCCTAAACTAGACAGTCTAGGAATGAGTTTGTTTTTTTTTTTTTTTTTGAGACAGGGTCTCGCTCTGTCACCCACGCTGGAGTGCAGTGGCACGATCTTGGCTCACTGCAAGCTCCGCCTCCTGGGTTGACACCATTCTTCTGCCTCAGCCTCCCAAGTAGCTGGGGCTACAGGCACCCACCGCCTCACCCGGCTAATTTTTTGTATTTTTTAGTAGAAACAGGGTTTCACTGTGTTAGCCAGGATGGTCTCGATCTCCTGACCTCGTGATCCGCCTGCCTCGGCCTCCCAAAGTGCTGGGATTACAGCCGTGAGCCACCGCGCCCGGCCGAGTTTGTTCGTTTTTTAAAGAGACAGGGTTTTGATAGTTGCACAGAGTGGACACAAACTCCTGGGCTCAAGTGATCTTCCCACTGCAGCCTCCCAAGTAGCTGGGATTACAGGTATATGTCACTGTGCCCAGCAAGAATGAGAATTTATCCCCACAAATGCTGTAATGCATTTGATGATCAAATACAAGTGACTTCATAATTTTTGTGTGCATATAATTTTTAAAAATTCTTGTTATACCATATTTACATACCCAGCATTCATATTATAAGCATTTTTGTTTATCTTTAGATATCCTTTAACAATATTAACATATTAGGAGGCTCATGCTAATGTTATTAGATGAATACCACAAAATTTATGTAACCATTTTCCTCCTTTGGGAGTTATTTAGATTCCATAATCCATTTAGATTATTTCCAGTTTTTAAATAATTATGAACAGCACTGCAGTGAAGAGAATTTCCTGTAAATCTTTTTTCACATCTTTGATTATTTCCCTAAATTAGATTTTATTTTATTTATTTATTTTTTTAAGACAGGGTCTCACTGTGTCACCCAGGCTGGAGTGCAGTGGTGCATTCATAACTCACTGCAACCTCGAGCTCCTGAGCCTAAGTGATCCTCCTGCCTTAGCCTCCCGAGCAGCTGGGACCACAGGCATGTGCCAACACACCCAGCTAATTATTTATTTTTTGTAGAGATGGGGTCTCTGTGTTGTCCTGGCTGGTCTCAAATTCCTGGTCTCAAGTGATCCTACCATCTCAGGCTCCCAAGTGCTGGAATTACAAGTGTGAGCCAGCATGCCTGGCCCCTCGATATTTTGATCTTATGGGACTGCCATTGTATGTGCAGTCTAGTGTTGACTGAAATGGGGCATGCCTGTAAACAAAACATTGTTATTAACTATAGTCACCATGTTGTACAGTAGATCTCTTGAACTTGTTTCTCTTGCTTAGCTAAAATTTTGTTTCCTTCTCCCCAGTCACCCCTCTTCAGCCCATTATCTCTCTGCTTCTGAGTTTGACTTTTTTAGATTCCACATACTAGTGAAATTATGCAGTATTTGTCTTTCTGTGTCAGACTTATTTCACTTAACATAATGTCCTGCAGGTTCATTCATGTTACTTAAAATGGCAGGATTTCTTTCTAAGACTGAATAGTCTTTCATTGTGTTTATATACATTTTCTTTCATCTGTTCATCCATTGATAGACTGACACTTAGGCTGATTCCATATCTTGGCTGTTGTGAATAATGCTGCAGTTAACATGGGAGTGCAGGTATCTTTTCAACATGCTGATTTCATTTCCTTGTATATATGCCCAGTAGTGGGATTGCTGGATCATATGGTAGTTCTGTTTCCAGTTTTGTGAGAAACCTCCATACTGTTTTTCCTAATAGCTGTGCTAATTTACATTCTCATCAACAGTGTACAAAGGTTCCTTTTCTCCACATCCTCTCCAACAATTTATATATATATATATATTTTAATAGCCATTCTGACAGGTGTGAGTTGATGTGGGGTATTTTTGTTTGTTTTTGGTTTTTTGTTTTTTGAGACAAGGTTTCACTTCCATCACCCAGGCTGGAGTATAGTGGCATGATCATGGCTCACTGCAGCGTCGACTTCGTGGACTCAGGTGATCCCCCCACCTCAGTCTCCCGAGTAGCTGGGACTACAGGTGTGAGCCACCATGCCCAGCTAATTTCATTGTGGTTTTAACTTGCATTTCTCTGACAGTTACCAATGTTGAGCATTTTTTCACGTACCTATTGGCCATTTGTATGTCTTTGGAGCAGTGTCTTTTGAGTTCTATTCCCATTTCTTAATTGGGTTGTTTTGTTGCTGTTGAGTCATTTCTTTATGTATTTTGGATATTAACCCCTTATTGGATGTATGGTTTGCAAATATTTTCTCTCTCCCTGTAGATTGTCTCTGAACTCTGTTTTTGTTTCTTTGGGTTTTTTTTTTGAGACGGAGTTTCATTCCTGTCATCCAGGTTGGAGTCCAATGGTGCGATCTCGGCTCACTGCAACCTCCGCCTCCCAAGTTCAGGCGATTCTCCTGCTGCAGCCTTCCGAGTAGCTGGTATTACAGGTGCCTGCCACCACGACCACCTAATTTGTGTATATTTAGTAGAGATGGGGTTTCTCTATGTTAGCTAGGCTGGTCTCGAACTACTGACCTCAGGTGATCTGCCCACATCAGTCTCCCAAAGTGCTGGAATTACTGTCATGAGCCACCGCACCCATCCTCTTCAATATTTTATACTTATTAGTGTATGGGTCTTTCACCTCTTTGAATAAATTTATTCCCAAGCCTTTTTTTTTTGGTAGTTATTGTGAGATTGTTTTATTTATTTCTTTTTTGGATAGTTTGTTCTTAGTACATAGAAACACTGCTGATTTTTATACATTGATTTCCTTATGCTACTACTTAACTGAATTTGTTCATTAGTTCTAATAGTTTTTTGGAGTCTTTAGCGTTTTCTATATGTAAGATCATGTCATCTGCAGACAGAGAAAATTTTACTTCCTTTCCGATTTAGATGTCTTTTTATTTATTTTTCTTGCCTAATTGCTCTGTCTGGGACTTACAGTACTATGTTGAATAAAAGTGGCTGGAGTGGGCTGAGGCGGATAGATCATGAGGTCAGGAGATCGAGACCATCCTGGCCAGTATGGTGAAACCCCGTCTCTACTAAAAATATAAAAATTAGCCGGACATGGTGGCATGCACCTATAGTCCCACCTACCCAGGAGGCTGACGAAGGAGAATCGCTTGAACCCCGGGAGGCAGAGGTTGCAGTGAGCTGAGATTGCATCACTGCACTCCAGCCTGGGCGACAGAGCGAGACTTCATCTCAAAAAAAAAAAAAGTGGCTAGAGTGGTCCTTGTCTTTTTCCTGATCTTAGAGGAAAAGCATTCAGCTGTCCACCGTTGAGTATGATGTTAGCTGAAGTCTTGTCGTATATGGCCTTTATGTATTGAGGTACATTGCTTTTATACCCAATTTGTTGAGTTTTTCTCATGAAAGTATGCTGAATTTTGTCAGATGCTTTATTTATTTATTTATTTATTTATTTATTTATTTATTTATTTTGAGACGGAGTCTCGCTCTGTCGCCCAGGCCAGAGAGCAGTGGCGCAATCTCGACTCACTGCAAGCTCCGCCTCCGGGGTTCACGCCATTCTCCTGCCTCAGCTTCCAGAGTAGCTGGGACTACAGGCGCCCGCCACCACACCCGGCTAATTTTTTGTATTTTTAGTAGAGACTGGGTTTCACCGTGTTAGCCAGGATGGTCACGATCTCCTGATCTCATGATCCGCCCGCCTCAGCCTCCCAAAGTGCTGGGATTACAGGCTTGAGCCACCGCGCCCGGCCTGTCAGATGCTTTTTTGCATCTGTTGTGATGATCATATGGTTTTTGCCCTTCACTTTGCTTGTATGGTTTATCACATTTATAGATTTGTTTATGTTGAACCACCCTTGTATTCCTGGGATAAATCTCACTTGATCATGGTGAATGCTTCTTTTAATGGGCTGTTGAATTTGGTTTGTTAGTATTTTGTTGAGGATTTTTGCATATTTGTTCATCAGGGATATTGACCTGTAATTTTCTTGTAGTGTCCTTGTCTCGCTTTGGTATCAGGGTAATGCCGACGTCGTAAAATGAGTTTGGAAGTGTATCTGGAAGTATTCGTCGTCTTTGATTTTTGGGAAGAGTTTGAGAAGAATTGGTACTAGTTTTACCTTAAGTGTTTGGCAGAATTCTTCTGGTCTCTTGATGTTTTCATTGCCTTGCTGAGCATAGATCCAGGTACTTATGAGCAAAATTCTACTCAGTCTGACAACTCTGCTTAGAATTATGAATGTGATTAAATGCAGTGGTCACTCTACCTTTCTAAGGTAGTTCAGCTCAAGTTACAGCGATCCAGTCCTGATAGAGCTTTGAAACCTCAAGTCTATTATATAACGTAATGAAAAATTGGCTTGGTGAGGTGGTTCACACCTATAATCCCAGCACTTTGGGAGGCTGAGGTGGGTGGATCACTTGAGTTCGGAGTTCAAGACCAGGCTGGGCAACATGGCAAAACCCCACTTCTACCAAAAAAAAAAAAAAAAAAAAAAAAATATATATATATATATATATATACACACACACACACACACAAAAAAAAAATTAGCTAGGCATGATGACATGCGCCTGTAGTCCCAGCTACTCAGGAAGCTGAGGTGCAAGGATTGCCTGAGCCCAGGAGGTGGAGGTTTCAGTGAACCAAGATCACACCACCATATTCCAGTCTGGGTGACAGAAGGAGGCCCTGTCTCAAAAAAAAAAAAGCGGGGGTGGGGGGAACACTCATTTTTACTTAATAGGAATTAAAACATTAAAACACAGAAGCCTGCAGCCATAAAAAAGAATGAGTTCATGTCCTTTGCAGGGACATGAACGAAGCAGGAAACCATCATTCTCAGCAAACTAACACAGGAACAGAAAACCAAACACCGCATGTTCTCACTCATAAGTGGGAGCTGAACAGTGAGAACACATGGACATAGGGGAACATCATATACCAGGACCTGTCGGTGGGTGGAGGGTAAGGGGAGGGAGAGCATTAGGACAAATACTAATGCATATCTGGGACTTAAAACCTAGATGACAGGTTGATAGGTGCAGCAAACTACCATGGCACATGTATACCTATGTAACAAACCTGCACGTTCTGCACATGTATCCCAGAACTTACAGTAAAATAAAAAAGCAAAAACACAGAGGCCAAATAATACTTTTCAATACAGTGCAGAAGTAGTGCCCAGGCTTAAAAAAAAAAAAAAAAAAAAAGTCCAGCCTGGGCAACATGATGAAACCCTGTCACTACTAAAAATACAAAAAATTAGCCAGGCATGGTAGCTCATGCCTGCAGTCCCAGCTACTCAGGAGGCTGAAGTTGGAGGATCACCTGAACCCAGGAAGTCAAGGCTACAGTGAGCCAAGATTAAGCCACCACACTCCAGCCTGGACCACCTAAGTGAGACCTTGTCTCAAAAAACTGAAGAAAAAAAAAAAGTACCAGGCATTTTTATCTCCTCTTTCCTCTCACTCCCCTAGTAAAGTTACCTGTACACACACACATACACACACAGTTGTTAACACTTGTATTATCCATGTACCACAAATTTTCGGAGCCTGGAATTAAAGTATGTGCTATCCTTCAGGAATGTGAGCCAGTAAAAGTTATTAAACATTTATTGTCTGAATAATCTTGCCCCTGACTCTGTAACATGGAAGGATGATTAGGAGACAGGCTGTGGTCTTAGGAAGGTCACTCTCAAATTGAAAAGTTAGAATATGCAGGGAGAATACTTCCCTGGTACCTGAATAATAAAGAATTCAAGAGAAAACTCTGGATCAGAGATGAGTTAAGTAATAATAAGTAGATCCCGGACAGAGTATCCTTGCCAAAGAGAGCAGTGGTATAAATAGTACCTTTGGGGGAATCAGGGTGGGGACAGGAAACAGGATGGGAAGAGGACCTGTTGTGACAGGTTCTAAGGGTATAGTTTAGAAGCAGGTTTCCAAATGCCTTGAGCCACATGTGTTCAGCAGCATGAAGATGGTTTGTGGCAGATATATTTCTAGATTTTCAGGAGAGTAAGTCTAGAGTAAATACCCATCTCTCTTCCTTGCTGTTTCCTCTAGCCTAGAGTTGTGAGGTCACAATTGCAAGTGACTTTACGGTCCCCTATTGAGTTAAAGATGGAGAAGAAAAAGGCCTTTGAGCAATGGCTAAACATTATTCAGGTCAGTCATATAGTGAAATGTACTAGTTGGGAGATTCTTAGTTATTTGGGCTAACAAAATTACCTGTTGAATGGATTGTTTCATTGTAACAGACCATAAAGATGACTGATTTTGCAGAGTCTGATTTGATAAACTTGTAATTTTTGAAGTCTTTGGTACTGCTTATTTTTCCCAGAGCAGCATTTTGGTGTCTCCCTTAGGTTTAAGCTACATTTCTTGGAACCCAGGAGTAACGGAATAGGGAGCAGTGTAGGATAAAACTTTCCCCTTGATTATCAAAAGGAGTCTTTTGGCTGGCACCGAGGCTCATACCTGTAATCTCAGCACTTTGGGAGGCCACTTGAGGCCAGAAGATTGCTTCAGCAGGAGTTCAGCAGCAGCCTGGGCAACAAAGTGAGACCCCATCTCTTCAAAAAAATTTTTAAAAATTAACCAGGTGGTGGCATGCCCCTGGTCCCAGCTACACACGAGGCTGAAGCAGGAGGATTGCTTGAGCCCGGGAGGTTGAGACTACAGTGAGCCGTGTTTGTGCCACTGTACTCCAGCCTGAGTGACAGAGTGAGACCCTGTCTCAAAAAAAAAAAAAAAAAAAAAAGTCTTTTTAGGTAAGCCTTTGGCTCATGGATGAGAAGAATCAGATATTGGCAATGACTTTTTTTTTTTTTTTTTTTTGAGACGGAGTCTCGCTCTGTTGCCCAGGCTGGAGTGCAGTGGCGTGATCTCGCCTCATTGCAACTCTGCTTCCTGGGTTCACACCATTCTCCTGCCTCAGCCTCCCGAGTAGCTGGGACTATAGGCGCCTGCCACCATGCCCAGCTAATTTTTGTTATTGGATTTTTAGTAGGGACAGGGTTTCACCATGTTAGCCAGGATGGTCTTGATCTCCTGATCTCATGATACGCCCGCCTCAGCCTCCTGGGATTACAGGTGTGAGCCACTGCACCTGGCTTTTTTTTTTCTTTTTTTTTTTTTGAGACAAAGTCTCACTTTGTTGCCCAGGCTGGGGTGCAGTGGCATGATCTTGGCATACTGCAACCTCTGCCTCCTGGGTTCAAACGACTCTCGTGCCTCAGCCTCCCAAGTAGCTGGGATTACAGGTGCACACCACCATGCCCGGCTCTTTTTGTTTTTTTTGTTTTTTTGTTTTTGTTTTTGTTTTTTTTTTTGGAGATGGAGTCTTGCTCTGTCACCCAGGCTGGAGTGTAGTGGCGCCATCTCGGCTCACTGCAACCTCCATCTCCTGGGTTCAAGTGATTCTCCTGCTTCAGCCTCCTGAGTAGCTGGGACTATAGTCTCGAGCCACCATGCCCGGCTAATTTTTGTATTTTTAGTAGAGACGGAGCTTCACCATGTTGGCCAGGCTGGTCACGAACTCCTGACCTCAAGTGATCCACGCACCTCAGCCTCCCGAAGTGCTGGGGATTCCAGGTGTGAGCCACCACGCATGACCTCCAATTTTACTTTTTAATTCAAGTGTGTAAACTTCATTTTTGAGCCACAGCATGAATCAGAAGCTGGGCTGGCCACCCTGGGTTTTTGGGGGCTAGGGGAGCTGTTGTTTTTTGTCTGTGTTTTTTTTTTTTTTTGAAGGCAGTGAAAGGAAGGCAGAAGAGAACTAATGAAGTACTGAAAGACACTAGATTGTGAGTGGCGAGGCTATGCTGGGAAGTGAGCTCTCTAGAGATCACTTTATCCCCCATTCCCCACGGAAAAATGCCTTTGCCAGTACTTTATCTTCTCCTCCTTTTCCCATCAAAAAACATGAGGCTGGGCGGTGTGGCCCATGTCTGTAATCCCAGCACCTTGGGAGGCCGAGGTGGGGAGTTGGAGACCAGCCTGGCCAACATGGTGAAACCCTGTTTGTACTAAAAATACAAAAATTAGTCGGGCATGGTGGTGCACACCTGTAATCCCAGCTACTCAGGAGGCTGAGGCAGGAGAATTGCTTGAACCCAGGAGGCAGAGGTTGTAGTGACCTGAGATCGCGCCACTGCACTCCAGCCGGGGCAACAGAGCAAGACTGTCTCAAAAAAAAAAAAAAAAATACAGCTGAGATTTTTTTTGTTTGTTTTATTTATTTATTTATTTATTTAATTTATTTATTTTGAGACGGAGTCTCGCCCTGTGACCCTGGCTGGAGTGCAGTGGTGCCATCTCAGCTCACTGCACCCTCCACCTCCCGAGTTCAAGCGATTCTCTTGCCTCAGCCTCCTGAGTAGCTGGGATTACAGGTGTGTGCCACCATGCCCAGCTAATTTTTGTATTTTTAGTAGAGACGGGGTTTCACCATGGTTGACCAGGCTGGTCATGAATTCCTGAAGCTGAGGTTTTCTCACTGGCACAAATCTACCCTGAAGGCACAGGTGGTCCTTTTTCAGATGCCACCCAGGAAAGCAGAGAGTGTGACATCAGAACTCTAATAAAACCTCTTCTGGTCGGGGGCAGGGAGCAGAGATGAAAGCACTTTTGAATTTTCCAGTAGGGAAAAAGGTTTGTTCCTTAATTAGAGGTAGTCTGGGAAATGCTAGCACTTGTGCAGGTGCCCCAGGAGAGTTGGAAAAGCTTAGTTCTGTGGTCACTGTGATACCATAGTCCCCCTGCCTTGGGTAGCTAACGTAGCATACCAGCTGGCGTTAGGAAAACTAGCTAAAGCTCACAGAGAGGCTCTGCCAAAGTGATCGATCTTTCTCTGTAATGTCTGTAACTCATTTGGCCTGCTCCAGGTTACTACTTGATTCTCTTCAGCAGTTAAGAGTTGCATTCTGAAACACTTTCAGAGAGTAGTGCTAGTGTTGATTTCTGGATCTAATTCTGGAAATACCAGCTGTAAAATTATATTGGAATTTACATTTAAGAAAAAGTCAGACCCCAGTCAATTCTGTCCAGGAAAAAAAAAAAAAAGAAAACAAAAGAAAAATAGAAAAAGCCAGATGGTAATCAAAAGGTGTGGGTAGTTTGAAGCTTTTAAATAAAATGCCTCCACTCAGCCGCCAGGCCTCTGGAGGATTCCTTTATTCTGACATCTCTGCTTTCTAGAATATGTTGTGGGGAGAGGTTGTTTCATTCTTGTTTCATCACAACCCTCATGACCTTGCCACAGTCTGAGCTCATTCCGTACCTTTTCTACCCTAGCAGGATCTGATTCTTGACGTCAGTGAAACTGGTCAAGGGGCTTGTGGACTTTCTTAGTACTGGAGGAAGTCTTCTGGAAAGGATGACAAATGGATCCCAGAATTCTTTTTTTTTTTTTGAGACAGAGGCTCGCTGTGTCGCCCAGGCTGGAGTGGAGTGGCATGATCTCGGCTCACTGCAACCTCCGCCTTCTGGACCCAGGTGATTCTCCTGCCTCAGCCTCTCGAGTAGCTGGGATTACAAGCACATGCCACCATGCCCGGCTAATTTTGTATTTTTCGTAGAGATGGGGTTTTGCCATGTTGGCCAGGCTGGTCTCAAACTCCTGACCTAATGTGATCCTCCCACCTTGGCCTCCCAAAGTGCTTGGATTACAGGCGTGAGCCAATGTGCCTGATTGGATCCCAGAATTCTTTTTTTTTTTTTTTTTTTTTTTGAGACAGAGTTTCACTCTTATTGCCCAGGTTGGAGTGCAATGATGTGATCTAAGCTCATTGCAACCTCCACCTCCCAGGTTCAAGCAATTCTGTCTCAGCCTATCGAGTAGCTGGGATTACAGGCACCCACCACCACGCCCGGCTAATTTTTTGTATTTTTTTTTAGTAGAGATGGGGTTTCACCACGTTGGCCAGTCTGGTCCTGAACTCCTGACCTCAGGTAATCCACCCGTCTTGGCCTCCCAAAGTGCTGGGGATTACAGGCATGAGCCACCGCACCTGCCCTGGATCCCAGAATTCTTAAAGCAAGGATCACAAATTATGGACTGTAATCTTAGCAGTTCGTTTCATGCCAGTGAGAGCTCTAGAGTATTCTAGACTTGTGGAAGTTTCTTCTTGGGACTGTAATCACGGAGGACCTCAAGCTCTGTTTCTTACTGGTTCACTCCTTCCTGCCCAAACCAAAAGTTGACTTTCTGGAGTCTGCTGAATTCACCTCTTATCTTTACTTCTTTGTTTGCTATCAATAAATTCATTAATGCCTCTTTGCCATAGTTTAGCTGTTTTTTCTTTTGTTTTGTTTTGAGACAGAGTCTCGCTCTGTCGCCGAGGCTGGAGTGCAGTGGCGCGATCTCGGCTCACTGCAGCCTCCGCCTCCCCAGTTCAAGCGATTCTTCTGCCTCAGCCTCCTGAGTAGGTGGGACTACAGGTGCCCACCGCCATGCCCAGCTAATTTTTCTATTTTTAGTAGAGATGGGGTTTCACCATATTGGCCAGGCTGGTCTCGAACTCCTGACCTTGTGATCTGCCCACCTTGGCCTCCCAAAGTGCTGGGATTATAGACATGAGCCACCGCGTGTGGCCCTAGCTGGTTTAATTCTCTCTGTTCTTTTTTTTTTTTTTTTGTATTTTTTTTTTAGTAGAGATGGGGTTTCACTGTGTTAGCCAGGATGGTCTCGATCTCTTGACCTCGTGATCCGCCCGCCTCGGCCTCCCAAAGTGCTGGGATTACAGGCATGAGCCACCGCGACCGGCCTCTCTCTGTTCTTTCTATTGAAATCCAAAGATGTGGTTTGAGGGGCAGTATGTTACAGGTCACCTCTTAGGATCCACATCTCCTACTCATCTCTTGGTTGCAGGTATCAGGATTTAATAGATGTGAGATTGCAGTAATCATTCAAACGTTGGCTCTTTCTGGATTCATAAAGTTCCCTGAAGAAGGAGAAAAAAAGACAAAGATTGGTTCTTTCCAAAAAATACTGGGAAAAAAATGATATCTGCAAGACCACTGAGTGAAGGTGTTTTTGTATCCCCATCGTCAGAGTATTAGCTATACAGATGTGAACGTTTCTTAAGGTTGAGGTTTTTGGTTTATCAGTGATTTTTTCCCCCTTATTTTAAAATTATTATTATTACTATTTTGAGACATAGTCTCGCTCTGTTGCCCAGGCTGGAGCTCAGTGGCGCCATCTTGGCTCACTGCAAGCTCCGCCTCCCGGGTTCATGCCATTCTCCTGCCTCAGACTCCTGAGTAGCTGGGACTGCAGGTGCCCGCCACCAAACACCTGGCTAATTTTTTGTATTTTTTAGTAGAGACAGGGTTTCACTGTGTTAGCCAGGATAGTCTCGATCTCCTGACCTCGTGATCCGCCCACCTCGGCCTCCCAAAGTGCTGAGATTACAGGCGTGAGCCACCGCACCTGGCCTTTAAAATTATTTGTAGAAATAATATACATGCCAAAGTATAAAGACAAAAAATTGCCCTCAGATAGTAGCGGCTGTTCATGTTTTTCATGTTAAGACGGAGTCTCGCACTGTTTCCCGGGCTGGTGTGCAGTGGCAAAATCTCAGCTCACGACAACCTCTGCCTCCCAGGTTCAAGCGATCATCATGCCTCAGCCTCCCGAGTAGCTAGGATTACAGGTGCCCATCACCACGCCCGACTAATTTTTTGTATTTTGAGTAGAGACGGGGTTTCACTATGTTGGCCAGGCTGGTCTCAAACTCCTGACCTTGTGATCCCCCTGCCTCGGCCTCCCAAAGTGCTGGGATTACAGGCTTGAGCCACCACGCCCAGCCAGTGTTGTTATTTTATATATGTTGCAAAATACTAAATATATGGTTTTCCTTTTGCTCTTGTTCACTTAACATTGATACACACTGAAAGGTAAAAAGACTAATCATACTCTACCTTCCTCAGTTATTACTTACAGGTGTGTATCGGCTTCCAAAATCGTAAAAAGTAATATTCCAGATCCGATGATTGAGGCCAACTGCAGAGTCCAAGAAAGCACTCTCTTATTTAGTGTTCTGAGTTTTCCTGTTCTTTTATAAAGCCTTCTATATGCTGTCTGACCTTGGATTTAGCAGTCTTTTCATTTACCTATCTTTCCCTTAGAAGGCCAAGATGGGACTCTTACTAGCTAGGGAGCATCATTGCACCCTCTCCTTTAAAAAAAAAAAAAGAAAAAATATATATATATACACACACATATATATACACACACATATTTATACACACACACATATATATATATAATTGCCTCTTAATCATAGACATTGTGACCCTTAGAACCTTCTGAATGTACTATTCAAAATGGAAACTGATATGGCCCAACACTGTGGTTCACGCCGTAATCCCAGCACTTTGGGAGGCTGAGGCGGGCAGATCACGGGGTCAGGAGATCATGACCATCCTGGCTAACACAGTGAAACCCTGTCTCTACTAAAAATACAAAAAATTAGCCGGGCATGATGGCGGGCGCCTGTAGTCCCAGCTACTCTGGAGGCTGAGGCAGGAGAATGGCGGGAACCCAGGAGGCGGAGCATTGTAGCCGCCGAGAAGGCGCCACCGCACTCCAGCCTGGGTGAGAGAGCAAGACTCTGTCTCAAAAAAAAAAAAAAAAATATTAGCTGGGCATGGTGGTGCATACCTGTAATCCCAGCTGCTTGGGAGGCTGAGGCAGGAGAATCGCTTGAACGTGGGAGGTGGAGGTTGCAGTGAGCCAAGATGGCACTGCTGCACTCCAGCCTGGCTGATAGGCTGTCTGAAGAAAAAGGAAACTGATAGAACCTGGAGTTGAAGAGTGAGCCACAGGCTTTGGGAAAAGTCAAATCTAGGTTTCAGTCCTGGGCTCTGCCATCATTAATAGATTGACATATGTAGATTAAATGACAACCTCAAAAAATTAATAACAATCTGCCTTTTATATGGTCAACAGTTACTTATGGAGAGCCTCGTAAGTGTTAGTAGATGATGCTTTTCTAGATATAATAATGAACAAAACGAACCAAGGGTCTGTTCTTACTGAGTTTATATCCTAGTGGGGTGGAGAGAGATGGACGTAAAACAGGTGGTAATGATGGTGGTAAAAAGTGAGGGAAATAGAGGAGTTAACAACAGGAAGGGCCACGTGCCTGGGGTTAATTGTGTGGGAGGAATTGTTGAGTTCAGGGTCTCAGGATAGATTTTAAAAGAAAAAAATGAGGGAAATAAGGATACTGTTTTAGACATGGAGGTCAAAGAAGCCCTCCCCTTAAGAAGTGACATTTAAGCAGAAACCTGAATGAAGTGAGGGAGCTAGAAAAATAAGTAGACATCTGGGGCAAGAACATTCCAGGCAGAGGGAATGGTAAGGACAAAGTCCTAAAGCGGTAGCGTGTTTGGCTCGTTGAAGGAACTGCAGGGAAACCATGGTGAGACCATGGTGGCTGGAAGTAAGTCAGCAAGAGAGGGCAGGGTAGGTCAGAAGGTGAGGTCAGAGAACCAGTAGTAATAGATCATGGAGGGCCTTGGGGTCCATGTTAGGATTTTGTATTTTATTCTTAGATGGAAAGTCATTAGAGATATTTAAGCTGCTCTGACTTTCAGTTAACAGAATTGGCCGGGCGCGGTGGCTCACGTCTGTAATCCCAGCACTTTGGGAGGCCAAGGCGGGCGGAACACGAGGTCAAGAGATCGAGACCATCCTGGCCAACATGGGGTGAAACCCCGTTTGGGCCAGGCACGGTGGCTTACGCCTGTAATCCCAGCACTTTGGGAGGCCGAGGCGGGCGGATCATGAGGTCAGGAGATTGAGACCATCCTGGCTAACACTGTGAAACCCCATCTCTACTAAAAATACAAAAAAAAATTATCCGGGCATGGTGGCAGGCGCCTGTAGTCCCAGCTACTCGGGAGGCTGAGGCAGGAGAATGGCGTGAACCCGGGAGCGGAGGTTGCAGTGAACCGAGATCGCACCACTGCACTCCAGGCTGGGGAACAGAGCAAGACTCCATCTCAAAAAAAAAAAAAAAAAAAAAAAGAACTAACATTGCTGAATAGAGAATAGATTGGGTGATAAAGGGTAAGCGTGGAACAGACCATTTAGAAGGCTAATAGTAATCCCATCTAGAGATGATGAGATGACAGGTGAAGTTTGTTACCTGTTTCCAAGGCTTGAGAGACTCAATTAAGAAAACATCACTAAAGCCCCTCATACAGCCCATTTCACAGTTTTAGCTCCCAGTACTTGTTAATTCTCTTCCTTTCCTTGGAGTTTGCCTTCAGCTGTGTTAGGGTCTTAAGGGAGAAGTTATTATGTAAAGATCAGCATCCAGACCCCAACAGAAGTCTCTCTTTTTTTTTTTTTTTTTTTTTTTTGAGACAGAGTTTTACTCTTGTGGCCCGGGCTGGAGTGCAGTGGCGCAGCCTCTGCTCACTGCAACCTCTGCCTTCTGGGTTCAAGCAGTTCTCCTGCCTCAGCCTCCTGAGTAGCTGGGACTACAGGCATGCGCCACCATGCCCAGCTAATTTTGTATTTTTAGTAGAGACAGGGTTTCACCACGTTGGCCACGCTGTTCTCGAACTCCTGACCTCAGGTAATCTGCCCGCCTCGGCCTCCCAAAGTGCTGGGATTACAGGTGTGAGCCACCGTGCCCGGCCAAGACTTTTTTTTTTTCTTGAGGCACTGAAGTTGGCTCACTGTGTTCATTCTGTTTTCCCACCCACCAGAGATCTTAAAAAGACTGACGCTGTGCCAGAACTCTTGGACAGCTCTGTTCTCATTAAGGCATTCAATCTTCAGTTCTTTCTGCAGTTGCTATCTTAGACACAGTTTGAGCAGCCTCTTTTACAAAGTGTCTTTTCAGCTACCTGGTCTTGGAAGCAGGAGCCCTCTGATACTCATCATGACAAGGTAGTTTAATATACCTGAGAGAGCCCTCTCAAGAAAATAAGGAGATTTTTGTCGTCTTTAACTTTTGAGCTTTTCCCCCACTCCTTTTTTGCTGTGATCTAAAGCCATAATTTGCCACCTTGGTTTCTGAAATATGGGAAAAGAAGTTCGTGTACTTATTTAGGAAAATCGTATTTCTGTTACCTAAGGAGCTTGCATTGTTGACAGGGCTTCTTTCGCTACAGAAGGCCCCATCAATGTCTGCTTGCTTGGGCTGTGTATGTCTGGTTGGTAAACATCACTAATGAAACTCGTGCGGTCTTGACATGTCAGGATTGCCTGCACGAAGAGAGCTGCTGGCAGCCTTTCTCCTTGCTTTAGTCTGGGAGCAATGCATTTCTTTTGAGGGGGTGGGAGAGGTAGTTCAGGAGGTCTAATTGCATGTCAGGAAGGGTGAAGCCCCAGAAATTTGCAAACAGAATTTGCTTTAACAGTGGTTAATTGTGCCTCCTAGGATGCTTTCCTCCTTCCATTTAAAAGTGAGTTCGGCCGGGTGCGGTGGCTCATGACTGTAATCACAGCACTTTGGGAAGCTGAGGCGGGCGGACCACCTGAGGTCAGGAGTTTGAGACCAGCCTGACCAACATGGTGAAACCCCATCTCTACTAAAAGTACAAAAATTGGCTGGGCATGGCGGCATGCGCCTGTAATCCCAGCTGCTAGAGAGGCTGAGGGACGAGAATCGCTTGAACTCAGGAGTCAAGGGTTGCAGTGAGCCAAAATTGTACCACTGCACTCCAGCCTAGGTGACAGCAGAACTCTGTCTTAAATAAATAAATAAATAAGTAAATAAATGTAAGTTCATGGCCGGGTGCAGTGGCTCACACCTGTAATCCCGGCACTTTGGGAGGCCGAGGTGGGCGGATCAACTGAGGTCAGGAGTTCGAGACCAGCCTGGCCAACATGGTGAAACCCCGTCTCTACTAAAAATACAAAGAAATTAGCCAGGCGTGGTGGCGGGTGCCTTTAATCCCAGCTACTCGGGAGGCTGAAGCAGGAGAATCGCTTGAACCTGGGAGGCAGAGGTTGCAGTGAGCCAAGATCGCACCATGGCACTCCAGCCTGGGCAACAAGAGTGAAACTCCGTCTCAAAAAAAATAAAATAAAAGTGGGTTCATATTACTGGCTCACAAGTCAGACATTGGGTACCTTTGCAATCATATAATGTGCTGCTTCTGAAAATGTCTGGCTGGTCTCCAACCAGGCCTATAAATGGGCTGGCTGAGCCAGGCCCTATGAGGGCCCACTCTCCTCAGGAATACTGAGACATTATAAATGCACCTGTACTTTCCAGTTGTATGAATAGGTGCTTTCCAGTTTTATTTCTCCCATCCATACATCTGTGGTAACTGAAAAATCATTTTAACCATAGTGATATTTGACAGCAAATTGTCGTCACAGATAAAGATGTAAGTATACTTTCAACCAACACACTGCTAATTAAATTGCTTTATGTGTCTAAACTTGGGCCTCACGCCAGTCATATCCAGTGTTCCTACTCTCTTCTTCGAATGAGTTGCCTTGTGTTTCATGACCTTGTTTTTGTTCATTACAGTGTGAGCCACTGCCCCATGTTGTGTTGATGCCAATCTGCCATGCTAGCCTGTCTACCAGGGCCAGGTGACCTGTCCTTTCAGCTTCTTTCTCACACGCAGATGAACACTGGACTTCAGAAATGTAAGTAATCTGGATCCTATGGAGCATGTGTGATTCTTTGTTTTTGTCTCTACATTTGGGCCGTCCTTGAAGCACATCTGGGGTACACTGACCTTGAATTTTGACACCTTTCTTTTTTTTTTTTTTTTAAGACGAAGTCTTGCTCTTGTCACCCAGGCTGGAGTGCAATGACGCGATCTTGATTGGCTCACTGCAACCTCTCCCTCCCGGGTTAAGCAATTCTCTTGCTTCAGCCTCCCGAGTAGCTGGGATTACAGGTGCCCACCACCATGCCTGGCTAATTTTCTATTTTTAGTAGAGATAGGGTTTCACCATGTTGGCCAGGCTGGTCTCAAACTCCTGATCTCAGGTGATGCCCCTAACTTGGCCTCCCAAAGTGCTGGGATTACAGGTGTGAGCCACTGTGTCCAGCCATTAGGGGTCTGCTTAAATTCTGTAATTCCCCATTGTATCTCAATTTTAATTGTTGCTGATAGCTTTCTGTTGAACAACAAAACTATAAAGAGCTTCAGGGGAAATATATATATATATATCACCCTTAAAAAAGGTGTTTCAGTTTGAACCTTCATAGGGAATTGAATGAAAACTCACAGTCCAGATTACTTACTATATCTCTGAAATAAACTATGCTGTTCTCTTGTTTTGAACTCTCTTAGTAGTCTACCATGGAAACAGACAGTTCCCTTTGGCTTTGCTACCTGCCTTCTGAGTCAGTGTGACTTTAGTTCACAGGAAGTCAGGGAGCTTTTGCCCTCAGAAGAGATGGAGAGCTAGCTTTCTCAGTCTCTCTGGGCATTTTCCTGCTAATACACTTCCCAGAAGATTGAGCCTTTGAAAACTGTTAGATTCTTGTCTTAACTTTCTGGAATTGGGGTTTTATACTTCATATTTTCCCGGACTCCTTCCTACCTTCTCTCCCTGTAATACATGATCTGCAAGGAAAATATTCTATTCTTGGCACATTACCATGTATAGTATCTTCAGGTGTAAAAACAGCCCTAAATTTGGAATAGACCTTCCATTCAGAGCACAAAGGGGAAATCATTGAGGTGGCTAGGCTTCCCTTTGATAGGAAAGGTGCTTCAGCACCTTAACTGAACCCCTTATGACAGGGGTTAACAAACTTTCTGTAAAGCCCAGATAGCCAATAATTTAAGCTTTGTGGGCCATGTGGTCTCTGTTGCATCTACTCAACTCTGGCATTGTAGGGCAACGGCAGCCACAGACAATAAACAAATGAGGGTGTCTGTGTTCCAGTGAAACTTTTTTACAAAAAAACAGCAACTGGACCAGGCACGCAGGCTGTCGTTTGCCAGCCCCTGCCATGTGAGAACATCATCAGAAGTTAAAAATGGTCCAGCCTTTAGACTTCATTTCTTTGAGAGAGCGTAAGACTCAGAGCCTGGCTAGTTCTGGAATTTGGCCAGTGAATCCAGCTCTATGTAATAACAGCTGAAGGTGGTAGTCCTCCTTCTACAGTTGCCTGACACAATAAGGCAAGCTCTGCTATAGCTTTCTCAACCCATCCTTTATCTTAATAAGTGATGATTGGGTGATGAAGGTGTTATGTTATACTCTCTGGTCATCCAAATCAGCATCCTAACTGCATCGTGCCTATTTCTGGGCTTCTGGGGACACAACTGGAGAGGGAACGTACTTAGAGGCATGCAGTAAGATGACAAAGAGAAGCTTCCTTTGTTCTGGGTTCCTTAACACACTCTGACAGCTTTACCCAAAGATGTGATATCAAGGGAAAAGCCATTTGGAGGACGGGCAAATTGGCAGCTTTATCTTGGTGTTCACTTTTATTATTTTTATTTTTTTTTTAATTATTTTTTTTAGATAGAGTTTTGCTCTTGTTGCTAGGCTGGAGTGCAATGGCGTGATCTCGGCTCAACGCAACCTCCGCCTTCTGGGTTCAAGCGATTCTCTACCTCAGCCTCTTGAGTAGCTGAGATTACAGGCATGCACCACCACGCCCAGCTAATTTTGTATTTTCAGTAGAGACAGGGTTTCTTCATGTTGGTCAGGCTGGTCTCGAACTCCCGACTTCAGGTGATCCGCCTGCCTCGGCCTCTCAAAGTGCTGGGATTACAGGTGTGAGCCACCACACCCAGCCCACTTTATTTTATTTTATTATTTTGAGGAGGACTTTTGCTCTTGTCACCCAGGCTGGAGTGCAGTGGCACGATCTCGGCTCACTGCAACCTCCGCCTCCCAAGTTCAAGTGATTCTCCCGCCTCAGTCTCCTGAGTAGTGGGATTACAGGCATGAGCCACCATGCCCGGCCCTTTTTTTTTTTTTTTTTTTTTTTGAGATGGAGTCTCCCTCTGTCACCCAGACTGGAGTGCAGTGGCGCAATCTCGGTTCACTGCAACCTCCATCTCCCGGGTTTAAGCAGTGCTCCTGCCTTAGTCTCTCGAGTAGCTCAGATTACAGGCATGCGCCACTGGAAATTTTTTCTTTCTTAATCCTAAACCTCTGCTCTGTATTTCCCCTTCTCAGGATCACAATATAGTAGTGGCTCTGTAAATATTTACTGTTTGAATAGCTGATAAAAGGTCCTTGGTCCTTAAACCATCTTCAGATAACAACTTTGATTTCCTTCCATGGCAGAACACTGGGGCTCTGGGGACAAATGCCAAAATTACCTTCTTTTACTGCTTCTTTATGTGCATATCTGCCCCCTAGTGGAGGGGTCTGGAAATGGCAGATTGACCCAATGACTGGATAAAGTCATAGAAATAATAGCTAACATTTGTCAAGTTGCTACCATGTGCCAGGCACTATATTGAATATTTTCACATATGTTGTCACCCATTCCTCAAAAATTCCATATGGAAGACTCTCTTGCCTTTGTCAGAAGGATAAGGTATAGAGAGAGGGTTTGTCACTTGCCAGTGCCACATGACAGTCCTGTGACTGGCCCATACTCAGCTCAGACTCTGAAATCTGTGTTTGAACACATTGCCTGTGCCTCTCTGCCTACAGATAGAGGTTCCTGTTGCCTATGCCACCTGTGCCCTCTGACCTTCAAAACAGAAGGATGAACAGAGAGGTCTCCATTGGGAGGACTGAATTTCAGGCAGAAAATTGCCTCCAGTCCATCCTGGAATAGACAGCAGTGCTTTCTGTTACATTTAACTCTCAGGCTGAAGGCCAGGTTGTCCTGCAGTTGGGGCTTCCTTAGTCAGTTTTCTTTGTGTTGTCTGTGGTCAGACTCAGCCACATCTGCTATCCTTGAATGGTAACTATTGACCATCATTGTTTCATTTTCAATGAAAATGCTCATTTAGTGAAAATGTTCATTGACTCTCGATCTTAGTAATTCTGTGAAGTAGGAGAGCAGAATTCATCCCTGTTGATAATTGAGGAATGACAGGCTCTCAGTATGGGCAAATGATGAAGCTAGTACTTGAATACAGGTTTCTCTAACCCTTTACAAACTACAGATTTCCTATTCCCTACATTGTCTATGTCTCTATTAATGACACTATTGGTATAAGCTATTTAAGTAAGTCGCTTACAAAGCTGTGGTATCTGTGTTGGCTGTGTAGTTACAGAAATACATTACAGAAGAAAATAAGTAGTCAGGGTGCCTGTGTGGGGGCTGTGATAAGTGTTGAGAAAACTTTTTTTTTTTTTTTTGAGACGGAGTCTTACTCTGTCACCCAGGTTGGAGTGCAGTGGTGCGATCTTGGCTCACTGCAACCCTGCCTCCCGGGTTTAAGCAATTCTTTGCCTCAGCCTCCCGAGTAGCTGGGATTACAGGCACCTGCCACCATGCCCGGCTAATTTTTTGTATTTTTTTAGTAGAGACGGGGTTTCTCCATCTTGGCCAGGCTGGTCTTGAACTCCTGACCTCGTGATCCACCCACCTCGGCCTCCCAAAGTGCTGGGATTACAGGCGTGAGCCACCATGCCCAGCTGAGAAAACTTTTTTTTTTTTTTTTTTTTTTGAGATGGAGTCTCGCTCTGTCACCCAGGCTGGAGTGCAGTGGTGCAATCTTTGCTCACTGCAACCTCCACCTGCCGGGTTCAAGCAATTCTCCTGCCTCAGCCTCCCAAGTAGCTGGGACTACAAGTGCGCTCCACCATCCCAGGCTAATTTTTTGTATTTTTAGTAGAGACAGGGTTTCACCATGCTGGGCAGGCTGGTCTTGAACTCCTGACCTCATGATCCACCCGCCTCGGCCTCCCAAAGTGCCAGGATTACAGGCATGAGCCACTGCGCCCAGCAGAAAACTTTTTTTAAGAGTTAGGCTTAAGTCTGGTATGTGAGGTAGATGGTGCTGTATTCCCAGAATGATACCCCTTTTTTGTTCAATATACTGTACTCATCTTTGGGGTTCTTCCTTAACAAAGCTACTGTAGCCTTGTGGCCACCCTCCCTACCCTCATTTCACTTTATTTCTGAATCCTTTGACAGCCCTCTTCACCATTTCAGCATCAGTGGAGGCAGGACAAAGAAAACTAATCAATGTGGATAAGTGTCCCCTTCCATACTCCTGAATGAGGTCAAGCTTCCCCCTTGCCTCTGCTAAAAAAAACCTCAGAGTTGGTACTAACTTGGAACAAAGGGACTCTTCTACTCATCAAGGTACTATACGACTTCTACTTGGATTTCAAGGAGAGAAGCCCACCAGCATGGAGGTGGGCTAGGTTTAAAGCACTGTGCTAGGAGTATTATATGAGATTATGACCAATAAGACACATAGGTACAGTGGTTGACCAAGGCAGCTTCTGTTGGAATTCTGATGTCTTGAGTTTAGGGACTTGCTCTCAATCAGTGATCCCAGACTTTTTTGCCAGTATTTGAAAGCACAGACCTGTTTTGGGAGGTGGGGATGCCTGGCTCTTTTTGCCCAGATCTGCTTGTGAGCATGGGCCCAAATCTCTCTGCCCCTCCTGACTTGAGCTTTCTTTTCCTGCTTCCCAGAGCAGGAGTTGCTAACCAGCATTATCACCAAACAAAGAGAGCTGTACCCATTTTCCTTCTAATATGCTCATTAGCCTACCTTTGTTCTAGGTGATGCCCAGTGATGTGACTTTGAATAGAGTCTCCTTTGGGCCAAGGCCACCTGAGGCCACAAGCTGGGCATTCAGTCAGATTAGTCGTTGGCCTATCCTCCTGCCTTTTGCAAGAGGAGGAAGTAAGGAGAGAGTCGGCTAGCTGAGCCTGGGCTTCCTGCCAAGCCACTTCTGCTTTGGGCAGTCTGTGTACTCATTCAGCAAGCATTTATTAGGCACCTTTTGTGTATACTCAGGGGAGACCCTCCCTCAGAGACGAGAGAGTAGAGCAGAGCCCCCTTGCAGGAGGTTGGCATCCTTAAAGAGCCCTTGTTCTCAGAACCTTTTCCTTTTTGACTGGAAGCCGGACATCCGCTGAGCCCCCTGATGGGAGGCAACAGGAGATGGGAACAAAGAGACTGTTAACATTAATGAGGCACACCGAGTGGGCATTTCCGCAGTCTCCAAAGGCAGGCAGGTTTTTCCTCTTTCTTTTTGGAAAATGACAGCTGACATGGACCAAATACAGACTATTTTTGGCTCTCAGGACTGAAAGGACTGAAAGATGCTCTGAATCCTTTCTTCTCAATTCCCTCCCTGCTGCCCTGTCATTATTATCTTCCTTCTCAAGCAAATAAATAAAGCCTTTGATCCTCATCCAGTCGGGCATAGAGTAAACTGTAAACAAAAGTGAACTTGTGACATGGGGAAGGGGAGAGATGTTGGCAGCTTATTCCTCTGCTCCTGAAAGGAAGCATTCTGTCTACTGTTCAGGGTGCCCACCCAGTGGGCAAAGCCCCCCAGCTGCCAAGATGCAAGGGAAAGCTGATCCCTCATTGGTCCCTGCAGACTGAAGAGTCGTAGCTCTGGGTACCCTCTAGACTGAAGGGCCACCATGGCCCTGACAAGGAGCTTTGCTTAGAACCTACCCCCAAGCCACATGGGCTGGTAGAGTTCCAGACCCTGCATTTCTCTCTTTTTTTTTTTTCTTTTTCTGAGACAGAGTCTTGCTCTGTCGCCCAGGTTGGAGTGCAGTGGTGCGATGTCGGCTCACTGCAACCTCCGCCTCCTGGGTTCAAGCAATTAATCCTCCTGCCTCAGCCTCCCAAGTAGCTGGGATTACAGGTGCTTGCCATCACGCCTGGCTAACTTTTTGTATTTTTAGTAGAGACGGGGTTTCGCCATGTTGCCCAGGCTGGTCTTGAACTCCTGACCTCAGATGATCCACCCACCTTGGCCTCCCAAAATGCTGGGATTTACAAGTGTGAGCCACCGTGCCCAGCGACCCTGAATTTCTGTGTAGGGGGAGAACTCTCGGTTACCTCTCTGAGAATTGGCCAAATTCTGGTTCTGCAAGATATGAGACTTTGAAAGATGCTTTGCTGTTCTGATCTCTACTTACCTCATTTATAAAATGTAAATGATGATAGTGCCTGCTTCTACAGCAATAGTGAGGATTCATTGAGATGGCCTGTCATCTGGCAGAAGGCCTGGCCCACTATAAGCACTTACTGAACATTAGCAGTGCTTGTTAATGTGAAGACTGAAGCTGGGTCTCGAATGAAGGCTACAGATGACAATCTAGTCATTTCCCCACCCCACCCCAGGCCCTCAAAAGGGGAATCTGGAAGGGCTGTTTGCCTTGGCACTGATGAGCTCCCTCTCCCTCTTTGCTCTCCTTCCCATTCTCTCTCTCTAGGGGACACTACACAGAAAATGAGAACTGCTCACTATCCTACCCCAGCCGAATTGGATGCGTATGCTAAGAAGGTCGCAAACAACCCACTGACTATAAAAATCTTCCCCAACAGTGTGAAGGTTCCCCAGCGGAAACACGTTCGTCGTACTGTGAACGGCCTCGACACATCAGCCCAGCGCTACAGCCCCTACCCGACACAGGCTGCCACCAAGGCAGGCCTGCTTGCCATTGTCAAAGTGCCAGCCAAAAGCATACTCAAGGACTTTGACGGCACCCGAGCCCGGTTGCTCCCTGAGGCCATCATGAACCCCCCAGTGGCACCCTATGCTACTGTGGCACCCAGCACTTTAGCCCACCCCCAGGCCCAGGCTCTGGCCCGCCAGCAGGCCCTGCAGCATGCACAGACCCTGGCCCATGCCCCTCCCCAGACGCTGCAGCACCCTCAGGGTATCCCGCCACCCCAGGCACTGTCCCACCCTCAGAGCCTCCAGCAGCCTCAGGGCCTGGGCCACCCTCAGCCCATGGCCCAAACCCAGGGCTTGGTCCACCCTCAGGCCCTGGCTCACCAGGGTCTCCAGCACCCCCACAATCCCTTGCTGCATGGAGGCCGGAAGATGCCAGACTCAGATGCCCCCCCGAATGTGACCGTGTCTACCTCAACTATCCCCCTTTCAATGGCGGCCACTCTGCAGCACAGCCAGCCTCCGGACCTGAGTAGCATCGTGCACCAGATCAACCAGTTTTGCCAGACGAGGGCAGGCATCAGCACTACCTCAGTGTGTGAGGGCCAGATCGCCAACCCCAGCCCCATTAGTCGCAGTCTGCTCATCAATGCAAGCACCCGGGTGTCGACCCACAGCGTCCCCACACCAATGCCTTCATGTGTGGTCAATCCCATGGAGCACACCCACGCGGCCACCGCCGCGTTGCCTGCTGCAGGTCCTGTCAACCTGCCCACAGGCATCTCTCGCGTCCCCACTGGCTACCCTAGCGACCTCAAGCCAGTCACCTGGAACCAGCACCAGCTGGCCCACCTACAGCAGATGTGCAGCGAGGCTAGTGGGACGCCAGCCCCTGGCCTGACAGGCAAGCATGCGGCAGGACGCGAGTTGGCAGGGCCTGGCTTTGTGGGCAAGGCCCCTGCCTACCCGCAGGAACTCTGCCTGGCGCAGTCCTTCCATCTGAAGCCACCCCTGGAAAAGCCGACCCCATCCCCACCAGTCAACGGCATGGCAGCCCCATTGGCCTACCCCAATGGTCACTACTTCCAACCCCTGTGGAACAACATTCTGCCCACTCCCAATAGCGACAGCTCGGGGTCTCAGGACCTTGCCATGCCGTTCCACGGTGGGCAGCCCACAGGTGCACCCCTCGACTGTGCGGCAGCTCCCGGGGCCCACTACCGAGCAGGGACCGGGGGCGGTCCAGTGGCAAGCCAGAACAGCTTGATGCAAACAGTGGATTACCTAAGTGGGGATTTCCAACAGGCCTGCTTCCGAGAACAGAGCCTGGCCATGCTGAGCAAGGCCCACCGAGCCCCTGGCAACCGAGCCCCCGATCCCACAGAGAGTCGAAGTCTTCATATTCAGCACCCAGGGTATAGATAGGTAGCCCTGCTGCCCTCCACGTGCAACACATCATACATCACCCTCCTAGGTTTAGTCTTTTAAGTAACTGGATAGTTTCAAAGTTTCACTGCTCCAGTGTGATCATTCTTAGATGTCTAAGAAAGGGAATTTGGTGGGATCTAAGTGGGGACAGAAGGGGTCCTCTCGTCCTCCCCTCCAGCAACTTTTGGTTTTATGTTAGAACCTAACCCTAAGCCCAGGCTTTTCTCTCCACTGACTGCCTGTCAGCTAGTCTCTCCACCTTGGCCATTTCCAGCCAGCTCCCACCCATCTTTTCTTGAATCTCTTCCTGTTTCCCTTAGGACGACTGAGGTGTGGGCTGACGGAATGCCCTAGTTGAGGTAGTATAGGTGCTCAGGCCCCTAATCCAGACCTCTACCTGTTGCTACCCCCCTTCCCCTCCCTCCAGGACTAAGAAGCAAGATTTCCCAGGTGCTCTGAAAGCTAATTACTTACTCATCGAAGGATCTCAAATCAAAGCTGACCCAGTCTTCATATCCTTCAAGTTCCTTTCCATTCCTCAAGGCTTTGTTTTGTGTCTATATTGATCCCACAGCCACTGCACTTGCCCTTGCCACACTTGATCTCAAGGGCATCTTGGAAGTATTTGACCATTTCTTGAGATATGGGGGGAAAAAGTCTTTGTATTGGCATCTTGGTTCCAGACTCCCCTTTCCAAACCTAGAAAAATACAGTGACCTTTGAGCATACCCAAGATCCCTTTCTCACTGTTGCCTGTCCCCTAACTCACCTCCCCACAGCCCCTATCCTTTCCCCCTCAACAAAAACAAAATCTACCTTACTTGAGGAATTAGGTAGGTAAGGAATGATCACATTGGAGTTTGGGATTAAAAACACCAAAAAAAAAAAAATGCATTTGGTTCTCTCTACACTGGCTAAGAATATTGCTCTACACTGTAAGTTTTAAACGTTACGTTTCTGTATGAATGTAGTGTGGGTTTGAGTAGCATTGTGTGTGAGTGGCCCCACAGGTACATTCACCCTCTAGTGCAGCCCCTCAGTTTAATGAAGGAAAAAAAAACAAACACAAAGCCTTAAGCTCTTTGAGTACTTCCTTTACCAAATGAGCATGGTTCTAACACCTGGAGCTGGGCCTACATTGGAAACAAGCCCCTCCTGCCCTCTGTCCATTCTTAGAGCATACCTTCATCCACTCCATGCTCAGCACGTCTCATCCCAAGCGACAATTAGTTGGCTAGAAACACTTTTCTGTAATTTTAAACTTAGACTGTTTTGTTACAAATTTTTGCACCATTCTGTTAAAGATGCAGAATTGGGCTTTTTTATTTTTTACAGATGAAATAAGCCCTTACCTTTCCTCTTGTCTCTGGGGAATGTCAGCTGATGGTTCTTATTTAAGGTTTTGCATTTTGTTCACTATCCACTACTGTTCGTTAGCCAGAAATTCTCTAGTGATCTGAAGCAATGTGACTGAAGACCAGTTTTAAGTTATGTGTTGGCAAGTTGCCTTATATTTAAAAGGAAAAAGAAAAAAAAAAAAGCCTGATTGTGTTATGCCAAATGATAGCAACATGAAGTCCTAATTTATTGTTCCCAATTGTTTTCCTGCCGTCTGTGAACACTGGTACCTCCCTGTCCTGATCCCCCAGGAGCACCTGTAGCTTCTGACTCAATGCCTTCTCCGAAGGTGTTGGCCGCCATCTCACCCAGGGCCCTCTTCCAGTTCCTGCTTTTCTGAGTCAGATTTAAAGAGCACCACTGTCTTCCCCCTACCCCTTGCTTGATCTCCAAAGCAGATATTCTTGCTGTATTTTTTTTTCCTCCCCAATACCTCTCCCTGAAAGGTGAGCTGCTATTTTAGGAAACTGGACCAGACACCAACTTGGGGGCTTTAAGTCAAACAACCTCAAACCCATCTCTTCCTGTGTAGGGGTGCAAGCCTCTGAAGCTCTCACTCCCACCCTTAGTCTGCATGGAAAATGTACTGTGATCCCCCTGCCCCCAACTGCCCTCGCCTTTGGTGTGAGATGTTCCTTCTTTCGGAGTTCAGCCTGAGTCCCTCTCCCCTCTGCCAGCCAACCCCCAGCCAGCAATAAGGGTCCAAGCCAGGGCCTCCTCTCCACACTCCCTGTCTCCATCCTACACTACCCTAGGGAATACCTGGATTCCCCATTCTATCCACATACTGTAGCATTCATTCTCCATCTCTCTCACCTCACCTGTGGTGGTTTATGGGTGTGATGGGGTTTTTAAGATTATTATAAACCAGTAAAAATAAGAAAACCTCGCTTTCTGACCTTGTTCTATTCGTTTAGTGCTGTGAATGTTTGAGGTAACTTTTTCTTAACAGTTTCTAACATACCTCACTTCATAGGAGTAATTCCTAATTTTTAAAAGGGGTACCCCTGTAATATGCATCCCACCCAGAAGCCGTCTCCAAATCCATTATTTAAGGCCAGGTGCTATGGTGATTGTAGACAGTTCTTCAATGAAACCCTGGACACAGGGTACCCGGCTGACAGGCCCTCTCCCTGGGCAGGGCTGCTGTGGGCTTACTGTGAAGTTTGAGGATAAGTGTGGTTTGCTGTCCCTCACTGGAGGCCCAAAAGGTCCTGCCACTTGCATTCCAAGGGCCATAAGTCATTGAGAAATGGCGATCTGGTTGTTTTGTTTTGTTTGAGGCGAAGTCTTGCTCTGTCGCCCAGGCTGGAGTCCAGTGGCACGATCTCGGCTCACTGCAACCTCCACTTCCCAGGTTCAAAGGATTCTCCTGTCTCAGCCTCCTGAGTAGCTGGGATTACAGGTGCCTGCCACCACGCTCAGCTAATTTTTTGTATTATTAGTAGAGATGGGGTTTCACCATGTTGGCCAGGCTGGTCTCGAACTCCCGACCTCAAGTGATACACCTGCCTCGGCCTCCCAAAGTGCTGAGATTACAGGCGTGAACCACCATGCCCAGCCAAGAAATGGGGATCTGGTTTGCTAATAACCCAACCTAAAACTTCAAACCTGCCTTCTTCCACTTCCAACACTTTGGAAATTCTGAGGGCCTCTGACAGAGGTGAAGGTGATAGGCACTGTTATCTGCAATGTAACTGGCTCCTCTTGGTGATTACAGTTTTCTTATGTTGAATTTTGGATAACTTTATTTTTTTGTCTGCAGAGGAAAAAAAAAAAACACTAAGTGATTGCAGCCAGGCACAGTGGCTCATGCCTGTAATCCCAGCACTTTGGGAGGCCAAAGCAGGTGGATCATCTGAGGTCAGGAGTTCAAGACCAACCTGACAAACACGGGGAAACCCAGTCTCTACTAACAATACAAAAATTAGCTGGGCGTGGTACCACGCGCCTGTAATTCCAGCTACTCAGGAGGGTGAGACAGGAGAATCGCTTGAACCTGGGAGGCGGAGGTTGCAGTGAGCCGAGATTATGCCACTGCACTCCAGCCTGGGCGACAGTGAGACTCCCGTCTCAGGAAAAAAAAAAAAAAAATGAATTAAGTTACCCTCCTCTTCTGTTGAGCTTGGGTTTGAGCTAAGATGTAATGGAAGGAAAAGTTGATTCTGGCTGGGTGCGGTGGCTCATGCCTGTAATCCTAGCTCTGGGTGGCTGAAGTGGATTGCTTGTGCCCAGGGGTGAGACCCTGTGTCTTCAAAAATTGTAAAAAGTTGGGTGTGTAGTCCGGGTACAGTGGCTCACGCCTGTAATCCCAGCACTTTGGGAGGCCGAGGCAGGCGGATCACCTGAGGTCGGGAGTTCAAGACCGGCCTGACCAACATGGAGAAACCTTGTCTCTATTAAAAATACAAAATTAGCTGGGCATGGTGGCGCATGCCTGTAATCCCAGCTACTCGGGAGGCTGAGGCAGGAGAGTTGCTTGAACCTCGGAGGCGGAGGTTGTGGTGAGCCGAGATCGCGCCATTGCACTCCAGCCTGGGCAACGAGTGAAACTCAGTCTCAAAAAAAAAAAAAAAAAAAAACAAAAGTTGGGTGTGATGGCACATACCTGTAGTCCCAGCTGCTTGGGAGGCTGAAGTGGTAGGATTCCTCAAGCCCGAGAGTTTACGGCTGCAGTGCCAGTATCTGGGTGACAGGAGTGAGACCCCCATCTCTAAATGAAAAAACTATTTTTTTAAAAAAAGAAAACTGAGGCCGGGTGTGGTGGCTCACACCTGTAATCCCAGCACTTTGGGAGGCTGAGGCCAGCTGGATCACCTAAGGTCAGGAGTTCGAGACCAGCCTGGCCAACATGGTGAAAACCCGTCTCTACTAAAAATACAAAAATTAGCCAGGCATGGCAGCGGGCGCCTGTAGTCCCAGCTACTCAGGAGGCTGAGGCACGAGAATCACTTGAACCTGGGAGGCAGAGGTTGCAGTGAGCCAAGATCGCGCCACTGCACTCCAGCCTGGATGACGAGAAAAAACTCCGTAAAAAAAAAAAAGAGAAAAGAAAATTGAGGCTTGGCACAGTGGCTCACCTCTGTAATCCCAGCACTTTGGGAAGTGAAGGCCAGCCAGATCACCTAAGGTCAGGAGTTTGAGACCAGCCTGGCCAACATGGTGAAATCCCGTCTCTACTAAAGATACAAAAATTAGCCAGGCATGGTGGCAGGGGCCTGTAATCCCAGCTACTCGGGAGGCTGAGGCAGGAGAATCGCTTGTGAACCCGGGAGGCAGAGGTTGCGGTGAGCTGAAATCGTGCCACTGCACTCCAGCCTGGGCAAAAAGAGTGAGACTCTGTCTCAAAAAAAAGATTATATATATATGTGTGTATATATATATATAATTATAATATCTATATGTATACATATAATATCTATATATATAATTATATAATATATATATAGATTATATATATACACATATAGATTCCACAAGATGGGGGATTCAGGGAGGGTAGAATCAGACCCTTGGCGGCAAGAGTCCGCAGGTGGCTTCCTGAATGCTGACGGAGCTAAAGCACCAGCCTTCTTTCTTGAGCACACCCTTTTCTGTAGGGTGCTTTTGTTTTTTTATTTTTTTTCAGACGGAGTCTCACTCTGTCGCCCAGGCTGGAGTGCAGTGGCGCAATCTAGGCTCACTGCAGGCTCCACCTCCTGGGTTCACACCATTCTCCTGCCTCAGCCTCCTGAGTAGCTGGGACTACAGGCGCCCGCCGCCATGCCTGGCTAATTTTTGTATTTTTAGTAGAGATGGGGTTTCACCATGTTAGCCAGGATGGGGGTGCTTTTTTTTCCTTGAGATAGTCTCTTGCTCTGTCGTTCAGGCGGGCAGTGGCACGATCTTAGCTCACTGCAACCTCCACCTCCCGGGTTCAAGTGATTCTCCTGCCTCAGCCCCATGAGAAGCTGGGACTACAGGTGTGCGCCACCATGCCCAGGTAATTTTTGTATTTTTAGTAGAGACGGGGTTTCGCCATGTTGGTCAGGCTGGTCTTGAACTCCTGATCTTGTGATCCGCTCGCCTCAACCTCCCAAAGTGCTGGGATTACAGGCGTGAGCCACTGTGCCTGGCCGAGGGTGTTCTTTTGTGAAAGTGTTTTGACTCCTTTATGCCTCATGCCACCCCTGTGAAAGGAAGCTGTCTTCTGCCTGTGTCAGATAAGATCTGCAGTCGGCCCAAAAGCGGAGCTAGACATTAGTAAAGTACAGCGCTTCCTCCAGAGTGAATGATTCCTGGGCTGAGGTAGATCCTTGGGGAGTGCAGCTCACACTTTTATTGCAGAACATGGCCTGAATTCTGCAAGTTATGACTAGCACTGAATAAGGTCCAGGTGTGCAAGGCTTGCAGAGTATGGGGTTAACAGCCCCATTGTTTGCATGCAACTCTAGGAGGCACCATCTAGACTATGTGAATGTGACCCCCGGAAGCATGCAGTGACAGTGTATTTATTTATTTAGAGACGGAGTCTCACTATGTTTCCCAGGCTGGAGTTCAGCTCACTGCAACCTCCACCTCCCAGGTTCAAGTGATTCTTCTGCCTGGGCCTCCCAAGTAGCTGGGACTACAGGTGTGCACCACCATGCCCAACTAATTTTTTTTTTTTTTTTTTGAGATGGAGTTTTGCTCATTGTTGCCCAGGCTGGAGTGCAGTGGTGCGATCTCAGCTCACTGCAGACTCTACCTCCCAGGTTCAAGCAATACTCCTGTCTCAGCCTCCCAAGTAGGTGTGATTATAGGCACCTGCCACCACGCCCAGCTAATTTTTGTATTTTTAGTAGAGACTTTTGTTTCACCATGTTGGCCAGGCTGGTGTTGAACTCCTGACCTCAGGTAATCCGCCCTCCTTAGCCTCCCAAAGTGTTGCGATTACAGGTGTGAGCCACTGTGCCCGGCTCCTTATATTTTTTTGTAGATACGGGGTGGCTCCCTTTGTTGCCCAGGGTCATCTCCAACTCAGGCTCCCAAAGTGCTGGGATTATAGGCATCAGCCACTGTGCTCGGTCAGGTGTGTAGCTGGGATTCTGGAAAGGTGTTTCAGCCTGTTGCCTGAAAGCATTTATGCTGCTGGAGCCCATGGTTGCCTCTACCAGTCTCCAGGCATCACCGTACCAAGACGGTTTATCTGGTGAAGAAGCCCAGCTCTAGTTTCTCACCTAGGCAGGAGGGCCCCATTTCTCCCTAGATAAGTAAGTCAATTTGACCTTTTTGAAAAGAAAGATTGGGCCGATGATGACCTCCCCAGCCTGGCTCACTGAGGCTTAGTCCTGTCCTGTCACCCCATAAAGGGTTTTTTTTTTTTTTATTCTCCCTGTCGCCAGGCCGGAGTGCAATGACGCGATCTTGGCTCACTGCAACCTCCGCCTCCCGGGTTCAAGTGATTCTCCTGCCTCAGCCTTCTGAGTAGTTGGGACTACAGGTGCGTGTCACCACACCAGCTAATTTTTTTTTGTATTTTTAGTAGAGACGGGGTTTCACCATGTTAGCCAGGATGGTCTTGATCTCCTGACCTCGTGATCCGTCCACCTCAACCTCCCAAAATGCTGGGATTACAGGTGTGAGTGAGCCACTTCGCCCAGCCCAAGGCCTTTTTTTTTGAGACAGGGTCTGGCTCTGCCACACAGGCTGGAGTGCAGTAGCGCAATCTCTGCTCACTTTAACCTCTGCCTCCTGGGCTCAAGCCATCCTCCCACCTCAGCCTCCTGAGTAGCTAGTCGTGTGCAGCAGAGGCTGAGTTTTTTTTTTTTTTGTTTAAACCCTCAGCCTCTGCATGGGAAAAGAAAGAACTACAGTCCTTGAACCTTCCCTTACTAATGATTCTCGTACATACAGCCTCTTCTCAGGGCTAGGCAAGACAGTAAGGCACTGTGTGCTGACCAGTTCATTTAATCTTTACAACAAATCTGGGAGGTGAGCCGCATTTCACCAGTGACGGTAATGGAGGCCCTGTGTAGCTCAGAAACTTGCCAAAAGCAAGCACAAGGACCCACACCTATTGCCACAACTAGAGGGAGCTACAATTTCTAGGGACTACTGGAGTTTAAAACAGAATCGAGGCCCTGTCCGAACCCGCGGAAGAATCACTGATAAGTCAGTCTCCTCTGTTCATGTTTCATAGGTGAAACGTGGATAATCACATGCACCCACTGAGGCCCGTTAAGAAAAGCCGATGAGAGACAGGAGAAAATCCAAGTGCCTTGAACATCTTGAAGGCCCCTTTTGCTCAACACCCAGTCCCTGGATGTGGCTGGGGTTCGGAGTTAGAAAGCATTCACTAAGCACTTACTCTGGGCCAAGAACATGCACTGCCTCATTAACTCTTCTCTAGAGCCCACAAAGCCAGTTACTGTGCTAAAAAGTATTTCACTTGACAGTTCTTTTCAATGAAATAATAATGCACGTAAAGTGCTTAGCAGTGTCGGTGCTTATTACCATTAGACCAAGAAAGCCCTGCCTAGGGTAGAAGCACTAATCTGGTGGGGCTGACCAGGGACTCCAGCCTTATGAAACATCTAGGCCATACACTTCCCGCATTTCATCGGCAGAGGGCAGTGGCAGGGACCGTCTTCCACACAAAGCCCGATGCAGTTTTCCCGGCGTCCATCAGAGGGCGAGCCAGCAGGTAAGCTGGATCCTGGGGCCAGACCCAGGCAGCGGCCCTTCTCTGACTGGTCCTTTCTTTGCCTTCAGTTTGGTTGAGCCTCCCAGGGACCTAACCAACCCAGGTAAGTCAGGCTGGAAGCAAATTAATAAATACAATTCCGGATTTATTAAAAATCAGGGCTCCCCTGCTGTGCCCTCCTGGCACTAAGGAAATAAATAACCAGAGGGGGCACAGCTAGGTAAAGGGGGAAAAAATCAGATCTCAAGACAGACTCTTTGAACTACCCTTTCTCCCTCCCCAATTCCCACCCCCTTATGGCTCTTGGGACATAGCACCTGAGCAGGCACCTCAGTCCGTGTAGAGTGTGACCGGCACCAAGGCATGTCTGCCCTACCCAAGAAGGGAGACAGGCCCTGGGGTCACTTGTTTCCAGCCCTTCATGACCCCAAGACCTGTTCCCCACAGGGGCCAGGGCTGAAGCACCAATTGGAGGCACCTGAGGGTGGTGGCTGGGGGAGGGAGGATGGGGTAACAGAACCTAGGCAGCAGAAGCAGCTGACGGGGGTCCGGCCCCCTCTCCAAGTTCAGCCAGTGCCTGACTGAGGTCATGCCCCATCGTCCTTTCCCCTCGAACCCCACCTGCACTCAGCTGAGGATCTTCCGGGGCAGTTCAACAGCAGCACGGATGAAGACTGCATCATCCCGCACATAGTTTCGCTTTCGAATGTCCTGGTGGGAGATGAACTTGGGATAACCAAAGCCCAGAGAACTCTCATCCAGGGAGCCCCGCCACGTGCCTGGCTTCTGGAAATTCTTCCAGTTTGGGTCGGGGTGGAAGGTCTCAGTGACGTGCTGTGGTTTAGCCAGCCCAGGGTCGCTCTGATCCAGCAGGGAGAAGGTGACACGGCGGGCAAAGGGCCACTCAAGGAGATTGTCAAAGGCACCAGGCAGCACACGAATGTACAGTGAGAGGTGTGTGCCCTCACCACTGCCATTGCCATTGAGGAATGCAGACACCTGCAGCTTGTAACCATACTTATGTGTGTAGAAGGCTGGGCTGAAGCACTCAAGGTTGGGCTTGGCCTTGGCCTCCTGTAGCCGCCGTCCATAGCTGCCAATCTTCCAGATGAGCACGCCATCACTGCCCACTGATAGCTCCTCCAGCTCTCGCCGAAGCTCCTGCAGCTCCTGCCGTTGCCGGCTCACCAGGGCACACATCATGGCCAGATGTGGCTTCACACTCTCCTCCACATGCCGTGCCATTGCCAGCTTAGGGCACTGTTGGCAAAGCCCCAGGCCATGGGGGAAGGGAGGAGAGTTATCAGTAGGGGGAGGTCCAGGGAGAGGAGAGGAGTGGGTACAGGGTAGCAGGCACCCAGCTCTACGTGAGGAAGACAGAGGGTGTTAGGAAGAGGCTGGAGCTGGCAGCAGAGGGAAGGACTGAGGGTTTCAGAGCAGCACAGCAGGGACCACCAAGGCCTAAGTACATCAGAAGCTGAGCCTCTGTCTAGGGCTTCAAGGGCAAAAGGGGGCTGACAGGAAAAGGGGCATCTCACCCTGTGCTTGCAGCCGGAGTCTTTGAATGGGCAGAGCACCAGGGCGGTGTTACAGCTGTCCTTCAGATGGCCTGGCAGGTCCTCCCGAGCCACAGTGCCCACACCACATTGGTTGGGGCAGGCAACAGGCAGCCTTGGGCACTGGTACTGGTGGCTCTGGGGCCACAGAAGTAGAGAGGCAGGAGTCAATATCCTGACTACCTGTCACCTACCCTGCAACCCACAGTTCAGGGAAGGCCTCACCTGGATGGTGTCAAAGACGAACTCCTTAGTGCAGTAGGTGCAGGGCTGAGTGCGCTTGGGGCACTCAGAGGTGGCATGCTGGGCCAGCAGCCGCCGCATCATGCGGGCACCACACTTATTCTCACAGTAGACACTCTCCTGGGGGCACATACCCTCATGGCTCTGGAAATGTCAGAGGTGCTGAGTTAAGAGATGCCTAGGCCATCAGGTACCCCCTCCTCCACATTCAGCCAGACCCCACCCACCTCATAGGCCTCCCCACTGAAGTCACAGCCACAAAACTCGCACTTGAGGCGCCGCTTGGGGCAGTCATGCTGCAAGTGTGCAGGTAGATCACGGCGGCTCAGCTTCATGGGGCAGCGATTAGGGCAGGGAATGACATTGAAGCTGCAGGTATTCAGGTGGCCCTGGTGGGAAGGCTGCAATTAGTGCCTGCCAAGGGAGAGGTGGTGCCAGCCCTCACATCAGAGCCTCACCTGTAGATGACGTAGTGGCCCACTCCAGCGGCAGCCCTCCTCACTGTGGATGCAGCGGATAGGCAGGCCCAATACTTGTACTTCCAGCTCCGGGTCTGGGTAGATCTGGGGGTAGGGATGGGGGAACTGGCCAGGGTCAGAGCTGACTGCAGTGCCCAGTTCCCACCCCTAGACCCAACTGGGCTGGCTCTACCTTGGAGCCTGTAATAGCCTCTCTTGGGCTCTTTGCCCCTCTTGAGTCCAGGGATGAAGGGCACAGCAGGCAGCATCTGCTCTGATGCTGGGTCCTAACATGCCTGCACAGGACGCTTCCTTTGAAGAGGCAGCCAATCAGCCTGCTCAATCCCAGGCTGTCCCTGGGGCTCTGCTTCCTTTCCCCTGGTGGAGGGATACTGGCCCTCAGCCACAGGTCTGGCTTGCCACCGGAAGGGGAGGGAACACTTCTTGCGGGCACAGAGCAGCTCTGTGCACCCCTACAGGCTGGGCATTGTGCATGCCCTCCAGGGCAAACAGGGGCCTCGTTTGCAAACTGGCCTGGTGGGAGGGAACAGGCTACCTTTGTGGAGGCGCACCATCCCAAGGCTTTTGGTTGACACTGGCCCTGAGCCCACTGGCTGCCAGCAGCTCCGGCCTCCAAGGGCAACAGACTGTGCTTGGGCTTCTTCCTGGCAGTGTGGACTCACCTTGGCATAGTCCAGAGGAAGCTGGTCCTCAGGGCACTTGAAGACTCCTTCACTGAAATGGGGGAGGGGCAGGAAAAAGGTTTCTCATTAGGGGAAAGGGAGGCCTGGCCCCACCCCCTCCACTGAGGCAGCCTCCCTTCCTCACCAGACCGGTTCCCAACCAGCCTAGATGAGACAAAAGGGCAAGCAGAGGCCTGAGGGGCTCTACTTCCCCAGGATCCCAGAAGACCCCAGCCCCTGTCCTGGGAAGGGGGGTCTGGGCCTAGAGGAGGCACAGACAGCTGCCTCAGTCAGGACTTGGCCAACAGGTGGCAGCTGGCACCCCCTCCCCCAGGATGGCAGCTGGACTGGGAAAGGAACACGCTGCACAGTCACCCCCTCCCCCTAGGTTAGTTTTCATTGGCTGCGCTGAAAGCTGACTGGGAGGGGGAACAGGGATGGGCTGAGATTAAGTGCGAAGGCTGCCCAGTCCCCAGGAAGGTCCTCTGCCAAGAACCAGGGCAAAGGTCAGCTTGCGGCCACCTTACCCTGCCCTGCTCCTTTGAGGGTGTGTCTCCCACAGAAAAGGGGAGGAAAGGCATGCTCCTTGGCACCTGTTTACATTCCCACCCGGCCCTTGCCACCTGCCTCTGAGAAGGGGTGGAATGCCCCCATTTTACAGATGAAACGAAGAGGCTTACAGGTGAAGCAGCACCTGGCTATGTGTGTCTGACTCCACAGCTCAGACAGGCTCTACTACACCACACACACAAGGAAGAGAAGCTGGGGCAAGGAAAAATGTCCAGCAAGCACAGCTAAGACTCTGGGCACTGCTCAGTGGGCTTCTGAAGCCTGGTGACCGTCCCCTCCTGCTAGCTGCCCGCCTTCTCCTGCACCAAACCCTACCTGGCCGTCAGCACCCAAGGAGCCTGTTGGCATGCTTCTTTCTGTCGACATGCCCTTGCTGACCCCAGCCAGGGCCAGTCACACATGCCTGGCATGGCTCAGGCAGAGCAATGGCTCACCCAGCAGGACTCAGGGCCCTGGGGCAGGGCATTCCTGGCAGGTCTGAGTCAGGTAGGTGGAAGGCAGGCAGGGATCCAGGCGGAACCAGAGCCCACATGGGAGCCCAGTTCTAGAGGCACTCTCCAGGACCCAGGCAGTCCATGCCCCAACTGCCCCAAGGATTTCTAGCACCCACCTCCTCCCCTTGATCCCACTACCACTGGCCATGCTTCAATGCCAAGGACAATACAACCACAGGCACTGAAGGGGTGTGTCTGCCCACAGGGCAACCAGCCTTCCTGGGCCAACCTAACAGCTCAGGCAGGAGTGGGGAAAGAGGGGTGGGCCCAGGGGGAGGGGGTCCACTTGGCTGCTTCAGGAATGTGCTGACTGAGTGGTTTTGGAGAAAGGGAGGGGACAGAGGCAAGTCCCTAGGCTTCAGGCAGAAGCTTAGCCTGCAGCTTGGGGCCCAGCCAGGGCTGTGGACACCCTCACTTGTGCTTGTACCGTGGCGGGTGAGGAGCAGGGACCACCCAACCACCTCTCTCCCCTTCAGAAGCCTCAGCAGCACAGCTCAGGCACTGGGGGATGGGGGACAGGCAGGGCAGAGGCTGCTCCAGGCTGTGCAGTGGAGGCCAAGGCCCAGGGAAGAAGACAGGATGGGGGGAGGGGGTGTGGGAGTGGGAGAGGAAGAGGGGATTTCCGGGAGGGGGAGTGGCAGAGAGGGGGGCCAAGAAGGTGGTGGAAGGAATCCGGCCTGACGGCCCCCTCCCCCGCTCCTTTCCCGAGGCAGTCAGGGTGGGTCAGCTGTGGGGGGGTCGGGGGGCTCAGCTGGCCTCATCTGGAACCCAGAGGGCCGGGGAAGAGCAGTGGCGGAGACAATGGGGCTGTGTCTGTAGGAGAGTAAATGTGTACACTGCCGAGGGGGAGGGGGCAGTCCTGCAGCTTGTGCCGGAGCATATGTGAGGGCAGGAGCCGGCCCAGGCTGTGGGGAACAGAAAACAAAGGGCCTGCTGAGATTTCCGCCAGTAGGAGCTACGGAGGACCGAGCGAGGGAGGGAGGCACGGCGGGAGGGAGCACCGGAGGCAGGCGTCTCAGAGGTACTATCCCTGCCAGGCCCTCGATCCCCTCGTCCCAGCAAACAGCCAGGCAGTGGCCGACTCGGCCTTCCCCTGCGCTCTGGGGGCATGACCTCCGAAGAGTCGGGGCTCCTTCACCCTGCTTCCCACACCCGGGCCTGAGGGGTTCCCTGCGTGAGCAGGAGATTCAAGACATACAGGGCGCCCAGAAACTTGATGGATGCCCAAGAGCCAAGGGCTAACCTGCGTCCTGAGAGGGCAGCGGGAGTTCAGTAACAACACGAGTGCGACCCCCTTCTTCATGACTTATGGACCACCCGCCTTACTCCAGCCCCCGGGAGAGAGGGGAGCCGCCTAGAGGGGTCCTTCTTCGGGGGAGGATTCAGTCCTTCCTCCATTGTGTGATCATAAGCAGTCCGGGTTTAAATCCTAGTTAAGCCTTTAAGTAACTATGTGACCCTGGGCAAGTCGCAGCCTTTCTTTGAATCTCGTTTCATGATCTGTGAAATGGGAGAACAATAGCTACCGTTCTCTGAACGTTCGAAGAATCAGAAGAGGTTAGATGGGGGAAAGCTCCGGAGGCTCAAACTGCCACGCGGGAGCGGGTTTTGTCCTCTTCCCCCAGGATTCAAAGTTCAAGGCTGAGGCCGCGCCGGCTCTCAGGTGACGGGGAAGGGCCTCTTCCCCTCCTGACCCCACGAGAAGGCGCCGAGGTCTTCCGCCCCGGGCCGGGCAGTTGGGACCCGCCCGGACCCCTCGGATTCCTGCGGGGGGGGCCTCCCTCGGGGCTTGACGTCATCCCTCCCCGTGACGTCACGGGGCGCCCCTGAGGTCACAGGGTCGCAGCGCAGACAAAGGCCCGCCTTGCCCCGGGCCCGAGACCCTCCCCAGGCGGCGCCCCCCGCCCCGCCCCGCCCCCGCTGTCCCCTGCTCCCCGGCCAGCACCTGAGGAACTCCTGCAGGCAGGTATCGCAGAAACGGTGGCCGCAGGTGGAAACCTGCACAGGCTCGCGCATGGGCTTCCCGCACAGTGGGCACAGCAGCCGTCGCTTGGGCTTCTCCAGGAACTTGTAGTCGAAGCCAGGCATGGCGGGCGAGCGGCCGGCACGGGCGAGCGGGGCCAGGCACGCGGCGGCCCCACAGCCCGCGCCTCGCTGGAGCGGCGCTCCCGGCTCCGGGCGGCGCCGACTGGCGGTCGCGGCCAGGGCTCGGCTGTGAAGCCCGCCCTCCGGAAGAGAGGGCGGACCGCGGCCGCGCGGTCCTAATGCGCGCCCTCGCGGCCCCGCCCACCCCCGAGTGCATGGTTTTTGGGTCTGGTGACCGCCAGTCTCGCCCACCCACGGGATCATGGGCTTTTCTTTCCCCTGGGGGACAGAGATCGTGGCTCCGCTTCTCCCCAGAGCCCGCGGGCCCCGGGGAAGTGCGGGTCGGAAAAGGGGACGGGCCGCGCCACAAAGGTTTTCTTCTCCAGAGGCAACAGCTCGGCCTCCGGGGCCGTGAGCAGCCCAGGAACCGTGGCCCCAGCTTCCAGGTGCTAGGCAGCCGAAGCCTGGCAACCAGCTCCGGGGAGCCCAGCTGGGGCGGGGAGGCTGGACTGGGCGCTGGGCCAGAGGAACCTCGGCCCCAGCCTCCGGCTGCGCCCACATTCCTCCCTTGGCCGCAGCCCTGCCACCGAGGTCGGGCCCAGCCCAGTCCTGGGGTGCCTGGTCGCCACCCCCACCCTTGAAGACACCACACTCCAGGCAGGCAGCTGATATTTTTATTGGCCTTCCTGTCCTCTGGGAAACCGGTCTGGTCCCACCAGCTACCCATTCTCTCAACTGTTTCTGGGGAAAGGCATGGGGGGGACGGGCAATCTCCAGCGCGGATCTTTTCTGCAGCACTTAGTGACTCCTGCCCTCCTGCTGGGGAAGAGAGGCAAGCCGACGTCTAGCAAATCCTGCCTCAGGATGAAAGTGTAGGGGAGGTGGCAGCACTCCCGGGGACCGCCCAGCCCCGGGCTATGCAGAAGCTAGGCAGGCCTAATGGCCAGTCCAGGCAGGCCCTGGCTTGCCCTGCTCCAAAGTATGGAGATAGAGTCCCGGTAAGCACCAAATACTTTTTTTTTTTTTTTTTTTTTTTTTTTTTTGAGAGGGAGACTTGCTCTGTCATCCAGGCTGGAGTGCAGTGGTGCGATCTCGGCTCACTGCAAACTTCACCTCCCGGGTTCAAGGGATTCTCTTGCCTTAGCCTCCAGAGTAGCTGGGATTACAGGCGCCCGTCACCATGCCTGGTTAATTTTTGTATTTTTAGTAGAGACGGGGTTTCACCATGTTGGCCAGGCTGGCCTCAGTCTACTGACCTCAAGTGATCCGCCCGCCTTGGCCTCCCAAAGTGCTGGAATTACAGGCGTGAGCCACCGCACCCAGCCTTATTTTCTTCTTTTTTTTTTTTTTTGGTGGAGACAGCGGTCTCGCTATGGTCCCCAGGCTGGTCTCCCAACTCCTGGCCACAAGGGATCAAGGGATCCTCCTGGCCAAAGCACTGCCTATGCAGGTGTGAGCCACCGCCGCCGGCCCAGACTTATTTTCTAACTGGGCTAGGGGAAAGGGTAGGGTCTGTGTGGAGCTACAGCTGCCTTCAGCCTTTTTTGTTTTTTTTTTTTTTTTGAGACGGAGTCTGGTTCTGTCGCCCAGGCTGGAGGGGTTTACGCCATTCTCCTGCCTCAGCCTCCTGAGCAGCTGGGACTACAGGCGCGTGCCACCACGCCCAGCTAATTTTTTTGTATTTTTAGTAGAGATGGGGTTTCACCACGTTAGCCAGGATGGTCTCGATCTCCTGACCTCGTGATCCGCCCGCCTCAGCCTCCCAAAGTGCTGGGATTACAGGCGTGAGCCACTGCGCCCGGCTGCCTTCAGCCTTTTTATGGCAAGGCTCTGGAGGCCACCCTGCTTCCAAAGGCTAGGTCTGCCTTCTAACTCTAGCCAGGCTGGACCCTGGGGACACTGACTGAAGGGAGGAAGGGGTAGGAAGGGCAAAGAGGTGGTAGGAGAACAAAGTGGTTGAGGTTTCCATATCCAAGGCCAAAAGCAGAGCAGGGGTTTTGCCAGCCCTGATACCCCATGATGACACAATCCAGGAGACAGCTGCAAGTCATGCCTTGGGCACCTGCACTTTTCAGAGCATTCAGAGGAGAAGCAATATCAGGGTGGTCCAGAGGTGAATCCGGGTGCCTCAGGGGGGGACCGGCTCATCTGTGACCGCTGGAGGGTACCGAAGAGAAACCCTTGCAGCTTCTGAGGGCAGTGCCTCCAGAAATCATCACCCACCTCCCACTCCCACTGGGCCCTGGATTCTGGACCCTGTTAGGCCAGAAAGAGAGTTTCAGCATCAACGGGACTCAGCAGTAGGAGAAAGAATGCATGTGAGCCCTGGGGAGCAGTGGAGGCAGCCCTTCCATGAGGCCCAAGAAGCACCAGCCTTGGCCACCCCAGGCAGGAAGCTTGAAGCTTTTCAACCGCAGCTTCTGCTTTTTTTATCTGGGGGCTAAAGATGCTTTTGGTGATGTGGCCATCTGTGAACACTGGGGATGGGAGTGTGGACAGGGGCCAGCTGGGCTGTGTGGTGAAGTGGGAAAAGTTACAACTCACATCGAACAGCCAGGAGGGTGTTTCCATGGCAACAGGACACGGAAGTCACCGTGTAAGGGTGTGTCTCATCCAACTGCACTGGCCGAGGGAGTCCGGCATCCTCATCCCTCCTTCCCAATCGACCTCGCGCCCCTTTGCCCCAAGAGTACACTTCGCTCTCTGCCAGGAAGAATCCCCAGGAGGGAAGTGGGAAGTGGGCACAGCCCGAGCAGGATCTCCCCTCCCACATTGCCAGGATGGCCCCTGGGAGGCTCCAGAGTCCAGTGGCCCTGAATAGCAACCCCCACCCCCCACTGCTCATGGCACTGTCTGCCCCCACCATGCTCAGTCCTCACCTGCCCCAATAGCTACAGTGAAGGCATCCCCACAGGCTACCATTGCCATCTTGATGCCCTCAAGGCCTTGGACCTTACAGGGTGCCCGACTGCCTCGGCGAGTATTGGTGCCCAACTGTCCGTGCTGATTGCTGCCAAAAGTGTAGCAATCACCCGAGGCTATGGGGGAGAGGAAGGAAAGGGGTGCTTCAACAGGGTACCAAGGAGACCGTGAGTCCCCCTCTGACCTCCAGAGCCCAAGTCCTCCTCACCAGTCACAGCAGCTGAGTGAGCAGTGCCCAGGTCTATACTCAGCAGAGGCTCCTGGTCCAGGGGTGCAGAGCCTAGTAGTGTGAAGCTCAGGGCCTCCTCCACTTGCTGGTGGGGGACAGGCTCCTCCCCCAGGGAGAGGTGGTCCAGGCCCAGCTTGTTGAACCTGAGGGCAGAGCCAGAAGCCAAATCCAACTGACAGACAGTTTGGGCAGGAGCTGGTGCACCAGGAGACAGATCCCACCCTGGGTTGAACCAATAGCACCCTCAACCCCCTCAATTCTGGTCTTTGGTGAAAGGTAGGCAATGATGGACGGAGCACTTGCAGCCAAGGAGAGCCAGGGGCAGGTTAGTCATCCTGATGATCTATTCACCTGTTGCTCCCACAGGCTAGGGCTTGGCCAGGCACAGTGAGGATCATGGAGGAATCGATACCACATACAACTCGCTGAGCTTCCTGTCCTGGGGGCATGGGCACCTGCTGGGGGCAGCTGTGGGACTCCCTGGTGCCTAGCCCCAGTCTGCCTACAAGAAGAAACCCAGAAGGAGTTAATTTGAGCTTTAGTGGGGGTGATGCCCGAATGAGGAGGGCCCACTGAGGGGAGGGAACAGCATGAGTTCTCTGTTCTCTCAGTCCCAAATGCCTTTCCTAGGCCCCTCTGCTGGTTAAAATCCTCCTTCTTTATTTTTTATTTTTATTTTTCGAGACTGAGTCTCACTCTGTCGCCAAGGCTGGAGTACAAGGGTATGATCTTCACTCACTGCAACCTCTGCCTCCTGGGTTCAAGCGATTCTCCTGCCTCAGCCTCCTGAGTAGCCGGGATTACAGGCATGCACCACCATGCCCAGCTAATTTTTTTATTTTTAGTAGAGACGGGGTTTTACCATGTTGGCCAGGCTGGTCTTGAACTCCTGACCTTGTGATCCACCTGCCTCGGCCTCCCAAAGTGCTGGGATTACAGGCGTGAGCCACCACGCCGGCTCAAAATCCTCCTCCTTTAAAGCCCTGTTCAAATGACATCTCTCTCCTCCAGTTGACATTACTGTTCACTGAATTCCACGCCTCTGCACTGGGGTGTAGCCCTGATGCTATCTGTTCTCTGGCATGCTGGCAATGTCATCTTTCTCCCACTAGACTGAGTCCTCCAGGAAGACAAGAACCCATCAGTGTCATCTCTAGTTTCAGTGGCCAGCCTGATGCCTGACCCAAAGAGGACCTCAATAAAAAAAATTAGTGGATGGGCCAGGCGTGGTGGCTCACGCCTGTAATCCCAGCACTTTGGGAGGCTGAGGCATGTGGATCACGAGGTCAGGAGTTCGAGACCAGCCTGGCCAAGATGGTGAAACCCTGTCTCTACTAAAAATACAAAAATTTGCTGGGCGCGGTGGCGGGTGCCTGTAATGCCAGCTACTTGGGAGGCTGAGGCAGGAGATTCGCTTGAACCCGGTGGTGGAGGTTGCAGTGAGCTGAGATCACGCCACTGCACTCTAGCCTGGGTAACAGAGCGAGACTCCATCTCAAAATAAAATAAAAAACTAGGTGGATGAATGAAATTTCCTTCATTACCTCATAAACACCTGAAGGAAGCCACATCTCCATCTCATCTCAGCACCCAGCACAGGGTGTGCACATAGTCGGTGTAAAATAAAGGTTTGTTGAATGAATGAAGAGAATTTGAGAGAAAAGAGGGAAGAGAGAATGTGCTGTGAGGTGGAAGGTGGGTATGAAGGGGAGCAAGTCATGGCTGAGGATGCTGTGAGATGGGGCCTAAAGGCTGGAGCTTACCGCTGTCTCCACGGCCCCAGGCAAATAGTTCTCGCTCAGTGGACAGGGCCAGCACGTGAGAGGCCCCACAGGCCACCTGCACCATTTCATAGCCCAGCAAAGCCTCCACAATGGTGGGCTAGAGAGGAGAGGAAGCAAGGAGAAACTGGGCAAAGGGTCTGGAGCCATCTGGCTTCAACACCCCCTGTAGGGACAAAGCTGGAGGCTACACATTCTCAGGAGGTGGCTGTGTCTTTAAATCCAGCCATACACACTGCCAGGTGGGCAACCATTGGGGAAGCCTGGTTTTTCTGTACTTTCCCCGATGTAGGTGGCCCAGAGCAGGTGCAGCTGGGAAGCTAGAGGAACCTGTGGTTGCTGGGAACTCCCCTGCCCCCAATCTGGTGTCAACTCACAGATGTGGGCTCCCCGCCATCCCCCGACTTCCCCTTCCCAAGGTATATGTGACACCCACCTGGCTGATGTCAGTGAGGCTGCCATGGCCTAGGCACCCATTGCTGCCGCTGCCGAATGTCATGATGATGCCTCTGTCTGGGGAGAAGGGCAGTGAGGAAGGAGAAGGGAAAGAAGTTAAACAGTCTTTCCAGATAGCCCGGTCCTCCAGTGGGTTGCAGCAGCAAAATAAAGTTGGGGACCAGGGCTGGAAGGATGGGATAGGAAGAGAGAAAAGGATATGAGTCCCTTCAAACATATGTGACTTTGGACAAGTGACACCCTCTCTGAGCCTTAGCGTCCCCACTTGTCAAATGAGGATAATATAATAACTGCCTTGCCAGGCCTGTCCGTAGGGTAAAGGAGGTTGTATAAGGAAATCTCCTCAATAGTTACTAGACAGAAGCAATAACTCGATAACTAGTAGACAGAAGCATTCATTAAGTGCGTGTTTTGCAAGAGAAGAGAGAAGGTGCTCTGTGGGGCCTCAGAGCAGGTCCCACAAGGTAGGCCCGACAACTCACCAGTCAGGCAGGCAGTGAAGAAGTCCCCACAGGCCACGTGCTTGATGGTCACACCCGACTGGCCCTCCAGGAAACGCGAGATGAACTGGGGCTGTGGCTGCTCCACTGCCCCAGGAAGGAGACTGCCTCCGCCTGCACCTAGGGGTGGGGCCTGCAGGGGCAGGGGGATGGGCAGCGCCTGAGCACCCCAACCCTGCTGTGGACCTCCACCTCCACCCATCCAGGCCACCCCCTGGCCTGCTCACCTCCCACAGGATGAGACGCCCAGAGCGCGTGACGCCGGCTTTCTGCGTGCGCCCAGCTGCCACCTGGACCACCTCTGTGTTGAGCATTGGCAGCCGCAGGGGGGTGCCCAGCCCACCACCCCAGGCATACACTGACGACAGTGGTGGTGGGATGGCTGGCCTCACAGGTCCCCGGGGGATACCTGCAGGTACAGTGCATGGGGACTATTAAACTGATGGGAATGGTGTGGCATCCATGGGGACTGGCGGCCTCTTCCCACTTACCTCTGCAGCGGACACTGGTGGTCCTGCTCCCTGTGTTGCTGGGGGCCACGGACTTCTCTGCCCTGCAGGACAGATGGGGGCCTAAGGACAAAGACCCTCCTGACATTCCTACATGCAGGAAGGGAGGACTTGCCCCAGGTTTCCCTCTGCCTCAGACCTCCTGTGCTCCCACTGGGTGCCCACACCCTGCCGCCCAGGACCGCTCGCTGTCCCTGCACAGGCCTCCGCATGCGGACACTGCCCACGTCGGTGTGGAGGTTGAGGAGGGCACGGATGCAGAGGGGCTGTGCCATGATGTGGCTGAGTGGTGGCCGCTGGGCAGGCTCCAGGCTGAGTAGACTCAGGACCAGCTGGCGAAGCTCAGGGCTGTACCGGTCAGAGATAGGTGCAAAGGTGCCACTCATGATCTTCAGCACCAGTGCTGGCAAGTTCTGTGAAGGCACCAGGTTGAGAATTTGGGGAAGTGAGGGCAGCACCCCCCAGCTCCAGCCCCTGGTCTCCTGGGATAATAACAGCTTTGCCTGGAGGCATCATGCTACCTGACTTCAAACTATACTACAAGGCTACAGTAACCAAAACAGCATGGTACTGGTACCAAAACAGAGATATAGACCAATGGAACAGAACAGAGCCCTCAGAAATAATGCCACACATCTACAACTATCTGATCTTTGACAAACCTGAGAAAAACAAGAAATGGGGAAAGGATTCCCTATTTAATAAATGGTGCTGGGAAAACTGGCTAGCCATATGTAGAAAGCTGAAACTGGATCCCTTCCTTACACCTTATACAAAAATTAATTCAAGATGGACTAAAGACTTACATGTTAGACCTAAAACCATCAAACCCCTAGAAGAATACCTAGGCAATACCATTCAGGACATAGGCATGGGCAAGGACTTCATGTCTAAAACACCAAAAGCAATGGCAACAAAAGCCAAAATTGACAAATGGGATCTAATTAAACTAAAGAGCTTCTGCACAGCAAAAGAAACTACCATCAGAGTGAACAGGCAACCTACAGAATGGGAGAAGATTTTTGCAATCTACTCATCTGACAAAGGGCTAATATCCAGAATCTACAAAGAACTCAAACAAATTTACAAGAAAAAAACAACCCCATCAACAAGTGGGCGAAGGATATGAACAGACACTTCTCAAAAGAAGACATTTATGCAGCCAAAAGACACATGAAAAAATGCTCATCATCACTGGCCATCAAGAAATGCAAATCAAAACCACAATGAGATACCATCTCACACCAGTTAGAATGGTGATCTTTAAAAAGTCAGGAAACAACAAGTGCTGGAGAGGATGTGGAGAAATAGGAACACTTTTACACTGTTGGTGGGACTGTAAACTAGTTCAACCATTGTGGAAGTCAGTGTGGCGATTCCTCAGGGATCTAGAACTAGAAATACCATTTGACCCAGCCATCCCATTACTGGGTGTATACCCAAAGGATTATAAATCATGCTGCTATAAAGACACATGCACACGTATGTTTATTGTGGCACTATTCACAATAGCAAAGACTTGGAACCAACCTAAATGTCCAACAATGATAGATGGATTAAGAAAACGTGGCACATACACACCATGGAAAACTATGCAGCCGTAAAAAATGATGAGTTCATGTCCTTTGTAGGACATGGATGGAGCTGGAAACCATCATTCTCAGCAAACTATCGCAAGGACAAAAAACCAAACACCGCATGTTCTCACTCATAGGTGGGAATTGAACAATGAGAACACATGGACACAGGAAGGGGAACATCACACACCGGGGCCTGTTGTGGGGTGGGGGGAGGGGGAAGGGATAGCATTAGGAGATATACCTAATGTTAAATGATGAGTTAATGGGTGCAGCACACCAACATCGCACATGTATACATACGTATCAAACCTGCACGTTGTGTACATGTGCCCTAAAACTTAAAGTATAATAAAAAAAATAAATAAATAAACAATAACAGCTTTGCCCTCAGGAGACTTCAGTCTGATGAGGAGACTCCCAGACTGACAGGGGAGTCCAACCTGGCTTTCAGTGATCCCTAGTCTGATAGGGGAGCTGCAGCTATATCCTCAGAAACCCCAGCATGCTGGGAAAACTCAAGTCTTGCTCTTGGGAGGGTCTTCTGGGAAAGCCACAGCCCTGCCCTCAGGAGCCCTCCGTCTAATGGGAGGCAAGACCTACTCTCAGAAATCCATAGTCTGAGGGACACCCATAGCCCTCCCCTGGGGTAATCTGATAAGGGAGAGACATGACTCAGCTAGAGGAGAAACCTGAGGTGGCTTGAGCCAAGGGCTGCTGGGCGAGGCAGTAGATTTCTCAGTTGTCCCCTGGAGGGTGCATACACTCACCGCAGCCTCGAAAGCCCTCTTGAGGCTGGCCAGCTCGTAGAGGACACAGCCCAGGGCCCAGATGTCACTCTTCTGGTTGTAGGGCTTGCCCTCACACAGCTCAGGGGAGATATAGCATGGGGTACCCACCACCTGCAGGATAGAAGCTGGGATCACAGCCCTGCAGGGAGGGAAGACCAGGGGCTCTGTGCATAAGCCCATTTGGGGACAGCTTCTTCTCAAAGCAAGCCAAGGGGCTTCCTCCTGCAGAACCACCCAAACAGGGGCCAAAGGGCCAAGGGTTTTTTAGGGGGAGGGGAGGAGGCAGGGTTAGGTCCTGGCCCTCAAGACTTCTAGTGCCCTGGAGGTCCCTTCCATGCCCAGGCACCGTGTAGGCCTTGCTCTTGCTGCTAAGGATCTTGGAGATGCCGAAATCACCGATCTTGACGACCATGCGGTGTTTGTCAAGCAGGATGTTCTGGGTCTTGAGGTCTCGGTGCAGGATGAGGTGGGTGTGCACATGATGCAGTGCAAGCAGGATCTGCACGAAGAAGTGCAGGATGGTCTCCTCCTCCAGCAGGGAATTACAGCGCTTTTGGATGAACTCAGCCAGAGTGCCGCCTGTGGCCCAAGGGACTAATCAAGATCCAGGCTTTCTCACACCTACGACAACCCCTCTCCATTGTTGTTGTTGTTTTTTTTTTTTGAGATGGAGTCTCGCTCTGTTGCCCAGGCTGGAGTGCAGTGGCATGATCTCAGCTCACTGCTGCAAGCCCCCCCTCCCGGGTTCAAGCCATTCTCCTGCCTCAGCCTCCTTAGTAGCTGGGACTACAGGTGCCTGCCACCACACCCGGCTAATTTTTTTTTTTTTTTGTATTTTTAGTAGAGACGGGGTTTCCCCGTGTTAAACAGGATGGTCTCGATCTCCTGACCTCATGATCCGCCCGCCTCGGCGTTGGCCTCCCAAAGTGCTGAGATTACAGGCATGAGCCACCGTGCCCAGCCAACAACCCCTCTCCTTTTATGTATGGAACAGGGCACTGGGACCAGAGAGGACAAGGGGCTAGCCGGGGTCAGATAATTGGGACCAGAACTCTAACCCTTGGCCATGCCCATTCCAAGGAGGGAAGCCAGGAGATCTGTGTCTGCCTGTCCCAGAGGTAAGAGGCCCTCCAGCCAGGCCACTGTAAGGAGGCTGGCCCACCTGGTGCATATTCCATGGCGATCATAAGGGCTTTGTCTTCCAGGAAGTTCTCGTAGTACTCAATGACATTGGGGTGGTTGAGCAGCTTGAGGACCTGGCACTCATTCTGGGCTGCCTGCCGCTCTTCCTTGGTCATCTGTTCCACTGGAATCTGCTTGATGATCACCAGCTTCTGGTCAGCCTTTCGCAGGCACAGGTGCACAATCCTAGGGATACGGAGGACAGGGACAGGTTACCAGCTAAGCCTCCAGCCACATATCAGGCAGGGCGGTGCAGCCTAGTGACTGATGTCTCTTGGAAGAGGGTTCTAGACTGAGAGGTCATCTAACCAAGCGCACAGAACACTGAACTTGGGAACAGGGAGAACTGATTACAAGCTGTGTGGGACTTCAGTTTCACCACAGGCACTGTGAGGTAAAGTTAGTCTTGATCTCTAAGTTCCCACAGACTGCCTGGGTTCAAATCTGGGTGCCTCCTCTTACTAGTTATCTGGTTTGATACATTATGTGACATCATTGTCTGGAAAATGAAATGGGCCTCCCAGGGTTGTTGAGAGGATGGAATGAGAAAATGCATGTAAGGCACTGAGTGCAGTGACCAGCACAAAGAAAACGCTCAATGAATAGAAGCCATTCATATTATTTTATTTTAATTCTGTGGTTAGTCTCCATAAAAGCAGGGACTACAACATTCTTGTTCACCACAATAACCCCAGTGCATAGCCCAATATTTAGCACACAATAGGCAGTCAATAAGTATTTGTTGAATGAGTGGACTATAAGCTGATCTAAGTCTCAAATTTTTACCTCCAGATCAGGCTTCTCTTCTGAACCCTAGACTCAGATATCCACTTGAATGGCTCACAGTCATCCTAAATTTTAACAAATTCAAAATAAAACTCTTGATTCCTGCCTCCAAACCTTTCCTTGCTCAGTCTCTTCCATCTCAGTAAATGCTACCATCATCCTCCAGTTATTAAAATCAGAAACTGCTAAAATCAGAAACCTGAGGCAGGGCCAAGTGGCTAAGGCCTGTGATCTCAGCACTTTGGGAGGCCAAGGCAGGTAGATCACTTGAGTCCAGGCGTTCAAGACCAGCCTGAGCAACATGGTGAAACCCACTCTCGCAAAAAAAAAAAAAAAAAAAAATTAGCTGAGCATGGTGGCAAGCCTCTGTGGTCCCAGCTGCTCTGGAGGATGAGGTGGGAGGATCACCTGAGCCTAGGACATTGAAGATACAGTTAGCCATGATTGCGCCACTGCACTCCAGCCTGGGTGACCAAGTGAGATGGTCTCAAAACAAAACAACAAAAAAACAGACACTTGAAAATCAGCCTAGGCCGGGCGAAATGGCTCACACTTGTAATACTAACACTTTGGGAGGCCGAGGTGGGTGGAGCATTTGAGGTCAGGAATTTGAGAACAACCTGGCCAAAATGGTGAAACCCCATCTCCACCCAAAATACAAAAATTAGCTGGGTGTGGTGGCAGGCGCCTGTAATCCCAGCTACTCGGGAGGCTGAGGCAGCAGAATGGCCTGAACCTGGGAGGTGGAGCTTGCTGTGAGCCGAGATGGCGCCACTGCACTCCAGCCTGGGCGACAGAGTGAGACTCCACCTCAAAAAAAAAAAAAAAAAAAAAAAAGAAAAGAAAAAAGAAAATCGCCCTAGAATCTTTCCTCCATTTCACACAAGCAAATCCTATTTCTACCTCTGCAATACTGTAAATCCATCCAATTCTCTGTGCCCTCTCTACAGCCCTTGCCCTATAGTCATCATAATTTCTCGCCTAAAATACTGTATAACTCTCCAAAATGGTCCCTTTCACTCCTGTCACCCTCAAATCTAAATTCTACATGAACCAGAATGACATTTATTTTTTATTTATTTTTCTTTTTTTTATAGATATGGGTCTCACTATGTTGGCCAGGTTGGTCTTGAACTCGTGGCCTCAAGATATGCTCCCACCTCGGCCTCCCAAAGTGCTGGGATTATGGGCATGAGCCACCATGCCCAGCCCCAGAATGCAATTTAAAAATCTTACTATCCTGGCTAACACGATGAAACCCCGTCTCTACTAAAAATACAAAAAATTAGCTAGGCATGCTGGTGGGTGCCTGTAGTCCCAGCTACTCGGGAGACTGAGGCAGTAGAATGGCGTGAACCCGTGAGGCGGAGCTTGCAGTGAGCCTAGATTGCGCCACTGCAGTCCAGCCTAGAAGATAGAGCAAGACTCCGTCTCAAAAAAAAAAAAAAAAAAAAAAAAAAAAAAAAAAAAAAAATTGGGGCCAGGCGCGGTGGCTCACGCCTGTAATCCCAGGCCTTTGGGAGACTGAGGCAGGCGGATCACGAGGTCAGCAGATCGAGACCATACTGGCTAACATGGTGAAACCCCGTCTCTACTAAAAAATACAAAAAAATTAGCCGGGAGTGGTGGCGGGCGCCTGTAGTTCCAGCTGCTAGGGAGGCTGAGGCAGAAGAATGGCGTGAACCTGGGAGGCGGAGCTTGCAATGAGCCGAGATGGTGCCACTGCACTCTAGTCTGGGTGACAGAGCGAGACTCTGTCTCAGAAAAAAAAAAAGAAAGAAAGAAAGACAAAATATAGAGGAATGGTCTGATAAGATTTTTTATTTTTCTATTTTTTTTATTTTTGAGAAGGAGTCTCACTCTGTTGCCAGGCGGGAGTGGAGCGGCGCGATCTCGGCTCACTACATCCTCCGCCTCCCAGGTTCAAGCAATTCTCCTCCCTCAGCCTCCCGAGTAGCTGGGACTACAGGCGCGTGCCACCCACGCCCAGCTAATTTTTTTATTTTTAGTAGAGACGGGGTTTTACCATGTTGGCCGGGATGGTCTCGATCTCTTGACCTCGTGACCTGCCCGCCTCGGCCTCCCAAAGTGCTGGGATTACAGGCATGACCCCCACGCCCGGCCTTTTTGTTTTTATTTTTTTTTGAGACAGAGTTTCACTCTTGTTGCCTAGGCTGTAGTGCAATGGCACAGTCTCAGCTCACTGCAACCTCTGCCTTCCAGGTTCAAGCGATTCTCCTGACTCAGCCTCCCAAGTAGCCGTCACAACACCCAGCTAAATTTTGTATTTTTAGTAGAGATGGGGTTTCACTGTGTTGGCCAGGCTGGTCTCGAACTCTTGACCTCAGGTGATCCAACCACCTCGGCCTCCCAAAGTGCTAGAATTACAGGCCTGAGCCACCGTGCCCGGCCCCTTCTTTCTTTCCTTTCTTTCTTTTTTTCTTGTATTATTTCTTTTTTTAGATAGGTTCTCACTCTGTCAACCAAGTTGAAGTGCAGGGGTCTCATCTCAGCTTACTACAGCCTCCACCTCCCATGCTCAAGTGATCCTCCCACCTCAGCCTCCTGAGTAGTTGGGACTACAGGCACATGCCAATGCCACCATACCTGGCTAATTTTTTTATTTTTTTGTAGACAGGGGGACTCATTGTGTTGCCCAGGCTGGTCTCTAACTCCTAAGCTCAAGCAATTGCCCATCTCGGCCTCCCAAAGTGCTAGGATTATAGGCGTGAGCCACTGCACCCTGCCCCTTTTCAGAAAACTCTGCCAAGTCTCAGGATCACTCTTCCTCTTTAAAACCCTTCCTGGTGGCTGGGAGTGGTGGCTCACGCCTGTAATCCCAACACTTTGGGAGGCAGAAGCAGGTGGATCGCCTGAGGTCAGGAGTTCGAGACCAGGCTGGCCAACATGGTGAAACCCTGTCTCTACTAAAAATACAAAAAATTAGCCAGGCATGGTGGCACACGCCTGTAAGGCTGAGGCAGGAGAATTGCTTGAACCCGGGAGGCGGGGCTTGCAGTAAGCCAAGATGGTGCCATTGCACTCCAGCCTGGGCAACAGAGGAGACTCTGTCTCACAAAAAAAAAAAAAAAAAAAAAAAAAAAATTAGCCGGTTGTTGTGGCGTGTGCCTGTAGTCCCAGCTACTCAGGATGCTGAGGCAGGAGAATTGCGTGAACCCGGGAGGCGGAGATTGCAGTGAACTGAGATTGCCACTACACTCCAGCCTGAGCGACAGTGCAAGACTCCGTCTCAAAAACAAAAACAAAAACAAAACAAAACCGTTTGTGGCAAATGAACCTTTTATCTCAGGTTATCAGGCCATAATCTAGTCCCCGCCCTCGACAATTACATTTTATACCATTCTCTACCTTGCCCACTACATTCCAACTATTACTAGTCTTTCTCGGTTTCTTGAATGCTCTGTTTTCCCATGTGAGACATTTCACATACGCTATTTCCTTTGCCTGAAAAGTTCTCCCTTCACCTGCAGACTACTGGTCCTCATTCCTCAAGTCTTGGCCTTAAATCTCACTTCTGGCCTGTCGCGGTGGCTCACGCCTGTAATTCCAGCACTTAGGGAGGCCGGCGCGGGCGGATCACCTGAGGTCAGGAATTTGAGACCAGCCTGGCCAACATGGCGAAACCCCATCTGTACTAAAAACACAAAAAATATTAGCTGGGCATGGTGGCGCGTGCCTGTAGTCCCAGCTACTCGGGAGGCTGAGGCAGGAGAAGCGCTTGAACCAGGGAGGCAGAGGTTGCAGTGAGCTGAGATAGTGCCACTGCACTCGAGATCGCGCCACTGCGACAGAGTGAGACTGCCTCAAAAAAAAAAAAAAAAAAAAAAAATCCAAAAAATTTAGCCGGGCATGGTGGCGCACGCCTGTAATCCTAGCTACTCGGGAGGCTGAGGCACAACGATTGCTTGAACCCAGGAGGTGGTGGTTGCAGTGTGCCAAGATCGTGCCACTGAACTCCAGCCGGGGTGACAGAGGGAGACTCTGTCTTAAAAATCAATCAAGCAAGCAAGCAATCTCCCTTCTCAGAGAATTCTTCCTTGACCATCTCATATAAGTATTCTCACTGGTAATGTACTCTATCCTCACAACCTGCTAATAACACTTCATAACTGCTATAACTTCTTACTTCATAATGTTTTGTTTATTGTATAACTTTCCCACAGTCAGTAAGTTCCAAGAGGGAAAAGACCACGCCCGTTCCGGTTCTAACTATATACCCAGCGGCCAAAGCCTGACATACATAGCTGGCACTCAGTATTTGTTGAACGAATGAATAAAGAAGCTAACATAACTCAGTGGGCGGAGCAATGGGCCTGTCAGGGGCGTGGCCTCCGTAGAGGCGGAGTCTCCCCGGGGGACTGGGACCGGAAGCTTGGGCGGGGCTTCCCAGAGTGGCGCTCACGCCTTGGGGCGGGATTAGGCGGGCGGCGACTTCGCGGGCGGAATTGGGGCTTATTTTCCCTATCCCCTAGCAGTTTCCTCCCCCAGAGCCCTGGCTCACCCGAAGGCACCTCTCCCCACCACTCGGATCCGCTCGTACTTCTCCATCTCATTTCTTAGAGTTTCACTTCCGTCCCCCACGCGGCGCGTGCGCGGACCCACCCACTCTGGGCCCCGCCCCTTCACGGCGAGCGGCTTGCGGGGCGGAGCCAGCGCCCTAGGTGTGGGTTCCGCCACGCGTCCGTATTTGTGGGCCTGCACCACACACCTCCCGCTGCGACACGCCGTCACTTTTCCCCTCACGACCCTGCCCCACGCAGTGTCCAAGAATAGGGCAAGAAAATAGGGCGCGCCCGCAATGGCGGGCACGGTACCCGCCCCTCCCACACATATACCCAGCCCTTGTAAAGCTTGCTAGACTAAAAGGATGTCGCGTTCCCGAGAGTTAAACCCCACAGGCCGGGAAGGGGTGGGAAGAGAAGATTGACCCCCTTCTTGCCCACGAGTGACGCTATTTCAGGAGAAAGCGGGTTCTCCTTGGCACGCAAACGATAAACACACCCAAAACGACCGAGACCAGCGCTCCTGGGAGAAGGCAGCAGGGTTGGTTTCGTGTTTGCCTGGGGAGGGACGGGGGAAATCCCAAGTCGTGCAAGTTGATTCACCTGAAGAGGACATGACACGGTCTCGGGCCGTCCCGACTAGTGAGCGCCGCGCTCGTCAGCACTCTCAACTCCCCTTTCACACACGCGCTGCAGGAGGGTAATCTGCCCTCAGTGCTCATCTTCCCATGGGGGAAGATGGGGGCGGTAGTGGGTCAGTACCTGAAAGCATCAAGGGGAGAAGGAAAGACCGCGGTTTCGCCGAAATGAGCTCAAGGCAAAAGCCTAGAGGCAGGGGGCTGGTTAGTGTGACCAGCTAGGCTCTTTACCGGAAGTGAGGTTAATTCCAGGTTCTCCCGGGCTCCTGCTCTGCGGGAGCTCTAGAAAAACTCAGTATTCGGCCAGGCGCGGTGGCTCACGCCTGTAATTCCAGCACTTTGGGGAGGCCGAGGCGGGCGGATCACCTGAGGTCAGGAGTTTGAGACCAACCTGGCCAACATGGTAAAACCTCGTCTCTACTAAAAATACAAAAATTAGTTGGGCACGGTGGCGCGCGCTTGTAATCCCAGCTACTCGGGAGGCTGAGGCAGGAGAATCGCTTGAATCTGGGAGGCGGAGGTTGCAGTGAGCCGAGATCGTGCCATTGCACTCCAGCCTGGGCGATAGAGTGAGCCTCCATCTCAAAAAAAAAAAAAGAAAGAAAGAAAACATCAGTATTCAGGAGGAGGATGGTCACTAGCTGAAGGTTAGCGTCCCTGTATCAGAGTGGGCAAGGGGTGTGAGGAAAGGGGCGTTTTATCTTCTGCCCCTGTCCTGGCTCTCGCAAGGGTATCCAAACCCACCCACGTGGAATGACTGCTGGAAGGGCGCTGGCTCAGGCCGGTGTCGGCCGGCGGACAGAGCAGCTCTGTGAGCCAAGGGGAGGGGCGGGAAAGCCGCTCACCCAGGACACCCGTGTTCTCACCTAGAAACCGACTGGGCTTTGGTTGACTTAAGAGTCCCACAGGGGTTAATGTGTAACCTTGGAGCCATAGGGGAGGAAAACACTCAAACGGCTTGGTCCCTGGGTCCTTGCGCCTCAGGTTTTCTCGGCTTCTTCCTCCCGCCCGCAGCACCTTTCCCCTCCCCCGCTTCTTCCCGCCCCTCCTCTATTACTACCCTCTTCTCCCTCCCCGCTCTCATCTCCGCTTAACTTCCCTCGCTGGCTCTCAGCTGCTCCTCCTTTCGCCCAGAGTTTATACCTAAACTCTCCCCGAAAGCAGCTGCCTCGCTCGGAGGCGGGAGGGGGAGCCCGCGCCACAGTGAGGGCAGGCTGACACCTAGTGGCTAGGAGCCGCAACTGCTGCAAGCTACCGGCTTGGAGAGCGCGGGTCACTCCAGCTGTCCCGGCAAATCGGAGGTCTTGCTTGCCCAGCCTCCGGGGAGCCGGGCCGAGGGCCGGGACTGTCTGAGGGAGGACTGTGACAGCCGCCCGGCCCCAGGAGTTTAAGAGCCGGCGGGAAGAGGTGGCGATGGGTTACTCAGCAGTTCCCAAGTGCCCACCTCGCGGGCGCGGGAGGGACAGGTAAACACGGGACTCCGGCCAGAAGACTGCGAGTGGTGCGGTAGGGGCACTGGGTCTGCACGGAGACCACTGTCGGACGCGGGGCTCCGGAGCCCACCCCAGGACCAGGACTTAGGGGGCGTGGGCGTGTCGGGTCCCGTCCAGCTCTGCGCAGAAAGTAGAGGGCGGAGAGAGCTCTCGCGGTACCCGCCCAGGGCGGGGTAGCCGGTGGCCCGGGGAAAAGTGGGGACGCGGGTTAATGAGGCCAGGCGAGCGAGGGCAGCGGGGACTCCGTCGGCAGTCGGGAGGCGCCAGCGAGGGGTGTCTCGGCGACGACGCCCCCAGCACAGCTCCTAGTTACCCGAAGTCCGCGGGAGCCGGCCGGTGGCCGAGAGGCCACGGGGACACCCGGCTCGCGCGGCAGCAGCGCCTGAGGGGCGGGGGCAGGCGGACGGGGCGGGGGCAGGCGGGCGGGGCGGGGGCGCGGGCGGCTGGGGGCGGGGGCAGAGGCCTCGCAGGGAGGGCGAGGAGGAGCCAAGGGGCCTAGAGGGCTTCGCCAACTGTGTGGGGCTGGCGGCCGGCGGGAGAGGCGGCCGGCCTGGACTGGCCCGAGAGGGATCCCGGTTCCCAGAACAGACCTAGGAGGCGGCCTCGAGGGCGGACGGCAGGGAGGGCCAGCATGCCCCGACTGCTGCACCCCGCCCTGCCGCTGCTCCTGGGCGCCACGCTGACCTTCCGGGCGCTCCGGCGCGCGCTCTGTCGCCTGCCCCTACCCGTGCACGTGCGCGCCGACCCCCTGCGCACCTGGCGCTGGCACAACCTGCTCGTCTCCTTCGCTCACTCCATTGTGTCGGGGATCTGGGCACTGCTGTGGTGAGTGAGCGACTGTGGAAATGAGGTGGCCAGGGGATCCTGAGCGGGGAGCCGGGGCCGGCTCTTGTGTTACTACCCCCATCGCTCACTGGCGGGCTGAGGCCACGCAGTCTCACCTGATCCCGTTTGGTATCCTATCCAACCAAAAGCCGCAGTGGCCCCAGGGGAGGGGGATCGCCCCTGGGAAACTGGAGGCTCTTGGGTTTTGCCCAGCCACTCTTAGCTTCCCAGTCAGCCACTAGCGCGAGCCCAGGATCCCCCGGGGCTGCGAAGGGTAACCGAGAAGTTGATGGTCCTTGAGGGTGCCGAAATGCAGAGCCTCCTCTTCCCTCCTTTCCAGTGTATGGCAGACTCCTGACATGTTAGTGGAGATTGAGACGGCGTGGTCACTTTCTGGCTATTTGCTCGTTTGCTTCTCTGCGGGTAGGTCTTGCCCAGGAAGCGGGAGGCAAATTGGGGACAGGGAGAAGGAAGCTGCTTGTTCAGTTCATGATCTCTTGCCCCATCCCTCCACTAGGGTATTTCATCCACGATACGGTGGACATCGTGGCTAGCGGACAGACGCGAGCCTCTTGGGAATACCTTGTCCATCACGTCATGGTAAGAGAGAAGCAGACTATGTGGTATAGGCCTGGTGTCAGTAATCTAGTCTCAGCTCCGTCTTTCTGAATCTGGGAGAAGGCCGTGTTTTCTTACCACCCACCCCCGACCTGTGTGCTACTTCTTATGCTAGGATGCTGGAGGTTGGCAGTCTGTACTTGTTCACTGAGGCCAGCAACCCATGGTTTCACTGCCTCTTTAGACTGAACATCACCCACAGCCAGCTGTGAGCAGCAATCAAAATCTAGTAATGTTGAACTAACAAAACAAAGCATCTTACCCACTATAAACTATTATTCCAGGGGGAAATTTGGGATTTTCCAGCCCTCAATCTGATAGCCACACCCCCCAAACTTCCAGGAAAGCGTCTGCATCTGGGTTCCCTAACTCCTATTCTTTCTTCCCTCTAGGCCATGGGTGCCTTCTTCTCCGGCATCTTTTGGAGCAGCTTTGTCGGTGGGGGTGTCTTAACACTACTGGTGGAAGTCAGCAACATCTTCCTCACCATTCGCATGATGATGAAAATCAGTAATGCCCAGGATCATCTCCTCTACCGGGTTAACAAGTATGTGAACCTGGTCATGTACTTTCTCTTCCGCCTGGCCCCTCAGGCCTACCTCACCCATTTCTTCTTGCGTTATGTGAACCAGAGGACCCTGGGCACCTTCCTGCTGGGTATCCTGCTCATGCTGGACGTGATGATCATAATCTACTTTTCCCGCCTCCTCCGCTCTGACTTCTGCCCTGAGCATGTCCCCAAGAAGCAACACAAAGACAAGTTCTTGACTGAGTGAGGGGCACAGAGCCTGGGACAACAAAAACGGACAAGGCCAGAAACAGCTTCATATGGACACTGGGACTTAGCCCCAAGCCTGGGTGTCCTCTGAGGCCAGCCTCTCCACCTTCTGAGCCTGCGCCCACACTATTGAAAACACTAATGAAAGTACTCCTCTGAAGTCCTTGTCCTTTATTGGGCAAGGGGTGAGGGAAGCAGACAGACCGGTTGGACATAGTAGATGGGTGTGTGAGGACAAAATGCTACCAGAGAGCCAGCCAATCCACACTCCCCTGAAATGGATGCTAACACCCTTCAAACCCTGGGCATTGGTTTCATACACAGCCTCTTCCAGGGATAAAAGGGGTTCTTGTACAGCTTGTTACTCAACCATGGAGGCAAGTTCTGAGTTCTGGTTTTCCTAGGACACTAACTCTAGTCACAAAGATCTCTGGAATGATCATACATGGTGGAGTGGCAGGGTGAGGTATTTCAAAAGGATAAGTAGAACAGGAGTCTTGCCCAAGCCCTGTCATGTCAGTGTGTGTGTGTGGCCTCCCAGCCCAACCAGAAATTGACAGACAGGCATGTATATGGTGAAAAGATATATATATATATATATTCAGAATTAGGCAGCTGGACTCAGTTTAGATGATCCCAATCTGAAAAACAAAAGGGAGCCTCGTTACTGGAGTTGAAATATGAAGATTAAGCTGGAATGTTATTTTTAGAAAGCAAAATGAGGAATGTGAGGATAAGGTTTGTCAAGGATAGGGGTGCAGTCAGTTAATTATGACTAATCAGCAAAGATCAGGCTTTGGTCGCTAACATATGCATCATTTGCACCCAAGGGGTGAGCATTAAGGGGTTTGTAGGAAGGAAACTTACTTTGTTGGCAACATCCAAAGCATCGTAATCAGGAGCCAGTCGAACATATGCCTTCTTCTCTCCATCAGGCCTAGGGTAGAGAAGGAAGCCTTAGTCCCTGCCACCCTCACTGCCCCCACACCCTCCCCCTTCCTCCTCCAGTCCTCCGGCACTTCAGTGGTTCCTTTGTTCATGTCATTCTTTTCCAATAATGATTTTTCCATCATTAGCCCAGAGGACACCATGAAGCCACAAAGCCAATTCTCTTATGGGAAACACCACAGGCCACATTAAGACTTAAACCAAGGTAATCTGCCACGTGTCGCACTCTAGTTGCCTTTCCCAATAGAAGTAGGGACCCAGAAAATGAGGACCAACCCCCAATCAAGTCCTAGAAAGCCTCAGGTCCACACAAAGGTCTGTAACTAAAGCAGCCTGTAATTCCTGCCTCAAGGCTCACACACACTGCTAAACCTACACCAAGTTTAAGTCAAGGAACCTTTTTCCCCTGCTGAAAGGTCCAGGGGATTTTTTTTTTTTTTTTTTTTAAAAAGGGCCTTGCTTGGTTGCTCAGGCTGGAGTACAATGGGGCAATCATGGGTGATTCCTGGCCTCAAGAGATCCTCCTGCATAGCTCGGACTACACGTGTAGTCCTGCATTACCAGGACTACCTAAACATCAAAAAGCTTCATGGAATGCAGGTTTTTTTGGCTCCAGACTGCTGGTCCAGCCTGCTCCCCATCCCTTGAGGCCCAACTCACCGAATCAGGGTGTTGACCTTGGCCACATCAATGTCATACAGCTTCTTCACAGCCTGTTTAATCTGGTGCTTGTTGGCTTTAACATCCACAATGAACACAAGTGTGTTGTTGTCTTCTATCTTCTTCATGGCAGACTCAGTGGTCAGCGGAAACTTGATGATAGCATAGTGGTCAAGCCTGGGAGAGGCAAAATGGGGTCACCTGGCCTGGGCCCATTCTTTTGGAGCCCAGAGCCAGGAGAGCCTAGGTGCATCAGACAACGAGGTACCAATCACTTTGTTCAGACTTTGGTCGCTTTACAGTGTCATCATCTGCACCCTGAAATCTAAGGGCCTGAAGCCCCAATCCCAGGGGCAGAACGTTGTGCATTTTCTTTCTCTTGAAGGGCTCTTACAACCTCAAGTGATTAAAGAATCATCTCTGGGCCAGGTGTGCTGGCTCATGGCTGTATTCCCAGCACTTTGGGAGGCTGAGGCAGGCTGATCACGAGGTCAAGAGATCGTGACCATCCTGGCCAACATGGTGAAACTCCCTCTCAACTAAAAATACAAAAATTAGCTGGTCATGGTGGTGCACGCCTGTAGTCCGAGCTACTCAAGAGGCTGAGGCAGGAGAATCGGGCCAGGGGCAAATTCCTTTTTTTTTTTTTTTTTTGAGACAGAGTCTCGCTTCGCCCAGGCTGGAGTGCAGTGACAGGATCTCGGCTCGCTGCAAGCTCCGCCTCCTGGGTTCACACCATTCTCCTGCTTCAGCCTGGGACTCAGTAGTGGGACTAGCGGCGCCTGCCACCACGCCCGGCTAATTTTTTTTGTATTTTTAGTAGAGACGGGGTTTCACCGTGTTAGCCACGATGGTCTCAATCTCCTGACCTCGTGATCCGCCCGCCTCAGCCTCCCAAAGTGCTGGGATTACAGGCTCGAGCCACCGCGCCCGGCCAGCCACGAGCAAATTCTTATGCATAGGTGAGGTTAAGCCACAGCAGTGGCTTAAGCACAACTGTAACACAGCTTTCCCCATTTAAAGTCACACTTGATTCTAGGTCCAGCTTGGTGGCGGGAGGGGCAGGAAGACAGTCTGTGAACTGCTTTCCTATATGAACACAATCCACTTTTTCTGTTAAGAAAGAGTAGAAGCAGCAAAAACCCATTGGTACTAACTACTACCATGGCTCTACTCAAATCTGTGCTCCCTAAAAAGTCAGTTATTACCGATAGCTCAAATACTCAAGTGCCCAACCTTCTGCCCATTCCCCCCCAACTGTTCCTTGAGCAGTATGAAAATTCGGGAAAATGAATGGAAAGAAGCTTCTATACACCGCAGCAGGCCATAACTGCCAAATACAGATAATGGAATCCCCACTATCAATCAAGAATCAATCCACGTTCTCACCCTCAAGGATTGTTCCCGATAGCAGTAGGAGCTATGAGCAAGGAATCTCTGTATTCTACTTTATACTCCCCCCAAAATAAGTTTTCAAACCGTGACCACATGTGAAGCAATAATTAACCTAACAAATTTTGAGAGACTCAGGGTTTTTTTTTTTTTGAGACAGAGTTTCACTCTTATTGCCCAGGCTGGAATGCAATGGTACGATCTCCGCTCACCGCAACCTCCACCTCCCGGGTTCAAGCGATTCTCCTGCCTCAGCCTCCCGCGAGTAGCTGGGATTACAGACATGCGCCACCATGCCCGGCGAATTTTCTATTTTTAATAGACGCGGGGTTTCTCCATGTCACTCAGGCTGGTCTCGAACCCCTGACCTCAAGTGATCCGCCCCCCCTCGGCCTCCCAAAGTGCTGGGATTACAGACGTGAGCCACCGCGCCCGGCCTCTGGGCTGATCCTGCCAGTTTTGTAAATGCAGCAGAAACAATCTCCTCATACTTCCAATTAGAGAAGCACACTGGACACAATTTGCGTTTGAGAAACCATCACGCAGAGTGAGTGAATTTCCAAATTACCAATGGAGAATACCCAAATCTTTTCATGGGTACAGGGGGCAGTACTGACTTGTTTCTCCTGGGAGCGCTCTTCCGAGGATATTTGGGCTGTCTCCGGAGTCGCAGTGTCTTCGGCCGCCGGAAGGTGGGTGACGTGCGGATCTTCTTCTTTTTGTGGCTGTGGACACCTTTCAACACTGCCTTCTTGGCCTTTAAAGCCTTCGCTTTGGCTTCAGCTTTAGGAGGGGCAGGAGCTGGGAGAAAAGGAAAGAAAACGTGGGTGCGGGATTTAGAAATCGGTCACTTCCGGCCCCAAGAACTGCAGTGGGCCACCCTGGCCACAGGTGCATCAGTGGTTCCTTTGAAGACATCACAAGTGTCAGGAGATTAAAACTTTTCCATCATATGCACGATACCAGAGGCGAAAGCGACCAACTCTAAGTAACTCCAGGGATACGACTATGAAACAAAGTAGCACTGAATGAACGCTTGATACTTTCCAGAAAATGTCCTACGAATTTTACACATACCCCATCGCAAAACCACGCTGCGGAGAGAGGGGCGGGTAATGTAGCCCGGTTGAACATGAACCAGAAGGAAAATGGTTAAAGCTGAGGGCACTAATTCCTTACAGGCCCGGGGACATGGAGCTCCAACCAGTGGATGCATGTAGCTTCCCAGAACCGAATGTCTGGCCCTCCCTGGCGGATGATGCCTGCCGCGTTGCCCCCCCCCAACTCCCTCTACCGGAACTCAGCCCACGAGGCTGGGCCCACGCGGCCCACGTATACTGCAGCGTGTCCGAAACGCAGGGAGCAGCCCCGGAGCAGAGCCCTCAGGGCTTAGCCCAGCAGCCGTGTTCCCAATTCGTTCGCTCTGCGGCGCGGCAATCCCCGGTAAACCAGCTGCGGCCCCATCACCAACACACACCTTCCTTCTTCGCTTTCGGCGCCATCTTGTGAAAAGGGTCTCCAATGCTCGTTCCCACGGGCTTATAGCGCCAAAGAGCACTAAAGACTCGCGATGCTTTGTACTTAGAGCTGATTGGGTAATTTGCAGAGCGGCGCCCTCTGGGAACGGTAGTTAGGTTTAATTTCTTTTTCGTGCGTGAACAAACATGCGCCACTCCTCCCCTCAAAGGCACTAAAGCTTCATGGGGGTTGTAGTTTTTTGTTTTTTGTTTTTTGTTTTTTTTTTGAGCGCTCTGTCGCCCAGGCTGGAGTGCAGTGGCGCGATCTCGGCTCACTGTAAGCTCCGCCTCCCGGGTTTACGCCATTCTCCTGCCTCAGCCACCAGAGTAGCTGGGACTACAGGCGCGTGCCACCATGGGGATTGTAGTTTTTTGAAGACACGCGTTTATTTGCTCAGGCCAGCGGACGGCGTAGCCGGCTGGCGCTCGGGTCTGGTCCCGGGAGCTTCCTATCTTGAGCAACTGCCAGTCTCAGGGAAGAGGATTGCCATGCCAGGAGGCAGGAACGCTGCCAAGAGGAAAGAACACATTTGGATTGACTCGGGAGTTAGATACAGCTAAGTTCTAGAGTGCTGGAGCAGGATTTGCTCGGTCGAACTGAGGTCCAGAGAGGAATGTGGTTTATCAATAACACAGTGATTTGGTGGCAGAAAAAAATCAAGTCAGGGCCGGGCGCGGTGACTCACGCCTGTAATCCCAGCACTTTGTGAGGCCGAGGTGGACGAATTGCTTCGAGCCCAGGAGTTCGAGACCACCCTGGGCAACACGGCGAAACCCTGTCTCTACAAAAGAATACAAAAATTAGCCGGGCGTGGTGGTGCGTGCCTGTAGTCCCAGTTCCTTGGGAGGCTGAGGTGGGAGGATCGCTTCAGCCCTGGAGGTCGAGGCTGCAATGAGCCATTCCAGCCTGGGTGGCAGAGTGAGACCCTGTCTCAAAATAAATAAATAAATAAATAAATAAATAATCGAGTCACGAGGGGGAAGTGTCAGAGGAAGTACAAGGCGGCCACACCTGCCCCTCTTTACCTGCGACACTGATACTGTCAAGTTTTACTGCGTTTCCTGATAATGCATTTGAAGTTCTATGAAAATTCCACACATTTCTCCAAGATTCGCTAGTTTTTCCGGTTAGTAACTTCACTCACAATCCCCTGCCCTAAACTAGTCTTCCCTTCCGTGTCCTGGTCATCTTTACATCCTCAAATTCAGCTCCAGACACAGAGAAAGGTTTCTTAACACTCAGGTTCGCTTCTCCTAAGGTGTGTGCCTAACCCATCCCCACTTGATCCTTTCTTCTTCCCTCTCCCTTCATAAAACCAGACATGTCCCCTTTGACGGTGAAATTGATTGTGCACTGCCCCCTCTTCTATCCTGCAGGACTTTGCACAAAGGAGTTGTCCCTGGGGGATAGATTCCAATGGGGCCAGAACAATGAACACCCATACCAGAGGGGAGTCCCCGCCTCCCAGAGCGGAGACCACCCCGAAGAGCAGAGTTTCCGGGTCCACTTAGCCCTTCTTTAACCTCCCTCGAGGGAACTTGATCTTCAGCCCTCCCACCTCACAATCTACACAGCAGCCTTGAAGGAAAAGACGCCAGACTTCAGACGTCTCTCTCCTCGGTGGGCACCTCATTCTAACCCTGGCACCCCCTTCGCACGCTTCCCCTCCACCATCCTCACCCCCGACCTCCCAGGGCAGAAGGGCGAGAGGGGGCAGACTCTATGAGTCACCTCCCAGGCCTGGAGTTGAGGAGGGAAGCGCCGCCTCTCCTTGGGCCCCTTCTCTCCCCCTTTCCCCTCCCTGCTGGTTCCTGGCATCGCCAGATGCTGCGCAGCAGTCTCCGATTCCCCATCACCAATTCGGCTGGGTAAGGGTCCCCATGAAGGCGCAGCCGGGTATAGAGGTGCAGGGGAGAGCAGCCTGGGGAGTCCCTATCTGGATAGGCTCCAGCCTGGGTCGGGGCGGTCCTGGTGCCCGGTGAAGCGTCAAAAGAGGGAGCCTGAGCGGGGCAACGCAGAAGGGTGGAGAGGAGGGGGTGGCGAGGGCGGGCAGCGAGGCCTGGAGCCGCCAGGAGAGGGGCGGGGGGCGGCCCTTCTCCAGGAATTTCCGGGGATCGTGTTACAGCGTTGGCGGAGCCCGAGCGGAGTGGGACTCGAGGCCCTGTAGCCGGACTGGGCCCCTCGCCCCCTCCTCCAGCGGCCTGCGGGCCTTGGCAGCGCCGCCCCTGCCCACACTGACCCCGTGTGGCGGGGCCGCTCCGCGCCCCCGGGCCGCTCTGTAATGGTAGGGCAGCCTCAGCCCCGAGATGACGTCGGGTCTCCGCGGCCCCGGGTTATTGTAGGAACCATCCGGCCCCGCGTAATCGTAGGAACTATCCGGCCCCGCGTAATCGTAGGGTCTGCGCGGGCCCGGCCCCCACCAGACGGGACTCCCCGCCCCCAATTGGCGGCCGAAGAGTCTCCTCGCCCCAGAGTCATCTTCGGGACGCCCAGGGCCCGGGTGATTTTGGGCTCGCCGCGGCCCCGGGTGATTGTTTCATCTCCGTGGCCCGCGGTGGTCGTAGCGTCTCCGAGACCGCGGACTCCCGTAGGGTCCCCGTGGCCCCGAGTTGTAGTCGGGACACCCCGGCCGCGGGTGATCGTCGGGTCTCCACGCGCCCGGGTCGCTGACGCGGATCCGGCCTCGGCGCCTTCTCAGGGCGCCCTGCAAGGCCGCAGGCAGGATGAACATTCTGGCACCCGTGCGGAGGGATCGCGTCCTGGCGGAGCTGCCCCAGGTAGGCGCCGGGGCCACGTCGGGCTTCAGTCTACAGCCCGGGGTGTGGGCGAGGAGGAGGCGGCACCAGACCAGTTAGAGGACTGGGCCCAGCCCTGCCACCCAGCTAGGCCTGGTGCTTCTGGGTGGTCCCTGCACTCCACCCCTACCCGGGCCGCTTGGCTGCGGGACAAGGGCCAGGAGTAGGAAGCTCCATTCTCTTCCATCCTTCCCACTAAGTGCCTGAGGAAGGAGGCCGCTTTGCACGGGCACAAAGACTTCCACCCCCGCGTCACCTGCGCCTGCCAGGAGCACCGGACAGGCACCGTGGGGTGAGTTAGGGACACCCACAACAAAGAGAGGAGGTCCCAGGAAACTCTGTAGTCATAGCGAGGGTAAACAACCACCCCCTTGGGGCTTCATTTCAGCCCCTACCAGCTATATGGTTATTTCCCCCTCTTTAAGCCCCTGTATCCCCTCCTTTTCTCCCAACAAGGTTGTTGTGAGTTCTATGAGATGGGGTTGGGTAGAAGGGTGGCAGCTGGATTTCTGAGTAGAGACTAAGGTGTCTGAAATGGGAAGGTGGTCACCTGCTCAGATCCCCACATAGCATCCATGGAGCCCCAGGGCAGGGGTCTGGCTGTGCTTACAGGGATGAGTCTTATTGTGGGTTTTAAAGGTAATACTGATAACAGTTGGCACCATTAATTAAGCATTTGCTGTGTGCCAGGCAGTGTTGGGTACTATCATCTTTATTGAATGGAAAAGTCCATCACTTAAGATATATCCTGATTTCAGACATTAAAATGCGGGGGGGAGGGTGTCTTAGAATATAGGACATTTATCTCATTTTAACCTTCACAACGACCCAGTAAAATATATACTAACTTTACTTAAATGTTTAAACTGAGGCTTAGAGAGGCTAAATAACGTGTCCAAAGTCACACAGCTAATCAGTGTGAGAGCTGGGATTCAAATTCATGTCTCTCTGCTTCTGGAGCACAAAACACTCCTCCTCCCCAGCACACCTGTCCACGCAGCTGCCTGGGATGCCTGGTGTCTATAATACCCTCAGCCTGGGTGCAGCTACCTTTCTGGACCTAGTCGGGAGCATTGGAACTCCCTAGGGTGAAAGAGCTCGTGCCCACTCCCCTTGCCCACTCTTGTGTCCAGCAGATTTAAGATCTCCAAGGTCATTGTGGTGGGGGACCTGTCGGTGGGGAAGACTTGCCTCATTAATAGGTAAGGGGGTGCTGGAGCTGAGCTGGGCAGGGTGGGGCCAAGCCTAGCCAGGTGGGCTGGCTCCAGATCACAGCATCTGGTACCCTCTCAGGTTCTGCAAAGACACCTTTGATAAGAATTACAAGGCCACCATTGGAGTGGACTTCGAGATGGAACGATTTGAGGTGCTGGGCATTCCCTTCAGTTTGCAGCTGTGAGTGCTTCCACACCCCTTCCAGCTATCCCTTCTCCCCAGCACCCACACCCCCCAAGATACATACCTGTGCTTCACTCTTCCTTCCTTCCAGTTGGGATACCGCTGGGCAGGAGAGGTTCAAATGCATTGCATCAACCTACTATAGAGGAGCTCAAGGTAAGGGGCTGGGTGAAGTGGGGTAGGTGGGTCTCAGAGTGCACATGGCTTCTCATATGGAGCTGGAAGGATTGGGGAAATGAGCAGTAGTGTCTTCCCTGTCAACCTGGGGCTGTTTCTGCCACTCTTCCAGCCATCATCATTGTCTTCAACCTGAATGATGTGGCATCTCTGGAACATACCAAGTAAGTGAGCATCCTGCAATATAATGGGAGGCTCCGGGAAGAGAGGGTTCAGAACAGAGGGGTGGTCAGGAAGAAGAAGAATGCATGTAGGACCAGAGAGGGGGTAATTGGGCCTATGAATGTCAGTGGGAGGGGCCCTGCAGACTCACTCATCCCTTACTTTCCACCTCCCATGGCAGGCAGTGGCTGGCCGATGCCCTGAAGGAGAATGACCCTTCCAGTGTGCTTCTCTTCCTTGTAGGTTCCAAGAAGGATCTGAGTGTGAGTGTGCCAGTGGGGGGACTTCCCAGCTTGGTGAGGGAATGCCCCCCTCTGACTCTGGCCTTCCCTCAGACCCCTGCTCAGTATGCGCTGATGGAGAAAGACGCCCTCCAGGTGGCCCAGGAGATGAAGGCTGAGTACTGGGCAGTCTCATCTCTCACTGGTGAGTTGGAGGCTTTAGGGCTCTGCTGTGACACTCTTGCCTGGCTCTCCTCTCACTGCTACACCTCCAGCTGTGCCCTGTGTCCCCAGACCCAGCACTGCCCCTGAGCACCTATCTGCTCTCTGTGTCAGGTGAGAATGTCCGAGAATTCTTCTTCCGTGTGGCAGCACTGACCTTTGAGGCCAATGTGCTGGCTGAGCTGGAGAAATCGGGGGCTCGACGCATTGGGGATGTTGTCCGTGAGTGCTTGCCTGGTTGAGGGTGGCAGAGGGCACAGTGAGCCTCCAATCCCTGCTTCACATATTTTCCACCCTTCTTTAGGCATCAACAGTGATGACAGCAACCTCTACCTAACTGCCAGCAAGAAGAAGCCCACATGTTGCCCATGAGGGCTGAGGAGACTGTTCAGAGACTGCCCAGCCCTAGGGCACTGTGCCACCCTCATTCCTCCAGAGCTTGACCCCTGGACATTTGCACTGACTTTATCCAGACCAAAGAGCTGCCTCTTGGTGGCAGTATTCCCACAGAGGGGTAGCTGGGATCATGCTAGTCACTTCCTGCCCCCAGGCACCGTGCCAAAGACTGGATGCCCCCTACTCCTCAGGGGACTGTCCAGGGCGCCCAGTGGTAGTGAGGGAGAGTGTCTCTGTTCTTTTGCTCAGCCTGCTGGGCCCTTTGTGTTTGAGGATGCTTAATGATTCCAGCCTCTCACTGTGCCTTATGCATTAAAATTTCTTTGTTACGAGCACTTTGGGGCTGGAGTTCTTTGTTGGGGATGATGGATGTGGAATGGGCATGACTGTGTGGCCATTTTGGCACTAGAGTCCCCTGGGGATGCTGTGCTGGCCATCCCTGGCCCCTGGGCAGGTTCAGGTAGGCTGGGAGCTGAAACATCAGTTTGGGGGCTGCACTGGGCCCTCACTGGGTGAAGTCTGAATGGCTGGCTTTGAGAGCCCTTTCCCCTGATCCTTTCCCCACACGTGTCCTCCTACTTGGTGCTTATACCCAAATTTTCACCACTGGAGAATCTTTTTCTTTTTTTCACCCTTTTCTTGCCTTCCCTTTAAGAAGTACTTTTCCAGGCAGGGTGCGGTGGCTCGTGCCTGTAATCTCAGCACTTTGGGAGGCCAAGGCAGGCAGATCACTTGGATTCAGGAGTTCGAGACCAGCCTGGCCAACATGGTGAAACCCGCGTCACCATTAAAATCCAAAAATTAGGCCGGGCGCGGTGGCTCATGCCTGTAATCCCAGCACTTTGGGAGGCTGAGGCGGGCGGATCACGAGGTCAGGAGATAGAGACCATCCTGGCTAACATGGTGAAACTAAAAATGCAAAAAATTAGCCAGGCGTGGTGGCTGGTGCCTGTAGTCCCAGCTACTTGGGAGGCTGAGGCAGGAGAATGGCCTGAACCTGGCAGGCGGAGCTTGCAGTGAGCCGAGATGGCACCACTGCACTCCAGCCTGGGTGACAGAGCGAGACTCTGTCTCATAAAAAAAAATAAATAAAATAAAATACAAAAATTAGCCGGGCGTGGTGGTGCATGCCTGTAACTCCAGCTACTTGGGAGGATGAGGCAGGAGAATTGCTTGAACTCAGGAGTTATAACCATTAACTTTTCTTTCTTTTTTTTTTTTGTTTGTTTTTTTGGTTGTTTATGCCATTAACTTTTATAAGAAAGAAAGGTGACCAAGACCCTGGCTCCCTGTTGACATCTAACCCAGAGTTCCAGAGTAGCTGGAAGCACCTCAGACATCTGGGTCAACAAAGGAGGACTTATGGCCTCGTGTCATCCTGGGAGGCTAAGGGGGTGTCCAAGTTAGAAGGCAGATTCTGGCTCCCAGTTGCCAAGTGCTCTGTCTGTTCCATTCCTGGTTCCATTCTCACCAGGATGGTTGGTTTTTCTGCACACTTCCCTTCTCCTGGCTTCCCCTCCCTCGCAGTTCCTAGACTCTCTAGAGCTACCACGGGAAGGAGGGTCTGGGCAGCAGCCCTACCCACTCCGGACTTGGGTCTGGAGGAAAGTGAAGGTGGGGATCAGGCAGAGCAATAGTAGCAGCAGCAGAGCCCCTGGATGATGGTGGAGAAAACAAGGTGTGGACCCCATCCTTTCTCCTCCTCTTCATCCTGGCTTTGGAAGCTGGTGCCAAGAGAAATGGAGGGGTGTGGTGCATGGAATGTCGTCGATATGGCCATAACTTCTTTTCACACTCTCCTGTGATTGTTTTTTCCATTTCTGTTCCCTCGCAGCACTGGGCTCCTCACCCTTGCCTTGCCTGTTAACAGATGTGTGTGAAGCCAGCACCACAGTCCAGGTGTGGTGTTTGTGCTGCACCGGGTGTGGGAGTTCTGTGTTCCGTGTGCATGTTGTATTAGTCTGTGTGTGGTGAGTATATTCTGTGTGTGTGTGATATATGCATGCGCAGAGTGTGTATGTTGTACCTGAGGGCGTGAGGGGTGTCACTGGGATGAGGTTCCTATGAATGCAGCCTGCCCTGTTCTCCAGATTGTCTATCAGGATAAGCTTACGACTCTCTATTGGGCAGTATTGTCTCTAGAATAGGGTGTCCCCTGGGGGCCAGGGGCGGGAACGCTGCGGGGTGGCGCAGGGGCTGGGAGCCGACATCAGGTCCTCAGCCCGGAGTTAGGTCTTCGGAGAGGCCTGTGGGCGGAGAAAGGGGAAGCCCGGGCTCCACCAGAGGCGGAGGGACCTCGAAGCCCGGAAGGTGGAGGGGAAATGGCGACGCCAGGACCTCCCTGGGCTCAGGGGATCCTCCCATCTCAGCCTCCCGAGTAGCTGGGACTACAAGTGCGCACCACTAAACTAGCTAATTTTTGTATTTTTTGTAGAGATGGGGTTCGCTCTCTCGCCAGCGGGCAGAGGCGGGGCTGCGGCTGGGTTCCCAAGGGTCGGTGGGGCGGGGAGCGGGACGGGAGTGTGCGGTTTAGAGAATGGCCGGGGCGGGGCTAAGAATGGGGCTGGGGGCAAGGCTCGTTGTAACACTAAGAATTGGGGCTACGATCTGGAGGCAGGGTGAAAATCTGGGGTTTGGACTGCAAGCTGGAACCAGAGATGGGTGGTGAGAGCTGGGCCTGTAAGGTTAAGGTCTGAGATAAAGAGGGGCCTGGGAGGCGCCGGAGGCCCCGGATGAAGAACGCGGCTGACGCTGAGACCCAGCTGGGAAGACTACGCAGCCTGGAGCCGGGCTGGGGAGGCCGGCGGGGGCTGCGCCAGCATGAGGCGGGGTTAGGGGCTAGGCGGGGGCGAAGCCGAGACTGGAGTTCACGGCTGGGCCGAGGGCTCGGCCGGGCTGAGGCTCAGGGTTGGACTTCACGCAAGAGTCCTGTAGAGACGAAGACCTGGGCGGAGAGCGATGTGGGTCAGGACGACGCTCACAATTGAAAGATGGACTAAGGAAAAGACCGAGCCCAAGGCCCGCTCGTGGGATGAGAGCAGATGCCGCGGTAAGAGGGGCGGGGCAGGGGCTGGGCAGAGGGCGCGGCCCGGCTCGCAGACCCCGAGCGGCGCACGCGGGAAGCCGGCAAACCGACGAGGGAGACGGGCAAACCAACGAGAGAGGCGGGGCCCAGTGCTGGGCCGGGGCGGAGCTAGGGCCGGGGCGGAGCTAGGGCCGGGGGCGGGCTCGCGTCGAGCCGCGGGCCAATGATTGAGGACTGGGGTCCTGAGGCCCTGCTGGGTCGCCCGCGGGATGGGCGGGAAGTCTGGTTCCAGCCAGAGCTGGAACGCTCGGCTATCGGACTGGGTGGCACCGGGCGCAGGCCGCTGCCCTTGAAGCGCCGGCCTTGGCTGGAGCCCGTGGACCAGCGCCCACCCGGACGCCGGGGCGGGAGCGGGCGGTTCCATCGACCCTGAGGGTGGACCAAGGAGACTGAGGGTTCCACCCGTGGCATCACAATTACCTCCGCGGCGGCGAGGCCAGAGAGGCATTTCCAAGGAGACGCGGGCGCACTGCCCCTCCCTTGCTTCCTCCTCTTCCCTCCTTCCTCTCCTAGTTTCTTCCCTCCCTTCCCGCCCTACTCCTTCCCTCCCTTCCCACCCTACTCCTTTCGGCTGCTCTGGTGCCCACCCCCAGTGCCTCGAGGTCGAGGAGAGCTCCTCGGCCCCGCAGGACGGGGAGGATTCTGTACAGATGAGCATAACTTGTGAGTTTTGAGTTAGGCCTTTGTGCGCCGATTAACGCCTCACGGGGAAAGACGCCATAAGCCTCCCACTTTCTTTCACCCTATCACCCTCCTCATTCATTGTGTGTGTTGTCAGTCACTCCTGCTGCAGGAACTCTGGACTGCTGCTGGTCAGAGGTCTCCTCCTGTCCTCTGGAACTAAAGAGCAGATTGCTTTTCTCAGCTCTGAAGAGAGTTACTAAATTCGTCTCCCCCTTTGTCCTTCCTCCCCTCGTCTCCTTCACAAACAGAGCTGATGGGTGTCCGAGCTCTGGGGGAGCTAGTGAGTGGAGAGTAAACAGGCTCTGACCCTGCATGTGTGCTTTTTTTTTTTTTTTTTTTTTTTGAGATGGAATCTCGCTCTGTCGCCCAGGCTGGAGTGCAGTGGCGCAATATCGGCTCACTGCAAACTCCACCTCCCGGGTTCAAACAATTCTCCTGCCTCAGCCTCCTGAGTAGCTGGGATTACAGGCGCGCGCCACCACGCCCAGCTATTTTTTTTATTTTTTTTTATTTTTAGTAGAGACGGGGTTTCACCATGTTGGTCAGGCTGGTCTTGAACTCCTGACCTCGTGATCCGCCCACCTCGGCCTCCCAAAGTACTGGGATTACAGGCATGAGCCACCGCGCCTGGCCATGTGTGTCTCTTTCATGGTGGCTCCTGAAACAGCAAGGCAGAGGAGTTTTGGTTCCTCACCCTGGCTGAGGTCCCAGCGGCATGACTTTAGGGTCCAGGGTGGATAAGGGAGGCTGTGGAGTCCAGATTGAGTAAAACCAGAGGGTGAGGAATTGGTAGTGTTGGAGCTGAAAAGCAGGTGCAGTAGGAAGTGACTGTGCCTCAAAAAAACACCTGTCCTTCCCGCCGTCTCACTCTGCTGCCCACACTGGAGTGCAGTAGCACGATATCGGCTCACTGCAACCTACACTTCTGGGGTTCAAGCGATTCTCATGCCTTGGCCTCCAGAGCAGCTGGGACTACAGGTATGTGCCACCATGCCTGGCCGATTTTTGGATTTTTATTAGAGAAGGGATTTCACCATGTTGACCATGCTGGTCTCAAACTCCGGACCTCAAGTGATCCGCCCACCTCGGCCTCTCAAAATTCTGAGATTACAGGCATGAGCCACTGCACCCGGCCTGGTAGGACAGGTTTTGCATATGGAGCTGAACGTGATTTATTTTATAAGACAGAATCTCACTCTGTCGCCCAGGCTGGAGTGCTGTGGCTCTCTCAGCTCACTGCAACCTCTGCCTCGCCGGCTCACTCAAGCAGAATGTGGTTTTAAGGCTTGGCTATGGGCCGGGTGCGGTGGCTCACGCCTGTAATCCCAGCACTTTGGGAGGCTGAGGCGGGCGGATCACGAGGTCAGGAGATCAAGACCATCCTGGCTAACACGGTGAAACCCCGTCTCTACTAAAAATACATAAAATTAGCCGGGCATGGTGGTGGGCGTCTGTAGTCCCAGCTCCTCGGGAGGCTGAGGCAGGAGAATGGCGTGAACCCGGGAGGCGGAGCTTGCAGTGAGCCAAGATCCCGCCACTGCACTCCAGCCTGGGCGACACAGCCAGACTCTCTCAAAAGAAAAACAAAACAAAACAAAAAAAAAGGCTTGGCTGTGGAGCTTCACATACAGAATGACCTTTGTTTACAGGGGTGTGTCCCCAGCCAACAGTAAGTAGACAGGGCTGAAAGAGCATAGGCTATGGAACCAGGAAGACCTGGGTTTGAATCCTACTTCTACAGTCTATTAACAATGTATGTTTGGACAAATTACTTATCCTCTCTGAGTTTCTGTGTTCTCATCCATAGAATGGGGCTGTGGTGGGGATTTAGAATCAAAGGCATATATTTTAGTTGAGACAGGGTCTCACTCTGTTGCCCAGGCTGGAATGCAGTGGCGTGATCACGGCTCACTGCGGCCTCGATCTCCCTGGGCTCAGGTAATCCTCCCACCTCAGCCTCCTGAGTAGCTGGGACTACAGGTGTGCACCACTAAGCCAGCTAATTTTTGTATTTTTTGTAGAGATGGGGTTTTGCCATGTTGCCCAGGCTGGTCTCGAACTCCTGGACTTGTGATCTTCCCGCCTCAGACTCCCAAAATGTCGTTTTTTTTTTTTTTTCCTTTTTCTGGAGAACGGGGTCTCGCTATATTGCCCAGGCAGGTCTCGAACTCCTGGGCTCAAGCTATCCTCCCGCCTCTTGCCTCTCTGAGAGCTGGGATTACAGGCGTGAGCCACCGTGCCCGGCCCAGACTCCCAAAATGATGGGATTACAGATTTATGTCATTTCATTGGTGGATGTTGAAAACATGGAAGTTGATGAAGTTATCCAGGACATGCTTTTGTAGAGCCTTCTGAGGAGGTGACCAAGTCAGAACTCTTGTAATCACCAATTTAAGGCATACAACAAAACAAGAGGAGACAGCAAAGGAGACAGGGAAGAACTAAAGAGCTGGTTAGAGAAGGAAGAGAAAGATGAGGTCTGCCATGGAAGCCCAAGGAACAGTTTGCAGAAGAAGGAGATTCATTGGTCAATAGGGTCAAGTGAGGCCGGGCGCAGTGGCTCACGCCTGTAATCCCAACACTTTGGGAGGCCGAGGGCGGATCACAAGGTCAGGAGTTCGAGACCAGCCTGTCCAACATGGTGAAACCCCGTCTCTACTAAAAATACAAAAATTAGCCAGGTGTGGTGGCGTGCACCTGTAATCCCAGCTACTCAGGAGGCTGAGGCAGGAGAATTGCTTGAACCCGGGAGGCGGAGGGTGCAGTAAGCCGAGATCCCACCACTGCACTCCAGCCTGGGCGACAGAGCGAGACTCAATCTCAAAACAAAACAAACAAAAAACAAAACAAAACAAAAAACAGGGTCAAATGAGATAAGAAGCCCACTGGATTTGGCTACTGGGAAACTGCTGGTGGCCTTTGCCAAAGCTATTCAGATTGGGGGGTGGATGGCTGCCATGTTGCAGGTGGCTGGAAGAGAAGAAAGAAGTGAAGACACTGAGCTCACTGAAGGTAGGGACTGGGCCTCTTTTCTAGTGCCGAGGGAAGCCACCCAACATATGTCCTCTGAATGAGTTAATCAATTTGGATTGAAAGGGGGATATGCAGTGGTAGGAGAAACAGGATTGACAGAGTGTTTTGTTTTATGATGTCTATAGCCTGTAAGGGGGGAAAAAAGAAGCCAGTAAAGAAGGAGAAGGTGTCACTTCTGGCTGGGACCTAAAATATAGATGCTTTGGGCATGAGAAAGGAGGGACACCCTTTTCCCAGGCAAGCAAAGTTGATGAGGGTTGGAGTGTCCACAGATAATGGCGGTGAAATTATCTGCTGAGAGAAACAGTGGTTGCAGGAGTTTCCAGGAAGTGCTTAAAGTCATTCATTCATTCTTTTGTTCATTTAACAAATTTTGAGTACTTGCCGTGCTGTGGAAAACAGGAGGAGGAGCTGACCAGAGACTTATAGGAGGATGACCAAGTGCCACTGAAGGCTTGCTGAAGACCCCAAGCAATCAGTTTCCCTTCCTTAAGCAGACCTCAAGTCCAGTGCCTCAAGGGATAAAGCTAGTTGTGGGAAGGAAAGGCAAAGGGGCAGACTGTCTTGTGGCTGCTAATGGCTGAGGGAGCTGCCACCCCAGTTGGAGGTCTGCTTAGGGTCATCCTCTGTCCAGGCTCCACACACCCTGGGACAGTTTCTGGAGCTGTCCCTCCTTGCCTAGACCCTGGCTGGCTCCTATTCATCACTAACTCTAGTGATGCTCCTTCCAAGAAGTCTTCCATAGTCCCCAGTCCTCCTTTCCAGTCCTGGTAGGTGGCCCTTGTCCTGTGCTACCCTTTCCCTGTCAGCATCTGCATCACATTACTGTCATGAACCTCCCGTGTCCCTCTCCCCTCCCCCTCTCCCCTCCCCCTCATAGCCCCACCCCCCCCCCCCCCCCCGCAACCCCTTAAGAGCAGGGACTGTTGTTTAATCTCTGCATCTCCAGGATGCAGCGAGGGCCTGACATGTGGAGTTTCTCGGGGTATGTTTGGTGAATAAATGGCACAGGGAGGGGGCTGCTGCCACCACTGCCACTCTATGCTCTCTCAGATGTAAACAGGTTACCCAGCTGGGAGAGAGGACATCTGCTGGCTGGTGTGGCGTCCAGCACTGATGTGTCTACCTTCTCTGAAGGTGGGTCCAGGAGACCTTTGACCCAGGGGATCCTCATCACCCCTCACCTGGGAAAGCTGACACCTGGTGGAAGCTTGGTCCTGAGGCAGGGAGGGAGGGAAGTGTGGTCCTGAAGCTGCCCCATCCTCAACCCATCCCCTACAGATGCCAGAGGGGACCCCTTTCTCAAGGCCGCAATCACCCCATTCGTTTATATAGAACTTTATGGCACATAAGTATCTTTGACATATGTGAATTGAGTCCGCCCAACAACCCTGCAAAATTGGTATGACCACCATCCCATTTTGTGGATGAGGAAATTAAAGGCTCAGAGAAGTAAAGAAATTTGCCCTAAGCCACCCGGCTAGTAAGTGACAGACCCACGACTTGGGCTTAGGCCTGACTACAAGTTCAGGGCACTTTGCCACTATGCTGCCCTTTGGCCCAGCTCAGCTGTGCTGAGGAAGGCCAAGGTGGTGGTGAAGTTTCAGGGTCCTGCCACATACCCATGCCTTCCTCATCTTCCCGGGGGATAAAGGGTACAAGAGGGGAGGAGAGAGACACAGATCACCCATGGGTCAGCAGTGTAGTGAGGACCCAGGACTTCACAGCCTTGTGTGGGGAAGGGAAGGAGGAAGAAATGTGGGTAAGCCTCAGGCCAAGCTGCTGCACTGTGAGGCCACTTGGACTCACACCCACAGCCTGGGCTCATTCCTGGCTGGTGGCCGGTATGAGGTCTCACCCTAGTTCCACTCCTCGTGGGGGCTGGCAAAGGCACAATCCTCGGCCTGTTTGAGGGTAACCCAGCCACAGCACCCCAAGCCAGTGCCTGCTCCCTCCCTCCCCTAGGAGTGCTGGGGAATCCGAGGTAAGGTCCCTTGTCCTTTGTCGTGTGAGTGAGATTCTGGGCTGTGAGAGGCGCAGAGTCGCCTCATGGGCTTACCTTTGAGATAGAGGCCTGAGGGGACAGCCGGGCCTTAGGCAGTGTCAGAGGTGAGGCAGTGGTGGTAGACCGGGGAAACTCCTGTCTTCAGGACTGGCATTGAGCTGAGCAGCAGAGGTGGGGGCCTTTCTCCAGGGCTTTTCCCTAACCCCAAATTCTCACCCCAGCAGCTTCTTCCTGTGCCCTGGGAAAGGGGATGTGGTCTCTGTGCTGCCTAAAAGGGTGCTTAGGCTGGGGGTGGGTCATTCGAAAGCCTGGGGCTCTAGGGACTGGGGAGAGTGTGGGAAGGTGCTGAGTGAAGAGCAGGGAAAGGATCAAGAAGGGGGCATGGGAAGGGAGGGGAGTGAGAAAGGTGTCAGGCAGGAGAAAAAAAGGGGCTTGAAGGAGAAGGGAGGAGGGGGAAGTGGGGAGGGAAGGACGAGTCAGAAGCTAAGGAGCATGATGCAGGCCTTAGCTCCTGGCCAGGCTGTGAGAGATCAGCGTGGGCCAGGGCAGGTGTAGGAACTGAGGATGCTGCGGCTCTGCTGCTCCTGGGGCTGTGGGGTGCCATAGCAGGAGGGCCTTCTCCTACCAGGCGCCTTGTGGAGCAGGGCTGCCACTCATTGTCAGCACCTGGTTGAGGGGCAGGCAGGAGCTGGTGGAGGCCTCCCACTGGAGGGAGAGGACAGAAGTAACAGGGAATCACAGGACTGCAGGGGGCTTGATAAGGGTCTCCTGTGTATCAGACATGGAACCAGACACTTTGCTGGGACATGGGGTTACTCTGCGGCCAAGTTACTACTACTGAAGCAGAAACACTTCTTGGGGTGGACAGCTGGTGGTGGCAGGTGAATTTGGTGAGGTTTTAGCTTGAGCTGTGGGAAGACCCAGAGGTCTGCGGCTGCTACTGATGACCCAGACTCCTGCCCCCTCAGGTGACTGCAAGGAGCCTGACAAGTGCTGCTGGAGACACAAGCAGTGCACTGGGCACATCATCTACCCTTTCGCCTCTGACTGTGTCCGCCACAGCCTGCACCTACACTCTGTCAACCACTGCAACTGTAATTCTAGGTGAGGGCCCGCCCCCTTGGGGGACCCATGGCAGAGCCAGGTCCGAACTTTCATTGTGGTCTCCCCTTCAACCTTTGGTTTGCCTCTTCAGCTTTGAATTGGTGCTGCCAGCCCAGTCCCAGCTCTGCACACCTTGCTCTGCTCTAAGAGAAATGGGGAGGAGGTCTGTTGGCCTGAGGCAGGCCCAGCGGAAGCCCACTGTCCCTCAGGCTTCTGGCTCTGGGTCCCTGGGGGAGTGATGGGAGCCAGGCTGAGAGTCCCATGTGTGGCAGGCTGAAGGACTCTTCAGAGGATAGCAGCAGCTCCCGGGGCGCGGGCCCAACCTGCTCCCATGTCATCGAGTCCCCTTGCTTTGAGCTCACACCGGAGGAGGAGCATGTGGAGCGATTCCGGTATGGCTGGTGAGTGAGCCCCGGTGGGCTGATGGGGAAGGGGCCTCTACAGGGCACTGCCCCCCACTCTCTGTCAAACTTCCCCCGTTGTCCCTTCTCCCAGGTGCAAAAGCTACAGACCTGTCTCTGTGGCAGTGATCCACCATCCACTCTACCATGAGTGTGGGGCAGATGATCTAAATGAAGAAGAGGAAGAGGAGGAGGAGGAAAGCAAGCCCCCCATCCCGACACAGGTGGGGCCCGCCACCGCCTCCCCTGACCTAGGCACCAGCATGGCCACTGGTACCCCTGACTCCACAGCGCCCATCACCATCTGGCGCTCTGAGAGCCCCACAGGGAAGGGTCAGGGCAGCAAGGTGATCAAGAAGGTAAAGAAGAAAAAGGAAAAAGAGAAAGACAAGGAGGAGATGGATGAGAAGGCAAAGCTGAAGAAAAAAGCCAAGAAAGGCCAGTTGACTAAGAAGAAAAGCCCGGTTAAATTGGAGCCTTCCCCGCCAGACGTGAGCCGATCATTAAGCGCAAGACAGCTGGCCAGGATGTCCGAGTCCAGCCCAGAAAGCCGGGAAGAGCTGGAGAGCGAGGACAGTTACAATGGCCGGGGGCAGGGAGAACTGTCCAGCGAGGATATTGTGGAATCATCATCGCCCAGGAAGAGAGAGAACACAGTCCAGGCCAAAAAGACAGGGGCAAAGCCCTCACAAGCCAGGAAGGTAAACAAGAGAAAATCTCCCCCAGGATCAAACCCCAACCTCAGTTGAGGCCAGGGTGGTCAGGGTGCAGAATAAATGCCATCGAGCCTGTGGCTGGCCCTCTGCTGCTGTTCTCTCCCTCCAACCTGGCTGTTTCTTGCGGGGCAAGGGGTGGGCTCAGGGCTGCAGGGGTTTCTCAAAGGCAATCCAGCTTTCACAAAGGAAGCCCATGGGAAGGCAGGTGGGAGGGAAAGGAAGGGGCACAGCCCTATTTCTTCCTACCTGCTAGGACAAGGTGGAAGAGTGTATCTGGGGTGGGAAGGAGGGCTTCCCCTCTCTGCTGCGAGAGACTGGTCTGTGTGAAATCCACTTCTGGGACAGGCAGTACTGTCTGCAGCGATACCCCCAATAAACGGAACTTTTTAACCCACTCTGTGCCACTGTGCCTGGCCTTTCCCTCCTCTAAGTGGCTCTGCAGAAGGTGCTCGTGGTACTACCAGAGACTGACCTTCCCAGCTGGTGGTCTAGCTCCTCCCTTGTAGCCCTTTTGTGCTGAAGGGAGCTGACTTGAGTTCCTGGCAGAGCTGGCCCCTTCCCCCAGATCTTGATGAAGAAAAACAAGGGGAGGGAGTGTGCCACGTCTGGGCAGCAGTGGCCTTTTCTGACTTCTCTGCTGAGCCCCAAGCAAAGGAAAGGGAGCCAGAGGCCCCACTCTCCCAGCATTGACTCACAGAGCTGTGAGACGAAGCCCTTGTGCAGAAACAGGGATGGCAGGAGTTCAGAACAAAAAATGCAGTGGGGCAGGGACAAAGGGCCAGGGCCAGTGTGTTGGAGGGGAGCAGGTGAGCAGGGCCCCATCCTGGGGCAGGAACACCTTACTGCTGAGAGCTTGCAAGAGACCAAGGCCCAGCTGGGAAAAGGGAAGAGATGAACGGCAGAGGCTCAAGTTGAGAAATCCAGATTTACTTGTGGCCTTTCTCCAGGGTGCCAGAGAAGACCAGCAGGCATGGGCGGATGGGGCAGCTGTGCTGTGGGTGAGTGAGTGGGTGTAATAATACCGGGTAACATTTGCGACGTACCAGGCGTTGGGCCAAGGAGCTTGCACACGCTGCCTTGGTCCTCACAGCAGCTGATGAGGCAGGTATCACTATCTCCATGTTACAGGTAAGAAAGCCAGCTGAAAGGCAGCAGGAACTGGCACAGGGTCACCCGGCTGGGAAGTAGAGCAGGGATGTGCCCCAGGCAGTCTGATGTAGAAGCTGCCTCTAGTCTATGAATCTTTGCCTCTGATGGATCAGAAGAGGGAGTCAGGGGAGTCCTTGGAGCTCCAAACACTGCTTTGAAAGCCACCCCTCAAAGAGCTGGAGAGTTGGAGAGAGAGGCTTTGGCAAGAGCTCAATAGAAACACTGTTTATTCAAATGACAGGCAGGAAGCGGTGGCAGCAGCAGGGGGGAAAGGGCAGCCAGGCAGGGGCTGGGCAGTGCTTCCCTGTGTCCCCTGCAATCCTGCTTGGACAGCCACCCGGCTGTTGGCATCAGGGTCAGAAATACTTTCCCTCCTCTCCCTCCTGCCCCAAACTGAATAAATAGCATCCCTCTCCCCACGAGAGCTAGGGGAGACTCATGTGCTGAGTTTGGTGCCCCAGTCACAGCCCAGAGTCCGGTGAGGGCAGAAGTTCAAAATGGCTTGTAGGGAGTAGAATACAAAACTGTTCTACTCATTCTCACCTTCCTCTTCCTCCTCCCTGCCACACTCCCCTCCCAGCCTGGTCCCAGGACAGGTGGTCGGTGAGGGTCTGGAGCGGGAGAATTGTTGCCTAGCATACACTGAGCTCAAGTTCACAAGGCCATCCAGCCTGTCACCCATCCGGGTTGACCACCAAAGAGAACGTCTCACTTCACGCCACTTTATGGACATAAAAGGAGGGGCAGGGAGGGAGGCAGTGGGCAGCCAGGCCTTTCCCAGCCTCAGAGGTAACCAGAGTCCGAGGAGCAGGCCCCCTACCGATCCATCTCGTCCAGGAGTGGGGTGGCATCGCCAGCAATGGACATGGGGGTGCTTTCGATCATGGGGCTGGGGGAGGGCCGAGGTGTCAGCCGCTGCTTCTGTTTCCGCCGTTCTGCCTCCTTTTCCTGCAGCCACTGCTCCGCCATTTTTCCCCAGTCGATGGCTGCATGGCTGTTGGACCTGGGAGGGGAAGAAAAGTTGAGATTGGGACTTTGCTAGAAGGAAGTCTTCCCACCAATCACTGTACCCTTGCAGAAAGGAACCTCATACCTATGGGCAGCAGCCCCTCTACTGGGATAAGGCAGATACAGCAGCAGCTGGCTGCCATACTGCCCTCTTCCGTCTTCACCCAGAAACTAGTGTTCCTGGCATATCATGTGGTCAGGGCCCTCAGAGGATCCAGAGCACCTGCCTCTGCTAAGCCTTTCGGCCTCTTGACAACACCTGCCCCTACCACTGACCTGCACTGTGCCACCATCCAGATACTTACTTTGGCTGCTGCTGCCGTTGCCGGGAGCTGGAAGAGGGCTGGGGCTGGGCCTGGGCCGACTGTGGGGTGGTGCTGGCCTGGAGCTGGTGGTACTGAGGGGTGGTGATGGGCTGGCTTGGGGTCGTGTAGGAGTAGCTAGGGGTCATTAGTGGTGTGGCCACTGGCTGCTGGGCTGGCGTTGGGAATACCTGGAGAGGCATGAACAGTTAAATAGGGATGGGTGTGGGGCTTGTTTGGCCTTGCTGTGAATTCTGGGTAAGCGCAAGGGTGGGCTCAGCAAAGCTTTCCAGATGATCTTCCACTGAGTATGTGCTTCTGACCAGCAGTGGGAAGCCTGCAGGTCAGCACCGAGCACACAGTGGTGCCCACTGGTCCTGACCATGTCAACTTTCTGGTGGCTTGCGGGTTCCAAAGATCCCAAAGGCCCGTGGAAAGGTTATGCCCTCTCTTACCCTCTTCCCCTTCAAATGGGCCTAAGGACAAGAAATATCTGTTGGAGACAGTTACCAAGGCCGTGGCAGCCCCATCTGTGCATGTGAAGCCCCTTGTGGGCAATGCGAGAGGGCAGTCTATGGGCCCCACCCTGCACAGGGAGCTTCCTCCCCAAGCCACATACGTGGTAAGCACTGCTGCCGCCTCCACTGCCGCCATAGCCGTACTGGCTGGAGGCCCACTGGGCTGGGGTGGCATTAGGGTTCTGTCCTTGGCCTGTCACCGCAGCAATGGCACTGAACATCTGTGAAGTCATGTTCTGAGGCAGGGCATTCACAGCCCGTGTCAGATCTGTAAGCACACAGAGGTGGGGAGGGGCATGTTAGAGGTGAAAGTCCCTTTAGCTCCATCCTTCCCACCTCCAGTCCCAGGCTCAAGCTCCTCACCTGCAAGGTTGATGTTGGCTGGGGTAGCATTGATAGAGGCAGGTGTCCGGGTCCTGCTGCTGCTGCTAGGGGTGATGCCTGCAGGAAGTGATTATTTAGTTACATCCCTCCAGAAACCTATTTTTGGTTTCCCAATTCAGGGGGTGGAAGGGGCACTGAAGTAGGTAGAGGGAGGAAGGGAAGCTGCATAGGCACAGTGGATGGAGAACCTTCCTGGTGCTGGGAGGCTGCAGGAGGAGTAAGACAGCTGCAGTGACAGCCTACTCCTCACCTGGTCCCCTAGGCTGGGACTACTCTGAGTCAGGTCCTAGGTGTTCCTCCAGCCACGTCCCTGAAGTCAGGAAGAGCAGAACTCACCTGGTACAGGATCCTGGTAGTGATCCTTAAACCATCTAAACAGTCCATTCACGGTTGGGAAGATCTGGCCCCGGTACCGGAATCCCTCTGGAGTCACCGTTACATATTCTATCCTAGGATTTTAGAAGGAAACATGCATCAGAAACCACTTGGGACCCACCACAAGAGCGACCAGAACAGATGCCCACCATGTGAAGTAGCCATTCTGGGTGCTAGGGGAAAGGAGAGATGACACAGCCAGTCCCCAGGCCTGTGAAGGGAGGTGAGCAGCACATGGCAGAACATATTGAAGACCAAGGAGTCAGTGGCCCTCTGTGTGCTGCATACGGACTGCCGGAGGAAGGCTTGCTGGAGGCTGTGCTACCATACTGGGCTGCAGTATGAAGGCAGGATACTGCCGGTGAAGTGAGACCGAGATCCCATAGTGCCAGGGTTGGAAGGGGCCTCCCAGAGCAGCAAATCGCAACTCCCCTAAAGCAGGCATCTTTCTGCAGTGGCTGTGGAAGGTGGTAGTCTGCCCTTGTTCAACACTTCTGAGAGTAGCAGATAGTTGTTAAGAGGGGCTCTGGGTTAGTTCCAGTTCTAGTTCTAGTTTTAGCTCTGCCATTCACCACATATGACACGCTGCACCAAGTTACCAAACTTGAATCTCTGCTTCATTTGTCCAGTGAGGACCACAGCACTGAAGCCTATGGGGTGGGTGTGAGGATAAATGAGAATGCACAGAGCACGTTCCACAATGCCTAAAGCTGGGTTGTGCTCAATGAAGGCCAGCTATCAATGGCAACCAGATAATGCTACATAGTACACAGTTCTCATTTCTATTAGGCTGACACCTGCCTCCTAACTCTTCCGTAAGTGTTAATTCTGCCACACAAGGAGAGTCAGCTCCTTTCCCCAGAAGCTATCATGCTGCACCTGGTCCTGGTTAGAGCCCCCACCCCCGCCACCAGTTTGCTCAACTGTTCCACACAGGACACAGTTTCCAGCCCCACTTAGCCCTGGCTGCTGGCCTCTGGAAGCACACTGGTGAGTCAACAGGCTTCTCAAGAAATGAGCACAATATTCCAGATGTGCCCAAGATGGCACACGGTACAGAGTCTAGGGCTTCCTGTCATCTGGCCACTGAGCCCCTACTAATGCAGCCTGAGCTGTGCATCAGGTAAAGCCAGTACAGGGATAAAAGCAGAAGTGCACATGGCCAAAGGCCAATGGAAGGATGGGGGCAGGGCTTAGGCAGAGAAGCAAGTGTGATTACCAGTCTGTATCACAGACACAAAGACGCCAGTCTAAGGAAACTGGACTTTGTCCTCTAGGTTCAGGGTAAGCGCTAGAGGGACTCAGATAAAGGAATACCTCAGGAAGGCCAGCCTGTTAGTCACACAGAAGCAGGCAGAGCAGCAGGCAGAGCAGGAGACAGAGCAGAACAGGAGACAGGCTCTCCTGACCACCGCTTCAGTGCGGGCGGAGTGAGCACATTACAGCAACAGTGAGCCACTGTGTGCAAGCCCTGGTGAGGGTGAGGCAGGTGGTGGACAGGAGAGACCAGTGTACTGGCCCCCAGTTTCTGCAATCAGGTGAAGAGTGTCTGGTGACTCCTGTCACTCTGTGGGAGGGAGAGGAGGTGAAGGGAACTCCTTTCTCACGGTGTTAAGGAAAGCGCCCTTCTTATGTGAATCCTTGCCTTTTTGCCTTGAAATCATCACCCTCTTTTCCCACCTCCAACCTCCACCTCTGTTCTAAACAGATGAGAGGAGAAAGGCAGTCCAGCAGAGCCAGAGAGGGCACTGCTCCGGGCCTCTCCCTGCCTTCTAGCCTGCCTATGAACCCCAGTGGCAGCACCTTCTCAGCACTAGTGCTCACCTGGGTTTACCCCGGGGCTGGTATCCCAGTAGGAACTTGCCGGGCAGTTCCTTGCAGGCACAGATGAAATAAGGGATGAAGGTGGGCTTCTCCTTCTTAGTTTTGATGAGCAGCTCCTCTAATTTCTGGGGGTAGAATGAGGGGGAGAGGTTGGGATAGCAGCATGCTTGGTACACAACGTCTGGTGCACACATGATGTACACTTCCTTCACCGCCTGAGTGTCCCCTATACTGAAGGGAAAGCGTACATCCTTAAGTGATTGGCAAGTGTCATTCCTCAGAGGGCCCTGGGCTTACCTTGCGGTCCCCACCGCTGCAGTCCTGATAATACTTGTGATTCAGAAGGTCCCGGGCAAAGGATGCCATGGGCTGGACATAGCGAGCAACAATCTCATCCAAATCTTCGAATTCCTGTGGGAAGAAGGTAAAGGCCCCATGTGTCATATCCAGAGCTGAGATTCTTGATCAAATCCATCCAGAAGAAAAACCATGGGAGGGGATGGGCTTCTCAGTCCATAGCAAAGTCCCCTCAGTTTATCCATCTGTGTCATGTCCAGATATATTAGCTCACAGGGCATAAAGTCCTTTAAATCCTGGCTTTGATTCTCCCCTAGTGCTTGGGAACAACAGGAAAATTCACCAGATTTCTCTTCACTGAAAACAGAAAAGAGAAACTTGATATATGTGTGTGCGTATATATGTGTATTTTCTCCTCTTCCTCCATTGGCTCTCTCTAGGTAGACTATTTTAACATTTGGAGGACACGGAAGGAGGGGACAAAATAAAATTGATATCAAATGACTCATTCCGCAAACCACCTCCCGTTTTGTTGCTGTGCACAGCTAAAATACCTATGACCCGAGTTACTAATGTCAGGTGAAAGCACCCTGAAGGGCACCTTTCTGGAAGCAGGAGTGGGATGGGAGGTGGGCAGGCACTGGCTCTCACCTCACTGTTGATCCACAGAGTGGCTCCCAGGCTGAAGGCATTTTCCTTGCCCTCCTCCCGCACATCCACATGCTGGTAGATGCCATCACTGACTTTCCAGGTCACTGTCAGGTGGTTCTCGCCCTTGCTGCTTGGTCGGATAATCACATCACCCTGGTCCATGGTCTCCATCATCTTTTCTGCTTGCTTGAAATTGATATTATGGAAGGATGGGTGTGCGATCACTCTCTTGATGTATGCTGAAAAGGGCAGAAAAGCAGTACAGACTGGGTGATGGGGCTAGGAGCTGGCAGCAACAGGACAAACCAGGCCTTCATTTCTTATTTATTTATTGAGTTGGGGTGCTCTGTCATCTGGGCTGGAGTGCCAGTGGCAAATCATGACTCACTGTAGCCTCGAACTCCTGGGCTCAAGCGATCCTCCTGTCTCAGCCTCTAAAATAGCTGGGAATACACCGGTGCACATCACCATGCCTGGCTTTTTTTTTTTTTTTTTTTGAGACAGTCTCATTTTGTCACCCACGTTGTAGTGCAGTGGCGCAATTCTGGCTCACTGCAACTTCTCCCTCCTAGGTTCAAGCAATTCTCCTGCCTCAGTAGCTGGGATTACAGGCGCCCACCACCACGCCTGGCTAGTTTTTGTATTTTTAGTAGAGATGGGGTTTCACCATTTTGGCCAGGCTCGTCTTGAACTCCTCACCTCAAGCGACCCGCCTGCCTCAGCCTCCCAAAGTGCTAGGATTACAGGCGTGAGCCATCGCGCCTGGCCATTTTTTTTTTTTTTTTTGAGACAGAGTCTCACTCTGTCACCCACGTTGTACTGTAGTGGTGCAATTTTGGCTCACTGCAACTTCTCACTCCTGGGTTCAAGCAATTCTCCTGCCTCAGTAGCTGGGATTACAGGCGCCCACCACCACACCTGGGTAGTTTTTGTACGTTTGGTAGAGACGGGGGTTCACCATTTTGACCAGGCTGGTCTTGAACTCCTGACCTCAAGTGATCCACCTGCCTCAGCCTCCGAAGTGCTGGGATTATAGGCATGAGCCACCGCACCTGGCTCCTGGCTATTTAAAAAATTTTTTTTGTAGAGATGGTGTCTTACTAAGTTGCCCAGGCTGGTCTTGAACTCCTGGGCTCAAGTGCTCCTCCTGCCTTGGCCTCCCAAAGTGCAGGGCTACAGCCGTGAGCCACCCTGTTTGGGCTTAATTTCTGACCCACTATGGGATTCTGAGACTCTTTCACCTTCTCTGGGCTTGGATTAGCTGATATGAAGGACATGTTCACCTGGGCTCCTAGGACACTGAAAGAATGAGGCTTTAAGAGTCACAAGGCATTAGCAAAGAAAATGTGACCCAAGAGACTCTGGGTTCCAGCCCTACCTATGACTTTTTCATGACATCTCCAGGCCTTAGCACCTCAAAGCTGAGTCCCCACTTCCACTGGGAGACTGACACATGTGCATCCTGTGGCCTGAATCCTGCACTGGGAGAACTGCCAAGATGCAGGGTGCACAGAGATGGTGGGAGGCACACTCACTGGTCCGCTGCTGCTTCCGCTTCATGTCCTCCTCCTGCTTGTGGTCTGCAGCTTCAGCATCAAAGTCATAGTAGGTGTCTTTGGGCAGCTTCCACTCATTGTTCCTGTCCATGAGGTCTGAGGTGCGGCAGGTCAGGTCTGCACTGAACTTCTCAATGTCAATCTTCATGATGCGGCAGTGAACAGTCATTCCCACCTAGATCCACAGAACATTTGAGCTGGAAGGGACAAAGATGATCTAGCCCGATGCCCTATTTCACCCATGAGAAAACCAAAGTCCAGGCAGAAAGGTGTAAGGTGTAAAGTGACTTGCCCAAAGCCAGCCAGCTGCTGAATGGCAGACTGGGAGTTTGGGGTGGAATCTTGTCTGTAGACTACAGGCCAAGCCCTGCACTAATGCCTCCACTCTGGGCAGGAAAACCAGCTGAAGCCTGCTGGATCTACCCTGTCCCTGGCACTCTTCTCTTCTCCCATGAAGTTGCCTAGTTACTGCTCCCAAGGTGCCATCAAAGGTTGACTCCCCCAACACCCCCCCTCCTTTTTTTTTGAGACAGTCTCACTCGTCGCCCAGACTAGAGTGCAGTGGTGTGATCTTGGCTCACTGCAACCTCCACCCACAGGGTTCAAGCGATTCTCCTGTCTTAGCCTCCCGAGCAGCTGGGATTACAGGCGTGTGCCACCATGCCCGGCTAATTTTTGTATTTTCTGTAGAGACGGGGTTTCACCATGTTGGCCAGGCTGGTCTCGAACTCCTGACTTCAAGTAATGACTTCACCCACCTTGGCCTCCCAAAGTGCTGGGATTACAGGTGTGAGCTGCCATGCCTGGCCTGACTTCCCTTTTTGAAGGGGAAGCAAAATAATAGCTGTTTTCTGTATCTTACCCTTGATATGAGCCCTTCTGTCTAAGTAGTGGCAAAAGCCAGTCACTCTGCATCACTCTTCTCCTTGTGAAAAATCTCCCCAGCTTCACTTATTAGAACTATTTTTCCCCAGCCCTCCTAAGTCATAGTTCTCAGAGGTTCACAACACTCAGAACCAGTGAATTTCGCAGAGCTGCTATCAGCTATATCACTAACTGGGTGATTCTGAAAAAAGTTGAATTTCTCTGACAAAAGACAATATTTCCATTTCCATCAGCATGTGAGATTAGAGACAACATATGTCGATGTCAGTGCTGGTATCTAGTGGGTGCATGATATATGGCCAGAAAATAACAGAACAGAAATGGAGCCTAGAGATTTCCTCCCTATCCACAGACACCATCTCAAGGTTCCTTCTGTGTCATCTGGTCCTGCCTAGAGGATCCAGAGGCTCCCTGTGCACAGGGGCTGTGCCATGCATTATTTCCCACCCTCTAAAGCGCTGATGCCTGGTCTTGGGAGAACAGGCAGAGCCTTTCTGTTTCACAGCATGTAATGCTGGGCCCTGCCCTCTGGACTGAACTGCAGCTTCCCACACAGGAAGAGCCCTCTCCCAAAGGACTGGGAACTTGCTGAAATTTCACAAAGGCAGTGAACAAAAGCTGCTACTCATTCAAATGCTTCTCACCCTAGCTTCTTTCAACTAGTTATAAATCTTCCCTGAAACACTTCCCACCAGCAGCCACTGGGAACAGAGCCTAACTTCTGGTGGGGACAGCCCAAAGTTAAAGAGACCTGATCTGGGCAGCTGAAAATTGCACTACGACCTTAGGACAATCAGTCCTCTACCTTCACTCGTTCTTCTGGCCGCTTTACCACTTTGTCACTGAGGAATTTGGTGGGGATGAAGCCGGTGACACCATTGTCTAGCCGTGTTTTGACACCGATGGCCTGGCCTGGGCACGAACCGCTGTCAAAGTGGTTCCACACCTGAAGAGGGCATGAGGAGAAGAGCTTGATTATCAATATTCTGGAGATCGCTCATTCAGAAAAGAGCTCCCAGAGGTGTTGTAATTTCTTTTACCATTGACACCTTGCACCATGATCTGAAAACACAATGACTTAGTCATCTGCCAAGACAGAATTTGACCATCTACAAAGTCCCTTGTCTCATAGCTGATGCTTGGCACCACTGGCCATCAGATGAATCTTTTTCTTTTTTTTGAGATGGAGTCTTGCTCTGTTGCCCAGGCTGGAGTGCAGTGGCGCAATCTTGGCTCACTGCAACCTCCGCCTCCTGGGTTCAAGCCGATTCTCGTGCCTCAGCCTCCTGAGTAGGTGGGATTACAGGCGTGCATCACCACACAGGGCGGATTTTTGTATTTTTAGTAGAGATGGGGTTTCATCATGTTGGCCAGGCTGGTCTCAAACTCCTGACCTCAGGTGTTCTGCCCACCTCGGCCTCCCAAAGTGCTGGGATTACAGGCGTGAGCCACCACACCTAGCCATCTTTTTCTTATGACAGTATCACTCTTTTGCCTAGGCTGAAGTGTAGTGGTGCAATCAGGGTTCACTGCAGCCTCAACCTCCCAGGCTCGAGTGATCCTTCCACCTTGGCCTCTCGAGTAGCTGGGACTATAAGCGCACGCCCCCAAGTCTGGGTAATCTTTTTTTTTTTTTTTTTTGAGACAGAGTCTTGCTCTGTTGCCCAGGCTGGAGTGCAGTGGCACAATCTTGGCTCACTGCAAGCTCTGCCTCCCGGGTTCACGCCATTCTCCTGCCTCTGCCTCCCGAGTAGCTGGGACTACAAGCGCCCGCCACCATGCCCAGCTAATTTTTTGTATTTTTAGTAGAGATGGGGTTTCACTGTGTTAGCCAGGATGGCCTCGATCTCCTGACCTCGTGATCCACCTACCTTGGCCTCCCAAAGTGCTGGGATTATAGGCGTGAGCCACTGCACCCGGTTAAGCCTGGCTAATTTTATTTTGTAGAGATAGGGTTTTGCCATGTTGCTCAGGTTGGTCTTGAACTCCTGGGCAAGCACTCCACCTGCCTCGGCCCCTGAAAGTGCTGGGATTACTGGTGTGACTGTGCCCCATCCTCTTTTATGTTTATCCAACTTAGATCCCTTTAGCTGCAACTGAGGCCCCTCCCTTTTGTGTTTTTTTTTGAGATAGGAGTCTCACCACCACACCCTGCTAATCCTTATATTTTTAGTAGAGATGGGGTTTCATCATGTTGGTCAGGCTGGTCTGGAACTCCTGACCTCAGGTGATCCAACTGCCTCAGCCTCCCAAAGTACTGGGATTACAGGCATGAGCCACTGTGCCCGGCCTGGCCCCTCCCCACTTTTTTTTTTTTTTTGAGACAGAGTCTCGCTGTCGCCCAGGCTGGAGTACAGTGGTGCAATCTCGGCTCACTGCAGGCTCCGCCTCCCGGGTTCACACCATTCTCCTGCCTCAGCCTCCCGAGTAGCTGGGACTACAGGCGCCCACCACCATGCCTGGCTAATTTTTTGTATTGTTTAGTAGAGACAGGGTTTCACCGTGTTAGCCAGGATGGTCTCGATCTCCTGACCTCATGATCCGCCCGCCTCAGCCTCCCAAAGTGCTGGGATTACAGGAGTGAGCCACCGCGCCCGGCCAGCCCCTCCCTTTTTTTAAAAAAGGAGATGGGGTCTTGCTATGTTGCCCAGGCTGGCCTCGAACTCCTGGGCTCAAGAAATCCTCCCAAATTAGCCTCTGATGTAGCTGGCACTATACGTACGTGCCACCATGCCTGTCTGCCATTTTGTTTTGACCCAGCGACCATAAGAAGTTTCTTTTTTTTTTTTTTTGAGACGGAGTCTCGCTCTTTCGCCCAGGCTGGAGTGCAATGCTGCTATCTTGGCTCACTGCAAGCTCCATCTCCTGGGTTCACGCCATTCTCCTGTCTCAGCCTCCTGAGTGGCTGGGACTACAGGTGGCCGCCACCGTGCCTGGCTAATTTTTTGTATTTTTAGTAGAGACGGGGTTTCACCGTGTTAGCCAGGATGGTCTCGATCTCCTGACCTCATGATCCGCCCGCCTCGGCCTCCCAAAGTGCTGGGATTACAGGCGTGAGCTACTGCGCCCGGCCGACCATAAGAAGTTTCTAAGTCAGCCTTTTTTTTTCCTTTTCTGAGATGAAGTCTCATTCTGTCACCCAGGCTGCAGTGCAGTGGTATGATCTCGGCTCACTGCAAACTCCGCCTCCTCGGTTCAAGTCATTCTCCTGCCTCAGCCTCTCGAGTAGCTAGGATTACAGGCGTATGCCACCACAACTGGCTAATTTTTGTATTTTTAGTAGAGACGGGGGTTCACCATCTTGGCCAGGCTGGTCTCGAACCCCTGATCTCAGATGAACCGCCCACCTTGGCCCCCAAAGTGCTAGGATTATAGGCGTGAGCCACCGTGCCCAGCTATGTCAGCCTTCTCAGAAGGGACTTCATGCTAAACCTGTGTGTTTCCCGTCCGTCTTCCTTCTTTGTGTACTTGTTTGGTGAGAGAATGATCTAGAACACCCTCATTTCTGATTCCCTTCTAGGCACCGAGATCATTCAACCAAGGAAATCCACTGAGCAGGATAATGCTGCAGCACACACCTCGCTTAGTTCAGGGAAATTGTCCTGCTGACAGAAGGGGCACTGCCACAGCCCTGTCTCATCATTGCGGATCGCCTGGTCATAGCTCTCACCCTGGGGACGCCTGTGGGCAATGCCAGTGACATTGCAGATGATGAGCTTTCCTGCAAGAAGGAAAAGAGGATGGGGAGCAGGCTCAGAGAATGTGGAGAGCACTTCTTTCCACCAGCCTTTCAGTGACAGAATATCTGACTTCCTTCCCATCCTTGAAGAGGGAACTCTTCCCGATTTTTATTTATTTATTTATTTTTGAGATGAAGTCTTGCTCTGTTGCCCAGGCTGCAGTGCAGTGGTGCTATCTTGGCTGACTGTAACCTCTGCCTCCCAGGTTCAAGGAATCCTCCTGCCTCAGCCTCCCGAGTAGCTGGGATTACAGGTGCCCACCACCACGCTCAGCTAATTTTTTATTTTTAGTGGAGATGGGGTTTCACCATGTTGCCCAGACTGGTCTCGAACTCCTGGCCTCAAGCAGTCTGCCTGCCCTGGCCTCCCAAAGTGCTGGGATTACAGGCATGAGCCACTGTGCCTGGCCGTTCCCCTGATTTGATGATAGGGGAAAATAAAGCCTATAAGAAGACTAACTGCATGAAGATTCCATAGCACACTGGAAGCACATTTGACCTTAAATTCAGTTTTGATTTCCAGTCCAGGACTCTTTAGTCTTTTAAAATGCTCTCCTGGCCTTCCCCATGTACAACACAAACCTGCCTCAATCTGTTGGAACTGCTGCTTGGTTTGAATGTACACAGTAAACACACCTCCTGCCCCCAATAAAAAAATGACCCCAGAATTTACCAATGTAGAAGGTCTCTGGTGTTTCTTTGGTTAACATATTGAAGATCTCCTCTGTGTTGGGAGAGCGGTAGGCTGTCCGGAGGTCCTTATATCGACAGCTCAGCTCTGCCCGGATGTCATAGAGTGTGATGTGTTTGTCACCATAGCCCTGGGGAAGAAGCCCATCAAGAAGAGCCTTGCAGCTGCCCCCCAACCTGAGCCTCAAGGAGTCCCGTGGAAGGGGCGGGCCTCTCCAGATGGGAGTAAGTTTCTGTCAGGGCTTCTTCTTTTCTTTCCATCAACATTTACTAAAGGTGGTTTTCAAACTTAGCCATGAAACACTGTAATCAAAATGCTTTATGGAACCCCAATGAGTCCACAGATAAATGCAAAGCTGTGCTGTTAGAAAGGAGGAAAGGGGGCCTAGACGGAAACTGTAGTACTGACATCCTCCCAACTCCCTCCTGCCCCTTGTAATTATGGTGGCAATCTCTGAGACTTCCCTGGCTCCTTAACAAGCAGACCAAAAACTTCCTTGAGGAGCCCAGTAGAGCAGGGCAGGGAGATGAGGATCAAGTCTGCCATACTAACAGTATCAGGCTTTCTCTGCACACTCACTGCCCAAGTCTCCTACCAACCTGGCCACTTGGGATGGGTTCTCCTGCCGGGCCTTCCATGCTGTCCCTTACCTGCCTCTCCAGCTCTTCTGCAAAGGCATCAAGGTCCAGGTCTTTCAGTCGCTCTGGGTTTTCCAAGATTTCTTCAAGGGCTCCTGCAGGATTGGCATCCTCGGCTGATTCATCGTATTCCAGGGCATCCACTGCCATCTTCCTAGCCCACTCATAAGTCTCAGGGTGGACACGGGAACCATCAAGGACTTCAATATATGAGTCAGTGCTGGAGGAAAGGCAGAAAAGGAACAGGATATAGAACGATAAGCTTCTAGTAACAACCCAAATGTCCACCAATGGGGAACTGGTTAAATAAATTAGGGCACCTCCATACAATGGAATACTATACAGCCATTAACAAGAATGAGGTAGATCTATGTGTGCTGACATGGAAAGATGGCCACAATATATTGATACGTGAAAAATGCACTGCAAAAACACTATGAACCATATGATCCCATTTTTGTAGTAAATGGGTAGTTAGTAAATGCATAGCAAAAATAAAATTTAGAAAAACTGTAGTATACATAAAATTGTTATGGTAGTTATCTCTGGGGGGTGGGATTATGGGGGACTTCCACTTTCTGCATAATATTTCTATATGTTGAATTTTATATGATGAACTTATATGAGTCTCATAATAAGATAAATCAAGAAAGGGGAAAAAAACCTTTGAAAATTTGCTGATAGCTATTTTCCCCCATAAAGCCTTCCCAGGCTGGTCTTGCCCGTGCACTCACATGGACCTATGTTATTCGTGGAGTGTTACAGCAAAGCTGAGTGGAAAATGAAGTTTTAGAACTTGAAGCCTATTTCCCCACTGATTTCCATTACTGAATGAGGAGCTATGTGCCCGTGGAAAAGATCCTCCAAAGACTGAGTTGATAACTTCTGGAGAGGAAGAGGTCAATAGTGAAGTCCAAAGTCCAAGTGAATAGAACTTTCTCTTAATAACATCATCTCAAAACATACCAAATCTCTCTCCCCCTTCCTTATCTCTTTATACCCCCAAACTCCTTTTTCATTGCCCCCGCTATTCCCACCCTTATCTGGCCACAACAAACCATAATAATAAAAAAGCAAGTTTGTGTTTACTGAACAAAATCTTGTGTTTTCCATGCTTAATTTATAAGCTAAGCTGGTACTTTTTATGTTTCTCTCACACGAAAAATGTTTCACATGATTGAACCGATCTTTTCCATAGGTCAGGGGCTCTTGACTGAATAAAGTTCCTTACCTTTTCTTTAAAACATTTCCTAAGTTAAAATGGCTTGTGGCCCTTTGATAGCCCTAACCCCTGAAACCCGAAAACAAAGCCCACAAGGGAATTCCTCCTGCCCCATCCAGGCAGAGGGCATCACCTGTCCCCCAGGGAGGCCGTGTCGATCTTGAGGAAGCCAGCACAATTCATGAAGACTTTGGGACCCATGTGGCACATGGTGACCAGCTGGGTCCGGCTCTCGAGCCGGGTGTTGTTCTGCTTCAGGATCTGGGGGAGAGAGCTGGACTGAGCCAGGGCAGTAAGCAGGCCCCACCTCCCCAGACTGTTCCAGTCTCTATTAAACCCTCATAACAAAAACTCTGTCCCACCCAGTATCTAGTTGAGCACTACAGCATGCTATCGACCACTCAAAATTAAAAAAAAAAAAAAAAAAGTTTTGCTTTAAATGGGAAAATAATAAACAAATAAATGATGTTATACCTACACCAAAGACCATATACAACTAATGTATGGCTTATAAGTTACAAGTTAACACTAGTTGGCCGGGCGCAGTGGCTCATGCCTGTAATCCCAGCACTTTGGGAGGCTGAGGCGGGTGGATCACCTGGGGTCAGGAGTTTGAGACCAGTCTGGCCAACATGGTGAAACCCCGTCTCTACTAAAAATACAAAAAATTAGCTGGGTGTGGTGGTGCAAGCAGCAGTGAAGGGCACAGCTTTGGCCAACTGGGTCTGAAGTCAGACTCTTTTGACTCTCACTAGCTGAGTGATTTTGGACAAGTCACTGACCTTGGTCCTCCCAATCTGTCAAATTATACTGACAAAGTATATATTCATATTCAATGAAATGGCAAGTTTTAAAATTTCTGAATTCACTCCAATCCTACCTTCAGGAGGTGGGTCCCTTTCCGAGGTCCCAGGCCACAAACATACTGGATCAAGGCCTGGCTGTAAGGGTGGGCAATGGCACGGTTGACATCGACCCCGACCTCATTGACTCGGTTGATAAATTCACAGTACAAGGCGTTGAGCAGCTCCTCTTTCACCACATGCTCCTGTGGACATTCAGCAGGCAGGAGTAAGGTTACTCTGCCTTTCCCTTCACCCGAGCCTGCCTGTCAAATCCTACTCACCTGCAAGGGGTGAAACTTGAGACACAGGATGTCTTCATCGGAACTGCACACCTGGGCAAATTCAATCAGAGGGTCCTGGATGCGCCGGGCCAGGGAGACGGCCTGTCTCAGCACTGGAGGATAATCCCGGAACTCTGCCTAGAGTCAAACGAGGGTCAGCAGGGCCTTAAAATCCCCTTAGCTACAACATCAAGAGGAAATCCAAACCATTCTGGTTTAAATCATTTTCTCTGCTTCTCTGGGATCTTTTTTCCTGAGACCGATTTAATTTCTGGGACTCCCAATCTGAACCGTAACTGCAAAACGGAGAACTTCTGCATGGATAAGTACACAGGTACAGTCCTGTGCCCCTGATAACTTTTGTTTCCCAATTTAATCTCTTTGGGATTAATAGCACTTGCCTGGGCAGGCCCTAAGGGTGAGGCTCCAGCATTACCTCTGACTTCTTGCTGTTCATATAGAGAATGGCCAACTCGTTGTCAACCAGCTCTACCCCAATAGATGACAGCTGCTGGCCCTGGTCCAGCTCATGTACAATGCGCTTCACATCTTCAATCAACATCTGGGCGTCCCTGGTGGGATGAGTGTTGGTCAATGAATATGTTTTCTTAGGGATGGACAGTCTCATGACTGCCTTGGGGGTGAAGAGGTAGGGGAGGAAAGGGCTTTGAAGAAAATGAGGTCAAACATCCCCAGGGACACTCCCTGCACAAGCACAAGCCCCATCTGTTATGGGCATATGCCAGACTCAATAATAAGGGATGAGTTGGGTCACGGCCTTAAACCAGGTGTGGTCTAATCCCTACCTACCTGTTCTCTCCTGCAACTGTCACTACATGAGGCTTCTTATTCAGGAGAAATTTCTTTAGCGTTTCAATGTCTTGAGCCTGGATTGAAAGAAAATTGAAGCTGAATGGCTCTGAGGATGTAAAGATTTCAGGAAATTCTGTCTCCCTATGTTGGAGATCTTGTAAGAACTGGAAGTCTTCAGAAGATATCTGGTCCAAGGTGCTACCAAGGAACTATTCCCACCTCTTCCTGAAAGTTGGCCAACCCTGCCTCTGCTTAATAATTCCACTGACTAGAACTGCGCTCCAGTGGTACCAGGTGCCACTGGCTAGGTCCCAAGGATGAAGTTAGGAAACCGTTCTTTTTTATTGTAAACCAAAATCTAATACTTAGCCATTGGTTCTAGTTTTGATGAAGCAAAACAAAGAACTAGTAGCTGCCCTCTTTTGGGTGAGGGCCCTTTGAAAAGGTCAACATGGTTAAGTATGATTTCCTTCATCTTAAAGATGTCCAGTTTCTTATGATTTACTTTCCACTGCCTCACACTCCTGCATGTCCTCCTTTTGTGGCTATTTCATTTGTGGTGTGACTTTTGCTAAAATGTGAGTAGTTAGGACTATTAGATATTCTGATCTCCATTTCAAGATTTTAAGGGCTGGGTGCAGTGGCTCACACCTGTAATCCCAGCACTTTGGGAGGCTGAGGCAGATGGATCACTTGAGTCTAGGAGTTTGACACCTGCCTAGGCAACACGGTGAAACCGTGTCTCTACAAAAAATACAAAAATTAGACAGGCGTGGTGGTGCACGCCTCTGGTCCCAGCTACTTGGAAGGCAGGAGGATCACTTGAGCCTGGGAAGCAGAGGTTGCAGTGAGGTGAGTTCTTGCCACTGCGCTCCAGCCTGGAGATGGAGCAAGACTCTGTTTCAATAATAATAATAATAATAATAATAATAATAATAATGATAATAATAAAATTTAAAAAATAGTTGTTTCTTAAGAAGTTTTTCTTTCAAGAATGGGGCTCTGTTAACAAAACTGAAAGATACTACAGATACCATTAGGATAAACAAAATTCAGAAATATACCAACCAAATGAATTGAAAGTCTTCTTTCCCTGGAAAAAAGACACCCTGAAAGGCTAAAGCAGGGAAAAGGCTGGCTTCATGCCTCAGTAGCTTTCAGCTGCTGGAACAGCCTGACCCAGATGCTGGTAAGAAAAGAGGCAGTTAAAGCAACTCCAGAAGCACACAAGGCCTAGGAACTGGCCTCAAGCCAGAAGCAAATCCCGTACTAGATAACTTGAGTGCCATCTACTGCTCATGGAAGTGAGGCATCCCAGGGGACAAGTCAGTGACCAGATCAGACACAATCAGTCTTGCATAGGATGTTGCTTAGACCGTAAACACTTATCTCCACTGAATCATAAGACATACTCCAGATGTACACTTAGTATCCTCGTCCTAGCCACTTGCCTTCTTTTCCCGCTCTTCCTCTCTCCATGCAGTTCGCCGTTTGGTAAAATGGGGCAGTCGAAGGAAGTCTGTCACTTCTCCTTCACCATTGACCAGGGCGCAGAACACAGGGTGATCTCTGCCAGACAGACAGAAAAACAAGAATGCAATAATCAGCAATATGAAGTTATGAATGAGAGAAAAATGAAATTAGGAAGACAAGAGATGGTGCTGGGGAGGCAAAAATAGGCTGTTACCTGGCAGAGGAGAAAGCAATGCCGAGGACTCGAATGCCCTTCCCTTGGTTCTCGTCCATAAAGTCGTCATCTTCTTCCACCTGCTGATCTGGTCGGTAGGGTGCCACTCTCAACCAATTGTAGAGCTTTCGACTACAGGCCTGAGGGAAGAGACACAACAGGTATTACATACATGATGACATTATGGTCATCAGGCTCACCAAGAGTGCTATGGAAACACACTCATACACACATGTGCGAGGGTGTGTACTCTTATGTGCAGATGTTCCTAGCCATTGGCAGGCTTACCACCTGAAGGCATATCTTGCTTGTGGAAACAGGAGTGTATACAGAGAACAGTGATATAAACAAAGAATGTTTGGATGAGTGGGGCTGGGGGAGGGGAGAAGCTCCTGGAGCAGAGAGGTCTTAGAGGTGGTCCCTGTGGCCTTGTTAGCATTCCCTCTCAGATTATGCTTCACCTGCCCCCCGTGTTTCTCCATTAGCTATGGGACTATTCCTAAGGGGTTCCTTCATGCCCAACTATAGTTTGGGGAAATCATATGACTAAAAATCATGAGTCTCGGCTGGGCGTGGTGGCTCACGCCTGTAATCCCAGCATTTTGGGAGGCCAAGGTGGGCAGATCATGAGTTCAGGAGATTGAGACCATCCTGGCTAACACGGTAAAACCATGTTATTTTATACTAAAAATATAACATATTTTATACTAAAAATATAAAAAATTAGCTGGGCATGGTGGTGGGCGCCTGTAGTCCCAGGTACTCGGGAGGCTGAGGCAGGAGAATGGCATCAACCTAGGAGGCAGAGCTTGCAGTGAGCCAAGATTGCGCCACTGCACTCCAGCCTGGGCAACAGAGCAAGACTCTGTCACCAAAAAAAAAAAAAAAATCATGAGTCTCTGTCCTCACCTTTATGACATATTCCTTGGCTTCAGCCAGCAGCTTGTTCTTGAGTTCTTTGGCCATCTGCACATAGAGGAACTGCTGTAAAGCCCGTTCGATGGCCATGGTGCGCTGCCGGTTCCACTCCTGCACCTGGTGGCTGAACTCATCTCGGTAGTAAAACTGTTTTATCTCCTCAAAATATGTCTGGTCGTTGCCATAGCTGAGAAGAGACACAAAGCTATGGTGTCAGGAATGGAGAAAAGGTGACACCCAATGTCCATGAACATTCTAAGCAAGCCAGAGACAACAGCCTGCTCAACTCTGAAATTGTGGTTCCCCACTCCTGAGGGGCCCTTCCCTCCACCAGACTCCTCATCAGGCCTTCCCCAGAGAGTCGCCAGCCCAGGGCTCTGCTTACCCTTCCACTCCCTTCAAATCTATGCTGATGTCAGTGGTGAGGAGCCCTTCGTCTTCAGCCAGGCATATCTTGAGAAACTGGTCATCTCTCAGTTCCTTAACAGGCTTGTTCTTTAAATACTTGAAGGAATAGGCATAGTGGGCCTCATCCACATCCTGCACACATGAAGGGGGAATCATGAGCCTGCGGATGGGCTGGGCCAGGCCCCAGGAGAAAAGACAGCCTTTCTGCTTTCAGACACACAGCTCAGTGAAGTGGAAGGCAAGAAACTCAGGCAATCAAAGAAAGAGCTGGTGCACATCTTGGATCAAAGCCCTTCACCCAGCTCACCTTTCTACCTTTCTTGGTGGGGGTTATATTTAACTTGGCTCTCTCTTGGAAGGTTTGCCTCAGCACCTGCCGGACAAGGGGCTCACGGGCAATCTGCAGGGCTACCATGTAGCGGGCGCCTTCTAGCACAGCTTCTGGAGTAGGGAACTGGCTGTGGGGAAAATGGTGCAGCTACAGGACCAGGGTGTTGTGGTCCTCAGGCCCCTCCTCCTGTCAGCCACCTGCTGCATGCCTACCTGCAAACGTAATCCTTGGCCAGCTCCAAGGGCTCCGCGGGAAACTGCTCTGTCTCGTGCCGCTGGTAGCTATCCCGCAGGTTCTCCCCAAACTGCTCGGGAGTAAGCCCAAACTTTTTGGCCAGGCCATCTAAAGCAAACAGAAGAGTGAAGGGTAAGGCAGCAGATAGGCTGATAAACCTCTTGGCTTTCAGAATCTGGAGTTGGAATTCTGGGAACTAGCCTTTTTTATTTTCCTGAGACGGTCTCGCTCTGTTGCCCAGGCTAAAGTGCAGTGGTGTGATCATGGCTCATTGAAGCCTTAACCACCTGGGCTCAGGTGATCCTCCCACTTCAGCTTTCCCGAGTAGCTGGGACTACAGGTGTGTCCCACCACTCCTGGCTAATTTTTTCTGTATTTTTTGTAGTTTTGCTACGTTGACCAGGCTGGCCTCCAAATCCTGGGCTCAAGTGATCCTCCCACCTTGACCTCCGAAGTGCTGGGATTACATGCGTGAGCCACTGTGCCCAGCTAGAGCACTGGAATTTAAAGAGGCCATAAATGAGCAGGACCAGGTAGTCAAAGAACAATGAAAAAACTGATTTTAAACACTTGATGGGCTGTTATAAGGCAGAAGAAACAGACAGACTGGACTCTCTCCCTCCAATCATGAGTTTCCCATTATCTCAGGAAATTAGGGAGAGGCTGAACCATCATGTCGGGCGGGAATGGGTTTGGAGAGGGAGTATTTTTAAAGACCAGCTAATAGGCTAGTTCAGGATTGGATTGGTGATTGACCCAGATAGCCTTTCTTTTTCCTACCTACCAGTCTTTTTTCTGGGTAACTCCCCTTGCTCAGGCTAGAATGCCTAAATCCCAAAGCAGCTAGCTTTTACCTAGCCCAGCACTCTGGCAGATGGTGTACATGTCTCGGCGAGAGGCTTGCTTGAGCTCAGGCCCCCTCTGCTCCTCATCTTCTGCCTCGTCACCTTCACCTGGGAAGAAAACATGGGGAGATTTAGGGTTCTAGTTTCCAATCACTCCCAAGGATCTGACACATTAGGAGAGAAGCCTCAAAGGGTACCCAGCCAAGGGCCTCCTTCAAGATGCCATGGGCTGTCAAGTCTCCTGGGTTTTCTTTCTTGATTTTTTTTTTTTTTTTTTGAGACACAGCCTCGGTTTGTTGCCCAGGCTGGTGTGCAGTGGCATGATCTCAACTCACTGCAACAACTGCCTCTAGGTTCAGGCATGCCTCAGCCTCCTGAGCAGTTGGGATTACCGGCATGTGCCACCTACCCTGGCTACTTTTGTATTTTTAGTAGAGATGGGGTTTTGCCATGTTGGCCAGGCTGGTCTCGAACTCCTGACCTCAGGTGATCCACCCACCTTAGCATCTGAAAATGCTGGGATTACATGCGTGAGCCATCATGCATGGCCATCAAATCTCCTGGATTTTCTTTTCCAGCACTAACCTTCTTCATCTCCCTCTTCCCTGACACGCTTCAGCTTCTTGCGGCTAGCTTTGGCGGCGTTCTGCATCTTAGGGATGTCTCGGCCATAATAAAGAAGAAAATGGTTGTAGACATCTTTCAGCTCATCCATTGATTGGACATCCTTGAGCCTGAAAAAGAAGAGACATAAGGTTTCAGTCATCACTGCAGAAAGGGTATATCCCAATTTGGCTACAAGAGGTCCAATTCCCAAAAGGCAGTATCCCAACTAAAATGGGATCCCAACCAGTTTTTTCCAATTATTATTACTATTGTTATTATTTTTCTGAGACAGGGTCTCACTCTGTTGCCCAGACTGGAGATGGGATGATCACTTGAACCCGGGCGGTTGAGGCTGCCGCGAACTGTGACCACACCACTGCTCTCCATCCTAGGCAACAGAAGAAAGACCATTTCTTTTTTTCTTTTTTAAAGACACATAGCTGGTGCAGTGGCTCATGCCTGTAATCCCAGCACTTTGGAAGGCCAAGGCGGAGGGATCGCGACGTCAGGAGATAGAGACCATCCTGGCTAACACGGTGAAACCCCGTCTCTACTAAAAATACAAAAAACTAGCAGGGTATAGTGGCAGGTGCCTGTAGTCCCAGCTACTTGGGAGGCTGAGGCAGATGGTATGAACCTGGGAGGTGGAGCTTGCAGTGAGCCAAGATCGTGCCACTGCGCTCCAACCTGGGCGACAGAGTGAGACTCCTCTCAAAACAAAAACAAAAACAAAAACAAAACCAAGACACATGATAGCCCTAGAACATATCGTATTTATTTATTTTTTTGAGATGGAGTCTTGCTCTTGTCACCCAGGCTGGAGTGTAATGGCGTGATTTCGGCTCACTGCAACCTCCACCTCCTGGGTTTAAGAGATTCTCCTGCCTCAGCCTCGCGAGCTGGGATCACAGGCACGCACCACCACACCCGACTAATTTTTGTATTTTTAGTAGAGACAGGGTTTCACCATGTTGGCCAGTCTGGTCTCAAACTCCTGACGTCAGGTGATCTGCCCACCTCAGCCTCCCAAAGTGCTGGGATTACAGGTGTGAGCCACCACGCCCAGCCTCTCTTCTTTTGAGATGGAGTTTTGCTCATCACCCAGGCTGGAGTGCAATGGCACGATCTCGGCTCATTGCAACCTCCACCTCCCAGGTTCAAGCGATTCTCCTGTCTCAGCCTCCTGAGTAGCTGGGATTACAGGTGCCTGCCACCACACCGAGCTAATTTTTTGTATTTTTAGTAGAGACGGGGTTTCACCATGTTGGCCAAGCTGGTCTTGAACTCCTGACCTCAGGTGATCTGCCCACCTCAGTCTTCCAAAGTGTTGGGATTACAGGCATGAGGCACTGCGCCTGGCCTCCTTTTTCTTTCTTTCTTTTTTTTTTTTTTTGAGATGGAGTCTAGCTCTGTCGCCCAGGCCTGGAGTGCAGTGGCACGATCTCGGCTCGCTGCAACCTCTGCATCCTAGATTCAAGCAATTCTCCTGCCTCAGCCTCCCGAGTAGCTGGAATTACAGGCGCCTGTCCCCACGCCCAGCTAATTTTTGTATTTTCAGTAAAGACAGGGTTTCACTGTGTTGGCCAGGCTGGTCTCGAACTCCTGACCTCATGACCCGCCCGCCCTGGCTTCCCAAAGTGCCAGGATTACAAGCGTTAGCCACCGTGCCAGGCCCCAGCCCCCTTTTTCTTATGAGACAGGATCGGCCGGGCGCAGTGGCTCATGCCTGTAATCCCAGCACTTTGGGAGGCCGAGGCGGGCAGATCACGAGGTCAGGAGATCAAGACCATCCTGGCTAACACACTGAAACCCTGTCTCTACTAAAAATACAAAAAAAAACCGGATCTTGCTCTTTCACTCAGTGTGGAGTATAGTGGCATAATCATAGCTCACTGCAACCTTGAATTCCTGGGCTGAAGTGATACTCTTGCCTCATCCTCCCAAGTAACTGGGACTACAGGCAGAAGCCACCACGCCTGGCTTTGACAAGCTATAATTCTTTTTTTTTTTTGAGACGAAGTCTCGCTCTGTTGCCCAGGCTGGAGAGCAGTGGCACGATCTCAGCTCACGGCAACCTCCGCCTCCCAGGTTCAAGCAATTCTCCTGCCTCAGCCTCCTGAGTAGCTGGGATTACAGGCGTGTGCCACTGCTCCCAGCTAATTTTTTGTATTTTTAGTAGAGATGGGGTTTCACCATGCTGGCCAAGCTGATCTTGAACTCCTGACCTCAAGTGATCTGCCCGCCTCGGCCTCCCAAATTGCTGGGATTACAGGCATGAGCCACTGTGCCTGGTTGACAAGTTGGATTTCTAAGGGATGGGGCCCTGTGCTACACATTCTCCAAGGTTTAACAGTGCTCCTGCAGGGCCAGCCTTGGGGTCTGAGGGCTTCCCATAATGGAATAAACACCGCATGTTTTACCTCTCCATGTCAGTGGTGTCCAGAGCCCGGATGCCATCAGCAAGAGGTTTGTCAGGGTCAGCAGAGATCTGTTCATACTGATAAGCCTGCATCTTCTCAAACAGCCGTGTTAGGTTCTCTTTACGGATCCGCAGCTGGGTCCACTAAGGTGAAGTAGGGCAGGAATGAGAGCTTGTGTTCAGCCCTGGAGACTCAAGGCTGCTCTGATCCTTACCAGAAACCTAGTGGGGGAGGACTAGACAGGCCTGGGGGGTTTGGGTTTGTGGTATCCTGGTAGTAATGGTGCCTTCCCTGGCCCACACCTCTTGGGGGCCACGGATCTACATTACCTTTTCATCCCACTGCCAGACTCTCCATAGGTCATTGATGTGCAACTCAGGCTCCACATACTCCTTTCGATAGAAGGCAATAAAAGGCACCTAGGATGGCAAAGAGACTGCAGTCACTCAGAGAAGACAGATTTGCTAAGATCCCCTCTGTCAGTAGATAATGACTTCCTGGAGAAACAGCTCCAGGAAATTCAACAGTCAGAAGCCTGGCCTCCCTCACAGCCCTTCCAGGGCCTGGTGCTTTCCTCAATAGGAGAAAATAAAGCTGCAGACAGGGTAGCATTGTTCTTACGATCACTAGGGTCTCTGCTGGTCCTAACACTTGTTGAGTCATGGATAGGGGATACGGGAAGGGGGCTCCCACCTCATTTAGGTAATTATCTTTTCCCTCATCCCCTAACTAAATTTCTCACCAATGGGCCACCAGAGCTTGAGGTGTTACCTCAAAATGCTGATTTCGCATGAAGCCCAGGGCCTCTTTGATCTTCTGAATTGTGCTGGGCCCTTTCCGACTGAAGCTGCTGGCTGGCTGCCCTCGGTCTAGGTAATCACAGCTTTCCTACAGTAGGAAAATAAAGAAATAGCAAGACAATGTTTACTTGGTTTGTCTTACCATACAAGACTGCTTAATAACAAAGGATAACCTTTCTAGATGAAATCTAAAAAATTTTTCTCATATACACACACTTGTTGGGACTACATACACACAGTTTTCTAATACCAGGCACACGGATGTATGAAATAGGGGAGGAAGAGCTCCCCATCTTGATGAAGTGTCTTTTGGTTCATGTCAAAACCTAAGGATCTTTTTTGTGTACCTGGAGAGAAATGGTTGGTGTGGCAAAAGCATTCCTGTAGATCCAGTCAGCTTCTTCTTCTAGTTCATCATCTTCAGCCCCCTTGACTGGGATGGAGCGGAGCTGGAGTGGATAAGACAACAGGGTGAGACGGACTTTATCTTGTGTCTCACTTAAGAAAAACATACCTTTTTGGACAGAAACGTGTGATCATCAAGTGCACATTTCCAGTATTGTTCTACAAATGCCATACCAGTGTTGTTCTGGCATGAAATAAGCATTTTTTTTTTTTGAGATGGTGTCTCACTCTTGTTGCTCAGGCTGGAACACAACGGCGCGATCTAGGGTCACTGCAACCTCCGCCTCCGGAGTTCAAATGATTCTCCTGCCTCAGCCTCCTGAGTAGCTAGGATCATAGGTGCCCGCCACCACGCCCAGCTGATTTTTTTTTTTTTGAGATGGAGTCTCGCTCTGTTGCCCAGGCTGGAGTGCAATGGCGCGATCTCAGCTCACTGTAACCTCCGCCTCCCAGGTTCAAGGAATTCTCCTGCCTCAACCTCCCAAGTAACTGGGATTACAGATGCATGCTGTCAACGCCCAGCTAATTTTTTTTTTTTTTTGTATTTTAGTAGAGACAGGGTTTTACCATGTTGCCCAGGCTGGCCTCTAACTCCTGAGCTCAGGCAATCCACCCACCTTGGCCTCCCAAAGTGCTAGGATTACAGGCGTGAGTCACCGTGCCTGGCCGCCCAGCTAATTTTTTACATTTTTAGTAAAGACGGGGTTTCACAATGTTGGCCAGGCTGGTCTCGAACTCCTGACCTCAGGTGATCCACCCACCTTGGCCTTCCAAAGTGCTGGGATTACAGGTGTGAACCACCGTGCCTGGCCATAAGCATTTCATGGTTTTTTTTTTTTGAGACAGGGTCTGCTTCTAGGCTGCAGTGCAGTGGTGCAATGATGGCTCACTGCAGCCGTGACCTCCCAAGTTCAAGCAATCTTCCCACCTCAGCCTCCTGAGTGGCTGAAACTACAGGTGTGCACCATCACAACCAGCTAGTTTTTTGTATTTTTTGTAGAGACAAGATCTCCCTATGTTGCCCAGGCTGGTCTTGAGTTCCTGGACTCAAGCAATCTGCCACCCTGGCCTCCTAAAGTGCTGGGATTATAGGTGTGAGCCACAGCACCCAGACTGCATTTCACAGATTTCTAAAGAAAACAGTATTTCTAGAACCGTAAGCAAGGTAGAGTCTATCTTCCCTTCTCTAAGAGCTGGATTTCCCAGGCCCCAGGTGAGATGAGGTTCAAACCTGTGCTGGATACTCAATGCCAGACTTTTGCTAGAATATTTCTTGGCTACAAGGTAATTATGGATTGGTAGAAGAGCAGAGGCTGGTGGTTTTTTACCTGGAACCTCTCAGGCAGGTCAGTGGCTCGGATTTCATTGTCCTGATCTGTGAGGTGGCTGCTTTCTAGCTCACTGGGCTCATACATTTCAAAGATGCTCCTACGGCTCACACGCTTCTTGGTGGTCTTCTTGGGGCGCACTCGGATTTCACCCTCAGCCTCATCATCCTCATACTCATACTCTTCCTCCAGTTCTTCATCATACTCATTGTATTTCTCAAATTCATCATAGTCAAAGTCCACACCGAAGATTTCCTGGGCTTCTTGCAGGGCCCTGTAGGTGGCAGCAAGAGGCAGGTGGCTCAGGTTCAGGTGAGAGGAGAGAAATGCAGCCCTTGCATAGATCCTTTACTTGTCCCAAGGGAACTGAGAGGGTTAGGAGGAAGGTAAACAAAATAACCATATTCACTGTGGACGAAAGGCTTCATTGGCGGATATTTCTGGGCAAACTATTGTATATGGAAGATTAAAAAGCTCATCTTTGGCACCTTCGAGTGACAGTAATCAAATAGCAACAGAGCAGACGGGTCTATGTCTTGCTCAGTGGACCCATCTTCTGCTAAGGCATTACAGTATTCCCTCAGGGCAAAAGCTTTCAAATTTGTAAATTGTGATGCGGGCATTTGTCTTCCAACAAAAATATATTAAGAATGTCAATATATATATAATTGAATAAACATGGAGCTGTAGGCGGAAGAGGAATGCTGGAGCCTTGCCCATGTGGGACTCTACTCCAATCCCACAGTAGTCCTAGAGTGCAGAGACAGCTCCCAGGGCTTCCGGGAGCAGTCTGAAATCACTGCCTGGTAGAGGTTATTTGAGGCAGGGAAGCAAAATGGCTGCAAGCTGGGAATGCCCCATTTTTGGCAAAGGCCTCTGATCTCCTCCTTCCTGACTGGGCCCACTCAATCACTTTATCCCCACCTTGTACCAGACCCCACTCACGCGTCTGTGTATCCAGGAAGCTTTTTCCGCCACTTAGGTTTTTTCAGAGGCTGTCCATCATCATCCACAATGAAGTCGTCAATATCTGGGTAGGAAAAGGATGGGTTGGGGCTCAGAGTCAGGGGCTGAGCCAGGACTAAATTGCTTTGGTTCCTACTATGTGAGTGGCCAGTGAGCAACAGAGAAGGGAAGCTCCTGAAAAGGAACTTCTTTGTGTCAAATGCTGGGGGATGTAGCTAAAGAATGGTTTCCATCCTGTTCCCATGGGCCAGGAAATCCCAATACCCATCCAAACACTGGCTTCCCTGCCCAATATAACATACCTGACTCCTCATCATCTTCTTCCTCCTCCTCTGGAGGAGCCATGGGGGCCTCCATGGCCTCCTGCCCTTCTTCCCCTTCCCCATCCTGGAAGATTTCTTCCGCAATAGCTTCTTTTTCATGTTCCTCCTTGCCATATTCCTCCTCGTCATCGTCCTCGTCATCTGACATTTTTTTGACACGCCGGTACTTTTGCTAGGGGTGGGAAAACCTGCCTTATCAGGATCTGAGGAGTCTGGCATACGGATACCAAATCTCCAGTCTCACTCCCTTCTTCCCACCACAATTACTCTGACCAAGAGAGATGGGAAAGAACATGCCGAGTGATGCTCTTGTAGCCTCAAAGCCCATCCTTGAAACTTGGACAAGACTTTCTCTAACAGGCACCCAGATCTGGGATGCAAATCTAGGCTCCGTAGTACAATGATACCGAACACCGTGCTCTAATGTTCTCCAAACTGTCCTGCGTGTGCCTCCTCACCCACAGACATTGAAATTTCCAGGGCTTTTTCCTTTACCCCCAGGGACAAAAGACAAAGAATGACACTTACTCCTCTTTTGACTTTGACACCCAAATTCTCCTCAATGAGGTCAAAATCATCATCCTCCAGGCGGTCATCAAAAGAGGCTGAAGAAACAAAGTGTTGCCCATGGTGATGGGGTTGCCCTTTTCCACTGCAACCTCCACCCAAGCCTCACTTGAGCCAACGACAGACTACTCACTGCGTTTTCTCTTCTTGTGGCCAACATCATCTTCTGAATCACCAGAGTCACTGCCCTCATCCTCCTCCCCTTCATCTTCATCATCATCGTCATTGATAAAGCCTTTCAAGTTGCCTTGCTCATCCTGATCATCTAGGTTCTCCTCCTCCTCCTCCTCATCTGGAAGACATGCATGTTTGAGGCATGGAGACTGAAAAACAGGCTAGAGGTTCAGGGTCACTTGATTAATGTGATTATCCATTTGCTCTGCACCTAATGACCTGGGTGCCATGTTAACTCTTCTGCCTCATGTAAAGATGCAAAACATAGCCATTGACTTAGAGTAGCAGCATCTGGAAAGAATGTTTTCTTCCCCTACATTCACCATCTGTCTTTGGGCAGGATGATCTTCCCCGTCACTTTGGCTTCTCAAAATCATTACTAGATTATTATAGCCACCAATAACTTTGTTTTACTCAGTTTGTAAACTCAGCAGCTATATTCCTTTTTTTTGCCATAATTCCTTTGATAAAACTTGTACGTCCCTTTACCCCTTTGAAGTCATTTCGTGGTTCTACTCTGTTGACAATTCTAAAGATTGGGCTTGGCCAGAGAAATAGGAAACGAGGTGAATAAATATCAACAATGCTAGGTCTAAAAGCAGAAAGTATTATATACAGACTTATCTACTGATTTATTATCAACCACCCCCCAACTAAAGTAAACTCCACAATAGCTGGATATTTATTGTTTTATATTTCTAGTTCCAGGCCTAGTGCCTGGCATACAGACAGATGCTCAGTTAGTATCTGCTAAGAATGACTGAAAGTTCTCAAGCTGGTACCTCATGTGTGATAACTTCTGTGCTGAGCCTGAGCTTTTCATCAGCAAGAATCCAACTATCCAAAGCTTAGCAATAGTGGGGAGAAGCTTGAGGCTGGGGCCTCCTCACCATCATCCTCCTCTTCCACAAATTTCTTGGTGACTCGGGGTACCACCTCGCCTTCATCATTGTATTCTTCCTCTGACTCCTCAGCCTCGCTTTCCACAAAATCAGACATTGCTGCAGCTTCTCACTCTGCCTGAAGATAACTAGGGAAAGAAAAGAGTGAAGGATAAAAAAACGGACACATGATTGTACAGAGGGCTCTTAAACCTTCCCACAAACAGCCTTTTAGCAACCTGCCACTGCTCTGCCCACTCAACATTCCCACTTGGGGAGAAGAAAAGAAGAATCTGATGGTTCCAACTCTTCCATTATCCATTCCTCCCAGCATTGCTTCTCTCATATGTACTTTTTTTTTTTTTTTTTGAGGTGGCGTCTCACTCTCTCACCCAGGCTGGAGTACAGTGGCGCAATCTCCGTTCACTGCAACCTCCACCTCCTGGGTTCAAGTGATTCTCCTGCCTTAGCCTCCCGAGTAGCTGGGATTATAGGCATGCGCCACCATGCCTGGCTAATTTTTGTACTCTTAGAAGAGATGTGGTTTCAACACGTTGGCCAGGCTGGTCTTGAACTTCTGAACTCAGGTGATCTGCCCACCTTGGCCTCCCAAGGTGCTGGGATTACAGGCGTGAGCCACCGCACCCGGCCTCATACGTACTTTCAAAAAGAAGGCAAAAGCCAGGCTACTCAGGAGGCTGAGGCAGGAGAATCTCTTGAATCCGGAAGGTGGAGGTTGCAGATTGCGCCACTGCATTCCAGCCTGGCGAGAGAGTGAGACTCTGTCTTAAAAAAAAAAGCCATTAGGCCAGGCGTGGTAGCTCACTCCTATAACCCCAGCACTTAGGGAGGCCAAGGCAGGTGGATCACCTGAGGTCAGGAGTTCGAGACCAGCTTGGCCAACATGGTGAAACCCCGTCTCTACTAAAAATACAAAAATTATCCGGGTATGGTGGCAGGTGCCTGTAATCCCAGTTACTCTGGAGGCTTAGGCAGGAGAATGGTTTGACCCCGGGAGGTGGAGGTTGCAGTGAGCTGAGATTGCACCACTGCACTCCAGCCTGGGCAACAAGAGCAAAATCTGCCTCGAAAAAAAAGAAAAAAAAAGAAAAGAAAAAAAGAAAAAGAAGGCAATTATACCAGACTTGTATATGTATCATCTCTCTTCCCCAAAGTTTTACCTCACTTACCATTTGAAGACAGGAATGGGCAAATGAGGAAAGAAACTAATGTAGGGACAATTAAGTGGGGATATGGTGGTAGAGTGAGATTATGTGATCTGCTTCTAGGAGGCTTGGAAACAATAAGTGCCAACTTTATAAAAGGTGCTTTCATATGTTTACATACACTATTCATACTTATTAGCAAAGTCAAAAGCAAAATCTCTTTTCAATAGATTAAACACACAAATACTTCATGAACTTGAGCCAATTTGTGTGAGTACTGGTTGGGAGCATTTGGGTCCAAAAAGGGCCTAGTTTTATCATTTACTCCCCTTGCAGGCAAAAAATCTTGAAAGGCTTCCATGTCCTACAAAATAAATGCAACATGGTTAAATGGAAAGACTGCTGGGCTCAAGAGTAGAAATCAAATCCTGGTTTCATACCCTACGGGCTAAACATAAACTTAAGCAAATTATTGGACATGCCTGAATATCACTTTCTTAACCTGGAAAATGGTAATAGCGCTACCTACCTTACAGGATAGTTGAGAATATTACATGACATAGGGGAAAGAACCTATTGTTTCAAGATGGGTTAACCTGAGTTTGAATTTGAATCCTGAGCCTAATTTTCCTTAGCATTCTGTAATTCTGTACCAACCAACCCCAACTTTATCTTCTACTTCCCTGCTTTCAGACTCATCCAAAGCCTGGAAACGACAGTAGGGATCTTCAAGAACCGTAACATGGAGCTTGATGGGCCTTGAGTAGGACTTAAAAAACAGCACACATCATCACAACAAGATTCCATTGTGGAACCCTAAAGCTGGCTGCTGACACACTCAGCATCACTCCTCACCCCATCCAGTAAAATGGTCTATGGGATATATCCCATGTACCTTTCTCTCACTTAGACTACAAGCTTCTGGAAGATAAAGAACATATCCAATAGAGAGACTAATAAAAATCATGAAAACATAAATGGCAATACAAGAGGCATTACAAGGCACTCTGTGATTCTGCACCAGAAAAGCTATATCCCTTCAGGTGTGCTGCAACACATTAGCAACAAATTAGCTGCTAACAAATTAGCAACTGTTAAGTGTCTGTTAAATAAACTACTTACGTTTTCATATTGCTGCCATCTTCCCAGTTAAAGATGGCAGTGGGAGGGGAGAGAAGAGAAGGGTGGCTAATGGCTACCTGAAGGTGCCTTAAGTTCTGTGGCTCTAATTCTCCTCAAAATTGCCCTTACGGAGCTCAATCAATACTATAACCAATGAACTTGAGATTAACTAAACTCAAGAAAACAAAACTGAAGGTATAGGAGGGAGGGGGAATGTTCAATTTTCGGTTGAGGTTTCAGATGCCATTCTTTCCACAAACCTAACTGAATGCCTACAATGTACATATACTCTGCTAAGAGCTGGGGATTTGAAGAGAATTGTTCATTTTCTTTCTTTTTTTTTTTTGAGATGGAGTTTCGCTCTTGTTGCCCAGGCTGGAGTGCAATGGCGTGATCTCGGCTCACCGCAACCTCCACCTCCTGGGTTCAAGCGATTCTCCTGCCTCAGCCTCCCGAGTAGCTGGGATTACAGGCATGCACCACCATGCTGGCTAATTTTGCATTTTTAGTAGAGAGGGGGTTTCTCCATGTTGGTCAGGCTGGTCTTGAACTCCTGACCTCAGGTGATCTGCCCGCCTCGGCCTCCCAAAGTGCTGGGATTTACAGGCGTGAGCCACCGCGCCTGGCCGGATTGTTCATTTTCAAGGAGTTGAATGTCTCCTAGAGATAGAAATATGAAAATAAGGACCATAAAATCGTTTTATATATTACAATAGACACACAGAACAGGCACAGGAAGAGAACTGGACAATAAACTCACAACACACACACAAAACCCAATCAAAATAATATGGGTCTCTCTTGGGTATTTTAAGCAATTTTTTAAAAAGTACCCTGAGGAATAATGCTTATTACACACCTACCAAGTGCCAGACACTAACAAATACCCTACTATTTTATGTCCCTATCAAGGAGAACAAGTATTCTATTAATCCCTACACTGTCCTATGAGTTACAGCACACTTCTCTCTCAACAGAGGAGGAAACAGACTCAGAGAGATGTAGTCATTTGTTCAAGGTGACAAAACTATCATCTGTAAGTGCTGAGGTCTGTCTGACTCTTCATGGTTGACAGTACCACATCTATCAATAGTTTTCAGGGCGTGGTCCAGGGGCCAGTCCCTCTGTTCTCTCAGGAGCATAGAGTGGAGTTTTCCAGAGGTTATAGGACATGTGGTTATCACAACAGACTGAATGCAAAAACATATGAGAACACAGCTGTATTCTGTTAGAGCAGACATTAAAACATTGTACTAAAAAACAAAGAATGTCATTCTTACTTAATTTACTTATTTTGAGACAGAGTCTTACTCTCTCACCCAGGATGAAGTGCAATGGCACGATCCTGGCTCGCTGCAACCTCCGCCTCCTGGGTTCAAGCGATTCTCTTGCCTCAGCCTCCCGAGTAGGTGGGACTACAGGCGCTCGCCACCACGTCTAGCTAATTTTTGTTTTTTTTAGTAGAGATGGGGTTTGGCCATATTGGCCAGGCTGGTCTCGAACTCCTGACCTCAAGTGATCCACCTGCCTTGGCCTCCCAAAGTGCTGGGACTACAGGCGTGAGCCACCACGCCCGGCTATTCATTTATTTTTTAAGACAAAGTTTCACCATGTTAGCCAGGCTGGTTTCGAACTCCTGAGCTCAAGTGATCCACCTGCCTCGACCTTCCAAAGTTCTGGGATTACAGGAGTGAGCCACCACACCCAGTCCATTCTTACTAAAATGTTTTGTTTTAAAAACTATTATTATTCGGCCGAGTGCTGTGGCTCATGCCTGTAACCCCAGGCCGAGGCAGGCCGATCACCTGAGGTCAGCAGTTTGAGACCAGCCTGGCCAACATGGTGAAACTCTGCCTCCACTAAAAATGAAAAATTAGCTGGGTATGGTGGCAGGCGCCTGTAGTCCCAGCTATTCAGGAGGCTGAAGCAGGAGAATTGCTTGAACCTGGAAGGCAGAGGTTGCAGTGAGCCAAGATGGTGCTACTGCACCGACAGTGAGACTCCGTCTCAAAACAAACAAACAAACAAAAAAACCCAAAAAACTACTGTTATTCATAAAAAGTATTATTGTTTACTACTTTAAAATAAATCAATAAATATTTTTAAATGTCTCACTGAGTTTTAATTTCGAATCTGGTAAATATCAAAGGATATAACTCACATAAACAAAATGTCTTTGAAGTCCTAAATAAGTTTTAAGAGTATAAAGGGGTCCTGAGTCCAAAAAGTTGAGGAGTGACTGTAAAGACCCTAAAGAGATGCGGTATAGTAAGCCTAGGGGTTAGGGTGATGCTCCCCCATGACCCCAAGATCTCTATCCTTAAGGTCATTTAGCTTGAGCACTGCCAAAAGTGAAAGTCTTAAACTTCTGCCAATTAAATCTAGAGCTCTAATTTTAATTTTGACATTGCTCCCCCTCAGCCCTGAACTGAGCCATTAAAAACAGATTTGAGTACGGCAGCCCCCACACATAGCTTGTTCTAATTAGGCTATCAGACCCACAAGTTCAATCTTTTAAGGCCTCAACATCTTCAAATTAAATGCCAGCTCCTGCAGACCAGATGCCCCTCAGCCTACTTAACAGAGAAACACACAGCCTACCTGATGAAAACAACAGCTTTCTTCTGTCTCAAGGGCAGCTGGTGCTCCATGCTGCACACAGCTTGGAAAGATAGCTGTGTTCTCTTTCTTCCCATCGCCTAGGTTAGCAATAAAGCACACACTATGCTATAGCTGGGGAATGCCTCCAATCTAGCTCAATACCAAGACTTCCAGTTATAAGAGGTGTGCCAGAAGCAATTCTGACTTGCTGCAACTTGCAGGAGCTAGATGTGCAGACTGCAGTAGCACTGCAGTCTGAGACTGACAAGCGGGAACTACTCTAGAATAAAGACACTAATGTATTTATTTGTGTATGATTATTATTAATACATGGTATCTATGATGAGCCTGATGTAGTTTGGATGTTGTATTTAGCACTTATGCTCTTAAAATTTTCCCCATACTCACACTGTAAGTTAAATTTGCAACTGGAATAGGTCTAGAAGGGCAGTGGGGAGATGGAGGGAGAGGTTTCTCTAGTCAGAAGCACAGCTGCAGAACAAGATGTGGCTCAATGGGAGAGGCTGGTGGTTACCATGACATTCGCTGGAAGAGGAATGGAACTGGGATCAGATTGCCACAAGGGAGGCCCTCTGCAGTCCCTCCCTTTGAACAAGAAGTTGTAGTAGGCAATTAAGAGGAGACCAGAGTGAAAAGAGATCTAGTCTGTTAATTCCTTCCACTTTGCAGCTTCAATTAACATTTGCTGGGTTTTTTTTTTTTAGAGTCAAGCTCTGTGCTGGGACTTGTGTATATAAAAATGAGTAAAATATGCTTCCTACCCCGGTGGAGTTCACAGTCTTGGTGGAGTTCACAATCTATCTCAAAAAACTTGTTAATAACGTTATGACAAAGCACAATAGGGTTATGTTAAGTTATATAACTGGACTATGAGAGCAATGGGAAGGTTGGGGAATATCTGAGAAAAGGTGATGCCTGAATAAAAGAGGATTTAAGAAAACAGTCTGGAAAAAGGCAACATGAGCAAACATTTAGGCGTGGTGCTCTGGAGAACAGCCCCAGAAGTCTAGGGTGGAGTTTAAGCTACAAGACATTCCATGTTGTCTTGTATCATATATACATATATATATATAAAACACACACACACACACGTATTTATATATATATACACATATACATATATACACACACATATATACACATATACATACATATGTATACACACACACATACATATATATATATATATATATATATATATATACACACACACACTTTTTTTTTTTTTTTTTTTTTTTTGAGACGGAGTCTTGCTCAGTTACCCAGGCTGGAGTGCAGTGGCATGATCTGGGCTCACTGCAAGCTCCGCCTCCTGGGGTCACGCCATTCTCCTGCCTCAACCTCCCAAGCAGCTGGGACTACAGGTGCCCACCACCACGCCCAGCTATTTTTTTTTTTTTGTATTTTTAGTAGAGACGGGGTTTCACCGTGTTAGCCAGGATAGTCTCAATCTCCTGACCTTGTGATCCGCCCGTCTCAGCCTCTCATAGTGCTGGGATTACACTTGTATCCTATATTTTATGGGCAAGGGACTAGGACTATTCCAAAGGTATCCATAAGTGAATATCCAATTTGGAATTTCAAAACCTAAAAGTTTAATAGATAAAAGTATTTAGAGTCTACTTAAGTCCTTTTAAATCTGGAATTCAGAAGGCTTTGTAATTAAAAAAACCCTGAAAACCTAATTACATGAAGTCAAGATGTTAAAATACAGAAAAAGTTAATTTTGTTCATTTAAAAATATTATTTATTCGGCTGGGCGCGGTGGCTCACGCCTATAATGCCAGCACTTTGGGAGGCTGAGGCAGGCTGATCACTTCAGGTCAGGTCAGACGCTCGAGACCAGCCTGGCCAGCATGATGAAACCCTGTCTCCACTAAAAATACAAAAATTAGCCGGGTGTGGTGGTGCACGCCTGTAATCCCAGCTACTCAGGAGGCTGAGGCAGGAGAATCGCTTGAACGTGGGAGTCAGAGCTTGCAGTGAGTCGAGATCATGCCATTGCACTCCAGCCAAGGTGACAGAGCGAGACTCCGTCTCAAAAAAAAAAAAAAAAAAAGTATTCCTTTTCTTTCCACATTTCTTTAGAGAAACAGGGTAAGGGCTAAAGAAGAGTACAACTGAAATATGTAACCAGATTCAGAACCCCTGCAACACAAAGAGAGATTAACAGTTACTGAACCTTGTGGTACACACATTGAGGAGCGCATAGTTCCTGCTCTAGCACAGGGGTTGGCAAACCTTTCCTTTTCTCTATAGGGCCAAATCTGCCACTGTAGCACAGCATACATAACATGTAAATGAATGGGGGTGACCTTATTTGGCTCACAGGCCTTAGTTTGTGACCCCTGATTTAGAGAATTGATGATAAGAATAGCATGGGATCCTGTAATAAGACAACCTAACCTGGTTTTGAGGAAGTGACTTTAAACAAAGACCTTAAGAGTAAGGAGGAATTAGTTCAGCAGAGGAGCTGGCTTCTTTGGAGATGGTTTGGGGAGTGATGTCAGAGACGTGTGCTTCTAGCACAACACGTGTACTGTGGCAGGTACAGAGAAGGCCCAGGAGAGGAAGAATGGTTCATAAGGGTTGGAGAAGTCATAAGGATCTAGGCACTGGGAAGCCATTGCAGGGTTTTAAATGTAGAACTGAACTTAATCTACTTGCTAATCCAACAAAAACTTATTATTTTCTGAGATGGGGTCCTGCTCTGTCACCCAGACTGGAGTGCAGTGGTGTGATTACATCTCACTGCAGCCTCCACCTCCTGGGCTCAAGCCATAATCTCACCTCAGCCTCCCAGGTAGCTAGGACAAATACATATACATATACATATACGTTTTTTTGAGACAGAGTCTCGCTCCATTGCCCAGGCTTGGAGTGTAGTGGCACGATCTCAGCTCACTGCAACCTCCGCCTCCCAGGTTCAAGCAATTCTCCTGCCTCAGCCTCCCAAGTAGCTGGGATTACAGGCACCCACCACCACGTCCAGCTAATTTTTTCTTTGTATCTTTAACAGAGACGGGGTTTCACCATGTTGGCCAGCCTGGGCTCGAGCTCCTGACCTCAGGTGATCCGCCTGCCTCAGCCTCCCAAAGTGTTGGGATTATAGGCGTGAACCACCATGCCTGGCATAAATATGTATTTAATGAGTGCCTACCACATGCCAGGCACGTACAAGACTAGGTCCATGCCCCTAGGATGCCCGTATTCTGGTGCAGGAGACATATTGGCAACAAATAAAATAAACCTTGCTCTAAAAGCGAAGAAGGAAATGCATATTCTCATCTCATCTAAAGTGAGTTTACTTAGGCTGAGATGTCAATAGGTAGGATATGACCTGTAGAAGTAGGAGGAGAGGTTCCAGTAGAGAAAGTGGGCAAGAACATGGTATATAATAGGTGATGTCCTGAGGCTGATGGCACTAGAGCATGGTGAAGGCAGCAGCCTATGAGGGAGAGGTATGCTCAAGCAGGGCGTAAAGGCCATGGAAAGTCACTGGAGAGTTTTAAGTAGGGAAATGACATGATCTGCCCTGATCCAATTCTGTTACATGGAAAATGAACTGGAGGAAGATCTGAGTGGAAACCAGGGAAAACTGAAGATACTGTTGTGGTAGCCCAGGCAAAAGATGGTGGTGGCTTGGAATAAGGTGGTAAAAGTGAAGATGGAGAATAGAAGACAGATTACAAAAACATTCTGCAAGTGGAAGTGACAAGACTTACTGAAAGACTGGGGAAGAGGAGTAGTAAAGGAGAAGAACAAAGATGATTCTCAGAGGTCTATCTTTGGTAACCCTGCGGATAGGAGCACCACTCAGTGAAACGGGAGGATAAGGTTTGCAATGATGAGAAAACCAAAACTTTCTTTTGGTTATGTTAGCTTTGGGTGCCTAAGAAATATCCAAATGGAGATAATTAAACAGGCATTTTTGACGCGTGATTCTGCAACATAGAGGAGAGGGCTGGACTAGAGATTTAAACTTTGGAGTTGCCAACTTTCAGGTGGTAATTAAAGCCATGGGGCTGGGTTACCTAAAGGGAAGCATGTAGAAGGCTCGGGATTCCTGTGAGAATTCCAACATATGTAGATATACATATATTTTGAGACGGAGTTTTGTTCTGTTGCCCATGCTGGAGTGCAGTGGCATGATCTCTGCTCACTGCACCTCTGCCTCCCTGGTTCAAGTGATTCTCCTGCCTCAGCCTCCCAAGTAGCTGGGATTACAGGCGTGTCGCCACGCCCGGCTAGTTTTTGTATTTTTAGTAGAGATGGGGTTTCACCATGCTGGCCAGGCTGGTTGTGAACTCCTGACCTCAAGTGATCTGCCCACCTCGACCTCCCAAAGTGCTGGGATTATAGGCATGAGCCACTGCGACCAGCCCCAGCATTTAGACATTAGATAGAGAGCAAAAGTTGCTAGCAAATGAGACTCAGAAGGAACAGCCGGAGAAATGGAGAAAATCCAAGAGTGAAATGTCAATAAAGCCAAGATGAAAGTTTGGAGGCAGGAGTAACTATGTTGAATATTGCAGAGACAGAGGAATATGAGAACAAAGTATCCATTGGATTTGGCAACATAGAAGTCACTGGTGACCTTGATAAGAGCAACTTCAATGGAGTGGGCAAAGTAGATGTGGTGGCACTTGATTACTAGAAGCTGCCTCAGGAGGACTGCTTGAGCTCAGGAGTTCCAGGTGGCAGTGAGCTATGATGGGGCCACTGCACTCCAACCTGGGCAACAGAGCAAGACCCTGTCTCCACAAAAAAAAAAAAAAAAATGGAGTGGGCAGAAGAGAAGCCAGATTGGTATAAAATGAAGAGTGAATGAAAGTTGAGAAAGCTGAGTTGGTACAGGTAGAAATCTATGAATGGAAATTTAAAAAATTGGCATGGTAATTGGAGAGGGATGTGAAGGATACCAGAACATAATTTGTATGCTGATGGGAACAGTTTCAGGGAGAGACAGGATTTGGTGACTGATTTTATTGGGAAATAGTGGACAGGAAGGAAGACAAGGATTACAGGCAGGACTGATGGTAGTGCCATTTATTAAGGTCAAGAATATAGAATCAGGGCAAACGTATTTGCCTACAAAGATCATGTTTCCACCACACTAGGTAGGCTTTCAGAGGAAGAACTGTAAAATTTGACTAAGCCTCTCCAGACGGTACCACTTTCTGATGTAATTAATCTCCTGATGAAGTTAAAACCTCCTAGAGTTGCAAGGCTATGCTAATCCAATCTAGCAGCCACACAAGCCAAGTGAATAAAAATGTACTTGTACTGGTGAAAGGGACATTACTCGTAAAAAAGGGCTCTAAATTCACAGCTGATGGAAGAGCAGTTATGTTTCTGTAATCAAAACACTGAAGACTTACAAACTGGTAACTTCCAGATAAACAGTGGAACCAGACATTTTTCCGAAGAAATTAATCAAATTCAATATTGTTTACACTCCCTAATGCTCATTAATGATGTAGCTTCATACACCCTTGTTACTTTTGATATTACAGTGAATTTCCACGGAAGTATTTTCAGAGATCTTAGCCCTCTGAAATAAGTATCAGTTCTTGCAACAACCCAGGAAAATTAACTTCTCCAGCTGGTTCAAAGGAGTGCCTGAGGAGAAAGGTAGAAACTAGAAGATGGAGTTTTGACTTAATAACTAATTTTGATGTTCATGATAGGCCTCTGGCAAACGTTTGAGGAAATGAATCTATAGAGAATGGACGGGCTTTAGGACTTCTACAAGACCTTCGATCTTTAGAAAGGGATGAAGGATGCAACCATCTACAAAAAGTTCTATTTGTATTATTCAGCAATATGTAAAGAGCTGGAATTTGGCATCGCCCTCTAGCCTGATGGCCGAGCTGCTGAAAGCTCCACAGGATTCATATCCCCAGAACAAACAACTCGATCACCTGATCCTGGCTCAGAAGCCCCAGGTCCCTTCCATCCCCAATCCTTTTGCGTGGCCCAGTTTTAAAAACCTGCGGAGAGAAGGACGGGATGCCAGGAAGCCTGTTGATTCAACGTGCCACCCGATTCACGGGTTCCGGGTGTCACTGGGCTGGGAAAAGCTTTCGGACTCTGAGCAACTACAGCGCTTTCCTCCCCCTTCCCCCCATAGAGCAGGGAAGGCCAGGCTCCCCCTTCTTCCCGCATACGGCTCCCCACTGCCTCTTCCCTTACGTGACCAGGCCCTAGGAGCCCGGTTCCCCACCTGACTCCTGCGAGAAACACGCTCTCCAGTCGGAACTTTACCTGTCTGAAGCCCGCCGCTCCTCCAGTGCGCTAAGCCCCCACCGAGGAAAATGGAGTCGTCGAACCGAGACTGGGAAAAGATAGTACGGACCCACCGCACGGCCCCTCCGCCGCCACCGCCGCCGCTGCTGCGTCAACGTGCTACGTCATTTCCGGCTCCCTGTCACCGGGAGTGGGCGGGCCATTTCTTGTTCTCTCTCCCGCTCTCGGAAGCTTTCGTCTCGTGGGTGCGAAAGGTAACCGAAGCGGCTCAGGAAGGCAGCTGTCACTGAGCCCCTGGAACAGAGCGAGAGTATCGTAAGTAACCAGGCTCAGCCGGTTTCTCAGGCCGCTCTAGTCAAATAAACCATAAAGATCAGACTCGGGCTTCTTCACTTCCTTCTCTCCGTGGTTTCGCCATTAGCTTCCGGTTCCGGGGAGGGGCCGAGTTTTCTTCGAAGATTTGGGGCTCCGCGATACAGTTAGGATGGCTGTAGTACCTCTGCTGTTGTTGGGGGGTTTGTGGAGCGCTGTGGGAGCGTCCAGCCTGGGTGTCGTTACTTGCGGCTCCGTGGTGAAGCTACTCAATACGCGCCACAACGTCCGACTGCACTCACACGACGTGCGCTATGGGTCAGGTAATGCTGGGGACCGGGCTCGGGTGGGCTAGGGAGGACTCGGAGGCTCTGGAGGGGCGGGGCCTATAGAATATCTGACAGTGTGGTCTGGGAAAGTTAGGGGTTCCCTGGGAAGGTTCCTCAGGTCTAGAGAGTCGGAGAACTGAATTGTTCTAAGGCATCTTAATCGCAACACCACCTAATATTTGGTGAGCTACAGGCCAGGCACGTTACCTATGTCCTTTTTCCGATTATTAACATTGTTGTAAGGTGGACAGTATTGTTATCCTCATTTCACAGATGAGGAAACAGACGCAGAGAAATTAAATCGTTTATTCAAAGCCTTGCAGTTAGCAAATGACAAAGTCGGGGTTCTATCCAAATCTATCCAGGTTCAAAGCCTGCTTTAGAGACAAGAAAATTACAGTAAGTGCTGTGTCTGAAATTTTAAAGTTACAGTAAGTACTGTCTGTGAAACTTTAAACTCCAAGAGCTCACTCGTTGACTACAACCCTTTGTCTTCCAGCTCTTCTGCATCTTACACTTGCTCCTCAGTTTCCATCTTTGGCCCCCTTCTACCCAAACCTTAACCTCCTTCTTGTAAGAAACTTGGAGCAGTGACAGGAATTGCAGAGAAAACTGCTTTTTTTTTTTTTTTTTTTTAGCGTTTGAAATTAAAATGTTTAGTAATAAATTATTTGTGGATTCATTCAGCATAGGTCTTAATGAGTTCCTACTACATGGCTAGAATTGTACTACATACAGGAGATTCGGTGGTGATAATCAGTCAAGAAAATTACAATATAATAAAAACAGACTAAAAAAAGAAAGTCTTATCTGCCTGAAAAAAAAAGATAAAGTTAAAAAAAAAGAATGAAGGTCAGCTAGTGAGATGTGAGAGGCATCTAAGATAGCTGGTAGATTTTTGTCTTGAATGACTGATGATGCTGTTTGCTGAGGGAGGAAAGAGTTCTGTCAGGTGGGCTAGTCTGGTTCATGATTCCCAAAACCCATCTGATCAGTCAGACTAGGCAAGGACATGAGTTATCATCACTGCGATGTCTTAATAATTCTAGCACCCATTCAGTGAACACCTACCATGTTGTCAGGCTTATTTTTTACTTTGTTTTGGTTTCCTACTTTGGATCTACTGAATTAGAGTGGAGGTGGACAGAGGCTTGGCAGTAGCAATCTGTAGGTTTAAAAAGCTCTTCAGGTGGTTCTGATGGACAGCCAGATTTGGGAACCAGGTTCAGTCCGGAGCTCAGAAAAGGGATCTGTGCTGAGCCTGAGATACAACATTAAATATAACATCTTGTACAGACTGTGGTTGAAGATGTCAGGGTTGTAGATGAAATTGCCCAGAATGAACTGTGATTCTCTATCTGGGATTAATTTGAATAACTGGAGAAACTTGTTAAAAATACAAATGCTTTTGTCCTGACCCTCAACAATTGTTTAAGAACTACAGGTAGCCCTCTCCGTCTCCCTCTCTTGTCTCTTCTCTCTTTCCACGGTCTCCCTCTGTTGCCGAGGCTGGACTGTACTGCCGTGATCTCGGCTCGCTGCAACCTCCCTGCCTGGGGCTCCCGTGATTCTCCTGCCACGGCCTGCCGAGTGCCTGGGATTGCAGGCACACGCCGCCATGCCTGACTGGTTTTCGTATTTTTGGTGGAGACGGGGTTTCGCCGTGTTGGCTGGGCTGGTCTCCAGCTCCTGACCTCGAGTGATCTGCCTGCCTCAGCCTCCCGAGGTGCTGGGATTGCAGATGGAGTCTTGCTCACTCAGTGCTCAGTGTTGCCCAGGCTGGAGTGCAGTGGTGTGATCTTGGCTCACTACAACTTCCACCTCCCAGCCGCCTGCCTTGGCCTCCCAAAGTGCTAAGAGTACAGCCTCTGCCCGGCCGCCACCCCGTCTAGGAAGTGAGGAGCGTCTCTGCCTGGCCGCCCATCGTCTGGGATGTGAGGAGCGCCTCTGCCTGGCCGCCCCGTCTGGGATATGAGGAGGGCCTCTGCCCGGCCGCCACCCCGTCTGGGAAGTGAGGAGCACCTCTGCCCGGCCATCACCCTGTCTGGGATGTGAGGAGCGTCTCTGCCTGGCCGCCCTGTCTAGGAAGTGAGGAGCGCCTCTGCCTGGCCGCCCCGTCTGGGAAGTGAGGAGCGCCTCTGCCCGGCCGCGCCATCTGGGATGTGAGGAGTGCCTTTGCCCGGCTGCCACCCCATCTGGGAAGTGGGCTGCCCATTATCTGGGAGGTGAGGAGCACCTCTGCCCGGCCACCCCATCTGGGAAGTGGGGAGCACCTGGCCGCCCTGTCTGGGATGTGAGGAGCGCCTCTGCCCGGCCGCCACCCCATCTGGGAAGTGGGGAGCGCCTCTGCCCGGCTGCCCCGTCTGGGAAGTGGGGAGCGCCTCTGCCCGGCCGCCCTGTCTGGGAAGTGGGGAGCGCCTCTGCCCGGCTGCCCCGTCTGGGAAGTGGGGAGCGCCTCTGCCCAGCCGCCCCGTCTGGGAAGTGGGGAGCGCCTCTGCCTGGCCGCCACCCCGTCTGGGATGTGAGGAGCGCCTCTGCCCGGCCGCCACCCTGTCTGGGAAGTGAGGAGCGCCTCTGCCCGGCCGCCCATTGTCTGGGATGTGAGGAGCGCCTCTGCCCGGCCGCCCTTCGTCTGGGAGTTGAGGAGCACCTCTGCCTGGCTGTCCCATCTAGGAAGTGAGGAGCGCCTCTGCACGGCCGCCCCGTCTGGGAGGGGAGGAGCGCCTCTGTCCGGCCTCCCATCGTCTGGGATGTGAGGAGCGCCTCTGCCCGGCCACCCAGTCTGTTAAGTGAGGAGCTCCTCTGCCCGGCCACCCTGTCTGGGAAGTGAGGAGTGCCTCTGCCCGGCCGCCCCGTCTGGGAAGTGAGGAGCGCCTCTGCCTGGCCGCTGTGCAGTCTTCCAAGTGTGAAGTGACAGCCTTTCTGCAGGTGTACCCAACAGCACCGAAGAGACAGCGACCATCGAGAATGGGCCATGATGACGATGGCGGTTTTGTCGAAAAGAAAAGGGGGAAATGTGGGGAAAAGAAAGAGAGATCAGATTGTTACTGTGTCTGTGTAGAAAGAAGTAGACATAGGAGACTCCATTTTGTTCTGTACTAAGAAAAATTCTTCAGCTTTGGGATGCTGTTAATCTATAACCTTACCCCCAACCCCGTGCTCTCTGAAACGTGTGCTGTGTCAACTCAGGGTTAAATGGATTAAGGGTGGTGCAAGATGTGCTTTGTTAAACAGATACTTGAAGGCAGCATGCTCGTTAAGAGTCATCACCACTCCCTAATCTCAAGTACCCAGGGACACAAACACTGCGGAAGGCCGCAGGGACCTCTGCCTAGGAAAACCAGAGACCTTTGTTCACATGTTTATCTGCTGACCTTCTCTCCACTATTATCCTGTGACCCTGCCACATCCCCCTCTCCGAGAAACACCCAAGAATGAACAATAAATACTAAAAAAAAAAAAAAAAACTACAGGTAGAAACAGATGAAGGCCAGGCATAGAACTTTGGATAATCCCAAGGTATAAGGATTTGGAGGAAGAAGTGAACGGTTGAATAGAAAGCAGAAAATGTAGGAGACAAAATGTAGACCATGGTTTAGTGAAGCGTGGCTGTGAGGACCCAGAGAGCTGTAAGGCAGTAACCAGAAGTAGGAAGGGAGACTTGGTTTGCCTTTTCTGAAAAAAGATATAATAAAGTCATGAAAGGAGCTGATAGTTGGCTACATTTACCCGTGTAACTGGCAGTGACACAATTACGACTCATTGCAGCCTTGACCTCCTGGGCTCAAGCAATCCTCACATCTCAGCGTCCTGAGTAGCTGGGACTACAAGTGCACCCCACCACACCTGATTAATTTTTTGCATCTTTTGTAGAGATGGAGTTTTGTCAGTTGCTTAGGCTTGGTCTTGAATTCCTGGGCTCAAGCGATCTGCCCACCTTGACCTCCCAAAGTGCTGGGATTGACGGTGAGCCACTGTGCCCAGCTTCTTTTTTTTCTTTTAAATATAAAAATTTTTTTTTAGGCTGGGTGTGGTGGCTCACATCTGTAATCCTAGCACTTTGGGAGGCTGAGGCAGTTGGATTGCTTGAGCCCAGGAATTCGAGAGTAGCCTGGGCAACATGGCAAAAACCCATCTCTACAAAAAATAGAAAAATTAGCCAGGTGTGGTGGCAGGCGCCTGAAATCCCAGCTACTTGGGAGGCTGAGGTAGGAGGATCACCCGAGCCTGGGAGGTCAAGGCTGTGGCGAGCTGTGATCGTGCCACTGCACTCCAGCCTGAGTGACAAGAGGGATCCTGTATCAAAAAAAAAAAATACATATATATATATGTACGTTTAGAGACTGCATTTTGCTATGTTGCTGAGGCTAGTCTCGAACTCCTGGACTCAAGGGATCCTCCCCTCACCTTCCCAAAGCGCTTGGATTACAGGCATGAGCCACTGTGCCAGACCTCCAAGGATACATTTTTTGTTTTGTTTTTGTTTTTGTTTTGAGACAGAGTCTTGCCCTGCCACCTAGGCTGGAGTGCGGTGGTGTGATCTCGGCTCACTGCAACCTCCGCCTCCCGGATGCAAGCAATTCTTCTGCCTCAGCCTCCCAAGTAGCTGGGATTACAGGCACATGCGACCACGCCCAGCTAATTTTTATATTTTTAGTAGAGACGGGGTTTCACCATATTGGCCAGGCTGGTCTCGAACTCATGACTTTGTGTTCTGCCTGCCTCAGCCTCCCAAAGTGCTGGGATTACAGGCGTGAGCCACCGTGCCTTGCTTAAATAATACGTTTATAATAATTGACCACTTATGGGAGTTGGGAGCTGTAATGGCTGCTTAAAGTTGGCAACATAGTCTCATTTTAATTGTGAAATACAAAAATTTTTATCATAATAGTTAATGAACATGAATAATATTACAAACATGTTAAAATTATGTGATTAGACACATTAGGGGCTATCCAGGCTAGTGTGTATAGGTTACCACTGCCTGTGCCTCAAAAAACTCACATAGATTTGTGCCTTGGATATCCTTTGATGCAAATTCTTAGAATTTTCTGATATGACATACCCTTAAGTATACTTTATCATATAGTAACTAGTATTACGTGGACACAGTTTATTTATTTATTTTTTTTGAGACGGAGTCTGGCTCTGTCATCCAGGCTGGAGGGCAGTGGCGCGATCTTGGCTCATTGCAACCTCCACCTCCCGGGTTCAAGCGATTCTCCCACCTCAGCCTCCCAGATAGCTGGGATTACAGGCTGCCACCACCACACCCAGCTAATTTTTGTATTTTTAGTAAAGATGGGTTTTTGCCATGTTGCCCAGGCTGGTCTTGAATTCCTGGGCTCAAGCAATCCAACTGCCTCAGCCTCCCAAAAAGTGCTAGGATTACAGGTGTGAGCCACCACACCCAGCCTAAAAAATTTTTTTTTTATTTAAAAGAAGAAAAAGGCTGGGCACAGTGGCTCACCATCAATCCCAGCACTTTGGGAGGTCAAGTTTCACTCCCAGAGTGCTGGGATTACAAGCGTGAGCCACCACGCCCAGTATGATTTGTATTTTTTATAAATATTTTAATGTTGTAGAAGAAAAAATATTGCCAAGCATAGCATTTTTCTCCCCACCCCTTCTTACCTGTTTAATGACACGGCACAATATTGGCCATAGGCAAGAAGGGTGAGGCTGAGCTCACTTGCTGTTTTTTTTTTTGAGGAATGGGTACCAAATTTATTTGTTAATTTCTTGCATTTGAAGTACACAGTCACATCCTTGGCCTGAAATTCTTTGCTGTAGCCCTTCACTGTGACACAACTGCAACCAACCACTTTACAAAGTTTTCCTTGTCTATCAGTTTTACAAAGGCTTAGCCATGTCTCTGGTTTCTTAAGGTCATCAACCTTAATTGGGTTGATTTGGTGTTCGGCACAAAGGGCCACCCCTAGCTTGACATACATAGGCTCTTCACATTTGGATGCAAGCACGCAAAGATGGGCTTGGCCCTTGTCTAAGGCTTTGGCAGCTTTGCAGGTTCCACCTGCTAGGCCATCATGGCTGAGGGCGGTCTTCAGTCTCTTGTAGAGCAGTATTAATATCCATTACACCTCCAGCAGCGTGTCTTCCTTGGTCATGGTGGTGGGTTACAGGTGAAGGTGAATCTTGAGCGCACTCAAGCTTCTGTCTCTGAGCATGTTGTCCATGGCAGAGAAAGAGAGTTGCCTTTCTTTTCTTAACTGCAGGTAGTGGGCAGCAGTCAGTGACAGGTGTAACCTCTGTGGATGACAGCAACAGTTACTGGAGGATACGGGGGAAGAGTGCCACAGTGTGTGAGAGGGGAACCCCCATCAAGTGTGGCCAGCCCATCCGGCTGACACATGTCAACACTGGCCGAAACCTCCATAGTCACCACTTCACTTCACCTCTTTCTGGAAACCAGGTGAGGTGGCTTTCGATGGATTGTTGCTGCTCTGCATTACTCAGTGGGTGCTTGTTTGATCTCTTGGTTCTTAAATGTTTCTTTTCTAGGTGTAGATGTTCTCTTTTGTGCAGACCTGGGGAAATGGCTCTATTTTTGTGTGGGTTTTTGTTGTTTTTGAGACGCAGTCTCACTCTGTCACCCAGGCTGCAGTGCAGTGGCATGATCTTGGCTCACTGCAACCTCCGCCTCTGGGTTCAAGCAAGTCTCCTGCCTCAGTCTCCCAAGTAGCTGGGATTACAGGCGCATGCCACCATGCCTGGCTAATTTTTGTTTTTATTTTTATTTTTTTGAGATGGAGTCTCACTCTGTCACCCAGGCTGGAGTGCAATGGCATGGTCTCAGCTCATTGCAACCTCTGCCTCCTGCGTTCAAGCGGTTCTCCCACCTCAGCTGCCCGAGTGGCTGGGACTACAGGCGTGTGCCACCACACCTGGCTAATTTTTTTTTTTGTATTTTTAGTAGAGATGGGGTTTCACTGTGTTGGCCAGGCTGGTCTCGAACTCCTGACCTTGTGATCTGCCCACTTCGGCCTCCCAAAGTGCTGGGATTACAAGTGCAAGTCACCGCGCCTGGCCTGATTTTTGTATTTTTAGTAGAGATGGGTTTTCACCATATTGGTCAGGCTGGTCTCGAACTCCTGACCTCAGGTGATCCACCCGCCTCTGCCTCCTGGAAGTGTTGGGATTATAGGCATGAGCCACTGCACCCAGCCGGCTTTGTTTTATAAGTGTGAAGAAAATTGTTTCTGGTCAAAGTGGAGACAACAACTAAACCAAATCAAGAAATGGGAAGGACAGACAGACTGGGTATACATCAGCATATCATAAGTTCTGATATTCTGCAATAAAGAAACCCAATGTTTTCCAACTTGCAGTGTTTTTTTTTTTTTTAATGATGCTAACTAGTTACATTAGGAAAATAGATTTGCTTTTGTGTCACTGTTTTTTGTTTTTAAACAGGGTCTTGCTCTGTCACCCAGGTTGTAGTGTGATCTTGCTCACTGCAGCCTCAGCCTCCTGGGCTCAAGCAATTCTCCCACCTCAGCCCTCACTACAGGCTCACGCCACCATGCCTGGCTAATTTTTGTATTTTTTTTGGTAGATACGGGGTTTTGCCATGTTGCCTAGGCTGGTCTCAAACTCCTGAGCTCAAGCTATCTGCCTGCCTCAGCCTCCCAAAGTGCTGGGATTACAAGCATAAGCCAGTACACCCAGCCTTGTGCCACTGTTTTAAGCCTTGAGTTGTCAGGGGATGTGGACACCTTAATGACTCCTTCCCTGTCCCCAGCCCCTGTATGCAGTTTTCCCTATTAATATCTTACCTTCGAAGGGTAAATTTGCTATATTTAATGAAGCAATATTGATACAGTTTTATTAACTAAAGACCATAGTTTTTTTCTGATTCCCTTGTTTTGTTTTGTTTTGTTTTGTTTTTTGAGACAGAGTCTCGCTCTGTCCCAGGCTGGAGTGCTATGGCGCGATCTCAGCTCACTGCAACCTCCGCCTCCCAGGTTCAAGCTATTCTCTTGCCACAGCCTCCTGAGTAGCTGGGATTACAGGTGCCTGCCACCACGCCCGGCTGATTTTTGTATTTTCAGTAGAGACGGGGTTTCACCATGTTGTCCAGGTTGGTCTCGAGCTCCTGACCTTGTGATCCACCCACCTTGGCCTCCCAAACTGCTGGGATTACAGGCGTGAGGCCTCCGTGCCCGGTCCCTTAGTTTTTACCTAATGTTCTTTTTCCATTCCAAAATACCACATTACATATACTTGCCATGTCTCATTAGGCTGTTCTTGGCTGTGACAGTTTTTCAGGCTTCCCTAGTTTTTGATGACCTTGACAGCTTTGAGGAGTGCTGGTCAGGTGTATTGTAGATTGCCCCTCTGTTGGAATTTGTTTTTCTTGTGATTAGACCGGACTTATAAAGGGTTTGGGAGGAAGATCACAGAGGTAAAGTGCCATTTGTATCCCATCATATCAGGGGTACATACTATCTTTATGATTTATGACTGTTGATGTGGACCTTGATTACCTGGCTGAAGTAGTGTTTGTTCGTTAGGTTTCTCCTGTAAAGTTATTCTTTTCATTTTCCCCCTTTCCATGCACTTTTTGGAAGAAAGTCACTATGTGCATTTCACTCTTACAGACTGGAGAGTTATACTCTGTCTACATTAGGGTGGAATATCTACATATTTTATTTGGGATTTTTCCATATTGGGGATTTGTCTCTTTTCCCCAATTTATTTATTTATTCAGTTATTTACATTAGTATAAACTTATGGATAGTTTATACTTCGTTATAATCTAATGCTACTATATTTTGTTGCTCAAATTGTTCCAACTTTGGCCATTGGGAATTCTTTCAGCTGGCTTTGTGTCCATTGGCAGTATCCCATTGTGTTTTTGTGTATATGTGCCTGCACTTTAAAGCACTTCTTTCCTTTCTGGCACCAAAAGATGCTCCAGGCTCATCTTGTTTATTTCTTGCTCCAGTACTAGAATCAGCTGTTTCTCCAAGGAGCTCTGCTTCCTTTTATTGGAGAATGATATTAAAACCAAGTTCTAGGCCTTATGTAAGCTTGTTGCTACTGGAGTGTTTCTTTTAGGCCCTCTCACTTGACAGAATAAATAACTGTAAGCCAGGCGCAGTGGCTCACACCTATAATCCCGGCACTTTGTGAGGCAGAGGTGGGTGGATCACAAGGTCAGGAGTTCGAGACCAGCCTGGCTAACATGGTGAAACCCCGTATCTACTAAAGTACAAAAATTAGCTGGGCATGGTGGCGGGAGCCTGTGATCCCAGCTACTTGGGAGGCCGAGGTAGGAGAATCGTTTGAACCTGGGAGGCGGAGGTTGCAGTGAGCCGAGATTGCACCATTGCATTCCAGCCTGGGTGACAGGGCGAGACTCTGTCTCAAAAAAAAATTAAAAAAATAAAGAATTGTTACCTGTGTGTGCTTACTCGTGTATATATTACATATCTATAAATTTTTATTTGCATAGCCATCTGTATCTACATATATTAAGTTAAATGAGCTTTCTTTTTCTTTTTCTTTTTTTTTTAAGATGGGTTCTTGCTGTGTTATTCAGGCTGGAGTGCAGTGGCTACTCACAGGTGTGATGATAGTGCACTAGAGCCTCGAACTCCTTGGCTCAAGCAGTCCTCTTGCGTCAGCCTTCCAAGTAGCTGGGGATACAGGCATGCCCCACTGTGCCTGGCTAGTGTTCTTATTGATGTCTTTAGCTGTAATCCATTACCACATAGATCGTCCTAGCCTCCTCCCTGTGCTAATTTGTAAATTCCCACTCCAACAGTAAGATACCTTGTTCCTACCATCTGCCATCCATGTATTGAACTTCAGTTCAGTTCCAGTATACAAATATAGCAGTATCAGAATTACATACTGGTACCCTCCTGGGAACAATTTTATCAAGTAGAGTGTACACACACACACACACACACACTTCTGAAATAATCAGTAATTTTTTAATTGCCATCGTATAGAAACTGAATATTTGGCCTTAAGGAAGATGGGATTTAGATGAGGAGTAGAATATAGAGAACTTGCTTTCTCTCTCACTGCCTTATTAGAAAGAAAGAAAAGAATGTAGAAAACTTGCTATGTTTTGCTCAGTTAATATTTGCTATCTCATTTAATTCTCACAGTTGCTCTGTAAGGTGATATTGTGATCATTTTATAGAGGAGAAAACAAAGGCTCAAAGGATTTACAGAAGAAGGGATCAAGTTGAGATTCAAGGTCAGCCTGACTCCCAGAGTCCATTCCCTTTTGAACTTGTCATCAGGTCATTTAAAATCTAGTTAAGAGAATGAAGCAGTAATATTTAAAGTCAAATAACAAGAGATATAAAGTATTTTAAGGGCAGAATGTGGTGGCTCATGCCTGTACTCCCAGCACTTTACTACGCTGAGGTAGGTGGATCACTTGAGGCTGGGAGTTTGAGACCAGCCTGGTCAACATGGTGAAACCCCCATCTCTATTAAAAAATACCAAAATTAGCTGGGTGTGGTAGCACATGCCTGTAATCCCAGCTATTCTGGAGGCTGAGGCATGAGAACCCAAGAGGTGGAGGTTGCAGAGAGCCGAGATTGTGCCATTGCACTCCAGCCTGGGCGACAGAGCGAGATGCTGTCTCAAAAAAGTAAAGTATTTTAAAGCCAGCACGGTGGCTCACACCTGTAATCCCAGCACCCTAAAAGACCAAGTGGGGAGAATCGTTTAAGTCCAGGAGTTAGAGGCCAGCCAAGGCAACACAGTTGCCTACCAAAAAACTTTTAATTACCTGGGTGTGGTGGTATATGCCTGTTGTCTTAGCTACTCAGGAGGTGAGGCCATAAGACCACTTGAGGCACTGCACTCCAGCCTGGGCAACAGAGCAAGATACCCTAACTGTTTTTTTTTTTTTTTTTTTTTTTTTTTTGAGACAAAGTCTCACTCTTGTCATCCAGGCTGGAGTCCAGTGGTGCAATCTCGGCTCACTGCAACCTTCGGCTCACGGCAACCTCCGCCTCCCAGGTTCAAGCGATTCTCCTGCTTCAGCCTCCCGAATAGCTGGGATTACAGGCGCCTGCCACCACACCTGGCTAATTTTTGTATTTTTAGTAGAGATGGGGTTTTACCATGTTGGCCAGGCTGGTCTTGAACTCCTGACCTCAGGCGATCTGCCCGCCTCGCCCTCCCAAATTACTGGGATTACAGGCATGAGCTACCGTACCTGGCCACAATCCCAACTCTTAAAAAGAAAAAAAAAAGAAATTCTGTTTTAACACTGTAATAGAAAATATAAGGCAATTATAGTATTAATTGCAAAATAAGTGTTTGGACCATAATCTTTTTTTTTTCCTTTCTTTTTGATGCCATGACTCAGATAAGAACCATGGACCATAATCTTATAGCAATGAATTTTTTTCCTCCTATGTCCTTTATGTCTTTCGTCTTTTTCCATGGTTCATGGTTTAAACAACACTGGAGTGGCCGGGCACGGTGGCTCATGCCTGTAATCCCAGCACTTTGGGAGGCTGAGGCGGGAGGATCACCTGAGGTTGGGAATTCGAAACCAGCCTGACCAACATGGAGAAACCCTGTCTCTACTAAAAATACAAAATTAGCCGGGCATGGTGGCACATGCCTGTAATCCCAGCTACTAGGGAGGCTGAGGCAGGAAAATCACTTGAACCTGGGAGGCGGAGGTTGTGGTGAGCCGAGATTGCGCCATTGCACTCCAGCCTGGGCAACAAGAGCGATACTCTGTCTCAAAATAAATAAATAAATAAATAAATAAAATAACAACACTGGAAAGCAGCTGAATTTTTTTTTTTTTTTTGAGATGGGGTCTTGCTCTGTAATCCAAGCTGGAGTGCAGTGGTATGATCACAGCTCATTGCAGCCTTGATCCCCTGGACTTAGGTGATAGCTGTAGTAGCTGGGTACCATAGGCATGTGCCACCATGCCCAGCTAATTTCTTTTTTTTTTTTCTTTTTTTTTTTTTGAGACAGAGTTTTGCTCTTGTTGCCCAGGCTGGAGTGCAATGGTGTGATCTCGGCTCACCGCAACCTCCGCCTCCCGGGTTCAAGCGATTCTCCTGCCTCAGCCTCCCGAGTAGCTGGGATTACAGGCATGTGCCACCACACCCAGCTAATTTTGTATTTTTAGTAGAGACAGGGTTTCTCCATGTCGGTCAGGCTGGTCTTGAACTCCTGACCTCAGCTAATTTCTTTTGTATTTTTTTTAGGGATAGCGTTTCACCATGTTGCCCAGGCTGGTCTCAAACTCTTGGGCTCAAGTGATCTGCCCTGCTCAGCTTCCCAAAGTGGTAGGATTACAGGCATAAGCCTGGCCCCTCTGATTTTTTACTTCAAGGTGGCCTTCTTTTTCTTCCCATTGCCTCCCACCCCTTTTCAAGCCCTTGTCAGCCATGCTGATGTTACTACCTTCTGTATTTTCTAGGAAGTGAGTGCTTTTGGTGAGGAAGGTGAAGGTGATTATCTGGATGACTGGACAGTGCTCTGTAATGGACCCTACTGGGTGAGAGATGGTGAGGTGCGGTTCAAACACTCTTCCACTGAGGTACTGCTGTCTGTCACAGGAGAACAATATGGTCGACCTATCAGTGGGCAAAAAGAGGTGCATGGCATGGCCCAGCCAAGTCAGAACAACTACTGGAAAGCCATGGAAGGCATCTTCATGAAGCCCAGTGAGTTGTTGAAGGCAGAAGCCCACCATGCAGAGCTGTGAATCTAGAGGCTCTGAGCCACTGTTAACGCACAATGTTCACAGACATCTGTTGCTGCCTCACCTTGGGATCCCTGCCACAAGTTCCTTGGGCAGTGGCCATGTCACCATTGAGATGAAGATATACAACAGAAAATAGTGGCTGTGTTTGGAAGCTTCAGCCCTGCACATTTGAACTAGTCACTCTCCCAGACTTGCGTGGGTCAGTTCTTTCTGAGTAGAGGACTTGCTGGTAAAGGGGCAGATGCTTTTTATTAGTACTGATAAAACAAACTGAGGGAAACATCCCTCTTAGCTGGGAAACTTTTACTCTTCAGGAGCTTGGCATCATGGACTGTTAATGTATGTGATTTTCCCCCTATTTTCTCTCTCCAAAATGATAAAAACAATAATTTTATTATGAGTCACTGTGTTGTTATTTATTAGGTGTGCTATTTCATTAGCTGCTTAATCCTTTGAGTCCTAAGACTCTTTGGAGACGCTATGAAGCTCCAATGTGGGCCCTTTTAAGAGCTTTTCTTGCATACAAACCTTTTCTCCCTCTACTTTGACTTCTCTCCAGGCATCTCATCTTTAATAGATCTTTGACTAATTATAGCTAAAAACTCTCAGAGAATACAGCATAATAAATAGCCAGTGAAATGTTTGCTTTGTATCTGTTACTGCAGATGAGAAAAAGGTGTAGGGGTAGAAAGAACGAACCAGTATTTATTCACTGCTAAATACTAGGTACCATATTATAGATCTTTTTTTTTATTTATTGTTTTTTAGACAGAGTCTCGGTCTGTCGCCCAGGCTGGAGTGCAGTGGCGCGATCTCGGCTCACTGCAAGTTCCACCTCCTGGGTTCACAACCATCCTCCTGCCTCAGCCTCCCAAGTAGCCGGTGCTACAGGCACCCGCCACCACGCCAGGGTAATTTTTTTGTATTTTTAGTAGAGACAGGGTTTCACTGTATTAACTAGGATGGTCTCGATCTCCTGACCTCATGATCCGCCCGCCTCAGCCTCCCAAAGTGCTGAGATTACAGGCGTGAGCCACCGCACCCGGCCTATAGATCTTACCTCATTTAATCTTCACAGAATTCATATAGGGTAATACTGCATTTTTATCAGTGCAGCAGTTGAGTAACTGCCTGAATTCTTTTTTTTTTTTTTTTTTGAGACAAGTTCTTTGCTCTGTCACCTAGGTGGGAGGGGCACAATCATGGCTTATTACAGCCTTGACCTCCTGGGCTCAAGTTGATCCTCCTGTGTCAGTTTTTGATTTATCGTAGAGATGAGGTCTCACTATGTTACCCAGGCTGGTCTGGAACTCCTGGGCTCAAGTGATCCTTATGCTGTGTCTTCCCAAAGTGCTGGGGATTACAGGAGTGAGCCACCATGCCTGGCCTACTGCCTGAATTCTTTTTTTTTTTTTTTTAAGATGGAGTCTCACTCTGTCGCCCAGACTGGAGTGCAGTGGTGCAATCTCGGCTCACTGCAACCTCCGCCTCCCAGGTTCAAGTGATTCCCCTGCCTCAGCCTCCTGAGTAGCTGGGACTACAGGCACCCGCCACCACACCTGACTAATTTTTGTATTTTTAGTAGAGATGGGGTTTCACCATATTGGCCAGGCTGGTCTTGAACTCCTGACCTTTTGTGATCCGCCCACCTTGGCCTCCCAAAGTGCTGGGAAAACAGGTGTGAGCCACCGTGCCCGGCCTGAATTCTTAAAACTAATAAATCATTTTGGAATAGGAATCCAGCTGTTTCTGACTCAGGTTTTTTTAAGTGCACTACGATTGTGTTTAGCTTTTGGAAAACAAATCCTGTTTTTTGGACAAACGTAGATATATCTCTCTAAAAAGGTGGATAGAAAACTACTTTTGTCCTCTGCCTACCTGATTTCCTCCTTTCCTGTGTCAATTGCAGAAAATTTGCTCCTGTAGCTTCCAATCATGGTATTGGTGAACGGAGATGGCTGCCATCTGCTGGAATTTCAGTGACTAGCAGGCTTTTTTTATTTTTAGAAACTTCCGGGTTTTGTTCTTTTTTTTTCTATTTGTTTTGTTAATGTTGAACATTTAGAGACACCATTTCTGTGCCAAACATGGCCCGTGACGTTAAAAGACTTGGTCTCTTTTACAAGGGCTTGTGGTCTCAATAAATGGAGGCCATGAATTAGTTGAGCCCCACTGTTGCCTCAACCACCCCCCACCCCCGACTCCCTGCCTTTATTCCACTTCACTTGTGTTGATCCCTTAAGATCTCTCCAGAAAGAAATAGACAAATCATAAAATCAACATTTTAGGCTATGAGATGGCTGGGAGTAGGGCCGGTAATAGTCAAGGGAGAAGGAAGGAAGTGACAGGAATCTTGGTTCAATAAACAGATTGGATAAGATGAACCAGAGTAGGGATACGTGTTGCACGGCACCCCTCCTTGACTTGGACAGAGGTTTTCAGTGAATTGGGCCTTCCCAGAGCATTCGGAGGACATACCCTGGGGGAAGGCTGCAGATGACGAGGAAGATGACGCAAATACAGTGCTTGAGAGGTAAGTATGACCTTGAAACAGCAGCGCTGGAGCTCTTGGGGAGATGTGAAATCACTGAAGAGAGGAATAGATAAGGGAGGAAACAATCAGAGGAGTGAAAGCAACTTCGGGCAACACACAGGTGAAAGATGAAATGGTGTTTTATCTGAGGGAGCCAAAAAGAGAGGCTCTGAGTAAAATCTTGAAGGATATATATGGAGATTAGGACGTGGGAGCGAAGGGGTATGAAAAGAGACATGACCTCCTCCATAATACTTATTTTGAAACCGTCAGGATTTCCTTAGCTTGTGCTGTATCAGTAGATCATCATTCAGATACTGATCCTTAGCACAGTAACGCTGAGGGACCTTTGTCCTGTTCTCTCATTTTACAGAGAAGGAAGCAGGCAAAACTATGTATTGTCTATTTTATGTAATTATGTTTGCTTCCCAGATAAACTACACAGAAGGAAGCAGGCAAAACTGACTATGTATTGTCTACTTTATGTAATTATGTTTGCTTCCCAGATAAACTATTTTTTGCTAAAGGGCAAGAACAATATTCACTACTTCTGCAGTATCTCCTCCTCTCCTCCATCAGGGCCCAGTTCGTGCCATAAGTAGATGGACCAGAACAGTGTTCAAACAGTAAATGAAGTAAAAACTCATTGGCCAGGAACCGTGACACGCGTCTTTAGTCCAAGCTACTCAGGAGGCTGAGGCAGGAGGATCCCTTGAGCCTGCAGGAGTTCGAGACCAGACTGGGCAACGTAGCGAGTCCTTGTCTCAAAGAAAAAAAAAACAAAACCTCATTAGTTTCCTCTGTGGATGGAATGAGGCGAGATTTTTGAGGCCTTTTAATTACCTCCTAGTTTCTGCCTCAGTAATTTTCAAACAGGATCTTGAATAAGATGGGAGTGCTACCACGTCTGACCAGGGGTGTAACTTCCGCAGAACCCTGAGTCCAGGCCTAAGTGGCTAGGCGGACTCCAACTCCCCTCAAAGTGAGCTCCCCGGACCGAAATGAGTCAGCCAGGTCCACCGCCAGCCCAGGTAGTGGGCCCGGACTCCGACCCCCGCGGGTCCCCGAGCCCCGCGGTTCCGGGCACCGTGGTGTGCGCCCGGGGCGTGTTTCAGCTCTTGGTCCGCTCCCCCTCGCCCTCCTCCCGGAACCACGCCCGCTCCTCGCGCACGCAGCCCGTCGGCCCTGCAGCGTCGTAGGACAGGGCGGGACTGGGGTGGGAGGCCGTTGGTTGGCTGGCGGGCTGCGGAAGGCGGGGCTCGTGTGCGCACCAGCGCGTCCTCGCTCAGCGTTGCTCCTGCGCGCGCAGCTGGTCGGCCCGCGGCGGTGCTGCGCGGATCCGGCGTCGGGGCCCGGCATGGCGGGGGCCGGGGCCAAGCCGGGCCGGACCCGGACCTAAATGCCTCTGTTCTTCTCCGCGCTGTTGGTCTTGCTGCTAGTTGCGCTTAGCGCCCTCTTTCTAGGCCGGTGAGGGTTCCCGGCCGCGCCGGCGGCGGCGGCGGCGGCGGGAGGGAGGGGGCGGAGAGGAGGAAGAAAGACTGAGGAGGGGGCGCGCGCCTTACTGAGGCGCGTGAGGCAGAGTGGGTAGGGTGGAGGGAGGGGGCGCGCGGCGAGGGGAGGGATCGTGAGGAGGCGCGTGGCCCGAGCTCCCAGGGATGGGCTGCGAGTTGGGGAGACTGAGGAAGCGGGCGGGGTCTGAGGAAATGCTGAGGCCAGGAACTGAATAGGAGTGTGAGGAAGGGGCCTGGTTCAGTGGCTTCCCTTTCCCCCTCCACCCACCCCTGCATGTCCCTTTCGCCAAGCGCGATGGGCACCTGCAGCATCGGTCTGGGGAGAACAGCATTCGAGCTGCCGGGTCTGACCTCAAAGTGCCTTCTCGTGGATACCTGTCTGGAGGGTGGGAGCAGGAGACAGACAGACCCTCTGGGGAGTGTGATGGCACATGTGACAGAGCCGCCTCCGCTTTGACTCTTGCTGGGGTCTTCTCTCTCTGCCTCTGGGATTCATAACAATTTGAGGGATTTTGTTTTTGTCTTCAACTTAGAGGGTGCAGTTTCTGGTTTCATCTGGGTGGAGGGGTCAGTCGGGAGCTAGGATCTTGATCAGCGTGGCTGAATGTATATGACAGAGTGGTGCTTTGGAAGAAAGGAGAGTTGCTCAGATCCAGTTTCAGGAACGACCTTTTGCAAGGCTTTGAAAGACCAGCAAGGGGTGAGGGAAACCATCATTGGAAAAAGGTCCTATGAATTAACAGGAATTTTTCTGCAGGTGGCTTGTGGTCCGGTTGGCCACCAAGTGGTGTCAGCGGAAGCTGCAGGCGGAGCTAAAGATTGGCTCCTTCCGCTTTTTTTGGATCCAGAATGTCAGTCTTAAGTTTCAGCAACACCAGCAAACAGTGGTGAGTTCTGGGAAACTCTGGATATGTGTGTAGGGTTGATCCAATTGAATTTAAACTCTTAATTTCCTTTTTTTAAAAATAGAAATCCTGGTGGCTTTTCTAGTTAATCCCAGCCTTGCCATTTCTTTGCCAAGATGATCTTAGAGCTAGTTGGAGAACGCTGCAAGTTGTTCAGTTAAAAATGTTTGTAGGACACAGAGTGTCCAGGGCACATAACAAAGATACAGAAGAAAGATAACAGGAAATCGAAGATTTTACTGTTCTAATTTAAGATGGGATTCAAGGCAACATGGCTATGAAAGAGAAATTCTAATAATCCAGAACATTTCCTGGCTTGTCAAGCTGCTCGTGGCTTATTTAGCAGCTAGCACACAGAGCTTTCTCCCTCACTGTTTTAGGAAATTGATAACCTGTGGATTTCCAGCAAACTCCTTAGCCATGATCTTCCGTGAGTACCCTATATTCTCACTTCTCCCCTAGAAGAGTACTTTGGAGTTGGTGTTTGCAGAGTGACACTCTTCTGCAGAGGCATCACAATCCAAGGAGGAAGGGAGGTTGTTGCTGAAGTCTTCCTGTTAGCCTGGGTGCCATTGTGTTGTGAGGAAGATATTGATAACTGCTATGAAACTAATCTCTGTGATTTGAGCTATATTTCTAGGAAGGATGAGAAAGTGAATGTGAGGGTGGGGAATAGACTGCTATGGGAGGGATGGACCTGGTGGCAGTGAGATTTCTCTTCTGGGCAGACACTATGTGGCATTGTGCTTTGGAGAAGTGCGTATCAGAACGGACCTACAGAAAGTTTCTGACCTGTCTGCCCCATTCTCCCAGAGCGCTGGGGTGGATCAAAAGGAACTGTCCTTCAGCCCATCCTTATTGAAGATCTTCTGCCAAGTGAGACAACTTCTCCTGCTATCCTGGACTGTACTTTGGCATGGTTGGCTTTGGAGTTATGGGTAGATTTTTCTGTTTTTAGGGCATAATGCTAAGAGCTGCCCCTCTTTCTCATCTGGAAAGGAAGGGCAGTTCCTTAACATTAATTATTGTTCATCCTTGCTTCTTCCTTCCAGCTATTCTCCATTCATGTAGATGCTATAAACATCATGGTTCTCAAGGTGGATACCTCTGAGTCCTTATGGCATATTCAGATCAGTAGAAGCAGATTTCTTTTGGATAGTGATGGGAAAAGGTAAGCACTGGGGAGCAGAGGATCTAGCCGTCCTATTCTTGCCTCAGAGTTGCTTCAGGGCCTCCTTATCAAGGTGTTAAGTTCTCATTCTGTGCAGTTGGAGGAGATGCTAAGATTAGACATTTCCAATTGCCTTGTCCCTTCTAGCCACCAGAGCTTGACTGGAGGTAAGTGGTGAGGAAAGGGACCAAGTTCTCTTTTTTTTAAATTTTTTTTTTGAGACAGAGTCTTGCTCTGTTGCCTAGGCTGGAGTGCAGTGGTGCGGTCTTGGCTCACTGCAAGCTCCGCCTCCTGGGTTCAGACCATTCTCCTGCCTCAGCCTCCCGAGTAGCTGGGACTACAGGCGGCCGCCACCGCGCCTGGCTAATTTTTTGTATTTTTAGTAGAGATGAGGTTTCACCGTGTTAGTCAGGATGGTCTTGATCTCCTGACCTCATGATCCTCCCACCTTGGCCTCCCAAAGTGCTGGGGTTACAGGCGTGAGCCACCGCGCCCGGCAAGGCCAAGTGCTCTTAATTTTTTTCCTTTCCCAGGCTAATCTGTGAGGTGAGCTTATGTAAGATCAACAGCAAAGTTCTAAAGAGTGGTCAGCTGGTAAGTATGCCATGATCATTCAGATGCCTCATTTCCTCCTGGGCGTAAAGTGTGAAGGAGCTTAGGGCTTACATCCTAGGTTCTTTGACCTTAGGGGGTTCCCTCAAGTCAGTACCCAGTGTTCCAGATCACCACATTTTGACCTAAAACTTCCAAACTTTCTTACATACACCTTAGAGGCTTATCATCCCCACAGGAGGACACCTGCCTAGTGGAGCTTTCACTGGCCCTGGACCTGTGTCTAAAGGTGGGCATTAGCAGTCGGCATCTCACTGCTATCACTGTGGATGTGTGGACACTCCATGCTGAACTGCATGAGGGCCTCTTCCAGAGCCAACTGCTGTGCCAGGGCCCAAGCCTAGCATCTAAGCCTGTTCCCTGTTCAGGTAAAGCCCCAGTGATTGAGCTTCTTGGCTGCCTTGTTCTCAGGGTTTGTTTTGGAAGTAGAAAAAATAGTGGTCTCACTGCTTATTTAGATGTGATTCACTAGTCACCATGGACTTTGACCCTAAGGATAGTTAGAGGAAATAGGGCATTTGCTTGTGCTGAGTGGCAGAACCAGCATTGAGTGGGCACCTATCATGAGTTAGACCTGTACTATGGGTTTTTTTTTTTTCCTTTTTTTTTAAAAAAAAAGATGGAGTCTTGCTCTGTCACCCAGGCTGGAGTGCAATGGCGTGATCTCGGCTCACTGCAACCTTTAACCTTCTGGGTTCAAGTGATTCTCCTGCCTCAGCCTCCTGAGTAGCTGGGATTACAGTCATCCGCCACCATGCCTGGCTAATTTTTGTATTTTTAGTAGAGACGGGATTTCGCCGTGTTAGCCAGGATGGTCTCGATCTCCTGACCTCGTGATCCGCCAGCCTTGGCCTCCCAAAGTGCTGGGATTACAGGCGTGAGCCACCATGCCTGGCCTTGTACTATGTGTTTTATATACAGTTGACCACTGAACAACACAGGTTTGAGCTGTGCGGATCCACTTATGTGGATTTTTTTCAATAAATACAGTTGGCTCTCCATATCTGTGTGTTCCGCATCCACAAGCAAGTGTGGATGGAAAATGCCAATATTTGCAGGATATGAAACTCACCAATATGGAGGGCTGACTTTTTGTATACATGAGTTCCCACAGGGACAACTGCTGGACTTGAGTATGTGCGGACTTTGGTATCTGCAGGGGGTCCTGGAACCAAAGCTCCAAGGATACCAAAGGATGACTGTATATTCTCTAACTAAATCCTCAGCATTTCACAAATAAGGAAACTGAAGCCTAGGAAGGTTAGCTAGGTAACTTGACTGAAGTCATACAGGCAGTCAGTAGTAAAAATGATGTTTAAATTATTTGGCCCTAAGGTCCACATTCTTTTCATTTACCAACCTGCTCCTTGTACTCTTTAGGTTTTTAGAGACTGGAGAAAGAAGTACTGCAGGTGCCTGGATCTCTGGGGCATTCGCCTTATGGTCCATCCAGCTTAGGCATTTGCTTAGCCTACTTTATGTGGGAGGATTTGACCATAGAGGCCAGGGCATTTCGGGAGAACTGGGAGTGTTAAGAATTGATGGTTCTTACGTTATTCATTCATATTTTCAGAGGTGACAGAAAACTTAGTTGAGCCAACTCTGCCTGGCCTATTCCTTCTCCAGCAGCTGCCAGACCAGGTCAAGGTTAAGATGGAGAACACAAGCGTGGTATTGTCCATGAATAGTCAAAAGAGGTGAGGTCTCTCCTGACACAGAAGATGGGAGAGTGATAGTGGGAGCTGTATGTTGGTATCTCTGTAACCAGCCTAGTATTTGCTGAGCTTGTCTACGGGGAGAAAGGAAGTAGAAATGGTTACATCCATGTAGTGTGGGAAAAATTAAAAAAATTATTATTATTTTTGAGACGGAGTCTTGCTCTGTTGCCCAGGCTGGAGTTCAGTGGTGCGATCTTGGCTCACCACAACCTCTGCCTCCCAGGTTCAAGCGATTCTCCTGCCTCAGCCTCCCGAATAGCTGGGATTATAGGCACGTGCCACCACGCCCGGCTAATTTTTTGTATTTTAGTAGAGGCAGGGTTTCACTGTGTTGGCCAGGATGGTCTCGATCTCCTGACCTCGTGATCCCCCTGCCTCGGCCTCCCAAAGGGCTGGGATTACAAGAGTGAGCCACTGCGCCTGGCCAAAAAATAATTACTTTTAAAAAATAAAAGTAAAAGAAGTAGGAATGGCATTCCACATCTTCCTGAGCTGGAATCTGTCTCGGTCCAGGCACCTGACTTGGACTCTGAAGCTGCTGCAGTTCCTGTACCACCGTGATGAGGATCAGCTGCCCCTTCGAAGCTTCACAGCAAACTCTGATATGGCACAGATGAGCACTGAACTGCTGCTGGAAGGTTCATGGGTCGGGGTACTGGTACTGAGCGAGAATGGGAGGACTAGATACTCTCTTTGCTCATGCCCCATATGGTCTCCTTAATCTAATCTCAGTGTAACTGGGGAGTGGAAGGAGGGAACATACTGAGAGAAAATAGCCCCAGCTCACAAGTTTTGATGACAGTCTGTTGATCCCTTTGCCGGCTTCTGACCCTCTCCCAGTTTTACCTCTTGCCCTTCCAGTGCTCTCCTCTGATCTGTCCTCTGGCCTCTTACAGATGGGTTGTTGTTGTCCCAGAGTCGCCAACGCATTGTCTGCCTCAACTCCCTCAAGGCTAGTGTGCAGGTGTGATGATTGTGGTACCAAGAATTGTTCCTTTCTCTATTCTCCCGCTACATTATTTCGTTTTGAGTTTGTGAAATAAAACCCAAACCCACAGTTCTGGTCTTCTTATTTCAGGTGACCACCATTGACCTCTCAGCCTCCCTAGTTCTGAACACTTGCATCATTCACTACCGGCACCAGGAATTCTCTCACTGGCTGCACCTGCTAGCACTGGAAACCCAAGGGTCTAGTTCACCTGTTCTAAAGCAAAGGAAAAAAAGGTCAGTCTGATCTTTTTCAGCCACCTTCTTGTCAGTTGGATTCTCTGGGATTCTTTTGGTCCAAATTGGCATCCTGTGTTAAATATGTATTTGGTTGTTTGACCTCCTCAAATCCGAGTCTCAACAGCAATCCTGTTTTATATATCTTTCCCATTAGACTAGACTCCTTGATAGCAGAATGCTGTCCTCTTTGTTTTTATGTCCTCGGTGCTCAGTGTAGTGTTTTATACAAAATAAATGTTTGTTGAACTGAACTTAAATGATAAGGAATGTCTTTGTCTTGCCTGCCTTTGATTGTAAGGTGGCAGTCATGTCTTTGTGTAGTGCTTCTATTGTGCTGCACAGAGAACTTAAGGTTATGGTTTAGAAGTGATGCTTCTTGGTTATTTTAGGTTCAAGCGTATAGTATTGCTGGTGTTCATTGTATTTGGCCTATGAAAATGATAATTTTATATGAGTCAACCTAATATCCTTTTGGGGTTCCTGCAGATTACCATTAAGAGTAGCAATAAACTGATGAGTTCAGCCTTTTATCTTCTAGGTGTGTCTCGTCCTAAGAATCACAATAAAACTCTGAATTCTCACTCTGATTGTGAGAGCTTCAGAAACTGTTCCATGATAGGAAGCTGCAGTTCTTTTCTTACCAAACAATGATGTCTTGTTCCTATGCAGAACCTTCCCCCAAATCCTGGCTCCCATCATCTTTAGCACCTCCATCTCCAATGTCAACATTTCCATTCAACTTGGAGATACACCACCTTTTGCCTTGGGATTCAATTCTATCTCTCTGGGTAAGGCTCTCAGATGGAATAGGAACAAGAATCTGTCCGTTAGTGGAGCTAGGCCCAATTGATGGCCACAGTGGCTCCATGCAATCCCTCTTTCTCACCTTTGTTCAGATTACCAGCACCTCAGGCCACAAAGCATCCATCAGCGGGGCGTCCTAACTGTGGACCACCTCTGCTGGCGTGTGGGCAGTGACTCCCACATTCAGCGGGCGCCACACCCACCCAATATGCATGTTTGGGGTGAGGCACTTGTTCTGGACTCCTTCACACTACAGGTAGGTGAGGGCTTTGGTGAATAGGGGCCTGCACAGCTTTCCTCATCCTGTCATGCGTCAGAGCGCTGAGCATCCTAATGCAGCAGGAAGTGCATTAGGGCATTATAAAACTGTGCGCCTGCATACTTCTAATGGGATCCGTCTGCTTCTTCTCTAGGGTAGCTATAACCAGCCTCTGGGCCTGTCCAGCACCCAGTCAGATACCCTTTTTCTTGATTGTACCATTCGAGGACTTCAGGTGGAAGCATCAGATACCTGTGCCCAATGTCTGTCTCGTATCTTATCCCTGATGGGTCCACAATCTGGGAAGTCAGCTGTCTCTAGGCACTCTTCATTTGGGGAATCTGTGTCATTACTGTGGAAGGTGGACTTGAAGGTCGAAGACATGAACTTGTTTACCCTTTCTGCCTTGGTTGGTAAGTGGGACAAGGAGTCTATACTGAAGTGTGCTACTTGGGAGACTGAGGCAGGAGAATCACTTCAACCCAGGAGGCAGAGTTTGCAGTGAGCTGAGATGGTGCCACTGCACTCGAGCCTGGGCAAACGAGCGAGACTCTGTCTCCAAAAAATAAAATAAAATAAGTAAATAAATATACTGAAGTGTGTAGTGTGTAACCTTAGCAGATTATGTTGGTTTAGTCTGCTCCTCATTTAATGAAGCTGATTATCTGGAATTTTTCTAAATTAGAGGCACGAGATGCTTGAAAGTCTTGCATAAATATTAGACTTCTTGGTATTTCTTAAGGGCTTATGAAAGGCAAGTACTAAGCAAGACATATAAGAAAAAGCCTTGATCTAGTCAAGAGAGATCCATATAACTTTTTATTTCCTTGTGTGTTTAGTTCTAGAGAGTAAATGGTATGTCTCTGTGCAATTTGTAGGAGTTAAGGAACAACTTTGATTCTGCCGAATCTAGTTAGGTTAAGATGGGAAAGGGAAAGTTTACTTAAAACCTAAGAAATGAACTTAGGGAGGCATGAGGAATAAAGATAGTTAAGGGAATAAGTGAGAAAGGCGAGTGAGGACTATTGTTGCCCTTTGAGAGCCGGGAACCAAGGCTGACATGGTTTCTGGTTGTTAGGTGCTTCAGAGGTACGACTGGACACCCTAACTATCCTGGGCAGTGCAGAGACGTCCACTGTGGGGATTCAAGGACTTGTGTTAGCGCTGGTGAAATCAGTCACGGAGAAGATGCAACCCTGTTGCAAGGCCCCTGACATCCCTACCCCAGTGCTCAGCCTTTCCATGCTCTCCATCACCTATCACAGCAGCATCCGCTCTCTGGAGGTAATGTTCCTGTGGAGAGGTGGGGCCAGGCTGGTTTTTTCCTCAGCTTAGAGCCTTTCTCTGTCTTTTTTTTTTTTTTTCTTGTCTTTTCCCAAAACAGAGTGTCACATGTTGCCCAGACTGGTCTTAAACTACTGGGCTCAAGCAGTCCTCCTATCTTGGCCTCCCAAAGTGCTGGGATTACAGGTGTGAGCCACCACGCCCAGCCTCTCTTTTTAACTCATGTTGTGAAACTGGTTTCATGAGAAATATGACACCTGATCTTCTTTATTTTTTCTAGCTCGTATGTTTTTAACTTTTTGTGGAATTTAAAATACATACAAAACTAGAGAGAATTTATAAGCTTTTGTATACCAAGATTCAATAATTACCAATTCATGACCAACTTCTTTTAATTATACTGTCACCAATTTCCCCTGCCTCAGGCTCTGGGATTATTTTGAAGTAGGTAAGTACGTATCAGACATATATAATTTCAACTATAAATATTTCACTATGCATCTCTGAAAAATAAGGGGCTTTTTAAAAAGAATGATCTGGTGTTATTTTGCTGAAGCCCTCGGCCCATTAAAAGACTGGAAGGAGTCAGAAGATAGAGGCACTGGCAGGTTTTGAGAGGCTTTCCAGTATCTTTATCCTCAGGGTAACAAATGGACATGGGACCCTCTTAGGAGGAGGGTGGGGCGTTAGTTCCTCCTTGTCAGACTTCACCGTCCTTTGGAAACTGAAGAGTTTCCTTTTTAGAGACTAGAACTTGAGAATTTTATGTCCTGGAATTTTACTTTTCTCTGTCCACTTAGCTATTCAGAAGCTGACAAAGACACTACTCTCTCCTTGAGGCATACTTTTACGTAAGTCAGCTGCCATATTGACTTGTGTGCTCAGTACTTTATTATGCTATATTTTGAGAATTAAATTGATGCAATCAACTCATGAAACCTTTTCAAGTTGACTGTTGCAGTGGTTACTAGACAGTGTAGTTGCTGATAGAAAGGTAACTCATAAGCAGAAACATGAAGCCAGATGATTTATTGAGTACCTGCTGTCTATACTGAGTATACTATGGTAGATACCAAAGAATTAAGACACATGGCCCCTATTTTCAGACAATTTAGAATCCAGTTGAAGAGAACTTAAAAAGTATAAGTGCTCTTAAATGTCAGACACTATCAACTGTCAGCTCAGCACATTAGTGCTAACAGGAACAAAGCAAGGCAGTAATTAATGTGATTACTCAGGAACAACTTCTGGGTGGAGATGGTTCTTGAGCCAGGTGTGCATGTGTCATAATCCTTGCCATCTCTACTGTTTTGTGACATGGTAATTGACAGATCCTTTTCTTCTGCTCCCTAAAGGTTCAGTGTGGTGCAGGGCTGACCTTACTTTGGAGCCCCCCAGATCACATGTACCTGTACCAGCATGTCCTGGCCACTCTACAGTGCCGAGACCTACTAAGAGCCACTGTGTTTCCTGAGACTGTACCATCCCTTGCACTAGAGACTTCAGGAACTACTTCTGAGCTAGAAGGCCGTGCCCCTGAGCCATTACCCCCAAAGCGGCTGCTAAACCTAACCCTGGAGGTGAGCACAGCCAAGCTCACAGCTTTTGTAGCTGAGGACAAGTTCATTACCCTGGCTGCAGAGAGTGTGTCACTGAGCCGGCATGGAGGTTCCCTGCAGGCATACTGTCCAGAGCTGGCTGCTGGCTTTGATGGCAATAGTATCTTCAACTTCAAGGAGGTGGAGGTGCAGCTGCTACCTGAGCTGGAAGAGATGATCCTCCACCGGAACCCCTTCCCTGCGCTGCAGACCCTCCGGAACCGTGTTTGGCTCCTCTCTTTCGGCTCAGTCTCGGTGGAGTTTCCTTATCAGTATGACTTTTCTCGAACTCTAGATGAGGCTGTGGGAGTTCAGAAGTGGCTGAAGGGACTACATCAAGGGACTCGTGCTTGGGCCTCTCCAAGCCCTGTCCCACTCCCACCTGATCTACTCTTAAAGGTTGAGCACTTCTCATGGGTTTTCTTGGATGATGTTTTTGAGGTGAAACTTCATGATAACTACGAGCTGATGAAGGATGAAAGTAAGGAGAGTGCCAAAAGACTACAGCTACTGGATGCTAAAGTGGCCGCCCTTCGGAAGCAGCATGGGGAGTTGTTGCCTGCCCGCAAAATTGAGGAGCTCTATGCCTCTTTGGAACGCAAAAACATTGAAATCTACATCCAGCGTTCCCGTCGTCTCTATGGCAACACACCCATGCGCCGGGCACTGCTTACTTGGAGCTTAGCAGGGCTAGAACTGGTAGCTCTGGCAGATGCCTCCTTCCATGGTCCTGAGCATGTGGTAGAACAGGTTCAAGAGCTTGATCCAGGCAGCCCTTTTCCCCCTGAGGGATTAGATCTTGTCATTCAGTGGTGTCGAATGCTCAAGTGCAATGTCAAGAGCTTTCTGGGTAAGTAGTGTTTCCTTTATTTGCAGACCCCGTGTTTGCCCGCTGAGCTCTGGGGAGCTCTCAGTGATTTCAGAGGAACTAGGTTATATTGGGAACTGTGCCGTTTTGGGTGGGTGGAGTGGGATGGGTGGGCTTCCCTTCCCTTTCTTTGTTCCTGAATTTCACCGTGAAATTGCTTGGCTAACATAAAGGGAAAGCTAACACAGTCATCTTTAAGGTTATTGTGTCTCTTGGATCTCAGTGCTATGCCCTTAACCACCTGCTCCAGGGTCACTGTCATTTTTCAGCTTGCTGTGTCAACTGCCTGCCCTTGTTCTCTCAATTGACTTTGTAAATATAGATGGGTAAAATAGTGGTGAGGAAAAAGATAGGCCCGAGAGTGCTCAGACTGCCCCTGAGTAGCCAGTGTGTACCCTTCCTCTGGTAACAGTTCGGATCAGGGACTATCCACGGTACCTGTTTGAGATCCGTGACTGGCGGCTAATGGGTCGACTTGTGGGCACCGAGCAGAGTGGTCAGCCTTGCTCCCGTCGGCGTCAGATCTTGCACTTGGGGCTTCCGTGGGGTAACGTGGCAGTGGAGAGGAACATGCCCCCACTCAAATTCTACCATGACTTTCACTGTGAGTAGAGATGAGGCAGTTGGTTTGGCTGAGGGACGTTTGTGATGGGTGAAATGGGAGGTGAGCTGAGACCCTTCTGGAGTGAAGGAGGAAGAGAGGGGTAATGTTGTGAACAAGTTATAGCCTTTGTTCCTCTACCCCAGCGGAAATATTCCAGTACACAGTGGTGTGGGGCCCATGCTGGGATCCAGCCTGGACACTAATTGGCCAGTGTGTGGACCTCTTGACCAAGCCCTCAGCTGACCCCAGCCCACCTTTGCCCTGGTGGGACAAGAGCCGTCTTCTGTTCCATGGAGACTGGCACATGGACATTGAACAGGCGAACCTGCACCAGCTGGCCACTGAGGTGAGGGGTGTCATGATACTTTTATCCTATCAGGATGGTATGGTTGAGGTCTGTATAGCACATGTGGGAAGAGAGACAGGTGCTGATTTGGGAGATGAGGATGGTTTTCTTACCTATATCTCACCAAATTCTCGGGGGTGGTCATAGGATCCATACAACACAACTGAAAATATGCACTGGGAGTGGAGCCACCTGTCTTTTCATTGGAAACCTGGTCAGTTTGTGTTCAAGGGTGACTTGGATATCAACGTGAGAACAGCCTCTAAGTGAGTGGAGTGAAGGGAGGGTCCTCCATGGGATGAGGGGCTCAGGTTGGAGGGAGGGGGAAGAGCCAAGGGGAAGTGAGTGACCAGGGCACTGAGGGCTGGGGTTCCATTGTGAGGCAGGTATGACGACTGCTGCTTCCTTCACCTGCCTGACCTCTGCATGACACTGGACCTGCAGTGGCTGTGCCATGGGAACCCCCATGATCACCATAGTGTCACTCTGCGGGCCCCAGAGTTCCTGCCTGAGGTGCCCTTGGGCCAGCTTCATGACTCCTACCGGGCCTTTCGCTCGGAGAACCTCAATCTCTCCATCAAGATGGATCTGACTCGGCACAGTGGAAGTGAGGCTTGGGCCTGGGGCAGTGGGGAGGAAGGGCTTGGGAGGACGGGCATGGATGCTGGGGACTTTAGCTTGACCCTCTGGGGAGGGGAGGGGAGGGGAGAAGGGCAAGGGAGAATCTAGGTTAGGACCTTTTTTTTTGTTTTTTGGCAGGGGAAAGGGTTGGTGTCTTAGTCCTTTTTGGCTGCTATAACAGTAATACCACAAGTTTGGTAGCTTATAAACAACAAGCGTTTATCTCTCACAGTTCTGGAGGCTTGAAAGTCGAAGATCAAAAAGAGCTGATAGATTCAGTGTCAGTGAGGGCCCATTCCTCATAGATGGTGCCTTTTTGCTGTGTCCTAATATGGTGGAAGGAGTCAGTGAGCTCCCTTGGACCACTTTTAAAAGGGCACTAATCCTATTCATGAAGGCTCCACCGTCATGATCTAGTGACCTCCCAGAGGCCCACCTCTTAACATCATTACCTTAGGGGTATTTCAGCATGAATTTTGGGGAGATGCAAACATTTAGACCATAGCAGTAGGGGAAAGCAGAGAGCTTAGATCCTTGAAAGAAGAGGGAGTTGGGGATGCTGAATGTGAGGCTAGGTGCTGTTTGGATTTTGGATTTTTAAACCTCTACAACCTGCAGCAAGGGAAGGATTTAGCTTTACCTCTGTGTTTCATCCATAACTAGGAAATGTCTGTCTTTCTCTTTGCAGCAATATCCCAGCCCCGAATTCTGCTATATAGTAGTACCCTGCGCTGGATGCAAAACTTCTGGGCAACTTGGACAAGTGTCACAAGGCCTATCTGCAGGGGAAAGCTCTTCAATAACCTGAAACCCAGCAAGAAGAAACTTGGTCAGCACTACAAGCAACTTTCCTATACAGCCCTCTTTCCCCAGCTGCAGGTAAGGCACTGATGTCCCTGCTGACATCTTCACTTTATTCTGCTTCTAGTTTTCTTGTTTCTCATATTGAGTCCCTTAATCATCCCTCTCATGCCATCCTTTGTTAATGTTATGCTCTCTTGTTGCCAGGTACATTATTGGGCCTCATTTGCCCAGCAACGGGGCATCCAGATTGAGTGCAGTCAGGGCCATGTCTTCACTCGGGGGACTCAGCGGCTTATACCTCAAGGTAAAATGAAAGACTCCTTTCATTTCTCCTATCCTGTTCCTTGTTTTTCCCTTCTCAGTTCCATTCCCCTCCTCCATCTCTGTCTTACACTATCCTCTGAACTGGTCAGCATGGTCTCTGTGTGCCTCTTTTTCTCAGCAGGCACAGTGATGCGGCGCCTTATCTCTGATTGGAGTGTTACCCAGATGGTGAGTGACCTAAGTCAGGTGACCGTTCACCTGATGGCCTCACCCACTGAAGAGAATGCTGATCACTGTCTTGATCCCTTGGTAACAAAGACCCACCTGCTGAGCTTGTCCTCCCTCACCTACCAACGGCATAGCAATCGCACAGCTGAGGAGGTACTCCCTGACACACTTTCTTTATTACCTTATTTATATTAGTAGGTATCTCAGCCTACTTGGGCTGCCATAACAAAATACCAGAGACTGGGAGGTTTATACAACAAAAATTTATTTATGAGTTTTGGCTACTGGGAAGTCCAAGATCACGGTGCCCGCATGGTTGGGTTCTGGTGAGGGCTGTCTTCCTGGCTTGCAGATGGCTGCCTTGTGTCTGTCCTCACATGGCAGAGAGGGAGAGAGAGCACAAGTGTGCACGAGTGCTCTGGTTTCTCTTATTGTAAAAGCACTAATTCTGTCATGAGTGCCCCACCCTCGTGACCTTATGTCATTACCTCCCAAAGGCCCATCTCCACATACTGTTACATTGGGGGTTAGGACTTCAACATATGAATTTGGGGGGAACACAGTAAAGTCCATAGGAGTAGGTTGCAGATTAAGTCCCTGGTAAGGTTTCTCATATATTCCAAGCATGTATGTCATTACTTTATGACAAACTCATTTGGTTTAGCTGTATCAGCATCCTTCTTTTTGAAAATACTTTTTCTTTCTCTCCTAAAAATAGTATGTTACTCTTTAGGAAATAGAGTAAAATTTTTTCCTAACACTGAAAAAAAAATTGGTACTGCCTTTCCCCCAATTAGGGAAGGATTTTAAGTTGAAATTCTCAAGTCATTTAAAATACAGTGGGGGAGGGCTGGGTGCGGTGGCTCATGCCTGTAATCCCAGCACTTTGGGAGGCCAAGGCGGATGGATCATTTGAAGTCAGGAGTTCAAGACTAGCCTGACCAACATGGTGAAACCCCCATCTCTACTAAAAATACAAAAGAATTAGCTGGGAATGGTGGTACATGACCGTAGTTCCAGCTACTTGGGAGGTTGAGGCAGGAGAATCTCTTGAACCCGGGAGGTGGAGGTTGCAGAGAGCCGAGGTCACACCAGTGCGCTCCAAGCTGGGTGACAGAGCAAGATGCTGTCTCCAAAATACAAAAAAAAAAAAAAAAAAAAAAAAACAGTGGGGGCTGGGCTCAGGTGGCTCATGCCTGTAATCCCAACACTTTGGGAGGCTGAAGCAGGTGGATTGCTTGAGCTCAGGAGTTTGAGACCAGTCTGGGCAACATGAGGAAACCCTGTCTCTACCAAAAATACAAAAAATTATCTGGGTGTGGTGGCATGTGCCTGTGGTCCCAGCTACTCGGGAGGCTGAGGTGGGAAGATGGCTGGAGTCTGGGAAATCGAGGCTGCAGTGAGCCATGACCGCATCACTGCTCTCCAGCCTGGGTGACAGAGTGAGACCCCATCTCAGAAATAAATAGGCAAAGTGTGATGGCTCATGCCTGTAATCCCAGCACTCTGGGAGGCCAGGGTGGGTGGATCCCTTGAGCTCAAGAGTTCCAGACCAGCCTGGGCAACATGGTGAAACCGTGTTTCTACAAAAAATACAAAAAAATTAGCCAGGCATGGTGGCATGCACCTGTAGTCCTAGCTATTTAGGAGGCTGAGGTAGGAGGATGGCTTGAGCCCAAGAGGCAGAGGTTGTAGTGAGCCAGGATTGCACCATTAAGGCTGGGTGCAGTGGCTCACACCTGTAATCCCTACACTTTGGGAGGCTGAGGCAGATGGATCAGTCGAGGTCAGGAGTTTGAGACCAGACTGGCCAACATGGTGAAACCCTGTCTCTACTAAAAATACAAAAATTAGGCCAGGTATAGTGGCTCACGACTGTAATCCCAGCACTTTGGGATGCCAAGGTGGGCGGATCATTTGAGGTCAGGAGTTTGAGACCAGCCTGGCCAATATGGTGAAACCCCATCTTTACTAAAAAATACAAAAATTTGCTGGGCGTGGTGGCAGGTGCCTGTAATCCGAGCTACTCGGGAGGCTGAGGCAGGAGAATCGCTTGAACCCGGGAAGTGGAGGTTGCAGCCAGCTGAGATCGCACCATTGCCTTCAGCCTGGACGACAAGAGTGAGACTCTGTTTCCAAAAAATAAATAAATAAATAAATAAAAAATAAATAAATTAGCCAGGTGTGGTAGCACATACCTGTAATCCCCAGGTACTTGGAGACTGAAGCATGAGAATCGCTTGAACCTGGGAGGCAGAGGTTGCAGTTAGCCAAGATCATGCCACTGCACTCCAGCGTGGGTGATGGAGTGAGACTCTGTCTCAAAAAAAAATCACACCACTGCACTTCAGCCTGGGAGACAGAACCAGATTCTGTCTCAAATAAATAAATAAAAATAAATAAATATATTTAAAAAATAAAATGGGCCAGCACAGTGGCTTGTGCCCGTAGTCCCAGCTACTTGGGAGACTAAGGCAGGAAGATTGCTTGAAGCCAGGAGTTCAAGACCAGTCTGGACAAAATAGACTCCATTTCTTAAAAAAAAAATTTTAGAGGAACTCTGAAAACGTTTTTTGATAAAGAATAAAATACAGTAGGTATAGTTTGAATGTAATATAATATAAAAGCCAAGACCACTTAGTTTTTCTTCTCCAGGGTCTGTCTCCCCACCACGCCCAGTGAATTTTTTTTTTTTTTTGAGACTGCGTCTCTCTCTGTCGCCTGGGCTAGAGTGCAGTGGTGTGATCTCGGCTCACTGCAACCTCCACCTGCCAGGTTCAAGCGATTCTCCTGCCTCAGCTTCCTGAGTAGCTGGGATTACCAGTGCCAGCCACCATGCCCAGCTAATTTTTTGTATTTTTAGTAGAGATGGGGTTTCACCAGGTTGGCCAGGCTGGTCCCAAACTCCTGATCTCGTGATTTGCCCACTTCGGCCTCCCAAAGTGCTGGGATTACGGGCATGAGCCATGGCATCTGGCCAACAGGTTTCTTATTCAACAAACTTTTATCACTGCCTCTGTGGCACTGGGGGCAATTTCCATGCTACCCTGAAGTCCTTTTCCTGTTTCTTAGGAGCTCTCTGCTCGTGATGGGGATCCTACCTTTCATACACATCAGCTGCACTTAGTAGATTTACGGATTTCCTGGACAACTACCAATCGAGACATTGCCTTTGGGTTATATGATGGGTACAAAAAGGCAGCTGTACTCAAACGTAATCTTTCTACTGAGGCCCTGAAGGGGTTAAAGATTGATCCACAGATGCCAGCCAAAAAGCCAAAGCGGGGTGTCCCAACTAGTGCCTCAGCCCCACCTCGTGTTAACACTCCCAGCTTCAGTGGACAACCTGATAAGGGGTCATCAGGAGGTAAGCTCGGGGAGATGAGACTTTTTGGGTTTGGGTTTAGAACATGGATATGGGCTTGGACAGGAGTTTTAAAAGGACTGAGTCATGGTGCTTCTATCTAGGTAAAGAAGTGAAACTATTATTTTTCCTTCTTAGGCCACCTAAGTCTTACATATTAAGTAACAGTGATGTTGGGGCATTAAATGGTCTGGTCCTATGGCCAGAAGAGAATCAGAAGGGGAGTGTTGGAGCCAAAACAAGATGAGTAAGGGAAAGAAGCAAAGTGGTAAATGCCATAAGAGAGAAATAAAAGAAAATGGGAGTTGGATGGGCACAGTGGCTCACTCCTGTAATTCCAGCACTTTTGGAGGCCGAGGTGGGTGGGTCACTTGAAGTGAGGAGTTCAAGACCAGCCTGGCCAACATGGCAAAACCCCATCTCTACTAAAAATAATACAAAAAAAATTAACCAGGCATGGTGGCAAGTACCTGTAATCCCAGCTACTCGGGAGGCTAAGGCACGAGATTCGCTTGAACCCAGGAGGTGGAGGTGATAGAGCAGGACTCCATCTCAAAAAAAGAATATGGGGCCGGGCGCAGTGGCTCACGCCTGTAATCCCAGTACTTTGGGAGGCTGAGGTGGGTGGGTCAGGAGATCGAGACTATCCTGGCTAACACGGTGAAACCCCATCTCTACTAAAAATACAAAAAAATTAGCCGTGCATGGTGGCGGGTGCTTGTAGTCCCAGCTACTTGGGAGGCTGAGGCAGGAGAATGGCATGAACCTGGGAGGCAGAGCTTGCAGTGAGCCTAGATCGCACCACTGCACTCCAGCCTGGGCCACAGAGCAAGTCTCTGTCTCAAAAAAAAAAAAAATGGAGGTATTGCTGACAGGAGTGAAGGGGGGAATACCATCAGGGGAGGGTTTATTGAGGAAGTAGCATTTGAGCCAGGCCTTGAAAGCCTAGTATGGTTTGAACATGTAGAAATGGGGTAGAAGGGCAATCAATGCAGAGGGAATAATCTGAGTAGGAGTGGAGTTTGAAAGCCTAGTGCGTTCAAAGCAGAGTCTTGAGTGGAAAAACCCAAACTCAAAAGTGTTTTTTCTATTCCCTCACTCGAAAACAATTGACACAGAAGACTTCTGTGACCAAATGTGTGGGAATTTTTCCCAACCAATAAGCAAGCAATTAATTCTGCAGTGGACACCAGTTGGGTGTCCTCTAATTCAGTTCAATTCTGACACTATCTACCCAGGGACAGCATCAGATTCCAAAGGTTGACGACTCAGTCTCTAAGCCCGCCCTTCTCCTTCATATGCCAGTCACAGGCTCCAGGTTGCTTTATCTGTGCTTCTCACCAACTGGCTATAAACGGGTTCCCACAACCCCCTCCTTGGGTTCAATTAATTTGCTAGAGCAGCTCACAGGACTGAAGGAAACATGTTTACTGGATTACTGTAAAGGGTATTACAAAGGATATGGATGAAGAGATGCATAGTGCGAGGTATGGGAAGTGGCGGGAAGCTTCTGTGCCCTCCCCAGGCAGGCATGCTATGCCCCAGGAACCTCTACGTGTTCAGCTATCCAGAAGCTCTCCAAACCCTGTCCTTTTGGGTTTTTAATGGAGACTTCATTATGTAGGCATGATTGATTAAACCATTGGCCATTGGTGATTAACTTAGCCTTCAGCCCCTCTCTTCCCAGGAAGTGTGGGTTGGGTGGGGGGCTGAAAATTATAACCCTCTAATCCTGCCTGGGTCTTTCCAGTGACCAGCCACCATCTGGAAGCTACTTAGGGGCTGCCAGCAACTAGTCAACTCAGCACACAAAAAGACATCACTTAGGAGGCACTAATGATTTTAGATTTTATATGCCAGGAAGCAGGGAAGACCAAATATATATTTCACAGTATCACAGAGAGTAAACAGTCTCTTTTAGTAGACAGAGAGTAACTAAGGGAGAGGAGTGAGAGAAAGGACTGGAAAGGAAAGCTGGGGTAGATCATCAAAGACCTTTCATATAGGGCTAAGTAGTTTTTGGTCCTTGTACAGTAGGCAGTGGTGAACTACTGAATGTTTTTGAACATGGGTGTGTCATTGTTTTACTTTTATGAAGACAGATCTGGGAGTAGTGTGTAGGAGGATTGGAGAGGAAGAAACTGGAGGTGGGGAGACAAATTAGGAAACTATCATGGTGTCTCAGTAAGAAGCATTGAGAACTGGGGCCAGGCATGGTGGCTCACGCCCGTAGTCCCAGCACTTTGGGAGGCCGAGGCGGATGGATCACGAGGTCAGGAGCTTGAGACCAGCCTGGCCACCATGGTGAAACCCTGTCTCTACTAAAAATACAAAAATTAGCTGGGCATGGTGGTGTGTGCCTGTAATCCCAGCTACTCGGGAGGCTGAGACGGTAGAATTGCTTGAACCTGGGGGTGGAGGTTGCAGTGAGCCGAGATTGCGCCATTGCACTCCAGCCTGGGCAACAAGAGTGAAACTCCATCTCAAGGGAAGAAAAAAAAGCATTGAGGGCTAGAACTAGGTAGAGGCAGTGGGAATGGAGATAAGATGGATGGAAAGATTAAGATGCATATGGGTGAACTGACCACTGGTTGGAAGGAGGAGTTTAAGGGAGAAAATTATAACGACTAGATTTTGAGCCTGATGACTGGCATGATGGTAACAGTAATATCAGAAATAGAGCCTGAGACTAAACAGGTTTGGGAGGTGTAGGATTGTTGAGTTCACATTTGGGCATGCTGAATTTGCGTCACTAGTAAGGTATCAATATAATGTCTAACAAACAGCTGGAAATTAGAGTCTAAAAGCTTAGGGCTAAAGATAGATATTTGGGAATTTCAGCATAGAGGTAAGAGAATATTTTTATGTATTTTTCCATTTTTTCTTTTTTCTTTTTCTTTTTCTTTTTCTTTTTTTTTTTTTTTTTTTTTTTTGAGACGGAGTCTTGCTCTGTCACCAGGCTGGAGTGCAGTGGTGCAATCTCGGCTCACTGCAACCTCTGCCTCCTGGATTCAAGCTATTCTTCTACCTCAGCCTCCCAAGTAGCTGGGATTACAGGTGCATGCCACCACACCTGGCTAATTTTTGTATTTTTAGTAGAGATGGAGTATCACCATGTTGGCCAGGATGGTCTCAATATCCTGACCTCGTGATCTGCCCACTTCAGCCTCCCAAAGTGCTGGGATTACAGGCGTGAGCCACCGCGCCTGGCCCCGTTAAACTTTCATAGCAATCTCATGAGAGAGTTACTCTTTTACAAACAAGTAAACTATGATGCAAAGAGGGCAGACTGCCCAAGGTCACAATACAGGCAGACTAGTCTGATTCTGGAGACTGTGCTCTTAACCATACACTCTGTTAGACAAACCCATTAAGAGAAAGAGTAGGAAAGAGAAGGGAACATGCCAAGGATGGATCTGAGGAGCTTAGACCTGGGAGAAGGAAGAGGGCCTGGAGACATAATCAGGGGAAGCAGCAGACCTCAGAGAATATAATGACATTGATGGCAAGAGAGTGGTTTCAAGTGGAAAAGAGTGGTCAAATAACATGTAAAATAATATGAAATGAAAAAAGAAATAAAATGGGGGTAAGGGAGAGATCATAGAGTAATACCTAAGAGAAAAAAATGTTACCTAGCATTTCTAAGTTTCTGTTGGGAATCTGTTACTTTTATTAAAATTGAAGGGAAAGTGAAATAACCCTTGTTTTGCCTTCATGGGTCAAGGGATGGGCTGGGCTAGAGTTTTAGGTTTGGGAGGATGTATTCTAAGCTCTTACCTAGCCAGATAAATTGAGGGAAGATCAATTTGGCTCTGGAAAGGGAAAAGTCTTTCCCTTTGAGACTGTGACCTTTCCCTGCTTCCTATTTCTCTGCCAGGTGCTTACATGTTGCAGAAGCTAATTGAAGAGACAGATAGGTTTGTAGTGTTCACAGAAGAGGAATCAGGCATGAGTGACCAGTTGTGTGGCATTGCTGCCTGCCAGACGGATGACATATACAACCGAAACTGCCTTATTGAATTGGTCAACTGTCAGGTACCTTCTCTTTACAAGTTACCTCAACATCAGGCTAGATCATGATCATATTGTTCCCCTTCCCCCACCTCTAAATATGAATGGGTGAATAGAGCTCCAAAAAATTTGGCCTTCTCATAGGTATCATAGGTAATCACTTCTATGTCTAAAAGCCAGTAAAATTTACTTGGTAAGCCAGCATTAGACCTAGCTGCAGTGGTTGATACAATGTGCTCACTAACCTCATCGTCCTTGGTAGCTTAACTCTGCTTCTATCTCTGGCATAGATGGTTCTTCGTGGAGCAGAGACAGAAGGCTGTGTCATTGTGTCAGCTGCCAAAGCCCAACTGCTGCAGTGCCAGCACCATCCAGCCTGGTATGGTGATACATTGAAGCAAAAGACATCCTGGACTTGCCTCTTGGATGGCATGCAGTACTTTGCCACCACTGAAAGCAGCCCCACAGAGCAGGATGGCCGACAGCTCTGGTTAGAGGTTAGTCAGTGAGTTTGTGAAGGCCCATTATATTCCTGGTTTTCCGTAGACTTTCTAATGGCTGGAAGATTCTTGACAGTAACCTGCTGTTACTAGCTTAGCAGAATAATGAGGCTAATAACACCTTGAATGTGGGCAATCTCTGGTCTGGAAGCATGTAGTGCTTTTTTTTTTTTTCCTCATGGTGTTCTATTTCATTGCAAAAGAAACTCTCATTTCTCAGAACTCGTATAAAATGGACTGGAACTGTTTTTAAGATTGCTGATCCCTATTAATGTTCACACTAATCAGCAGGCAGCCAAGAAAACAGGCAGTGACTGAGAATTTTCAGTAAGTTCACTATCTGCCCTTTCTCTGTCCTCTCATGAAAATGACTGATTGGTTATTTCAGCAAGGCAGTGAGGTTGAATGAAAGACTGCCTAGGAGTCAGGTTATGTGATTTCTAATGATAGCTTTCCCATTATAGTAGCCATGAGCTCTTGGACAAGTCACCTTTAATCGTGAAATGGAATTGATACTTCACCCTCACAAGATTGTTGAAAGGATCACATAAGGTGCTTTGAAAATATAAAGCTTTATTCAGGTGGAAAGTACTCTTATTTTTTTTTTTAAGTCAGTATGTCTGGGGAGGTCTAAGTGTGTGGCAAGGTAATGTGGTTTTGTTTTTTTTGTTTGTTTGTTTTTTGAGACAGAGTTTGCTCTGTAGCCCAGGCTGGAGTGCAATGGCGCGAACTCAGCTCACTGCAACCTCTGCCTCCCGGGTTCAAGCCATTCTCCTGCCTCAGCCTCCTGAGTAGCTGGGATTACAGGCGTGCCCCACCATGCCCGGCTAATTTTTGTATTTTTAGTAGAGACAGGGTTTCACCATGTTGGCCAGGCTGGTCTCACGCTCCTGACCTCGTGATCCGCCCGCCTCGGCCTCCCAAAGTGCTGGGATTACAGGCGTGAGCCACCCCACCCAGCCAAGATAATGTTTTTGTTAGATGGTGAGATTGTGAGCAGTTGGCAGAAACAAGGGAAGGAGCCTGTCTTTGCATTGCGTGGTTGTTAATTTTCTTTTCAGCTTCTTGGTAAAACTGAACCAGGTTATATTTTACCCTGTAACTTCTAAGATATAATATCATCAGAATTATTGGAGAGTCTATTGATTATGAGATATGCCTAGGCAATATTGTGCGTTATTACTTATTTAACAGGTGTTAAGTGTCCACATTGTACTGGGCATGGTACACCCCCTATATGAGTTACAGGATTTAGCTGTATCTGGTAAGGACCACAGTGATAAGTCCATTTGCAGTTCTACTTAGTGGGGATAAAACTGATCCCTCTTTTCACCTCCCTGGCTGATGCTTCTTTTATCAAGGACCTTAGGGCTTAATCCAGGCAACCTCAAGTGTAATAAGAGGTAATGAGCATTTAGATCAGATGTTAAGCCGTGTAAGGGACCGGTTGTTGGTAATATGAGAAGTCATGCTGATATATAAGAGCTGTGGTTCATTCAGACAAGCAGTGCTCTTTATCAGTAGTCTTAGGAGGTAAGCACAGGTGTTAACTACCCATGCAGAAGTAGAATGGATGAGCTATCAGGATCTTTCTGGCATTTTTTGCACCTCTGCTGCTTTTAGGCATGCCTTCTTTTGTGGGTGAACTCTTTCCCCCCGCCCCCCTCAGGCTGCGATACTAGCATTAGAGTGGAACATCTTGGGCTTAGGTACAAGGGACTTTGATCTGGCCTTTCCTATATTTTTTTGAGACTTGTCAGATCCACCATCTGCTGTGGTCTTCCCATCTCACTCAATGTTATTCACTCTGACTTCAGCTTGGCAGAGTGAATAAAAATAATTCAATTCCCTTCGCCCATGGCAACATTGTCAGAGTGGTTATCTATCTGAAGATAGAAAAAGCAAGAACACAAATGGAACAAATACCAAAATGTGTGAGAAAGTCATTTTTTTTAATGAGATATTTTGCCCATGACATGATTAGATTTGAACCTTTCTCATTGTTTTTCTGGCTCGAGACCTGTGGGCCTGGCAAAGTGTGCATGTAACTCAGTTGGGTTGGAGAATTTGGGTAGACTGGGGCAAGAGAATGAGACAAGTATGTCCTCTATCCTGGGAGATATGGTTCAAGCTATTCCATGCAGTGGAGGTCCAGATAGTAAGTGTAACTACTTGAAACATGGAGATCTGTCACCCAATTGTCCAGGACAAGCCACTCTTTTCCCAGGAGCTAAAGTTGCCTGCATCTCTTTCTTCAGGTGAAGAATATCGAGGAGCACCGGCAGCGTAGTCTGGACTCTGTGCAGGAGCTGATGGAGAGTGGGCAGGCAGTGGGCGGCATGGTTACCACAACCACAGGTCAGCCCTCCCCCTCCTCTGCATCAAATGATTAGGAGCAGATGTGCATCCCAAAGGGACCTCATTTCCCTACCTATTCTTAACGTCAGTGTATGCTGGAGTAGGACCATTTTGTGCTAGGCTGGGTTGAAAGCAGTGTTTCTGGAGTTTCTGAGACATAGCTGGGAGGCTCTCACATTATCTTTATTGAGAATGTCTTTTTCTTATCTCTTTCCCACCTCTTCCCAGATTGGAACCAGCCAGCTGAGGCACAGCAAGCCCAGCAAGTCCAGCGGATCATTTCGCGTTGCAACTGCCGAATGTACTATATTAGTTACAGCCATGACATTGATCCTGAACTAGCAACTCAGATTAAGCCACCTGAAGTTCTTGAGAACCAGGAAAAGGAAGATCTCCTAAAGAAGCAGGAAGGTATTCAGGGCTTGAAAGGCTTTTAGGAAGGGACTAGAGAAATTGTGAAAGTAGTTATTTCCTTGGTGGTTTTGAGACAGTAGAGTTATTAAAAATCCACTGTGCACTGGCATTAACATTTCACTTTGCTCTACTTTTTGTAAGTTCTGCTATGAGAAAATAACCTCTATTCTTGGAGGGAGCTGGGATGAATGGGCATTGTTTATGATTCTGAAGTAAACATGTTTCTGCCCATGAGCAACTCTCACCCTTTCTGTGGGGTTGACTAGTGGGGTGGTTCCAAATGTGGGTTAAGAGATGGAGTAGATATTTAGGTAGAAACTTGAGCCTTTTATTTAGCTGCTAACAATTATCTAGGGGCTGTGGATACCTTCACCCTTATCCACCATGAGCTGGAAATTTCCACCAACCCAGCTCAGTATGCCATGATCCTGGACATTGTCAACAACCTGCTGCTCCATGTAGAACCTAAGCGGAAGGTGAGCATGGGCCCTTGTAGAATGCTGGTTAGCCTCACAGGAACACCCAGACTTTGTGCTTTATTTGGGCTTCTGTAACAAAAGCCATGCTTCACACTGAAAAAGGGCCTTGTGGTTGGTAGATTCTCTTAGTCGGCAGTGACAATTGAAATTCCACTTACTTAGGAAAGGCCTGAATATCTCTCAGACCGTAGGGCTTGTTTGCCTGATTGTTTTCTCCTAGTCATTTCTCTACTCAGTCACCTAGACACCTCTAAAAACATTTACTATTCCCTGCTTCCACCTCCATCCCATCCTGTTGGGCCTGACCTATTGTGAAATCCACATTGCCACATTTTCTGCATTGACCTACTACTGTTGCTATTACCAGTGACAGATAAAGGTTAGCTTTCTAGAAGAGACCCCCCCCATTTCTTTCTCCTTTCTCTATTTCACTTTACTACAAGACTTGTCTACTTAAAAATCATATTCATTTCCCTTTCCATTCCTTTAGGAACATAGTGAGAAGAAGCAACGGGTCAGGTTCCAGCTTGAGATCTCTAGCAATCCAGAGGAGCAACGCAGCAGCATACTGCATTTGCAGGAGGCTGTGCGGCAGCATGTGGCCCAAATACGACAGCTGGAGAAGCAGATGTATTCTATCATGAAGGTAGTCACTGCAGATAGATAGTTTGAGAACCAGGAAGTCTCCTAGAACGAGGGCGGTCTCTCAGTTTCTATCCTGGTTCCCTAGTCTTTGCAGGATGACAGCAAGAATGAGAATCTGCTTGACCTGAACCAGAAGCTTCAGTTGCAGCTAAACCAGGAGAAGGCCAACCTGCAGCTGGAAAGTGAAGAACTGAATATCCTCATCAGGTGCCCCAGCATTCTTTCCTTGCCCTTTTCCAGTGCCCCAGCTAGAGGCAGTTCTCTTTCTTGCCCATGTTTTGACTGTCTTTAGGTCTAGTGTGCATTATCAAAGGCTGATGTAGGAGTAGGTTCAGACATCTCTTCCTGAATAAGAAAATGGGTAGTTGGGAAGGATCACTTTTTTTTTTTTTAGAGACAAAGTGGTCTCACTATGTTGACCAGGCTGGTCTGGAACTCCCGGGCTCAAGCAGTCCTCCTGCCTTGGCCTCCCAAAGTGCTGGGATTACAGGCGTGAGCTGGGATTACCACACCCAGCTGAAAGATCACTTTGGTGGCCTTGATACTATGCATCTGAACTGAAAATATCTTTTTTTTTTTAATGAACCTGACATAAACATATGAAAATGTCTTGAAGTTGATCAGTATACAGTTGCAGATAAAATTGTAGGAATTATTAGTGGGAAGACACTACTTTATCAAGAAGCTATAGAGCTGAAAGATGGGATTTGTGCTCCTATGACCTAGAATGTCAGGAGCAATAAATTCAGTGAAAAAAATGTAGGGACTGGCTAACCCAGAATAGGTTAATTTCTGGGTTTACCTCCTGCATCATTCTAGAGCATTCTATCCCACCCCCAACCCATGTGCTGTTTCCCTTACTGGCTTTGGCTCCCCTGTCCACTTACAGGTGTTTTAAGGATTTCCAACTGCAGCGGGCTAACAAGATGGAGCTGCGAAAGCAGCAAGAAGATGTGAGTGTGGTCCGTCGCACTGAGTTTTACTTTGCTCAGGCACGGTGGCGCCTGACAGAGGAAGATGGACAGCTGGGAATTGCTGAATTAGAACTGCAGAGGTTCCTCTACAGCAAGGTATCTGGGGTATATGGTCACACAAAGGCAGCTGTATTGAGAGACATTGACCTAGCTTAGGAGTCTAACTCATAAAAGAGAAATAAAAGGGGGTTAATTATTGTATGATTATTAATGATAGTATCATTAATATTAACGAGCTCATTAATCATATTAATGAGCAGAGCTTCCTTAGATATATCTGTTTATAATGAATGATACACATATAGCTCTGATGCCATAGGGGGAGAGTAAGAATGAACAAAGAAATAAAATAATTTTTAAAAAATGATACAGGCCACGTGTAGTGGTTCATGCCTGTAATCCCATAACTTTGGGAGGCTGAGGTGGGAGGATTGCTTAAAGTCAAGAGTTCAACAAAAATTTTAAAAATTAGCTGGGCATCGTGGTGCATACCTGTGGTCCCAGCTACTTGGGAGGCTGAGGCAGGAGGATTGCTTGAGCCCTGGAGTTCGAGCCTGCAGTGAGCTGTGATCACACCACTGCACTCCAGCCTGGGCAACAGAGTGAGACCCTGTCTCTAAAAAAGAAAATAAATAATTAAAAACATATATGATAGGCCGGGCACGGTGGCTCACACCTGTAATCCCAGCACTCTGGAAGGCCGAGGCAGGTGCATCACCTGAGGTCAGGAGCTGAAGACCAGCCTGGCTAACATGGTGAAACCCCATCTCTACTAAGAATACAAAAATTAGCCAGGCGTGGTGGTGCACGCCTGTGGTCCCAGTTGCTTGAGAGGCTGAGGCAGGAGAATCGTTTGAACCTGGGAGGTGGAGGTTGCAGTGAGCCGAGATCGTGCCACTGCACTGCAGCCTGGTGACAGAGCAAGACTCCATCTCAAAAAAAAAAAAAAAAAAAAGAAAATTGGGTGTGGTGGTGTGTGCCTGTAAGCCCAGCTACTCAGGAGGCTGAAGCAGGAGAATCGCTTGAACCCAGGAAGGAGATGGATGTTGCGGTGAGCCAAGATTGTGTCACTGCACTTCAGCCTGGGCAACAGAGTGAGACCCTGTCTCAAAAAAATAAAAATAAGATACAGATACAGGTGAGTTTGATCAGATGCTTCTCTTGTTGAGTAAGAAGATGATCCCTAGAAGTATGGCCCAGAGGCAAATAATCTTTCATGTCTAGCTTGGAATAGAATATTCTAATACTGACATTCAGCTTTTCTGCCATTGACGTAAAGAAGGCAGTATTATTTATTACTTTCTCCTACCAGAGGCGTTTGGAAATGAATTAGAACATTTTTTAATGTCACAATGGCTAGATAGTACTACCAGCATTTAGTGTCCTGGACAATAGTGCCCATGAGACACACTGGATTAAAGAGTGTTGATTGTATGAGTTTGAAGGAGATCTCAAGGTTGGGATTAGGCATATGTAGAGCCTGAAAACAAACTGGATACATAACAATTGTCTAGTAGACTTCTGAGAAAGGTTTATTATAGTAGATGGGGCAAAATCTGTCTTTATAGGTGAATAAGTCTGATGACACAGCAGAACATCTTCTGGAGTTGGGCTGGTTTACCATGAACAACCTCCTCCCCAATGCTGTCTATAAGGCAAGTCTTTTTTCCCCTTTCCTAGTCCATTTGCATGTTTTTAGCACGGGGCATTTATAACGGCCCTTCAGTATAAATCCACTATGGAAAACAATGTGGTGATCTGAGAGGGTGAAAGCTTGCCCAGCTTAGCAGTACCATTGCTTCTCCTCTCATTCTGCAGAGGATTTGTGGGTTGCTTTATGGCAGGAAGGACATTGGGTTGGGCTCTTCTTTACTCTCTATCCTACAGGTAGTACTGCGGCCCCAGAGCTCCTGCCAGTCTGGGCGACAGCTAGCTCTCCGCCTCTTCAGCAAAGTTCGGCCCCCTGTTGGGGGTATCTCTGTTAAGGAGCATTTTGAGGTTAGTAAGCAGTCCCTTAGGGACCTGGGAACAAGGGACATTCAAAAGCCACCTGTGTGTTACACGATATTAGGAGTAGGTAAACTGATGATGGTATCTGAGCTTAATTGCTTCTTGAATCTTTTTCCTTTTTAGGTAAATGTGGTGCCTCTCACCATCCAGCTGACACACCAGTTCTTCCACAGAATGATGGGCTTTTTCTTTCCTGGCCGAAGTGTGGAAGATGATGAAGTTGGTGATGAAGAGGATAAGTCCAAACTGGTGACTACTGGTGAGAACTTTTATGGTGGAGCCCCAGAAGAATAGGGTAGCAACCCCAAAGACAGCTGAGACTTCAGAACGAGGATGGATGACAGCTGGTACACTTGCTTTTTCATAGGAATACCAGTGGTGAAGCCTCGGCAGCTGATTGCAACAGATGATGCAGTACCACTGGGCCCTGGGAAGGGTGTGGCACAGGGTTTGACTCGGAGTTCTGGGGTCAGAAGGTCATTTCGCAAATCGCCAGAGGTACCAAACATGCCCCTGATGATAGAAAAATGGGAGAGTCTTGAGGTCCTGTTTGGTGTGGCTTGGGATTTCTTCGGTTTCCTCTAAGTCCATTCTAGGGATAAAAGAAGAGGGAGATGTTTGGGGTCCTGAGTTTCTTCTGATGGATTCAGGGCTCACACTCCTTGCCTGCCTTTCTTAGCACCCTGTGGATGACATTGACAAGATGAAAGAGCGAGCTGCCATGAACAACTCCTTCATCTACATAAAGATTCCACAGGTTCCACTGTGTGTCAGCTACAAGGTCTGCACCTCTCAAGCACTTTGTAGAACAGGGTGGGAAGGGAACCAGATAAGATCAGAGATTCTATACAGGGAGACAGCTAGGTTGTTTGTGATGCTGAGCTGTGGGTGATAAATCTGCTGTTCCCTCTGCTCCCCTCAAGAGTCAGCATCATTACGAGGCTGAGGTAAGGGGAAATCAGTATCTGTAGGTTACTATTGTAGGACTTGGCACTCAAGTGGCTGGCTGGGACTCAAAATGGCAGCTGATGTATTCCCCACCCCTCTTTTTTTCTTTCCCCTCCCCCTCCTCTTACAGGGTGAGAAGAACAGTGTGGACTGGGGTGACCTTAACCTGGTGCTGCCCTGTCTGGAGTACCACAACAACACATGGACATGGCTAGACTTTGCCATGGCTGTCAAAAGGGACAGCCGCAAAGCCCTGGTTGCCCAGGTATCCCGCCAGGGCTCATGGCTGTTTGGCTAATGGGGCTGGCAGGCAGATCCTCTTTTCAGGAGCCTTTCATTTTAGAATCCATGAATAAATATCCTTGGGAAGGGGCAGGTGCATGAAGTGAGTGGCTTCTATGCCTACCCTCTCCATGACCTCACTCAGATTATTAAATTCAGTGTTTACTGAGTGTTTCGTATAGCACCATTGATTTTAGGGAACTGAGAGCTAACACAACCTAAAGTTTAGAAGGGGTTATAATTAGACTGTAAGCTTCTTGAAAGCAGAGACCATTGTATGTGAATTGCCCCATTGTGCCTTGGATGTGTTTAATAAATCTTTATTGTCTTGGTTCATTTTGATTTATTCTGCCTGCCCACTAATATTTACATTTTCTTTTACTCCTCTCCAATCTGCCAGGTAATCAAAGAGAAGCTAAGGCTGAAGTCTGCAACAGGCTCTGAGGTCCGGGGAAAGCTAGAAACTAAATCGGACCTGAACATGCAACAGCAGGAAGAGGAGGAGAAAGCCCGGCTCCTCATTGGTTTAAGTGTGGGCGACAAGAACCCTGGCAAGAAGTCCATCTTTGGCAGGCGCAAATGATTTGGCGATTCGAGTGGCTGCAGTACAGGATCTGACTCTGGCTCAGGCTCCAGGGACTTGTGGGGTGGGAGGGGCTTCCCGTTATCCACGAGGATTTGTGGGTGTCAGAGCCCATAGGCATCACTCTTCAGCACCTGGTCTGTTCGCTGCAGGGCATGGTGGACAGTAATGCTGAGTTCTGTCTCACACTGATCAGGCTCAGGGCCAGAGAGGCAACAAGAGAGCAAGACCCAGGGAATGGGCCCAGGGCAGGACCCTATTCCCTTGGGGTCAAGTGAAAGGGTAGGGGGATAGTCCTGATCAAGTGTGATAAATTTTTATAGACATATATAAATATATATATATTATATATATATTTCTAAGTGTAACTGTCCTTCCTCTGTGCCAGGAAACGGGAGGGGGCTGATCCTCTGATCCTCACTCCACTGTCATGTTTGAAAGAGGTATTGGTGTTCTGGAGTGGGGGTCAACCCCTCCCCAGTCTCTGTGCTAAGTTCACTTGGGAGGATGGCAGTAGGAGCCAGGGCTGGCCATGGGTCCCCTACCCTTCCCCGTAGGATATACCCTGGAGAATGGCAAAATGATTTAAAGAGAAAAAAAAAGATATTTTAAATTTGATGCTCATTTTTGTGTGTGTGTGTTGAGTGCATGCATTCAATCTGTGTATTCCTCCCTCATCAACCCAGAACATCCTGCAGCTGCCACTCTGAGGGTGGCCCCTTCCTTCCTCTGCCCTGAAGCTGTATCACAGAAATTTCTAGTCCTAGTGTGACTCTGGCCCCATGCTGATGGGTTTCTGCAGACTGGAAGAGGCGGGGCTCGTGTCACGCAGCATCAGGGAGAGGAATTGCTTATATAACTGGGACAGCAGATTTAGCAGAGAGAGGAGGCAGAGGCTGGGAATGGGAGCAGTAAGCTGTCGGCAGGGGCAGCACACCCAGCAGGGGGAACACACCCGGGTGGCTGTCCCTCACAAGGTAGGCTGTGGGGCTCTGGCAGCCTACTGAGGGGAGGAGAGGGAGACATGGGCTTGAGTCCTGGGAAGTTCCTGGTTAGGAGCATGGAAGTGATTACCCAATGTGGGGGTGGGGCAGGGAGGCTGTACTATGAAAGCATCACAGCCCAATACTGAGGTGCAGGCTGTACTCTTAATGCGTCATGGTGAAAATGTCCAACAATTATTTTCCTAGAGGATTTGAATTGTGCCCAGGAAATCTGGGGCTTAGCACAAAGCAAGGGTAATGGGAATTTTGCCTCATGCTCAAAAATGTACCTCTAGGGGTTGAGACTTAAGGGGAGGGAGTGCCTAGTAAGATGGGTGGAACCTGCTATGCCTCAGGAGCAGAAAGTTTAGAGTGGCTCCCTTGGTTCTCAGCAGGGTGGCAACATCCGGGGTCCCTGGGCCCGAGGCTGGAAGAGCCTCTGGACAGGTTTGGGAACCATCAGGTCAGATCTGGAAGAACTCTGGGAACTACGGGGGCACCACTATCTGCACCAGGAATCCCTAAAGCCAGCCCCAGTACTGGTAGAGAAGCCTCTGCCAGAGTGGCCAGTGCCTCAGTTCATCAACCTCTTTCTACCAGAGTTTCCCATTAGGCCCATTAGGGGGCAGCAGCAGCTGAAGGTAAGTCAGTGGAATCCCTGAGTGGGGTCTCAGTCTTTGGGAGAAGTTAAAAATGACCAGTCTCAACTGGCCTGTTCTCCATTCCTCTGTACAGATTTTAGGCCTCGTGGCTAAAGGCTCCTTTGGAACTGTCCTCAAGGTGCTAGATTGCACCCAGAAAGCTGTATTTGCAGTGAAGGTAGGGGCGTAGATACCACATTAGTCTCTGTTTCCAATCTTGATTCCAGAGAGGTTGGGAGGAATAAACAATTCAATAGCACTATCTATGAGTCATCACTACTCTCCTTTTATAGGTGGTGCCCAAGGTAAAGGTCCTACAGAGGGATACCGTGAGGCAGTGCAAAGAGGAGGTTAGCATCCAGGTATGCACAGAGTCCTGGAAAGGATTGTGGGAAGAGCTAGGCCACAGGTAGGGAAAGTACCTTTCTTGCCCACCTTCTTTTCCTGGTTCTGCCTCATCCATCTGCTTCAGCCTAGTTTAACACTAAAGTAGATCCTGGGAAAAGTATCAGCTCTCAACACAGTTTTCCCATGTCCTACTAGGGAAATCTCTGAAGCATGTCCCAGTGTATTCCTTAGTATTTGCTGGTTCTAGGATTACCAGATAGTCAGTTCCAAATATTGAGTTCCTCTGAACTGAGAGGTGAGGCAGCAGTTCCCCCTCTGCACATCTGGGTAAAACCTGATTTCTCAGCTGCCTTTATTCTCAATGACCCTGTTCCTCCCTAACTTCCTGTTTTCTTTGTTCCTAGCGACAGATCAACCATCCCTTTGTACACAGCTTGGGGGACAGCTGGCAGGGAAAACGGCACCTTTTCATTAGTGAGTGACTGGACTCTCTCCTCATCCCCCAGGGTCTTTGTACCATGTTCCCCACCTGAGATTACCTCTTTGGCTTGTTCTGCCTTTGCTCTGTCCCCCTTCTCATGGCACCTCTCTGTCCCAAAGGGAGGGGAACAGCAGGTGGTATCAGTTTGGGCAGGAGGCCTACAATGCCTTGAGCCCAGGCATTGCAGCTCCCAAACATTGCCTAGACTTCTGGCAATGTATGTAGCTCCACACTGGCTTTGCAGTGTGTAGCTACTGCAGCACAGATCTGTACTCCCTTTGGTCGGCTGTTGGCTGCTTTCCTGAGGCTTCCATCCGTCTCTTTGCTGCCGAGTTGGTGCTGGTACTGTGTAAGTGAAACAGTGGTAAAGGAAATGGGGAGGGAAGATTTAAGTTCGGAAGAAGGAGAGTAAAAAATTAATATTAATAATGGAAGTTAAAGAATAGGATAGGGATGGGATGAGGGCTACTAGGGAAACTGGAAAGGACAGAAAAGCTGCAGCATACCCCATACTTGTTATCCACAGGTTATCTCCATGACTTGGGCATCATGCATCGAGATGTGAAGGTAGAGTTAAGTGCTTTTTTCCCTTTGTCTGAGAAAGAGTCTCAATAAGAAGTGCCAACAAGTCCAAGAAGTTAGGGAGCTGAGAACTGTAGACATTGGGGCCCCCATGGGTGCCAAGGATTTGGGGAAGGGCTCTCTGAGTATAGATTTGAGTGCTGAGTAGGGCATCACCTTCAGCTGGGGTGTATACATGATGAAAGAGAGTTGAAAGGAAGAGGAAGAATTACTTCTCACCTGTGATCTTTCAGATGGAGAATATTCTTCTAGATGAACGAGGTAAGTCTTTTTCCTTCCTTAGCCCCAGGATGAGAGGTACTTTGGTTTGGGAATAAATCATGGCTGATGATGGGTGGAACAGTGGTGCAGTTGCCTTACCTTCTTTCATAGGCCATCTGAAACTGACAGACTTTGGTCTGTCCCGCCACGTGCCCCAGGGAGCTCAAGCCTACACTATCTGTGGCACTCTTCAGTACATGGGTGAGAGAGGTTAAAGCTGATGGGTAAGCATTGGGCAGGAGGATAGCTAAAGGATGTCTGTGATGAGTATCTTTGAAATCTGTAGCCCCAGAGGTCCTAAGTGGAGGACCTTACAACCATGCTGCTGATTGGTGGTCCCTGGGTGTCTTGCTTTTCTCTCTGGCGACTGGAAAGGTGAGAGAATAGTAGTAGTTTTGGGCAGAGAAGAGCTTTGCCTTGTGGTGGGAAGAAGGAAGACCTTAGGAAATCTTGCCGTATTCCTACTAAGGAATGAACCCCTACCCCTACCTCCACTCCCTACCTCTTAACTCAGTTTCCAGTGGCTGCAGAGAGAGATCATGTGGCCATGTTGGCAAGTGTGACCCACAGTGACTCTGAGATCCCAGCTTCTCTTAACCAGGGCCTCTCACTCCTGCTCCATGAGGTAAGGATGAGCACTGCTTTCCTTCTTGGCTACGAAACCATTAATGCTCTCCTGCCTTCATTAAAGTGATTTTTCCCCATTCCTCTCATCAGTTTTTTTGAGGGGGCTCCAACTTAACTACCTAACTACTTGCCATCTAAGCTGTACTGAGTCACATTCCTAAGTTCCTGGTCCCCCAAATCTCCTCCCCATCTAGAACAGAGAGGTCCCTTCTGAGAGAGTGGAACACTGTACACTCATCTGAAAACTCACAAGCACAGCTCCTTATTCCCACCTTTGCCCCAAATTAGCCTCTATTTCTCCCTCTTTTACAAATCATCTACTCTTCAGGGTTCTTATTCCTACCCTCCACAGCTCCATGAACTTCTTTCTTCTTTTCCATCCTTTCTGTTCAGGCCTGTCCTGTCCTAGTCACTCATCCTTCATGCTCTATTTTCCTTCAGCTCTTATGCCAGAACCCCCTCCATCGTCTACGTTATCTGCATCACTTCCAGGTCCACCCTTTCTTTCGGGGTGTGGCCTTCGACCCAGAGCTCCTACAGAAGCAGCCAGTGAACTTTGTCACGGAGACACAAGCTACCCAGCCCAGTTCAGCGGAGACCATGCCCTTTGACGACTTTGACTGTGATCTGGAGTCCTTCTTGCTCTACCCTATCCCTGCTTGAGCCTCTCTACTGTAAATTGGGGCCCGGCTGGGAGCCTGAAGATCTCCATCCCTGCCTACTCAGTATGACCACCTTGATAATCCAGTTTGTTTTTATTTTGTAGCCTCTTACCGTTCTGCTCTCCTAGGCTTTAGACCAGAGTTCCAACCTGGACATTCTGCTACTGGCAGCCACAGCTGGCCCTATTCCTTCCCTATCATACAACCTACCTCTCAATTCAACATGTCAGATCAGGGTGGTGACCTTTTCCTTTTCTTTACTTCTCCAGTGCTCTTTACCCTCAGGCTGTCAGCCAGAGCTGCTTCTGCTTGTTTCTCTGCCATGTTTCCTTTCTTGAGCAATAATAATACTTCATGGGCTCCCAGGGTGCTATTGATGTGTTTAATAGGCTTGTCAGAAGCAATATGAATTTTTTTTTTTTTTTTGAGACAGAGTCTCACTCTGTTGCCCAGGCTGGAGTGCAGTGGTGCGTTCTCAGCTCACTGCAACCTCCGTCTCCTGGGTTGAAGTGATTTTCATGCCTCAGCCTCCCGAGTAGCTGGGATTACAAATGCACACCATTATGCCCAGCTAATTTTTGTATTTTTTAGTAGAGACAGGGTTCACCATGTTGGCCAGGCTGATCTCAAACTCCTGACCTCAAGTGATCGGCCTGCCTTGGCCTCCCAAAGTGCTGGAATTACAGGTAGGTGTGAGCCACTGCACCAGACCCTTTTTTTTTTTTTTTTTTTTTTTTTTTGAGATAGGGTCTCACTCTCGTCACCCAGGTTGGAGTGCAGTGGCACGATCTCAGCTCACTGCAACCTTCACAGGCATGAGCCTCCACACCCAGCCTGTGAATTTTTCAAAAGTCTCAAAAGCTGGCATTTCAACCCCTAAATAATGCAGCTAAAAAATATAGTCTGGGAGCTTGAGGCCAGTCTGCAATAAATCTAATTTTTAAAAATTGAAAAGTGAATAAAATAATCTAGTGAGGAAGAAAATAGAAACTGAAACATGGGTGGGTTAAATGTCTTCTCTAGGTCTATAATTGCAACAGTTATCCAAAATAAAACCTCTTTGAAAAGCATAGGATTTTTAAACTGACAATTTCTCCTAGTGAGCCCATGATTCAGTTTCTGATGGGCAAACCAAGAGATTAAGAGGCATGCATCAACCTTAAGATTTAAGGTTATTTGGGAGGCCAAGGTGGGCAGATCAGTTGAGGTCAAGAGTTCGAGACCAGCGTGGCCAACATGGTGAAACCTTGTGTCTACTAAAAAAATACAAAAATTAGCTGGGTGTGGTGTTGCACACCTGTAGTCCCAGCTACTCAGAAGGCTGAAGCAGGAGAACTGCTTGAACCCTGGAGGCCAAGGTTGCAGTGAGCCAAGATTGTGCCATTGAACTCCTGGGTGACAGAGGTAGACTCTGTCTCAAAAAAAAAAAAAAAAAAAAAAAAAAAAGATTTAAGGTTAGAGACATATCTCAATAACCTTTTCCTTTAGTAAGGAAAATCATCTGGACCTTAAATTTGTATACAGTTTTGGCCTTTATGACTTCTTTTCATTTTTCTTAAACTAATTTCTCACAATTTTCATTTTTGTCCTGAGACTTGAAGGGAAAGTAAGTTTTAATCTAGACCATATTATTTAGTTACATCTAATCTCTCTAGACAAAAGACAGTCTGGAGAGTACTCTTTAGTTCTATTTATTAATTTTGTCTCTAGATTGAGCCAGATTTCCCCATGCATAGCTGGCATTTTATTGGCCTCTGCAGAATTGCTTTTTCTGGATTGGACTTTGGTAATCCATATGAAAATCTCTATGAAATTTAATTGCTCGCCAGGTGTGGTGGCTCACACTTGTAATCCCAGCACTTTGGGAGGCTGAGGTGGGCGGATCACCAGAGGTCAGGAGTTCGAGACCAGCCTGGCCAACATGGTGAAACCCCGTTTCTCCCCAAAAAATACAAAAATTAGCTGGTCATGAGGGCACACACTGTAGTCCCAGCTACTCAGGAGGCTGAGGGGGAAGAATTGCTTGAACCCAGGAGATGGAGGTTGCAATGAGTGAAGATCGTGCCACTGCATCCAGCCTGAGCAACAGAGTGAGATCTTGTCTCAGGAAAAAAATAAATTTAATTGCTGTGGATACTGTAAAGGGTGTTTATCGTAACAGTTCATAATATTCTATTTAAGAATGCGTGGGAGAAATTTTCTCTGGACCCAGTTATGCTTTTCCTGAATTGCTGTTTGGTTTTTACCTTAAGGACACTAAATATTCAGCTGATTGTATTTTTCTGTTTGTACTGATACTAGACCATTTAGAGCCCAATTTGTGGTCTACCTTCAGCAAGTGTTTATGTATTTTGTATGCTAGTCATGTTCTTGGTTCTGTCTTCCTTTTCTACTTTTATTTTCCTTATTCTCATTTTTCTAAGTTTTAATCGTTTTATATTACTATAATATCTGCATCTTGTAAGCCTTTTTGTAATAAGGTTGGGATATAAATAAATAAGGCAATGTATCCTTTATCCTTTTATCTCATTTGTTTCTCTTTAGACACTTTTATTACTTTTTAAAAATTGTGATGACCAGAACTGCACACTGGATAAAAACTCTGAATACTAAAAATAGGAATTAATGGTTTCCAAAATAGTAGTTAAGAGCATTTGTTTGGAATTTAGGAGATCTGATGCCTGGATCCACCAATAACTATCTCATCGTCTTTTTTTTTTTTTTTTTTTTGGTGGGGATGGAGTCTTGCTCTGTTGCCCAGGTTGGAGTGCAGTGGCGCAATCTCGGCTCACTGTAGCCTCTGCCTCCCAGGTTCTAGCAATTCTCCTGCCTCAGCCTCGTGGGTAGCTGGGATTACAGGTGCATGCTACCACGCCCGGCTAATTTTTGTATTTTGAGTAGAGACGGGGTTTCGCCATGTTGGCCAGGCTGGTGTGGAACTCCTGACCTCAGATGATCCACCCGCCTTGGCCTCCCAAAGTGCTGAGATTACAGGCGTGAGCCACCACGCCCAGGCTCTCATCTTCTTTAATAAGTCATTTTAACCTCTCTGGATCTTAGTTTCCTGGTGTATAAAATGAGGGTAAAATAACCACTGGTTCTTAATTGTGGGGTATGGGTTCAGATTTCTGTGATGCTGAAATTTATTTATTTATATAAATAAATAAGGCAATTTATTCATATCCTTTCTTTTCTTTCCCCTTCCCCTTTCCTTTTCTTTAAGAGATGGCATTTCGCCATGTAGCCCAGGCTGGTCTGAACTCCTGGGCTCTAGTGATCCACCTGCTTTGGCCTCTCAGAGTACTAGGATTATAGGTGTGAGCCACTGTTCCTGGCCTGTGATGCTTTTTCTTTCTTTTTTTTTTTTGAGACTGAGTTTTGCTCTTGTCACCCAGACTGGAGTACAGTTTGTCACCCAGACTGGAGTACAATGGTACGATCTCAGCTCACTGTAACCTCCACCTCCCGGGTTCAAGTGATTCTCCTGTCTCAGCCTCCCAAGTAGCTGGGATTACAGGCGCCTGCCACCATGCCCAGCTAATTTTTGTATTTTTAGTAGACACGGGGTGTCACCATGTTGACCAGGCCGGTCTCAAACTCCTGACCTCAGGTAATTCACTCGTCTTGGCCTTCCAAAGTGCTGGGATTACAGGCGTGAGCCACTGCTCCCAGCCCTGTGATGCTTTTTCAAAGTGCAGATGCAGAGGATTTTATAATACTGTGTTAATTGATATTCAGGTCACCCAACATTATATGGCTTTTGTGGCCACAGCAGCACAGTGGGCGAAGGTCCTTAAGAAATGGTTAACATAATGTCACTAGGGTTTAAGGTCCTTAAGAAATGGTTAACATAATGTCACTAGGGTTTAAGGTCCTTAAGAAATGGTTAACATAATGTCACTAGGGTCTCTCTCCTAGGTCATATTAGTTTAGAGACCATAATCACGTGAATGTAGTTGGAATTACTTCTTACCAAATGAGAACATTTTCAACATACTCTCTTCAGTAGTCTACTTACAGCAGTGATTCTCAGGGTGCAGTGGAGGGGGTGACAGAAAAATCAAGGTTTTGGCTGGGCATGGTGGCTCACACCTGTAATCCCAGCACCTTGGGAGGCCGAGGTGGGAGGATCACTTCAGTCCAGGACTTCCAGGACAGCTTGAGCAACACAGTGAGACCTCGTCTGTATAAAAATATTAAAAAATTAGCCAGATGTGGTGGTCCTGTACCACCCAGCTACTCAGGAGGCTGAGGTGGGAGGATTGCTCGAGCTCAGAAGCTCCAGGTTATGATCATAACCTGAAGCTATGATTTGGCCACTGCACTCCAGTCTGGGTGACTGAGAGAGAGAGAAAGAAAAGAAAAGAAGAGGGCCAGGCGCAGTGGCTCACCCTTGTAATCCCAGCACTTTGGGAGGCCGAGGTGGGTGGATCACGAGGTCAAGAGATTGAGACCACCCTGGCCAACATGGTGAAACCCCGTCTCTACTAAAAATACAAAAAATTAGCCAGGCATGGTGGTGGGCACCTGGAGTCCCAGCTACTTGGGAGGCTGAGGCAGGAGAATCACTTGAACCTGGGAGGCAGAGGTTGCAGTGAGCTGAGCTTGCGCCACTGCACTCCAGCCTGGCGACAGAGGGAGACTCCGTCTCAAAAAAAAAAAAAAGGCCACGCCTATAATCCCAGCACTTTGGGAGGCCAAGGCAGGTGGATCACAAGGTCAAGAGATCGAGACCATCCTGACCAACATGGAGAAACCCTGTCTTTACTAAAAATACAAAATTAGCTGGGCGTGATGGCTCATGCCTGTAATCCCAGCTATTCGGGAAGCTGAGGCAGCAGAACTGCTTGAACCCAGGAGGCGGAGGTTGCAGTGAGCCAAGATCACGCCATTGTACTCCAGCAGCCTGGGCAACAAGAGTGAAATTCCATCTCAAAAAAAAAAAGTTTGAGAAAGTATAATTTTTATAATTTGAAAAAGCACGGAACCCGGGAGGCAGAGGTTGCAGTGAGCTGAGATTGTGCCATTGCATTCCAGCCTGGGCAACAAGAGAGAAACTCTATCAGAACAACAAAAACAAAAAATTAAAACAACATGAGAAAGTATATAAAATAGAGCTCTCCCTCTCCCTCTCCCTCTCCCTCCTTTCCACGGTCTCCCTCTCATGCCGAACCCTCTCCCTCTCCCTCCTTTCCATGGTCTCCCTCTCATGCCCAACCCTCTCCCTCTCTTTCCACGGTCTCCCTCTCATGCCGAACCGAAGCTGGACTGTGCTGCTGCCATCTCGGCTCACTGCAACCTCCCTGCCTGATTCTCCTGACTCAGCCTGTCGAGTGCCTGCGATTGCAGGCGCGCGGCGCCATGCCTGACTGGTTTTCGTATTTTTTTGGTGGAGACGGGGTTTCGCTGTGTTGGCCGGACTGGTCTCCAGCTCCTAACTGCGAGTGATCCGCCAGCCTCGGCCTCCCGAGGTGCCGGGATTGCAGACGGAGTCTCGTTAACTCAGTGCTCAGTGGTGCCCAGGCTGGAGTGCAGTGGCGTGATCTCGGCTCGCTACAACCTCCACCTCCCAGCCGCCTGCCTTGGCCCCCCAAAGTGCCGAGATTGCAGCCTCTGCCCGGACGCCACCCCGTCTGGGAAGTGAGGAGCGTCTCTGCCTGGCCGCCCATCGTCTGGGATGTGAGGAGCCCCTCTGCCTGGCTGCCCAGTCTGGAAGGTGAGGAGCGTCTCTGCCCGGCCGCCATCCCACCTAGGAAGTGAGGAGCACCTCTTCCCGGCCACCATCCCATCTAGGAAGTGAGGAGCGTCTCTGCCCGGCTGCCCATCGTCTGAGATGTGGGGAGCGCCTCTGCCCCGCCGCCCCGTCTGGGATGTGAGGAGCGCCTTGGCCCGGCCGTGACCCCGTCTGGGAGGTGAGGAGCGTCTCTGCCCGGCCACCCCGTCTGAGAAGTGAGGAGACCCTCCGCCCGGCAACTGCCCCGTCTGAGAAGTGAGGAGCCCCTCCGCCCGGCAGCCGCCCCGTCTGAGAAGTGAGGAGCCCCTCCGCCCGGCTGCCACCCCGTCTGGGAAGTGAGGAGCGTCTCCGCCCAGCAGCCACCCCGTCCGGGAGGGAGGTGGGGGTCAGCCCCCGCCAGGCCAGCTGCCCCATCCGGGAGGGAGGTGGGGTGTCAGCCCCCTGCCCGGCCAGCCGCCCCGTCCGGGAGGTGAGGGGCGCCTCTGCCCGGCTGCCCCTACTGGGAAGTGAGGAGCCCCTCTGCCCGGCCAGCCGCCCCGTCCGGGAGGGAGGTGGGGGAGTCAGCCCCCCGCCCGGCCAGCCGCCCCTTCCAGGAGGGAGGTGGGGGGTTCAGCCCACCGCCCGGCCAGCCGCCCCGTCCGGGAGGGAGGTGGGGGGGTCAGCCCCCCGCCCGGCCAGCCGCCCCGTCTGGGAGGTGAGGGGCGCCTCTGCCCGGCTGCCCCTGCTGGGAAGTGAGGAGCCCCTCTGCTGGGCCACCACCCCGTCTGGGAGGTGTACCCAGCAGCTCATTGAGAACGGGCCATGATGACAATGGCGGTTTTGTGGAATAGAAAGGGGGGAAAGGTGGGGAAAAGATTGAGAAATCGGATGGTTGCTGTGTCTGTGTAGAGGGAGGTAGACATGGGAGACTTTTCATTTTGTTCTGTACTAAGAAAAATTCTTCTGCCTTGGGATCCTGTTGATCTATGACCTTACCCCCAACCCTGTGCTCTCTAAAACATGTGCTGTGTCCACTCAGGGTTAAATGGATTAAGGGCGGTGCAAGATGTGCTTTGTTAAACAGATGCTTGAAGGCAGCATGCTTGTTAAGAGTCATCACCACTCCCTAATCGCAAGTACCCAGGGACACAAACACTCTGCCTAGGAAAACCAGAGACCTTTGTTCACTTGTTTATCTGCTGACCTTCCTTCCACTATTGTCCTATGACCCTGCCAAATCCCCCTCTGCGAGAAACACCCAAGAATGATCAATAAAAAATAAAATAAAATTAAATTAAAAAAAAAAAAAAGAGAGGAACCCACAAAAAAAAAAAAAAGAAAGTATATAAAATAAAATATTGAAGTCCTTTCCCATTAAAAAAAAAAAAAAAGAAAAAGCACGGACTCTTTCATCCAGTTCTGATGTGATTATCTCTGGAAGGCATTTTCTCCTCCTCTTCCCTCCACCTCCATTCAGAGTCACTGACTTATACCTTTTACATATTCACATGAAATTCACTTAATATATACACCTATATACTCACAAAAATTAAAAATTAAAATTAAAAAAATTCCTGGCCCGGCGCAGTGGCTCACGCCTGTAAATCCTAGCACTTTGGGAGGCCGAGGTGGGCGGATCACGAGGTCAGGAGATCAAGACCAGCCTGGCCAACATAGTGAAACCCTGTCTCTACTAAAAATACAAAAATTAGCCAGGTGTGGTGCACGTGCCTGTAGTCCCAGGGAGGTGGAGGTGGGAGAATCGCTTGAACACGGGAGGCGGAGGTTGCAGTGAGCCGAGACCACGCCATTGCACTCCAGCAGCCAGGGTGACAGTGAGAGTCCGTCTCAAAAAGAAAAAAAAAAAATTCCCTTAGGCCCAGTGCAGTGGCTTATGCCTGTAATCCCAGCACTTTGGGAGGCCAAGGTGGGTGGATCACTTGAGGCCAAGAGTTTGAGACCACCCTGGCCAACATGGTGAAACCCTGTCTCTACTAAAAATATAAAAATTAGCTGGGCATGGTGGTGTGTACCTGTAATCCCAGTACTCAGGAGGCTGAGGCGCAAGAATAGCTTGGGCCTGGGAGGCAGAGGTTGAAGCGAGCCGAGATTGTGCCACTGCACTCCAGCCTGGGTGACAGAGTGAGACTGTCTCAAAAAAAAAAAAATTTTTTTTTTTCATTTTTTTCAATATACAATCTGAAATGATCTTTTAAGTTTATATGCTCTGATTTTTTTTTTTAATCTAAAAGAAATCAGGACCAGGTGCAATGGCTCATGCCTATAATCCCTACACTTTGGGAGGCTGAGGAGGATTACTTGAGCCCAGGAGGTCGAGGCTACAGTGACCTATAATCAGCTTTGGGCAGTGGCAGTATCATAGCCAGTAAGGTTTATCCGAGGCACAATTATTACTGATTATTGCCAATTGAAACAGTGAGTTATGATCATGCCACTGCACTCCAGCTTGGGTGACAGAGACCTTGCTTCAAAAAAAGAAAGAGGTCAGGTGTGGTGGCCCACGCCTTTAATCCCAGCACTTCGGGAGGCTGAGGCAGGTGGATTACTTGAGGTCAGGAGTTTGAGATCAGCCTGGCCAACGTGGTAAAACCCTGTTTCTACTAAAGAAATATAAAAATTAGCCAGGTGTGGTGGCACGTGCCTTTAATCCTAGCCTGGGTGACAAAGCGAGGCAAGACTCCGTCTCAAAAAAAAGAAATCTGATAGACTTCACTTGTAATGGATATTTAATTCTATATTTCATGTTATCTTTTGTAAGAATTTAAGATTAGTCAACACCAATCCTATACTCCTCTAGAAAAGTATCTTTGTAGCTCTACTCATTATTTCTTATCTCTAACCTAAGTTACTTTATTACATATTAATCTGTTCATTTGTTCACTTGCTCATTGATGTAATAAATTAGTAATCTCAATTTATTGGTTACTTGTTTGATAGAGTCTTCAATGTAGAAATGTTGTCAAAGCTTTTTTAAAAAAATTTAAATAGGCCAGGTGCAGTGGCTCACGTCTGTAATCCTAGCACTTTCAGAGGCCGAGGCGGGCAGGCAGCTTGAGCTCAGGAGTTGGAGACCAGCTTGGGCAACATGGTGAAACCCCGTCTCTACCAAAAACACAAAAAGTTAGCTGGGCATGGTGGCATGCACCTATGGTCTCAGCTACTCAAGAGACTGAGGTGGGAGGATTGCTTAAGCCTGGGAGGCAGAGGTTTCAGTGAGCCAAGATCAGCCAAACCACTGTGCCTGGCCCACATAAGTAATTTTTAATTTGCTAGTATCCACATTCAAAAAGTAAAAAGAGGGGCCGGGTAGAGTGGCTCATGTCTGTAATCCCAGCACTTTGGGAGGCTGAGGCGGGTGGATCTCCTGAGCTCAGGAGTTCAAGACTAGCCTGGCTAACATGGTGAAACCTGTCTCTACTAAAAATACAAAAATTAGCCAGGCGTGGTGGCACATGCCTGTAATCCCAGCTCCTTGGGAGGCTGAGGCAGAAGGATCGCTTGAGCCTAGGAGGTGGAGGTTGCAGGGAGGTGAGATCGTGCCACTGCACTCCAGCCTGGGCAACAGCGCCAGACCATGTTTCAAAAAAAAAAAAAATTAGATTAAAAAAAAAAGTTTAAAAAGGCTGGGTGGGGTCGTTCATGACTGTACTCCCAACACTTTGGGAGGCTGAGATGGGAGGATCGCTTGAGCCTAGGAATTCAATACCAGCCTGGGCAATATGGCAAGAGACTGTCTTTATAAAAAATTAGCCAGGCGTGGTGGCACATGCCGGTAGTCCCAGCTACTCAGGAGGCTGAGGCAGGAGGATTGCTTGAACCTAGGAGTTCAAGGCTGCAGTGAGCCATGATTGCACCACTGCACTCCTGCCTGGGTGATAAAGCAAGACCCTGTCTCAAAAGAAAATTAATTTTAATGTATTTTATTTAACCCAATATTCCTAAAATATTTCAATATGTAAACAGTATTAAAAAAAAAAAATATATATATATATATTTTTTTTTTTTTTTGAGACAAGGTCTTGCTTTGTCGCCCAGGCTAGAGTGCAGTGGGATGATCATAGCTCACAGCAGCCTTGAACTAGGTTCAAGCGATCCTCCCAAGCTGGGATTATAGGTGTGTGCCCCCAACCCTGCCACCCCTGGCTTAACTTTTTTTTTTTTTTGAGACGGAGTCTAGCTCTGTCACCCAGGCTGGAGTGTAGTGGTGCCATCTCAGCTCACTGCAACCTCCGCCTCCCAGGTTCAAGAGATTCTTCCTGCCTCAGCCTCCCAAGTAGCTGGGATTACAGGCGTGTGCCACCACACCTGGCTAATTTTTGTATTTTTAGTAGAAACGGGGTTTCGCCGTGTTGGGCAGGCTGGTCTCGAACTCCTGACCTCAGGTGATCCGCCTGCCTCGGCCTCCCGAAGTGCGGGATTATAGGCGTGAGCCACCGTGCCCGGCCCAAATTTTTTTTTTGTAGACATAGGTCTCACTATATTGCCGAGGCAGGTCTCGAACTCCTGGGCTTAAAGGATCCTCCTGCCTCTGTCTCCTCCGTGCTGGGATTACAGGCATGAGCCACCGCACCTGGCGATATTTTGCATTCTTTTTTTCATACGACGTGTTTGAAATCCAGTTTGTACAGTGTTTTACATTTATAGCACATTCCCACTGGGACTAGTCACATCTGAAGTGCTCAAAAGCCACTATGGCTAGGGCTAACGTACTGGACAACACAATGCTAGAGGAGCCCGTCCCTGAGGACGCTGCAGTTTATAACATCATAGTTCCTCCTCTTTGGACTGCTGCTTTCCCCCTATGTATTAAGACTTGCAGAGTGTAAACAGGGCGCCGTGAGTGTGCAAAGCACACACACCTTCGCAAACGGCTCACTCTGAATACTGACCTTTCGGCTGTCCTACCTTCAACAGGTTTCCCGTGCATAGGAGATCCAAGACAGCAGAAGGCAGGAGCTGGCGGGACAGGGAGGAAGAGCGGCTCTGCCGTTTACTATCTGTGTGACGCTGAGCAAATTACACACGGTCTCTCTGACTCAGCTCCTTCCTGTCACAAATGGGGATATTTATAGTATTTCTCACTACGTAGGTCCTTATGCGCATTAAATGAGCTACTACACGGCATTCGGCATAGCGCCAGGCACACACTCAATGTTCAATACATGTAGGCGGTTAGCCCAGTAAACTGGTAGCCGGCCTGAGTAAGTCCCAGGAAAAGCCCAGAAACTCTGGAGACATTACAGCCCAGGTCGAGAACCACGGCCCGGGCCGTCCCGGACGCGGGCCCACCAAGCCTAGGGAAGCCGCTCGGCACCGCTTCGGCTTCTAGACTCCCTGGCCGGCTCTTTCCCGTCAAGGCTGCGGCTGGAGAGGACTGAGGGAGACCTAGGGAGAGGATTCCTCTTCTCCATCCACGGAGACAACTTGGATATGAACACCATGGATGTGAGGAGGTCCGCTGGAAGCAGGAGGGATGGACTCCTGGACTCTCCAGCTACCTGCGTGGTCCTCCCCGGTGTGAGGACAGAAGACCGGTCCTGGGCCGGGCCCGCATCCAGCCCTACCGCCGGTGTCTGAGGTGAGGGCTCCGTCAGCGGAAAACGCTCGACAACGGAGGGGCAGGCAGGGCCGGGGGCGTGGTCAACGCGGGCCCCGCCCCCCGGGCTCTACCCCCGAGCGTACGCGCGCGCCTGAAGCAGCCAACCAGGAAGCGCAGAGCAGGTTCAAACACAGACGGCGGGTGAACATGGCGTCCTCGACTTGGTCTGAGACGTGATAGGCCTGCCTTCTGGTTGAAGATGTGGCGAGTGAAAAAACTGAGCCTCAGCCTGTCGCCTTCGCCCCAGACGGTAAGCGGGAGATCTCTGGCGGAGAGAACTGGGCCGGGCTGCTGTCGCGGGGGCACCGGCCGTGTCTACTGTCCTGGAAAGTTGGGTCGAGCCCGGGGTTGGGGGCTTGTGGAGTCTTTGTTCGCCTTGCTGCTCCTGCGCGACTAGGGTGCGAGCGTACTCTTCTAATCGCATTTTGGGCTTCTTAGGGAGGGAGGAGGGGCGGGCTGGCAGAACCCAGGCTTCCTCACACTCGCCCTCTTTCTTGGTTTCTTTCTCAGGGAAAACCATCTATGAGAACTCCTCTCCGTGAACTTACCCTGCAGCCCGGTGCCCTCACCAACTCTGGAAAAAGATCCCCCGCTTGCTCCTCGCTGACCCCATCACTGTGCAAGCTGGGGCTGCAGGTGAGATTCGCCTGGACAGCTTCTCGACTGGGCTGTTTGCCCAGGGTGAGAGCTCAGGGGAACAGAGGGCCAGGGCTACAATAATTAATAACGATAATGAAGTCTTCTACGTCGGTGACATCCATTTACAGCTATTCAGGCCAACAGAGAGGTGCCCTAGGGTGGTTAAAGGAAATCCAGTGAGAACTTGAATCTCTGTTTAGCTGTTAGTTTTTATTACCTCCTCCTCCTCCCTTCGACCTTTATCAAACTATTGAGAAATCCTACCACCCTGATTAGTGCTCTTCCTCCAACATGGGGTCACTTACGGAAAGGTCAGTCACCTGCAAGATTGAGGCAATATCCATTTACTCTAGGAGGTAGTTAGAACTCTCCTGGGATCAAGTTACACCACTGGAAGGTAGGGTACTTGAATCACCTTAGTTTAAACTAGCTCCTTGCAGAATTGCCCTCACTGATTTGTACTTTTGTTAAACGTTTTGAGAGACGTAGCCATGTAGAAACTGCATTTCAGTTGCTGTCAAAACTTGTCAAGGAAGCAGCTTGACTCCTGTATAAGATTCCTCCAAGAAAGGCTTTAGGACTAACTGCCTGGAAAAATTGTCTTCCTGAAGAAATTGCTATCCTTTTCTTTCTGATAATGAGAACTATGTAGTTTACCATATTTTCCCTCTTGCTCTGCCTTCTAGAAAGCTCAAGGCCAAACTGGATCATCACATACAGCTACTGTTATAGCTGTATAGGAAGTTTTGCTTCCTCTTTTTTGACCATGACTTTGTTATTTCATTAATCGTATCTATTCATTTTCATGCATATGAATTATTTTTGGAAGGAGATGGGATATCAATAAAATAGGTATGAGGAGGAAAGAAGAGTGTATAGACAGATGACATCCTGAGTAACAGAAGTATGATGATAGCATAGCAGTCTTTCTTGAAAGAGTTGCAAAATACCTACTGTCCAATAGAACTTTCTGGGATGAGGGAAATATTTGATAATCTGTGCTGTCCAGCATGGTAACTACTAGTCACATGGTTATTGAGCACTTAAAACGTGGCTGAGGTGACTGAAGAATTGAATTTTTTTGTTTTTGAGACGGAGTCTTGCTCTGTCACCCAGGCTGGAGTGCAGTGGCGTGATCTTGGCTCACTGCAATCTCCGCCTCCAGGGCTCAAGCGATTCTCCTGCCTCAGGCTCCTGAGTAACTGGGATTACAGGTGCACACCACCACGCCTGGCTAATTTTTTGTATTTTTAGTAGAGACAGGGTTTCACAATGTTGGCCAGGCTGGTCTCAAACTCCTGACCTCAAGTGGTCCGCCCGCCTCGGCCTCCCAAAGTGCTGGGATTACAGGTGTGAGCCACTGTGCCTGGCCTGAATAATTGAATATTTAATTTAATTTAATTTAATTAATTTTTTTTTGAGATGGAGTTTCGCTCTTGTTGCCCAGGTTGGAGTCCAATGGCGCGATCTCGGCTCACCGCAACCTCTGCCTCCCGGGTTCAAGCGATTCTTCTGTCTCAGCCTCCGGCATGTGCCACCACACCCAGCTAATTTTTGTATTTTCAGTAAAGACGGGTTTCTCCATGTTGGTCAGGCTGGTCTCGAACTCCTGACCTCAGGTGATCTGCCCGCCTCCGCCTTCCAAAGTGCTGGGATTATAGGCGTGAGCCACTGTGCCCGGCCTGAATTTTTAATTTTAATTTCAATAGCTACATGTGGCTAGTGGCTATCATATTAGACAGTACAGCTTAAGATGAAAAATAAATAAGTACTAGGTGGAAATTAGCTCTATAGAGCTTATAGAATTTATTATGATTATTAATTAATTAATTAATTTTGAGATGCAGTTTTGCTCTTGTTCCCTAGGCTGGAGTGCAATGGCACGATCTTGGCTCGTTGCAACCTCTGCCTCCTGGGTTCAAGCGATCCTCCTGCCTCAGCCTCCCTAGTAGCTGGGATTATAGGCACGTGCCACCATGCCTGGCTAATTTTTGTATTTTTAATAGAGACGGGGTTTCGCCATATTGGCCAGGCTTGTCTCGAATTCCTGACCTCAGGTGATCCGCCCACCTCAGCCTCCCAAAGTGCTGGGATTACAGGTGTGAGCTATGGCGCCCAGCCTGAACTTATAGAATTTAACCATAATTATTTAATCACAATAGCAGAATACTAGATTGAAATCGAATTCTCCTTCCCTCTTAACTGCTGGGCTTACTACCTCCAGATGCAGTCAGCTACACAATGAAAAGGGTTTTTCCCCAATAAAATAGCAATTATTTTTGTTTTGTAAAAATTTTTTTTTTTTTGAGAGTCTCACTCTGTTGCCCAGGCTGGAGTGCAGTGGCACAATCTTGGCTCACTGCAACCTCTGCCTCCCGGATTCAAGCAATTTTCCTGCCTCACCCTCCCAAGTAGCTGGGATTACGGTGTGTGCCACCACGCCTGGCAGATTTTTTTTTTGAGACGGAGTCTTGCTCTGTCACCCAGGCTGGAGTGCAGTGGTGCCATCTAGGGTCACTGCAACCTCCGCCTCCCAGGTTCATGCAATTCTCTTGCCTCAGCCTCCTGAGTAGCTGGGATTACAGGCATGTATCACTACGCCCAGGTAATTTTTGTATTTTTAGTAGAGACAGGGTTTCACCATGTTGGGGGTCAGGCTGGTCTTGAACTCCTGACCTCGTGATCTGCCTGCCTCAGCCTCCCAAAGTGCTGGGATTACGGGCGTGAGCCACCGCGCCCGGCCTAATTTTTTTTTTTTGAGACAGGATCTCACTCCTTCATCCAGGCTAGAGTGCAGTGGTGTGATCTCGGCTCACTGCAACCTCTGCTTCCCGGGTTCAAGCAATTCTCCTGCTTCAGCCTCCCCAGTAGCTGGGATTACAGGCGCGTGCCACCATGCCTGGCTAATTTTTTGTATTTTTAGTAGAGGCGGGGTTTCACCACATTGGCCAGGCTGGTCTCAAACTCTTGACCTCAAGTGATCCACCCTCCTTGGCCTCCCAAAGTGCTGGGATTACAGGCGTGGGCCACTGCACCTGGCCTGTTTTGTAAATTTTTGATTATTAATAGATATTAATTGTTTGAAGCATTTGAATATATAAATGTATAAGGAAGAAATATTTCTGGTATCTTAGATAAATGTCATATTTGACAGTTCTTTCATACATCTCTTTATGTGTGTCTATTTTGTATATATGCACACACACACACACACACTCATCTTTATATTGTCTTTTTTTTTTTTTTTTTGAGAAGGAGTCTTGTTGTATCGCCCAGATTGGAGTGCAGTGCCGCGATCTTGGCTCACTGCAACCTCTGCTTCCCAGATTCAAGCGATTCTCCTGCCTCAGCCTCCCGAGTAGCTGGGACTACAGGCACCCGCCACCATGCCCAGCTAATTTTTGTATTTTGAGTAGAGATGGGGTTTCACCATGTTGGCCCAGCTGCACTCGAACTCCTGACCTTGTGATCTGACCGCCTCAGCCTCCCAAAGTGCTGGGATTACAGGTGTAAGCCACCATGCCCTGTCTTTTTTATTTTTTTTTTTGAGACAGGGTCTTGCTCTGTTACCCAGGCTAGAGTGCAGTGGTGTGATCTTGGCTTATTGCAACCTTGAACTCCTGAGCTCTAGCAGTCCTCCCACCTCAGCCTCCTGAATAGCTGGGACTACAGGTGTGAGCCATCATACCTTTTAATAATTTCAAAATTAAAGTAAGATACATGAAATTACAATAAAACATAACAGCATAACAAATTACTATAAAGTACACATCCATGTAACTAATACCCAGGTCAGTAAGTAGGACAGTACCAGAATATCAGAAGCCCTTTTTAACCTAACCTTGGTTTTGTTTCATCCACTAATATAAATGAGAAATTTCATATGTTTGATTATTATTATTATTATTTTTTGAGACGGAGTCTCGCTCTGTTGCCCAGGCTGGAGTGCAGTGTCACGATCTTGGCTCACTGCAAGCTCCACCTCCCGGGTTCACGCCATTCTCCTGCCTCAGCCTCCCAAATAGCTGGGACTACAGGTGCCCGCCACCACAGCCAGCTAATTTTTTGTATTTTTAGTAGAGACGGGGTTTCATCGTGTTAGCCAGGATGGTCTCGATCTCCTGACCTCGTGATCCGCCCGCCTCAGCCTCCCAAAGTGCTGGGATTACAGGCGTGAGCCACTGCGCCCGGTCTGTTTGATTATTTTTTTAATAAATAATTGGACTTTCTATCTAAAGCTTCCAGAATAGTTTTTTCTTCATTGTAGCACAGAAATTTTATAATTATGTGTCTAGCATGTATCTTTTCTAGTCAGTCCTGCTTAGAAACTGGTGAGCCATTTTAATGTGCAAACTCAGGTCTTTCATTAGGGTAGTTTTCTTCTAATATTTGTTAATCAGCGCCTCATGTATATATGTTCTCTTCTGGAATTTCTTTTATTTAACTGTTAGGTATCCTGGGTTTATCTTCTAATTCTCTTAGCTTTTTCTTCAGATTTACATTTCTTTATATTTTTATCTTTGCTTTAAGATATTTCTTCCACTTGTCCAGGCCAGTAATTCTAGTTTCAACTCTAATAATTTACTCTTTCAATTCATTTTACTGACATTTTTTATTTAAAATAATATTTATTATTTCTAAAATGTCTTTGTGTGTGTATTTATGTTGTAGTTAAAGCTTAAGTACTCGTTTTTTTTGTTGTTGTTCAGATTATCATCTGTGTCTTCCAGCAGCTCTGTTTTGTTAGGGTCTACCTTTTTTATTTATTTATTTATTTTTTTTTGAGACAGGGTTTTGCTCTGTCACCCAGGCTGGAGTGCAGTGGCACGATTTTGGCTCACTGCAACCTCTGCCCCCTGAGCTTCAGTGATCCTCCCACCTCAGCTTCCTGAGTAGCTGGGACTACAGGCACACATCAGCACCACCATGCCCGGCTAATGTTTGTATTTTTAGTAGAGATGAGGTTTGAACTCAAGCGATCCACCTGCTTGTGGCCTCCCAAATGCTGAGATTACAGGCGTGAGCCACTGCGCCCAGCCGAGAGGGAGAAGAACTTGTACCAACTCTAGATTCTGACAGAGCTTAAGCCTTCACTCACACCCTATGGACCCCTCCTATCTGTTCATCTAGAAGTGCGTTAGAGTTCAGAATGGAGATGAGTGGGGTCACTTTCAAGCTACCATCTGCCCACGATATGGATCTATATTCTCAGCCTGTTTATAATGTAGGCTGGTTCACTTGGAAGGACCCAAAATGGCTTAGCAGCTTTTCTTTCCCTACTATTGGGTCTCTATATGAGCAACAAAGATTAGCCAAGTTCTTACCTAAGCAGAGGTAGTAAGAATTCTTTTCTTTTTTGAGTGCACTATCTTGCACCTGTAATTGTATGTCGGGAACTGAATTGACTGCCTTAGACAACTACTTTTGTTTCCTTTGGCAGGAAGGCAGCAACAACTCATCTCCAGTGGATTTTGTAAATAACAAGAGGACAGACTTATCTTCAGAACATTTCAGTCATTCCTCAAAGTGGCTAGAAACTTGTCAGCATGAATCAGATGAGCAGCCTCTAGATCCAATTCCCCAAATTAGCTCTACTCCTAAAACGTCTGAGGAAGCAGTAGACCCACTGGGCAATTATATGGTTAAAACCATCGTCCTTGTACCATCTCCACTGGGGCAGCAACAAGACATGATATTTGAGGCCCGTTTAGATACCATGGCAGAGACAAACAGCATATCTTTAAATGGACCTTTGAGAACAGACGATCTGGTGAGAGAGGAGGTGGCACCCTGCATGGGAGACAGGTTTTCAGAAGTTGCTGCTGTATCTGAGAAACCTATCTTTCAGGAATCTCCGTCCCATCTCTTAGAGGAGTCTCCACCAAATCCCTGTTCTGAACAACTACATTGCTCCAAGGAAAGCCTGAGCAGTAGAACTGAGGCTGTGCGTGAGGACTTAGTACCTTCTGAAAGTAACGCCTTCTTGCCTTCCTCTGTTCTCTGGCTTTCCCCTTCAACTGCCTTGGCAGCAGATTTCCGTGTCAATCATGTGGACCCAGAGGAGGAAATTGTAGAGCATGGAGCTATGGAGGAAAGAGAAATGAGGTTTCCCACACATCCTAAGGAGTCTGAAACAGAAGATCAAGCACTTGTCTCAAGTGTGGAAGATATTCTGTCCACATGCCTGACACCAAATCTAGTAGAAATGGAATCCCAAGAAGCTCCAGGCCCAGCAGTAGAAGATGTTGGTAGGATTCTTGGCTCTGATACAGAGTCTTGGATGTCCCCACTGGCCTGGCTGGAAAAAGGTGTAAATACCTCCGTCATGCTGGAAAATCTCCGCCAAAGCTTATCCCTTCCCTCGATGCTTCGGGATGCTGCAATTGGCACTACCCCTTTCTCTACTTGCTCGGTGGGGACTTGGTTTACTCCTTCAGCACCACAGGAAAAGAGTACAAACACATCCCAGACAGGCCTGGTTGGCACCAAGCACAGTACTTCTGAGACAGAGCAGCTCCTGTGTGGGTAAGCGCCCCTATGTCCTTGCACCTCGTGAGTTCCATTACCCTGGACCTTCCCCTCCCATCCCTTCCCCTCCTTTTCTTTTCGTCATGTTCTTCTCTTTCTGCTGCAGCCGGCCTCCAGATCTGACTGCCTTGTCTCGACATGACTTGGAAGATAACCTGCTGAGCTCTCTTGTCATTCTGGAGGTTCTCTCCCGCCAGCTTCGGGACTGGAAGAGCCAGCTGGCTGTCCCTCACCCAGAAACCCAGGACAGTAGCACACAGACTGACACATCTCACAGTGGGGTAAGAAGGTTCCTCTCAAAGCTTGAGGGATCCCAGTGGGGATCCTTGGAATTTAAGCTGAGAAGCTGCCAGAGGGCAAAGGGGACTCCTATCACAGGCTTATACTTAGAACATTTGCAAAAGCTGAGAATCTGGGCAGTCACAATGGCTGATGCCTGTAATCCCACTGCTTTGGGAGGCCAAGGTGGGAGGACTGCTTGAGGCCAGGCATTTGAAACCAGCTTGGGCAACACAGCGAGATCCCATCCCTACAAAAGATTTTTAAAAAATCAGCTGGATATGGTTTTGCATGCCTCACTACTCAGGAGGCTGAGGCAGGAGGATCATTTGAGCCCAGGAGGCTAAGGCTGCAGTGAGCTATGATCATGGGCAAGACAGTGAAACCCTGTCTCTTAAAACAAAAAAGCTGAGGATCTGGAAAATCCCCTTAAAGCTGTGGGTAGTCACTCTACCCCTGGGGTACATCAGAACTTTCCAAAGGAGTGCAAGCAAGGAAACTTTTAAAGGAATTGGTTTTTAGATCATCATCTTCCACAAGTATTCTTTTTCTTCGTTTTTTGCATTGGTAGACTATATTTAATATTTTAAGAAAAATTATGAATAAGCCTAAAACATTTTTTAAAATAATTTTTAATTTTTGTGGTTACAGAGTTAGGTAAATATATTCATGGAGTCCATGAGATGTTTTGATATAGGCATGTGATGGTCAATAATCACATCATGGAAAATGGAAAATGGAGTATCTGTATCTGTCCCCTCAAGCATTTATCCTTTGTGTTACAAGCAATCCAATTATACTTTTAGTTTTTTTTTTTTTTTTTTTTTTTTTGAGACGGAGTCTCACTCTGTCACCCAGGCTGGAGTGCAATGGCCTGGTCTCGGCTCACTGCAACCTCTGCCTCCCAGGTTCAAGCGATTCTCCTGCCTCAGCCTCCTGAGTAGCTGGGACTACAAGCGCATGCCACCCCACCCGGCTAATTTTTGTATTTTTAGTAGAGACAGGGTTTCACTATGTTGGCCAGGCTGGTCTCGAACTCCTGCCCTCATGATCCACCTGCCTCAGCCTCCCAAAGTGCTGGGATTACAGGCGTGAGCCACTGCGCCTGGCCCCTGTTGTTTATGTGAAGAAGATTTCTCAGTGTTTACATCTGTCAGAATGGAAAGGAGTCAGCTGGCATAGTGGCTCACCCCTGTAATCTCAGTACTTTGGGAGGGTGAGGTGGGAGGATCGCTTGAGCTCAGGAGTTCAAGACCAGCCTGAGAAGTATGGTGAAACCTCATCTCTACAAAAAAATACAAAAATTAGCTGGGTGTGGTGGTGTGTGCCTGTAGTCCCAGCTACTTGGAAGGCTGAGGTGGAGGATCACTTGAGGCTAGGAGTTCAAGGCTGCAGTGAACTGAGATCTTGACACTGCACTCCAGCCTGGGCAACAGAGCCAGACCCTGCCTCAAAAAACAGAGTCACGAATTGTTGCTGAACTATTTCTTATTGCTGGAATTATAGTAATCCACAGATATACGAACTAATAAGGGGAAGGAATCTCCATCGATTTCATTAATAGGTGATTCCCAATTAAATTTTGCCGAGCATGTTTATTTTATTAGAAATTATATTACAGTGACTAATATACAACTGATTAAAAGATTTCTCTATCCTAAAGAAAGCTTTTTCACTTTAAAGCCTTCCGGTCAAAGGAATTTAAAGGAAATTTTAATTTAAATTTAGATGAACTTTCATTGTTGTTGCAGAGATGATGGTTAATAACAGATTTTATTTTTATTTTTTGAGATAGTTTCTTGGTCTGTCACCCAGGCTAGAGTACCATGTTGCGATCAGGGCTCACTGAAGCCTCAGCTTCCTTGGCTCAGGTGATCCTCCCACCTCAGCCTCCTGGGTAGCTAGGACTGTAGGTGTATGCCACCACACCTACCTAATTTTTTTGTATTTTTAGTAGAGATGGGGTTTTGCTATGTTGGCCAGGCTGTTCTCAAACCCCTGGGCTCAAGTGATCTGCTAGCCTTTGCCTCCCAAAGCACTGGGATTACAGGTGTGAGCCACTGTGCCCAGCTAATAACATACTTTAAAGCATAAAAATATATTACATTAGGCTGAAATTCTGAGAAAAATAAAAAATATATGTTCAAAGAGAAAAAGGGATGACATAATAAAATTTCTGACTGCTAAGAAGAGCTTTTTCTTGTATTTTTAAAAGATAGCAACTAGGTATCTCATCATTTTGGTGTATGTAGTATTTATGCCACTGGATATATTTAAGAGTAATCTAATAATTTTATTTTAGGCTGGGCATGGTGGCTCATACCTGTAATCCCAACACTTTGGGAGGCCGAGGCGGGAGGATCACCTGAGGTCAGGAGTTCAAGACCAGCCTGGCCAACATGGCGAAACCCCGTCTTTACTAAAAATACAAAAATTAGCTGGGTGTGGTGGAGGGCACCTGTAATTCCAGCTACTTGGGAGGCTGAGGCATGAGAATCGCTTGAACCCGGGAGGCAGAGGTTGCAGTGAGCCAAGATCGCGCCACTGCACTCCAGCCTGGAGGATAGAGTAAGACTCTGTCTCAAAAAAAAAAAAAATTATTTTAAATTGTCAATATTGGTAATATGCTGGACATTACAGCCTTTGCAACAATTTAAACTTAAGGGTACTTAGTTTTTGCAGGAAATATTAGAGGAAAGTAGCTAAAAGACCACTGTTGGCCCAATGTGGTGGCTCACGCTTATAATCCCAGCACTTTGGGAGGCTGAGGCCGGCAGATCACTTGAGGCCAGGAGTTTGAGACCAGCCTGGCTAACATAGTGAAACCCCATCTCTATTAAAAATACAAAAGTTAGCTGGGTATGGTAGTGCACTCCTGTAATCCCAGCTACTTGGGTGGCTGAGGCATGAGAATTGCTTGAACCTAGGAGGTAGAGGTTGCAGTGAGCCGAGATCACCCAGTGTACTCTAGCCTGGGCAACAGAGTGAGGCTGTCTCAAACAACAACAACAACAATGTTCTAGAGGATTGTATTACAACACAGGCCTAAGAAGGAAGGGAATGGTGGCAGGTGAAGGAATTGATAGCACCTCACCATTGTGGCTGTTGAGATAATAGGTGGCTGCTGCTAAGAAGAGATGGTCCCCAAATGTGCAGAGACCTCCTTTGAGTTGAAAATATCCTCAAAGTAATGACCTTACCATTTGCCAAAAATCCTGGAAACCATAAGCTCCATGTTCCTCCAGCTGTTCAATTTCCCTCCTGTTTTCTTATCTTTGTGTCCTTTCCTCTTGTTCTTGACCTTGTTTCCCATCCCTGAATCTGCCATGCATCCTCTTCCCCTGAAGGTTGCCAGGTCCCTTTGTAGGCCACTGAAGCAGAACCAAAGAGGGGAAATGACATACCTTTAGCCATTCTCCATCAGCATGCCATGTCCTTGCTGCCTGGCTGCCTCCTTCACATTAATCTCATCACCTGCCTGACTGTCCAGCTGAGCACGATGTGAGCCCTATCCAAGCTCATGTGCTACTCTGTGCCTTATTTCACGATGCAGCAGTGAATGATAACTGCTTTGCTGGGGAAGGGAGCCATGAACTCCAAGAAATCAGCAGTGCTGCTCCAGTAGTAACTTTTCCCCCAGATGATGGCTGCCTTGCCTCAGTAATGAAGACTCCCACTTTTCTCTTAGAACTTGTCTTCTGGGGTTCTACTGCCTTTGAGATCATACCTACTTACTCTATGCATACTATGAGTTTTATCTATCTGACCCAGGATAATGAGCAGACAATTAAGAAAGTAAAAATGATGAATAAATACCTAAGAAGGTTAGCATTATTGGCAATAAAAAATGCAAATTGAACAGTGAGATGCCATTTTCTTGTGACTCAATAGCAAAGAATAAAATAGGTAATGCTGGTAAGCATACTCTATTTATCTGCAGGATATAAATTGGTTCATCCTTTTTTTTTTTTTTTTTTTTTTTGAGACGAGGTCTCACTCTGTTACCCACACTGGAGTGCAGTGGCACGAACATGGCTCACTGCAGCCTCTACCTCCTGGGCTCAAGGGATCCTCCCACCTCAATCCAGCTGAGTAGCTGGGAATATAGGCATGTGCCACCATGCCTGGCTAATGAAAAAAAATTTTTTTTTTTTGAGACGGAGTTTTACTCTTGTTGCCCAGGCTGGGGTGCAGTGGCGTAATCTCGGCTCACTGCAACCTTGCCTCCCGGTTTCAAGTGATTCTCCTGCCTCAGCCTCCGGAGTAGCTGGGATTACAGGCACGTGCCACCACGCCTGGCTAATTTTGTAGTTTTAGTAGACATGGGGTTTCTCCATGTTGGTCAGGCTGGTCTCGAACTCCCGACCTCAGGTGATCCGCCCGCCTTGACCTCCCAAAGTGCTGGGATTACAGGTGTGCGCCACCGCGCCCAGCCTTTTTTTTTTTTTTTTAGAGATGGGGTTTCACTGTGTTGCCCAGGCTGGTCTTGAACTCCCGGACCCAAGTGATCCTCCTGCCTCAGCCTCTGAAGGTGCTGGGATTACAGGCATGAGTCACTGTGCCTGGCTAAACAAAGAAATTTTTTACCTACCTGTGGATTTTTCTTTCTGACTTGGCTTCATTGAATTGAGTACTTTGCTTCTGCTTTTAATAGGAAAGGTGGCTGGGTGTGGCAGGAGCACTTTGGAAGTCCGAGGCAGGAGGACTGTTTGAGGCCAGGAGTTTGAGACCAGCCAGGGCAACATAGCAAGACCTCATCTCTACAGAAAATAAAAAATAAATAAAATAGGAAAGGCTCCTATAACTCACTGGGTGGGAGGAAGAATGAGGTGCTGGTGGTACATGTTGCCTACTCAAAAGGAACAACTTGGCTGGTCATGGTGGCTCACCCCTGTAATCCCAGCACTTTGGGAGGCCGAGTCGGTGGATCACTTGAGGCCAGGAGTTCAAGACCAGCCTGGCCAACATGGTGAAACCCCGACTCTACTAAAAATATACAAATTAGCTGGGTGTGGTAGTGCATGCCTGTAATCCCAGCTACTTGGGAGGCTGAGGCATGAGAATTGCTTGAACCTGGGAGGTGGAGGTTGCAGTGAGCTGAGATTGTGCCACTGCACTCCAGTCTGGATGATAGAGCAAGACTCTGTCTCAAAAACAAACAAACAAACAAAACAAGGAACAACTCTGTTTTTCTGGCTAGATAACTAATAAACTTCAGCATCTTAAGGAGAGCCATGAGATGGGACAGGCCCTACAGCAGGCCAGAAATGTCATGGTAAGTGATGATTGACCTTACACCACCACTGGGTCTCCTGTGAAGATGAAGAATGGAGAATCCTGGGTGGTTAGTAGATGGTGATACTAAGTCGTGGTGGTGAAGGGAGGTTTCCAAACATTTGTAAAGTACATCTCCTTATGCGGAGCTTGGAATTGGGGTTAGCGGTTTTCCTCCCCAGTGCCCCTGTTTCCTGCTTAGTGACTTTATTTGATCTCACCTACCCATTTTTTTCTCTACAGCAATCATGGGTGCTTATCTCTAAAGAGCTGATATCCTTGCTTCACCTATCCCTGTTGCATTTAGAAGAAGATAAGACTACTGTGAGTCAGGAGGTAAGCAGCCTGAAGATGGAGGTGGAGGCCTGTGGTGGGACTAAAAGCCATAAAGAGGAACCAGACACATTAACTGATTCTTACCATATAGTCTCGGCGTGCAGAAACATTGGTCTGTTGCTGTTTTGATTTGCTGAAGAAATTGAGGGCAAAGCTCCAGAGCCTCAAAGCAGAAAGGGAGGAGGCAAGGCACAGAGAGGAAATGGCTCTCAGAGGCAAGGATGCGGTAAGGTGACAGGCATTTGTTCTTGGATGTGGGAGGTTTCCACCTCAAGGTTCCTGCAGGAACACAAATGCACTTTAGACACAGATGGGTGGCCTAAGAACTGCCTGCCCTGGGCAGTAAAGAACTGATCTATTGAGGTGTCATGGTTACATCTTTTTGTGCTGGCTCCCCTGTTGCCCACTGTGGCCTTGCAACCACTTCCCTCAATAGGCAGAGATAGTGTTGGAGGCTTTCTGTGCACACGCCAGCCAGCGCATCAGCCAGCTGGAACAGGACCTAGCATCCATGCGGGAATTCAGAGGCCTTCTGAAGGATGCCCAGACCCAACTGGTAATTTAAGGGCATTTTCTTTCCTGGGGTCTGTGCTGACAGACTGGGAGGGTAGTTGCATACTCCCACTTTGCTGTATCCAAAGGGAAGGGGTTCCCGCCTAGGCAATCTTTCTTTTGTAGGTAGGGCTTCATGCCAAGCAAGAAGAGCTGGTTCAGCAGACAGTGAGTCTTACTTCTACCTTGCAACAAGACTGGAGGTCCATGCAACTGGATGTGAGTATTTGGGACCATCATAACTAATTCCTTACTCACATCAAGTCCTGTTGTGAGCTTTGCCTCAAGTGTGCTCTACTGACCTGCTTGCTTCCCCTGGTAGTATACAACATGGACAGCTTTGCTGAGTCGGTCCCGACAACTCACAGAGAAACTCACAGTCAAGAGCCAGCAAGCCCTGCAGGAACGTGATGTGGCAATTGAGGAAAAGCAGGAGGTACAAACCAAGAGTGGGGACTGCTTAGGCTTGGTTTCCTTCCTAATGTGTGATACCATTAGCCTCTTACCCTGGATCTGTTTTCTTTTCACCCTGTGGGTTTGGAGGCCAGCCAGTAAGGTCTCTTAGCTGTAAGATGGCCTTAAGCGCAGTTTTTTCCTTTGCCCTTCAGCATCTTTACTTCAGCAACTTTTCTCCTGTCTCTACTTTTTCCTGAGGATCAACCTTATTTTCTGCAATGTTGATGCCCAGGAGCAAGGTAGTTTTCTGTCTTGTCCAGAAAGAGAAGCTGGACCAAGTCCTGGGATTATTGATTCAGGAGGAACTATAGGAGGAAAACCATCTGTTCTTCCTAGGTTTCTAGGGTGCTGGAACAAGTCTCTGCCCAGTTAGAGGAGTGCAAAGGCCAAACAGAACAACTGGAGTTGGAAAACAGTCGTCTAGCAACAGGTGTTTGTGTGTGTGTGTGTGTATGCATGCATGTAAGCATTTGAGCCCTGTTAAGGCTTGGAGTGTGGCACTAGAGCAAGGAAGTACTCAGGAGCACTTGCTTTGGAGCAGAAGTTTGGGGAGTTTCTAGCCTGCTGACCGCATGGTGTCATTAGGATACTTTTGTTCTAGATCTCCGGGCTCAGTTGCAGATTCTGGCCAACATGGACAGCCAGCTAAAAGAGCTACAGAGTCAGCATACCCATTGTGCCCAGGACCTGGCTATGAAGGATGAGTTACTCTGCCAGCTTACCCAGAGCAATGAGGAGCAGGCTGCTCAGTGAGTTCCTAACGGGGTACTGTGGCAGTAGGCATCCAGGATTTAGGACCAAATGGGATCTAATATGTTGTCTCTGGCAGATGGCAAAAGGAAGAGATGGCACTAAAACACATGCAGGCAGAACTGCAGCAGCAACAAGCTGTCCTGGCCAAAGAGGTGCGGGACCTGAAAGAGACCTTGGAGGTAAGGAATATGGCTTGGGCCAAGGGAGCTGGTAAGCCTCAGGAGTGTGATTCTTGCCTGATAGTGTTGAGGTAAGGTTTGAGACTGTGAACTAGAAAAAGCCTCTGTACCCAGGGCACTAAAATTCTCCCTCCCTGTCTTGCTCCTTCTCTTGTCTTCCCAGTTTGCAGACCAGGAGAATCAGGTTGCTCACCTGGAGCTGGGTCAGGTTGAGTGTCAATTGAAAACCACACTGGAAGTGCTCCGGGAGCGCAGCTTGCAGTGTGAGAACCTCAAGGACACTGTAGAGAACCTAACGTAAGTTCTCTAACTTTCTGTACTTCCCCCTAAGTGCTTATTTTTTTCTCAGGAACACTTCTAGAAGCCAAAATCTCCAAGAAGAGAACTGTGAGTGTTGAGCCTCTTGTTTCTCTCCTTTAATGCAGCTCTGTGGGGATTTGGGATAGGCGTTCAGAGAAGGTAATTTGGTCTTTGGTCATCTTCCCTGTTCCTTATTTCAGGGCTAAACTGGCCAGCACCATAGCAGATAACCAGGAGCAAGATCTGGAGAAAACACGGCAGTACTCTCAAAAGCTAGGGCTGCTGACTGAGCAACTACAGAGCCTGACTCTCTTTCTACAGACAAAACTAAAGGAGAAGGTAGGATCCTGGGGTTCCTTCTCTTCTCTTCCAATTGTATCTTTATTTTACAGATAGTCTTCCTAAAACATTACTCTTTTTCTAACTGTGACCTTTTATGATTTCAGTTACCTACAGGACCTCATTAGCCTGTTGCTCAAACCTTTCTTCCCCTGTCTCCTATCTCCCTATTATGAACACTTTGCCCCAGCTAGACTGCCTGTATGCTACACACATGTCCCCATTTTTATCCCCAGAACCCAGACTCTGGCTGTTCCCACATTCATTCTATTCTTTCTTCAAACTGGAAATGCCTTTTCTATTAAAATCCTCCCTTCCGACCTGGGCAACGTGGTGAAAACCATCTCTACAAAAAAATACAGAAATTAGCCCAGGTGTAGTGTTGTGAACCTGTAGTCCCAGCTATCTGGGAGGCTGAGGTGAGAGGATCACCTGAGCCTGGGAAGTTGAGGCTGCAGTGAGCCATGATCATACCTGGCTAATTTTTTTGTATCACTGCACTCCAAACTGGGTGAGAGTGAAACCCTTTCCCCCACAAAAAAAGAAATCTTCCCTGGTTTACCTTCTTTGAACTGTTCCCAAATCAAATCATGTGGACCCGGTGATCTTTTCTTCTGCCATATTTCTCATGAACTTACTCTTCTTTTGTATTTGTATTAATTTTCCTTGGATACCTGGTCTCTTCAACCAGACTATGTTTCAAGAAAGCAGAAATATAGCCTTCTTTGGCCTCCCTGCAGTGTGCACTAAACAATAAATGGTTGACATCATTCAGAATACAAAGGTAATTAGCTTATTCAGCAGATAAGGCACAACAAATATCCTAAAATCTGGCAATTGCTTATGACCTGATCCTCTTCCCCAACTGGGTACCGAGCACAGGAAATGCCATCAAATCTACAGTTTAGCATGGAAGACAAACAGATGTAAACTTGTCATCTTGACTTATGATCATGGTAGAGGTCTGCATGGACCACTGTGAGAGATAGAGAGGGGAGCACCACTTCAGCCTTCGAGAATTAGGATGCCTTCTCAAAGCAGCTGACCTTGGGTACAGTCTTGAGGTTTAGACGTTTGTGGGGCAGGGGAGGGTATTTAGGAAGTCCCACTAGGCAGAGGGAACGGTGTATGAAAGTTTCATCTGACTACATATGAGAGTCGTACGTAGAAAGTCATGCACATAGTACATGATGTGTTCTTTTTTATAGTGTCTACCTTATAAAACCTGGGTTAGGTGCTGGGACTAGAGGATGAACAAGGCAAGATGCTGCTCATATGGAATGCAGCAAGTCTGAGGAATGGGAAGCAGCTCTTCATGGCTGCAGCGTGAGAGCTCTGTGGGGCAAGGCAGGAGACAACACTGGAGAAGTAGGCAGGAGGCCAGATTTTGAAGGCTTGAAATAATGGCAGTTTTATAGGCAGTAGAAAGGAGAGGATGGAGTGAATGGATTCAATAGATATTTAGGAAGCAGAGGCAGTAGAACCAATTTGATGTAAGAGTGACCAATTTGATGTGAGAGTAAGTTAGAAGAGTGAATGATGATCCTTAGATTGCTAGGAAAGAGGGCCCAGCGGGTCAGCTGTGTTAGTGTGTGGAGACTAGGGCTAGTGACACCTCCGGGTCAGCTCTGTGCCCAGGAAGCACTTCAACCTGTGTGGCAGGAGGGATAGCAATAGGAAGCACTTCAATTCCCCACAACTCAGACACCCAGACGGGAGGGCAGAGGACCAAGGCTGAAAGGAGTAGAGAGCCTGAGAGAGAGATGAGACTGAGGGGAGCTAGTGGTGACTCAGGCTAACCAGTCAGCGGGAGAGACCTAGACCGGGGGGCAGAGAAGGCGGGAGAACTGGAGAGAGGACCTAGCCTAGGAGGAGAGGGAGCAGGCTGAGAAGGAAATGCTCTGGGTAGGAGAGACAGACTCCAAGGAAAAATCCAACAAGTAGAGGAGGATTTGGGATTGGAAAAGCTGAGGTCCAGCTGGGAGAGCTGAAGAGGGATAGAACAGAAGAGGTTGAGCCATGGGGTTTCAAGTACGCGGAAAGGAGCAAAGATGTTAGGAAAGGGTCGAAAGGGCACATCCCGGAGTCCCAGGTAGCAGGACGAGGATGGCAGGGGAAGAGCCAAGGAAATGAAGCGGAGATGTTGAGTGGCTCCCGCCTTGCCTGGCCTTACCTGTGCGCAGCCAGTTAGCAGCCGCAGCCACAAGCACAGCTACTTCAGGACTGAGGCCAGCAAGCTTTTCCTATAAATGGCCATATAATAAGTATTTTTGGCTTTTTGGGCCATATGGTCTCTGTCTCAACTACTCAATTCTGCCTTTGTAGTTCAAGAGCAGCCATAGATGATACAGCCATTAATGGGTCTGGCTGTGTTCCAATAAAACTTTATTTACAAAAATAGTTGGCAGGCTAGATTTGACCTGTAGGCCACAATTTGCTAGCCTTCCCTCTCCCTGCTCTAGAATAGTAAATACAGGAGTAGGAACAGACTTTTGATAGGGTGTTCCCTATCAGGGCACAGGGAAAATGGTGAACTCAGCTTCATACATACTAAGTTGACAGATTGACTGTGGAACCTTCTGGTAGATTCTTCACAGGCAGTTAGCCTTTGAGTCTGCAGACTGGGAAAAAGACTGGGAAAAAGTTGAGAGAGGGATGGAAGAGTCATTCATGTGGAAGGGAAGTTTGAAGTAGATGTTTTTGTGATGCTCCCAAGGCAAGGCCACCCTGGGAATGAATTAGAGTAAATTTAGGGCCAAGGACTTAACCCAGAGGATCCAGCAGTTAAGGAAGGACCTGTGAATAGAGAAGAAATAACCAGAAAGGTGTGGGGCCTGCCTTTAAAGGAGAGAGACTCATGTCCTGGAAGCTAAGAAAAGGAAGTTTCTAAAAGAACAATGTGGTCATCAATATCAAATAGGTCAGGTAAAACAAGAGCTGAAATATATGCATTGCATTTGAAAGTAAGGCTGCCATTGGTGAACCAAATGACAAGAATTTAGGTGGAATGACAGGGGAGAAGCCTGAGTGTAGTGGGCTGGGGAGTCAATAGATGGTGAGAGTTATAAACAAGAAGTATAGGCTCTTTTTTTCTTTCTTTTTTCTTTCTTTCCTTTCTTTCTAGAAAAGGCAGTAGCTAAAAGGGGATTTAAGGTAAGAAGAAGGGTTTTGTTTTGTTTTGTTTAGGTTTGTTTTTAAAATACTGCTGTTTTTGTTGGAGAGGCTTAAGAATATAAACATGTTCAGAGAAAGGCACTAATGGAGAAGTTGAAGATAGAGAATTGAGATAATAGGTGGAACAGCATTTTGGAGGAGATGGCTGGGAGTTACCTGGAAGCCCAGGAGTTCACTAGACCTGAACAGCAGCTATTTTTTCTTCTTTGCCCTTAGACTGAACAAGAGACCCTTCTGCTGAGTACAGCCTGTCCTCCCACCCAGGAACACCCTCTGCCTAATGACAGGACCTTCCTGGGAAGCATCTTGACAGCAGTGGCAGATGAAGGTTAAAGGCCCTGGGATTTGGGGGTGGGAAAGTTGTGACGCTGCTCCTGATATCTTCTGCTGTTGAAGATGTCCACCAGCGGGCTTGTCTATCTTACCCTGGCTTCCATTATGGTAGACCCCTGCCTGGATCATCAGAGGGGCCCTCTCCCATTATTGGTTTTTCTCTTAGAGCCAGAATCAACTCCTGTGCCCTTGCTTGGAAGTGACAAGAGTGCTTTCACCCGAGTAGCATCAATGGTTTCCCTTCAGCCCGCAGGTTAGGAGGGGCTCCAGGGATCCTGCCTCATTTCTAGAAAATCTGGTGGTGATGAGTAAAGACGAAAGCAGTGAGAAGTGCTTTGCTCTAAAAACCTCAATTCTACTTGGGCTCATTTTATTTCTGCCTTCTGGGATCTGTAATGTTCCAGACATTCAAATCCTGTGGGTGGGGAACACGGATAAGAGTTGTGGAAATGATGGCTATACACTCCTTCCTTCCAGGGCTGGAAGGCTAGACCTCTATCTGGGACTTTCTCTTTCAGAGACCCCAGGCATGGAGGAGAGCCTGGCAGAAATGAGTATTATGACTACTGAGCTTCAGAGTCTTTGTTCCCTGCTACAAGAGTCTAAAGAAGAAGCCATCAGGACTCTGCAGCGAAAAATGTGAGTGGGATGCAGTTTTGGTGACAGAGGGACAGTGAGACATCCTCTTATGCCAAGGGTCCAACTGATCCCTGAGAGGACAGGAATGTTGCTAAATTCTTCCTTCCTTCAGTTGTGAGCTGCAAGCTAGGCTGCAGGCCCAGGAAGAACAGCATCAGGAAGTCCAGAAGGCAAAAGAAGCAGACATAGAGAAGCTGAACCAGGCCTTGTGCTTGCGCTACAAGGTGAAGGAGGGACCTAGAAGTGGGGCGATGAAGAACTGGGGCAGCTCTACTGGCCCACTGGGAGCCATTATCTCTCCAGGAATCTGGGTGGTGGGGATTTTCCAACCACTGCCCTAGTTTTGCCCTTCCTGGGGTCAGACATTTCACATGTCAGCTATGGGCTGACCTGTCTTCCCAGGCTGACTCAGGAGAGAAGTCAGGAACTCTAGCAGAGCTCTCCCAACACTGAAATGTGCCTTGCCTGGCTTGGCCCTGGGGAAAGAATTGGCGTGATATCAATTGGTCCCATGTGGGCTAAGCATGGGTCAGGCACTCTCTCCTACCTCCTGGCAAGGGCTGTGAAGAGACCAGCTCTTCATGTGTCTTCTCACCTCCCTTTCCCTCACAGAATGAAAAGGAGCTCCAGGAAGTGATACAGCAGCAGAATGAGAAGATCCTAGAACAGATAGACAAGAGTGGCGAGCTCATAGTATGTTCACCATCATGCCCAGGCCTTTGCCTTCTGTGTTACTGGTCAGCCAGGATCCCAAGTATGAGAAATGGTTTGCTTTTGTTCACCACATGTTGTCTATCCTTATGTCCTATTGGACACCTCTCCATTCTCATTCCCAGAGCCTTAGAGAGGAGGTGACCCACCTTACCCGCTCACTTCGGCGTGCGGAGACAGAGACCAAAGTGCTCCAGGAGGCCCTGGCAGGCCAGCTGGACTCCAACTGCCAGCCTATGGCCACCAATTGGATCCAGGAGAAAGTGTGGCTCTCTCAGGAGGTGACTCAGAGTTAACAGAGGAGCTGGACAGCAGGTGGGGACCCCAGGCTGTACCCCTGTTGATCTGGACATATTTCTAGGTGGACAAACTGAGAGTGATGTTCCTGGAGATGAAAAATGAGAAGGAAAAACTCATGATCAAGTTCCAGAGCCATGTAAGAATGTCCATGCCATTCCAGGGCCATTTCCTACCATCGTTAACAAATGCCCCGCCATGTTTCCCCTGTCCTACCAAGTTTGCTCTTTTATGCATAGGACTTATAAAATCTGTTTGCTTTCTAGAGAAATATCCTAGAGGAGAACCTTCGGCGCTCTGACAAGGAGTTAGAAAAACTAGATGACATTGTTCAGCATATTTATAAGGTATAGGCAGGAGGGAGGTGATATCACTAATGAACCTGGTACAAGGCCTGGCCCCAGGAGGTACTAATGAGCACAGATCTGGTTCCCAGCCTGTGCTGAGAGCTGGGCCTGAATCACTATTGCAGGCTTCTCTGTGGTGTCTGTTTTCTCCCCTCTAATTCAGCGGCTGCCTCCTGGGGCTGGGAGCCCTGGGCCTTAAGTCTGTGGTCCTGAGCTGCGTTTTCTGCCTCTCTTCCCAGACCCTGCTCTCTATTCCAGAGGTGGTGAGGGGATGCAAAGAACTACAGGGATTGCTGGAATTTCTGAGCTAAGAAACTGAAAGCCAGAATCTGCTTCACCTCTTTTTACCTGCAATACCCCCTTACCCCAATACCAAGACCAACTGGCATAGAGCCAACTGAGATAAATGCTATTTAAATAAAGTGTATTTAATGAATTTCTCCAAGCTTACGGAATCTTACTTTTTGGGTGAGAGGGGGCGGATGATGAAGTCAGGGAAGAAGCAGCTTGGGCCTCCTGCCTGGGCACCCTCCATAGATCCCTCTCCACCTCCTGCTGCATCCAAAGCCAAGGCTGCCTGCCCTTCCTCCCTTCCTCTGCTTTCACCAAAACTCTGGGCACTGGACTGCTTGTTCCCTGGCTCACCGCCTGGAGGAAACAGAAAGGCTTCATTCTCTTACTTTCCCCAGCCCCCTCGGGGGTATACCCTGGCAAATATGGGGGTGAGGACAGAGAAGCTCAGTTCATTACTTCCTGCCCTGAACTTGGGCACCTTGAAGATGCTTCTGCCCCACCTACTCAACCTGTTGTTACTGTTCTGGTGCCTCCTCTTCACCAGACTAAGCTTAATCCCCAGCATCCAGCAAGTGCCCGGCACGTGGTAAAGGGATTGTGGCAGAAATGAACGCAAGGTCATGGCCAGGCTCCCCGAGGTGGGAGGGCAGTCCCTAACAGCCACGGATGCCTGGCGGGGCGCTCACTCCACCTCGCCGCCCCGCCTCTGAGGGCGTGGTCTTGCCCCGGACACCAGTCCTGGGGAGGGGGTGTGGTCAGGGCGGGGCATGCAGGCCACGCCCCCGGAGGAGTCACGTAGCTCTGCGACATCCGCAGCCTCATTTACCAGAGGGAGCCAGGGCTGCAGCCTCATCTGTTTGCGGATCAGAACCCGAGCTGTGCTTGTGGCTGCGGCTGCTAACTGGCTGCGCACAGGTAAGGCCAGGCAAGGCGGGAGCCACTCAACATCTCCGCTTCATTTCCTTGGCTCTTCCCCTGCCATCCTCGTCCTGCTACCTGGGACTCCGGGATGTGCCCTTTCGACCCTTTCCTAACATCTTTGCTCCTTTCCGCGTACTTGAAACCCCATGGCTCAACCTCTTCTGTTCTATCCCTCTTCAGCTCTCCCAGCTGGACCTCAGCTTTTCCAATCCCAAATCCTCCTCTACTTGTTGGATTTTTCCTTGGAGTCTGTCTCTCCTACCCAGAGCATTTCCTTCTCAGCCTGCTCCCTCTCCTCCTAGGCTAGGTCCTCTCTCCAGTTCTCCCGCCTTCTCTGCCCCCCGGTCTAGGTCTCTCCCGCTGACTGGTTAGCCTGCATCACCACTAGCTCCCCTCAGTCTCATCTCTCTCTCAGGCTCTCTACTCCTTTCAGCCTTGGTCCTCTGCCCTCCCGTCTGGGTGTCTGAGTTGTGGGGAATTGAAGTGCTTCCTATTGCTATCCTCCTGCCAAACAGGTGAAGTGCTTCCTGGGCACAGAGATGACCCGGAGGTGTCACTAGCCCTAGTCTCCACACACTAACACAGCTGACCCGCTGGGCCCTCTTTCCTACATCACTGCAGCCCCACTGGGGCCAACCTCTGGTACTGGGTGGGAATAGGCAATAGGCATAGGCAGGCAGGTTTGGAGTACAGAAAAGGAGAAGCTGCAGGAGCCTGTGACTGGTATTTGTGCCACTCCTACTCCCTACCTGTTCTTCCAACCTTTTCCTCTAGAAGCTGAGAGAAGAGGGTGGCAATAAGTACTTTTGCCTCATTCTGAAGCCTTGGAAGTAAGTACACTTTCCCTAGGGGTCCTGTGGAGGATGAGAAAAGGGAAGCTGGAAAGGCCAGGACTTTTGCCTACCTCAACAAGGGACCAAGTTCAGTGAAAGAAGGGTTGGCATCCTTGATTGGGCAGCAGATTTATCAGAAGAGCTGTGGCTTCAGGGCTGCTCACCTCCCCACCCCCACCCTGCATCTTTCCCCAGGGCTGGGAAGGATGCCTACCAGGGACAAAAGGAGATGTGGGAACTGGAGCCCTAAGCTTGCTAGCTGTCAGAAGGACTGGTGCCACTTGATGCCCAGGACTCATGCCAAGGACTGCTGCCCTGTTCCCAGCCCCTTGCTTGATGGGGAGGCCATTTGGCCCATCTGGCCAGGAGAGGCAGCAGAGGGTGAGGTCTGGCTTTTTTATCTTGTCTCCACTCCAGGGAGCTGTCACCATGCCTCACTCGTACCCAGCCCTTTCTGCTGAGCAGAAGAAGGAGTTGTCTGACATTGCCCTGCGGATTGTAGCCCCGGGCAAAGGCATTCTGGCTGCGGATGAGTCTGTAGGTAAGTGGACATCTGTAGCCAGGTAGGGTACAGGTGGCTAGGGGACCCTGGGGATGTTCTCACTGCCTCTCTTTGTTTGCCCCTAGGCAGCATGGCCAAGCGGCTGAGCCAAATTGGGGTGGAAAACACAGAGGAGAACCGCCGGCTGTACCGCCAGGTCCTGTTCAGTGCTGATGACCGTGTGAAAAAGTGCATTGGAGGCGTCATTTTCTTCCATGAGACCCTCTACCAGAAAGATGATAATGGTGTTCCCTTCGTCCGAACCATCCAGGATAAGGGCATCGTCGTGGGCATCAAGGTGCAGCCCCTGGCCCTGCTCTGAATGGAAGCTGGGTGTGAAAATAAGCTTGTGTAGGAGGGGTAGCAAGGAGAATCCTGCCTGGATTCAACCCTCTGCTTGTACTTCCTCTACAGGTTGACAAGGGTGTGGTGCCTCTAGCTGGGACTGATGGAGAAACCACCACTCAAGGTATAGGATGGGTGGGCTTGAGGACCAAAGAGGTGTTAGATAGTTGATGCTGGTAAAAGAGGGGCAGAGTAATGAGGTTGGCACTGTGCTTGCAGGGCTGGATGGGCTCTCAGAACGCTGTGCCCAATACAAGAAGGATGGTGCTGACTTTGCCAAGTGGCGCTGTGTGCTGAAAATCAGTGAGCGTACACCCTCTGCACTTGCCATTCTGGAGAACGCCAACGTGCTGGCCCGTTATGCCAGTATCTGCCAGCAGGTGTGTGTGTTGGGAGGGTGGTGAGCTAGGTGCCCTGTATGCCTGGTGGGGAGAGAGTCACAAGGCTTTCTTCATCTCCCCTACTGCCCCTCCCAAGCATCTCTGCTCTTGCCTGCAGAATGGCATTGTGCCTATTGTGGAACCTGAAATATTGCCTGATGGAGACCACGACCTCAAACGTTGTCAGTATGTTACAGAGAAGGTGAGTCCACACCTGGGCACACAAACATACTGCAGGGACAGCTCGGCAGGAGTGTCTGTTCCCCAGAACCCCCAGCTTAGATCCAGGCACACTTTCCCCTAGCACTTTTTCACTTCATCCCGGCACAGGCCTGTGATCTGAGCCTGTACTGAGCCCTCACAGTCTGTGCCCATCTACCCCTACATAGGGAGCATCGAGCAGTAACCAGTGGGGGCCCAGACCCTTAGTAAACCTCCTCTAATCCCCACCCAGGTCTTGGCTGCTGTGTACAAGGCCCTGAGTGACCATCATGTATACCTGGAGGGGACCCTGCTCAAGCCCAACATGGTGACCCCGGGCCATGCCTGTCCCATCAAGTATACCCCAGAGGAGATTGCCATGGCAACTGTCACTGCCCTGCGTCGCACTGTGCCCCCAGCTGTCCCAGGTACTACCCAGCTCCCTAACCTGCTCCTATCCCTAAGGCCCATCTTCAGGTCCTTCTTGTGGCCTTCAGGGGTTCCCTATCCTGGAAAAATTGGGAGTGACCAGTCAGTTTGTCTTCTCTCCTCCACACTAGGAGTGACCTTCCTGTCTGGGGGTCAGAGCGAAGAAGAGGCATCATTCAACCTCAATGCCATCAACCGCTGCCCCCTTCCCCGACCCTGGGCGCTTACCTTCTCCTATGGGCGTGCCCTGCAAGCCTCTGCACTCAATGCCTGGCGAGGGCAACGGGACAATGCTGGGGCTGCCACTGAGGAGTTCATCAAGCGGGCTGAGGTTGGGAGCTACAGGTGGTGGTGGGTGGGGGCAGCACCCAGAGGCTATAGCCTGGGCAGGGCTTGGCACCTGTGGGCTGGCTCAGCCTGCTTACTCCACGCTCCCTTTTGCAGGTGAATGGGCTTGCAGCCCAGGGCAAGTATGAAGGCAGTGGAGAAGATGGTGGAGCAGCAGCACAGTCACTCTACATTGCCAACCATGCCTACTGAGTATCCACTCCATACCACAGCCCTTGGCCCAGCCATCTGCACCCACTTTTGCTTGTAGTCATGGCCAGGGCCAAATAGCTATGCAGAGCAGAGATGCCTTCACCTGGCACCAACTTGTCTTCCTTTCTCTCTTCCCTTCCCCTCTCTCATTGCTGCACCTGGGACCATAGGATGGGAGGATAGGGAGCCCCTCATGACTGAGGGCAGAAGAAATTGCTAGAAGTCAGAACAGGATGGCTGGGTCTCCCCCTACCTCTTCCAGCTCCCACAATTTTCCCATGATGAGGTAGCTTCTCCCTGGGCTCTCCTTCTTGCCTGCCCTGTCTCCTGGGATCAGAGGGTAGTACAGAAGCCCTGACTCATGCCTTGAGTACATACCATACAGCAAATAAATGGTAGCAAAACATTCTACTTTGCCTGTCTGTTTTACACATCAAATTCCCACCTCCCAGTTTCTGATCTCTGCTAATTCTATCTCTGGGCCCTCTGACTCTGGAGGTGGAGAGGGTGGGATTTGAGTCTTACTGGGCTTCAAGTTATGGAGGAAGGGCACATGCAGTCACCATCCCCAGCTCAGGCTCTTGCTCTCTTGATGTCCAAGTCTGGAGTGGGGCAATGAGGAAGACTGCAAGTCTTCTAGGGACTGCCACATCAGTGGCACTGGGCTGCAGCTACAGAAGTATGGAGTGAGGCCAAACTGGCAACTCCTGAAGGCAGATTTGTGCAAGGCTCAAAGCAGGGAGGCAGCAAGACAGGCTGGGATAAGAGTGGGTGGGAGTCTCTCCCATCTCGCAGTGTTAAGCCCAGCTGGGACCTGGTACCTTCCACTAGGGTGAGCCACACCAGTAAGGGCAAGCGAGCACCTGGACTCCCGCCCAAAGAGGAAAACCAAGGCTCTGCGGGCTGCCAGGGCTGAGCAGGGCATCTAGGAGGTTGCCAAGGGCTATGGCCCATTTTCATTTGGGGTAGAAGTGGGCACAAAGGGAGCCAATTGGAGGGTCTGGGTAAGGACAGCTCTGGTGAGGCCTGATGCTGAACTTTAACCACTGGGCTGGGTTGTGAGGTAGGCTGAGAACCTGGGTCTAAGCAGATAAAAAGAAGAGATAACAAGCTGCGTGTGTTCTGTGTCAACTGGGGAGGCTACAAATGCTCCACCCTGTGTGGCCTGACTTTATAATAACAAAAATAGCTTGCACATAGCACCAACCCTGTTCTAATCACTTTATATGTACTGACACATTTCATACAACTCTATAAAGTAGGTACTATTACTATCATCCCTATTTTAATAGAGAAAACAGGCACAGATAGGCACAGAACGATCTTCTCACGATCACTCACCTAATAAGTGATGAAGCCAGGATTTGAACCGCAGTGATCAGCATCTAGAGTCTGGGCTCATGACTTTTCAAGATTTTTAAGTGAAGTATTCTGAGTTTTCCAAGTTGGAAATGAATTAAAACGTATTTTAAAATAGCGAGAGAGCCAATTGTGCTAAAACATACTAGCTTGCTACCTCCGTGTTTGAGGCTTTGAGGAGAGGGCACCCTAAGAGGAGTTCTACGATAAGGATAATAAGACCGTGACAGTTGACGTTGAGGGCTTTCCGTGTGCCAGGCTCCTTACAAGAACGGCCTCATTTATGTAAATATCTCCATTTTCAGATGAGCCTCGGAGCTGCCTGTAGTTGCCCAGCTAGTATTTAAGGACTGCAGAGGTTGCGCTCTTGATTGCGGGGCTAGAAGTGTGTTCTACAGGGAAGCGGGGAACTTCGTTCCAGCAGCGCCGAAACCCGCACGGCCCCTAGGCTGTCCCTCCGCGCCCGGGTGACTTCCTTTCAGATCCCCAGCGAAGCTCCCAGCGGAGCCCTCCCACCCCTCGCCCGCTTGCTCCCGTCTGCGGGTCTGGAGTAGCGCTCGCGATTGGCCCCGATCACCGCCGCGGTCCTGCCCCCTCGTTGCAGAGATTCCGATTGGGTGAGGCTCACGAAGCTCTGCCCCCACGGTGGCCGGAGCAGCCGGAAGCTAGCATGGCGGCCGCCGGGGCTGCGGCTACACACCTAGGTGCGGTGGGCTTCGGGTGGGGGGCCTGCAGCTAGCTGATGGCAAGGGAGGAATAGCAGGGGTGGGGATTGTGGTGTGCGAGAGGTCCCGCGGACGGGGGGCTCGGGGGTCTCTTCAGACGAGATTCCCTTCAGGCTTGGGCCGGGTCCCTTCGCACGGAGATCCCAATGAACGCGGGCCCCTGGAGGCCGGTGGTTGGGGCTTCTCCGCGTCGGGGATGGGGCCGGTACCCTAGCCCGTTTCCAGCGCCTCAGTCGGTTCCCCATGCCCTCAGAGGTGGCCCGGGGCAAGCGCGCCGCCCTCTTCTTCGCTGCGGTGGCCATCGTGCTGGGGCTACCGCTCTGGTGGAAGACCACGGAGACCTACCGGGCCTCGTTGCCTTACTCCCAGATCAGTGGCCTGAATGCCCTTCAGGTGAGACTGCTGTGCGGGAGGGTCGGGGGACAGCCCCCCCGGCAAGGTGGAGACTCAGTGACGGCCCTGATGCTCCTTCCTGTAGCTCCGCCTCATGGTGCCTGTCACTGTCGTGTTTACGCGGGAGTCAGTGCCCCTGGACGACCAGGAGAAGCTGCCCTTCACCGTTGTGCATGAAAGAGAGATTCCTCTGAAATGTGAGTTACTGGGGATCAGGGCTGCTTTTCGCCTCTGAGCTCAGTTCAGAGCTGAGTTGGGTGGGAGGAGCGGGGGTGTACCATAAACGCAGTTAAAAACTTACTGTTGAAAGACCTCTGAATGAACAGTGTGTTTGGTCAGAAAAAAACTACTTTCAAATTCACAGTCACTAAATAGCAATTTTACTCGTAAGACAGGCTACCTAATCGGAAGCAGTTGATGCCCATCAGGGTATAGGGGAAGAGGTGGGATATAGTGGAAAGAACACAGAGTTTGAAATTAAATTGGATTTGCATATAGGCCCTATTTAGTTTGTTTGTTTATTTATTTATTATATTTTGAGACGGAGCTTCGCTCTGTCGCCCAGGCTGGAGTGCAGTGGCGCCATCTTGGCTCACTGCAACCTCTGCCTCCTGGGTTCAAGCGATTCTTCTGCACCAGCCACCCGAGTAGCTGGGATTACAGGCGCGCGACACTACGCCCAGCTAATTTTTGTATTTTTAGTAGAGACGGGGTTATGCCATGTTGGCCATGCTGCTCTCGAACTCCTGACTTCAGGTGATCCGCATGCCTCAGCCTCCCAAAGTGTTGGGATTACAGGCGTGAGCCACCGCGCCCAGCCCCTATTCAGTTTAACATTAAACACTTTACTGGGGTACTTTTTTTTAGGTACCAAGAATTTAGGAATGAATAAGAAATTGATAATGGTTTCAAGATGTTCATAGGTAGGGGAGAAAGATAAAATAAATTACAGTAGAAGTATACAAGAAACAGAGATTGCACTTAGTAAAGAGTATTAACCATCTGGGAGGAAAGAAAGGCAGAGAAAGTTTTGAGAGATGTAATTCTTAAGTCGGATTTTTAAAGGATGTGTAGGAATTCAGGTTAAGTGGGAAAAGGAGGGAGAGAATTTCAGGCAAAGTTAATAGCATGAGACAGTATAAGGATAGCTGATAGTTGTTGCTCGCTGTGTGCCAGAAACTAGGTGAAGCATTTTATATGTGTTGCCTCATTTAATCCTTTCTAATGATATGATCCCCATTTTATAAATGAAGAAACTGAGCCTTAGAGAATTTAACTTGTGCAAGGTCACACAGCTAGTAAGAGATGGAACTGGGATTTAAATCCAGGCCTGACTGATTCCAGTGTTCAAGCTTTTAACCAACAAACTATACTCCTGTGTGAAAGTGTGGCGGGGTGAATCAGCATATTGGGGGACCTATGAGCAGTTTTGCCTTACTGGAATGTGTAGTGAAAGACTGGGAATGACTGGAGATTTGGGCTGAGTCTAGAGCATGAGGCATCTGTGTGCCATTTACTTTTTTAGTTCTTTAGCCTTGGTGAAAACTTTTCTTTTCTTTTTTTTTTTTTTTTTTGAGAAAGGGTCTCTCTTTGTTGCCCAGGCTGGAGTATGGTGGCACGATCAGGGCCCACTGCAGCCTTGACCTATTGGGCTCAAGCGATCCTCCCATCTCAGCCCACCTGCCTTAATAGCTGGGACTACAGCCGCACACCATCACACCCAGCTGATTTGTTTTGGTATTTTTAGTAGAGATAGGGTTTCGCCATGTTGCCCAGGCTGGTCTCGAGCTCCTGGGCTCAAGTGATCAGCCTCCCAAAGTGCTGGGATTACAAGTGTGAGCCACCGCACCCGGCTGGTTAAAACATTTTTTTAAAAAAATGATATTTCGTATGGTTCAGCCTCTGTACACACACAAACTTCTGGTTTTCTTTCTTTTTTTTTTTTTTTTTTGAGATGGAGTTTCGCTCTTGTTGCCCAGGCTGGAGCGCAATGGCACGATTTTGGCTCACTGCAACCTCTGCCTCCTGGGTTCAAACGATTCTTCTGGCTCAGCCTCTGAAGTAGCTGGGATTACAGGCGCCTGCCACCACGCCCAGCTAATTTTTTGCATTTTTAGTAGATACGGGGTTTCACCATGTTGGCTAGGCTGGTCTCAAACTCCTGACCTCCAGTGATCCACCAGCCTCGGCCTCCCAAAGTGCTGGGATTACAGGCGTGAGCCACCATGCCCAGCCAAACTTCTTGTTTTCTAAACAAAAATTGGACTATCCCTCACAAGTTAGTTTGAAATTTGATTGTTTTCAGTTTATCATGGATTTCTTCATATTTGATAACACAGTGTTCAGTAATATGGGTATACTGTAAACGTATAGTATAGGCAACACGTATAAAGGGTGACCAAGAGTATAGAATCTGGGATCAGAGAGCTGGAATTCAAGCCTTATTCTGCCACTTATTTGTGTAAATTTGAGTAAGGTTGTTAACTTCTCTAAACCTTGGTTTCCTCATCTGTTAGACGGAAATAGTAATAGCGTTGTTCATTTATTCAACAAGTATTTACTTTGTAGCTATGTCAGATACAGTTCTAGTTACTAGAGATATAGCAGTGAACAAAACAGACAAGAAGAAGACAATAAAAAAGACAAAGCTGGATGTGGTAGCTCACACCTGTAATCCCAGCACTTTGGGAGGCCGAGGCAGGCAGATCACTTGAGATCAGGAGTTTGAGACCAGCCCGGCTAACATGGTGAAACCCCATCTCTACTAAAAATACAAAAATTAGCCGGGCGTGGTGGCGGGCGCCTGTAATCCCAGCTACTTGGGAGGCTGAGGCAGGAGAATCGCTTGAACCTGTGAGGTGGAAGTTGCAGTGAGCCAAGATCCCACCACTGCACTCCAGCCTGGGTGACAAAGACTCCATCTCAAAAAAAAAAAGAAAAAAAGACAAGTAAGTCAAATGTATGTTAGATGGTGACAGAAGAAAAATAGAGCAGGACAGGAGGAGAGGGAATTTTCTTGAGGAATGGGAGGGGATTGCAGTTTTAGATAGGGTGGACAAGGGAGGTCTCATTGAAAAGAGGACATTCGAGTAAATACCTAAAAGGCGAGGGAATAGACTGTGCAGATATCTGGGGGAAGAGCATCTTGGCAGAGGGAAAAGCATGTCTAAGGTCCCGAGTTAAGAGCAAGTGTTGTACCTTTCAGGAGCAGTGAGAATCTCCTTGTGGCTTCACTGGAGTGAATGAGGAAGAGAGAAAGAGGAAATGAAATAAAACCAGAACAGTAGAAGGGGGCTGAATCACTTAGGGCCTGGTAGATCACTGTGAGAATTTGCATTCTAGGCTTTTATTCTAGATAAGAAGGGAAGCCATTGAAGGTTTTTTGTTTCTTTTTTTAAACATGACTACCATTGTCACACCTAACTAAGTTAGCAGTGATTCCTTAATATCACCTAATTCTCAGTCTGTATTTAGATCTCTCCAGTTATCTCCAAGGTATCCTTTCACAGATGGTTTATTCCATCAGGATCAATAAGTTGCATTTGTCTTTTTGTCACTTTTATTTTATGTCAGCTCCCCCCACCCTACCCCCATACATTTCTTTCACACCATTGATTTGTTGGAGAAACCAGGTCATTTGTTTTATAGAACATCTCACATTTGGGATTTGGCGAGTAGCTTCCTCACAGTTTAATTTAACTCATTCCTCTAGCATCCATATTCCTTATAAACTGGGAGTTAGATCTAGTGGTTTGATTAAAGCCAGGTTCAATTTTTTGGATGAGAATACATTGTAGGTGGTGCAGTGTACTTCCTATTGTGTTGTATCCTGAAGCACTTAATGGCTAGTTGTTCCATTTTGGGTGATGCAAAGATTATGTAGTGAGTTCAGGTATTGTCAGCCTGATCTCTATATTTTAGAGTTTCTCATCAACCTTTTACATATTTTTAGCATCTATTTGATCATGGAATCCATTTCATTAGCAGTCACAAGATAATGCTTTTTTTAATTTTTATTTTTTTTAGAGACAGGGTCTCACTCTGTCACCCAGACTGCTGTGCAGTGGCTCAATCATAGCTTACTGCAGCCTTGAAATCCTAGGCTCAATCAGACCTCCCACCTCAGCCTCCCAAGTAGGTAGGACTACTGGTGTGTGGCCAGGCACAGTGGCTCACGCCTGTAATCCCAGAACTTTGGGAGGCCAAGGCGGTGGATCATTTGAGGTCAGGAGTTTCAGACCAGCCTGGGCAATGTAGTGAAACCCCTTCTCCACTAAACATACACAAATTCGCTGGGTGTGGTGGTGTGTGCCTGTAGTCCCAGCTACTCTGGAGTCCAAGACAGGAGAATTGCTTGAACCTAGGAGGCAGAGGTTTCATTGAGCCAAGATTGTGCCACTGCATTCCAGCCTGGGAGACAGAACGAGACTCTGTCTCAAAAAAAAAAAAAAAAAAGTAGGCTGGGCGCGGTGGCTCACGCCTGTAATCCCAGCACTTTGGGAGGCTGAGGCGGGTAAATCACTTAAGGTCAGGAGTTCAAGACCAGCCTGCTCAACATGGGAAAACCCTGTCTCTACTAAAAATACAAAAATTAGCTGGGTGTGGTGGCACATGCCTGTAATCCCAGCTACTTGGAAGGCTGAGGTAGGAGAATTGCTTGAAATGGGGAGGCGGATGTTGCAGTGAGCCGGGATCCCACTGTTATTCTCCAGTCTGGGCAACAGAGCCAGATTCCATCTCAAAAAAAAACCCAAAAAAACAAAAAAAAAAAAAAAAAGAAAAGAAAAAGTAGACAAGGGGTCCTTTTTTTTTTTTTTTTTTTGAGATAGGGTCTGACACTCAGGCTGAAGTGCAGTGGCCCAATCATAGCTCACTGTAACCTTGAACTCCTGGGTTCAAGTGGTCCTCTTACCTCAAGCTCTCAAGCTCCCAAGTAGCTGAGACTACAAGAATGTGCCACTGTGCCCAGCTAATTTTTTATTTATTTTATTTAATTTGTTTATTTATTTATTTATTTTGAGACAGAGTCTCACTCTGTCACCCAGGCTGGAGTGCAGTGGCGCAATCTCAGCTCACTGCATCGTCCGCCTCCCGGGTTCAAGTGATTCTCCTGCCTCAGCCTCCTGAGTAGCTAGGACTACAAGTGCACAGACACCATGCCTGGCTAATTTTTGTAATTTTAGTAGAAACGGGGTTTCACCATGGTGGCCAGGCTGGTCTTGAACTCCTGGCCTCGAGCAGTCCGCCTGTCTTGGCCTCCTAAAGTGCTGGGATTACAAGCGTGAGCCAGTGCACCTGGCCCCAGCTAGTTTTTAAATTTTTTGTAGAGACGGGGTCTCACTGTGTTCCCCGAGCTGGTCTCAAACTCCTAGGCTTAAGCAATCTTCCCACCTCGGACCCTAAAGTGCTGGAATTACAGGCATCAGCCACCACACCTGGCCAAATTAGTGACTTTTACAATTCTGTCATTTCTTCTTTCTGGAAGAAATGTATGACCTGGAATTCTTTTATAAAGAAAAGAGGAACTTTTTCAATAAATTTTAGGTTTAGCTTGTCAAGTTTCAGGAGGCAAAAAAAATCCCTTCAGGATTGCCTTACATGTATATATTAATTTGGGGAGAGTTGACATCTTTATAATAGTCTTTATAATATGACATCTTTATAATATTCATCTAGGGGCCTTGTATGCTATTCCATTTTGTTCAGATATTTTATGTCCTTCAGTAAAGTCTTGAAGTTTTCTTCTTATAGTTTTATACATTTATTCCTGGGTATTTTTATACTTTATTGTTAATGTGATTGAGGTTTTAAAAGATGTTTCTAATTGGATATTGCTGGTATTTATGCGGGTATTGATTCTTGCATATCCTTGTATCTAGTCATCTTATTGAACTGTTGCTAGTTCTAATAGTTTTTCAGTTGGTTCTCTGATTTTCTTGAGAAATAATTATGCTACTTCAAAGTGGCCATTTTATCTGTTTCTTTCCAATACTTTTAAGTTTTCTTTCTCTTTCTTCACATATTACATTGGTCAAGAACTTTAGAAAGAACAATACTGAATAACAATGAGAATAGAGGAGATAGCAGGCATCCTTGTTTTATTACTAACTTTACAGAATTATGTTTAATATTTTGTCATTAAGTGTGTGGTTTTTATTTTTTATTTTTTTGAGACAAGGTCTGGTTCTATTACCCTGGCTGGAGTGCAGTGGTGCCATCTCAGGTCACTGCAACCTCTGCCTCTCAGGCTCAAGTCATCCTCCCACCTCAACCTCCCAAGTAGTTGGGACTACAGGTGTGCACCACCATAACTGCCTTTTTTTTTTTTTTTTTGAGATGGAGTTTCGCTCTTGTTGCCCAGGCTGGAGTGCAATGGTGTGATCTCGGCTCACTGCAGCCTCCGCCTTCTGGGTTCAAGTGATTCTCTTGCCTGAGCTTCCCGAGTAGCTGGGATTACAGGCGCCTGCCACCACACCCAGCTAATTTTTTGTATTTTTGGTAGAGATGGGGTTTCATCACGTTGGCCAGGCTGGTCTCAAACTCCTGACCTCAGGTGATCCACCCGCCTTGGCCTCCCAAAGTGCTGGGATTACAGGTGTGAGCCACCATGTCTGGCACATACCTGGCTAATTTTTGTATTTTTTGTAGAGTTGGGGTTTCATCATGTTGTCCAGGCTAATCTCCAACTCATGAGATCAAGGGATCCGCCTGCCTTGGCCTCCCAAATTGCTGGGATTACAAGCATGAGCCACCGTGCCCAGCCTGTGTATTTTGTTTTTTATCAGGAACATTCACTGAATTTAATTATTTTGGGGCAGTGATTGGAATGACCATACAGTTTTTCTCCTTTTGCCTATTAATGTAATGACTATTGAAATAGATTTCCCAGTGGGAAGACGTTTCACGCTGAAGGACCAGTGTGTGCAGAGGTGAAGGCAAGAGCTGCGGCAGATGGGCGAAATGGGTGTCATGTGTTTGATATCATCTATGCAGAAATCATTAGAGTTGGCTGCAGCTGCTTGGTCTTTTTCTGTAAACAGCCATCTTGCTGTCCTCAGATGCTGGACAGTGTTAGGTCTGGGAAGGTGGGCAGAGGCATGATGCTTGCCCTTTTCATTGTGCTACTTCTTATCCCTCCCAGACAAAATGAAAATCAAATGCCGTTTCCAGAAGGCCTATCGGAGGGCTTTGGACCATGAGGAGGAGGCCCTGTCATCGGGCAGTGTGCAAGGTATGGGAAGGGATGAGCACACCATTTTAATGTGAAGCCCTCTTTTTCCTTCTGATCTCTAAGTGCATAGTTCCCATGCTTTGGCTTACTTCCAAAACCTCTCTTGGAATGCTGGGAATGAGGAACTGTGGGATTCAGCCCAGTCCACTGAGGGCCAGAGAGGTTGATTGGCTTACCCAAGCCTGACCACTGTGTCAGCTGAATGTGAGTGAAGGGGTGGGTTAGGCATTCTTTGGGGCTGGGGGGAGATGGAATGGTGTTTTGCTCTTGGTGTACCACCTGTTCTTGCCCCCAGAGGCAGAAGCCATGTTAGATGAGCCTCAGGAACAAGCGGAGGGCTCCCTGACTGTGTACGTGATATCTGAACACTCCTCACTTCTTCCCCAGGTAAGGTAACAGAGAGGCTGCGACTTTGCCTTATCCCTTCAGCTCGTGGACTCCTGGGTCACCTCCTTCTTGCATCATTGCTACCCATTTCTTCCATTTGCTACAGAAAACTCTCCAAAAAAAAATTTTTTTTTTTTTGAGACGGAGTCTTGCTCTGTTGCCTAGGCTGGAGTACAGTGGCGGGATCTCGGCTCACTGCAGCCTCCGCCTCCCGGGTTCAAGTGATTCTCCTGCCTCAACCTCCTGAATACCTGGGATTACAGGCATGTGCCATGTAATGTATTTTTAGTAGAAATGGGGTTTCACCACGTTGGTCAGGCTGGTCTCGAACTCCTGACCTTGTGATCTACCTGCCTTGGCCCCCCAGAGTGCTGAGATTACAGGCGTGAGCCACCGCACCCGTCCTCCACATATTTTTAATAAAGAATGCTGGCTGGGTCTGGTGGCTCACACTGTAATCCCAGCACTTTGGGAGGCCGAGGCGGGCAGTTTGCTTGAACTCAGGGGTTCAAGACCAGCCTGGGCAACATGGCAAAACCCCATCTCTACAAAAAATAAAAAAAATTAGCTGGATGTGGTAGTCCCTGTTACTTTTGGAGGCTGAGGCAGGGGGAGCGCTTGAGCCTGGGAGGTGGAGGTTGCAGTGAGCTAATATCATGCCATTGCACTCCCCATCTCTACTAACAATACAAGAATCGGCCGGGTGCGGTGGCACATGCCTGTAATCCCAGCACTTTGGGAGGCCGAGGCAGGCGGATCACTTGAGGTCAGGAGTTTGAGACCAGCCTGGTCAACATGGTGAAACCCCATTTCTACTAAAAATACAAAAATTAGCCGGGCGTGGTGGTGGGTGCCTGTAGTCCCAGCTACTCGAGAGGCTGAGGCAGGAGAATCACTTGAACCCAGGAGGTGGAGGTTGCAATGAGCCAAGATAGTGCCACTGCACTCCAGCCTGGGCGACAGAGTGAGACTCTGTCTCAAAAAGAAAATTTATAATCAAATATTTAATTTTTATAAAAGCACTAAAGAAAATGTTAATGAACGTCCCCATCCCCACCCCCAGCTCACAAACTGCAGTGCAGTAGCACGGTGTGTACTTCCATGGTTATACTCCATTCCCTTTTGGCCCAAGGCAACCAGATTTTGTGTTTGTAATTTTCTTGCTTTTCCTTAGAGTTTGATCACATATGCTGTATCTCTGTAAACAATGTATTTAATTTTACATTTTTGAATTTATATAAATGGTGGCTTATAACACATGTTCCTCTGCCACTTTTATTTTATTCCCTTCATGTGGCAGAGCCTGGTGAGAGAATCATCCATAATTATGTAGTTGAATCTATGTATCATTGTATAAACATAAACATAATTTACCCATTCTATTGCTAATGGACATTTGGATTATTTCTAGGTTTTACTGTTAGAAATAATGCTATTATGAATACTTGTTTCTTTGCCATGTGCCATTTTTATATCAGACTCTCCAGTTGTCTGTTTATTCCGCTTTTCTTGCTCAGCATGCCATCTCTGAGTTTCCATTTCACCATTTTACCAGCCCCTGAAGAGTTAGATGCTGCCTGGACCCATGTCAACTGGGAAAAAGAAGAGAACGGAGACAAATGAAAATACTCAATATATACTCATAGCTCAGAAATGCTGAGTTAATAGCTCATGAATCTCAAGAGAGGTGCAAACCTGTTGGTCATTGGCAAAGGGGCAGATTCGGAACAGTAGGAGCCAGGGTGCTTTTTGGCTTTCTTTTCTGAGCCATGGGCATTCTGTCTCTTGCTCACCCCCACAGGACATGATGAGCTACATTGGGCCCAAGAGGACAGCAGTGGTGCGGGGGATAATGCACCGGGAGGCCTTTAACATCATTGGCCGCCGCATAGTCCAGGTGGCCCAGGCCATGTCTTTGACTGAGGATGTGCTTGCTGCTGCTCTGGCTGACCACCTTCCAGAGGACAAGTGGAGCGCTGAGAAGAGGCGGCCTCTCAAGTCCAGCTTGGGTAGGGCACCAGGCTCTGCCACATGAAGGGAGAGGAAATGAATTACATGGGGCAGGAGGGAAATCTGCATGCCAACTTCTTTCTCCTTTCTTCTCTAGTCTCAATTTTTTTCTTATTTATTTTATGTTATTATTATTATTATTATTTTTTTTAGTTATTTATTTTGAGACGGAGTCTCACTCTGTTGCCTGGGCTGAGTGCAGTGGCACTATCTCGGCTCACTGCAAGCTCCGCCTCCCGGGTTCACGCCATTCTCCTGCCTCAGCCTCCCAAGTAGCTGGGACCACAGGTGCCCGCCACCACTCCTGGCTAATTTTTTTGTATTTTTAGTAGAGACGGGGTTTCACTGTGTTAGCCAGGATGGTCTCGATCTCCTGACCTCGTGATCTGCCCGCCTCGGCTTCCCAAAGTGCTGGGATTACAAGTGTGAGCCACCACACCTGGCCTATTTATTTTATTTTATTTTTTGAGACAGAGTCTTGCTCTGTTGCCCAGACTGGAGTGCAGTGGCGTGATCTTGGCTCACCACAACCTCTGCTTCCCACGTTCAAGTGATTCTCACTCCTCAGTTTCCTGAGTAGGATTACAGGTGCATGCCACCATGTCTGGCTAATTCTTGTATTTTTATTTTTATTTTATTTTTTTTTGAGACGGAGCCTCCTGTCGTCCAGGCTGGAGTGCAGTGACGTGATCTTGTCTCACTGCAACCTCCGCATCCCAGGTTCAAGCGATTCCCCTGCCCCAGCCTCCTGAATAGTTGGGATTACAGGCGCCCACCACCATGCCTAGCTAATTTTTGTATTTTTAGTAGAGACGGGGTTTCACCATGTTGACCAGGCTGGTCTTGAAATCCCAACCTCAAATGATCTGCCTGCCTCGGCCTCCCAAAGTGCTGGGATTACAGCGTGAGCCACCACACCCGGCCGATATTTGTATTTTCAGTAGAGATGGGGTTTCTCCATGATGGCCAGGCTGGTCTTGAAGTGCTGGCCTCAAGTGATCCGTCTGCCTCAGTCTCCCAAAGTGCTGGGATTACAGACATGAGCCACAGCGCCCGGCAGCTTTTTCTTACTCAGTGTTCCTCATCCCAGTTTTGTCCTCCTTTTGGTTCCATGATGGAAAGCAGCCCCATTCCAGAGGAGAAACAAGTTCAGCTCAGCTGGGAGTACAGGCTGCCCCTCTTCTTTGATCCACAAGAGCCTCTGACTTCCCTGACTCCTGTTTCTGTAGGCTATGAGATCACCTTCAGTTTACTCAACCCAGACCCCAAGTCCCATGATGTCTACTGGGACATTGAGGGGGCTGTCCGGCGCTATGTGCAACCTTTCCTGAATGCCCTCGGTGCCGCTGGCAACTTCTCTGTGGACTCTCAGGTGAGACCGGGAGCAAGTTGAGGAGTCCTTTTCAATGTCTATACATATTTACAAGTGCAGTCTGTTCCTCCATCTCTTAGAGCTTGCTGATTTGCTAGGAATTTCCTGTGTGTATATGTATGTGAGTGTCATAAGGGTGGGTACTGGGGGTGCGTGTGTGCCCTTGTCTGTGTCCATCCATCCATTGAGGGCAGATTCTGGTGTCTTTACTTCCTTGGCATCCTATTGAGAGAGTTTGTCAGTGCTTGTTAACAAACCACCTTCCTATAGCTCCCTCTAGACCTGTACTCACCAATTGTGCTTAGATGTTAATGCCATGACCCATCTTTTTTTTTTTTTTTTTTTTTTTGAGACAGAGTCTTGTTCTATTACCAGGCTGGAGTGCAGTGGTGTGATCCCAGCTCACTGCAACCTCCGCCTCCCAGGTTCAAGCGATTCTCCTGACTCAGCCTCCTGAGTAGCTGGGATTACAGGTGCGTGCCACCATGCCCAGCTGATTTTTGTATTTTAGTAGAGACGGGTTTTCACCACATTGGCCAGGATGGTCTTGATCTTTGCCCAGCTGATTTTTGTATTTTAGTAGAGATGGGGTTTCACCACGTTGGCCAGGATGGTCTCGATCTTTTGACCTCGTGATCCACCTGCCTTGGCCTCCCAAAGTGCTGGGATTACAGGTGTGAGTGATGGAGCCCAGCAGAGCCATTCTTAAGGAATTTAGTTTTTAGAAAAATGCTTCCTGAAATTTGTTATTGTAGTAACAATAAAGATGTGAAGGGCCAGGTGCGGCGGCTCACGCCTGTAATCCCAGCACTTTGGGAGGCTGAGGCAGGCGGATCACGAGGTTAGGAGATCAAGACCATCCTGGCCAACATGGTGAAACCCCATCTCTACAAAGATAAAAATTAGCTGGGCATGGTGGCGCGTACCTTTAGTCCCAGCTACTCGGGAGGCTGAGGCAGGAGAATTGCTTGAACCCGGGAGGTGGAGTTTGCAGTGAGCCAAGATTGTGCCACTGCACTCCAGCCTGGCAACAGAGTGAGACTCCATCTCAAAAAAAAAAGATGTGAAGAATGTAGCTTTCTGTATCACGCTGTCTCCTTGTAGGGAAAACACGTGGGAGAAATTTTTATCAGGTCTTCCTAGTGGGAGTAATTGCTTCTGAATAACTGGCTTGATTTGATCTTGTAGACACTGAATTATGCTGTTCTTTGTTTCTCTCTTTGTGTAGACTGTTAGGAAACCTGGTAAAATACGTGATTTTTAAAGCACGTATTTAGTTTATTCAGTTTACCCTTGGCTTTGCTATTTTCTTCTGCAATTATTTTCTCTCAGCCCTGATTTTGTCTCTTATATGTTGCCTTGTCCTGATTGTGTCTTTTTTAAGGCACCTCAAATCTTTTTTGGGAGAAAGTAGAATATAAATCTAAACAAAGTAACCACTCCCTGTTTGCTCTACAGATTCTTTACTATGCAATGTTGGGGGTGAATCCCCGCTTTGACTCAGCTTCCTCCAGCTACTATTTGGACATGCACAGCCTCCCCCATGTCATCAACCCAGTGGAGTCCCGGCTGGGTGAGCACCTAAGGATGAGGGTCTTTCTTTTCTGCCAGGCTAGGGAGGGACCCTGACGGCTCAGCTGGGTAGGGGACAGGAGTTGGAGGTGGATTATATACAGTGATGGTTCCCAGGTTGGGTTGGTCCGAGGAGACTGTGGAGATTGAGGCTCCTTTTTTTCTTTTTTTGAGACAAGGCCTTGCTCTGTTGCCCAGTCTAAAGTGCAGTGGCACAGTCATAGCTCACTGCAGCCTCCAACTCCTGGACTCAAGTGGTCTTCCCACCTCAGCCTCTCGAGTAGCTAGAACTATAGGTATGTGCCACTACACTTGGCTAATTTTCAAAATTTTTTTTAGAGACAGGATCTCATTATGTTGCCCATGCTGGTCTTGAACTCCCCTCAAGTGATCTTCCCACCCCAGCCCCCTAAAATGCTGGGATTATAGGCGTGAGCCACTATGCCTGAGCCCTAGGTTCCTTTTTCATGATGCTCTGTTGATATCTCCATCTTCACACCTATCATATCCAAAAGCATTTATTAAACGTGATTCCTAGCACTTTTTACAAATGAATGACTAGGCTGGGTCTATCTCCCTAAAAGCCATCTAGGAGAGAGGCTGTCACACACATAGGAAAGACAACAGCAAAAGTACTTGAGGGCAGAATTTGAATTGACAGTTCTGCTGATTGAGGTTGAATAACCTTGAAGCTAGTATTAGAGTTTTTCATTTTTCGGGTGGAAACTAGGAAGAGGAGGTGTGACTAAGAACTGTAACACAGGCAAACCAAAGTGAGTATATCTAATTGTGGAATCTCAGATACCAGAGGCAGGCTAGTGTGGCCCAAGGATTGTGAGGGGGTGGCATGTGAGGCCTTAGAAAATTCCTCCGTTCATTTATTCATTCAGCAAACATTGACTGAGGGACTACCTTATGACAGTGCTGAGTAGAGAAAAGAAGGGCATTTCAGGCAAAGGGAACTGTGAGCTTAGATGCAGACAAGTGAGAGAGCTTAGGCATTCAGGAAGCTCAGAGTAGTTTAGTGTGGCTGAAATGTGAGTGAGTGACCAAAGATGAAGCCGGTTAGGCAGGCAGGAGCCAGGTCATAAAGGACCATGTTAAGGAGTTTGAACTTTAACCTGATATGGGTGGCTAGTGATTGAGGGATATTAAGCAGGGAACTGACATAAGGTCAGATTTCTGGTTTGCATAAAACTATCTGTAGTAATATGGGTACATTGTGGGAGTGGCCAAGAAAGCTGTCGTAGACAGTCAAGGGGCCTTTGAGGAGGGAGAATTCGGGGGTGTTTTGGAGCTAAGGACTATGTTTCCATCGGTATGGCACATCTCGGGAGAACATTCTGAAGCCCTTTACTAGAGACACCCTGGACAGGAGGATATCCTAATGATTGTTAGTTGGGGAATCAGTCCCAGAGTGAGTGACCAGCAAGTTAGAGGCCGACCTGGGACTAAGGTCCAGGTCCAGCATGTTTTGATATTCTGCTTTCCCTTTATACCACAGGATCCAGTGCTGCCTCCTTGTACCCTGTGCTCAACTTTCTACTCTACGTGCCTGAGCTTGCACACTCACCGCTGTACATTCAGGACAAGGATGGCGCTCCAGTGGCCACCAATGCCTTCCATAGTCCCCGCTGGGGTGGCATTATGGTAATAGTCACACTACGCAGACCCCAGAGCCCATGCTTCTGGGACAGGCAGGTGTCCCTGAAACTGTGTTCCTTCTGTTTTCCTTCTGGTGTCCTCCATGGCCCAGCCTGTGGGAGGGGCAGGCACCAGGAAGGTGAGGGTGCTATGTGCTCATGCCCCTCTTCTGCCGGCCCCACTTTTGTTTCCGCCAGTGTTTTCTATACTGTGACCCTTTGCCCTTACCTAGGATCATTCTGTGTCCATCTTAGATCTTCGCCTTATTTGTGGGAGTCTTGCAAGGTTGGGAGCCTTGTCTCCCTTGTTAGACTGGAAGTTTCTCATGGGGGAGAATTCTAAAATGGGATAAGAAAAAAATATGTTCTACAGGACTTTCAAGGGGGTAATTGGGATAATGTATTTAATGCTCTCCGTAGTAGGTACTCAAAAAATATTAGCTATACCATGAGGTTTATAGCTTCTAAAGAGCACAGAATATGTTTTCCTTTTCTCTCCAGAGTGCCTAGGGCAGAGCTGTGCAAGGGCCTGGTATGATGTTGTGGCAATCTCATTCCCCCTTTCAGGTATATAATGTTGACTCCAAAACCTATAATGCCTCAGTGCTGCCAGTGAGAGTCGAGGTGGACATGGTGCGAGTGATGGAGGTGTTCCTGGCACAGTTGCGGTGAGGTCCTGGATGATCCACTTGGGGACATAGTCTCCTTGGCTGTAGAGGGGAGTTGCAAAGTGGAATCAAGTCTTACCTGGCAGGGATATCTTGGCTGTGCCTAGAGCCCCAGGGAAACCAAGAAAAGTTTCTAAGGATCCCATCATCCTTCTAAGAAGGACTAGTAGGTGACAAAATCATTTATTTTTTTTTTTGAGACGGAGTCTTGCTCTGTTGCCCAGGCCGGAGTGCAGTGGTGCCATTTTGGCTCACTGCAACCTCCACCTCCCGGGTTCAAGCAATTCTCTGCCTCAGCCTCCCGAGTAGCTGGGACTACAGGTGCCCGCCACCACAACTGGCTAATTTTTTGTAATTTTAGTAGAAACGGGGTTTCACCATCTTGGCCAGGCTGGTCTTGAACTCCTGACCTCGTGATCCACCCGCTTAGGCCTCCCAAAGTGCTGGGATTACAGGCGTGAGCCACTGTGCCCAGCCAGCAAAACCAGTTTTAAGAAAAATAGACTCATGAATGTCAGGTCCATGGAGTGTGATTAGGGCTGCTTAAGAAAATAGCTGTTAATTCTTATGCTGCCTGATGGATTGAGAGTGGCTGCCTGAGGCTCTGTGTTGAGGATTCTAAGGCTGTATCTGGGCTCATTAGGAAAGAGTATTCTTCTGATTGACTAGCAGTGTCTCTCACGGATGCAGGCTTAGAGAAGCACAGCACATGTGCCTTGGCAAAGGCAGTCCTGGATCATCCCTTAATGCTAAGTCCCATTGGCCCCATTTGTTCAAAGAGAGGGTAGAAAAGGTGAAAGGATTAAACTGAGTTGGTGTTATCAGAAGTATTTTAGCCATGGAACCTTTTTTTAAAAAACAAGATCTTGGAAATCTAATGTAGAAACAGGTAAAAGCAGAAACACCTGTTGAAGCAGCGTTTGGGGCCAACTTGTTTGGTGTTGCCCCTTATGCCCCCAAGACCCTGAGGTACTTCCCTTTAACCCCTATGGTTCTGGGTAAGATTGAAAATCACTGGCTCAGGACAGATATTTGAGAAATCTTAGCCATGATCTCCCGCCTTGTGGTCTCAGCCACCTTGATCTTACTCCGATGTTCCTACAGGTTGCTCTTTGGGATTGCTCAGCCCCAGCTGCCTCCAAAATGCCTGCTTTCAGGGCCTACGAGTGAAGGGCTAATGACCTGGGAGCTAGACCGGCTGCTCTGGGCTCGGTCAGTGGAGAACCTGGCCACAGCCACCACCACCCTTACCTCCCTGGCGCAGCTTCTGGGCAAGATCAGCAACATTGTCATTAAGGACGACGTGGCATCTGAGGTAAGCAGGCAGGGGATGGATTCTGCAGCTTGGGACTGGAGTAGCCAGAGAGGGCCAGAGTGTGGTGAGACCAGAGAGCCTGTGAGGTCCATGGTATGTGTGGGCTTGCCATCTTTAGTGTCCCAGCCTTCCTCTAGACGGCAGTACCAGCCCCCAAGCAGGAGTGCAGATGAGAGTGCGAGGTTTCAAGCTGACCCTAGGAAAATAAACCATATCCCTGTAGAAAGACTTCCATAGATCCTGGATGAACTCCAGGCATCTTCCTTGGTAGATGGAAGGCACAGTAAGGCCCAGCACCCTTTCCACCAATGCCTAGGACTTACTGGTATACCCTCTTGTCCCTTCTCCTTCCTAGGTGTACAAGGCTGTAGCTGCCGTCCAGAAGTCGGCAGAAGAGTTGGCGTCTGGGCACCTGGCATCTGCCTTTGTCGCCAGCCAGGAAGCTGTGACATCCTCTGAGCTTGCCTTCTTTGACCCGTCACTCCTCCACCTCCTTTATTTCCCTGATGACCAGAAGTTTGCCATCTACATCCCACTCTTCCTGCCTATGGCTGTGCCCATCCTCCTGTCCCTGGTCAAGATCTTCCTGGAGACCCGCAAGTCCTGGAGAAAGCCTGAGAAGACAGACTGAGCAGGGCAGCACCTCCATAGGAAGCCTTCCTTTCTGGCCAAGGTGGGCGGTGTTAGATTGTGAGGCACGTACATGGGGCCTGCCGGAATGACTTAAATATTTGTCTCCAGTCTCCACTGTTGGCTCTCCAGCAACCAAAGTACAACACTCCAAGATGGGTTCATCTTTTCTTCCTTTCCCATTCACCTGGCTCAATCCTCCTCCACCACCAGGGGCCTCAAAAGGCACATCATCCGGGTCTCCTTATCTTGTTTGATAAGGCTGCTGCCTGTCTCCCTCTGTGGCAAGGACTGTTTGTTCTTTTGCCCCATTTCTCAACATAGCACACTTGTGCACTGAGAGGAGGGAGCATTATGGGAAAGTCCCTGCCTTCCACACCTCTCTCTAGTCCCTGTGGGACAGCCCTAGCCCCTGCTGTCATGAAGGGGCCAGGCATTGGTCACCTGTGGGACCTTCTCCCTCACTCCCCTCCCTCCTAGTTGGCTTTGTCTGTCAGGTGCAGTCTGGCGGGAGTCCAGGAGGCAGCAGCTCAGGACATGGTGCTGTGTGTGTGTGTGTGTGTGTGTGTGTGTGTGTGTGTCAGAGGTTCCAGAAAGTTCCAGATTTGGAATCAAACAGTCCTGAATTCAAATCCTTGTTTTTGCACTTATTGTCTGGAGAGCTTTGGATAAGGTATTGAATCTCTCTGAGCCTCAGTTTTTCATTTGTTCAAATGGCACTGATGATGTCTCCCTTACAAGATGGTTGTGAGGAGTAAATGTGATCAGCATGTAAAGTGTCTGGCGTGTAGTAGGCTCTTAATAAACACTGGCTGAATATGAATTGGAATGATACAAAGTCTGAGCTCTACTCTTTCTGCATTCACGCGTAAGTAACAGTTTCCTGGTGTTTGTCCTCCTGTGCCCACAGGTCCACTTTGCTTCCACGTGGCCATGTGCCCTTCCTAGCTGGATTGCCCAAGGCTGTTAGCATCTGCTTTTTACCTGAGATACTAATTCATCAGGTCAAAAAAAAAAAAAAAAAAAAAAAAAAAGTCTTGAGCACCAGCTGCAGGGAGCCTTCTGCTAGGTACAGGGGTCCTACAGAGAACAAAGTAGGCAGGACCAGTGCTTTCACAGAGCTGAGCTTTCAGGGGGAAGAGTCAGCGGACAAATAAAAATAATTTCACATAATGCATTAGAAAGACAAAAACAGGCTGGTCAGATGGTGACTGAGGGGGAAGGACTTCAGACTGGGTGTGAGGGAGGCCCTTTGAGCAGATGACATTTGAGCTGTGACTAGGAGAAAAGAGGCCATCTGGGGAAGACCATCCAAGCAGAGACCCTGAGCCTGGAACTCACGGGCAGAAAGGCTGGAACACAATGAGTAAGCGGAGAGGTAGTCAGGACCCCACTAGTACCAGTACAAGAAAGTGTTAGAAAAACAGAATGAAGCCCAGGGCAGGATACCCCGACTCCCATCCCCCGCGCCCGTCGCATTTCGGGAGGGTTGGGCCGGGCGGCGGGCGGGATCAGCGCAGGGCCCACCCCAGGGGCGGGGCCGGGGCGGGGCAGTACCTGGGGCCCCGGCCGGGGGCGGGGCTGCGGATGCTCCCACTTCCCCCGGCTCCAGCCGGCGCAGGCAGCGGCGGCAGCAGCAGGCGAGCCTCGGCCCCGCAAGGCCATGAAGGTGAAGAAGGGCGGCGGTGGGGCCGGGACGGCGACGGAGTCCGCTCCGGGGCCCTCGGGCCAGAGCGTGGCCCCCATACCACAGCCGCCTGCGGAATCCGAATCTGGGTCCGAGTCGGAGCCGGACGCAGGCCCAGGGCCCAGGCCGGGGCCGCTGCAGAGGAAGCAGCCGATCGGGCCGGAGGACGTGCTGGGGCTGCAGCGGATCACCGGTGGTGAGCACCCGCGAGGGAGCGCCGCCCGCGGGTGGGAAGGGGAGAGGGTGCGAGGGGCCCTCCCGGCGCGCCAAGCCCTGGCCCCCGCCCCCTTTCCCGCCTCCCCTCCCCCACCGAGTCCCCTCTCCTGTGTCCCCTGCTCTCCCTTCTGCCGCCAGGTCTGAGATCTCTGTGTACCCCCTTCCCTTGATCTCTCTCTGTGCCTCCTTCTTCTCCCTTTCGAGATTTATTCCTTCCTTTTCCAGGGGCCCGTCCCCTTTTCCCAGCGTGGAGGTACGTGCGGCAGCAGCTGCAACCATAGCCCTGTAGCTGTGGAGTCTCCAGAGCGCTTTGAGGCCCGTCCCTGCACTAATGAAGAGAGGGGCTGAGTGCAGCCTGTCCTCAGCCCCCACGCTGGAGGCTAGGTGGAGGCTGAGTTACTTGGGAGGCATTCAGACTCTTCATGTCTCCCCAACCATTAATACCCTCACCCTGATCCTCCAGGAAGACTTGGGCCATTTTCTTCCCCGGGAAAGAAACTGAGCAGGCAGCTTTAGTGTGTTGGCTGTGGTTCCTCTCATGGGGAGTGGCATAATGTCCCTCCAAGCCTGGACTAGCACCTGTCCTCTTCTGGGGGCTCTGTCATCAAGGGAGGCTTGGTCTCCACTGTGGTTAAGAGTTTCTGAGCTGGACTGCCTGGGTTGGAGTTCCAACTCTGCCATATAATTGTCTGTGTGACCTTGGGCAAGTAACCTCACCTCTCTGAGCATGTCTTTTCATCTGTAAAATGGGGATAATGATACCTTTCTCGTAAGATTATTGTGAAGATAAGTCCTCTGATTCTGTACAGTGCCTGGCATCTATGCATGCTGTGTACATTGGGCTCTTTGATCAGTAGTATTTTTGGGCCCTACAGGGCTGCTCATAGCTGCTGCCTGGAGTCAAACAACTTGGCTTTCAGGGCAGGGGAGGGGGTCATCATAGGCAGGGAACGAGGGCTAGGAAACCTCATAGCAGAGGCTTTGGATGAGCCTCAAAGGATGAAAGGTGCATGGAGAGACAGTGGCTCTCCACCTTGGCCACATTCACCAGCAACCTGCCCTGGCCCCCTTTGTGAGAATAACTGTTGGGGGGGGCCTCTCTGTGGGTATGGGGGGCATGTATTGGAGTGGACCTGAGCCCTAGAGCTTCCAAAGCAGCAGAACACCGGACTCCCAGACAGAGCTGTGGAGGGGAGACAGCCTTGAGCCTGTGCTCCTGGGTCCCTGGGGGCCAATTCCTCTCTCCTTACTGAGCTAGGCAGCAGCCATTCTTAGCTGGGCCCCCAGAGTACTGAGCTCCCTTGCCCAAGCAGGCATCAATGGAGAGAGGGAGGCTGGACCAGGCTGATGTTGAAGCCAGTTGGGCTACAATTTGCAATAGCAGCATTTAGGATTCAGCTTAGCTCTGGGGCAGAACTTTCTCAGACTGACTGAGTCCTGAGTAACTTTGGGGGTTTATTTTGCAACTAGAGGGAGCTTCCAGCTCATGTACCACCATTTGTCTCCTAATTTGGAGGAAATTCATAGCCCTTAGAGATGGGGCATCTGTGAAGGGTAAGTAGAGGAAAGGGCTTCATGAGAACCCCTTCCTGTGCAGGAATTGAGAACAGAGTTCCAGGGATTTCCACCCTGGCACCCCTTGCCTGGTCTCTTCTGACCCTAATCATGCAGGTCTGAGGTTTGCTGTTCCCAGATTACTGGGCCCTGAATCCAGCTTAGGAAGCTATTTGTGGCTGAGAGGAATAGAGCAGTTGTGTTCTGAGCCCTTGGCCACTCTGCCCCTTATTCTGACCTGACCCTGGGTCCCAGGCCTCATCCTTTCTAGAAGAGAAGGAGTGGCCGTGGTGTTCTGAGCCATAGATATCCGTGTTCCTCACTTCTTCTAAGGACAGAGAGGTTGATAGATTGAGTTTGCAGTAGAAGAGACTGAGGTTAGACTGCAGGAAGTTGTTCCCAAATGAGAGAGGCTCCAAAAGTTGGAGAATGGGAGAAGAGAAGGCCTTACAGGGATCTGGGAGTTGGGCACTGGGATCCTGCTCCCCACTCTGCCACCTCCGTTCCCTATGCTCTGTACCTTCTTTCTATGTCTTTATACTGGTGCTTACTTTCTGTGAAAATAGGGTGAATGGGGTGAGATAGGGGTTGCCCACTTCCATTCTCTCCCCACCCCACATGTGGGCTGTAGTAGACTCAGGGCCCTGCCTCTTCCCCAAGCTGTATAAAGTCCATGCTGGGCCCCAGGGTACCAGATGGCTGCCAGGAGGGCTTCCTGGAGGGGACAGCGTCAGGCTTGGGGAAGAAGCAGACCTGGGGAAGAGAAAATGACTTTATATTCACTTCCTGTTCCTGCCCCAGAGGAATAGGAGGTGGCCCAGGGGCCTGGAGGGTGATTTCCAGGCCTCTGTGGGCCACCAGGGGAGGATGTGATGCTGTGCAGGCTGACAGCACGAGTCCCTCCCTGCACCTCTCAGCTCTTTTTGTTGCCAGGGCCTCCCTGAGCACTTGAAGTTGCTGCTGCAAGAGCTGTGAGGGTTAGATCAGGCCCTGTAGCTCCCTGAGCTTCCTCAGGCAGGGCCTCCCACTGTTCTTGGTTCCCTTCCTGGGCCTGAGGACTCCCCTTACCCCTTCCACACCCACTGCTGCACCTGCCACACCCTCCTCCTGGCCTAGCCTGTGTTCTTCTCTATGGGGGTCCAGGACTACTTTCTCCATGGTGGTGGCTCATAGCCAGGGCTGCGTAAATGACCTCTAAGGGGGTTCTCTCTGCTTGCTAAGACTTCCTCCCATTTGGAGATCAACAAAGGATGAGAGCAAAGTTGGCCTCCTCCCACCTGCCATATCCCAGGCTCTGGGCTTGAGTCAGCAGAGCTTTGGTTAAGCTGCTTAAGGGAGCTGGGCTGGTGTAAGCTTCTTACTGAGAGGAGGGGGTTTGGAGGAGAGGAGGAATAGGGAAGGGGTTGTTCACCTGCCCCAGCCCCACCCATATCAGGGAAAGTCCCCTTAACATCAGCCTCACCTGATACATCTAGATGTCATGCCAGGGGCAGCTGTGGGGTGAGGGTAGGAGTATCCTCCAGAGAAGGACAGTGACTCTCCCAAGACAGAGCTGTGTGGCCCCCTTTACAGGTGGTTCTCAAAGGCAGGGTACCAGAGAAGTTGATACACTGAGTTGCAGTAGAAGAGACAGGTCAGACTGCAGGAAGTTGTTCCCATATGAGAAGAGAGGCTCCCACCAGGCTGGATACCTAATTCTCCCAAAGTCATCTAGCCAGCCTTGGCAGAGCGGAGGCCAGAATGAGGACCCTCAACTCCAGAGTGGGAGAGAGAGTGTTCAGGAGGTGGCCTTGTCCTCTACCCTTCTCTGCCCTGCCCTTCCCTGGCCCCCAGAGACCAGTAGGATGGCACTCCTTATCCCCTGTTAGATCCCCATGGCGGAGTTATGTCTCTTCCACACTGGGGGTGTACCCCAAGGGCAGGGACTGAGGTCCCTCTTTCCAGAGGGCAGTGATCCCAGGGATGAGAAGATGGTAGCTACTCTGGGGTCCCACACAAGCTGACCTGGCAGCAGGGGCTTTGCGGCCCCTTCCTTGCTCAGCTGCCTGTTTCCCCTAGACTACCTCTGCTCCCCTGAGGAGAATATCTACAAGATCGACTTTGTCAGGTTTAAGATTCGGGACATGGACTCAGGCACTGTCCTCTTTGAAATCAAGAAGCCCCCAGTCTCAGGTGAGTGGGCTGGGTGGGCCATTGATGGGGAGGCAGATAGGAGCTGCGGAGTGGGCTGCCCAGGGAATCCTTGGGCCACAGAGGAGTCCACAGAGCTGGGGCTTGGACCCCAGCATTCTCAGGAGTCTGCAGGCAGGGGGGCCCTTTCTTTTCCTTCCCATATGTTTCTGAGGCTGGACATCTTGCGAGGTCAGCCCTACCCCTTCGGTCCCTGCCAACCTGCCCTCTGCAGGGCTCTCTGGGAACTGCAGTCCTACGGGTCCCAGGCCTCAGCATCCTGTGGCCCGGGGAAGCACAGTGGCGATTGGGAACATGCAGACCTAGAACCCCTAGGTGGCACTATTTGGCCAATGGTCTGAGCCCTCAGTGTGCCCCGGAATTTCTTGGGGAGTTTAAAAAAAATCAGATAGATGGGGACCCAAGGGTAGAACCCTGGGTGGACAAGGGCCCAGCCTGAAGCCCACTGAGCCCCAGCTGGGGTACATTGCAGAACGGTTGCCCATCAACCGGCGGGACCTGGACCCCAATGCTGGGCGCTTTGTCCGCTACCAGTTCACGCCTGCCTTCCTCCGCCTGAGGCAGGTGGGAGCCACGTGAGTCGCTGGGCTATGGGTGGTGGTGGGGGTGAGGGAGAGGGTGTGAGTGGGCCCTTCTCAGCCTCTCGTAGGGGTGGCCTGTCCTGAGCCTGGCTGGCTAGTTGACTTCAAGGACAGACTTAGCCCTGCCTCCTTTTCTTGCTCAGGGTGGAGTTCACAGTGGGAGACAAGCCTGTCAACAACTTCCGCATGATCGAGAGGCACTACTTCCGCAACCAGCTACTCAAAAGCTTCGACTTCCACTTTGGCTTCTGCATCCCCAGCAGCAAGAACACCTGCGAGCACATTTACGACTTCCCCCCTCTCTCCGAGGAGCTGAGTGCGCGGGCAGGGTCTTCTGGGAGTGGGGAAGTGGGGGCGTCTAGAGACTGAGCTGCGGGAGGGAGAGGGACTTGTGGGTCTGATCCCATTTCTCCCCACCCTGGGGCTCTTCTGTGTCTGCCACCATTCCCATATCATCCGTAGAGAAAGAGGCTGGGGATATTTCAGGCTGTTTGGCTGTCCCTGTACCCCAGTCCTGAAGCCCCTGCAGTGGCGGGACTCAAGCTCCTGACCTTTGCCCGGCCTGGCTGGGCCTCTCTTGCAGTCAGCGAGATGATCCGCCACCCGTATGAGACCCAGTCTGACAGCTTCTACTTCGTGGATGACCGGCTGGTGATGCACAATAAAGCAGACTATTCCTACAGCGGGACACCCTGACCCCACGGCTGCCCTGACCCCAGGAGGCTCCAGTTCTGGGCTGGGAGCTGTGACCTCCCCAACGCTCACCCCTCAACCCCAAGTCCTCTGCTTGGGGAGTTCTCCAGGAGCTCCGGACCCTGAGTCAATGTTGGGAGGAAGGGTACCTGGTGTCCCCAGTCAAGCCCATGAAGCCCATGCGGCCTGCTACATGGGGTGGGGTCGTAGGGAGGCTGTTTGCCTCCACGTCTAGGAAGGCCTGTGAGAGGAGCAGTCAGGACTTCCGGACAACTTAGCTGGGCCCTACTTGGGCCCAAGTTTCAGAATAGTGTTCCCCTATCAAGGCTGTGACTAGATCAGGCAGGGATCCATTCCCTGTCCCCTGCCCACTACCTTCAGGCCATTTAGAGTTGTAAATTTACAAAGATCCACGGTGGGCTCCAGCTGCCAAGCCACCCAAGGGAGTCTGGGCCCTAGGCCTAGCCCCATCCCTCCCCATGAGGGGCCAAGACACTGCCTAAGGTGTGGGAGGGACTGGCTGAGATTGCAGCCCATGGTAGGAGCTGGACCAACTGTATATAGTTTTCAATAAACTTTTTCCTTTTCTGTTCTCTGGTGTGGCCAGCCTCTGTGTGTATGGGCAAAGAAGGGAGCAGGGATAGGCAGGAATGTGCTTAAGGCAGTAAAAATTTCTCCTACCTCCCACATTCCAGTGCACTCTCACCCCTTAGTCTTCCTGTCCCCTGATTCTCTGTACCCTGACACCATATAGAGTCAGCATTTAGAACATGATGGAGCTGGAGAGGGTCTTTCTTGTGATGAAGGAGACCCAGACCCTGAGAGGGGAAGCTTTGGCCCAAAGTCAGAGCCAACCCTGGCAGAACAGAGGCCGAAACAAAGGCCCTGAACTCCAGGGTGCAAGGGGAAGGTGTGGGGGGTGGGGGTTTGGCCTTGTCCTCCACGCTACCTTCCCTGAACCCCAGAGGCCACTAGGACCACTGGGTTGTGTTTTTAGCCCTCATGATAGACGGTGGCAGGGCTTTGGCTAAGGCCTGGAGCCATCTCCTTGCCCTCAGCTGCCTTGGGGAGCCCCCATGCCTGGGTAGCCCTGCACATAACACTGCCCTCAGCCTCCACCCCCACCCCAGACTCAGAGGAGGGGGCTGCTTAATGGAGGAAATTCAGGAACTGAGGTGGGCAGAGAGCACACCCTACAGTTTCAGGCCCTCCTTCAGATATGCCCAGAGCTGACGCACCCTCTGGGCTGAGGAGCTCTGGCCCTAGGAGGCCCAGAAGTGCTGGCATTCAGCTTGATTCTGTGAAGCCCTTGCTGGGGGAAGTGGGGTGGAGCTAGGATCTGCACTGAATTCTGGGAATTCTGAAATGAGTGAGACACAAGGAACACATACTCGTCCCTAGGGAAAAAAAAAGGACTGGGGACACGGAGAGCAAGAATCAGAGTCGTTCTGTGTGGAGGGTTCTGGGGAGGATTTTTAGAGGAGGTAGCACTGGAGCAGGTGCTTGTGATGGAAATTGATGGGGAAGAGTGCTTAGGCACAGGGAACAGCATAAACAAAGGCTCAGAGGCAAGATTTGTCAGGTGTTTGTTTGTTTGTTTACTTATTTATTTGAGATGGGGTCTCCCTCTCAAACTCCTGGGCTCAAGGGATTTTCCTGCCTTGGCCTCCCAAAGTGCCAGGATTATGGGCATAAGCCTAGGTGTGTTCAAGAGTCAATATGATGTGAAAAGAAGACAGATTGGCAGAGCCTTAGGAGCAGGGCTTCTGAGAAGTGGGGAGCCCCTGTGGAGGATTAAGTGGGCATGACCTGGTCAGATTATCTCTGGCTGCTGAGTGAATGGTGGATTGGAAAGAATGACACTAATAGCCAAGATTTACTGAGTGCCAGGCTGGGTGCTCTACATGTGTTAACTCATAAACATGGTCATTTCTGAGGAAGGCACTATTATGATGCCCATTTTACAGAAAATGTAGGTCCAGAGAGGTTAATGTACCCAGCCAACGTTGCACAGCTATGAAGTGGCAGAGCCAGGACTTGAATCCAGGCAGTCCGGCTCCATGCACTACCATACTAAAGGCAGGGGGGCAGTGAGGATGAGGAGGGTGCTGCAGGAATCTGGTGAGAGAGAAAGAGAAACTGAATTAGGTCAGTATCCTCAAAGATGGAGAGAAACAGGTGAAACTGATATTTTTAAGAGGTGAGATCCTCAGGAGTGGTGGCTGATTGGATGAGTGGGTTGGAGAGAGGGAGGAGGTGAGGCTGACTGCCTGGTTTGTGGCCTGGGTGCTGGGGTAGCTACAGGTGCCATCACTGGGTTTGGGAATGCAGGTTGGATCAAGGTGGATGCCAGCAGGAGAGGGTGACTTCAGACTGGGACATGCTGTGGCATGGAGGAAATTACCAGAAGACAGGAAAGGTGGGCCCTAAGACCAGGAGGGGAATAAGGGCTGGAGGTGGTGATTGTCGAGGCCATCGGCCACAAGGTGATTTCTGAAGCTATGATGGTGGCTGAGATCATGGGGTCCTCCACTGACACTCTTGTTATTTAGGAATGCCAAATGTCCTGCAATTACTGGGATTCTCCCAAACAATGCTATTATAATACAAATCCCCATCCCCTAATTGAGGGTGCCTGAACGAGAATGTATCACCTTAGGGAAGGCCAGTGTTTGAGAGCAGGGCGGAAGGAAAGGAAACAATGGAGACAGGAGGAGTGAGCCTCCAGGGAGGTGGGAGCAGAGCCATGTTTTGGAGGAAAGAATTTCATCACAAAGCAAGTGGGCAGGAACTATCAGTTGCCACAAAGGTAAAGAAGGAGAATGAGGACAAGAATGTGGAAGGGAGGGATTTGTTTGCAGATGAGGCTGTACAGGTATGAAAGAAAGGCCAGTATAGGGGTGATTTTGCTGTTGTAGTTTATGGGGTTACAAGTCTGCAGAGAAGGTATAGCAAGGAAGAGGACCTTTTCCCAATACCCTGATAATAGTTCTACTCACTGCAGCTGCTAAGTAAAACTGGGTTGAGGTTCTAGATTGGGCCTGCTGCACTTCCATCTTCAGAGAGAGAGGAGGGTCCCTATTCTGAGGTTCTCATCTCTGAAGTAGGCACCCAGTTGGCACTCACCTTGAAAAGAGGCCTGCGTTCCTTGGGCTTGGAGGAGCCTAGGTTGGGAAAAGCCTTGGCCCCATGCCTTCTTTTAAGTCTTCATGCCTCTGGCACTAGTCCTATTGCAAATGGTACATCTTGCTGCATTTAGTTCCTGGCACTGTCCCTAGGAACCTAGAGGCTGCCTGGGAGGAAGACAGGGTGGAGGTGGGGCTAGTCTTGGCTCTGATGTTGATGAGCTGTTGACCTTGAAGGGGCAATTCCCTTTTGTCTCTGAAATGGGCCAGTCATTTTTGCTTTGACTCTTTTTTTTTTTTTTTTTTTTTTGAGAAGGAGTCACGCTCTGTCGCCCAGGGTGAAGTGCAATGGCATGATCTCCAGGGTGCAGTGCAATGGCATGATCTCGGCTCACTGCAACCTCTGCCTCCCGGGTTCAAGTGATTCTTCTGCCCCAGCCTCCCAAGTAGCTGGACCCATTACAGGCACCAGCCATCATGCCCGGCTGATTTTTGTATTGTTGTAGAGACGGGGTTTCACCATGTCGGCCAGGCTGGTCTTGAACCCCTGACCTAGGTGATTTGCCCGCCTCGGCCTCCCAAAGTGCTGGGATTACAGGCCTGAGCCACCGTGCCTGGCCTGCTTTGACTCTTTAGGGGTGTCATGAGGATCCTGCCCCTGGGTAGAGAAGGAAAGCCCAAGTACCACAGGGAAACCCACAGCTCGTGCCCTCCTGGGCTGGCCGGCAAGGTGCTCACTGGGACTGCCAAACCAGTGGTTAAAATACTAAGATCTTCCCTTCCAGCTGTTAAAAAGCTGCTGTCCCAGGCCGCCCTAGCCTGGCCCCTCCCCTAAGAGTCACCCTCCACTTCCCCACCATCTGGCAACTAAAGCAAGGACATTACCCTTTTTTTTTTTTTTGAGTCAGGGTCTCGCTCTGTTGTCCAGGCCAGAGTCCAGTGGCACAATCATGGCTCACTGCAGCCTCAAACTCCTGGGCCTAAGCAATCCTCCTACCTCGTCTCCCAAGTAGCTGAGACTACAGAAGCTACATGTGCCACCATACCCAGCTAATTTTTTGTAGAGATAGGGTTTTGCCATGTTGCCCAGTCTGGTCTCGAACTCCTGTGCTTAAGCAATCCTTCTGCCTTTGCCTCTCAAACTACTGGGATTACAGGCCCAGCCCCTTGCTTTACTTTTCTATGTGTCACAGACTCTCTTGTTGTCAGTCTGCTAAAGCCTATGGACAATAAAAAGGATTTTAGGAACATAAAATATATTGTTATCCTATTTATTTATTTATTTATTTATTTATTTATTTATTTATTGGGATAGAGTCTCGCTCTGTTGCCAGGCTGGAGTACAGTGGCACAATCTCGGCTCACTGCAACCTCCGCCTCCCAGGTTCAAGCGATTCTCTTGCTTCAGCCTCCCGAGTAACTGGGACTACAGGTGCATGCCACCACACCCAGCTAATTTTTGTATTTTTAGTAGAGGTGGGGTTTCACCATGTTGGCCAGGATGGCCTTGATCTCTTGACCTCATGATCCTCCTGCCTTGGCCTCCCAAAGTGCTGGGATTACAGGCGTAAGCCACCCTGCCAGGCCTATCCTATTTATTTTATGTATTAAAAACTATATACAATTGGCCATAGGTTCCGCATCTGTGAATTCAGCCAACTGTGCATCAGAAATGTCTGTACTGAATATGTGCAGACATTTGTCTTGTCATTAGTCCTTAAATAGTACAGTATAACAATGATTGACAAAGGATTTACATTGTATTAAGTATTATAAGTAATCTAGAGATGATTTAAAGTATACGGGAGGATGTGTGTAGGTTATATGCAAATACTCCATCATTTTATATCAGGGACTTACTTGCACATTCATGGATTTTGGAATTTGTGGGAGGCCCTGGAACCACTGTGAGATGACTGTGTGTGTGTGTGTGTGTATCTACAATCATGCACTAGATATCGATGTGTCTGTCATGACAGACTACATATATGTCGACAGTCACATAAGATTATAATACTGTATATATATATATATATATATATATATATATATGTTTTTTAAGACGGAGTCTTGATCTGTCTCTCAGGCCGGAGGGCAGTGGCACAATCTTGGCTCACTGCAACCTCTGCCTCCTGGGTTCAAGAGATTCTCCTGTCTTGGCCTTCTGAGTAGCTGGGATTACAGGCGTGTGTTACCACGCCTGGCTAATTTTTTGTATTTTTAGTAAAGATGAGGTTTCGCCTTGGTGGCCAGGCTGGTGTTGAACTCCTGACCTCAAGTGATGTGCCCGCCTTGGCCTCCCAAAGTGTTGGGATTACAGGTGTGATCCACCGTGCCCGGCCAATACTGTATTTTTTACTGTACCTTTTCTATGTGTTGTAGAAACACACATAGGCATTGTGTTACAATTGCCTACAGAATTCAGCACACTAATATGCCACACAGGTTTGTAGCCTAGTAGCAATAGGCTATCCCATAGAGCCTCTAGGTGTGCAGTATGCTCTACCATCTAGGTTCGTGTGAGTAAACTCTATGATGTTTGCACAATGACAAAATTGCCTAAGGACACATTTCTCAGAACGTATGTCTGTTGTTAAGCGACAAATTACTTTATGTGTGTGTATATGTGTGTGCATGTGTATATATTTGTACATATTTTGTACTATCTATAATACAATTACAAAATATCTGTGATTTCTATTGACAAAGTCACAGGTATTGCCAATGCTAGTGTGATTTGTTGCTGACATTCACAATAGAGGGAAATTCTAGATTTCAGGTAAGGATGAGAGAAAATGAAGATGTAACTTTTTCATGCAAGTTCCTGACCTGGGAATTCTAATCCATTTGAGATCTCTCACATTTAGAATCCCTGAGCAAAAGGATTAATTCCCTCCAAATAACGGACTTGAAGACGCTGCATCCATTCAGACAAATTGTTGCTCACCCTGGCCAGGTGTGGTAGCTCATGCCTGTAATCCTAGCACTTAGGGAGGCCAAGGAGGTGGCGTTGTTTGAGCCTAGGAATTTGAAACCAGCCTGGGCAACATAGTGAGACCCTACCTCTACAAAAAATACAAACATTAGGTGGGTGCGGTGGCCCACGCCTGTAATCCCAGCACCTAACAGAGGCTGAAGTGGGAGGATCACTTGAGCTCAGGAGTTCAAAACTAGCCTGGGTAACATCGCGAGACCCCATATTTACTTAGAAAAATAAAATTAAAAAGATGGTTGCTCACTCTAATAATGGCTATATGCTTGGTATGGGGTGGCCAGCAGGGGGCAGCATATGAGTGGGAGTGTGGGGCTCATTTCAGGGTGGAACTGAGGCCCAGTTAAAAAAAGTCTGAGGGCCTGGTTACACTCTCTCTCTCTCTCTCTCTCTCTCTCTCTCTCACACACACACACACACACACACACACACACACAAAACTAGACCCAAGTCCTACCTGCTTGCTACCTGTCTTCTTGCATTAGGGGCCAGTTCACACACAGGTGTGCTGAATGTGCCCACTGGCCAGAGTTTTGACAGAGGGTCTCCTGGAGGAGATGGCCTAGCCTGGGTATATAAGGCAGGTTTGTCTGAGCTCTCAGAGTCTCAGGACCCGAGGCAAGCAAATGGGTCCCAATAGGATTCTCCCAGGAAACATTTGCCCTGTGTTTGGGGGCCTGGATGTCATCAAGACACAGGCCCAGGGTTGGACAGAGCTGGTGTGCAACATCGCCTGAGGTCTTGGCAAAGAGCCTGCACCTGCTTCCTACACAGCCAGGGCCAGGCTGGGGCAGGTGGGCCTTCCTCTTGGGTGCACCCGCTGGCCATGCCTTCCCCACTCCCTATCCTACCTCAGCCCACCAGCCCTGCATCTAGCCTTCCAGCCTCTGCTGGGGCGGGTGCTGGGGTAGGTGGGGTTCTATTATGGGGTCTTTTGCAGACCTATCCTCTCAGAGGTAGGTGTTGGCTGGCCCCCTGGGCCCAGCCCCAAGAAGAGCTTTGTTTTTTTTATGAGACAGAGTCTCACTCTGTCACCCAGGCTGGAGTGCAGTGGCACAATCTCAGCTCACTGCAACTTCCACCTCCCAGGTTCAAGTGATTCTCCTGCCTCAGCCTCCTGAGTAACTGGGATTAAAGGTGCCCACCAGCACACTCAGCTAATTTTTGTATTTTTAGCAGAGGCAGGGTTTCACCATGTTGCTCAGGCTGGTCTCGAACTCCTGATATCAAGTGATCCACCCATCTCGGCCTCCCAAAGTGCTGGGATTACAGGCATGAGCCACTGTGCCTAGCCATCCAAGAAGTGCTTTCTTTTCTTTTTTTTGAGACAGAGTCTCACTCTGTTGCCCAGGCTGGTGTGCAGTGGTCCAATCTCGGCTCACTGCAACCTCTGCCTCCCGGGTTCAAGCGATTCTCCTGCCTCAGCCTCCCTCCTGAGTACCTGGGATTACAGGCGTCCACCACCACGCCCAGCTAATTTTTGTATTTTTAGTAGAGATGAGGTTTCACCATTTTGGCCAGGCTGGTCTTGAACTCCCAACCTCAGGTAATCTGCCTGCCTGGGCCTCCCAAAGTGCTGGGATTACAGGCGTGAGCCACCGTGCCCAGCCTTCATCCAAGAAGAGCTTTCTAAGCAGAGACACCACTTGTGGCTGCTCTGGGACCTGGGGATCATGTATGTGCTTTTGGCTCCCACATCTGCCCCATCTCTCTTGAGACAGTGCTGCGGTGACACCAACCCCACCTGGAGGTGACACCTAGGGGGTGAGTCTGAAGTGGGACTGAGTGAGCCCCTGACCATCCAGAGACCACTCTCCAGGACCAGCAGTGCACACAGCACCAGGGCATGCTCCATTTTGTCACCTGTGGAACTCAGGGCCCCAAACCACTTGGCATCTCTTTCAGCCAGGGACAGATTGGAAGCAGAAAGGCACAGTTTGGACAGGGCAGCAACTCCTTCTTGTGTGAGGAGATGGGGGTGCAAAGAGGGAGTGGGCAGACCTCAGAGGCAAGGGGTCTGGGGGAGGGCATCCCCTCCATTCCTCTGGCCAGGGCAGCCTCTTCCCTGCATCTCTTTGGAAGTTCTCCTGGGAAGAGGCCCTGCTCACCTGCTCCTCAGCCTCCCCAGTGGGTCAAGAAGTTTTCCTAGATGCCTCACTCTTTGGATTAGAAACTTCCTAGTTCTGGGTGAGGGTGACAGGGACGTCACAGGCCCAGGGCATCTGCCATCAGTGTGGCCTGGCCATTTTGCTTAGGGAGAGGGGCCAGAAATGAAAGCTTGGTAGTGAGACCACAAGGCACTTGCTTTATTGTTCCAGGACAGGGGACAATGACAAGCCATCGCGGGATCTGCTTATGCCTCCTATAAGCCTGGGGCCAACCTGTGGAAGTTCTTGTCACCCCCAGGCCCAGGGTGGGCTGAGGTTCCCCCTCGATGGGGTCAGGCTCATGGCAGGCACCTGGGCCACACCCCGCAGGGCCAAGGGTATCCCTTGTGCTTCCCGGGCACCCTAGGTCTGCCAAGCAGTCAAAGCGGGGGTGCTTTGCATGGGTGCTTCCCTGTCACCCTGTGCCAGGCTTTTCTCCTGAATGCCCAGGTTGCCTGAGACAGTTGGAAGTAACTAACAGGTGCTCCTCAACTTATGATGGGGCTACATCCGGAGAAACCCATCGTGAGTGGGAAACATCGTAAGTCGAAAGTGGTTTTTGACTTTCGGTGGTTTCAATTTACAATGGGTTTATCGGACATAACCGCATCCTAAGTCGAGGAACATACTGAATGTGTATTGCTTTTGCACCATCTTAAAGTTGAAAAAGTGTAAGTTGAACCATCATAAGTAGAGTTAAGCCAGGACCTAAACTATGTGAACTTTTCTTTCTGGAGGAGGAGTGAGATTGTGGTGACCTGGAGGGGGCCCTTCCTGCACCCGGGACTGGGGAAAAAGGACATGTTCAAGTTTCCGAGGGCAAGGGCTTTTCCAAACACTGCTTCGGAATTGGGCTCAGTTTGGTGCCCGGGTAGATGTTGCCCCTTCTGTATGTCACCCTGGGGAAAGCTGGACAGAGCATGTACTAAGGATGGGTAGAGAATGGCTGAGTGGGTGCTGCCAATTAGCAGCTCCTGGGGGGGTCCACAGACAACCCAGGGAGGAGCTCTCTGTCTCCTCCTTCTTGCTGGGCTGTTGGGATGAAGATGGGGGAATAAATACAGGGCGCTTCTGGGAAAGAAAATGACGAGGGGGCCAGGACTGCAGAGCATGTGGATGTCAGAATGGGGGTCTGGGGGGATCTTTGGCCTGGCACAGGGCCCTGAGCTTTTGGTAAGCAAAGCGCTCAGCTCTCAGTTGCCCCAGAAACGAAGTCGGGCTCTCAGTGATGGAGTGCTGGTTCCTCTGGCTGTAAGATATGTGGGTGGGTGTACATCTGAATAATTTGTGTGTGTGCACGAGGGCTTAAGTGTGGATGAGTGTGAGCTAGGGACAGGGCATTTTCCTCTTGCCCAGACGCTTGCTCTTTGGGGGCCCTGGGTGAGGAGCTGGGCCACCACGTGGCAGAAATGTGTGAGAGGCAGCACCCCAGGTGATGTCCTCTGCGCCCCCAGCTACCAGCTGACACACACGTTGGCTTAGTGGCATAGGGGACAGGTAGTATTTTCCTTCCTTGACCTTTAAGGTGAGCCCGATGTGGGCGGCCGGCCAGGACTTCCAGACCAGGCAAACGCTGGAGCTGACGAAGCTGGGCACAGCTCATGCCAGGGCCACGGGCTTGGAGCTGGGGCTGAGGTACACAGAGGGGCCTGCAGGGGCCGTGGGGGGCGTGGGCTCCAGCTCCATAAAGGCAGAGTAGAGGGTGGTGAGGTGCAGGTCACCCAGTGCCCCGGAGCCACCACTGCCCGGGGCTGCCAAGTCACCTGCCCCACTGCCTGTCTCTGTCAGACAGGGCCCAGGGGGGAAGCAGTGAGGTGGTGGCTGGGGTGGTGGCATCGAAGATGATGTCGGGGATGAGGTCACCAGTACCAGGGGGTCGAGGGCCAAGCTATCATCCTTCAACTGTTCCCACAGGTTTCCTAGATGGGGAAGGAGAGAACAGGTGTCACTGGGAGGCACCGGAGGAGCCCTGTCTGGCCCCTCCTCCCTGTCAATCTTCACATGCTGCAGAGAGCAGGGGTCAGGGTGACATGTGCTGGGAACAGAGCCTGGCACTAGCTTGTGACCCCAGGCAGTTGCTGAACCTCTCAGCCTCAGATTCCTCCTCCCGTGTAGCACAATCTGAAAGCCGTCGATCTAGATGACCTCTGTGGTTCTTTTTGGGGGGTGGGCATTGGGGAGGGGTTGATGCCTGCTGACAGGCTGACAGCATGGATGCCAATGTTGTGCACTTGGGAGTGAACCCTGGCTCATGCCCAGTCTCCCAAGGAAGGTAGATTTGCAGCCCAGATCAAGCAGCTTCCGGCAGTGTACTCTGGACCTAATGGGATGGATGGGCATGGCTCCCTGGGTCTCCTCCACTGCAGGGCCCAGGGAATGGGAGCAGAGCCAGGATGCACACCTGAGTCCGAGGAGCAAACAGTGCTGCCACCTGTGGACCCTCATCATGGCTGACCAGGGCCTGGGGCTCCTGCACTGGGTATCCAGGCTGCAAGCTCTGGAGAGAGAGGGCCTGACTAAACCCTGGATTGGATTTGGCTGCCTGGGTTCCAGTCCCAACTCTCCCTCTTTCTAGCTAAGTGACCTAGAGTAAGTTCTCAAGCCTCTGTGTGCTTCCATGAAGCAGGTTTAATAATCCTTCCTATCCTCTAGGCCCAGATGAGAAAGCACATAGAGAGCAGCCAGCCTGATGCCTGATGCCTAGCAGGGGATCAAGTAAATGTTTTTCGTATCCCACATGTCTATAGCTTCCTCTGAGGCTGATTGAGCCCTGCTCCCCACTTCTGGACTGGGCTGAGGATCTATGTGCACTTTTCTAATAGCTTCCTAAACCTGGGTTGTCTCCCCATCGGGTTGGGAGCTCTCTGAGGACAGGCTGCCTCCATCAGCTTGTGAATGTCCCCCACCCCTGTGCACACAGAGTCTGAGGCCTGGGTCGTCACCCCGTTCCAAACCTCCTGTGGCCAGTATCAGGGCCTGGGATGCACTGGAATTTAGACGGGAATGGGTGGGCTTAGCCATCTGCAGAGACGGAGCAGCCAAGATGGAGTGGAATGGGTAGAACCCTCCCCAAACTCCTATCTCCAAATCTCTCCAGGACTTGCCCAGCTCTGAGACTCTTCCTCTAGGGTAGAGTCTCTCTCCTTCTGCTTTAGAAGATGAACTCTGATAAAATGCAAATGCATCTGAGAATGTTCAGACTACTGGTCACTCACAATCGAGTATAGAATAGAACACGGAGCCCTTTGCAGTCTCTCCAGAGCTGAGAGTGGTTTTTTTGTTTGTTTGTTTTTGAGGCGGAGTCTCGCTCTGTCACTCAGGCTGGAGTGCAGTGGCACGATCTTGGCTCACTGCAACCTCCGCCTCCCGGGTTCAAGTGATTCTCTAGCCTCGAGTAGCTGGGATTACAGGTGCATGCCACCATGCCCAGCTAATTTTTGCATTTTTAAATAGAGACAGTGTTTCTCCATGTTGGCCAAGCTGGTCTCGAATGCCTGACCTCAGGTGATCTGCCCACCTCAGCCTCCCAGAGTGCTGGGATTACAGGCGTGAGCCACTGTGCCCTGCCAAGAGTGGTTTGATGATGAGGTCAGTTGGACCATGTTTGGAGCACCAGGAGGAGGGAGACAGGGGCAAGGACATCCCTCTTTCCCCATTCTCTGGATGGCAGAGAGCAAGTGGGAAGCTCCCCCTGCCAGGTCCAGCCTCCTCTGCTTCAGTTGACCAGAAACCCAGCCACTTGCAGGCTGCAGTCTGGAGACTTGGAGAAGATGAGTCCCACTGCCAGGTGCTCCTCTCCAGTCCTGTCCCACCTTCCCTTTCCCACCCCCAGCTCACCCTGGAAGTCGAAGTCAGTGAGTGAGGGATTGATGGCATCCAGGTCAGTGCCAAGGTCTCCATCTGGCAGCAGGGTGTCGTGCATAGTCCTGGCTGGGGAAGGCTCGGCCAGTAGCTTGGCACTGTGGCTGGGTGGGGTGTGGGCAGGCAGAGGCGAGTCCTGGGGGGTGCCTGGCTGGGCCCGCAGCTCAAGGTGCCCGTCCGGCTGTGGGAACAATGGCTGCGGGGGTCCAGGAGGGGCCAGGCCTGGTGAGAGGTGCAAGTATGTCTGCCCATAGCAGGAGGGTGTGTGCCCCATAAGTAGGTCCTGCAGGGGGTTCTTGCCAGGAATGGGGCCTGGAGCTGGGTGGAGTGAGTGCAGTGGTGGGGAGAGGCCAGCTGGGGGTGCCAGGGGCCGGATGGGGCCTGAGCCGGACAGCCCAGGGGGCGGACAGCCCAGGAGTGGGGAGCCCAGCTTTTCTCTCTTGTCTCCAATGAGGCTGTCCAGCTCTTCTGAAAGGCCCAAGAGAGAAAGAACACCATGAGACCTCCCTCCTCCACAGTCTTCCCCAGACTGGAACCCTTACTCGGGGCCTTGCCTCATTCTCTGATTCTCTCTTTTTTTTTTTTTTGGCTCATGAGTACCCTGGGCCCTTCCTTGCGTGGCCCGGCCGGCCTCACCTGGCTTGGCCATGCTTTTGCGCACAGCAATGGGATCTTTCCTCTTCCATTTTTGCAGCTCCTCTTGCATCTTGTCGATCTTGGCCGGATTGAGGGCCCACAGGCAGCCCTTGCGGGAGGAACTTCCTGATTTGTTCTCCACCTTCTCGAAGCACTTGTTGAGGGATAGGTTGTGCCGGACAGAATTCTTCCAGCCATCGGGTGCTGTCTGCCGGAACAGAGCAAGACAAGCATTCAGGCCAGGCTCAGGAAGCCAGAGCGGGCTTCAGGTCTGGGTTCTAGAACACTCCTGTTTCTCCTCTGGGCACAGAGCTGCCGCCCACTCTGGGGCTTGTTGTCCTCCTCAGCACCCATCCCTTGCTTGGTACCCTTTGGTGGTAGGGGACGGGTGAACAGGAACCTTGACCCCAAGTTATTTTCATCTCAAATCTGCCTTCATCCCACCCGCATCCCTTCCTGACCCCTCAGAGGACTGCCGAGGTGATTCGGAAAGCCAGGGCTGGTGGGCGCTACAGAGGCCTTCTGACCCACAACACTCTCCCATCTGAAGCTGAGCCACTCCCCACTGGGTCTCCATGCCTGTGCTTGGACCCCTCTGTGGAAGGGGGACTCATTACTCTGAGGTCTTGTGGCTGGCTTTAGACAGGGGAATTAGGGGAAGAATGCTCCTCTCCTGGGTCTGCCTTATCCCCTCTGGGACTAACTTGGGAGAAAAGAAAGATGGGCGAGGTTGGTGAGTGTTTGGGTGTGTGCGGTGTGTGCATTGCACATATGTTTGTGTGTCTAAGTGGGTTTGGTATATGAAGGGACAGTGCGTATGAGCATGTGCATACGTCCCTAAGTGTGTCATCCTGGCATAAGCAACGTCTCCTGGATACTCCTTCATGGGTCCATGAATTCCTCGACTGTGAGGATGGCTGTGTGTGAGAAAGTCTCTCTGGGTGTGACTGTGGGTAGCCATGATCGTATGATGTGTGGGTGTGAGTGTTTGCATGAGTGTGCCCAGGGGGCGTGCCCTGGTGGGGAGGCCAGCCCTCAGGCAGTGGGGGGGGGTGCTCGTGCCAATAGAATAAACACCCATTAGGAGGCCTGGTCATGCCACCAGTGTGGTAATTGTGCCCAGGGAGGGTTGTAAAAACCATTAGGCTGACTCAGTTGGGTGAGAGGCGGTGGCGGGAGTGCCAGTGGGCCCCCTGCCCGCCCACCTCCAGCTCTGTTCCAGGCTCTGTGACAGCCCTGAGTTCAGCAGGGGCTGACTGTGGGTAGGGCACTCGCTCTGGCCGGTGGGGCTCCTTCGCCCTCATTCCCTGGCCCCTCCCCCTTTCAGCCCAAAGTTTCTGCTTAATGAGGGGCGGCCACTCCTTCCTCCTCAGCTCACTTGCCCCAGGGAGCAGCCAAGCTGAATCATGCCCAGCAGAACTGGGTCTTGATGCCAGCGTCACTCCAAGTGGCTGGCAGGACCTGGTGCAGCCTTTCTTGGGGGCAGCTGGCCTGGGGCAGGTTGCTGGTTGAGATGACCCCTAAGGCTCCCAGGGTCACCAGGGAGGATTCTTGAGCCACCAGACCAGCCAACTAGGGATTCACCTTCGACTCCCACCACAGTCTCCACTAGGAGTTAAGGCCACGTTGCCCCATGGGCGGAGTTAATGGGCGCTGGGGCCTTTTATGGCCCCATGAATCTGTGACTTTGGGATGCCAGGGCAGCCCCCACCCCAGCCACTTCCTGTTTGGAAGAGGGATGGTCAGCACTAACAATTATGTCCAGTGGCTGGACACTTCCCCAGCCCCACATCCCTGACTCATGGGGCTATGGGATGCCCACAGCAGCTGCCTTGGGCATGAGTGCTGGCCACTCCAGGGTCCAGTCTATCCTTGCCCAGAAAAATGATCTTCAAAAGGGAAGTGAGAGATGGAAAGAGGTGGGGGATCTTTGAACTAAGGAATTTCCTTAGGTGGGTCACAGGGGAACTGTCAGAGTCAGAAGGAATCTATGTGCCAACGGATCTGACCCACTTTACAGACTGGGAAACTGAGGTTCAGAGAAGAAAGGGCCTAGCCCTGGATCACACAAGGAGGCAGTGACAGAGCTTAGCCTCCAACTCTGTCCCCCAGCTAAGGGCCCTGCCCAGGTCACCCCATAGGGCCTGCCTCACAATCTGGGGCCCATCCCATCCTCACAGATGCTTTCTCTCTGAGATCAAATGTAAACTCAGGAGTGAGGGAGTGATGCAAGTGGCTAAAAGCAACAACTAGAACCAAAGGGAACAAAAAGCTGTTAGACCTCTTCACTCCTCAGCCCCATAAAACAGGGATTACATGGCTCCCAGGAAAAATAATTAAGCCAGGAAGATGAGATGCGGGGAGGGGTGGGGGCCAGGCCGGGAGCTGGTGGGGAAGGAAGGCTGAGAGGACTGGGCTTTTCCCTCTCTCTGCCCTGGCCCCTTGAAACCCTAGAAGACCCTCCAAAAGCTTTAGGGGTTAGGGAGAGTTCAGCCCCTGACCTGCTGGGGTATGGAGGGCAGCCCTGAATTCAGGCTTTGATGCTTCTTGAATTCCAGGGACGACTCACCTCCCTCCCTCTTTCCCTTCCAGAACCTCTGGTGGATCAACACACTTTTCCACTCCTGGACAGACCACTCCGGCCAACTTGCCCACTCCTCATCTGATGGCAGCCCAGCAGGATAAACTTATTTGAACATCAAGCGTCAAATTATCCCCAGGCAGGACCATAGATGGTGGGGGCAGGAATCACCCCCTGGCAGGTGGAGCTGAGTTCTGGATTACCCGGGTCTCAGCAACTGCCCACTGCCTGGGTGACAGATGAGATTTGTGTCTACTAGGGCTTGGAGAAGGCACTCCTCACACACAATCTCTGGTCTCCCTGATACCCATCCCAGGAGAAGGGGGTCTGTGCTGGAGGGTCTAGGTGGCACGCAGAGAGGGGTGTGCAAAGCCAAATAGCTTGATCCAGTAACTGATCCCATCTACTGTGCGACCTTAGGGGAATGGACCACCCTGTCTGATGTGTTTGTCCACCTTGGGAGAAGAGCCCCTGTCCTGCCTCTAGAGAGGGAGCTGGGTAAGGCTCCCAGAAGCGCCTTCTGTGAATGATAGAAATGAGATTCTGCCCAAGGGGTTGGGGGAGAGTCAGGTGAGCCAGCCTGGGACACTCAAAGACTGGGAAGCCCACACCCCGCTTTCTGGCAGAACTGCAGCTGAGCCTGCCACCCACAGAGATAGATCCTAATCTCACCTTGGAAGGCAATGGCTTCTTCAGCCCCGACCTCCCAGTCACCGTGGCTGACTAGCTTCTCCAGCCCCACAGCATCCCAGCGGTCGGGGTAGCAATAGTGTCTTATTTCTTCTCCAACTTTCTCTTCCCACTTGGGGTAGGTGGATGCTCCCTGAGGCCCATCGGTGCTACCTTGCCCACCTTCCCCAGCAGAAGGTCTGACTCCAGTCTGCTGTGCAACCTTGGATGAGCCACTTGGGCTCTCTGTTCCCCACTTGGAGCACCTTTTGTAGGAACTCTGTCCTTCTGAGGTGGAGACAACGGAAAGCATGGTGGGGGTAAGCCCTCTCCTGGCTTTCGTTCTAATTCTTCTCCCACCTCCAGACAGAAGCCTCTGCTCAGAGAGGCCTGGCCTGTCCAGGACTTGGGGGTGATGGGATGGGGAGGAATCTTGGGCTCACCTTGAAGTAAGGAAAGTGCTCCGTCATAAAATTGTAGATCTCGCTGACGGGAAGGCTCCCAGTTTTACTGTTCTTAAGGGCCATGAAGATGAGGATGCTGAAGAAAGAGAAAGCCCCTGAGAGTCCGAACCTCTGACTGGGTCCTGAGCCCACCCCAAGCCCCCCACCCCTGGTGAGAGGCTCTATGGGATTGGAGGTGAAAGAGAAGGGAATGAGAAGGTGTCCATTGAAGTGAGCACGGAAGTCAGGAATTACAGACGTGCGAGGGTCTTGTGGAATCTGAGAAACCTGGGTGGCCATCCTGGCCTAGTTACTCTCTGGCTGTGTGACCTTGGGTGAATGCCTTACCCTCTCTGAACCTCAGTTTCCTCAACTTTGAAGTGAAGAAAGTAATAGCTACCTCAGAGTTGTGAGGATTAAGGATGGTGCCTGTCACATAGAAGGCACTCATTAAACGGAAGCTGTCATTACTAGTTAGTCCTCAGCCAATTGCATGAATGTTGGAGAGTAGGGAGGGAACTAAGGTTTCTTGAGCCTATGCAATGTACCAAGCACAGTACCTACATTCTCTTACTTAATCCTTCCAACAGCCTGAACTGCTACCCCAAACCCTGACATTTTTTTCTTTTGAATCTTAAAAGTCTTATATTTTTATTTTTTTTATTATACTTTAAGTTCTGGGATACATGTACAGTACGTGCAGGTTTGTTACATAGGTATACCCGTGCTATGGTGGTTTGCTACACCCGTCAACCCGTCATCTACATTAGATATTTCTCCTAACGTTGTCCCTCCCCTTGCCCCCAACCCCTGACATTTTTTTTTTTTTTTAAAGAGGAATAAATAGAGGCTCAGAGAGATTAAGTAACTTCCCTGAGGTTTCATGCTGGTCAGTTCCACAGCTGGTCTTGAACTCATTTCTGCTGGACTCCAAGAGCTGCGTGTATGTCTTTCAGTGAATGATCCTGCCTTTCACAAAGCCCTTCTCTGCACTCCTGGCTGATGCTTAAGTTCCTCTCCCTTCCCCTCAGCTCACACTAGCTGATGACCCGATCCCATGTAGGGCCTGACACATATTTGGCCAAGTGTCACTGTTGGTTGGATGAATGAAAGGACAGATGGAAGGGTCTCCCAGACAGGCTGGGTCTGCTGACACTTAAGAACCCAGCCCCAGAGAAGTCCCACCAGATCTGGCAGATGGTGGATAGCCGAGTCACATCTGCAGGCCTCATCCCCCATTTCCTTCCAGTAGAGCTTTGAGGGGGGCTTCCGTCTGTTTCCGGGGAGGCACAGGGAAGGCAGCAAGCATCCCCCTTAAATTCTCAGATCCAGGCCCTGGGCCCTAGGAGGTGAGACCTTGGCAGGCTCATCACATGGCACCAGCATCTGCTGAGTCAAGTCACAGACATGACTCCCCAGGCTTAGACAAAGGGTCAGAGCTGATCCAGTCTATGCCCCTGCCTTCATGCAGGAACCCTCTCTCCAGCATCTTCTGGAAGCCCACTGGTATGATTTCCACCTGCTGCCATTACTGGTAGACCCAGAGGATTCCATGCCTCAGTGTTCCCAGGGGCCCTCTCACTCCCCTCCTCCTCCCATCCCTGGAGAGTGGGAAATGTACCTGTAGGAATAGATGGGTTTTGGGAAGAGAGGCTGGTGCCCATCGGTGCTGGCCTGGGGTGCCATTCGCTGGTACTGATAGTGTGAGGAGCCCAGGTAGGGTATGGGGTAGCTGCCACCACCTGGCGAGTACTGAGGAGGTCAAAAGGGGCAGAGTGATTGCATGGTACCCAGCCTTTCCCAGGAGGGCCCTCCTCCCCATTTATATACATCCAGAGAAGGGGCTCAGGCCAGATTCTTCCCTCCTGGGTCATGGGCCCCATCACCCCCAAAGCAGAGCTGTCTGAGGGGCTGTGAGGAGATCCACACCCTGTAATTCAGGATCTCAGAGGCCTTAAAACCCTCTTCCTCCAGCTCCTTCCTCTCAGCCCTTTTGATGCTCTGGTTGCTATGGTGACGGGACCCTGCAGGGAGAGTATGAAGTGAAGCCCTCGGCCCCTGCACCCTTCCAGGAAGGTGCTCCCAGTGCCTGTGCATCTCCCAGAGCAGCTGGGCCGGAAGCAGGATGTCCAGCCTGGGCGTTTGCTGGGCACTGCCACCTTTTATGAGTTTCAGTGGCTCTTTGAAAGGGCCAGTCATGGTGGTGGACAGGTCGGGGTAGGAGGTGGTTTTACGGCAAAGGGAGTGGCTGCGGTGCCACGGATGGTGTTTTATGGGGGATGGGGGTAGGAGACTCTGACTCCCCCAGCTGCTCCAGGCTGAAGAGCTCTTTCCAGGTTACCCAAGAGACATTTAGTGCCTGAGTCACCTCGGTCCAGGCTCCATAAAGCCCTGGGTGTGGCCATCTTGAGAGGGGGTGCAGACTGCAGAGGCCATCAAAGCAGGGCCAGGCATGGTGAGGTCATTTAAGGTCTGGTGGCCCCTTAGTCCTTCTGTGGCTCAATCTCTGTCCCTGCCTCAGGGACATCCTCTACCCTGGGTCAGACCATGAGCCTCAGGATAGCTTCGGTCATTCCACCCAGGCCCCTCATGGCAGAGAGGATGTCCTCTCATGCCTTCTCTTTGCTTCCCTCTATCTCTTTCTTTTCCCTGCAAAGCCAGCAGTCTGACCCAGCCCCTCTCCCTTGCCTTCCTCCCTGGCTTGGCTGAGATCAGGGCCAGTGCCAGAGAGCCGGGTGCAGAACCTGCTCCACAGGCAGGGCCTGTCTCAGTGCCAGGCTGCAGGTGGATGGAGCTGGGCGCTGGGCAGCCACTTGCTCTGTCTTGCCTGGTGACTCCTGGGAGCTGCCTGGCTGCTCTGGGGCTCTTTTCTTTCTCCTTTAAAACTCCTCCATCCCATGCCAGTGTGGGGCAATTACTTGGCATCCTATACACTTGGGAGGAGCTGAAGCTGGGAAAGGAGGAAAGGGCTGAAGATGATGGGGACTTGGAGTCCTCTGGGTGGGAAGGTCCCCTAAGCCCACACTGGGTGCCCACCCTTTCTAGGCTAATAGAAGTTGGAGGCCAAGGTCACATAGCAAGATGGTGGCTGACTATACAGAAGCCCTTGTTCCTCGACCTGCTCGGCCTGTGTTTCACACCACACTCCTCTTTGCCCCTCTCTCTGTCTGGGGCAGCTCTCCTCCTTCCCCCATTTCTGGCTCACATCACAGCCCTGCCTCCATCTCAGCCCCACACTCTTATCTGAGGCCTCTCAGGCCTTGCCAGGGACTCAGACAAGCCCACCCCTGGAGGAGGGCAATTGCTTCTCTTCCCATTAACTATTCCCGCCACCTGCTGTGGCCAAGCCTAAGGTTCAGGGCCCTGCTGTCCTTATCTGCCTATCCTGGTGAACACATGCCATCACATAGACACCCACACACCACATACACACACACGATATCCTCAGACCTGGGGGAAGCAGGCCCACTTGCCCCAGACCCACCTGGTGGAAGGGGGGCTGGGAGGAGCAGTACATATGCTGCAAGGGAGGCTGGTAGCAGAACATCCCAGCACCACTCTCCAGAACTGGGGGCTTGACTTTGACCTCTGAACCCTGCTGGAAGAGAAAGCAGATGACTAGATTAGGCCTTATTTTCTCCCTTCCTCTTTCCTGTGTCTTGAACCTTACATAAAAGCAACCCCTATTCTGCTTCCCCCAAAGCTTATTCCTGGAGAACAACAGAGAACAGAGAAGGGCAGAGATTTTCCCAAGGGAACTCAGCAATTTAGTGGTAGAGCCGGGGCTGGAACTGACAGCAGTCCCTACGCCTCCCCTCACGGCAGGGGAGAGGCTGAGGCTGGGCTGTCCTGAGAAGTCAGGGAGACTTGTGCTGGGGTAGGGACAGGGATCTTCTGGAATAGCACAAAGGCACGGTGCTGACCTCACTCGACACGCCTGACTCAGAGGTCTCAGACCCTCTGAGTAGGTGTGCAAAGGACACCAGGAAAAGGTCACAGCTCCAGAACTCTCCCTGAGGATCCATGGTGAGGGGAGCATGGGTAGTGGCCAGACAGGCTGGTCCAGCTGTGGGCCTGGGTCCCTTCTGTTTCCTCCTCTGTACAGCCCCAGGAAGCTCCAGCAGGATCTCTGAATGGGGCTAGTAACTCCTCTCCGCTCTGACTCCTGGCCATCCCTGATGCAGAGCTTTTGCTCCCTGCTCCAGGGAGTCTGCACAGTTGCTGGCCTGCGTGAGTCCTGTGGATGCTCTCACACTGGGCATGGGGAGCCTGCAGCTGCTGCTAGCCATGATGGCCAGACTCCGCCTTCCCATGTGTGAGAGGCCGGCACAGAGTCCCAGGGCCTAGTGCAGAGCTCTCCGGTGAGTACGGACAGGAGGGTGTGCAGCTAGGCCCCGGAAGGTGGACAAGCCCTGGAGGAGGCGGATTGCACTTCCTGGGGTTACCAGGGGCCTTGGGAAACCAGCATCTGGGCCCAGAGGGGCAAATCAGCTGTGACCTCTCTCTGGGTGTGCCCTGGGGTTGTTGATGCAGAGATTGCCATAATCATAGAATCTCGGGCCTAGAAGGGCCAAGAGCACTTGTGTCCAACCCCTTCATTTGACAGATGATGGGGCTGAGCCCAAAGAGGGGAAGCAATATGCCCAAGGTCACCCAGCAAGTCGACCAGATACCTGTGTGTCTCTGGAGCTCTTCTCCATGTGTGGGAGGGCAAGGGTGTGAACTCAATCTCAGCCTCACCATTTGCAGGTTAGGAGACACCCTGGGCAAGTCACTTGGCCTCTATGAGCCTCAGTTTCCTCATCTGCAACACGGGTATGGTGGGAACTCTCTAGAGTGTTGTTGAGGGGATTAAATGGGGGCACTTGAAAGAAAGCACCTGGCAGAATGATTGGCAGCTGTTATTGAGTGGAGGTTTGGGGGCAGTAGCTGAGATGATGGTGCCCTATCTGTAGGCTGTGGTCATGTTTAAGGGGCCTGAGAAGAAGTGGTCAAAGGGCCAGAATAAAGTCCTGTTTTGGCCACACCTGGTAGGACCCAACCGCCTTCTCCATCTTCCTTCTAAGCCTTTGTTGGGGTGGCTTGGGGCTGGAATGGGGGCCTGTTTGAAAGCAAGAGGTGAGGGGGGCTGGTGGGCATGTGGAGTAGGCACTGCTGAGGCTACGCCCACTCAGTCACTGCCTCAGGGACCTCCAAACCAGAGCGGGGGAGCAGGGAGCAAATTCCCTTTAGCTTTTATCTTCCCTAAGCAACAATCCCATGAGACAGGTAATGTTGACCTTACTTTTCAGATGAGGCTCAGAGACGTTAAGACTTGTCCAGGGTCACGCCGCTTATGGAGGTCAGGCTATGGAAGGACATGTTAACCTTCCAAGGTATTTCCAGGAATACACCCAGGCCCCACTCTGGGCAAAGAATGGGGCCAGGAAGGGTCCCTCCACACTTAAAGTCCTCTCTCAACTCTGTATGCTAAGGCTGGGGAGGGAAAAACTGTGTACTATGGCTCCTCCCCAAACCCTTTCCCTTGGCCTCTGGAATGTGTTTTTCTTGTCACATTTGCATATGGGTGTGTAGGTCTGGCTGGAGTTTCTGGACATTTAAACAAACAGTGAGAAGTCACACACTGGAATCCTGACTCAGGAGCCTCTGGGAAGCTGCCAGCTTCTTTAGCCTGGCCTACCTCCCCCACTTGCCCCCCTCCATGCTGGCCAGGCCAACACCCCTCCCCAGCTGACCAGGAGGCCCCAACTCTCTGGTCTTGAGTGGCAAGGTCTGCAAAGAGAAGGTGGGACTTTGGTCTCAGAGGTCTGACTCTTTCTAGGCTGCTAGGAACTGGGACAGTGGGAAGATGGGACACTCGCTGGCCACTAGTACTCACCAGGACTTGGGGGCCATGCTCCTGGCTGGGGTAGGGGAGCCCGTTACACCAGGCCTCTGCTGAGAAGCCAGGCAGGAAGGCCTCGGCCTCCGCCACGTCCACTGGGATCTCCTCGAAGGCCTCCAGCGGCCCTGGGGTCTTAAAGGAGTGTCCTTTGAGGGCCAGGGTGGTCTCGGCCTCTGGGAAGACGTCCTCATGGAAAGGCCGCTTGTACGGGTGGAAGGGCGCGTGGCTGCCCTTGAGGAATCGCCCAGGGCTGCTTGCTGCGGCCTCCTCAAAGCCAAAGCCAGGATACTTGTCTGAGGGTGAGAGCCTGAAGGGCCCAGGGCCGGGGCCGGCTGGGCAGTGGCCCTGGACTTGCTCGGGCCCTGGTGACGCAATGCGGGGGCTGTGTGGGGGCAGTGAGGGTGTCCTCTCTGGAGGGCCGTCGGACACAAATGACGAGCAGCTGAAGCCGGCATGCTTCTGGGTAGACAGAGAGTAGCGAGCCTGTGAGTGGAGGCTGAACCAGGCCTGGGGACTGGCTGGGACCCTACTCTGTTCTGGGGTAAAGGGGGTCTATGGCTGAGCTCTGGGAAGACCCTAAATGGTGGAGAAGAAATAGCCTACCCTTGGCCCCGATTTCATGAGGGCACCCTGCCATGAAACCTGGGGTACCCCAAATCTGATGGGGCTCACAGCCCTGGGACAGGCTCAGACTGAAGGGATGAGGAGTGACCCCTCTGGATCTCGGGGTCCCTGAGGACTTGTTTGCTGGTGGAGGGGACAAGACAGGCCCTGGGAGGTCCCTGGGGGCGGTAAGGTGACTGGTCTTCTTGTTGCCTGGGCAGCCGCAGGCCTTGGCCTAAACCCAGGCCCAGATGCCGGGTACTTACACTCTGTGGGGCAGGGGAGCCTGGGAGGCCCGGTGCCTGCATGAGGTCCCCTTGGCGCTCGCCCTCCAGTCTGGTGGGGCCCGGCAGCGTGACGTCAGACTGCGGCGGGGGTAGCGACACCATCACCCAGTCCTGGCCTCAAAGAAAGCCGTCTGCCATGAGAGTGAGGACCAGCATCCAGTGGGGACCAACCCAGGTTCGCCACCTCCACCCCAACCCCATCCTTGGGCTGGGACCCTGCCTCCAGTCAGCCATCTGATGAGAGAGAGAGAGAGAGAGAGAGAGAGAGAGAGAGAGAGAACCAGAGAGCGAGAGAGAGAAAGAGAAATAGTTTGGAAAAGCAGAGCAGAGAGATCAGACCCCTGTGGAGAAAGGGCAAAGTGAGCCAGGTAGGAGCCTCAGGAGGGGCTTGGCTGATCTCAGGCTGCAGCTGCAGAGACTGACCGACTGACCAGTGAAACCCCGGCTCCCAGCTGGGCTCTGCCTCTGGCTCCTCAAGATCGGTCTCCTGTGTCTACAGAGAAGGGCCTGGCAAGGTGACCACAGCAGGTGGTCTCCATTCAGTGACTGGGCAAGTCGGTGGTCCTGAGGGGAGAGTGAGCTGGTGCGTGGGTCAGACTCATGCTTGGGGTGGGAGCAACCCCCTCCATGCAGGTGAGCCAGCCCTCAGCAGAGGCTGGTCCTGCAGTGACCCTCAGGTCAGCCTGGCTGATGTGACCACAGTGTGTAACTGGGGACCCAAAGGCCCCCGGTTGCCTGGAGGCCCTGTGAGCCCAGCGGGCCCTGACGATGTCACCACCCACACTGCAGCGCCTGGCAAGTGCTGTTCCACCTGTGTCCTCCAAACTCTAACCTGTGACTTTGTGCAGGCCACTGCCCCTTTCTGATCTTCAGTTTCCCCATGAAGACCTAGAGCCTTGGGTACATGATATCGGAGGGCTTTTTCTGCTCAGACCTTCTGCAATCATAGGGGAACCCTGTCCCTAACACAGTGGGGTGGTTAAGAGGACTCAGGCCTCAAAGCCGGGGTTGGCCCTTCCTCTCAAGCAGTGCCAGCAAAGCTCTCTGAACTTCAGCGTCATCATCTAACTGGGAGAGTGACAGGCCCCACCTCACACAGATGTTGTGAGTGTCAAACAAAATCATGCGCAGAAAGCATTCAGCACAGTGCCTGGTGCACAGTCCGTGCCCCATAAATGCCAGTTCTCATTATGAATATTATTGTGAGTGTGGTTCTCACTTTTTTTTTTTTTTTGAGATGGAGTCTCTCTCTGTCACCCAGGCTGGAGTGCAGTGGCATCATCTTGGCTTACTGCAACCTCTGCCTCCCGGGTTCAAGCAACTCTCCTGCCTCAGCCTCAAGAGTAGCTGGGACTACAGGCTTGTACCACCACACCTGGCTATTTTTTGTATTTTTGTTTTTATTTTTATTTATTTGTTTTTTTGGAGACGGAGTCTCCCTCTGTTGCCTAGGCTGGAGTGCGGTGGCATGCTCTCGGCTCACTTCAACCTCCACCTCCTGAGTTCAAGTGATTTTCCTGCCTCAGCCTCAAGAGTAGCTGGGACTACAGGCACATGCCACCATGCCTGGCTAATTTTTGTATTTTTAGTAGAGAAGGGATTTCACTATTTTGGCCAGGCTGGTCTCCAACTCCTGACCTCAGATGATCTGCCTGCTTTGGCCTCCCAAAGTGCTGGGATTACAGCCTAGCCACTGTGCCCGGCCTCTCACTCTTACTATCCTCAGCTTTTTGCCTTCCTTTACCACCTGCAAGAGCAATTCCTCTTAAATGTACTTCTCTTTGCCCAAGTGGCCTCTGATAAATGCTACAGTTTGCTGAGGGTCTGCTCTGGGCTGGCCACTGTGTGAACAATTTGGATGGTTTTCTCATTGATCTATTAGAACAATGAGAGGAAGGAGCATTATTGACTCCACCTTCCAGATGAGGATGCTGAGGCTCAGCGGGGTTATGTGACTTGCCCAAGTCGCCCAGGGGCAAGAACTCTGGTCTGTCCGACTGCAGACTCTGCACTCTGCTTATGGTTTCTTCATTGGGTGGGTGTCAAAGTTGGGGTAGGCTAGGCTGGGAGGCCAGGCATCAAGAAAAGCATGAGGTGTACACTCACTCCTTCTACCCAAGACCCCCTCAAGCCAGAGCAGGGCAGCTGTGCTGTGCCCAGGCCATGCTCTTTCCGGAGCTCTGGGAGGGAGAGGTGGCCTCATTGGCCCCGTGGTACCCAGGCTGGGGTTGGCACATCTTTGCTGAATAAACCATCAATAAGCCTCATTTGACAGACAGGGTAACAGGGAAAATGAGGGGAGGCAATTTGCCCAAAGTCCCATAGGATTTGCCCAAAGATCCCACAGGGGATCAGTGGTGGAGGGGCTGGAAGCCGGGGTCTAGGTGGGGGCCTGGTGGGAGGCTCTCCCGCCCCTTCAAGAGTCCCCACCACCCCTTCTTGATGTCCTGGCGCCTGCTCACTCGGCAATGCTAAATGTGGCGTGACCAGGGAAGCGCCGAGCTGGCCGTAACGGGACACCACAGCGGAGCAGGCATGGGGCCCGAGGTGCGGGGCAGCCCACCTCCCGCTCCGCATCACTGCCTCCTGCTCCCTGGACAGCTCCTCCTGGAGAGCTCGGGCCTGCCTGGAGGCCACACCTCACCCCGGCCCAGAGCTGCCTTCTCAGGAGGTGGTGCAGGGGGCTTGGTGCAGGGGGCTGGCATTCTCCAGCTCCAAATGGGAGGCCGAGGGCCCTTCTTCCCCGCCAGATCTCAGGCTTTGTAACCTGGGGAGGGTGGCCACTCCCCTCCCTGCAGGTGGGGTAGCACGGTGTTTTAGAGCAAGGATTTGGAGTCAAGCCCAGCTGAATTCCAGCCCCAGCTTTGTCACTTTCTGGCTGTGTGACTTTGAGCAAACTGTGTAGCTCTCTGTGCCTCACTTTCCGCATCTGAGAAATGGGGCACACAGACCCACCTCGCAGGGTCATCGTGAGGATGGTGTGCACGAGGTGCTGGCACAGGGAAAATGCTCGAGGACATGTGTCATGCATCTGGCCACTGCTGGCCAAGTGTGGCTGCAGGGGCCTTTGGCCCCAGGCTCTACAGCTTCTCTGATGCTCTCGTTGCCTCAGGCCTGGCAGTCCTGGGGCGATTGGCTGAAGACCCAGCCCCAGGTGGCAGCTGCCCTTGCTAGCCCTCCTTGCCTGCCTGGCCTTCACTCAGCCTGGCCTCAGACCCCAGCACTGCTCCCCTGCAGATGTGAACCTGGGGAGGCCTCTCTGAACTCCAGCTCAGGCCTGCACCACCTCCTGAGGGTCTGGCCTGCCCAGAATGATCCCCGCAGTGTCGGCCTCACCCCATTCTTGCACCTGTTCCCTATTCTCCAGAACATCATCTCCAGCTCCAGCCAAGTTCCTGTATGTCAGAGGCCTTAACAGAGGCTTCAGTTCACAGCCATGACTTTCATAGCCTTGCTTGGCCAAACCACCCTGCTACCTCCTCCAATCCCCCGGGGACAGGATGAGAACCAAGGAAGTTATGCAGAGTTCAGAGGCCCACCCCTTAATTTGCATTAAGGATGCAGAGGTTCCTGACTGGTCCTCTGGGATTCCTCTGGGCAGGTTTTGTAAGTGGGGACTCCTGATTTGGTGACCATGATGCCCCCTTGGTTGCAGCTAAAGCTCTATTCTACAAGTGAGACCCAGGGAACAGGTAAAGTGACTTTCCTAAGGCCACACGGCCCAGGAGAGAGGGGGTCCTCAGGGGCTGGTCAGAAGCCCTCTGACTGGTGTTTATGAGGGGCTCCTGTCCATCACTGGGAAGGGCTCACTGCAGGAACCTGGATGAGGCTGCCTTGGCCCTGACCCTTCCCTGGAGTAGCCGGCAGAACCCCTGAAGCTGGACGACCTGGAGTCAGGGCTGGATTTGAATCGCAGGAACTGTGGGACTTTGGTTGGGCATGATGCTTAACTTCCTTCCCCATGCCTCAGTTTCCTCATCTGTAAAATAGGACTAATAAATACTTACCTCTCTGGAGGATTAATAAAATATTGCTTGTAAATAGCTTAACACATAGTACATGCTCAATAAATGATAGCTATTATTAATAATTAGCAGTGGGACAGAGTTTGTTTAAGGCCTGAGTTATGGGGGTGGGGGGATCGGGAGCATCAGGAAGGGAACTCCCCTTTCCTGCCTTCTCCTACCTTCTACCTCCAGGTCCTTGACATTGTCCTCTCCCATTGGCAGAGGCTAAACTTCCCTCTTCCTGACTCTCTGGCCTCAGAGGTCATTTCCGCCTTTCCCATGTGGTAGAGCTAGTGTCTGTAGAAACTTCTGGGACTTATGTGGAGAGGAGGGGGGTTGACTCTCTTGTTTTGGATCTCTCGGGAGGTCTCTCTGCTGGCCCCAGTGTCCTGGGGCTGACATCTGCATTCAGAAGGGATCTTTCATAGAGGTCCAACCTTTATCCTGCCTGTTCCAGTTTCAGGGAGCACTGGAACTGGATGGGATGTGTGTGCAAGTATCAGCAAATACCAGCACAGGAGGCCCAGTCAGCTCTCCTGCCTTCTCAGATTCCGGGAGCTCCTCCAGATCACTCTCATGAACTGCCCCTCAATATGGGTACCCACAACCCACAACCACCTGCTTCCTGGACTAGAGGCTGAGGCTCTCACTGGCAGACTGTGCCCTGGGGTCCCTTTGCCGCAGTTCCACATCTGCAGTGCACTCTGAAGTTTCCTCTGCACTTTTTTTTTTTTTTGAGACAAGGTCTTGCTGTCGCCCAGGCTGGAGTGCAGTGGCACAATCATCACTCACTGCAGCCTCGACCTCCTGGGCTCAACTGATCCTCCCGCCTTAGCCTCCCAAAGTGCTGAGATTACAGGTGTGCACCACCGCGCCCAGCCCCTCTGCACTTTTGTATCTCTTGTCTCATGTTATCCTCCCTTTGCCCCAGAGGGTAGGGGGCAATGGTGTGCAGAGCCAGTTGGCAAGGGCTCATGAGAGCCAATTGTGCCCATTTCTTCCCAACTCCATATCCAGTGAAATTGGTGGAGATCAGCCACAGTGGGAGTATTTGCCCATGGAAATTAGCAAATCCTACAAATCAGAGCCTTTTTAAACATTATGATTTATTTACTTTTGAAAGCTGACTGGTGAACATTTACCAACACACCACTGTCAGGGGAGCAAGGTCATCAAGCCCATTTTTTTAGGGGAGAAAATTGAGGCCCAGAGAGAAGAAATGACCTGCGCAGGGTTACACAGCTGACTGAAAACCACATCTGACTCTCAGTTCTTGAGAGCCATGACCATACCGCCAGATGCTCACTCTCCAGGAGGGCACCCCTGGCAAAACCTTGACCAAAGACCTTTTCAGCGTCTGGGCATTCTGGCCACCTTCCGCCTGCCATGATCCTTGGGGAGCGGGGATGGAAGAGGTGGACTTGATCTGCCCTGGCATCAGAGAGAAGAAAGAAACGGCCCTTTGACTTGAGTAGAGGGGATGACGAGTGAGAAATTTCCCAGAAAGGCTGACAACAGGATCAATAATCATCAAGGATCAACAGTCATCATTACTGCATTCCTGCTCTGTGCCCTTCTCACAAACAGCCGGCCTGCGCCCGCTCTACCCATCAACATCTCCCCACCTCTCAGAGAGCCTTCTCTTGGCTCCTTAGGACTCAGGCAGAGGGGGCCGTTTAGGAGTGGAAGCCAGGAGACATTGTGCTGGCTGTGTGATGTTGGATAACTCACTTCCCCTTTCTGTACTTCAGTTCCTCTATAAGTCAAACGAGGCCCTGGGACCATTTGCATCTAAAGATGCTGAGGCTAATCCTGTGGAGGTGTGTACCTGGTGGAGGAGTGTACCCTGCGGAGGTGTGTACCCTGTGGATGTGTGTACCCTATGGAGGTATGGATCCTATGAAGGTGTGTACCATGTGGAGGTGTGTACCCTATGGAGGTGTGTACCCTGTGGAGGTGTGTACCCTGTGGAGGTATGGATCCTGTGGAGGTGTGTATCCTGTGGAGGTGTGTACCCTGTGGAGGTGTGTATCCTGTGGAGGTGTGTACCCTGTGGAGGTATGGATCCTGTGGAGGTGTGTACCCAGTGGAGGCATGTACCCTGTGGAGGTGTGTACCCTATGGAGGTCTGTACCCTGTGGAGGTGTGTACCCTGTGGAGGTATGGATCCTGTGGAGGTGTGTACCCTGTGGAGGTATGGATCCTGTGGAGGTGTGTATCCTGTGGAGGTGTGTACCCTGTGGAGGTGTGTATCCTGTGGAGGTGTGTACCCTGTGGAGGTATGGATCCTGTGGAGGTGTGTACCCAGTGCAGGCATGTACCCTGTGGAGGTGTGTACCCTATGGAGGTCTGTACCCTGTGGAGGTGTGTACCCTGTGGAGGTATGGATCCTGTGGAGGTGTGTACCCTGTGGAGGTCTGTACCCTGTGGAGGTGTGTACCCTGTGGAGGTATGGATCCTGTGGAGGTGTGTACCCTGTGGAGGTATGGATCCTGTGGAGGTGTGTACCCTGTGCAGGCATGTACCCTGTGGAGGTATGTACCCTGTGGAGGTGTGTACCCTGTGGAGTTGAGTACCCTATGGAGGTGTGTACCCTATGGAGGTGTGTACCCTGTGGAGGTGTGTACCCTGTGGAGGTATGGATCCTGTGGAGGTGTGTACCCTATGGAACTATGGATCCTGTGGAGGTGTCTGCCCTGTGGAGGTGTGTACCCTGTACCCTGTGGAGGTGTGTCCCTGTGGAGGTGTGTATCTTGTGGAGGCATGTACCCTGTGGAGGTGTGTACCCTGTGGAGGTGTGTCCCTGTGGAGGTATGGATCCTGTGGAGGTGTGTACCCAGTGGAGGTGTGTACCCTGTGGAGGTGTGTATCCTGTGGAGGTGTGTACCCTGTGGAGGTGTGGATCCTGTGGAGGTGTGTACCCTGTGGAGATGTGTACCCTTTTGAGGTATGGATCCTGTGGAGGTGTGTACCCTGTGGAAGTGTGTACCCTGTGGAGGTGTGGATCCTGTGGAGGTATGTACTCTGTGGAGGCGTGTACCCTGTGATGGTATGGATCCTGTGGAGGTGTGTACCCTGTGGAGGTATGGATCCTGCGGAGGTGTGTACCCTATGGAGGTATGGATCCTGTGGAGGTGTGTACCCTGTGGAGGTGTGTCCTTGTGGAGGTATGGATCCTGTGGAGGTGTGTACCCAGTGGAGTTGTGTACCCTGTGGAGGTGTGTACCCTGTGGAGGTGTGTATCCTGTGGAGGTGTGTACCCTGTGGAGATGTGTACCCTTTTGAGGTATGGATCCTGTGGAGGTGTGTACCCTGTGGAAGTGTGTACCCTGTGGAGGTGTGGATCCTGTGGAGGTATGTATTCTGTGGAGGCGTGTACCCCGTGATGGTATGGATCCTGTGGAGGTGTGTACCCAGTGGAGGTGTGTACCCTGTGGAGGTATGGATCCTGCGGAGGTGTGTACCCTATGGAGGTATGGATCCTGTGGAGGTGTGTACCCTGTGGAGGTGTGTATCCTGCGGAGGTGTGTACCCTGTGGAGGTGTGTACTCTGTGGCGGTATGGATCCTGTGGAGGTGTGTACTCTGTGGAAGTGTGTACCCTGTGGAGGTGTGGATCCTGTGGAGGTATGTACTCTGTGGAGGCATGTACCCCGTGATGGTATGGATCCTGTGGAGGTGTGTACCCTATGGAGGTATGGATCCTGTGGAGGTGTGTAACCTGTGGAGGTGTGTACCTTGTGGAGGTGTGGATCCTGTGGCAGTGTGTACCCTGTAGAGGTGTGTACCCTGTGGAGGTATGGATTCTGTGGAGATGTGTATCCTCTGGAGATGTGTACCCTTTGGAGCTATGGATCCTGTGGAGGTGTGTACCCTGTGGAGGTGTGTACCCTGTGGAGGTATGGATCCTGTGGAGATGTGTACCCTGTGGATGTAAGGATCCTGTGGAGGTGTGTACCCTGTGGAGATGTGTACCCTGTGGAGGTATGGATCCTGTGGAGGTGTGTATCCTGTGGAGTTATGGATCCTGTGGAGTTGTATACCCTGTGGAAGTATGGATCCTCTGGAGGTGTGTACCCCTGTGGAAATGTGTATACTTGTGGAGGGGTGTACACCTGTTGAGGAGGGTATACCTGTGGAAATGTGTACCCTGTGAAGGTATGGACACTGTAGAGATATGTTCACCTGTGGAAGTGTGTACCCTGTGGAGGTGTGTACGCCTGTGAAGGTATGTATATCTGTGGAGGTGTATACACCTGGGGAATGGTGTTCACCTTTGGAGGTATGTACACTGTGGAGGGGTGTACTCCTGTGAAAGTGTGTATACTTGTGGAGGGGTGTATACCTGTTGAGGAGTGTACACCTGTGGAGGTATATTCACCAATGGAACTGTATACCCTGTGGAGGTGTGTACACCTGTGGAAGTCTATACTTTTGGAGGGGTGTACACCTGTGGAGATGTGTAGCCTGTGGAGGTATGTTCATCTGTGGAAGTGTGTACCCTGTAGAAGCATGTACCACATGGAGGGGTGTACCTCTGTGAAGGGGTGTACACTTGTGGAAGTATGTTCACCTATGGAAGTATGTACCCTGTGGAAGTGTGTTCACCTGTGGAGGTATGTTCACCTGTGGAAGTGTATACACCTTTGGAAATGTGCACACCTGTGGAGGGTGTACCCTGTGGAGATGTGTACACCTATGAAGGGGTGTACTCTGTGGAGGTGTGTACCCTGTGGAGGTATGTACTCTGTACTCTTTGGAGGTATGTACCCTGTGGAAGTGTGTACCCTGTGGAGGTGTGTACCTCATAGAGGTGTGTACCCTGTGGAGATATGTACCCTGTAAAGGTGTATCTGGCCCACAGAGCTGTCAGCAGGGACCTCACCCCTCCTCTGCCTTTATGTGGGGCGCCCCTGAGGACATCCTCAAGGAGATCAGGAAGACTTGGCTGAGTTTTTACACCCCAGGAAGGAGGAGCTGTATTATCATCCCATTTTATAGATGAGGAAACTGAGACTCAGAGAAGTTAACCTGACTTGCCCAAGTTCACTCAGCTAGTATATTATGCTCCCCAGGATTCCAACCCGGGCTTCAAAGCCAGCATGCTGAACCATTACGCTACACGGCCCCACCTTGGTAACGCCTCAGCCTCCCTGCTCAAGCCTGAAAGGTGGGTGGGGGCGACGTTGGAGGTTTCCTTGGGAGGGTCTGTCCCTGCCTCCCCTGTGGGCAACTGAATCACAGGGACAGACAGGCCTGGGGCACCAAGGGTCCTCCCCAGGCTCTCTTCACGCTCCCTGCTGCCTCCCACCTGGCGGCCTCCTACCCACTCTTTATGAGTGAGGTGGGGACGGCTCAGTTCCACCTTAATGGTTTCTGTTGCTGGCTGCGGCAGCATGTTTTACGAGGGGTGGGGCTCGGCCGGCCGGGTGCTGGCCTGTAGCCCCACCCAGGGCTCCACCCGACAGGCTGCTGGGAGGGGTCCCCTGGAGCAGCTCGGCAATTATGGGGGTGGCAGGGAAGGACCTGGGGGCTCTGCCTGAGGCTTGGGCACCCAAGGAAACTCGGGGTCTGGGAATGCCAAGAAAGAGGGGGTTTCTAGCTCCTTTCTCCCCATCAATGTTGGAAGTTCTGAGGGCAAAATTCTGGCCTCCCTGGCTCTTAACCCAGCATCAGTTTCGGAAAATGGGTTGCGTGCCCCTGCCTTGAGATCTGACTCAAGTACAGAGCAGGTAGGGACAGAATGGGCAGGGAGGGGAGTGGGGAGAACAAAGGATGAAAAGCCACCATGTCCCCCAGGTGACGCTTTCCTCCATGTGAGCCACCGACACCTGCAGCTGAGTCATTCCAGTCCCCAAATCAGGCTTCTCCTAAAGACTCTTCAGCATTCCCATGTGCCTCTGGAAGCAGGCTGGTCCCAGAGCATTGCCTAGTACGCCCATCCTGGAAAAGCACTTGAGCCTTGGGCCGACCTGGAGGTTCTTCCAGATCTCTAATCCCTATTTATTGTAATCTTAGTCCTCTTGTCCTGTCCTTCCTGCCATTCACCAAGCCACCCACCAGAGCCTCTTTAAGGGCAATAGACTCATCCCTTCTGCAGGGAGGGTCCCAGCTTTGCTTCAGATGCCTGACTCCAACAGCAACCAGTCTCCCACTCTCCTTTGCCCAGCACCCCTTCCTTTTCGCCATCCCTGGCTGCCTCTGGGCACCTTCCCGTCTCTCCAGCCCCTCTCTAACCTCTGCCACCCAGCCATGGCCCCAAAGGAGCCAAATCCAAGCACTCACAGTGGGCTCTGGGTCATGGCCACCATCACCGCTTCGGGGAGTCATTCAGCCTGCAGCTCCCCAGGAGCCTCCATCGAGGTATAAATACTCCCACATGCCTGGACCGGCCCCCTGCCCGAGGGCTGAGGCGGGGCTGTCTCCCCAGGCCAGGCAGGCAGGTCACATGCCCCATAAATGCCACAGGACCACAGGCCCTTCCTAGCAGCCCTGGGGAGGCCAACTAGAGCCTGACCTCTCTGGATGGATGGGTGGATAGATAGATGTATTTATGTATGTAAAGATGAACAGTTGGATGAATGGACAGATCATCGGATGGAGAGATTGATGGATGGAAAGCTGGACAGATGGACAAATCAACAGACAGATAGATGAATGTTTTATTTTTTTATTTTAAGTATTTTTATTTCTGTGAGTATCTGTAGTGTAAAGGATGAATATTTAGTGGGATAGATGGATGGATGTCCTTGACCTACCCGTGAATGTTTATTCTGGTTTTTTTTGTTTGTTTGTTTGAGACAAAGTCTCACTCTGTCACCCAGGGTGGAGTGCAGTGGTGCAATCTTGGCTCACTGCAACCTCCACCTCCTGGGTTCAAGCGATTCTCCTGCCTCAGCCTCCCAAGAAGCTGGGATTACAGGCGGGCAGCACCAAGTCTGGTTAACTTTTGTATTTTTAGCAGAGATGGGGTTTTGCCATGTTGGCCAAGCTGGGGATGTTTATTTTGTAGATGGAAAGAAAGGGGTGTTTGGTTTCAAGGAAACAAGAAATGCTACCCCTCAAAGCTTCCATCCATTCCTTTCTGAGACATACCTACTAGGACCCCTTCTCTCCTCTGCTAGTCTGAGAGATCAGCCCTACTGGGTTCTTCCTACTCCTTAGATGCTCCTTGACAGAGACCTCCCACCTAAGCATCCTCGGCCTCCAGGGATCTTTTGCTCTTACTTGTGGGTGTCATTCATGGTCTGCCTCCTCCACCCTCCTGCCTCCCTGGCTACTCTGGAGTCCAGGCTCTGAGGCTGGGAGCCTACCCCAACATCTTGCTCCCAGAAGCAAGGTCAGCAAGCTTGCCCCGCCAAGGTTAGTGGGGGAGGGGAATTCCCAGTTCCAAAAACATAAAACCCCCTTGGACAGGCAGTTTAAGGAGAAGGTTCTCCCACCTCCACCTTCCCCAGGTTCTAGAGATGGGGTCTTGCTTTGTTGCCCAGGCTGGTCTCAAACTCCTAGGCTCTCGCCTCAGCCTCTGGAGTATATGAGACTAAAAGTGCATGCCACGGTGCTCACCTATTCCCAGGGATTTTTTGAAGCCATGGCTGAGTCTGATGGTGAGAACTGGCCTGACCTAGGACTTGGAGGTGGACAAGGTGGCCTAGAACCACTCAGGGCTTGACTGGAAAGCTGGACTTTTGAGAAGGAGGAACTTGTTGCCTGCTTGATCCTTCCAGGGGGCAGTGTTCAGAAAGCAGTGATCTGAGGCCTTAGACATTGGTTTCTAGAGAAGAAAGTTCCCTGAAATCCTCAGTCTGCCCAGCTGTGATAAGGGCCAAAGAATGGCTGATGAGGTGGGGCATGAGTGAAGGACCAGGAGGCTTTTGCACAGATTGTGAAGCCTTGCCTTCATCCCTCCTCAACAAGCTTCCTCCAGCTACACTGGCTGAAGGGGATGGAGAAATGGGCTGGGGTATGGGATGAAGTGGCTGACCTCTAAGCACTCATTAGCTCTGGGTCCCTGTGGCCCGGAAGTCCTACCCCTGTAATGAAGTCACCCAGGGCTGAGCCCGATGGTCCCACCCCCAGCCTCCTGTGGGCTGTGTAGGTAATTGGCTTTGGAGTTGTTGGGCTGTGGCAGTGATTGGCAGCAGAGGATTTGATCTGTGAGACCAACAGGGATGTTGGAGCTTGGTCTCACCTCCCCCGTAACCTGGCGTTATAATCTCTGGACGCCTTCACTGAGCCCAGATCCTGGCTTCCCTACAGAATCCCCCTTTTCCCTCACAGTGAGTCCTCCCGACCAAGGACTGCAGGAGGGTCCTTTCCCAGCTCTGCTCTCGGTGTGGGCTAGTCATGAGAATAAACCTTGTTCCCTCCTTTATAAAATGGAGTCCTCATCTTTGCCCTACATACCTCATCTGGCTGTCCTGGGGACCGAGTGAGAACCAGAATGTCAAAATCCTCAGAAGTTAAACCAGCACCAGCTTGTCTGGTGCCCCTGCCTCCTCCCCTGGGGTCCCAGGCCTGTAGGATTTCAGGAGTGGGATGGGGCTGAGTGAGATCTTTTTACCTTCAAACATCTGCCCTTCCTAGGGGTGTGCCCCAGGGGGATGGTCAAGAGGGCCCTCGTCCTGCTGGTGCGCTCGCTCTTTGCCTGTCCACCTGAGTGGGGGCAAAGAAATGGCCCAGGATCCCACTGTCCGTTGGGCCAGGGGCCTCTCACATTCTGTACATATCATTATCAGAACTGCTCATTAATACCAATCTATTATTAAGGATATTAATTCTGCCACCACTACTAATAATACAGATTTAGTACAAGGCAAATACATACTGGTGCACCTCCTCTCCCAATGCCATCTTGCACAGGGGATGGGCAGGTGGTTATCTCCTTGAACTTACTAAGCCTTGAAGTGAGAAGTGCACTGGGAGGCCCTCCCACCCAAGCCCCTCTTTATCTGACAGATGGGGAAACCGAGGTCCCACCAGTGGGAGAGATTGTTCCCTGCTATGCAGGCATCTGTGCGCTGCTCCTTCCTCCAGGTGCTGGGGCTATGGGAAGCAGCTCTCAGCACCTAATCATGTCCCTGGAGAAGGGGCAGGCTCTGGGGGCATTTTCCTGAGCCCATCCAGCTCCTTGGCTCCAGCTGCCATCTTTCTCCCTTGACCACCCTCAGATCATACTGGATTTGGCATTGCCACCCCAAATAATTTTTTCTCCAAAACCCTTCCCACTTTAGGCAGATTGACCACGCTTGCGGGAAGGCACAGAGAAGCAGAGCCACCTCTATGAAGCCACATGCTCTTGGTGCCCAACGTGGGCTCCAGGAACCCTCTCCAGAGGAAGCTGGGGACACTGCCCCCACTGACAGTGAAGACTGCTGTGGTCACTCTGGGCCTGCGTGGAGGAGGGGTGCTAAGTGCAGAGTCTGATAATTGGGTTTTCTGATCACAGCGATGTGTGTGTGTGTGTGTGTGTGTGTGTGTGTGTGCGTGTGTGTGCGTGTGTGTGTGTGTCCTTCCTCATGTACATTCTATGCCTTCCGAGACTGATGGGCTGGTGCAGTCCGGGACATGGCTATGGAATTTACAAGTGTAAGTGGGACCTCCAACTGTCTCCAGGCAATCTGGTTCCAGGGATGCACCCCATTCTCATTCTGTGTGTGTGCGTGCGCGTGTGTCTGTGTGTGTCTCTGTGTGTGTCTCTCTGTATGTATATATGTATGCGTGTGTGCATGTATGTATCTCTGTGCATGTGTCTGGGTGTGTGTCTCTGTGTGTGTGTGTCTCTGTGTGTATGTGTGTCTCTGTGCTGTAGTTTGTCAGAGGCAGTGGGGGGAGCCCTGAAGGCCCCGGAGGGTGTATGAGGGCAGGATTTGGAGCTGACTGACAGTGCATCCTCCTGTGAGCATGGGGTGGAGGGCGAGGGTCAGACCTTGCAGTGGGCTTTCTGTTGCATTCTGGAAGGGGATGGGAGGATCTGGAGGGTTGCCTACCCCTGGAAGCTTCTAGAGTAGCTGTGAGAGCACAGGTTCCCTTTTCTCCATGACTCACAGCTGGCTCTCCAGTCAAGTTCCCCAAGAGATCACGATTCAGCGAATTCTCTCCCTGGCCCCATTAATCTGAGCTGACTAAGCAAGGGCCACAGGCAGGGTAGAGACCCGGGGATGCGCACTCCTAATCAACCCTAAAAATCCCTGCTCCTGCTTCCATGCCCCCTCTTCCTTGGCCCGCCATGCCTGATAGGATCAGTTACGCTCCCAGCCCCCTGAGAAAGCCTGCCCCGGCCCCGCTTTGGGGCTCTATGAGGGTGTCTCTCCATCCCCGCTTCACTGCCACATGCCCGCAGTGTGGAGGTCTGTCTGGGCGCCAGCCCTCCACTTGTCTTGTTGCATCTGAACTCATTTTTACTGTTTGGTGAGCATCCAGCCTTTACGGCCCAGATAGGATGAGGAAGCTAAGGGCTGCTCCAGGGATGATCTTGTCCTGCTCGTTTTGTCTATTGGCATGGCTCTGGGCTTTTCCTCAATGCTCAGACAACCTGGGGGACACCCCAGAACCTGGCGGGGATGCTGGTGAGGGGTGTTAGACTCCAAGGGAACCTGTGACATAGGAGGAGATCCATCCTGAGGAATGGAGCAGGAGGTGGAGATGGGGATAGGAGTGTGGTTGGAGGTGGGAGTGAGGAGATGAGGTAAGGAGGAAGGAGCAGGATGGGGTGGTGGTGATGGAGGCAAGTTTGGGGACGGGGATGAGTAGGAAGGGGGCTGGGCGGGATTGAAGGTGGGAATGGAGATAGGTTATGATGGGGAAAGAGACAGAGACGGGTGGAAGGGTCAGGGATGAGGTTGGAGTTGGGCACAGAGAGGGAGGGAGGGGCAGGGGATGGAGATGAATAAGCTGGAAAGACCCAATGTATTCTGGAACCATGTGGTTCGTGCTTCTGGGAGGCCCTCTCCCAGAGGTCATCTTGTCTTTCCCCAGCTCCTGGAGGTCCTCTCATCCTTCCCCAGCTCCTGGGCATGTTGCCAGCCCAACCCCACCCACCCCAGATCAATGGTTGCCTCTCCACTCAGGAAACCACCTCCTGTGGTCACATAGTCCAGTCAAACTCAACCTAAAATGCTGAGAACTTTCTCTGAACTCTGTCAGTCACTCCTGCTGCAGAAGCCAATCCTGGTTTCCTGAACTCCCCTCTGCCAGCCACAGCAGGGATGGCAGGCTGTGATTTGGAAGGACAGAGGGGAGGGCATACCTGCAGGACCTCGGTCCCCTCCATCCTTTTGTTATGGGCAGATGGGGAGGCAGGCAGAAGTGGACCGCAACTTCGTCAGAATGTGGAGTCAGAGAGAATAAGAGGCGCAGCGAGAGTGGGGCCTTTCTGTCCCTGCCAGCGCCCAAGCAACCAGGGCATTTCATTGTGACTTAGAACAGTCTCTGCCTATGTGCCTGGGCCCTGTGCAGGCAATGGGGGTTCTGCTGGTCCATGAAGACCAGGTGTCAACTCAAGCCAGAAAGGGAGAGGTTAGACATCAGGAAGGACTTCCTAGCTAGAGAAGGTGAAGAGTCCAAGGAAAGAGGCGATATGTTGCTTTCTTAGAGGCCAGATGGGACTGTCTGGGGGATGGGGGGAAAGGAAGGCTTTCCCTGAGGCAACGGATGGCACATGACAGAAGGTGCATGTCACCAGTGGGCTTTCCCCCTTGTCTTTAACTTTCCTAAGCCTTCTCGCGATGAAGCCTTCTCACGGTGAAGACGGCTGTTGGTTGGAGGCAATGTGGCGTCAGTGCGTGGATGAGACAAAGCTGGGGAGCAGGGAGGGGTCCTAAGCCCCCTAATTTTTCTCTAGTTTCCCAGGACCCACTGGTCCAGAAGATTCTGGGGCTCCCTGAGCCCCTGGGAAATAAAGTCCTCTGAGAACTCCCTGGCATTCCCGGGAGAACAGGTTTCTGGCTCTGGGAGTGAGTGAGGCGCCGGGCCTGGGGGTGCAGCGTGCCTCGGCAGGCCCTGGAGCCGGGAGCTGAGCTCGCACAGGCAGCGCGGGCGGGGCGGGGCTGGGCGGGGAGCCGGGAGGACATGCGCCTCTCCCTGTGGCTCCTTCGCCTTTGAGGATCCCCAACCTGGGGCAGCCCTCACCCCGTCTGCCCCTCTCCAGGACTCAGCCTGGCTCTGTCCCTGCCTGGCTCACCCTGGACCCCTCACAGAGCCACAAGAGAAAGGGACCAGGATAGGAGGCCCTGCCCCTTCCCCCATCCACTCGGGGTGCCCTTGTACTGCCTGTGTCTTGTGGTCAGGGAATGAGCAAGATGGTAAAAGGTTCTGAGCCAAGCCCGGTGGGGACAGGACTGCAGTGCAACGCCGCCCTCGGATCCGAGGAACTAGTGTTCCTCAGTGCGGGAGGAAGAAGGCTACCGGGCAAGCAGAGCTGGACCCTGCAGCAGTAAAGACTTCAGAGAGGCTCCAGGAAGGACTTCATGATTGTGAGGAAACTGACCAGATTTTCTCCTTCAGGGATTAGGAAAACTAGGAGGGGCAGCCCTGCCCGATGTGGGCAATGACTGGCATAGGGGCAGGGGATGGATAGGATGACTTCCCAAGATGAGCCCCTCCGCCCGGGTCCCTTCCCACTGACCAGTTGTGCATTGCCACAAAGCACATCCAGACATATCCCCCATGCCTGTAGGTGCCGAGAGAAGAGGCAAACACGCCCACTTGCTAGAGTCTACTCTTCATCCAACGGGCTTCTTTGGATATTTAGGGAGGGCCTGGGGGACTCCACGGGGAATGCCAGAACCTTATCTGAGCGGGTAGTGGGTGGGGAGGAGTCGGGGGAGCTGGCAGGGGCTTCCTGCTGCTTCGGCCACTTCCCTAAGGGCCTTCACTTCCCACGCCCCCAACTCTAGGCCCCAAAGGCCTCAGGGCTCCCTGCCTGGCCCAGCTCTGCTCACCAGGACTCTGCCTTAGGGGTCTTGCGGGAGAGAAATGGAGCTGGGGATAGGAGGCGACTCTGCCCTAAGCCCAGCATCAACTCATGGCCACAGCACCTGTTTGCCACCTGTCTGCTTCGCCACAAGGTGCACCATCTCCTTTCTGCAACCCAGGCCTCTGCATGGGCCCAGGCATCTAGACCCCAGCCCAGGCTGCGTGGAGATGTTGAGCAATTCCTTGATCTGCACACACCCTTGGTGCTCCCCAGCTCCCAGAGCTGGGCTCTCCCTTCTTCACCTGGAAAACCACTACATGGAGAACTTGGCCCCCTGCCTTTCAGCTCTAGTTTTCCAGATCTAACACTTTTGAGTCCTCATTTCCTCCCAGCACAGGGTGGGTGAGCGCATCTCCAACACACAGAGACACACACAAAATCCAGCACACACCAGAATGAGACCCACACCACAGCAAGAGGGATTAAAGTTGGACAACCTAGAAAAGGAACTGGAGGGGGAGGTGGGGGAAGGGGTGCCCCTTGGCCTCCAGGCACTCACCCGAATTCTGAGTCTCCCTTGAGCTGCAGTGAGAACCTGGGTGCTCCCCGTCACTCCTGAGCCCCGTTAAAAAGGCGAACGCCCTCCCCGTGCCCCAGCCCGGCCCTGCTGGCCTCCACGGCTGACTTGGGCCGGGGCTCCTCTTACCTGCTCAGTGAAGCAGGTCGGCGTGGGGGCCCGGGTCTGGGGGGCCAGGAGCTCTGTCCGTCTGTCAGTCCGTCAGCTCGGCCGTCCTGTGTCTGTGCTGACATCAGGTGAGGGGAGGCAGCTGCCAGGTGAGCCAATAATTATGATATCAGCTTCCCCTTGCCCGGAGGGGCTGCGCCAAAACGGGGAGAAGAGAAAGGTGACTAAGAAGCTAGTTTGCTCCTTGGCTCTTGTTTGACAGGTACCGGCTCCCGTGCCCGCCCCAGCCGCACCCTGGCCCCCCAACCCCTCCCTCCTCCTGAGCTAGCCCAGGCCCCCTCCCCTGTCCCTGCCAGTGCGCACAGCCTGTGGCTTGTAGAGGAGGGGGTTGTCCCGTGGCCCCCGCCTGCACTCCAGAAGGGAGATGTCGCCCCCCCACCCACAGGTGGGGCACAGGCCTGTTGGAGCATGCACGTGTGTCAGGAGAGCCTGGCCGCCACATGTATGCTCATGGAGCCCACTCATGAGGTTCTGGGGAACAGCGCTGGGTGGCAGCCCAGGGTTCTCTGAGGCACGGCATGGACAGGTTGGGCCCTTCAAGGGCCAAGCATTAGCACAGATTTGCTGGGAACTGTCTGTCCATGGGGCCGGCCATCTGTCTGTCTCTCCACAGCTCCCGCAGCACCTCGAGGGTGTCTCCTTGTGGGTGGGGGCGTGTGCACCCACTGGAGCATGTGCTGGTGACTCCCATCTCCCTCTCCCTCAGGGGCAGATACATGCGAGTCTGTCTGCATCTCTCCCTGGGTCTGTACATCTGTCTCCTGGGTGGGCGTGTGTCTGCATGTCTTCCCCTGTGTCTGTGTCTCTGTGTCCCCGGACCCAGGCCCGTGTGTCGTCCGTGTGTTGACATGCTCATGTCTGTGCACACGTCTCTGCTGTGGGTCAGCAACCTAGTCCTGTGTGAGCATGTGGGTGTCTGTGGGGGTGGAGATGGGGGCTCCCTGGTTCTGTGTCTTCATCCCAGGCTACTCTTCATTATTTGGAGGATAGAAACAGAAACCTGAGTGGCTGTTGCCCTGGTCTCTGGCCCCTTAGAGTTCATGTTGAGGGTGAAGCCCTAGGAATTGGCTTCCCTGGTCCCAGCTGGACTCAGGCCTGGAGCCTGTCCCTGCTCCCTGACAGCTTTCTCTGCTGTTCCCCCAGACCCTGTCCTCACCTCCTTCTCTCTGCTTCCTTTTCATCTTCTTTGCCCTCCATCCCCTTGTCTCCTGTCCCTGGTCATTCTTTCCCTCCTCCATCTCCCTGACCCTTGCACTGGCCTCTAAGCCCACTTGTGTCTCTTCCTGGAGCTAAAGGCTCTAAGGACCTAGTACCAGCACTGCTGCCCAGCAAGTTCTGGGATTTGGCTTCTGGCCTGAGGGTATGGACAAGTCAGCTCTTCCCCAGTGACTATCTCATTCCAAGGAGAGAGGTAATATCAACCCTGGCCGGGGCACAGTGGTGGTCATCTGGCACAAGTGTGGAGCATGCTAAAACATTTAGAGAGTTCTTAGTGGAGGCGGAAAATGTTCTGTACTAAATATCCATTTCAGAAAAGAGGATGCAGGGGCAGACAGCAATGAACCCATTTGTAAGTGATGGTTAGCTGTGTGATCTTCCATACTCCCCACTCTGAGCCTCAGTTTCCTCATTTGTTAACAAGGGAGTAATACTCACCCACAGGGTGGTTGTGAGGATTAAATAAATTTATATGTCTAAAGTTCTCAGCACAACCCCTTGTATATAGTAGATGCTCAGTAAACAAGTGGCTCCTTTCTCTTCACCAAGGCCAGTGGTGCTGGGAAAGAAATGAGGACGTGCTGGCATGCCCACTCCAGTATAAGAATTGTGTTCTGGGGTTAGGAGAGGGGCCCTGACTCAATCCACCTTTCTCTGGGACTCACAGTAGCAGTCAAAGCTCTGCTCCCTTAACCCTAATAGTCTACGGAGTTTCACAGTGAAAGGGCAGCTATCAAGACCTGGGTGTTTGCTAACTGCTTCTATCTGATGTACACAGAGCTAATTGTTATTTCTAGACTCACAGATATTTCTGTATGGATACTCTGGGCACAGAAAACCACAAAAGTTGTAAGTTGAAGGCTGCCATGGTTGTTATCAATGAACATTATTCTGAAAGCCCCAACCAGTACAATAAGAGAAAGAAATAAGGCATTAATATAAGAAGGAAGGATGCAAAACCTTCAAGAATTACAAATGTTGTGCTTATTTAGGAAATCGAAGAGAATCGACTAAAATACTATTACAACAAATGAGAGAATGAAGTAAGATAGCAGAATATATCAATGTATAAAAATCAAAACCATTTCTATACAGCTAAAACAACCAATTAAAATAGGAGATAGCTGGGCACGGTGGTTCACACCTCAGCAATTTGGGAGGCTGAGGCGGGTGGATCTCTTAAGCTCAGGAGTTCAAGACCAACCTGGGCAACATGGCAACACCCTGTCTCTACGAATAATACAGAAATTAACTGGGTGGGGTGGCACGCGCCTGTAGTCCCAGCTACTTGGGAGGCTAAGGTGGGAGGATTGCTTGAGCCAGTGATTCAGAGGTTGCAGTGAGCCGAGAGGTTTCGGTGAGCCACTGCATTCTAGCTTGGGGGACAGAGTGAGACCCTGTCTCAAAAAAAAAAAAAAAAAAAAAAAAGAAAGAAAAAAAAGGAGACAAAAAGATTTAGCTCACAAAAATAACAATACAAAATATCCAGGAATAAACTTAATAAGAAATGCATGAAATCTACATGAAGAAAACAATACATTTTTACTGACAGACATAAAATAAGACCTGAATAAAAAATAAGGGCATATCATGTTACTGAACTGGAAGGCTGAAAAAAAAAAAAAAAAGTAAAAAAGAAAAAAAAGGCTAGGCATGGTAGCTCATGCCTGTAATCCCAGCACTTCGGGAGGTGAGAGGATCGCCTGATCCCAGGAGTTTTGACACCAGCCTGGGCTACAAGGCGAGAGACCCTGTCTCTAAAACAGCAACAACAGGAAGGCTGAATATAATATTGTAAGGATGTCAGTTCTCCTCTAAATAGAAGCTGAATGTAATTCAAATCAAAAGTCTAAAGGATTTTTTGCCCCCTAAACTTGACGAGTTGATTCTATAGTTTGGGGGAAGGGTAAATACATGAGAATAGCTTGGAGCTTTTTGAGAAAGAAGACTAACAGAGGTAACTTTCCCTGCCAGTTTTCAAAATGTTCAATAAGGCTTCCATAATTAAAGCTGCAACTTTGATACAGAAATAAATAAATTAATGGAAGATAATAGAGTCCAGAATAAACTTGGATATTTGTGAGAAATGGGAATATGATAACAAGGTATTTTAAAATAGATATATAATAGTAGGGTATTTTACTTTATTTTTCTGAGACAGGGTCTCGCTCTGTTGCCCAGGCTGGAGTGCAGTGGCAAGATCATAGCTCACTGCAGCCTCCACCTCCTGGACTCAAGTGATCCTCTCACTTCAGCCTCCCCAGTAGCTGGGACTACAGTTATACCATGCTCAGTTAGTTAAAAAAGAATTTTTTTTTGTAGAGATGGGGTGTTGCTCTGTTGCCCAGGCTGGTCTCAAACTCCCAAAGCACTGGTATTATAAGCTTGAGCCACGACATCTGGACTGTAAAGTATTTTAAAGTAGCAAGTAAAAAATTTAATAAATGGAGTTGGGGCAATGAACTTTCCATTGGAAAGAAATAAAGTTAAATCCTACTTCACACTGTACATTAAAAAATCTAGATGGATTAACAATCTAATGTAAAAATGAAAATCATACAAACAAATAGAAAAAATATAGGAAATATTTTTATGATTATGGAGTGGAGAAAGGCATTTTTAAACATGACATCAAATGCAGAAGCCATAAAGGAATACATTGACAGATTTGACTAAATAAAAACTGTAAATTTCTTTAGAGCAAAATGTAACATGAACAAAGTTAAAAGACATAACATAGCCTGGAAGAAAGTGTTGAAACATATGTAACAGATAGAGAGTTAATAGCCACAATATATAAGGAGCTCCTCTAAATAAATAAAAAGATGATTTCACAGAAAAATGGGCAAAGGACACAAGCAATTCACAGGTAAAATACAAACGGCCAAGACACAAGTGAAACGATTTTCAACTTCATTAAAAATCAAGAAAATGCAAATTAATTCAGGGGCCAAGGGTCTCAGGGAGGCCCTGATGGGATGCCCAGGAGAGACTGTAGTTATCACCTCCCACAGTGAGACTGCTTCTGGCGGGTGAGATGAACTTCTTTCTCTTCCAAATCAGGATCCACCTCTGCCCCAGGAATGGGTGTAGGCTCTGGCTCTGGCTCCCTCTTTCCTTTGGGAAGCATGACTTCCTCATTGCATGCAGTCTGGGAGTTGAAACAGGAACCTTGGGATTGCCACAGTCCTTGGACTGAAAGGGGATTTGTGAGGTGTTTCTCCTCTGTCTCTAGATAGGACCATCCCCTCCTTCTCTCATCACACCAGCCCTCCAGAATTCTCTCTTAGGCCCAGAAAGTCTGTCCTGGTGTCTAGCCTCAACTCCAGCTGCTGCAGTATTGGGAAAGGACTTTTGTCTGGAGTTTTGGTCCCACACACTCCAGCACCCTCATTTCAGGTCCTCAGATGGAGCTGAGCTGGGCTCTGGCCTGGAGGAGCTGCAGCTAGATGCTTAGACAGGCTGGGGCCAGAGAAAGCTCTGTCCCTCTGAATACTGGAGGTCAGAAGCAGTTCACTGTATGCTGCTGAGCTGTGCCCAGGGCTGGGCTGCTTTGGGCCAGAAAACAGCCCTGGCTGGGGATGGAAATCCCTGGGGCCCATGTCTGCTATGCTTCAGTCTGGGGAAAGACCCTAGGGACGCTAGGAAGAAGGAAGAGCATGTGCCCACCCTTGGGAGCCCCAATGTGATGGAGGAGGGGGACCCCTTCCTGAACCCTGCATCTGGATTGGCCATCTTCTGTCTGCTTCCGCTCATGCAGGCTGGACTTGCTTTTCCAAAGTGAGTTCCCAAGATTTGAGCCTGCTGCTTTCCAAGTCTCACTCCACTGGTGTGCAAGACACTGAAGAACATCCACAGAGGAACAGGGCCCAAGCAAAGCTGCCATGAGGCCCTGAGGCCCAGGGACCACATGTCAAAGAAGGGGTGGGGAGATCTGGGGTTAATTAGGGTGAGCTTCCTGGGGAAGAGCAGACAGCTCATTGGCTGTGGCTGATGGAGAAGCACCCAGAGCTGTGGAGGGCGTGTGGCGGGGCAGCTGGGCCGAGGTCTGAGCCTGTTCTGGTTGGCTGACCCCCTGGGAAATCCAGGGAGTTTCCAATCTGAGAGCTTGGTGGGGGGGTCGGTGGGGGAGGAACACAGAGTCCTGCTGGGTGGGGAGGGCTTCTCACCTCTTGTCTTAATCCCTCCTGCTGTGGAGGTGGGAGAAGCAATGCTGGGGTGTGTGTGTTTTCACTGGTGTCAGTGTCTGTGTAAGTACATGTGTACCTCTGCATGAGTGTGTACGTATTTACATTTGTGTTCTCACTTTCACGTGTCACCATGGGTGCGCCTGAAGTCTGTGGAGCTGTAATGTGCTACTGGGTATGTCCGTGCCAGAATCTGTGTCTAAATGTGGGTAGCCACATGCAGCGAGAACACTCAGGTCTGACACGGGGTGCGGAGGCGTCTGAGCGACTGTGTGTGTACAGGTGGCTGTGGCTGTGTATGTCTGTGTGTGTTTCTGGGGGTGGTCCTGTGTGTCTTTCAGGCTGTGAGAGCCTGTAATGTTGTATGCATGAGTGTTTGTGTGTGAATGTGTGTAACTGTGTGTTCCCGGGTATCCATGTCTGTGCATGTGTCTATGGGTTCTGTGGGTACCCAAGGATCTGTGACTCCACGTACACACATTTGTGGGTCTTTCCACCCTTCAGAGCACTCTTCTGAGTCCCCGTCACATTCTTTCCAACTAGGCTGCTCTGTTCCCTTCCTTGCCTTCTCCTCTGCACACCCCCTTCCCCTTCCCTTGCCAAACTGGGGTGGAGGCTGCAGGGTTGGAGACTGGTACTCCACCAGAACTTCACCCACCCAGTTCTACTCGACCCCTGACCCAACACTCCCTAGCTTCCTCCACCCTTCCCTCCCTCCTTCAGAAAGCAGCCTCCCCTCCAAGACTGTGAGGAGATAGGAAGTCATGGCCTGCGCCCCCAAGGAGCCTACTCTGGGGCCAATGACCTTAACCTCTAGAGCGCACTTTGGCCGGGGCCCAGGTCCAGGTGAACTCAGAGAGTGGTGTGGACAGCCCTGCTCCTGCCTCCACAAGCTCCCTAACAAGCTCCACCTATCCCTGGGCCCTGTGGTTGCCATAGAGGGCTGGTGCTGGCTGGCAGGAGGAGGGAGTAGGGAAACAGGGACACTCCCAGGACCTCAGGGGACAGGGTCAGGGGAACACTATGGGTCGGCTCAGAAATCTGGGCCTATCTGCTGAGCTTAAGGTGACATTGGCCCAGAGAGGTCAAGATATTTCTCAAAGTCACACAGCACTCCACACACGGCAGTCTGGAAAGAGGCTTGGAGGGGAGCGTGTCCAGCTTCCCTCTGGGAGCAAGAAGCTCCCGTATAGTTCCCACACATTCCTCCTTCATGCACTATTTGCTGTGCCAGGCCCTGTGGAGGAACTGGGGACACAGCTCGAATCAGGCAGACTGTCCTCAAGTCACTTCCAGACTTGTTGATCTTAGCAATGGGATGCTCACTACCGCAGAAGTTGTTGAGTCCCAGCACCGCACAAGTCCAGCTGGTAGGAGACACCCAAAGCTCACTGCTAACTTCCTAGAAGCCATCAATGATGGGGTGTGGGTGCCTGGGCAGCGAGGCTGCAGACTCAGTCCCAGCAGGGCCCATCTACCTGCCGCAGCCTGGAGTGTGTGTGGAGCCGAGCTGCCGGGCTGCCTGTGTAAACCTGACCTGGCTGGCGGGCCCTTCCTTCAAAGACTAGCCCAGGCCGTGCCGCTTTATTGCCCAGTTAATGATGGTGATTAGGCCGACAGGTGCCACCTGCTGCCTGTCCACCCTCCTGCCTGCTAAAGAGGGTGTTTTCTGAGCACCTAGGGGAGGCTTGGCCCCAGAGCTCTGCCAGGGCATCCACCGCAGCCAAACTGTCGACCCTCAGGCTGGCTGGCGTCCACCTCCTTCCTGGAGAATGCAGGGCCAACCGGGTGCTCACTTTCTGGGACTGCTGTGTGATCTCAGTCCACACCTGACCCTCTCTGAGCCGGACTGAGGGGGAAGTGTGCCGAGAACAGTGGGCAGGGCATGTGCACCCTGAGAAGCACACTCTCCTTTTCCCCAGCCAGGGTCCAGAAGGAAGTGGCAGCAGAGGGTCCTCCTTGCAGATGGAGCTGGGCTGCTCCTTAGGGAGCCACTGCATTGTGGGTAGGCCACTGGGGGAGCCCCAACATTCTGGGGCCAGCCGTTTCCAATGCAGGGGACTGTTGCCTGGGGCTTTGGTGGGTGGGAGGGGGTCCTCCTGTGGGTCTGAGTGGGAGCTGTGATTTATGGCTGTGCTTCATGAGTGAGGAATGCCAGCCTGGGGGACCAGGGTGGGGCTGGAGCCACCCGCCTGACACTCCTGGCTCTCTGGGATGCCTGGCGTGTCCTGTCAGGACCCCCTGTCCCCTGGGGACAGCCACGTACTCCCCCACGCAGTGCCCCCTCCTAACTGCACTTCCAACCCCCAGCTCTGGGAGGACCCAGTGAAAGCCCGGCCCAGGGGGATCCAGAAGGAAATCCTTTCTGGTTTTCTCTCTTCACAGCCCAGCCCCCTTTTTCATTTGGGCATGAAGGTGATGAGAAATATCTCTTTTCTGTCCCACTGGAGGAGGAGGGGATGGGGTGAGACTCTAGGAAGCTTCCTTCTGGATGAACTCAAGGCTGACACGCCACTGTCCACAGTGGGCGAGACTTAGCATCAACACAAAGATGAACTTCCAGCAGGGAAGGGCTGTTTGGCTCGCAGATGGAACGATGGATACGGTGTCATTCTTCCCCATCCCCACCCCCACCTTGCTAGATAAATGAAAACTCTGGAGTCCATGAGGATGTGGGGTGGGGGAGTGTGGGGAGGCCGGGTGGAGGTGGGGTGGGGGAGGCGGAATCATCCAAAGTTTTCTGGTCCTGGACTCTGAAGGCCATGCCAGTTTCCAGCCTGTTGCTGTGCTGCAGGATGAGGGTCGGTCCTCTGGGCACCCAGCACAGGTCAGCCTGCCTTCTCTGGCCTGGTGGGACCGGTTTTTCCAGCTGGAGGAAGGGTCGATGAGGAATTGGCAGGGGCAGAGGGTTTTATGTAAATACCCAGGGAGTGCTCTGGGAACGGGGAAGCTGGTTTTCCCAAAGACACGCAGGGACTGGCAGCTCCCAATTAGCCAGGCCCAGTGATGTCAGTGCTGCTCTCCTAGGTGGCTGCGCCCACTCTGATGGGCCTTGGCAGGGATGCCCGGCCATTACCTTCCCCCCTGGGTGGGAGGGGTGCCAAGGGGGCTGCATATAGGACAAAGGCCAGGCCCCCTCCTTCTGGACTCCCCCAACCTGGGGTCTGAACCACATTGGGGACTAGCCCTGGAGAGTGCCATGAAAAACCATCCCAGACTTTACTGAAAAAGACTTTAATGTGACTTTAACAGCCCAGAGGCTGTTCCCGTGGCAGCTGCTGGCAGGCCCTCCTCCCAGGCCACTCCAAGCCTGAATTTCAATAAATACAGTGCAAGTAAGTCTGGTCACTAAGCTGGGGATACCAAGACCTGGGGCACCAGAGAGGGCATGTTGTATTGTCTGTGAACACACACGTGTGCACTGTCCAACATACATACCTAGGATCATGTGCATGCACACAGCCCCCCTCAGATAGCCTCACGTCACACACCCCTCACATCCATGCAGGCGCACACATATGCGCACACACACATGCACACACCTTTTATTCCAGCACATAGGAAACTGAGCATACACCCCTTCCTTACAGACACGCAAGAGATTATGTACACACGTGCCTTTCAGCCTTTGGCCTGGAGCTTGGAGCTTGGAGCTTGGGGTGTCCCCTCCGGGCTCAGAGGAGTGGGAATGGGGTGGGTCTTCCTGGGCATGGCCAGGCTGTGCCCCAGCCTAGGGGCTTGGTGTGGTGGTGTTGGCCAGGCTTGGCAGGCACTGGGCTGTGGTGTTGGACTGTGCCCAGGAGGGGAAAGAGTGCAGGCTGAAGAGGGGGATGCCCCAGCTGTTGATGGCCAGTGCGATGATCAGGACTCCAATGATGTTGAGGAGGAATCCTGCCCGGGCCTGGTGTGAGGAGAGTCCATTTGGCTAAGCAGGGACTGGGCTGGACTGCCCCCAAGTCCCCAGGTGTTTGGGGGTGCACAGGAGCCCTCCTACCAGCAAAATTCTCTCTGGGAAGTCCTCCCGTTGGTCTAACCTGCAGCATAGCCAATGCCTTTGCCCCTTGCTTTACTCCCTGTGCTAACAGGGGAAAGGGGCGCTCCTCCTGAGCTTCCAGGGCCCTGGGCTTGTTCTCTCTGAGCTCATCTCCCTGAGTGTGGGTGCCTGGCACCTTGGAGCCTTCCCCATGTTCCCCACCCACTTCCCTCCCTCTCACATAGCCTGGGGCTGGCAGGGCCTGAAGATGCCACCACTGAGAGGTCATGTCCCAACCTCCCCAACTGCACCTTCATTCCAGATGAGGACCCGCTCAACTCTGAGACTCTCAGTGGCTTTAAGCTGCTTTGTGGTTCACTAAGATGAAAAGTCAGAGCAGGAAGGAGGGATGAGGCATTCAGGCCTCCCTGCCACTTACCATATCCAACACTTTGAGGTCCCCGAAAGAGAAGACGATGGCATTGGGCGGGGTGGCCACAGGCAACATGAAGGCCAGGGAGGTGGCCAGAGTGCAGGGGAGCATGACGTAGAGAGGGTGGAGGCAGATGGCCTGGGCCTGGAGTGGGAGGCAGTGGCGCAGAGCTGAACTTGGTCCCCAAGCCAGAGGGAGGGGCATGGCCCCCAATTCTCCTGCTTCTCTGGGGAACAACCCCTGTACCCTAATACACTCTCTGGTCATGAGCCCACCTCTTCTCCCAGAAGGCACTGGGTGACCTGGAAGGGCCTCTTGACCTCTCTGGAGGGAATGAGTGTGCTGCCCTGCCTTGTGGGGTGTGGTGAGGGGAGGGGCCCATAAAACTGATCTCAAAGGGGCTCCGGGGGTGTCATCAAAGGCTGCAGGAACACGCCTGGGGAGGAAGGGGCTTGGGACGCTTCGGGGAGCAATTTCACCCCGTCACCTCAGGAATGACCAGAACAGGGACTGGGGTGGGGAGGTGGGTGAGGCCACCAGGATCCCCATCAGGATACTCCAGGGGTGACATCATGAGGGACGGGGTGAGTCAGGGGCCAAAGCGCCTTGGGGCCCAAGGTGGCTCAAGAGCCTGGAGAAGGATGGAAACTCAGGGGTCCTCTTCAGGAAAAGGAAAAGAGGAGGTGCAAAGACAGGATACTCTGCCCAGCAGGCAGAACCCCTGGTGGGGCAGGCAGGCGGGCTGCCTGGAGGAGGTGTTTCTGAGGGCCAGCTCACCATGGAGGCTAGGATGGGCAGGAAGATCGTAGTGGTGGCCACGTTGCTAGTGCACTCGGTGAAGGTGGCCACCAGGAGGGAGAGGATGATGGCAATGGCTGGAGCTGGCACACTCTGCAGTGGGGTCAGCTTGTTTCCCAGCCACTCTGACAGGCCCGATCGCTGTGGGCAGAGGAGGATGGCATGTGAGAGGCAAGGCTGCCTGGGCCCCCAAGTCTTCTGCCGAGGCTCTATGAGGCTCCTGCTCCTGCTAACATCTCCCTGGTATTCAGAGTCAAAGACAGCTCTAAAGGGATGATAGGACCCAGCTAAGACCAAGGGGTGCCCTTTCCTGCTCTTGAAGAACAGCTGGGTGTGGGAAGAAGGGGCAGATGAGAAATTAGGAGGGGGCCAAAGGGCCTTCTTGGGAAATTTGGGGCTTGGTGGGAGCAAAAATCTTTGACCGCACTGACTCCTGCCTTCCTGACCTCTCTCAGGAGGTCCCTGGACAACCTTAGCCCTCTTCCTGCCCCTTCCAGTCCAGTGGCTTGGGGCAGAGGGAACCTTGCTCCTGGCAGGGAGGGAAAGTTGGGGGAGGACCCTGACAGAGGCTGCAAGAGGCTAATGGGAGGACAGGGACAGTCCACAGGGTCAGAAGAGCTCCGAGGTCTTGCCTTCCCACGTCTGGAATGCCAGGCTGTAAGGTGGGACTTAATCTCGCTCAGTGGGGCCAGCGCCTAGCACAGGACTGGGCACAGTCAGTGGATGAACATGCCACAGACCCAGGAGTCCCCTGCACCGATCCCTGACCTGGGCAGCCACCTTCTGTTTGAGCCAGAACACGGAGGCCCAGGGATGCCGTGTCAGGGATTTCCCTCTTTTGGATGGAGGCTCTGGGGAAAGATGTTCTGGTCCCCAGAGCCTGGGTGGGTGTGATCATGGTGCCCCCTGGTGGCTGCGGAGGGCAGACCGCGTCAACACAACCCCCAATTACTTTGGTGCTGATGCTACTGTGTGCTCTGGCAGCGGGCAAAGGGCTGGGGTGGGATGGCATTTGTCTCTGAGAACAGGCTCTGCCCACCAGAGAATCCTGCCTTCCCTTGGACTTTGAGAACTGAACAAAGAGGTCCCTAGGGCTTGTGTTTCTTCCTCCCACATGAGGGCTCTAACCTAAGTCTTCCCAGCTGCTGCAAAGGCTCTGCCTACCCGAGAGGCTCCTACGTGGGGACCAGGTCTCCCCTCTGTGGGACAGAAGCAGGGCCCCCTCTCTCCCTGCCACAGAGACACCCTCACACAGGCTGAGGAGGGGGCTGGGGGCCTCTCACCTCACTGCCCTTGGCCAGGGCATAGCCACCACCCAGCAATAACACGATATTCCACGGCATCTTCTGGTTCACCGTCTTCCAGTCGAGGAGGCCAAGAGGGGCCTTCAGCTTCCCTGGGTTTTCTACTTCCCAAGCAGAGAAGGATGGGTCACCAAAGAACAAACAGGCCTTTCCCCTCTCCATTTGCGGGCTCCCTGTGTGGGTCCCTTTTGGAGCTTAACGCGTGCAGGAGGGGACCCTCAGTTCTGCAACATCTCAACTTTGTCTCCGAGTCCCTGTGCCCTTGGCAAGTCGCTCCAGCCTTTCTGGGCTTTGCCTACTCCTGCCAAGTGTGGTGGAAGGTACATTACATACTTGAAGGCAGGGGCTGCCCGGAGACCCTTCCCTGCCCCAGTCCAGGTGCTTACCTGGGTCCTGGGTCAGCCCTGGGAACTTGGAGGGTATGATGAACATAATTATGCCGATGAAGATGGCCACTGTCCCATCGGACACCATGCTGTTGGTGGAGGGGGCGCGGGGAGGGCTGGGTTAGCCGCTTGGGGTTGCTCAGGGCCACAGGGTGGAGGGTGGTGGAGATGAGCCTCTCCCATAGACAAGCCTGGGGAACCTTCATCCCCCACCAAGTGTTACCTCCTGTTCTGCAATGGGGGCCCTATACCCTTCCCTCCTTCCCGAGCATGTGAGCCCCAGATGTGTCCTCCTCCCAACCCCTGCAACTCTCACCTCTCCCCCTTGGCATTGGGAAAAGCCAAATTGCCCCAGCCAAGAAAAAAGCCCGGCTCCCGGGTGAACCAGAGCAGCACCAGGATGACGAATAGGATGCTGATGGCCTTTTCTGCAAAGGTCATGGGGCCCAGCAGCCTGTGCTCGGTCTGGATGACGCAGTAGGCTGCCTGCTGTTGCTCCTGCATCTTTTCCCCAATGCCAAAGTTCTTCCGGAAGCTGCAGGCAGAGGGACGGGGCAGCTCGTGGGGGGCCTGCTCCAGCAGGGAGCAAGGGGCTCTGAGTGCCTACCATCTAAAGGCTGAGGCCCACAGAGGGCATCTCAGGGTCACTACACTCAGGCCCCAGCTCCGCCTGAGGTTCTGGAGGAGGAGCAGAAGACTTTTAGAGGCCATAGTTCTTGCTTATTCTCCATGCTTGGCCCTGCCCCATTGAGCCCCTTTTCCTCCAGGGGTTCTATGGTGCTGAACCCTCCCTTGCCCAGGGTGAGGAGGACCTAGCAGCTCAGACCCTGGGACTTCTTCCTGCCCTGGCTCACAGCTCTTCTCCTCCAACAGCCTTCGGGAAGTCCTCCCTTCCCTCCTCTGCCTTCTCTGCTTATCCCCTGCCAGCCTGAGCCCCACCTGCATTGTCCTCAGAGGCACAGTAGGCTGCAGCCCACTTCCTTCTGCTGCTGACTTAACTTGTGTTGACATTTAACTTTCCACTTGGGTAAATCTCAACCTCCCTGCTGGACTGTGAGTTCCTCAAGGGCAAAGACCACACTTCACACATCTTTGACTCCCCTGTGGTGCCTGGCACTGTGCTGACCTCTTCTACTACCACCTTGCCTTGTACCAGCTCCCAACCTTAATCCAGCTTCCTTACATTTGCCCAAGTGATTTTTCCAAAGTGCAGCAGCAATGCTTAAAAACTTTCAAGGGCTCTCCACTGCCTGGGCAGGAAGGGCAAATTATAATTAATACCACAGTAACACTCATACCACCACTCTTATCCCGTATTCATGGCAGACATCACTAATCAATCACAGACTTGATACTAACTGAGCCTTAGCAGGGTCTCCTATGATTTTCCAACTCAGAGCTCCAAACAGTGACTACCAGGAACCTGGTGGAAGTAGGAATGAAATCTATTTATTACTCTTGGCTTCATTAGGTGGCACACAAGAGCTTCCAGAACCTTCCCCTGCCTACTTCTCCAGCTTCATGACCTGATGCTCCTTTTTGCTGTTTGTGTTTTAGTCCTGCAGAACTAGAGTTCCCTCGAACACGTCTTGTCTTGCCTCTGTGCTTTGTGCAATCTGCTCCTGCTGCCTGGAATTTCTTCACCCATTCTCTACCTGGCTGACTTCTAGTCCTGCAAGATTCAGCCCAGGCATGATCTCCTCCATGGTGTTCTGGAATCTTCACTCACCTGGGCTGAACTAGACACTGTGTTCTCTGTGCTCTTGCAGCATCTGGGCTTCCCTCTGTCGTGACCCCACCATATCATCATCCACCTGATGGGCTACAAGGACAGGGACTGTGCCCAGTGCCTTCTAGTATTCTCAGTGCCTTACACACAACCCAGTATACAGTAGGAACACAGCAGGTGCTTCTGTAACTAACCATGCTCAGTGTGTGCCCCTTAAGCACCTATCAAAGGACGGTGGACCATTATGGGAAGGGGCATCAAGTGACCTGGTTTGCAGCCCCAGCACTGACAAATCTAGTTGCGAACCACTCCTGAAGCCTCAATTTGCGCATCTGTGAAATGGGATAATACTCTCTACCCAGTAATTTCCTCAAATGGGGGTCCAAGTGCACAGAGGGGCTTTGGGAGGGAGAAGCCTTCTCATTGGGATGGTGATAATATCATTTTCCACATCTGCACCCAACTGGAAGCTCCCAGGGCTAAGGGCAGGGACCTGGGCTTCTCTCACCAACTTTGCCACTTACTTGAAGCCCAGGAAGAGGATCTGCAGCCACAACCAGGCCAGCAGCAGCAAGATGACCATGGTGGGGAAGGCGAAGCTGAACCAGGAGGCGAAGTTCACCACGTTGCCGTTTTGGGGGAAGAGCCTGAAGGAGGAACATGGGCTGCCGTGTGACATTGCCCCGAGAACTGCCCAGCCCCATTCACCTCCCAGTGAATGTGCAGATCCCCCAAGGTGGCCCACCCCTTGTCACTCACGAGTTGATCTGGCCTTGCAGCACCAGGTTGGGTGCGGTGCCAGTCAGCGTGGCGATGCCCCCGATGCTGGCGGAGTAGCACACGCACAGGCTCATGCACTGGGTGAGGTGGAGATGCTTCTGGCTGAGATGTGCCCTCCCCTCCGAAGAGGCAGACGTGACAGGGAGGGCCTGCCCATTATCTGGGAACAAGGGAGAGCCCAGGTGGGGGCAGGTACAGGGCCAGCTCTGGGGAACGGGGCCAGGGCTGCAAGGCCCTCCAGGGTACCTTGTCTGTGAACAGCCCAGACCGGGGCTGGAAGGAGGACAGAGGATGTCTCCAGGCCTGAGGGGCCCAGCATTCCCCAGAGTCTCAGGCTGGGAGCACCCTTGGACACTCTATGATCTGACCTCTCTCTTGAGAGAGGGAAACGAGGATTACCCAAACCACTCAGGAAGAATGGAGCCTAGACCTTGGACTGTTCACCTAGACTCCAGCTCTCTTCTTGCTATGGTGACCAAGCATCTTGGTTTGCCCAGGGATGAGGGGATTCCCAAAACAGGGTACTTGACATTTTTTAAAAAAGGAAAAACAAATTGGTCACTGTCCTTCTTGCATCTCTTTCTTCTCTCCCCAAAGGCTCCAAGATGACCAGCCCTCGAAACGGACAGACCCTCAGACTCTCTCCAAGAACCAAGGGGTTGGGGCAGAGTCTAGCCTCATTTTTCTCACCAAGCTTGGTCACCTCCTTCTGGGGACTTGGTTCCTGGAGCTCGAAGGTGGGGTTGTTGCTGCCCTCCTCGACGTTGCTGCTGGCTTGCGAGCTGTGCAGCTGGTCCAGGACGGCATGTGCGATGGGCACCATCATGGCTGAGGTGGCCGTGTTGCTGATCCACATGGACAGGAAGGCCGTGACCAGCATGAAGCCCAGGATTAGCCTAGGGATGGGCAGACAGACACACTGCTGTTCCAGCTTCCCTTCAGGGACTGGGTGCCCAGAATATCTCCTCGTCAGGTTCTCCCGTGCTGGTTTGCAGGAGGAACTCACGGGGCAGGCCGCACCCCAACGATGAGGAGGACACGGAGGGCGATGCGTTTATGCAGGTTCCAGTGTTCCACCGCGATGGCCACCAGCAGCCCCCCGAAGAACAGGAGGTTGGAGTCCTTAAGATACTCGACGGCAACCTGGCAGGTGGAGACATGGCTGAGCGGCGGGAAGACCCTGGAGTCTCCCACGGTGCCCCCGAGGTTATGGGATGCAGTCACTGACATTCCCACAGACTGGCATTCCCCTGGGCTCTCGAAACTGGATGGAAATGGTCTCTGAATGATCTGCCATTTAAAAAAAATAAATTTAACTTTTTGGAGACAGGGTCTGGCTCTGTTGCCCAGGCTGGAATGCAGTGGCACAATCACAGCTCACTGCAACCTCCACCTCCTTGGCTCAAACCATCCTCCCACCTCAGCCTCCCAAGTAGCTGGGACTACAGGCACGCACCACCATGCCTGGCTAATTTTTGTATTTTTTGTAGAGATGAGGTTTCACCTCGCTGGCCAGGCTGGTCTCGAACTCCTGAGCTCAAGTGATCCACCCGCCTTGGCCCCCTAAAGTGCTAGGATTACAGGCATGAGCCACCACACCCGGCCTGGATTATCTATCATTTAATATCAACCAGGTTCCCCTCTTCTTGTCAAACTCACTTTATCTCCCCTCAGGAATAATTAGTTGGGAGATAATCTACCGTGATTCCATTCATGTTTCAAGCCATGGACTGGGAGATAGATACTTTAGTGCGGTTTCTAAAAACTAGACAGTGGTTCTCAAAGTATGATCCCTGGGCCAGCATCATCACCACCAACTGGAACTTGTTAGAAATAAAATGCTTAGGCCCTACCCCAGATCTACCGAATCAGAAACTCTGGACCCAGCCATTTGTGTTTTAACCAGCCCTCCAGGTGACTCCGATGCTGTTCAAGTTCAAGAGCCACTGAACTAGAAGTATATGAGTGTGTTAGCTGGCCCTCAAGGCCCCTTTTCTGTGTCACTAGGCCTTCCACCTCCCACCTACGGCTGGCTAATCACTCTCACCTTGAATGAACTCGCAGCACTAATTCTGCACCCCTCCCCACCCCAGCCCGCAGCCTTCTAGCTGACTTCTTCCTCATGCAGAGTCAGGAACCCCTAATCCATGTGCCCTGCCTATGGTGAGGCTTCCTTTGTCAACAAGGGCTGAGGGAACCCACCCCCTGGCCTCCCGCACTGCCCAGAACGCTTTCTCCTATGGATGGGGCTCACCTCAGAGGCATCCACGATGCCCATCATAGGGAACAGGATTAAGGGGAAGAGGGCAGTGACGGCCAGGGGCAGGGCCTCAGTGCACCAGAAGAGCGCCATGAGGATGATGGCATACGCGCAGTAGGCCTCCTGCAGGTGGGAGAGAAGCGGCAGAGCTGTCAGAGGGCCTGTGTCCCAGAGCTATGCCACCTCCTGTCTGTCAGACAAACCAGGCCATTTGTGACTGCCTGGGGAGAGCCTGTGAAACCCACAGTCATTGATTCCCAAGCCCAAGGTCTCATTTCAAAATGCAAATAAAAAGCAAAGCAAGGCACTCAATATCACCTTGTCTTTGACCCTGGGGAGCCCAGACATTACAAGCCAGCCACTTCGGAGAGTCTGGAGTTGGTTACCAGTCCCCATCCAGCCCAGTGGGATTGCAGGGGCCCAGCTGAGGATCCCAAGATGAGATGGGGGCTGCCAGAAGAAGGAGCAGGACCTGGGCAATGTGGACCTTTGCCTGGCACCCTGGCGTTCCCTGGCTTTTATCACAAGCTGCAAGAGTATGTTTGTTTGTTGGATATTTAGTGTTTGTTCCCTTTGCTAGGAGTGAGCTCTCCATCAGACAGAGTCGGTTTTGTGGCATCCTTTCTAGCAATCCTGGTCTGGCTGCTGCATTACACAACTCCAGAGGAGCAATTTACATTTATAGGCTATGTGAAGTTTCCCCCAAGATGCTTGTGTTGTGCAGGGAATTGTGGGGCAATGCTGAGTCTTGTGAGTCTTTGAGTACCAGAAGTCCCTCTTTCCTGCATGAAGCCCCCAAGTCTAGAGAAGCCTGACCTCAGGCCTGGAAGGGGACCTGGGGCAAGAATGGAGGCCCACCCCCCTTATAGAGCCTCTCCCAGGGCTGGGGAATCATTAGCCAGGAGGCTTCCCAGGGCTGGGGAATCATTAGCCAGGAGAGGGCACCCGTATCCCCTCTCCAGGGGCCGGGCACCTGCCCACTCTTTATTTGCCAAGGGAAGGGGCCGCATGCTGGGGTTTGTTGGACAATGGGGCTGGGGACCCCCTCCTCCCTTGCCCATCCCAGTTGCCCTGTCCTTGTCCTCTCCACCTCGTACAGGCTAAGCTCACACTCTTAGTACCCTAAAGCTTGGGAAGGGTCCCTGAGGTGGGAGTAGGCGGTGGCCTGGGGGAAGAGGCAGCTGCTATTTATTCAGCAACTCTTAGGAACTTAGTATTGTCATTTTTGTGTTTACATGAAAACATAACAGCCATTAAAGTGGGTGTGGGGGTCCCACCTTATAGATGAGCTCAGAGGGTAAACAGCTTGCTCAGGGTCACAGAACTATTAAAAAAAAGTGGCAGAGCCTGGATGGAACTCAGATAAAGGATTGGGATTGGGTAACTTTCAAGCACTACCTAAGAGCACTCCCCTTGTAGTCTGTGTGAATGGTGCCCCAGTAATTGTGCAGTGTGTAGCCTGCCCAACTGCACATAGCCCCACCAAATCTGTCCGAAGCCAAGCTCTCTTTCCACCAAACCTCTACTACCTCTCTTCATCCTGGAGACAAACTCATCAGCCCCAGGATTGGGGCCACTTTGACCCTCAGACAGAGAAACCCAGCCCCCTCCTCCCCCAGCAGGATTCTGCTGATGCCAGTGTTTCCTCACCCGCAATGACTGAATGGCCAGTTACCCTCCCCTTGGACTAAGGGTGGGCCAGCCCTCCTGGACCCTGGTGTCCTCCACCCTGTCCACCCAGAACTCTCTGGCCAGAGACAAGGAGCAGGGCTGGGGTTGCGCTCACTCTGCTGATTCAGGAAGAAGTTTCTGTATAAGTATTGGAGGATGACTTTGTGCCAGGCGTCATATTCTATGTGCTTCAAATGCTTTTACAAGTTGCATTTATTTGCTCTCAGAGGTAATAACTATTGTTCACATTTCACAGCTGAAAAAAGAAAGGAGTAAATACATTTCAAAAATGCCTCAAAGTCACACATATAGTAAGTGGAGAAGCCAGGACATCTGCTTCCCGGGCCCCAGCTTTCACCTGCTACCCTGAGCATGATCACTTGCATTTGAGGGTGTCCTCAGCCTCAGGCTCCCTGTGACCAGTGGAGTGTAGGGAGAATGAGCTGGGGCTCTGAATCCAGAGCTATCTTCCCCAGGGCCTGCCACTTCCTGTGGCTGGGCTCTGTTAAGCATGTCACTTTGAGACCCTGTTTCCATACTCCAAAGGGAGTTGTTAATAATCGGACCAGGCTGGGCATGGCGGCTCACGCCTGTAATCCCAGCACTCTGGGAGGCCGTGGGGGGCTGATCACTTGAGTAAAGGAGTTTGAGACCAGCCTGGGCAACATGGCAAAACCCAGTCTCTACTAAAAATACAAGAATTAGCTGGTTGTGGTGGTGAGCACCTGTAGTCCCAGCTACTTGGGAGGCTGAGGTGGCAAAATCACCTGAGCCCAGGAGGTTGAGGCTGGAGTGAGCTGAGATCACGCCACTGCACTACTCCAGTCTGGGCAACTGGAGTGAGACCTTGTATCAAAAAAAAAAAAAAAAAAAAGTCAGACTCGCCTCCATGTGTTCCAGTGTGTTTGATGCATGGCTCCCTGCTCCCTGCTGCCTATGTCTGTGATGGGTTCCTCTCTATCTCCCTAGGGCTCTGCCCTCAGGGAGTGCCCGAGAGTACCTGACCCAGGGGGCCTCTCAGAACACTGACAGCTCCTCAGTCTCAAACCCTTTAAACATCTTGCATTTGAGGGTGTCCTCAGTCTCAGATCAAAACACAAGACCTGTTCCGAAGTTCCATCCAGAAGCCTTCATTAACCCCGGGTGGCTTTGGCCCTGCCTCCCCATCCCACCTCCTAGGCAGCCTGTCAAGCTGGAGCACAATTCGCTGATTTGTTCTTCCTGCATCATGAGATTCTTAACTGGGGCATGGAGTTCTGAGAATCCATGAAGATAAATGGGAAAACTATTTTATCTATTCAAGAACATCGAACTAAGGTTATGAACATAAAATCATAGTGCTATTAATGGCATTATTGGTGACTTGGTCACAGATATTTGACTGTGGCTATCAGCTATTAGACACCGATCCAGATAAGTTGTTGCAGTTGTTTCAGAATAGCTCTCGACATTCTGTTTACCTCCATCATTATTTTGAAATTTTGGTAGTTATTATACCAACTTTAGATCTTACCTAATGTACTAGCAAGGAAGTACATCTATTTCTGAGCTGCAATTTATTTTTCCATATTTTGATACCTGTATTTCAAAATAATTGGTTTATTTGTAATCCCATGCATTTTATTTTGTATATTTTATTTCTTATTTTTTCTAATTAAAAAAAATTTTTTTTAAAGACAGGGTTTTGCTTTGTTGCCCAGACTGGAGTTCATGATGTGATCAAGGCTGACTGCAGCCTCCAGTGCTGGGCACAGGCAATTCTCTTGCCTCAGACTCCCAAATAGCTGGGACTACAGGCATGTGTCACAACGCCCAGCTAATTTTTTTTTTTTTTGTATCTTTTGTAGAGATGGTTCTTGCTTTGTTGCCCAGGCTGGTCTCGAATTGCTGGTTTCAAGTGATCCTCCCACCTCAGCCTCCTAAAATGCTGGGATTACAGGTGTGAGCCACTGTGCCTGGCCTGTGCATTTCAAAGTAATTTTCTGAAAAGGGCAGAACCAAGACTCAGAGAGGTCTAGCTTTGCCTTGTTGACAGTTGTTGATGCTTAGAGGGTTTGGGTTTGAGACTGAGGAGCTGTCAGTGTTCTGAGAGGCCCCCTGGGTCAGGTACTCTCGGGCACTCCCTGAGGGCAGAGCCCTAGGGGTCTTTTCTTCTTAGGCACACAGTATATCCAATTACAAGGTCAGTATTCCCAGCTCTAGAAGTGGGGATTTGGGGATCAGCCTTATCCTTCCAGGTCACTCTAGTGCTCTCTGCCTTGCAACCCAGCTCTATGGAACCTAGGCCAGCCAAGTTCAACTGACAGCCTATGGCATTGGACTCAGCTGGTTTACACGCTGGCCACTGGCTGCTCCCCAGGACTGCTGCACTGCACAAGTCCAGGTCGCCATTCTCATATGGAGTTGTGCAAGGCATGGCCTGCACCACAGTCCCTGGTGGCCCCTCCTGGAGCTCAGAAACCAGCAGGGAAGAGTTTTCTCCTGGTGGCGAATGCTCTTCTTTCTACCTCTGGCCCTGCCTCCTCCTTCCCCAGGCCAGCAGGGTGGTTGTTCCCCAGCTCTGTTCCTTGACTGTAGCAGCTACTCTCCTCTCAAGATCTGTTTATGGGCTCCTGAGGACGGGGGCGTAGCCTCTTTCTCCTCTATGATCTAGCCTGTCTCTCTTTTTCAGGTGCTGGCCTGGTCTGTAAAGCCTCCTTTCCCACTGGTGTCACCCCCACCCCCAAGGAAGTCACCCTGTTCAGATCCTCACTCTTCTCCACCCAGCAGTCAATCCTTGTGACTGGAAGCCCACTTCAGGCAGACCCTGGGTCTCCTGCCTGTTCATCAGCCACTCATTCCACAAATACCCTCTCTGGGCCATGCACCCAGTCCTGCTGGTTCTGCCCCTTGAGTGCTCCCATTTATTTCTCTGTAGCTCTGGACCACTAGCCTGGTCCAAGTCTCAGCAAGACCTCTGCAAAAGCCTCCTTATTCATCTCCCAGCTTCCTCTCTTGACCCTGAAATCCTTTCTCCTTGCTGCAGCCAGAGTGATCTCAAGGCACAAATCTGTTTAATTTGCACCTCCCCTCCCCCAGCACACACACACACTCATCTCAAAACAGCTCACATCTCTTCAGTGGCTTCCTAGTGCTTTCAGGAACCTAAGTTTAGAGTTGGTCTGTGCCTCATGTCTTAACACTCTCCCCCTTACTCTCTCTGCTCTGGCCATACCAGCCCTCTGTGGGTTCCTCAAATACTGCATCCTCCCTCTGGCCACAGGGCCTCTGCACACGATTTCCTCTCTCTGGACCTCTCTTCCCTCCCTACTTTGCGTAGTTGATATCTACTGGTTCTTGAGATCTCAGCTCAAATATTGATTTTTCAGGCTGGCTTCCAGGAGGGGATATAGTTCCCATTTTTCACACTCTAAGTCCCTGTACCTCTTCTGCATAGCACTCATCATAGTCTGCAATTAAACATTTAGTTTTAGGGACTAAAAGATGAGTATCAATCTTTGTTGTCAGACTCTACCCTCCAGGGAGCAGGGTGCAAGTCTGTTTCTGCTCACCCCAGCGAGGTGCCTGGCATCTATTTAGCAGAGTTGACACTGAATGAGTGGGTGAATGAACGTGGGCCCTAGGGGTACAGGCATCAGTCAGGCCCAGCGCTGGCCCTCGGGGAGTCTGAGTGCCTGTGTGGGCTGGCCTGAAGGGCAGACTGAAGACAGAAACCCCCAGAGGGGCTTCCAAACCCTAAGCCAGGCAGCTTGCTTCTTCTGTAGTGGGAAAGCACATGTCCAGGGCACATGCTGAGTGCTGAGTCCCCGCTTTACTGCTGTGTGTCCTTGGGCAAGTTACTTAACCTCTCTCAGCTTTTCTGGTAAGAAACATCAAGCATTCGCTGCTGTAAACACATTTATCTCCATTATGCAGTTTCCTCATCTGGAAATGGGGATAACAGAAACATCCACCTAACTGGGCTACTGTAAGGACGAAGAGAGCTAACAAATGTAGGAATAAGGTTTTTTTAAAAAAAATTTTTTTTAAGAGACAGGGTCTCACTCTGTTGCCCAGACTGGAGTGCAGTGATGTGATCACAGCTCACTGCAGCCTCGATCTCCTGGCCTCAAGTAATCCTCCTGCCTCAGCCTCCTGAGTATCTGGGACTATAGGCATGTGCCACCACACCCAGCTAATTAAAACAATTTTTTTTTTTTTGTAGAGATGAGGGTCTCGCTATATTGTCCAGGCTGGCCTTGAACTCCTGGGCTCAAGCAATCCTCTCTCCTCAGCCTTCCAGAACACTGGGATTATAGGTGTGAGCCACCGTGCCCAGCCAGGAATAAGTTTTAAAGCATTGTAGCCTGTGAGCCCATAGCAGGGTTGGTGCTGGGAGAGAAATGTGCTCCTGGGCTTCTGGAGAACCAGAGAGGTTACATGAGGCACAAATGGAAGTGAAGGTGCCAAGGAGTCCAGGGCAGACTCCGGACCCGGGGTGTGTGGCAGGTGTGGGACCTGTGGGCATCATGGCCTCTGTCACTGGCACAGTACAGCCTGTGACTGTCAGGCAGCAGCACATGTGCCCACAGTCTCAGAGGTGTCACACCTTATTCCTCCTGGTGACTGAAGGTTAACCCAAGGGTGGGGACAGGCTGGCACATGGGGGACACTCCCACTGCCCCTCTGCCCCTAGCAAGTGGACATGCTGCCGGCAGGAGCACTCCCGGGTCTCAGGAGCAAGGCGAGGCACTGGGTGGCAGCCTGCCAAGCACCTGTAAAGCAGAGTCCAGAAGAATGGCGCTCAGAGGAGAAGGGGCCCCGTCCCTGAGCCTCCTTTTGTTTGGGTTGAGGAAGGCTTCCAGAGAGGGAACCTTGAGCGGGTACTGAGGGGTGAGTAGGAGTTCAGTTAGTGGGCAAAGGGGGTTGGGGTGAGGGAGTAAATGTAGAACAGAATGAGACATAAAAGATCAAGATGCATTCTTGGAAAGAGCCTTGTCTGCCCTGAGAGGATCTAGGAATTTGTCTGGAAGACGGGAGAAAAAGAGAGAAGGCCTCAAAGAGTTTTAAGCAGAGAGAGAGTGGCATGGTCAGACTTGTGGTTTAATAAAATATTACACAGATACTACCACACGCGGTTTAAAAAATTTGTGTGCAAGTGTTTGTATGCATTCAGGGAAATTTCTGATGTAGGGGTTTGTACACTTTTTTTGGTACCAGGATCCCCTTGGCAGCCTGATGAAGCATTCCAGTGTCTTAGAATAATGTTTTTAAATGCACCAATAAAATACATAAGACTACAAAGGAAACCAATTTTATTGAAATACAGGTAATAGGCTGGGTGCGGTGGCTCACACCTGTAATCCCAGCACTTTGGGAGGCTGAGGCAGGAGGATTTCTTGAGCCCAGGAGTTCAAACCAGCCTGGGCAACATGGCGAAACACTGTCTCTACTAAAAGTACTAAAACAAACAAACAAACAAACAAACAAACAAAAAAACTTAGCTGGGCATGGTGGCATGTGCCTGTAATCCCAGCTACTTGGGAGGCTGAAGTGGGGGAATCACCGGAACCACCCGGGAGGCAGAGGTTGCAGTGAGCTGAGATTGCACCATTGCACTCCAGCCTGGGTGACAGAGTGAGACCCTGTCTCAAAACAAACAAACAAACAAACAAACAAACCCTTAACTTTTAAAACCTAAACAAATAAATAAACACAGCTATTAAAATATGAAAAGGTGCTGGGTCCAGTGGTGTGTGGCTACATGGAAGGCTGAGGCAGGAGGATTGCTCGAGCCCAGGAATTTGAGGCCAGCCTGGCAACACAGTGAGACTCCATCTCACAAACAAACAAAAACATGAAAGAGTGTGGAGGGATGGAAGTCTCTTCCAGGAAGAATAGGCAGATGCCAAATGCCTAATTCTTTGAGGACTGAATATACAAAGGGGACAATGGCCAGTTCATATGTAAAAATATGTTTCACAACTTCTGTAATAACCAGCCGAGAAGTCAAACGACAACCTCTACAGCAGTAAGCCCTAAACACTCAGGATTTGCTCGATGATTGCCAATTCCCCTGATTTTTGCCCCAAACTCTTTACTCCTACTTCCAACTCAGGACCAAGCCCAGAAAGCGAAATGTGCTCCCCTAACCAGTCACCTGGGGTGCTGCTTCTAGTTAGCCGCCTATGGCTTCCCTGTGCCCAACAGCATGCACTGGAAGCCTTCCCTTTTGACCATTCTAAAGCTTTCCCACCCCATGCCTGCCTCAAGTTGCACGTGATGGCGGTGACTCTTCCTACCCTTTGCTTGTTCTCATTCAAGTGTCCTTCATTGATTTGCACACCTTGATGTGAATGACTTTGTTGCATCAGCTTCTGTTTTAAGAGGCCAAAGGGAACAATGAATTTTTGAGTGCTGGAGAAAACAAAAGTGGGGAGAAGAGTCCTGATATCACAGCCTGGGCCAGGGCCAGCCCTGCCTGTATGCACTAAAGAGCAAAATGCAAGCTCCTCTACGAATTTGATCCTTGTGACAGCCCTGAGCCTCGCTGCTGGATTACATCCAGGAAACTTTACTGTCGAAGAGGGTGACTTACTTTCCCATTCCTGGCCTTCACCTAGCAGGTGCCGATAAACAGGGACACGATTTAGTAATCTGGGCAAAATCCAAGTTGGGGACTCTACGCCAGGGATCCCCCTGGCCTTTGAGGCTGGGTCCTTCTTCTTATCCTATTTCCAGGCATCCCAGAGGCTAGAAAAACTACCTCCACACAGCTGCAGGTATTCCTAGGGACACAGCTCACCAATCTGGTGGGTGACCAGACATTCCTTCCTGTTCTATAGGTGGGAACATCTGAGGCCCTCCTAAGCACAAGAGCCCATTTGAACAGAGCAATGGAGAAGAAGTGAGGTATCCACACAGGGCTCCAGACCAGTCTGTGTTTTCCAGGGGCCCAGGAATTCAGATAAGAGGCAGAGGGCGAAGGGAGCAAGTGTTTATCAAGCCCCAGGTGCCAGGTACTCTACGTATATGTGTGCTATCTCAGCTCATCTTCACAACACCCCTTAGAGATGGCAGGGTTTGAAGAGGCTCGGTCAGGTCACACGGCAGTACACGCTGCTGAATGGATTTGAACCCACACCTGTTTGGCTCCAAAATCCATGTTTTGTTCACTGGACTCTGCTATCTCAGCTGAGGGCCAAGAAATCTCAAAAGGTAGAGGTGGGGCCCAGAACAGAGGTCCAAATTCCTTGTATAGTTTTCATGCCCGAAGTGAATCATCCAAGTCCCTGCCTTTGAGGTTCAGGAACAGCTTGCACTAAGAGTATTTTAACTACACAGATTTTTTTTTTGACAAGGCCTTGTTCTGTCACCCATGCTGGAGTGCAGTGGCATGATCACTGCTCACTTCAGCCTTGACCTCCCTGGCTCAAGTGATTCTCCCACCTTGGTTCTCCTAAGTAACAGGGACCACAGGCACGCGCCACCATGCCCAGCTAATTTTTTTGACCCCCCCTTTTTTTTTTTTTTGAGACAGAGTCTCACTCTGCTGCCCAGGCTGGAGTGCAGTGGCGTGATCTTGGCTCATTGCAGTCTCTGCCTCCTGGGTTCAAGAGAATCTCCTGCCTCAGCCTCCCGAGTAGCTGGGATTACAGGCATGTGCCACCACGCCCAGCTAATTTTGTATTTTTAGTAGAGATGGGGTTTCGCCATCTTGGCCAGGCTGGTCTCGAACTCCTGACTCCAGGTGATCCACCTGCCTCGGCCTCCCAAAGTGCTGGGATTGCAGGCATGAGCCATTGCGCCCAGCCAACTTTTTTGATCTTTAGTGGAGACAAGTCTCTCTACGTTGCCCAAGTTTGTCTTGAACTCCTGAACTCGAGCCACCCTCCTGCACTGGCCTCCCAAAGTGCAAGAGTTACAGGTGTGAGCCACCACTCCCAGCCTTAATTACACAGATTTTAAAATTCAAACACATGTAATGTTTATGCATTCTAAAAGGGCCAGTGATTCAGATTAAGAAATTCTGCCTTCTGGCCTTACAATAAATGCAATATTGACTTCAGCTGAATTCTGTCCTGGCCAATGTTGAGCCACTAGGAGACTGTTTTTACAGATGCCTTTGGGTCCTGGGAGGTGTTTGTGTTGTGACTGTAACTTACTAGCTGAACAACCCCTGAGTCGTAAGTTATTCACCCCTTAATGCTCACAGCACAAAATCCCTACTCCTCCCTGTAGCCTTGTAGGGCTGACATTGGCTGACCTCAACCCTCTTCTCTAAACTTGACTTAAGCAATCTAGTGAGGCCTCTTAAGGCCTCACTCGAGCCCCCAAAGCCACACTGGCCTTGCTTAATCCCTTCAATTTGCTAAGCTCTCCCCATCTGCAGGCCTTTGCACTTACTGCTTGTTCTGCCTGGATGGCTCTTTACCCAGAGCTGTGCTTGGCTGACTATAGAGAATTTATTTTTGAGATAGGAGTCTTGCTCTGTTGCCCAGGCTGGAGTGCAGTGGCACCATATGGCTCACTGCAGCCTCAACCTCCTGGGCTCAAGTGATCCTCCTGCCTCAGCCTCCCAAGTAGGTGGGGCCACAGGCACACACCACCACACCTGGCTAATTTTTTTAGTGAGGAGACAGGGTCTTGCCATGTTGCCCAGGCTGGTCTTGAACTCCTGAACTCAAGCGATCCACCCACCTTGACCTCCCAGAGTGTTGGAACACCCTCCTCAGGAGGCCTTCCCTGACCCCATCTAGAGCAGCCCTCCCCAGGCTGTGGTCATAGCCTGCTGCATTGTTTCTGCTTTTTGTATGTCTCCCCACTCCTCCCACTTTCTCTTCCCAACACACCCAAACAGTACTTGTCACACAGTACTGAGTTCTATGTTCACTAACAAAATGCATGGTTGGATGAATACATTTGAATGGATGTAAGGTTTCCATGTCTGGCTGCAGGGTTGGGAGAGCAGGAAGACCCCAGGCCCTCCTGTTCCCCATCTGCTGGGACCACCAGAGAGTGACTAGCATTTCAAGGTTCTGTTGCCACCCCTCAAACACACCCTACTATTCCTGGCCCCTACATCTTTCCTCCTGTGGTTCCATTCACCTGTTCTGCTGATGCCTCTGACTGTTAAAACTCCACCAACCTTCAAGGCCCAACTCAAATGTTGCCTCCTTCAGATTCTCCCTTGACTCAGTTGGAAGAATTTGCTCCCTCCTCTGAGCTCTGCAGCCTTCTGGCTGAACCTTTGTGTGGTGTAAACACCTGTCTCCTCCTATAGACTATAAGCAACTTGAGAATGGAACATCTGTATTCCTTTTGGTAACCCCTGACACAGAGCAAGAGCTCAACAGATATGCTGGACTGAAGTATGGTGGGAGGACTGACTGACAGCTGGACGGACATGAGAAAGGATGGCCTGAGAGGTGGGTCACAGCGGGGGCACCACCGGCCTCCCAGGGAGCCTCAGGCAGAGACTCCAACACCAGGTTCCAGTTCAAACTTTTTTCCTAGCTGGGACTTTAAGCAAATTGCTTCCCCACACTGGCCCTCAGTTTACATGTCTGTAAAATGGAGATAGTAGTAGTAACCTCATGTAACACATAGGCTTTTTTTTTTTATTTTTTGAGACTGAGCCTTGCTCTGTCTCCTAGGCTGGAGTGCAGTGGCACAATCTCAGCTCACTGCAACCTCCGCCTCCCGGGTTCAAGCGATTCTCCTGCCCCAGCCTCCCGAGTAGCTGGGATTACAGGCATGCGCCACCACACCTGGCTAATTTTTGTATTTTTAGTAGAGATGGAGTTTCACCATGTTGGCCAGGCTGGTCTCGAACTCCTGACCTCAGGTGATCTGCCCACCTTGGGCGCCCGCCTCCCAAAGTGCTGGGATTACAGGCATGAGCCACCATGCCCAGCCCGACACATAGGCTTTTGAAAGGAATAAATGATCTAACAATGCTTTGAAGTGCATGGCATAATGTCAAGCACATAAAATATACTCAACAAATGTCAATATTATTATTATGGGCACAAATTTGAGCCTAGGCTGGGGCTCCTTCTTCCCCCTTTGGAGGCCAGGGCCATGGGGCTAAGCTTGGGGACTCATTACAGAGAGTAGAGATTCAACAGGGATGCAGGTCAGGATCCACTGTGTGCACATTCCTTCCTTTCTTCATTCAAAAAGTTGGGGGTGGCCGGGCATGGTGGCTCACGCCTGTAATCCCAGCACTTTGGGAGGCCAAGGCGGGCGGATCACGAGGTCAGGAGATCAAGACCATCCTGGCTAACACGGTGAAACCCCGTCTCTACTAAAAATACAAAAAAATTAGCCGGGCGTGGTGGCAGGTGACTGTAGTCCCAGCTACTCGGGAGGCTAAGGCAGGAGAATGGCATGAACCTGGGAGGCGGAGCTTGCAGTGAGCCAAGATTGTGCCACTGCACTCCAGCCTGGGTGACAGAGTGAGACTCAGTCTCAAAAAAAAAAAAAAAAAACAAAAAACTTGGGTGTTTTTTATTTGTTTTTTTTGAGATAGAGTCTTGCTCTGTCACCCAGACTGGAGTGCAATGGCGTGATCTCAGCTCACTGCAACCTCCTCCTCCTGGGTTCAAGCGTTTCTCCTGCTTCAGCCTCCCGAGTAGCTGGGATTACAGGTGTGCACCACCATGCTTGGCTAATTTTTGTGTTTTTTTTTATAGAGACGGGGTTTCATCATGTTGGCCAGGCTGGTCTCAAACTCCTGACCTCAAGTGATCCACCTGCCTTGGCCTCCCAAAGTGCTAGAATTATAGGCGTGAGCCACTGCGCCAGGCCTAACAAGTATTTTTTGAACATCTACTTTGTGCCAGGCACTGGGGATTCTGCATGGGACAAGACAAAGTCCCTGTCCTCACGGAGCCGACATTCTAGTGCAGGAAGCCAGAGAGGAAGTAAAAAATAAGCAAATAGATGATTTCAGAGAGTAAACACCCTATAAACAAAAGAACAGGGCTTTTCCCCAAGAATGACTGGGGTTGGTCAGAGAAGGCTTTTCTAAGGAGGTGGATTTAAGCTGAAACCTAAAAACAGGAAGGAGGTATCTGGGAGAGCAGTCCAGAGCAATGTGAGGAGCAGAAAGAAAGCTGGTGAGGGTGGGGGAGAGTGAGCGAGAGGTGGGTCACAGGGGGAGGGAGCCTGGGGAGTCCAGGGCTGAGCCTTGGTGACTTCTGGCTGCTTGAAGAGGTTTTATCCTAAGTTTGACAGGAAGCCAGTGTAGGGTTTTTTTGTTTGTTTGTTTTTTCAAATTAAGGTGGGGTCTCATTATGTTGCCCAGGCTGGTCTCAAACTCCTGGGCTCAAGCAATTCTCCCGCCTCGTCCTCACAAAGTGCTGGGATTATAGGTGTGAGCCACTGCGCCTGGCCAATGTAGGGTTTTGAGCAGAGTGGGACACATGGGAAATGACCGGGGAGACAGTGGATCCGAGGGCGGGGAGTGACTCCATTCAGAGTATTTTGGGGTATCAAATGAGCAGGACCTTCTGCTGCACGTGGAAAGGAGGGAAGGAGAAGAATCAAGAATGCCCCCGAGTTTTTGGCTGTTGCAGCAAGGTAGATGGTTGAAGCATTTCTTGATGCCTAAGCCAACTGGAGAAGGGCAGGAAGGGTTTTGGTTTGGACGTGGAAAAGTGTAACCTGCTTATCCTGCTTACAAAGAAAATATTCAATTAGGGAGATGGCTGGTGTTCATTGGATAATACCAGTTTAGAGTTTAGGGCTGGGGTTACAGATTGATAACTCATTGGCATAGAGATGCTTTTTAAAGCACGAGATGGCATAAGATCAGCTAGGGGAAGTGGGGACCCTGGAAAACCTCAGAGTCAGATGGAGAAGGAACCTCAGAGTCAGGAAAGGTGGGAAGGGGCAGGGCTGGGCAGGAACCAGGAGAAGGTGTCACCAAAGCCAAGAGAAGACAGCACGGCAAAGACGGGGTGACAGCTGTGACAAATGCTGCCGAGGGACTGAGGAATGTGAGGGTGGCCCAGGGTTTGGTCACAAGGAAGTTGATGGGATCTGAGTCTTGGAGATGGGAGCTGACAAAAGAGAAAGTGCGCTTGTGGTGTAGACAGTGTCTTGAGACTTCCTGTTATGAGAGAGAGCAGAGAAAGAGGCACTATCCTGGAAGGAGCGTGGCCTTGAAAGAGAGCTCTTGTTTGTTTAAGATGAGAGATATTACAGCACCTCCGTATGTGGATGGGGGAGATCAGGCAGAGAGGAAATATTTATCTTGTAGGAGAGTGAGAGGACAATTGCAGGAGCAAAGTCCTTGAGAGGGGCTGGCCTCTCCTAGACAGGACCAGAGTCAGGATGGGGCTGGCAGCATCTGTGAGCCAGAGGCAGGTAGCAGGGCCAGATACGGTGCACAGAAGACAGGGGCTCCTAACACATCCCAGTCTCACCAACAGGCATGGCTTCTAGCACTGACTCAGGATTTCCTGTGTGACCTGGGCAAGTTACTGAATCTTTCTGTGCTGTGCTTCCCCAGGTCGAGGGGAATTGGGAAGAAATCAAAATCCCTGTCTGGCTTCCCTCCTGGGGTTAACACACTTGCCCCAGCCTGTCGGAAAACCCATCTGATGGGTCCCTAGCACTGAGATGCCACCGGCTTTGGCCTGAGATGAAGGTCATCTCAAAGGTCAGCTGGGCCTTGTTACTGACCAGGTGTCAGGGGCCCAGGGGCTGTGCCACTATCACCCCCAGTCTCTCACCCCTTTGGGATACCATGAACAAAAAAGTCTGACTCAATTTCTCTATCTATGACAAAAGGAAGAAAATGGCTTGATGGGCAGTTCTGGGGGTGTGGGGTGGGGCAGGAGGCAGCAGGGTGGAGAGAAGACATGCTTTGGCACCAGATCACACCCCCAGCTCTGAACCTCCCAGCTGTGTGATTTGCCAGAGGCCGACTGACTGAAGATTGAACTTCAAGGCCTTCCCCCTGGACCCTTCCCAAAGCCCCAAACTAATTTCAGATTAATACTTTTGTGTCCTTTTTCTTACAGAGTGGGGCCCAAAAGTGTATAATATCCAAGTTCCATGAAACTTGGATCTGCCCTGGGACTTTGACTAAGTGACTTAACCTCACCTTCCCCATTTGTCAAATGGGACAGTCAGGCCTGACCTCTTAAGATGGTGGAAAAGGTTACTGGGTGCCTAGGGCAGGGCAGGCATTGGCGGCTTGATTTAATGAGAGATGAAGTTATGACTTCTGCTGGGGGCGGAGGAGGAGGCAGTGACGCCTGGTTGTGCCCAGCTCCCCCTCCATCCAGGGCACAGTTTTTGTGCTGTCTACCTGCAGCGGTCCCCTCTTCCAACTCCCACCCCTCCTCCTCCACAGACTTAGCCCTTGAATCCACAGGTGAACTCTTTCTCTTCCTGTTTATGCTCTTAAAGATGCAGACCGCCTGCAGCCAGCTTTCTCCTATTCTCCTTCCAACCCTCTTCACTCTGCTGCTGCTTACCCAGCCGTCCCCTCCCCACAGCCAGCCCATCTCAGCCGCCATGGAGCCCAGTCCAGGGCTAGGTGGGCACACAGTAGGTAGATCAGCTCCATCTGCCCCCCTTGCATCTTGTTGATGGAACTGGTTTCCTGTTTCCTAGGGCAGTAGGTTGCAAACCCACCTAAGTAATTCACGCTGGGCTCCTACAACTGGGTGCCAAGCAAAAGCCCCTTTGACCTCCTAGCCCTCAGTCCTCAGGAGGAGCAGGGGGCGATAGCCTCACTTCCAGGGCAGGGGCAGTGAGGAAGTTATGCTGGATCCTAAGGATGCCCAACCCCGGCCCAGACAGTCCCTCCTCTGCCCCCTGGAGTTATCTGTGCTCAGAACACCAAGTCCTTACCTTACTGGGGACGAGGATGGGCAGAGGCAGCAGGAGAATGGGCACGAAGAACACGATCAGGTAGGAGCGATAGGCCCACAGGGCCTGCCAGCAGGTGGCCATGGTGTGGAGCAGCAAGGGCTGCTACAGCCACTGCCTCCAGGAGCTGGGTAACAGAAGGACCAAAGATGCAGCCAAGCAGGCAGGTGGCAGGCTTATATAAAGCCAGTTGAGTGTTAACCATTGACCCAGTCTGGCAATCAGAGTGTTTTTGGAGTTGGGGAGGTGAGAGTAAGGAGGAGGGACCCACAGGCGGAGTAAAGATCAGGAAGGGAGAGGGAGAAGGAAGGAGGAAAGAACAAGGATTAAAAAACTTCAGGTTCCTTCAAGAAGTTAATCCCAGCGTTAACTCCTTCTGTTCTTGGAGGCTGCTGAGGGTGGTGCTGGAGGAGCTGGAGAAGGAAGGAGAGTCCCCCAGCCACCCTCCACAGGCAGCCCCCAAGCCACCTCCGCTGGCCCGGCCTTTCCTTTCTGCTGTTCTCCAAAGCTAGGTTCTCAGCTGAGCACTTTATGTGACAGCCTGGGTGGGGTGGCCCTGCCCTGCCCACAGAGATGCCCTAGGAATTTTCAGTCTAAGATTGACAGTAGCTAAGGCCTGGAGCAAGTCCTCCTCCTCCTCCTTCCAGGTATCGAGGACCATCAAAGTCCCTGGTCCTGACTACATCTTGTGTGACACTGATCCACCGACTTAACCTCTCAGAATTAGCCACTTCCTTATTCTGCAGTAATATCTTGCTATTGTGAGGCTCAAATTAGACAACTTATATATGTTGAGCTTTGATGCATGGCAGGTGTACGATGAAGGTTAGTTTCTTTCAGGCTCTTCCTAGCCCCCTCGCCCCCCAGCAAAGATTGTCTCTTATTTTGGAAACATACTAGATCTCTCATTTATCCATCATCCATCCATCCATCCATCCATCCATCCAACCATCCATCCATCCATCCCTCCACCAAGCAAGTATTTAGTACCAATTATGTATTCAGCCCTGTGCTCAGTGCTAAAGATACAGAGATTAAAATGCTGCTGCTGCTGCTGGTGGTAAAGACTGACATTTGCTCAGCACTTAGTACAAGTCAGTTACTGTACTTCATCAACTCGGTAACTACACCATGGGTTAGGTGTTACTATTCCATTTAACAGATGGGGGAACTGAGGCCAAAGGACATGGAGCCAGCCAGAATTCACACATGCATTATGGGTATCCTGAGGGAGGTCCAAACCAGGGCAGAAGCTCTGGGTGAAAGGCACCAGGCAAGGGCTCCTGGAAGAGATGGCATCTGAGCGAAGGCTTGAGAGCTCAGTCTTACTTGGCACGAGGTGATAGGGGAAGGGGCACAAGGAGAGGGAAGAGTGAACGAAGGCCTGGAGGGTGGCAAGTGCATGCGTGTGTGTGTGTATGTATGTTGAACGGAGCAAGTTGTAGTTTGGAAGAAATTGTGGGTCTTATCTCTGGCCAGACCCTCAGTCTCCTGGCGCCCTCACCCCTCCTCACCCTGACTGCACGCAGTTGAAGGTCAATGCATGTTTCTGAGGTTATCAGAGTATGATGATCCGTGTGTGCTAGGATAAGGAGGCGGGGTATCAGGGAGAATGTTTCAGGCAGCGAAGACAGTCTGGGAAGAGATGCAGAAGCGTGGGGACGTTTAGAGAACAGAAGGTTCTGCGTGGTTGGAATGTGGATTTGCGGGGGACAGGATTAAGAGCTGATAACTATAGTTTTAGGTGTACCATAGCATGGCCTGGGCTGTTATGCCACCGAGACACTCCTGGAGCCAGTGGATCTTTTAGAGAAAGGCCCCTGGTGCTTTCTGCAGGGCGGTCCTAGAGGTCAGAGGGATCCAGTTCGAGGGCTCCTGGAGCGAGGCCAGGCTGGTGGGATGCTACAGTAACAGAGTACAGGCTAGCCACCCCAGCCCCCCTTCAGGCATGGCTCCTTCACTCCCACACAGTGGCCTGCCACCTGCCCAGGGCAAAGTAAGCAAGAGCCAGGAAGGACAGGGAGAGACAAAGGGTTTCAGACACTCAGGACAATGCCCCGATTCTATCTCACCTTGGTGGAAGCCTCTCCCATGGCCTGAGGCTTTTAAGGAGCCACAAAAAAAAAAAAAAAAAAAAAAACCAGGCCCAGCTTCACCATGTGTAAAATCTGCATCCCAGTTTACCTAACTCTCCATACCAATTCTGTGATGTAGGCTCAGGGCAGTGAGGTTACTCGTCTAGAGTCACACACCTTGTGAGTAACAGAGAGAATGCAGATTTGTTTCCAGGAAGGCTGTGCCCTTGGCTCAGCCCTCCATTCTCTGGTCTCCTTTGATGGAGCTGGGACAAAACTCAATGTTTTACTGAGACCCTCTGGCTTCCCCCTACAGCCCTCTTCTAAGACATAGGCTTTTGGGACCTTCTTTGATTCTTTTTTGAGGCCCAGCACTGGGGGGCTATTGCATCACCAGCAGCCAGGCCCCATCAGTGATGAATTCATCTCAAAGCAGTGATGAATTCCCAAGGCCAGCGGGAAGACTCCAGCTGTCATATTCATTACAAAAACTTCCCCTTTGCCTGGGAGTCATGGCCAGGGCCCCACTCTGCCAGGTCTTATTCAATATTCCCTTTTGCCCCACCCCCTTCTCCTTTAATTAATGCAGCAGATAACTGTGGTTTTTTGCATGGCTCCTAATGAACTGTGAGTAACATACGGTAGTTGCCTGGCTGGCTTCTTCAGTCTTTGCTGGGGCCTTCCCTGTGATGGGTCTCTGTACTATCTCAGGAAGGAGTCACTACCAGGAAACACCTACCCTGCACTTTGTCCATTGCCTCTCCTGGACAGGGCTATCGGAGATTGGCTGCAAGTCCTTGGGGGAGAGGAAATGGTCTCTGGCTTGCAAGAGCCAGCTTGTCCTCAGAAGCAGGTGGCTGATAAGCTGGAGATAGAGCTGGGGCTGGGTCACAAAGGTGGCTTTTAGGAAGTTTATATCTGAACATGTGAGGCAGGCCTTAAGACAGGGGCCGTTGAGGCAACCCAGCATTGTGCAGGCTGGGCCTGGGGCCCACAGGGGCACAACTCCAGGGATCCTAGAAAGCCAGGATGGCTGGACATATTAGGGAGCATCAGGAATGATTTCTAAGACCTGAGACTGCCCAGCCTAGAGGAGAGAAGATAGGGTGTGGGCAGGGACAGTCATCAAATCCTTGATTGAAGAAGAAGGGATGTTCTCAAGGACAGACAGGATCACAGGATAGGGGGGCTAGGGAGGCACCTGGGCTGTTTTCAAGAAGACCACCCTCCCTCGAAAAGAAGTGCCCCTCCTGGGTGGCTGGCATGCCCTGGGGAACGGTGGACTCGGGGGTTGGGCATCGTGTTTACAGCTCTGAGAATCCCAGACCCCAAATCCGACTCCAGGTGCTCTGACCACTCCCCTCATCTTCCATTGCCTCTCCAACTGGGTCCACAAATTTTTTGTTTGTTTGTTTTGTTTTGTTTTGTTTTGAGACAGAGTCTTGCTCTGTCGCCCAGGCTGGAGTGCAGTGGCGCGATCTCGGCTCACTGCAACCTCCTCCTCCTGGGTTCAAGTGATTCTCCTGCCCCAGCCTCCCGAGTAGCTGGGACTACAGATGCGTGCCACCACGCCCAGCTAATTTTTTGTATTTTTAGTAGAGACCGGGTTTCACCATGTTGGCCAGGATGGTCCCAATCTCCTGACCTTATGATCCGCCCGTCTCAGCCTCCCAAAGTGCTGGGATTATAGGCATGAGCCACTGTGCCCAGCCACAAAATTTGTTTTATACGTGTTCAAATCCACCCCCCTCTGCAACTCGCGAGGTGCTCAAAAGGTGCCTAAATGTCCCTATAAGATCCAGTTCTCCCTTTCCTCTTTCGCCTCAGCCCTCACCACTCCTGCCTGCAGTCAACAATATGCCAGACTCAATTGTTTTCAGATCCTCAGTTGGGTCCTGCAGTTTGTAAAATCTCCAGGCAGTTCCCACGCTCTTGCTTCTCCTAAGCATATTCTCCCTGACTCCTCCTCCTTACCCTACTGGTTCAGTCTTGTTTACCTTTCAAGCCCTAAGACCGAACTTTCTTTGTGAACTCTCATCACAGACAGGATCAGGACCCCTGCAAAGTGCCCTAGATATCAAAACACATGTCACGCTGCATTGCATTCTCCTGATAACCCATCTCTGTCCCCCACAAGACTACAGGCTCCCTCCGGGCACAGACTGTCTGGACGGACCTGGCACAGAGCTGGTACTCAACAAGTACGTGTTGAAAGAATGGATGGCTGGATGGGTGGGTAGATGGGTGGATGGGATGCCCATAAGATAATTTGTAAGGTTTACGCCAGAGAGCCAAGCCCTCCTTCCAGCATGTTCTGGAGCTAGTCCCCGGAGCTTCAGGCCGGACATATAGGGGCCATTGGTCAGACCACCAGGCAGAGAAGTGAATGGATTTTCATTACCATCAAGACCGTGATGAGGAGATAGGGAGTAACCCTTCCAGAGCCAGCCCTGTTGGAGGCTGGGCAGGGACCCAGGGAGTATTCTGATCCTAAAAGAGATCCGAGGCTCATTTATACACAATCAGTCCAAGAACCACCTTCTTGCATCACCAAGTAGCAAGGCCCATTCTTTCTCCTTCTAAGTCTCCAGGCCCAGCTCTCTTTAAACATTGTGATAAAACACACATTTTAATGACCACCTGAAACCTTTTTCAGTGTACAGCTCAGTGCTGCTAAGTATATGTACACTGCTGTGCAACCAACTTCAGAACTTTTCATTTTGCAAAACTGAAACTCTATACTCATTAAACAACTCATTTCCTCCTTCCCCCAGTCCCTGGCAACTACTTTTTTACTTTATGTTTCCTTGAGTTTGACTAGTCTCAGTACCTCATAGAAATGAAATCATATGGTTATTTGTCTTTTGTGAAAGGTGTATTTCACTTAGCATAATGTCCTTAAGATTCATCTATTTTGTGTATGTGTCAACATTTTTATGGCTGAATAACATCCCATTCTATGTATATACCACATTTTGTTTATCCGTTCATCTGTCAATAGACATTTGGGTTGCTTTCACCTTTTGGCTATTGTGAATAACCCTGTTATGAACGTGGGTGTACAAATATCTCTTTGAGACCTTCCTTTCAATTCTTTTGGATATATACCAAGAAGCAGTATTGCTGGATCATCTGGTAGCTCTATGTTTCGTTTTTTTTTTTTTAAGGAAATGCCATGCAGTTTGCCACAGCAGCTGCACCATCTTACATTTCCACCAACAGCGCACAAGGGTTCCGATTTCCTCACAGCCTCAACAATACTCATTATTTTTTTTTTTTACTGTGAATATATACTTTTTATTTAGTCATTTTTGTTTACAATTGAAACTCTGGGAATTCAAAATTAACATCCTTGCCCGTGAGCTTCTTATAGACACCAGAAAAAGTTTCAACCTTGTGTTCCACATTGTTCTGCTGTGCTTTGTCCAAATGAGCCTTTATGAGCCGGCTGCCATCTAGTTTGACGCGGATTCTCTTGACCACAATTTCGCTTGGGAAGACCAAGTCCTCGAGGATGGCATCGTGCACAGCTGTCAGAGTACGGCTCCTGGGACGCTTTTGCTTATTTTTTGTACGGCTTTTTCGAGTTGGCTTAGGCAGAATTCTCCTCTGAGCGATAAAGACGACATGCTTCCCACTGAACTTTTTCTCCAATTCGCGTACTAGCCGGACTTGGATTTTCTGGAAAGATTTCAGTTGAGGAACGGGAACAAAGATTATGATAGCTTTCTGACCACCACCAACTTCAATTTCCTTAGCTGCCGTAATATTCAGCTCCCTGAGCTGAGCCTTGAGGTCCGAGTTCATCTCCAGCTCCAGAAGAGCCTGGGAGATGCCGGACTCGAACTCGTCCGGCTTCTCGCCATTGGGCTTCACAATCTTGGCGCTCGAACTGAACATGGCTTTCTCCTGGGAGAACTTGCCGAGCGCCGGCTTAGGAAGAGTGTTTTGTCTTTTTTAAAACAGCAGCCATCCTAGTGGGTGTGTGGTGTTTCATTGTGGTTTTGTGCTTGCTTCGGCAGCCCACATATTAAAATTGGAATGTTGCAGAGAAGATATTTCGTTGTGGTTTAGACTTGCATTTCCTTAGTGATTAGTGGTGTTGAGCAACTTTTCATATACTTGTCCACTTGTATATCTTCTTTGGAGAATGTCTATTGAAACCGTCTGCTAATTTTTAAATTGGGTTACTTGTTTTTTGTTGTTGTTGGATTGTAAGAGTTCTTTATATATTCTGGATATTAACCCCTTCTCAGACGTATGGTTTACAAATATTTTCTTCCATTCTGTAGGTTGCCTTTTTATTCTGTCGATTGTGTCCTTAGATGACACATGCCCAGCTCTTTTGAGGACTCTTTCTCTCTTTGTTTTCTATTTAAACTTTCGTTTGGTATTTATTTTAAGCTGATTTCACCTAGCTCAATGTTGTGAGGAGGCCCTAGAGATAGGAGGAGGTGGTAAGATTAATGCTGGCTTCCAATCTTTGGGTCCCTGAACCTGATTCCATTCATTCCTTATCTACCCATGTATTCATTCATTCAGCAAACACAGAGTTTTGGAATCAAACAGATCTGGCTTTGAATGCAATGTTTCTCAGTTCTCTCTCTGTAAAGCAGGGGAAAACTGGACATGTAGTCAAGAGAGAAGATTTGATGCTAGAAACATCAAACTAGAAACACTATGCAAAGGGCCTGCCCTGGGTGGACACTTCATAAACAGTAGCGATTGTCATTTCTCAGTGGCCAGCAGTGGGCAGATGCAGCCCTTCTCCAGGGTCCCTTAAATCTCAGGGTTAAGAGAGTTCAGCTTCAGTTTATTTTCCCAAGAGATTAAGTGCTGTTGACAAATCACAGCAGTGCTCTGACCAAGCCTCTCCCCACAGTGGCAGTGATAGTGACAAAGTCTCCCTCCTGTCATATGTTCTGACCCTGAAGGCAAGGAGGCAGGGAAGACACTCTGCCTAACAGGGAGCCAAGGGAGCCCATGTTTGTGATGAGCAGAGTTTCTGTGAAAGACCTTTCACCAAAAGCAGCAGGGTTGAATCATGTTGCCCTGGGTTGTGTGGCGATAAGATAAGCTGAGCTACTCTGCACTGTTTGAACCGTGGAGCTCTCTGACTAGAAGAGCTGCCTGACTGGGAAGGCTGCCTGGAAGAGGAGCGACGCTTCATTAGTCCTTCCCCTCTTGCCAAAGAATCCTCCTCTCCTGGAAGCCTAGGAGGAGCTTCAAAGCAGACGAGGTGGGGAGGGGGTCCTGGGGTTCTGGACCCCACTTCTAACCCTGGCTCTGCTCCCCACTGCCTATGCCACCTGTTCCTGGTCTTTGCGAGTCTCAGCTCCTCATCTGTAGAATGAGCATAGGAAAAATACCTGGAAGGTGCGCGGTTTATGTGAGAAGATTCATGAAGAGTGCCTGGCACGCGTTCGGCCCTGAGCAAAAGCTGATTTCCTTCTCCTCCCCTTCCTCCTCAGCCTCTGCTTGCAACTCCACTCTCCAACTTCCACAGGCACAGGCGTGCACCCCCCTGGCTCAGCATCCTTGGGACTCCCACGCTCTCCCCTCCCTGGCTGCACAGAGCCTTGACTTCCGGCTTGTGTTGCCTGCCTCCTTTTCCCTCCAGGAGGAGAACTTTCTCATCCCTCAGGAGCAGCTCCCACCTGCCACCCTTGCCTGATATTGTGGCCCATCTTGATGACACTGTTCCCAAGCCCCTTTGAGGACATACTGCTCTGGTTTTTGGCACAGACCATACTTACTTTTGGTGGTAAGGATTTGTCCTTGGCATGCCCCCAGCGGGGCTGGGAGTCTGGAGAGCAGAGCTGGGATCTGAATCACGCACCTTGGGTGGGTAGCTCAATGCGGACCGCCACGTGTGCAGCACTCCATGTGCCCAGTGCTCTTCTTGGAACAGGGGTCTGAACGATGGTGGTGGCTGACAGATCGACCACACATGACTGACAGATGGATCCCCTGGTCCCCTTTTCAAGCATCCAGTACTCTACCCTTCCCCCACCCCATACACACATACTGACCTTCTTCCTTCACCAAGATGTCATAGTGGAGCCTCTTACCATTTAATTTGCAAAGCCTACAGGTCCCTAGGGCAGAAGGGCATCCACGCTCTGTGTCTCTCCCCAACCTTGACACCCTGAACACTGTATGTGTGCCCTTAGGGAAGGTACGCTGATAGTTCCCATCCCAGAGTGCTGGGGAGTAGAGCTGGAAAAGAGGCTAGAGATGATCCAGGCCAATTTCTTCATTTCATGCTGAGGAAACTGAGGCTCGGAGAAGTTGGGAGACTTTTGAAGGTCACACACATTTGGCACATCCTGGCCTAGAACTCAGGGGTCTCCCTCTATTAATTTTACTTTAACAATTTGTCAACATTAGTGAGTCCCCACTGTGGGCCAAGCCCCAGCTAAGCATTTTCACACTCATTCTTGCATTGAACTCGGATCATGTTGTTTGAAATTGATACTATTATCATTGAACAGAGGGGGAAACTCAGGCCTCAGAAAAGGAACATGACTGGCTCAAGGCTCATGGCTAGTAAGTGGCCAAGTGAGGACTTGAACCCAGATCCTTCAACTGCCAGTTTAGCACTCTTTCTGGCAACCTTGAGCCCCTCCTTGGCAATACCAAAAGGTTGCTGAGGGTGCTGGCACCTGTGCCCCGCTAAGAGGAAAGGCCCATTGAGATGCTGGGTGGCACAGATGATGGCAAGGGCCCTGAACAGTGGCTTTCTGGCAAAATGTGGCCCTGTTTTGCATAACATGCAAATAAAATCTCATATTCCTCAGGAATTCTGCACAACAGCTCCCTGGCTCAGGGTCGGCAGAGTCCCTGCTGAGCAAGCCTTCCTAGCCCTGGCTGGACTCACATCTCCTCCTAGACACCCCTTGCAATGCCAGCAGCTTCCATACCCAATCCTAGGGCCAATACTTTTACCTTCTTTGGGCTTTGGTCTCTTGGCCTCAAATGGGATGATGATGGTGTATGTAAAGGTATTTCTTAGTCCAGGCATGGTGACTCACACCTATAATCCCAGCACTTTGGGAGGCTGAAACGGGAGGCTCACTTGAGGCCAGGAGTTCGAGACCAGCCAGGCCAACATGGTGAAACCCCGTCTCTGCTAAAAATACAAAAAAATTAGCTGGGCATGGTGACACATGCCTGTAATCCCAGCTACTCAGGAGGCTGAGGCAGGAGAACTACTTGAACCTGGGAGGTGGAGGTTGCAGTGAGCCGAGATCGTACCACCAGCACTCTAGCCTGGGCAACAGAGTGAGACTCTGACTCAAAAAACAAAAAAAAAAAGGTACTTCTTTCTCCACTGAAACACTACTTTAGGGAGGTCAAGGCTCCATTAAAATACCTTTAGCCTCCACATATGCTTCACACTAACAACAGTTGTGGCTTGTGATTAAGCACCTACAACATTCTAGAACTTAGTTACATCCCTGCAACATCCTGTTTTATGGATAGGAAAACTGAAGCACAGAAAGGTTAAGCCAACTGACCTAGGTCACACAGCTAGTAAGTTGCAGAGCTGTGATATAATCTCAGGATCATTCAATTCCAATTCCAGGGCTTTTTCCATGACATCACAACATCTTTTTGTTTGCAATTCAAAGTCCTTCCTCCATAATCTGCCTCAACTTTCCTTTCTAATCCCAGTATCAATCAGACAGGCCCACTTAATGGTCCCCTCTGGGTTTACTACCTGGGGTAGTCTCCCCTATCTCTCCAATGGCCTAAATGTATACTTATTTTGGGGCCATTCGTATGAGTGTTTAGGTACATGTATGTATATGTACGTAGGGTTTGTGATATATATATGTACATATGTATGGTGCATATGTATTTGTTTGTAGTATGTGTGTTTGTGTGAATGGATTTATGAAAGTTAGTGTGTATCCTGGACTCATGCATGCGTGTGTTAGCATACTTCAGTTTATGACCAGCGTGGGCAACACAGTGAAACCCCGTCTCTACTAAAATTACAAAAATGAGCTGGGCATGGTGGGCATGCCTGTAATCCCAGCTACTCGGGAGGCTGAGGAAGGAGAATTGCTTGAACCCAGGAGGTGTAGGTTGCAGTGAGTTGAGGTCGTGCCACTGCACTCCAGCCTGGGTGACAGGACAAGACTCTATCTCAAAAAAAAAAATGTTTCCGTCTACACATATACTGTGTATTTCAGTGACTGGGGGAGCATTTGACAAGTACCATATGAAGTGTTAATATCATTATACCTAATGAGAGAGAAAAAAATCCTGACAGCTTGCAATTGGCCCATAGGGTAACCAACTGTCCTCGGTTTCCCAGGACTCTCCCAGTTTTAGCACTGAAAGTCCTGCATCCTGGGTAAGCCCTTGGTCCCAGGTAAACTGGGGTGGTCACCCTACTGGCCTGGCAACCAACAGCTAGGCTGTCATGTTCTTTGCTGAACATGACAAAATATCACAGAATATTGACATCAGATGAGGCTTCTCTGTGACCATGATAGAACAAGGCAAGATCAAGGACACTATGACACTCAAAATGACCAAGCATCCTTCTCCCTTGGCAAACATGAGTGACTACCATTTTCTTTCTTTTTTTTTTTTTAACCGACGACAACTCTAGCCCTGCTTGGACCCTCCTACCTCCTAGATAAAAATTATTAAGATGCCCAATGATCAAATTGCCCTTGCTTCCCGACAGTGCTCAACCCAGAACAAACTCTTGCTTCCTTAAATACCCTCCAAAATCACCCAGCACAATTCCAAACAAGCCCATCCTCACTGCCTCTTACTAAGACATCCCGCAGTCCCCCACGGTGTATGCTCCTTCACTGCAGCAAGTCAAGAAACCTAACTTTGTTCAATTACAGGTGTGCTCCTGGTGCTATTTAGTTACTGGGCTTTATCATTGAGTGAGAGTCTATCAAAATCTCTGGTGAGCAGAATGTATCCATTCAACCATCATTTGCTAAACAAACATTTTCTGAGTGGCCAGGTGTGTTGGCCTATGCCTGTAATCCCAGCACTTTGGAAGGCCGAGGCAGGTGGATCACTTGAGATCAGGAGTTTGAGACCAGCCTGGCCAACATGGTGAAACCCTGTCTCTACCAAAAATACAGAAATTAGCTGGGCATGGTGGTGCACACCTGTAGTCCCAGCTATTTGGGAGGCTGAGACAGGAGAATTGCTTGAATCTGGGAAGCGGAGGTTGCAGTGAGCTAAGATTGTGCCACTTTGCTCCAGCCTGGGAGACAGAACAAGACTCTGTCTCAAAAATAACCCCGAAAAGACAAACAAACAAAACACATTTACTGAGCTCTTAACTATGTGTTAGGGTGTCAGGCACTATGCTGGGCAATGGGGACAAACCTAGGGGAGTTTATGGTTTGGTGAGGGAGACAGACTATTAAATAATGACAAAAATAAATATGCAGTTAAAGACCATGCTAAGTGTTGGGATCCATATTTAGTGGGTCATGGGATATTTAACAACACCTAACCCAGCTTCACTGATCAAAGAAGTACCTCATTCAAATCTGGATTCCCCCGGCCCCCACACAAAAAATCTGGATTCCCCCAATCCTCTAAGAGCCAGCCTTCCAAAGAGCCTCTTGGGTTGTTAAAATTCTACCTGCAGCCGAAGACCTATTTGGAGTTGGAGGCACAGAGAGGCAGAAGTTCTCTATTTCTCCTCTCAGCTTTCTTCCTTTAAATGAGTTCATTGGGCCAGTCGTGGTGGCTCACGCTTGTAATCCCAGCAGTTTGGGAGGCTGAAGTGGGTGGATCACCTGACATCAGGAGTTCGAGACCAGCCTTAGAGACCAGCCTGGCCAACAGGATGAAACCCCACCTCTACTAAAAATACCAAAGAAATAAAAAATTAGCCGGGTGTGGTGGCAGGCGCCTGTAATCCCATCTACTCGGGAGGCTGAGGTAGGAGAATCGCTTGAACCTGGGAGGCAGAGGTTGCAGTGAGCTGAGACAGAGCCATTGCACTCCAGCCTGGGTGACAGAGTAAGACTCCGTCTCAAAAAACAAAACAAAACAGAAAACCAAAAGAGTTCATTGGAGCCCTGTGTCATAACTCTTATCCTAGGAGATGTTTAAGGTCTTAGTAGCAGCTAGAGATTGGGAAAGTGGGTCTTTGGTAAAGTAAGCCAAACTGGGAGCCGTGTCAGCCTGGCCAACATGGTGAAACCCCGTCTCTACTGAAAATAGAAAAATTTAGCCGGGCATGGTGGTGTGTGCCTGTAATCCCAGCTGCTTGGGAGGCTGAAGCAGGAGAATTGCTTGAACCTGGGAGGCAGAGGTTACAGTGAGCCGAGATAGCTCCATCACACTCCAGCCTGGGCAACAAGAGCAAAACTCGGTCACAGAAAAACAAAAACCAAAACCACCAAACAATATACAGGCCCTGGGACAAACTGTTGCCTGGAACGCGATGTCATTTCTCAGAGCCACACGCAGGAGGCATGGGCGTCACATGTAGGAGGCATGGGCCACCACAGGATTCCCAGCCCAGGCGCAGCTTGAGGGTGGGGTGGGGGCATGGCCAGGGATGGGTGGGACCGGGCAGCCCAGCTACGCACCTAACAGGTGAGCAGTATCTCCAAGCCGCTGCTACAGTGCCAGCCCCAATCAGGGTGCCCTGAACAAAGGCATCAACCCTCCTGACCAAGCATGAACTTGTGCCGCCCAGATTGGAGGCGTTTGTGGCTTTTAAGTTATCTTGGGGCCACATCTTTATATTCCACCTTTAGTCTGCCCTTGCCTGAACTTATTCATCTTGTGTAGTCTCATAGGCCCTGAAAGTCCTTTTTGAAACAAAGAAGTAAACAAACTGAAATGCAAGACTTAAACTGTACCTAATAACAAATATTTTATACTTCTCTAAGACTAAAGACTCTTAAACAAAGTTGAGACACGAACTTGCTGGGAAGAAAAATATGTGGAAGAGCCAAAGCAAAGTATATATAAAATATGAAAAACTCCTACAAATCACTAAGAAAATGGCTGAAAGTCCAATAGGAAAAAGGATTTGAGGCTGGGCGCGGTGGCTCACGCCTGTAATCCCAGCACTTTGGGAGGCCGAGGCAGGCGGATCACGAGGTCAGGAGATCGAGACCATCCTGGCTAACACAGTGAAACGCCATCTCTGCTAAAAATACAAAAAATTAGCAGGGGGTGGTGGCGGGCGCCTATAGTCCCAGCTACTCGGGAGGCTGAGGCAAGAGAATGGTGTGAACCCGGGAGGCGGAGCTTGCAGTGAGCCGAGATTGTGCCACTGCACTCCAGCCTGGGCGAAAGAGCCAGACTCCGACTCAAAAAAAAAAAAACAAAGAAAAAAGGATTTGAACAAGCAATCTGCAGAAGACATTAAATGACCAATAAACCTAAAAAAGCTACTGAATGTCAGCAATAGTCGAATAAAGCATTATTTGCCTAACAGATTAGAAAAAAATTTAAAGAATTGGTGATTGCAGGGGGAAATGGGCTAACTTTTGAGTGGTACTATAAATTTGTATGACCTTTCTGGAAGCAATTTAACAGTGACTATCTCAAAAAATAAAAAATGAAACAAAAAATAAAAACAAAAACAAAACAGTAACTATCCTAATTTTATTTTTATTTTTGGAGGCAGAGTTTCGCTCTGTTGCCAAGACTGGAGTACAGGCAGGATTCTGGCCCACTGCAACTTCTGCTTCCCAGGTCCAAGCGGTTTTCCTGTCTCAGCCTCCTGAGTAGCTGGGATTACAGGTGTGTACCACCATGCCCAGCTCATTTTTTTTTTTTTTGTATTTTTAGTAGAGACAGGGTTTCACCACATTGGCCAGGTTGGTCTTGAATTCCTGACTTCAAGTGATCCACCTGCCTCGGCCTCCCAAAGTTCTGGGATTACAGGCATGAGCCACCGTGCCCAGCCATTATCCCAATTTTATTTATTTATTTATTTATTGATTGATCATTCTTGGGTGTTTCTCGCAAAGGGGGATTTGGCAGGGTCATAGGACAATAGTGGAGGGAAGGTCAGCAGATAAACAAGTGAACAAAGGTCTCTGGTTTTCCTAGGCAGAGGACCCTGCGGCCTTCCGCAGTGTTTGTGTCCCTGGGTACTTGAGATTAGGGAGTGGTGATGACTCTTAACCAGCATGCTGCTGCCTTCAAGCATCTGTTTAACAAAGCACATCTTGCACCGCCCTTAATCCATTTAACCCTGAGTGGACACAGCACATGTTTTAGAGAGCACAGGGTTGGGGGTAAGGTCATAGATCAACAGGATCCCAAGGCAGAATTTTTCTTAGTACAGAACAAAATGAAAAGTCTCCCATGTCTACTTCTTTCTACACAGACACAGCAACCATCCGATTTCTCAATCTTTTCCCCACCTTTCCCCCTTTTCTATTCCACAAAACCGCCATTGTCATCATGGCCCGTTCTCAATGAGCTGTTGGGTACACCTCCCAGACGGGGTGGTGGCCGGGCAGAGGGGCTCCTCACTTCCCAGTAGGGGCGGCCGGGCAGAGGCGCCCCTCACCTCCCAGACGGGGCGGCTGGCCGGTGGGGGGGCTGACCCCCCCGTCTCCCTCCCGGACGGGGCGGCTGGCCGGGCGGGGGGCTGACCCCCCCACCTCCCTCCCGGACAGGGTGGCTGCCGGGCGGAGACGCTCCTCAATTCCCAGACGGGGTGGCTGCCGGGCGGAGGGGCTCCTCACTTCTCAGACGGGGCGGCTGCCGGGCGGAGGGGCTCCTCACTTCTCAGACGGGGGAGCTGCCGGGCGGAGGGTCTCCTCACTTCTCAGACGGGGCGGCCGGGCAGAGACGCTCCTCACCTCCCAGACGGGGTCGCGGCCGGGCAGAGGCGCTCCTCACATCCCAGATGGGGCGGCGGGGCAGAGGCGCTCCCCACATCTCAGACGATGGGCGGCCGGGCAGAGACGCTCCTCACTTCCTAGATGAGATGGCGGCCGGGAAGAGGCGCTCCTCACTTCCTAGATGGGATGGCGGGCGGGCAAAGACGCTCCTCACTTTCCAGACTGGGCAGACAGGCAGAGGGGCTCCTCACATCCCAGAAGATGGGCGGCCAGGCAGAGACGCTCCTCACTTCCCAGACGGGGTGGCGGCCGGGCAGAGGCTACAATCTCGGCACTTTGGGAGGCCAAGGCAGGCGGCTGGGAGGTGGAGGTTGTAGCGAGCCGAGATCACGCCACTGCACTCCAGCCTGGGCACCATTGAGCACTGAGTGAACGAGACTCCATCTGCAATCCCGGCACCTCAGGAGGCCGAGGCTGGCGGATCACTCGCGGTTAGGAGCTGGAGACCAGCCCGGCCAACACAGCGAAACCCCGTCTCCACCAAAAAAATACGAAAAGCAGTCAGGCGTGGCGGCGCACGCCTGCAATCGCAGGCACTCGGCAGGCTGAGGCAGGAGAATCAGGCAGGGAGGTTGCAGTGAGCCGAGATGGCAGCAGTACAGTCCAGCTTCCGCTCGGCATCAGAGGGAGACGGTGGGGAGAGGGAGAGGGAGAGGGAGACCATGGGGAGAGGGAGCGGGGGAGGGGGAGGGGGAGGGAGAGATTTATCCCAATTTTAAATGCAAATTCCTTTGACTCAGGAATCTTCCTTCTAGGAAATCTATCCTGCAGACTTATTCAAATGTCCAAACTTTTTTTGTACAAGAATATTCATTAAAACTTTATTTTTAATAGTTAAGGATTACATATATAAATTATGAAGTATCTGTACAATGAAATATTATGCAGCCATTAAAAAGAACGGCCTATATGAAGGTACATGGAGGAATCTTCACAGTACATCAGTACACTCTTAAATGAATGCAGCAAAATGATTGCTTTTTTTTTTTTTTTTTTTTGAGACAAGGTCTTCCTCTCTCACCCAGGCTGGAATGCAGTGGCATGATCATGGCTCATGGCAGCCTTGAACTCCTGAGCTCAAGCAATCCTCCTGCCTCACCCTCCCAAGTAGTTGGGATTACAGGTGCACACCACCATGCCTGGCTAATTTTTTCAGTATTTATTTATTATTTATTTTTGAGACAGAGTCTTGCTTTGTTGCCCAGGCTGGAGTACAGTGGTGCAATCTTGGCTCATTGCAACCTCTACTTCCTGAGTTCAAGTGATTCTCCTGCCCCAGCCTCCTGAGTAACTAGGACTACAGGCACGTGCCACCATGCCCGGCTAATTTTTGTATTTTTAGTAGAGACGGGGTTTCACCGTGTTAGCCAGGATGGTCTCAATCTCCTGACCTCATGATTGCCCATCTTGGCCTCCCAAAGTGCTGGAATTACAGGCGTGAGCCACCATGCCTAGCCAACATTTTTTTTTTTTTTTTTGAGGAGACAGGAGATCTTGCTATGTTTCTCAGGCTTGTCTCAAATCCCTGACCTCAAGTAATCTTCCTGCCCCGGCCTCTCAAAATGCTGGGATTACGGCGTAAGCCACTGACTCTGACCGTGATTCTATTTTTGTAATTAAAAACAACAACAACAATCAAAACTCTCAGTGTGTATCAGTTAGCATTCTTTTTTTTGTTTTTTTTTTTTGTTTTTCAGATGGAGTCTTGCTCTTGTTGCCCAGGGTGGAGTGCAATGGCATGATCTTGGCTCACTGCAACCTCTGTCTCCTAGGTTCGAGTGATTCTCCTGCCTCAGCCTCCCGAGTAGCTGAGATTACAGGCACCTACCACCACGTCTGGCTAATTTGTGTATTTTTAGTAGAGAAGGGGTTTCCTCATGTTGGCCAGGCTGGTCTTGAACTCCTGACCTCGTAATCCGCCAGCCTCGGCCTCCCAAAGTGTTAGGATTACAGGCGTGAGCCACCATGCCTGGCCCAGTTAGCATTCCTAATAGCAAATAACATACTTTACTGTAACTAGTTTTAGCAGAAAATAATTGATTAAGTCTTTTGAAAAATCCCTGGGACAGCCAGAGTTCAGGCTTAGAGCCTCTGCTACCATTAACAATACTCAAACCAGACCACAAGGCTTCTCTAGCACAGACCCCACTGCTACGACTGTCTACACCAACAGTGCTCAGCATTAGGTACCAGACCTCCTTTATGATTACTCCTGAGAAGCTGTATTGTCAGCGTTCTCCAGAGAAACAGACTATAAACACACACACACACACACACACACGTCTATTTATACAAATGTATACATGTATAAAGAGATGTGTTATGGGAATTGGCTCATGCAACTATGGAGGCTGAGAAGTCCCACCATCGGAGCGCCTCTGCCCCGCCGCCCCATCTGGGATGTGAGGAGCGCCTCTGCCCGGCCGAGACCCCGTCTGGGAAGTGAGGAGTGTCTCTGCCCGGCCGCCCCGTCTGAGAAGTGAGGAGACCCTCTGCCTGGCAACCACCCCGTCTGAGAAGTGAGGAGCCCCTCCGCCCGGCAGCTGCCCCGTCTGAGAAGTGAGGAGCCTCTCCGCCCGGCAGCCACCCCATCTGGGAAGTGAGGAGTGTCTCCGCCCGGCAGCCACCCCGTCCGGGAGGGAGGTGGGGGGGTCAGCCCCCCGCCCGGCCAGCCGCCCCATCCGGGAGGGAGGTGGGGGGGCAGCCCCTCTGCCCGGCCAGCCGCCCCATCCGGGAGGGAGGTGGGGGGTCAGCCCCCCGCCCGGCCAGCCGCCCCGTCCGGGAGGGAGGTGGGGGGGGGGGTCAGCCCCCCTGCCCGGCCAGCCGCCCCGTCCGGGAGGTGAGGGGCGCCTCTGCCCGGCCGCCCCTACTGGGAAGTGAGGAGCCCCTCTGCCCGGCCACCACCCCGTCTGGGAGGTGTGCCTAACAGCTCATTGAGAACGGGCCAGGATGACAATGGCGGCTTTGTGGAATGGAAAGGCGGGAAAGGTGGGGAAAAGATTGAGAAATCGGATGGTTGCCGTGTCTGTGTAGAAAGAAGTAGACATGGGAGACTTTTCATTTTGTTCTGCACTAAGAAAAATTCCTCTGCCTTGGGATCCTGTTGATCTGTGACCTTACCCCCAACCCTGTGCTCTCTGAAACATGTGCTGTGTCCACTCAGGGTTAAATGGATTAAGGGCGGTGCAAGATGTGCTTTGTTAAACAGATGCTTGAAGGCAGCATGCTCGTTAAGAGTCATCACCCATCCCTAATCTCAAGTAATCAGGGACACAAACACTGCGGAAGGCCGCAGGGTCCTCTGCCTAGGAAAACCAGAGACCTTTGTTCACTTGTTTATCTGCTGACCTTCCCTCCACTATTGTCCCATGACCCTGCCAAATCCCCCTCTGTGAGAAACACCCAAGAATTATCAATAAAAAAATAAATTTAAAAAAAAAAAAAAAAAAAAAAGAAGTCCCACCATCTGTCATCTATAAGCTGGAGAACCAGGAAGGTGAGGGCTAAACTCTGACCTTTTTCCTTGCTTGCCCAAATTCTTATCCAAGGGACCTGAGGAGTTATGCCCTACAAACCATAAAATCTCATCAGATGGATTTTATTTAACCCTATATAATGTAGTGTACTTTCCAACTTGACTGTGGCATAACATCACATAACAGAAATAGAAGGAAATCAAAATATTTTACGTGAAAATGTTTCTTTGCTTTTTTTTTTTTTTTTTTTTGACAGTCTTACTTTGTCTCCCAGGGTGGAGTGCAGTGGCTCAATCTTGGCTCACTGCAACCTCTGCCTCCTGGGTTCAAGCAATTCTCCTGCCTCAGCCTCCCGAGTAGCTAGGACTACAGGCGTGCGCCACCACACTCAACTAATTTTTGTATTTTTAGTAGAGAGCGTTTCACCATGTTGGCCAGGCTAGTCTCGAACTCCTGACCTCAAATGATCCACCCGCCTTGGCCTCCCAAAGTGCTGGGATTACAGGCGTGAACCACGGCATCTGGCCTAACCCATATGTATTGACTGATGTCTTAACATCTCCCTAAAATTTATCAAATCAAATTGTAACCCAACTACCTTGGGCACATGTTGGGAGGACCTCTTGAGACTGTGCCTCAGGCCTTGGTCACTCACACTTGACTCAGAATAAACCTCCTTAAATATTTTATAGGATTTGACTCTTTTCATTGACCAAAGCCAGCGTGTAATTCAGTTTGAACCCGAAGGCCTGGGAACCAGGAGACCTGATGATGTAACTCCCAGTCCAAGTAAGGATGCCTGATGAGAGGGGGTGGAGGTTGGGAGGCTCTGGTGTAAGTCCAGTAGTCTGGCAGGACTGAGAACCGGGAACTCTGATGTCCCAGGGCAGGAGAAGATGGATGTCCCAGTTCAAGAAGAGAGGAAGAGAATTTCCTGTTTGTGATATTGTGAAATATATATTTGGTTTTGTCCCTGTTTCCTGGCCCACAACTTCTAAAACCCTTGGAATCTCCACAGTGATAAGAGCATCTTTTGTATCCTAATGAGGCGGCTGACGACTCCCAGGGAACTTCAGGATAGGGGCTGGTCACCAGAAAAACCAAGGCATGATTAGAGGGTTGGAACTTTCACTCCCACCCCCAACCTCTCAGGAGGGGAGATGGGTTAAAGCTTGAGTTGGTCACCAATGGCCAATGATTTAATCAATTATGTTTACACAATGAAGCTTCCATAAAAACCCAAAAGGAATTGGTTTGGAGAGCTTCCAAATAGCTGAACATGTTGAAGGTGCTTGGAGGGTGGTGAGCCTGGAGACGGCATGAAAGCTCCGTGCTCTTCCCACATGCGTTGCCCTATGCATCTCTTCCATGTGGCTGCTCATCTGTATCCTTTGTGAAATCCCTTTTAATTTAATTTAATTTTAATTTTATTTTATTGAGGCAGGGCCTTGCTCTGCTGCCCAGGCTGGAGTGCAGTGGCATGATCTTGGCTCACTGCATCCCTAACCTCCCGGCCTCAAGTGATCCTTCCACCTCGGCCTCATGAGTAGCTGGGACCACAGGTGTGTGCCTCCATGCCTGGCTAATTTTTTTATTTTTTGTAGAGATGGGGTTTTGCCATATTGCCCAGGGTGGTTTCAAACTCCTGAGACTGGTCTGATCCTCCTGCCTTGGCCTCCCAAAGTTCTGAGATTCCAGGCATGAGCCACTGCACCTGGCCGTGATATTCTTTAGAATAAATGGGTATCCAATGATGATGACTACTTAAATAAACAAATAAGTAAATAAATGGGTAATTGTAAGTATTTTCCTGAGTTCTGTGGGAGCTGTCTTATCAAATTAATTGAACCTGAGAAGGAGATGGTAGAAACCCCAGTTTATATCTGATTGGTCAGAAGTATAGATGACAACTTATTACTTGTGACTGGTATCTGAAATGGGGGGTATTCTTGTGGGATTGAGCCCTCAACCTGTAGGATCTGACACTATCTCCAGGCAGATAGTGTCAGAATTGAATTGAATTATAGGCCATCCAGTTGATGTCCACCAGAGAATTGACTGCTTGGTGTGTGGGGAAAATAACTCCACACATCCAATGTCAGAAATATTGTACTGAGTGAGAGTAGAAAATAGGAAAAGCAAAGTTTTTTGTTGTTGTTGTTTTGTTTTGTTTTGTTACACCTTTACTCTGCCCTGTTGTTCTGTTCGAGGCCTCAATAGATTGGTGAGGGCAATCTTGATTGATTATCTCAATAGATGTAGAAAAGGCTTTCAATAAAATTCAACATCCTTCATGTTAAAAATTCTCAATAAACTAGGCATTGAAGGAATATACCTCAAAATAATAAGAGCCATCTATGACAAACCCACAGCCAACATCATATTGAATGGGCAAAAGCTGGAAGCATTCCCCTTGAAAACCAGCACAAGACAAGGATGCCCTCTCTCACCACTCCTATTCAACACAGTATTGGAAGTCCTGGCCAGAGCAATAAGGCAAGAGAAAGAAATAAAGGGATCCAAATAGGAGGAGAGGAAATCAAACTATCCTTGTTTGCAGATGATATGATTGTACATCTAGAAAACCCCGTAGTCTCAGCCCAAATCTCCTTCAGGTGATAAACAATTTCAGCAAAGTTTCAGGATACAAAATCAACATACAAAAATCACTAGCATTCCTTTACACCAACAACAGCCAAGCCAAGAGCCAAATCAGGGACGGAATCCCATTCACAATTGCCACAAAAAGATTAAAATACCTAGGAATACAGCTAACCAGGGAGGTGAAACATCTCTACAATGAGAGTTACAAAACACTGCTCAAATAAATCATAGATAACACAAACAAATGGAAAACATTTCATGCTCATGCATAGGAAGAATCAATATCATTAAAATGGACATACTGCCCAAAGCAATTACAGAGTCAATGCTATTCCTATCAAACTACCAATGACATTCTTCACAGAACTAGAGAAAACTATCTTGGCCGGGCGCGGTGGCTCACACCTGTAATCCCAGCACTTTGGGAGGCTAAGGTGGGCGGACCACCTGAGGTCAGGAGTTGGAGACCAGCCTGACCAACATGGAGAAACCCTGCCTCTACTAAAAATACCAAAAAATTAGCCAGGCATGGTGGCACATGCCTGTAATCCCAGCTACTGAGGAGGCTAAGGCAGGAGAATTGCTTGAACCTGGGAGGCAGAAGTTGCAGTGAGCCAAGATTGCGCCATTGCACTCCAGCCTGGGCAACAAGAGTGAAACTCTGTCTCAAAAAAAAAAAAAAAAAAAAACAACCTATCTTAAAATTCATATGGAACCAAAAAAGAGTCCGATAGCCAAGGCAATTCTGAGTGAAAAGAACAATGCTAGAGGCATCATGTTACCTGACTTCAAACTATACTACAGGGCTACAGTAACCAAAATGACATGGAACTGGTACAAAAACAAACACATAGACCAACAGAATGGAATAGATAACCCAGAAATAAGTATGTACACCTACAACCATCTGATCTTCAACAAAGCTGTCAAAAACAAGCAATGGGGAAAGGAATCCCTATTCAATAAATGGTGCTGGGATATGCAGAACTGGGTAGGCATATGCAGAAGATTGAAACTAGACCCCTTCCTTACACCATAAGCAAAAATAAACTCAAGATGAATTAAAGCCCTAAACCCTGGAAGACAACCCAAGCAATACCATTCTGGACATAGGAACAGGGAAAGATTTCATGATGAAAACACCAAAAGCAATCGTAACAAGAGCAAAAATTGACAAATGGAATCTGATTGAACTTAAGAGCTTCTGCACAGCAAAAGAAACTATCAACAGAGTAAACAAACAACCCACAGAATGGGAGAAAATATTAACAAACTATGCATGTGACAAAGGTCTAATATCCAGCATCTATAAAGAACTTAAAACAAATTTACAAGAAAAAAACCAAACAACTCCATTAAAAAGTGGGCAAAGGACATGAACAGACACTTTTCAAAACAAGACATACATGCGGCCAACAAGCATATGAAGAAAACCTCAATATCACTGATCATTAGAGAAATGCAAATCAAAACCGCAATGAGATACCATCTCACACCAGTCAGAATGGCTATTATTAAAAAGTCAAAAAATAACAGATGCTGGTGAAGTGGAGGAGAAGAGGGAACACTTACACGCTCTTGGTGGGAGTGTAAATTAGTTCAACCTTTATGGAAAGCAGTGTGGTGATTCCTCAAAGTGCTAAAAACAGAACTACCATTTGACCCAGCAATCCCATTATTGGGTATATACCCAAAGGAATAGAAATCATTCTACCATAAAGACACATGCATGCGAATGTTCAATGAAGCACTATTCACAATAGCAAAGACATGGAATCAACCTAAATGCCCATCAGTGACAGACTGGATAAAGGAAATGTGGTATATATACACTATGGAATATTATGCAGCCATAAAAAGAATGAGATCATGTCTTTTGTGGGAACATGGATGCAGCTGGAGGCCATTATCCTTAGCAAACTAATGCAGGAACAGAAAACCAAATTCACATGTTCTCACTTATAAGTGGGAGCTAAATGATGAGAACTTATGGACACAAAGAGGGGAACAACAGACACTGAGGCCTACTTGAGGGTGGAGGATGGGAGTAGGGAGGTGATCAGAAAAAATAACTATTGGGTACAAGGCTTAGTACCTGGGTGACAAAATAATCTGTACAACAAACTCCTGTGACCTGAGTTTACCTATATAACAAGCTTGCACAGGTACCCCTCAACCTAAATAAAAGTTAAAAAAATAGTATAGAGCCTCAGTCACAGCCTGAGTTCTAGCAGCAAGGGAAAAGAAATTCTAGCTCCTCTGTTGGTAAGATGAACTGCATAATGTCAGGAATGCCCCCCAAATAGGAAAGCTATTCAAAAGATCCTAGTTTTCCCCAAATAGAAAACCTATTCAGAAGATACACAAAGCATGATGCATGTTCACTGCACTCCTCCCCTTGGCTGCCCAACATCTGCTTTCATATTTAAATTCCCAAAACAATAACAACAAACTCTTCTAACTCATAATTTATTTATCCTGTGTACAAATGAAAATGAACTTACTCTTCCCCCCATAGGAGGACATTTGAAAGCCCCAAGACTTACTGCATCTAGCTCCAAGACTAGGATCTCTGGGTAATGTCCCATTTTCTTTTAATTCTGTCATAGTCCTGCCTTGGTATTCTGCAAATAGATTGTAAAGTTAACTAACAAAAAATAAATATTTTTATAAAATGGGGAAAATTCATAAAAAATGTCAACACAGCAAATAAGAAAATATGGGTGCATACTATAGTCCTCATTTATGCAACTGATCGCTAGGCCAGAGTTGATCTTTGTAATTTCCTCCTTCCACTACTCATTCCATGCTCTCTTAGCTCACAACCAGCAGCTCAGCCCAGCAACTCAGCCCAGCAGCTCTTCATCTGGTGGTGTGACCCAGACCTTTATTTCTAAAGAATCTGGGCCCTTGGTGCCCTTATGAGGTTGCTTTCTATTAACTTTTAACCCCTAAATATGATATTAGGAGCCATCTGCAAGATATTCCCCTAGATTCTAAGTAGCTCTTTTTTTTTGCTCCCATTGTACAGCAGCAACCCTATTTCTTCTATTTCACATTTTTGAAAATCAGGATCAATAACCAATAATGATCCAATATTTTGATCTCATCTTTTTCCTGATTATTCAATGGTAGAAAAGCCCCAAAAGTCTAGGAGACAGTGTCAACTTCCAGTTCAATGGAACCATTCTTGTGTTCCCTGGTGGAAGCATGGGAACATGCTTGCTTTCTTTTTTTTTCAGTATTCTTTTTCTGACTTCTTAATTTAAGACCTATCTGATTATCAGCCCCTTGCTTTTCTAATATACGCATTTAAAGCTATAAATTTCCTTTAGAGGACCATGTTGGCTTCATCCCACATGAAAAATCTGGTAAAATTTGTCGAGCTTCAATAAATAGACCATGGACCAGAATATGATCTATCTGGGTGGACATTCTAGTTGCATTTGAAAAGAATGTGTATTTTGCAGTTGCTGTAAATAGCATTTTATAAATGTCAATTAGGTCAAGTTTGTTGTTAGAATTGTTCAAATCATCTATGTTTTCTGATTTATTATCTACTTGATCCATCAATTATTGAGAGAGGTGTAAACATCTCCAACTACAGTTGTGAATTTGCTTATTTCTCCCTTTTGCTCTGTCAGTTTTTCTTCATATATATATTTTTTGTTTTTGTCTTTTTTTTTGAAACAGTCTTGGTCTGCTGTGGCGCAATCTCGGCTCACTGCAACCTCCGCTTCCTGAGTTCAAGCGATTCTCCTGTCTTAGCCTCTGGAGTAAGCTGGGACTACAGGCATGCAACACCACGCCTGGCTAATTTTTATATTTTTAATAGAGACGAGGTTTCACCATGTTAGCCAGGCTGGTCTCGAACTCCTGACCTCAAGTGGTCGGCCTGCCTTAGCCTCCCAAAGTGCTGGGATTACAGGTGTGAGCCACTGTGCCTGGCCTTTTCATATATTTTGAATCTTTGTTATAGGTGCAAACATGTTTAACATTGGTATAGCTTTCTGAAGGATTGACTGTTTCGTCATTATGGTCATGTCTCTTTTTATTTCTGGTAACACTCTTGTCTTTTCTTTTTTTAAATAATTGAAATCGGGTGTGGTGGCTCATGCCTGTAATCCCATCACTTTGGGACCAGCTCAGGCTGGTCCAGGAGTTCAAGACCAGCCTGAGCAACATAACAAGACCCTGTCTCAATTATTTTATCTATTTATTTTAAAATATATGTATTGTAGAGATAGGGTCTCACTCTGCTGCCCAGGTTGGTCTTCAAATCCTGACCTCAAGCAATCCTCCTGCCTCAGCCTCCCAAAGTGTTGGGATTACAGGTGTGAACCACTGTGTCTGGCCAATACTCCTTGTCTTGAAGTCTGCCTTATCTGATATTAAAATAGTTACACTAGCTTTCTTATGCTTCCAGTTAGCATGTTATATCCTTTTTCCATCCTTTTACTTTCAACTGATCTGTGTCTTTACATTTAAAGTACATCTCTTGTAGATAACAAATAGTTGGGTCTTTTTTTCCCCCAGTCTGTAAATCTCTTGCCTTTTAATTGAATGGCTTAGTCCATTTATACTTGATGTAATTATTGAAATGGTTGTATTTACGTTTAACATCTTGCTATTTGTTTTTTATTTATCCCGTCTATTTGTACATCAATTCGCCTTTCTTTCCTTCTTTTAGGTTAACTGATTATATTTTTAGAACTCTATTTTATTTATTTCCTCTATTGGCTTTTTAGTTATGCCTCTTTTTATTTTTAGTGGTTGAGCTAGTTATTAAAATATACAGCCTATGTAGAATTACAATAATATAATTCTGTTTACTTCTCTTTCTTCTGTAACACTGTTGTCATATATTTTATTTATACATACATTGTAAACCCCAAAATACAATGTTATTTTTTGTTTAACATTATGCTAGGTGAATGAAGCCAGTCACAAAAGACCACAAGCTGTATGATTCCATTTTTATGAGATGTACAGAATAGGAAAATCTGTAGTGACAGAAAATAGTTCAACGGTTGCCTAGACCTGTGGAGGAGGTGCTGGGGAAAGGGGAGTTGACTACCAACAAGTACAGGTTTTGTTTTTGTTTATTTGTTTTGGTGGGTGTCTTAGTTAGGTCTGGCTGCCGTAACAAAATACCATAGACTGGGTGGCTTAAATAACAGAAACTTTCTTCCCAGTTTTGGCGGCTGAAAGTTCAAGATCAGGGTGCCAGCATGGTCGAGTTCTGGTGAGGGCTCTCTTCCTGGCTTGAAGATGGCCATTTTCTTTCTCTCTTTCTTTCCTTTTTTTTTTTTTTTCCCCCATGACACAGCTCGAGGAGGTCCTGAGAACATGTGCCCCATGGCCACTTTTCACACTGTGTCCTTGCATGGTGGAAAAAGAGCAAGAACAAGCTCTCCTGTGTCTCTTCTTATAAGGCACTAGTCCTATCCTGATGCTTCTACCCTCCTGAGCTCATCTAAACCTAATTACCTGTCAAAGACTCCATCTCCACATATCCTAGTCCGCCCTTATTGCAGACCCCCAGGGCATGATTGAAACCACAGATAGTACCAAACCATATGTATACTACATTTTTCTTGTACCTACGAGAGCATTTAATTTATAAATCAGGCACAGTAAGATATTAACAAAAATAATAATACAATTAAACAATTATAACAATATGCCAGCATCACTACTCTTGCACTTTGTGGACCCATTATTAAGTAAAATAAGGGTTACTTGAATACAAGCACTGTGATTCTACAACAGCCGATCTGATAACCAAGGTGGCTAAGTGACTAATGGGCAGGTAGCATACACAGCATTGATATGCTGGACAAAGGGATGACTCATGTCCCAGGTGGGATGGAGCAGGACGGCGTGAGATTTCATCACGCTACTCAGAATGGCACACAATTCTTCGAGACCAGCTTGGGCAACATGGCATAACCCTGTCTCTACAAATAATACAAAAAATTAGCTGAGCGTGGTGGCATGTGCCTGTAGTCCCAGCTACCTGGGAGGCTGAGGATCATCTGAGCCCAGGAGATTGAGGCTGCGGTGAGCCATGATCATGCCACTCTACTCCAGCCTGGGCGACAGACTGAGATCCTGTTTCAAAACAAAACAAAAACCTTATGAATTGTTTATTATTTATTTTTTATATATTTATTTATTTTTGAGACGGAGTCTTGCTCTGTTGCCCAGGCTGGAGTGCAGTGGCTTGATCTCGGCTCACTGCAAGCTCTGCCTCCCGGGTTCACACCATTCTCCTGCCTCAGCCTCCCGAGTAGCTGGGACTACAGGCGCCTGCCACCACGCCCGGCTAATTTTTTGTATTTTTAGTAGAGACGGGGTTTCATTGTGTTAGCCAGGATGGTCTCGATCTCCTGACCTCGTGATCCGCCCGCCTCGGCCTCCCAAAGTGCTGGGATTACAGGCGTGAGCCACCGCGCCCGGCCCATGAATTGTTTATGTCTGGAATTCTCCATGTAATATTTTCAGCCATGGTTAACTACGGGTAACTAAAATTGAAGAAAGTAAAACTACTTTCTGTGCCATTATACTGTAAGAGGAAACTGCTGTACAATGATACTGAGGGTTAGGGCTTCAACATACAAATTCCGGGGGGGGAACACAATTTAGTTCATAGCAGCGGGTGATGAAAATGTTCTAAAATTGACTGTGATGATGGTTGCACAACTCTGTGAAAATATTAAAAACCATTTAATTGTACATTTAAATAGGGAAACTGTAGGGTGTGTGAATTATAGCTCAACAAAGCTGTTAATTTTTTAAAAAATAGTTATACTTTATAAAAATTGTGAAAAGAGACCAGTGCTCCAGAGGCCATCACCATGCAGAGCCGGGGCAGAAGCCACGGTTGAGAGGTGGGAGGAGGAGGGGAAGGAGATAGGAATAGATTCCCACAGGGCGGTTATCCTGTGTATAAGAGTGTGAGGGCTGGGAGAGATGGCTCAAGCCTGTAATCCCAGCACTTTGGGAGGCCGAGGTGGGAGGATCCCTTGAGCTCAGGAGTTTGAGGCTGTAGTGAACTATGACTATGCCGCTGCACTCCAGCCTGGGCAACAGAGGGAGATCTTGTCAAAAAAAAAAAAAAAAAAAAAAAAAAGCATGTGTGTCCCACAGCACCTTCAATGGCATTTACTAGATTGTCAGTATTTAAACAGACCCTAACATGCATGAGTACAAGCTAATGGTCCTTGGTTCAGGAGGTGTTAGGAAGTCTACTCTGACAATTTAGTTTATTCAGGGAATTTTTGTTGAAAAATATGATCCAATGATAGAAGATTCCTGCCAAAAGCAAATTGAAGAAGATTGCCAATAGCGCATGCTCAAAATCTTGGATATAGCAGGGACAGAGCAACTTACAGCAATGAGGGATTTGTGTATGAAGAATAGCCAAGGGTTTGCACTAGTATATTCTCTTTTTTTTTTTTTTTTTTTTTTTATAAAGACAGGTCTCACTTTGTTGCCCAGGCTGGAGCGCAGTGGTGCGATCACAGCTCATTGTAGTATCCACCTCCCTAGCTCACAGGATCCTCCCGCCTCAGCCTCTCAAATAGCTGGGACTACAGATGTGCACAACCATGCCCGGCTAGTTCTTTATTTTTTGTAGAGACGGAGTCTCACTATATTGCCTAGGCTGGTCTCACACTCTTGGGTTCAAGTGATCCTTCCGCCTTGGCCTCCAAAAGCGTTAGGATTACAGGTGTGAGCCACCATGCCTGGCCTGCACTAGTATATTCTTTTTTTTTTTTTTTTTTTTTTTTTTGAGACGGAGTCTCACTCTGTCACCCAGGCTGGAGTGCAGTGGCGCAATCTGGGCTCACTGCAAGCTCCGCCTCCTGGGTTCACGCCATTCTCATGCCTCAGCCTCCCAAGTAGCTGCGACTACAGGCGCCTGCCACCACGCCCAGCTAATATTTTGTATTTTTAGTAGAGACGGGGTTTCACTGTGTTAGCCAGGATGGTCGCGATCTCCTCACCTCGTGAACTGCCTGCCTCAGCGTCCCAAAGTGCTGGGAATATAGGCGTGAGCCACCGCGCCTGGCCACACTAGTGTATTCTATAACAGCTCAGTCCATGTTTAATGACTTACAGGACCTGAAGGAACAGATTTTATAGGTTAAGGACACAGAAGATGTTTCAATGATTTTGTTGGGAATAAATGTGACCTGGAGATGAGTGAGTAGTTGGCAAAGAACAGGCAGACAGTGGTATAACTGTGCCTTTTAGAACCTTTTGCAAGGTCAAAGTTAAACTTCTTTTTTTTTTTTTTAATACAGAGTCTCAGTCTGTCGCCCAGGCTGGAGTGCAGTGGCACCATCTCAGCTCAGTGCAACCTCTGCCTCCCAGGCTCAAGTGATGTTCAAGCAATTCTCTCTCATGCCTCAGCCTCTCGAGTAGCTGGGATTACAGGCACCCGCCACCATGCCCGGCTGATTTTTGTATTTTTAGTAAAGACAGGGTTTCACCATGTTGACCAGGCTGGCCTGGAACTCCTGGCCTCAAGTGACCTACCCGCCTCAGCCACGCAAAGTGCTGGGATTACAGGCGTGAGCTACCACGCCCGGCTCAAAGTTAAACTTTAATGAGCTATTTTGTGACCTGGTCACAGATAAATAGAAAAACACCAGTGGAAAAGAAGAAACTTAAAAAGAAATCATGTTTGCTGCTCCAGGTCCATAGTCAGCAGCAGCTCTGAGCCAGATTACAGGAATGAACTGTTGCCTACTTGGAAAGTGCCAGCATTCTAGACTTCAAAAAATCAATCTGAGGAACTTCTCCTGTTTTACATATTATGTGAAGAATTTAGATCTTATATTGGTTTGCACTAGTTCCATGAAGAAAAAAATGTTCTGTGTGTATTTCTTGGAAAATAAGACAATATTTTTCCTTTGCGGTAGCAGTTATAACACATGTGAAAATAAATATACTTTAATGTGAGTATACTAAAGAGCATGGATGCATTTCAAATGGTAGATATTTCTACTATGATTAAAGTGTTTCATATTGACCTTTTTTAAAATCATGATTCCTTCCTGTCAAGCACTAAAAAGTTGTACCATTATGTTTTATATCTGTTATGATATAAATGATGAAATTTCCCCTCAAACTCATCGCAGTGATAACTTTTTTGAGTCATTGACTTCACTTTATATTTTAAATATTATGAAATATCATCTGTCATTATATTCAAATTAAAATTGTTTTCATATAAGGCTTTGGAAAAATGGTCTTTTATAGGAAGAAAACTGGGATAATTGATTTCTATGGCTTTCAAAGCTAAAACATAATATATTAAACAAACTCTAGTATTGCTTCTTGTGTTTTACTTTCAGATTAAATTACTGCTTTTATGGATAACTGAATTTTAATATATTAAAAAGAGATTAAGAAAAGAAAAAATAATTTCTGTATTTACCTACAAATTTGCCATTTCCAATGTCTTTCATTTATTTCTGTAGATCTGTATAATGTAGTATAATTTATCTTCAGTGTGAATAATTTTCTTTACCACTTCTTGAGGTGCAGTCTCCAAGTGACAAATTATCTCAGCTTTTGTTTAACTGAAAATGTCACTATTTCACCTTCATTGTTAAAGGATAATTTTGTTGGATATATAATTTTGGGTTGACGGTTTTTTCCCCGCTTTCAGCACTTTAAAAATGTAGCTCCAAGCTGGGCGTGGTGGAGCGTGCTTGTAGTCCCAGCTACTTAGGAGGCTGAGGCAGTAGGATCCCTTGAGCCCAGGAGTTCAAGGATATAGTACATTATGATTGTGTCTGTGAATAGCCACTGTACTCCAGCCTGGGTAACATAGTGAGAACCTTTCTCTTGAAAAAAATAAAAATTAGTTCCATTGTTTGCTGGCCTTCGTTACTACTTATGAGATGTCAAGCATCTTTTATATCATTTTCCCCTAGTATATAAAGTGTCTCTTGGCTGGGCATGGTGGCTCATGCCTATAATTCCAGCACTTTGGGAGGCTGAGACAGGCAGATCACCTGAGGCCAGGAGTTGGAGACCAGCCTGGCCAACATGGAGAAATCCCGTCTCTACTAAAGATACAAAAAATTAGCCGGGTGTGGTGGTGGGCACCTGTAATCCCATCTACTCAGGAGGCTGAGGCGGGAGAATTGCTTGAACTTGTGAGGCAGAGGTTGCAGTGAGCCGAGATTGCGCCATTTCACTCCAGCCTGGGCAGCAAGAGCAAAACTCCATCTCAAAAAAAATAAAAAAATAAAGTGTCTCTCTTTTTTTGCTGCCTTTCCCCACTTTACTTTTCCCAACATCTTAGTATGAAAAATTTCAAATATAAAACAAAGTTGAAATAATGGAACAGTGAACATATGATACATACCCATCTTGATTCTACTTTTTACTATATTTGCTTTAACATGCATCTATTCATCCTTCACTCCATTTTATTCTTTGGATGCAATTCAAAGTTGTACATCCAATGGTGTGCTGATAAACATTTAACAAGTAGATCCCTGAAAAAAAAAGTCTCGTTTTGTAGTATTTGCCAATTACTATTGTGTAAATACTCCCATTATGTCTGATTCCAAGCTATCAATGTGATACCACTGAATACAGAGCTGGGAAGAGATGCTCAATAGCACACCATTATGTAGGCTATTCACATGCAAAAGAATGAAGTTGGACCATTTTACAGCATATACAAAAATTAACTCAAAATGTATCAAAGGCCTAAGTAAGTGTAAGGTCTAAAACAATACAATTCCTAGAAGTAAACATAGAGTAAAAGCTTCATGACATTAGATTTAACAATGATTTCTCGGATATGATACCAAAGGGACAGGCAGCAAAAGAAAAAATAGACAAATCAAACTTAAAGAAAATTAAAATAAGCCAGGCACAGTGGCTCACACCTGTAATCCCAGCACTTTGGGAGGCCGAGGCAGGCAGATCGTGCATCAGCTCAGGATGTCGTGACCAGCTTGGGTAACATGGTGAAACCCTGTCTACAAAAAATACAAAAAAATTAGCTGGGTGTGGTGGCACATGCCTGTAGTCCTAGTTACTCAGGAGGCTGAGGTGGGAGGATCACCAGAGCCTGGGAGGTTGAGGCTGCAGTAAGCTGTGATTGCGCCACCGCACTCCAGCCTGGGCAACAGAGGAGACCCAGTCTCAAAAAATAAATCAATAAATAAAGCAAAATAAAAATAAAAATAAAAGCATTTTGTGCATTAAAGACACTGTCAACGGAGTAAAAGGCAACCCACAGAATGGGAGAAAATGTTTGCAAATCAAATACCTGATAAAAAATTAGTATCTAGGCCAGGTGCGGTGGCTCATGCCTGTAATCCCAGCACTTTGGGAGGCTGAAGGGGGTGGATCACTTGAAGCGAGGAGTTCAAGACCAGCCTGGCCAACATGGTGAAACCCTGTCTCTATCAAAAATATAAAAATTAGCTGGGAGTGGTGGCACGTGCCAGTAATCTCAGCTACTTGGGAGGCTGAGGCAGGATAATCGTTTGAACCTGGGAGACGGAGGTTGGAGTGAGCCGAGATTGCACCACTGCCCTCCAGCCTGGGTGACAGAGTCTTGCTCTGTTTCAAAATACTAATACTAATACTACTACTAATAATAATATCCAGATTATATAGATAACTCCTGAAACACAGCAACAAAAAATCAAACAACCTGATTTAAAAATGGGCAAACGATTTAAGTAGACATTTCTCCAAAGAAGATATACAAGCAGCCAGTAAGTACACGAAAATATGCTCAACGTTACTAGTTATTAGGGAAATGCAAATCAAAACTACGAGATATCACTGTCAAAGAAAAAAATCAGCTTAAAAGTTAGCTTTATTCAGAGTCTTACTGAGGATTGCAACCGTGAGAGTCAAAGAGTTTTTGTTAGACTGCTTCAAAGCAGCGTTTCAGCCCACAGTTTAGGTATCAGGTGGGGAGGCTCTGCCTGTGTTCAGAAGTTACATCAAATGTGCTCAGAAGTTACGTTACAGCAAAATCTCATCAAAGTTTGACATAATCATTAATCCTGTTGGACACTATCTTACGTACAGGAAAAGGCAAGGGCTAGGATCTTTGAACTTACTTTTTCTAAAAATGCAGTGATTCAGGGAAGAGATGTGGGAGCCTGTGCTCTGTTCTGCTTGTCGTCTTCAAGGCGTTCTTCCAGAGGGCCACGCTCAGTTGCTGAGTCAAGGGTTTGTGAAGTTGGGCTGACAAGCAGAAGGAGAAATCATGGCTTCTCAAGGCAGGGGCTGATCAGAGGCAAACATTTGCCACTTTGTCTCACACCATCTCATGCCCATTAGGATGACTACTATTTAAAAAACAGAAAATAGGCTGGGCATGGTGGCTCACACCTGCAATCCCAGCACTTTGGGAGGCCGAGGTGGGTGGATCACAAGGTCAGGAGTTCAAGACCAGCCTGGCCAATATGGTGAAGCCCCGTCTCTACTAAAAATGCAAAAATTAGCTGAGCATGGTGGCGTGTGCCTGTAGTCCCAGGTACTCGGGAGGCTGAGAGAGAAGAATCACTTGAACCCGGGAGGCAGAGGTTGCAGTGAGCCGAGATTGCTCTACTGTACTACAGCCTGGGCAAAACAGCAAGACTCCATCTCAAAAAAACAAAAAAACAAAAACAAAAAAAAAGAAAGATAAAACAGAAAATAGGCCGGGCATGGTGGCTCACACCTGTAATCCCAGCACATTGGAAGGCTGAGGCAGGCGGATCACTTGAGGCCAGGAATTCAAGACCAGCCTGGCCAACATGGTAAAACCCCATCTCCACTAAAAGTACAAAAATCAGCCGAGTATGGTGGCAGGCACCTGTAATCCCAGCTACTCGGGAGGCTGAGGCAGGAGAATTAGAGAACTGCCTGAACCCCTGAACCCGGGAGGTGGAGGTTGCAGTGAGCCGAGATCACGCCACTGCACTCCAGCCTGGGCTACAGAGCGAGATGCTGTCTCAAAAAACAAAAACAAAAACAAAAACAAAAAACAAAAAAAAAAAAAGAGAGAGAGAAAAAGAAAGAAAAAGAAAATAACGAGTGTTAGCAAGGATGCGGAGAAATTAGAGCCCTTCTGCACTGCTGGTGGGAACATAAAATGGTGCAGCTGCTGTGGAAAACAGTATGGTGGTTCCTCAAAAAATTAAAAATGTACTCAGGCGGTTGAGGCAGGAGGATCACTTGAGGCCAGGAATTGGAGGCTGCAGTGAACTATGATTGTTCCACTGTGCACCAGCCTAAGCCACAGAGCAAGACCCCATCTCAAAATAGAAAAAGTTTAAAAACAGAATTACCATATGATCTAGCCATTTTACTTCTAGGTATATACCCAGAATAACTGAAAGCAGGGTTTCAAAGAGATATTTGTATACCCATGTTCATAGCAGCATGATTCACACACTAGCTAAAACACGGAAGAAACCCAAGTGCCCATGGATAGACGAATGGATAAGCAAAATGTGATATATCCATACAATGCAATATTAGCCTTAAAAAGGAAGGAAATTCTGCAATATGCTACAATAGGAATGAACCTTGATGATATAATGCAGAGTGAAATAAGCCAATCACAAAAGGGTAAATATTGTATTATTCCACTTATATGAGGTACTTAGACTAGTCAAAATCATAGAGACAAAAAGTAGAATGGTGGTTGCCAAGGGCTGTGGGAGAGGGGAATGGAAAGTTATTGTTTAATGCGTATAGAGTTTCAGTTTTACAAATTGAGAAGAATTATAGAGATGGATAGTGGTGATGGTTGCACAACATTATGAATGTATATAATTCCACTGATCTGTACACTTAAACATACTTAAAATGGTAAATTTTATGTTATGCATAATTTACCATAATAAAAATTGAAATAAAATAGTATACCATAATAATAGTATTCTCACAATACAGATACAATTGATAGATGTAAATAAACTCAAAATCACAGATTAGGATGGGCGTGGTGGCTCACACCTATAATCCCAGCAGTACTTTGGGAGACTGAAGCAGGAGGATCGCTTGAACCTAGGAATTGGACAACAGCCTGGGCAACATAGTGAGACCCTGTCTCTACAAAAAATACTTTAAAATTAGCTGAGTGTGGTGGCACACTCAGTTTGTCATGATGCTTGTAGTCCCAGCTACTTGGGAGGCTGAGGTGGGAGGCTCATTTGAGCTTGGGAGATTGAGGCTGCAGTTAGCCATGGTTGTGCCACTGCACTCCGGCCTGGGTGACAAAGAGAGACCTTGTTTCAAAAAAAGAAAAAAAAAAAAGCATACGTTATAGTAAAATATAAAATAATTAAGAAGTGGTGATTTTGAGTATTCATTACCTTTGTTTTTAATATTATTTATTATTTTTAAATGTGTGTAATTTAATTTTTAATAATAGCTCCAGTTAATAACTGGCCCTTTATAAAAAATGTTTGCTAACCTCGTCTATAGAGTTTCTACATTGGAAGTTTTGAAAGTTTTCTGTTTTTGACTTCTGACCTAATTGTGTTATAGTTAGATAATATTATCAGTATACTATTGATTTTTTAAATTTGAGGTAAACTTTGTTGCCTCATACATGGCCAATTGTTATAAATTATCCGTATAGGCCGGGCGCGGTGTCTCACGCCTGTAATCCCAGCACTTTGGGAGGCCAAGGTGGGCGGATCACGAGGTCAGGAGATCGAGACCATCCTGGCTAACACGGTGAAACCCTGTCTCTACTAAAAATACAAAAAATTAGCCGGGCTTGGTGGCGGGCACCTGTAGTCCCAGCTACTTGGGAGGCTGAGGCAGGAGAACGGCGTGAACCTGGAAGGCGGAACTTGCAGTGAGCCAAAGCCGAGATCGTGCCATTGCACTCCAGCCTGGGTGACAGAGTGAGACTCTGTCTCAAAAAAAAAAAGAAAAAAAAATCCATATATACTTAAGAAAAATATGTACTCTTGAATTTTTTATAGTGTTCTAGATATAATGTATATTAAATCAAATTTAAGTTGCTCACATTTTTCATTTTTTTGTGAATTTTATATTTGCTTGATCTATAACTTACTGATAAATGTGTGCTAAAGTCTCGTATAAGGATGGAAGTTAATCTGTGTCAAGTATCCTTGTCAGTTTGTCCTTGTAGTTGTGTTTGCTTGTTATATATTTTTCTGTCCTTCAAGTTCAAGCTGAAGGTGTGTTTACATCATAGACATTTAAATACCCAAATATTCTGAGAAGCTTAAAAAAATGGTAGTTTCCTGTCCACCCCTCTTCACTCCCTTAGTCACCTTCCTCAACATCAGCCATTTCCAACTCTTTCCACCATTTATTTTGACATTTATATTTATATTATCTTTGTTTCTAAATAGTATATATGTGTGTGTGTGTATATATATATATATATTTTGAGACGGAGTTTCACTCTTGTTGCCCAGGCTGGAGTGCAATGGCGCGATTCCGGCTCACTGCAACCTTTGCTTCCGAGGTTCAAGCAATTCTCCTGACTCGACCTCCCGAGTAGCTGGGATCACAGGCATGTGCCACCACGCCCAGCTAATTTTGTATTTTTAGTAGAGACGGAGTTTCTACATGTTGGTCAGGCTTGTATGGAACTCCTGACTTCAGGTGATCTGCCCACCTCGGCCTCCCAAAGTGCTGGGATTACAGGCGCGAACCACCCACGCTCGGCCTCCAACCTCGAATTCTTTAACCAAACAAGCTATTGCTTCAGTGTGAAGGTAGAATCAGACAGTTTCAGATATGCAATATCTCAGAAGTTACTTCATACACCCTTTCTCGACAAGCTATTAGAAGTTGTCCTCTACCAAAATGAGAGTATAAATTAGGAAACAGCAAGTAGATGCATGAAATAAGAGATACGACACAGAAGGGAAGGTATGGGAATTTCCAGAATGATGACAAAGGCAGATCCTAAGATGACGCTTGTGCTCCAGAGAGGACAGCTTGTTCACGTTGGAGCAGTGTGACTCATGAGGCACGTGGACGTAATTGAGGGTTATAATAACCATGCCCTCTGCTAGTGAATGTGACCCACAAAAAGGAAGTAAATCGGCCGGGCGCGGTGGCTCACGCCTGTAATCCCAGCACTTTGGGAGGACGAGATGGGTGGATCACGAGGTCGAGAGATGGAGACCATCCTGGCCAACATGGTGAAACCCCGTCTCTACTAAAAATACAAAAATTAGCGGGGTGTGGTAGCGCACACCTGTAGTCCCAGCTACTCTGGAGGCTGAGGCAGGAGAATCACTTGAGCCCAGGAGGTGGAGGTTGCAGTGAGTTGAGATCTGCCACTGCACTCCAGCCTGGGCAACAGAGTGAGACTCTGTCTCAAAAAAAAAAAAAAAAAAAAAAAAAAAAGAAGAAGTAAGTCAAGGAGGAAGGCATGAAACCCAACTCAGGAAAAAGGGAAAGAGTATTACAAGGCGATAACAAGGGAAGACCCTAGCAGTGCAGCATGTCCAGAGATCAACTAGCCTAGATTGAAGAAGATTCAAGGTCTCCTTGATGGAGGAAAATAAAGCTCTCCAAGAAATGATATGGAAGTGATGGATCACCTGATGTGACTAAACTTTTGGAAAATTGTACCAAGAGGCTTTTAAAAAATGTTTTATTTGTTCATTTTTATTTTAGAGACAGGGTCTCACTTTGTTGCCCAGGGTAGTCTCAAACTCCTTAGCTCAAGCTATTCTCCCAGCTCAGCCTCCTGAGTAGCTGGGATTACAGGTTCAAGCTGCCGGGCCTGGCTCTCAAGAGGCTCTTAGATGGTGTGAGAAGGGTTAGTGATACATACAAAGGAAACCAAGCTAATGAAAACACTAGGCAATTATTAACTTTAGGAAAAAGCCAAAACTAAGAAAGGAATCATAATCATCATATACATTACCCAACTATGAATATTTGCATGAACATTCTAATGTAAACACTGAATCTTGATTTAATTTAAAATTATAATATAATCTTATTTGATTTAAGAGAGCTAAATCTTTCCAGTATAGTTATATTGTATTCAAATTATACTCTAATACGAAGTTGATAGCTGAAGTCCAAAATTGATGAATAAAATATGAATGTGGCCGGGTGTGGTGGCTCATGCCTGTAATCCCAGCACTTTGGGAGGCGGAGGCAGGTGGATCACCTGAGGTCAGGAATTGTAGACCAGCCTGGGCAACATGGTGAAACCCCTTTTCTACACAAGTACCAAAAAAAAAAAAAATTAGCCAGGCATGATGGTGGGTGCCAGTAATTCCAGCTACTCGGGAGGCTGAGGTAGGAGAATCCCTTGAACCCAGGAGGCAGAGGTTGCGGTGAGCCAAGGTCACACCATTGCACTCCAGCCTGGACAACAAGAGCAAAACTCTGTCTCAAACAAACAAACAAACAAACCAAAAATGAATTCGAGGTTGGAAATAATTTTTCTTCAGAATTTTGAAGTTATTGCTTCATTGCCTTTCTGCTTCAAGTATCTCTTCTGGGAATTCTAAAGTCATTCTGGTTCCTGATCTTCTTGTGAAAGCTTTTTTGTTTTCATTTGGGAAACTTGAAGGTTATCTCTTTGTCTTGAAGACCCTACAATGTGACAATAATATGCACTGGAGTGGGTCTATTTTAACAATTATGCTGAACATTCTGTGGGTTCTGTCAATCTACATCCTCCAATTCTGAGACATTTTCTTGAATAATTTCATTGATGTGTTCTTCCCTTTAATTTTTATTTTCTCTCTTTTTGGATTATTTGGATTCTGGGCTTCCTGGGCTGTCTCTCTCTTTTTCCCATCTTTTCTTTTTGCTTTAGTATTTTAGGGATTTCCTCAACTTTCTCTCGAGTTTTGCATTTCTACTACCACTTTTTTTTATTATTTTAATGCTTTTTTTAATAGCATCCTGTTCTTGTTTCATAGATGTAATATTTTCTCTTATCTCTCTAATGACATTAAAAACAGGTTTTTTGTTTTGTTTTGCTGAGATAGGGTCTTGCTATGTTGCCCAGGCTGGTCTCGAACTCCTGGGCTCAAGGGATCCTCTCACTTCAGCCCTCACGAGTAGCTGGAACTACAGGTGTGTACCACTGTGCCTAATAACAGGGTTGTTTGGAAATTTGGAGGTTTTTTTCTTGTATAGTTTCTATTTCTTCTGAGTGCTTTTCCTGTTTGCTTTAGTCCCTCCCTACAATGTTAGAGGCTTATCTCAGGTCCAGGCTTATCTCATAATCCATGGTCATTTTGTTATGATTAAGAGTGGGGAGAGTGGCCGGGTGCAGCGGCTCACGCCTGTAATCCCAGCACTTTGGGAGGCCAAGGCAGGCAGATCACCTGAGGTTGGGAGTTCGAGACCAGCCTGACCAACGTGGAGAAACCCTGTCACTACTAAAAATACAAAATTAGCCGGGCGTGGTGGCACATGCCTGTAATCCCAACTACTCAGGAGGCTGAGGCAGGAGAACTGCTTGAAACTGGGAGGTGGAGGTTGCGGTGAGCTGAGATCGTACCATTGCACTCCAGCCTGGGCAATAAGAGCAAAACTCCATCTCAAAAAAAAAAAAAAAAAAGAATTGGGGAAAAATTAGATACTCTGAGTCCATGAAGTCACAGTGAGTTTCACTGTGGTGACCTGGATTGGTCATTTGTTTGGAAACCCAAAGTTTCTGTATCTTTGGGTCTTTTTTCTGTGACTGTTCATATTCCTCAGAAAAGACTCTTCTAATCTTCCAATTAAAGGATATAGGTTTCACTTTAGCATTCTGGGAGCCCAGTGGCAGAAAAGGGTTAGGGGAAGTCTTAGCTTTCAGTATGTCTACAGTCACATAATCCCAACTTGCAGCGTGTCTTCAGCTGTGCTCATCAGCCTCCCTCCAGGCAGAGACCTTCTGTTGTTCCTTCTTTCAAGAATAATCCCCCAGTCATCTGCTAGGGTTAGGAGAGGCAGTACTGCCATGGTGTGGAATACTGGAGGGGATTTGGCATCTAACTACTTCTCAGCTTTTACCTAATCCTCCTTATTTTAAATTCCTCTCTCATACCCTCTCCAATTTTAGAGTTGCCTGTAGTTTCCAATTACTAAGTATTTTGAGGATTCTATGGTGAGAATGTGGTTGGTGGCCCACTGCTGTCTCAGAATTCTTCTCTATGTTGTTAAGTCATTTGGCCCATATGTTCATGTCTTCCAAACTGTTACTGTTGTTGTCTTCCCTTCCCCAACTCTTCTCCCTTCCATTAATTTTTTAAAAATAAATATTTAAAAATATATATTGAGACCAGGCGCGGTGGCTCATGCCTGTAATCCCAGCACTTTGGGAGGCCGAGGCAGGCAAGACTTGAGGTCAGGAGTTCGAGTCCAGCCTGGCCAACATGGAGAAATCCCGTCTCTACTAAAAACACAAAAATTAGCCAGGTGTGGTGGTGGGCACCTGTAGTCCCAGATACTCGGGAGGCTGAGGCAGGAGAATTGCTTGAGCCCAGGTGGTGGAGGTTGCAGTGAGCTGAGATTGTACCACTGCACTTCAGCCTGGGAAATAGAGTGAGACTCAGTCTCAAATATATACATACATATTATATATATATATATATATTATATTATATATACATTATATATACATATATACCATATAATATATTGTATAATAATATAATATATATTGTATAATAATAATATACTATATATATATTATATATACCACTTTAAATTGGGGCTTTTGGTTGGAAGTGAGATAGATTAGTTGTGTGTGCACCTTAACTTGGAAGATTAGTTGATTTTGCATCTTAACTTGGAAATATCTTACTTTTCAAATTTAATTCTTCCTCTCCCTCTTTGGTTTGGAGGTTATAAACTCTATTTCCCCTCTTTTAGAATATTAATCATTTGACATGCATACTTTATCTAAAATCTAAAATTATTCAAGTTCTCTACCATTCTCCTCATACCAATCATCCCCTTTTGTCTCATATAGTCCATTATCTTATTTCTATCTAGTTATTTTTCATAGCTTCCCTCAAGTTAAACATTATTATTTATCTTTTGTGCAGTTAATGTTTGATATACCTACTTGCTTATCAATTCATTGGCACACAACTCCTTCTTTCATCCCAAACCTTTTTTCCAGGATCACTTATTATCCTACATGGACCTATGAATTGAATGATTTGCGTCTTTCATGAATTCTGGAAACGACTCAGCCAATACCTCTGCAAAGAGCTGGGCATGGGCAACATAGCAACACTCTGTCTCTAAACATTTTTTTAAAAGGTCTACTCTAGACGCTCCTCCTAGAATTCAGAGTAGACCTATGTTAGACTTCATACTTTATTCTATCCTGTAGGTTTTATACCTCTATTTTATTTGCCTTTGTGCTGAATTCTGAGTATTTCTTCAGCTCTATCTTCAGTTCTTCATTTCACTAATTCACTCTTCATCTGTGTCCAGTCAACACAGATGATGTTTAGCCTGTCCTCTGAATTTGGTTTACTTTTATAAAAAAGCAAAACACAACAAAGCCAAATTTATCTATCATCTATCTATTTGAGACAAGTAGGAGAGAATGGGGTGGAGGAGAGTATATGGCTAAGAGAATTTTTTAAAAGATGAGATCAATTTAGCATGCGTAAATGCTGACAGGAAGGACCTGAGAGAGAGAGAGAGAGTCCAGGTTTTCCTATTCTTCCACGTGGAGTAGATATGATCCATTAGCAACTGTTGGATCTTCTATTGTTAGGCTTGGTTCCTAATTGTGATCCACAGCATCTATTCTACCTGATTTAAGCAGAAAGAAAGTTATTGGTAGATATCAAGTGGCTCAAAGAGGGCTGGGCATGGTGGCTCATGCCCGTAATCTCAGCACTAATCCCAGCACTTTGGGAAGTCAAGGTGGGAGGATCACTTGAGCCCAGGAGTTCAAGATGTGGCAAGACCCCATCTCTACAAAAAATAAAAATGTTAGCTGGGTGTGGTGGAGTGTGCCTGTAGTCTCAACTACTTTGGAGGCTGAGGCAGGAGGATATCTTGAGTCCAGGTGGTCAAGGTTGCAGTGAGCTGTGATTATGCCACTGCACTCCAGCCTGGGTGACAGAGAAAGACTTTGTCTCAAAAACATATAAAAAAATAAATAAAACAGTGAAATCACCAACAAAAAGCACAAAAATGTAAAAACCATGGCACTAAATAGACCTTGAGGGACATATTTACATTATGAGCTGAAACAAGACAGCAAAGTGTTGCTTTGTTTGACCTCAGCTGGGAATGTGTATTGGATAACTCAAATTTTCACTACATTGTATATGACCCTGAATGACCCCAAAATGCTGAGAAAGTGTCAAGAGTATTAATTTTGAGTCACACATAAATTTTAGCAAGTAGGAGAATTTGCAAATACAAAATCTCCATGTAATGAAACTATGCTAATGTTGGAAACCATTTGGGAAAAGGGGCTCTATTTCTGCCGGGGGTTGGGCTGAGAGGACAGGACCTAAGCTGGGCACTGCCTAGTTGTAGTTCCTTCATTCTTGCTGTATGATATCCCATTGTGTGAATACCCACAATTTATTTGTCTGTTCTACCTGTGATAGACATTTGGGTTGTTTCTAGATACTTGGCTGTCTTAGTCAATACTTGACATTTTCTGTTTTTTACAAAATTTTTTTTAGCCATTCAGATGTAGTAGTATTGGACTGCGGCTTCAATTTGTACTTCTGGTGATCAATGAGATTGTACAATGTTTAATGTTTTTTAGCCATTTGGATGTTTTCTTTTGTGAAGTGTCTGTTCAAGTCCTTTGCCCATTTGTAAAAATTGGGTTTTCTATCCTTTTCATACTGATTTTTAGTTCTTTAGATATCCTGAATATGAGTTCTTTGTCAGTTAAATGTACTACAAATATCTCCTATTCTATGGCTTGCATTTTCACTCTTTTAAGGATATCTTGTGAAGAATAAAAGTTCTTTTTGTGTCCTGTTGAAATAATCTTTGCTTACTCAAAGGCTATTAAGACATACTCCTGTTTTCTTCTAAAAAGCTTTATTATGCCAGGCATGGTGGCTTACACCTGTAATCTGAGCACTTTGGGAGGCCGAGAAGGGCAAATCACCTGAGGTCAGGAGTTCAAGACCAGCCTGGCCAACATGGCGAAACCCCATCTCTAATAAAAATACAAAAATTAGCCGGGTGTGGCGGTGCATGCCTGTAGTCCCAGCTACTCAGGAGGCTGAGGCAAAAGAATAGCTTGAACCCAGGAGGTGGAAGTTACAGTGAGCTGAGATCATGCCACTGCACTCCGGCCTAGGCAACAGAGTGAGACTCTGTCTCAAAAAAAAAAAAAAAAAAAAAAAGGCCGGGCGGTGTGGCGGGCACCTGTAGTCCCAGCTACTCAGGAGGCTGAGGCAGGAGAATGGCGTGAACCTGGGAGGTGGAGCTTGCAGTGAGCCGAGATTGCGCCACTGCACTCCAGCCTGGGTGACAGAGGAAGACTCCGTCCCAAAAAAAAAAAAAAAAAAAAAGAGCTTTATTATCGTACCATTTACAATTTATCTACAATTGATTTCTCTGTAGGAGTAATGTAGAAGTCAATATTTTTTTTCTGAATGGACTATGGACTTTCAATTGACCCAGGAGTACTTATTAAAAACACCTCTGTGATGCTTAATTTTTTTTTTTTTTTTTTGAGAAGGAGTCTCGCTCTGTTGCCAGGCTGAACTGTAGTGGCACGATCTTGGCTGGCTGCAAACTCCACCTCCCGGGTTCAAACAATTCTCCTGCCTCAGCTTCCTGAGTAGCTGGGACTACAGGCACGTGCCACCACACCCAGCTAATTTTTGTATTTTTAGTAGAGATGGGGTTTTCACCATGTTGGCCAGAATGGTCTTGATCTCTTGACCTCATGATCTGCCCACCTCGGCCTCCCAAAGTGCTGGGATTATAGGTGTGAGCCACTGTGCCCAGTGAATTTTTATATCAACTTAACTGGGCTAAGGGATGTCCACATAGCTGGGTGTGTTTGTGAAGGTGTTTCCAGAATAGATTAGCATTTGAATTGAAATACCGCGTAAAGAAGATCACCCTCACCAATGTGGGCAGGCGTCATCCAAGCCACTGAGGGCCTGAAAAGAACAAAATGCTGAGGAAGGGTGAATTCAGTTTCTCTATTTGAGCTGGGACATTCCTCTTCTCCTGTTCTTGGACATCAGTGCTCCTGGTTCTCATACCTTCATACTCAACCCGAATTATACCCTCAGATTTCCTGATTCTCCAGCTTGCAGGTGGTAGATCATGGGACCTGATGGTTTCCGTAATCATTTGGGCCAATTCCTATAATAAATCTCTCTTTCTCTCCACACACACACACATACACACACACACACACACACACACACACACACACACAACTTATATTTATATTTATATTTATGTATCTCCTATTGGTTCGGTTTCTTTGGAAAACCCTGTCTAATACAACCATCTTGAGGGTGGGAAGTATAAGAGACATTCCTATGGCTTATGAAGGGGATCTCTGAAAAATTAGAATTACTTTAGACACTTTTGGTTGTTAGACTGTTGTTTGTCCACAACATGGTCCCAAAACGAGGTCAGGTGAAGCACCAAAGTTTATTTTGCAATATTCTTTATCTCTAGGTAGAGTTCTAAATACATGGTTTTTTTTTTTTTTTTTTTGAGACAGAGTCTTGCTCTGTCACCCAGGCTGGAGTGCAGTGGTGCCATCTCGGCTCACTGCAACCTCTGCCTCCCGGGTTCAAGTGATTCTCCTGCCTCAGCCTCCCGAGTAGCTGAGATTACAGGCACTTGCCACCATGCCCGGCTAATTTTTGTATTTTTAGTAGAGATGGGGTTTCACCATGTTGTCTAGGCTGGTCTCGAACTCCTGACCTCAGGTGATCTGCCCGCCTCAGCCTCCCAAAGTGCTGGGATTACAGGTGTCAGCCACCACACCCGGCCTTAAATACATGTTTTCAAGATTTGGGTCAGGTGCAGTGGCTCATACCTGTAACCCCAGCACTTTGGGAGGCTGAGGCAGGAGAATCACATGAGGCCAAGAGTTCAAGACCAGCCTGGGCAACATGGCAAGATACTGTCTCTACAAAAAAAAAAATTTAAAAATTAGCTAAGCATGATGGCACACACCTGTGGTCCCAGCTACTCAGAATGCTGAGGCAGGAGGATTGCTTGAGCCCAGGAGTTTGAGACTACACTAAACTATCAGAGCACCATCGCACTCCAACCTGGGTGGACAGATCAAGACCCCCATCTCTAACAAAAACAAATGTATTTAAAAAAATTTTTTTAAAGAGATTGGGTATTGCCATGTTGCCCAGGCTGGCCTTGAACTCCTGGGCTCAGGAAATCCTCCCACCTCAGCCTCCCAAAGTGCTGGGATTACAGGCATGAGCTACCATGCCCAGCCTATTTTTAAAATGTTAAATAGCAATAGAATTCAGCAATATACAAAATAATTATACACAGTGACTAAGAGAGGTTAACTGTAGGCATGCAAGGTTATTTCAATATTTCAAAACCAAACAATGTAATTTCTTCGGCAACACTGAGGATATAAGATAAACACAAAAAAATCAATTGTGTGTCTCTATAAATTGACCCTTGAACAGCACAATTTTTTTTTTTTTTTTGAGATGAAGTTTTGCTCTTGTTGCCCAGGCTGGAGTGCAATGGCGTGATCTCGGCTCACCATAACCTCTGCCTCCTGGGTTCAAGCAATTCTTCTACCTCAGCCTCCCAAGTAGCTGGGATTACCGGCATGTGCCACCACGCCTGGCTAATTTTGTATTTTTAGAAGAGGCAGGGTTTCTCCATGTTGGTCAGGCTGGTCTCAAATTCCAGACCTCAAGTGATCTGCCCGCCTCGGCCTCCCAAAGTGCTGGGATTACAGGCGTGAGCCACCTAACTCGGTTGTGAACAGCACAATTTTAACTGTATGGGTTCTCTTGTATGCAGATTGTTCTCTATAAATATTTTGATGAAATATACACAAATCTATTTCAAAAGTTAACATTTATCGAAATATGTACACACAGATAATACACAGTGCCATTGCCATTTGCGGTCAAGAGAAATGTAAACAAATGTAAGGATGCAGTATTAAATCATAACTGCATAAAATTAACTGTAGCACAGACTATACCACTGTAATTATTTCCACCTCCTGTTGCTATTGTGATGAGCTCAAGCGTGTGAGTATCTGCTTACAATACCATATGGTGCTAACCGTCTCCATGTGAGCAGTTCGTGTCTTCAGTAAATTGCATATTGCAGTAAAAAGTAATCTCCTGCAGTTCTCATGTATTTTTTCCTTCCTTTCTTCCCTCCCTCCCTCCCTTCCTTCTCTTTCTTTCTTTTTTTTTTTTGACAGAGTCTCACTCGGCTCCCCACGATGGAGTGCAGTGGCGCCATCTTGGCTCAGTGCAAACTCTGTGACCCAGGTTCAAGCGATGCTCCTGTCTCAGCCTCCTGAGTAGCTGGAATTACAGATGCATGCCACCACACCTGGCTAATTTTTGTAGTTTTAGTAGAGACGGGGTTTCACCATGTTGGCCAGGCTGGTCTCAAACTCCTGACCTCAGGTAATCCACCCACCTTGGCCTCCCAACATGCTGGGATTACAGGTATGAGCCACCGTGCCCGGCCCAGGTAATTTTTTAAAAAGTGCCGGGATGAGCCACTGCAACCAGCCTTCTTCTTGTTTTTTTTTTTTTGTTTTTTTGTTTTTTTTTTTTGTTTTGTTTTGTTTTCCTGGGGAATAAGGTACAGCCTGACTTCTGGGGATACCCAATACATGGGGGTTAAGCATGGCAGGTGGTGGCTGGCTGGCTGATGGGGGTCTAGGGAAGAAGTGCTGGCAGTCAAGTCTGGAGAGAGTGAGAGGTCTTGAGTGATCAGAGAAACCCCAGCAAAGGGGTGTGTGCTGGGAAGGAAGTTCCTGGTGGGAGGGCATGTGAAATGTTGACAGGCTAACACTTTAATAGTGTGTACCTTTTGTCCCAGCGTAAAGCCCCACAGGGCTGAGGGTCTGGTCCCTTGAAGGGACACCACCAGCACAGTCTGATCCTTGCAACATCCTAGGGCAGTCCTGGTGCCTGTACTTCTACATAGGTGACTTGGAACGTGGCTTGCTAGATGTAACTGCTCATTCACAGGACTCGAGTTTACAGGACTCGTCATTATATAAGTCAACCCACCAAAAACCAAATCTGTGCCATGACAAGTCTTTGGGAAATATGCCTGCTTAATACTGGCTCACTTTCCAGATGTATACAGCTGGGTCCCTATCTGCCGGTTGGGGACTTTTTCCCTGTGTTGGAGAGCACTGTGGTACCAGGCGTGGCCACCAGGAGGGAAACAAGCAGCCTGGGCCAGGTCTGGAGGAAGTCCATGAGGACCCAAGGAGAGAAGGAAAAGGGAGGCAGCTGAGGCTCCCAGTTAGCAAAAAGCGGGGAAGCCTCCCGAGCTGTGGACATTGGAATTCGTCTTGCTGCCGAAGCCTGGTCCCTGGCATTATCTGTGGGGTGGTGAGCACTGAACCCACATATACTCCATAAGTCCTAGCCTGTCCCCAGGTGAGGTCGGCTCTGAACACTATGCCCACTCCCCATGTAGCCCCGGCCTGCTACTGCCCCGGCCTGGAAGGCCCTATGCCTACACCACCTGCCTGTTTGCTGGAGAAACTCTTTCCTACTCAACCTTCTAGACTCACCTTGGATACCTCCTGCTCCCGGAAGCCCATTCCCTGTCTGGAGCAGGCACTGACACAGAGCCCTGTACTTCCCCCATCGGAGTACTAGACTGTTGCTTCTCTGAGGAGAATATGTCTTGCCTCATCTAGCAGTGCCTGTCATGCTATGAATAATAGCTGGATGACTGAAAAAGTCATATTTTAAGACAGCAACAGGCATGGTGGCTCACTCGTCTGGTGGCTGTACTGAGCCACCGAGGATGCCCTGCCAGACAGGATGTTCTATGTATTATATGCCGTATAATATATAATACAGCCACACTCTGGCTGCACAGCTGCCTTCAGGATTACCTGCCGCAGGGCTCTGCTGCTCAGAAGCAAGCCACGAACAGACTCTGCCAGAGCCTGACCACACTTACCCTGCACAATGCACTAAATCTTCCCCATCCCGGCTTCCTTCATCTTCAGAATTTGCTCGAGGTATGACATAAAGATATCAGCATGGATAGCAACGTTTTCCCCTGATAACAATCTGTTCACCTTTCGATAGCAGCATCTCGCTCTGCCTGCCCCACTGGCTGCAGCCTTGCAGGAACTGTCGTCAAGATGCTTCCCTCCTTGCCAAGGGGCAGGCATGCAACGCAGGCCGGCCGGCCAGCCTCTCTAGTTCCCAGAACTGCCATCTTGGGTCGAGTGATGGAACAGAGTTAGAGCGCATGCCTCGTGATAGCAGCATCCTGTAAAGTGTGTTGGGTGGTTCCTGCTACCTGGATTCCCAGAATGATCCTCTTTCCTGTCCTACTTGTGTCCTGGTTGTTCAACATTCTTCGTATTCTGAGAGCTACCATTCAAAGAAATTCCTCAAAAAAAAAAAAAAAAACAAAAAAAAAACAAAAAAAAAAAACAAAAAAACCACACACAGCCAGAATTTGTTGCTATTCCCCTTGCAAGTAGAGAACATTAAATGTTACAAATGGGCTAAATCTAAGATGGTGACATGACATCTAAGGAATAAATGCATAGGCCAGAAAATGGGTCCAAAACCACCTGCACTTGGGCCACGTTGTGAAGTGAATGCAGGAGCAGAGCGAGGAGAGAGCTGGAGGGTCCCGGGAATGATACTGCATGCAGGAGCCACCAAGGCAGTGAGAGTGCCCTCTTCTCCCCAGTTAAGCCTTCATTAATTGGGACACAGAACCTGAACGAGTCAGGTGAAGCTCATGCTACGTCTGCAAGAAAGCCCATGTTGGAGAGAAATCTGGGAATTCCATCAAAGGAAGGGTGGTTGAGGGAGCAGAGTTGTTCAGCCTGGAGCAGAGAAGCCATGCGGTCTTTTTTTCTTTTTCTTTTTCTTTTTTTTAAGACAGCTTTTCGCTTTATCACCCAGGCTCAAGTGCAGTGGCGAGATCTCAGCTCACTACGGCCTCTACTTTCTGGGCTCAAGCCATCCTCCTGCCTCAGCATCCTGAGTAGCTGGGATTACAGGTGTGCACTACCATGCCTGGATAACTTTTGTATTTGTAATAGAGATGGGGTTTCACCATGTTGGCCAGGCTTGTCTTGAACTCCTGACCTCAAGTGGTCCTCCTGCCTCAGCCTCCCAAAGTGCTGGGATTACAGGCATGAGCCACTGTGCCCAGCCTGATGCTGCCTAAAATATCACTTTTTCAGTTATCCAGCTATTAATCATAGCATGACAGGCACTGCTAGATGAGGCAAGACATATTCTCCTCGGAGAAGTAACAGTCTAGTACTCCGATGGGGGAAGTACAGGGCTCTGTGTCACTGCCTGTTCTGGACGGGGAATGGGCTTCTGGGAGCAGGAGGTATCCAAAGGCGAGTCTAGAAGGTTGAGCAGGAAAGAGTTTTTCCAGCAAACAGGCAGGTGGCGTGGGCATGGGGCCTTCTAGGCGGGGGCAGTAGCAGGCCCTTGGACTAGATGGGCAGTGGGCATAGTGTCTGGCATGGAGTGGGGGCAAAGTGTGAGGGAGCTGGCACCAGACCGGAAAGGGCCTCAGATATCATGCCAAGGGAACGATCGAAGGTTTTTAAGTAGCGGAGTAAGAAAACGAGATGCATTTTAATAGATTACCATGGAGAAAGATTTGGAAGCAGAGCAAGTCTGGAATATATGAGACAAGACCAGGCACAGTGGCTCATGTCTGTAATCTCAGCATTTTGGGAGGCCCGTGTGGGTGGATCACTTGAGGTCAGGAGTTTGAGACCAGCCTGGCCAACATGGTGAAACCCCATCTCTACCAAAAATACAAAAAATTAGCTGGGCGTGGTGGCACATGCCTGTAATCCCAGCTACTCAGGAGGCTGAGGCATGAGAATCACTTAAACCTGGGAGGCAAAGGTTGCAGGGAGCCAAGATCATGCCATTGCATATCACGTCAGTGCACGCCTGGGCACATCAAGATCCTGCCAGTGCACGCCTGGGCAACAGAGCAAGACTCTGTTAAAAAAATAAAATAGAGTAGAATATATGAGACAAGTTAGGGGTTAGTTGGAATAGTCCAAGGAGGGTCTGGGATGGTGAAGTGACAGTGGGGACAGGGATGAGGACAATGAAAAAGCTACTGAGGTGGTGGAATAAGGGTGAGGGGAGGCAGAGAAGAGGTCACAGAAGGCCTCATTCACCAGGATAAGATGTTTTGGTGGAGTTTGGAGGGTGGAGGGAGTGACTAGTCTTGTAAAAAAGCCATTCTGTCTATGGCAGCAGAACCTTGGACACCCAGGTCTAGGCTCCCAAATGCTACTTTGTCAGGACAGCTAGACTGTGTTTGGTTTTCAGAGGCTGAGACACAGTAATCAAACTCATAAGGGACTGCCTGACAGGTCCAAACACCAACGTGTTAACTCTCAGTGGGAATCAAACTTTAAAAAGCCTGAATAGATCTTCCCAGGGACCTGCATGCATGTGCCAGTCCATCAAGCGCCCTGGAGGCCAGAAGGTCATCAGAGGTCACCAAAGGAGAAGAAAGATGAAGATGTGCAGGTGGGTGGCCGGGGAATCTGTAAGGATATTTATGAAAACTTTGAGCAACTTGCTCACAAGGGACTGTCTTGTCTGCTGTTGAATCCGAGGTGCCTGTAGAAGTGAAAGCTTGTGCCTGCCTGACTGCATGCAAATCACCCAGAATGGTAAATTCCATTCCAGGTAATTTACCCTGGAATGGATGAACTACCAAGTTCTTTCTTTCCCTTTGATCTCCATTTCCCAGATGCCTCCTATTTCGGGCCACTCTGGTGGATACATTTTTCTACTATGGGCAGTGCTTTTATTTTTATATACTGTGGAAGTCAAGGATATAAAAGTTGAGCAATAGATTTACATATCATATGATGGAATCCACTCTTAGAGCTCAAAAAATGCTATAAAATCCCTATTTATAATATAAATTTCATGAGTAATTTTTACACTGAGTATTATTCAGTGTGCACATGATTTTTTAGTAAATCTTCAGATTATTTCTATAACAAGCCAATGTTATTTTAAAAAGCAAACAGGGGCCAGGTGCAGTAGCTTATGCCTGTAATCCCAGCACTTTGGGAGGCCGAGGCAGGCGGGTCACTTGAGTGAGGCCAGGAGTCCGAGACCAGCCAGGCCAACACAGCAAAACCCTGTCTCTACTGAAAATACAAAAAAATCAGCTGGGCATGGTGGCACACACCTATAATCCCAGCTACTCAGGAGGTTGAGGCAGGAGAATTGCTTGAATCCAGGAGGCAGAGGTTGTAGGAACCAAGATCCGCCACTGCACTCCAGCCTGGGCAACAGAGTGAGATTCCGTCTAGGAAAAAAAATTAAATTAAATTAAAAAAAATACAAAAATTAGCTGGGCATAGTGGCACACACCTATAATCCCAGCTACTCGGGAGGCTGTGGCAAGAGAATCACTTGAACCCGGGAGGCAGAGGTTGCAGTGAGCTGAGATCATGCCACTTCACTCCAGCCTGGGCAATGGAGCAAAACTCCATCTCAAAAAGAAAAAAAAAAAAAGAGAGAGAGCGAGATTGAAGAGCCTTAAAGTGCTCTTAGAATGCAACACGTGGGCTTGTTTGAAGTCTAATTCAAACACACCAGTCATAAAAAGATGTTTTGTTGAAACAGTTATTGAGTACCCAGTATCAGATCGTGTCAAAGAATTGTTAAATTTTAAGGTGTGGTAACAGCACTGTGTTTATGGAAGAAAATGTCTATATATTAATATTTTAGAGATGCATGCTAAAGTATGTAGCAGTGAAATGACACTACACCATGACATTTGGCATGTCTTAAAATACTTGAGCAAAGGGAAAAATAGATTAATCTGTAGCAATATTTTGATAATAACTGTTGAACATAAGTGATGATATATGACGGCTCATTGCATGACTCTATTTTGCGTATGCTAGAATTTTTTTTTTCTTTTTTTGAGGCAGAGTCTAGATCTGTTGCTCAGGCTGGAGTGCAGTGGCACAATCACGGCTCACTGCAACCTAGAACTCTTGGGTTCAAACAATGCTCCCACATCAGCCTCCCAAGTAGCTGGGACTACAGGTGTGCGCCACTACACCCAGATAATTTTTTTGTATTTTTTTGTAGAGACAAGGTTTCACCATGTTGCCCAGGCTGGTCTCGAACTCCAGGGCTCAAGAGATCTGCCCACCTCAGCCTCCCAAAGTGCTGGGATTACAGATTTGAACCATTGAGCCTGGCCTAAAATTTTTAATAATCATAAAAGTTAGGCCAGGCTTGGTGGTTCACATCTGTAATCCCAGCACTTTGGGAGGCTGAGGCGGGTGAATCACTTGAGGTCAGGAGTTTGAGATCGGCCTGGCCAACATGGTGAAACCCCGTCTCTACTAAAAATATTAAAAGAAATTAGCCAGGCGTGGTGGCATGCACCTGTAGTCCCAGCTACTGGGGAGGCTAAGGCAGGAGAACTGCTTGAACTCAGGAGGCGGAGGTTGCAGTGAGCCGAGATCGTGCCACTGCACTTCAGCCTAGGCAACAGAGTGAGACTCTCTCAAAACAAAACAAAACAAAACAAAACAAATAAATAAAAGTTAAAGATGGAGTAAACAGTAGCAACAATAAAAGTTTAAGTTTCTAGGGCAGTTTCTTATCACTCAATTCTCATTTTCTCATCTTAGGAGACAGAAGAAATTTATTTTCAGGTTGGGAACAAGGACTTGCTGATGTTGATTTAAAAACATTTTTTTAGAGACAGGGTCTCACTCTGTCACCCAGGCTACAGTGCAGTGGCATGATCATTGCAGCCTTGGACTCTTGGGCTCAAGGGATCCTCCCACCTCGGCCTCCCAAAACCCTGGGATTACAGGTGTGAGCCACTGCGCTCAGACCCTGATGCTGATTTTTCAGCAGGAATTTTGTAGACAATTGATGAGTAGGAGATTGTGATGTGGGTGTTGATGAGTTTTAGTGACTTGAAAATTTTCAAGAGGAAAGTGAACGCAGCTTTCTTTGCTTGAGAAAGGATTCGGTAATGGGCTGGCTGTCCAACAGCTCTCCGCGCCTGGGAGGCAGCAGAGGGCAGGAGCGAGAAGTCTGGCTTTCCATGCAGACTGACTGGGGTTCCAGTCCTGTCTTTGACTCTTAATTAGCCACAGTACCCTTGATAAGTCCCTCAATCTCTGTAAGCCTCTGTATCCCCTCTATAAATAGGGAATGTAAGGTTTTATAAGGATAAGTTGAGATATTTCAATGTTTACTCCATAAATACTCATTAACCATTAGCTACTGCTATTATTCTTGCTGCATTTGGGTCACTTATATTTCTTTGTTGTTAATTCTTTTTTGTAATATGACTTGCAGTTTCCTAAAATATGTATACAGGGAAAAGTGAGAGGATATTCCACTATCCAGAAGCTGGATAACTGCTCACATCCGTTTTTACGGTTCTCTTTATTTCATAGGGATCAGCCCGCTCTCGCCACATAACCTGTAGGATCCCCAGGGCAGATTGTGAGTGATCCTTGCACTCACAACTAACATTCTTACACATCTGGAGAGTGATTCAAGTCTATAATAGCAAACAGGTAAAGTATATATTTGAATGGAGATTCAGATACACACATTCAAAAAGAAAAACGAGGACAGAGTATTTGTTCACTGTTGTTCATTTTTAGAGCGTCTGACATAGTGAACTTTTTTTTTAATTTAAAAGTAAACTTTAATGTCGAAAATGCAAACTTGGGGAGGGCAGAAAGACCACACACAAGGCTGCCACTTCACACTTGGAGGGTTGCACGCAGAGGCGCTCCTCACTTCCCAGATGGTGGGGTGGCCAGGCAGAGGCACTCCTCACTTCCCAAGCTGTTGGGCCGCCGGGGAGAGGCGCTCCTCACTTCCCAGACTATGTGGTGGCTGGCCGGGCAGAGGCGCTCCTCGCTTTTTTTTTTTTTTTTTTGGAAACAGGGTCTCTCTGTCACTCGGGCTGGAGCGCAGTGGTGTGATCATGGCTCACTGTGGCCTCGACTTCACTTCCCCAGGCTCAAGTGGTCCTCTCATCTCAGCCTCCTGAGTAGCTGGGACTACAGGCACAAACCACTATGCTCGGCTAACTTTTTCTTAAGTTAAAGATGAGGTCTTGCTGTGTTGCCCGGGCTGGTCTTGAACTCTTGGCCTCAAGTGATCCTTCCACCTTGGCCTCCCAATTAGCTGGGACTACAGGTGTGAGCCACTGCACCTGGCCATAATGTGCTTTTATGAGAGGTCCATCTTCCTCTCTCTGAGGATGCACAATCCACACGTTTATACTTCATTAGGCCATAAAGACACTGTAAGAGGCCAGGCGCAGTGACTCATGCCTGTAATTCCAGCACTTTGGGAGGCCGAGGCAGGCGGATCACTTGAGGTCAGGAGTTCGAGACTAGCCTGGCCAACATGGTGAAACCCTGTCTCTCCTAAAAATACAAAAATTAGCTGGGTGTGGTGGCAGGCGCCTGTAATCCCAGCTACTTGGGAGGCTGAGGCAGGAGAATTGTTTGAACCTGGAAGGCGGAGGTTGCAGTGAGCCAAGGTGGCACCACTGTACTCAAGCCTGGGTGACAGAGCAAGGCTCCGTCTCAAAAAAAAAAAAGAAAGAAAGAAAAAAAAGAAAAGAAAAAAGGAAAAAAAAAGCACTGTAAGAGACTCTGGGACTGGGAGCAGTGGCTCACGCTTGTAATCCCAGCACTTAGGGAGGCTGAGGCGGGCAGATCACAAGGTCAGGAGTTTGAGACCAGCCTAACCAATATGGTGAAACCCCGTCTCTACTAAAAGTACAAAAATTAGCCGGGCGTGGTGACGGGCACCTGTAATCCCAGCTACTTGGGAGGCTGAGGCAGGAGAATCACTTGAACCTGGGAGGTGGAGGTTGCAGTGAGCAGAGATCGAGCCACCGTACTCCAGCCTGGGCGACAGAGCCAGACTCCGTCTCCAAAAAAAAGAGACTCTGGGCCAGGCGCTGTGGCTCACGCCTGTAATCCCAGCACTTCGGGAGGCCAAGGGGGGGTGGATCACGAGGTCAGGAGATCGAGACCATCCTGGCTAACATGGTGAAACCCCATCTCTACTAAAAATACAAAAAAATTAGCTGGGCGTGATGGTGGGTGCCTGTAGTCCCAGCTACTGGGGAGGCTGAGGCAGGAGAATGGCATGAACCTGGGAGGCGGAGCTTGCAGTGAGCTGAGATTGCACCACTGTACTCCAGCCTGGGAAAAAAACAAAAAACAAAAAAATACTCTGGAGGGAGAGGGACAAGGTACAAGGCTTGGAAAGGAAGACCAGACACTGGCAGCAGCAAACTACCACTGCAAACAAGGTCGAGAATTAGGGCTCCTAGAAGAATCCTATGTTGGTGTTCATCTGTGTTCTAGTTCACACCAGTAGTCCTGAGGTGGACTTTCAAAAAATCCTTAATTCACCATGTTAGAGATTTCACATTCCCATTTCTTCGTATTTAATTAATTAGTTTTAATTTATTTTTATTATTTATTTTTATTTTTGAGATGGAATCTCACTCTGTTGCCCAGGCTGGAGTGCAGTGGTGTGATCTTGGCTCACTGCAACCTCCACCTCGTGGGCTCAAGCAATTCTCTTGCCTTGGCCTCCCGAGTAGCTGGGACTACAGGCATAAACCACCATGCCCAGCTAATTTTGTAATTTTTGTAGAGACAGAGTTTCACCATGTTGCCCAGGCTGCTCTCGAACTCCTGGGCTCAAGCTATCCTCCCATCCCGGCCTCCCAAAGAGTTAAGATTATAGGCATGAGTCACTGTGCCTGGCCAACAGGTTTATTTATAATTATTATAAAGTTGTACTGCTAAAACTTGTTCACTGAAACATTCTGACTTGCATTGATGCTTTACCTCCCTGCATTTATACTAAAAACTCATACACAGATGAAAATGGGAAAACGGCCAATTGATTTCTCTCCCTTATTTTTCTACTCTCAATCATATACTTAAGACCCTATGGGAAAAAAAACCTGACATTCAGAATTACCAGTAATAGGAAGAAGAGAAAAATATTTTGGGAATGAAGTGTTTCCCATCATAGTTAATTCTTAAGCACGTTCTCTACGTAGGCAGTGTGTTAGCTGGATGTCTTTTGGCATAGTTGTTACACGTTTGGCATGGGTTGCACACAACTCGGTGTCTTCAAAAGGCCAAACAGACAGGCCTCACTTCCCTCCTGCAAAACACCAATAGCTGCGCTCTGGAAGCACAGATCTGTTTTTTGTTTGTTTGTTTGTTGTGACGTGCTTTCACCATGTTGGCCAGGCTGGTCTCAAACTCCTGGCCTCAAGTGATCCACCCAAACTGCTGGGATTACAGGCACCAGCCACCTGTAATGGTGCATGTGCCTCTGGGCACGTGAGCCCACCGTGCCCGGCCAACACAGATCTGTTTTAAAGTTCTGAGCAACTTTTCACACCAGACATTGGAAGGGAAGTTTGCAATCAGAGGTTTGGTGGACTTCTGAGCATGTCTACGTTCCCGGAGTGCCACAGTGGCAAGCCTGTAAGGATAGGGTTTCTTCATCTCTGCAGTAGAGGGCGCACTCTTGCAAGCGGCTTTTGTAGTCAGTAGCTCCCTGGGTGCTTTACCACAGGTCAATTTCAGGCAATTGGCTTTGTATCAGCCATGGTATAGAGACCTCCTTACTCACTCGCTTCTCCTTGTATAGAGTCCTCCTTTATCCTTCTCCTTGGGCTGTAGCTCGGCGAGCTAGAGGAAGCTCAGGGTTAGAGAGCAACAGTGGCATGGCTGCAGCTGCAAACATAATTGACTTCCTATCCTTACCTGAAAGATATCAGCACTAGAGTCGGCCCCAGTGTTCTCCGTTTTTCCACTCACTCTCATGAAATAAGGGCAAATGTCAGCCAAATGTCAAAATAACTGCGTAAAAAAAGCTAAAGTGAGCCGGGTGTGGTGGCTCATGCCTGTAATCCCAGCACTTTGGGAGGCTGAGGCGGGCGGATCACAAGGTCAGGAGTTTGAGACCAGCCTGGCCAACATGGTGAAACCCTGTCTCTACTAAAAATACAAAAAATTAGCTGGGCGTGGTGGTAAGCGCCTGTAATCCCGGCTACTCGGGAGGCTGAGGCAGGAGAATCGCTTGAACCCAGGAGGTGGAGGTTGCAGTGAGCTGAGATCATGCTATTGCACTCCAGCCTGGGTGACAGAGCAAGACTCCGTCTCGGGGAAAAAAAAAAAAGACAAAAAGAAAAGCTAAAACGGAGAAGGCACCACAGGACAGCCTCAAGTGAGGCAGGGCTGTGAGGCTGTGCCAGTTTAGCCTACCACAGGGGGCTTAGGAGCATCGGAGTTAAACATGAAAAAATCAATTCTGGGCCCATGGAGGGTAGCTGGCTACCTGGACAGGTTAACACCTGGGGAGTGCGTCTGCTGCTGTCATCCACCTAACCAGCTAGGCCTGGGCGGGGTTGCACCTTTTGCCTTCTCACTACCCCTGACTGGGTTTCAGCCTCAGATATGCTTCCCTGAGATTGCACTGGCCATAAAGATTAGGCCTGCCTGTCCCTAGTGCACCCCAGTTCCACCTTTGAGAGAAGAGCTACTCTCATCCCAGAATGTGTTGCATCTTGCTTGTTGGAGTCTCTAAGGATTACCTTATCAAGAGGCACCTTTGCTTCATTCCTCAGTATTAAATGTACAATTGATCCTGACTTAACCCATTGTGATCTGACTTCTATTTTTTTCCTTTTTTTAAAAAAAGATCTCACCTGCTGAAACTTCTGGGGTGACCACTGTTGAGTTTCAATTGCCAACGTTTCCCTAGACCTCTTTCTGTAGTACCTGGCATGTCACCACTCTCATCTGCAATTCTCTCCTTTTGGTTTAATGCTCCCTTCTGCTGCTTCTCTTCTTCCTCTCTGCCTGCTCCATCTTCCTCCCTTCATCCCGAAACGGTTGTGCTCCTTACTGACCCCTGCCTAGGCTCTCTGTCCCTTGTCATATCCTCTCAGGGTGGTCTGCTACTCCCAGGCTCTATCACACATATGCCGATGGCTCCTAGCGCTGCCCATCCTTGTTAGCTCTGGGTAGAGCTGCCCTTTGGAGCCCCCTCCACCAGGACATCACACAGGCACCTCAATCTCAGTAAGATCCAAATTGAACTCCTGAAGGTGAGGCGCGGTGGCTCACACCTGTAATCCTGGCACTTTGGGAGGCCAAGGCGGGTGGATCACTTGAGGTCAGGAGTTCGAGACCAGCCTGGCCAACATGGTGAAACCCTGCCTTTACTAAAAATACAAAAATTAGCTGGGTGTGGTGGTGTGCGCCCATAGTCCCAGCTACTTGGGAGGCTGAGGCAGGAAAATCGCTTGAATCTGGGAGGCAGACGTTGCAGTGAGCTGAGATCACACCACTGCACTCCAGCCTGGGCGAAAGAGAGAGACTCCATCTCAAAACAAAAACAAAAACAAAACCAAAACAAAAACAAAAAACACCCAACAAACTGAATTCCTTAGAGGCATCACCTGGCCCCTGCCGACTTCTTGACTTCTTCAGCCTCACACTGTCTCCGCATGGCTATAAAGTATAGCAGTACCAGATTGTAGTGGGCTGGCCACTAAGGTGTTCCTTATCGCTAATTAAATCGGCCTAAAATGGGAGAAAACAGAATGCTTTTCAGATGCTTGGAATAGTAGCTTGGTGTTGTGTCACAGTGATTCCATCGCTTTATGTTCAGAAAGCCTTGGTCCACGCCCTTTAAGAAACCTGGGATCCTCTTCCCAGGCAGCAGCACAGCACAGGAAAGGGGCTGCAAGCTCGAAAACCTATAGGACCAGGCATCCTCTATGAGTGGAGGTGGGTAGTGGGGGAGTGGTGAAGTGGAGAACATATCCCACAGCTAAAGGGAGGGGACAGTCCCTTCCCAACTTCAGCAAGGTATTGCCTGATGTGAATGTTGCCATCATTTCTGAATTTTCAAGGGAATGCAAAAACCTGGATTTTTCATATGAATCTTCCAATTGTTAGATGTTGGCAACTAATTCAAAATTTAAAATACACGATGTGAGCCGATTATTTTTTTGAAAACAAGTGTGAATCAAACAAAACACATCTGTGGGCCATATCCAACCCCTGGGTCACATGTCTGTGAACTATTGAGAGTACAAAGTGTGGAGGCTTTGGAGTCAGACAGACATGGGCTGAATATCAGCTCTGTTACCCTTTAGCTGTGTGTCTTTGGGCAAGCCACATAACCTAATTCCTCATCTATAAAGCAGGGATCACAATACTTACCTCACTGAATTATAATGAGGATAAGAGATCATATATGTAAAGTGGCTGGCACACAGCAGTTCTCTAACTAAAAACTAACTATTACTGATCAGCACTATTGACAGACCTACAAAAAGAATGTATGTACATGGTCAGCATAGGAAAGTATGGTACAGGAACACCACCAAGGAAGTGCCACAACACTTCAGTCCCTAGAGGGCAGTTCTCAGCGGTGGCTTTCCTTGTGCCTGCTCTCCCTACTGCAAATCATCCTCCGTCCCTTGGCTCTGATTTGCGGCTCACCTAGCACCTTCCCGATCCCTGCTTCCATCTTCTATTTCCCTGGCACTGGGAATAGGCAGCCCTAGATAAGTGATGTGGCCATTACAGCCTACGAATAGAAACCCCGTGTTAGAAAAGAGCCTTCTGATTTGCACCCCCGTCTTGCTTGAGTTTAGTTCTCTGGTGCACTAAAAAAAAGTCAGGTGCTCCAGGGCTTCACAGCTGGGCTTCTGAGCCTGGGACTGGAGGGAGGGCCTGACCAGAAGATATCCTTCCTGAGACCAAATGGAATCCCTAGACATTACCCTCTATGTCACCCCCAAACTGTGTCAGCCAGGAGGCGCTCCTGCAGGGTCTCCCAGAGATCAAGAGACCTGGGCCATTTTTCTTATTTGAGAATCCAGAGAAACTAAAAATAAAGACTTGCCAAGACAGGCTTTCATAGCATATTTTAAATATTTATGTTTAATAAATTAACACGTTGTAACACACAATATAATGCTACTTAGCTGTATTAGTCACAGCATAATTACAGAATTAATATATACATATATATTTATACATACACACATATATTTTCTTGCCCCATGGGTCCCCATGAGTAAATATATTCATAGAGAACTATAGAAATTGGGACACCAGTTAAAACTGTGTGACTTTTTTTTTTTGAGACAGAGTCTCTCTCTGTTGCCCAGATTGGAGTGCAGTGGCATGATCTCGGCTCACTGCAATGTCTGCCTCCTGGGTTCAAGCAATTCTCCTGCCTCAGCCTCCCAAATAGCTGGGTCTACAGGCACGTGCCACCAAGCCTGGTTAATTTTTGTATTTTTAGTACAGACAATGTTTCACCATATTGGCCAGGCTGGTCTCAAACTCCTGGCCTCAAGTGATCTGCCTGCCTCCGCCTCCCAAATTGCTGGAATTACAGGTGTGAACCACCACCTCCGGCCAAAACTGTGTAAAGTATGCTCTTCTTTCTTTGAAAGCATTGGTGGGGAGTTAATACAGGCAGGACTTAAGGGGTTATAATCCTTGACATAAGGGAAGAAGGCAGAAATGAAATAATATAATTCACCCAAAAGATAAGAGAGGAGAAGTAAAGAAACAAAACAGGTAGGAAAAGAAGAAAAGATTTGGCAAGGCTGGGTGTTGTGGCTCATGCCTATAATCCTAGCACTTTGAGAGGCTGAGGTGGGATGATTCCTTGAGGCCAGGAGGTCAAGACCACCCTGGGAAACATAGTGAGACACTATCTCAAAAAAAAGATTTTTAAATTAAAGGAAAGATTTAGCAAGATGGTAGACTTAACCACAACTACATCAGTAATTACATTAAATGTAACTGGACTAAACACTCCAACTAAAAGACCAATTTAGGGAGTGAGTCTCTGGGACTGAATGTCTAAAATTGAAACGCTTTGTGAACATGAGGCCTTGGCTCATTTTCCTTCAGGGTGTCCTATGATGACTTCAGTACCCCCAACAAAATAGGTGTCCTTGCTGTCTCTCAGAACTTGCCTTTCCCACTGTACAGAAAGCCCTTTATCATGTCTTCTCTCTGTTGTCCTGGAGACTCCTTTTTACCATCTCATGCTTCAAAATTCAGCTCCTCTGTGAATCCTTTGACTTTCTCTTGATGACACACACACACCTTCTCTCTGAAATTATTCATCCTACGGCATGCTTTTGTTATTGTTATTTGAGATTTGTTGTGCTGCTTCCCACTAGCCTGAGGACTCATAGAAGGAAGGAATTATGTAAATTCTTGTCTGTAACCTCAGCACCTAGCAGTGGGCCTGGCAGGCGGTAGATGCTAAATGAATAGATGGATAGATGCAAAGGCTCTAGCAAAAGGAAAGTGTTTAAAATGAAACCAAGGGCAGGAGGCCAAAGACAGAAAGTGTTTTGTGAAATCTCCCCCATGCGGTAATGACATCTTTATGCACTTAATGCACCTCTAGCCCTGTACTTCTCTGAATTCTGGGTAGCATCCCTCTGTAAGGCCCAACTTTTCCTCTCACTTGGGACAGCCTCACTTCTTTCTGGTGAAATCCCTCCTACCTTCAAGCCCAGTTCAACAGCAATCATCATCTCTGGCACCTGGACACAGCCACATAAAGTTCACAGCCATACATATTTTCTCATTTGACCCAAACATCCACCCCATAGGTAGATATTATTACTTCATTTTTCACAGACAAGGAAATAGAGGCCCAGAAATTATTTCATTGATGAGAAAATTGAAGCCAGAAAGGGACTTGGTCAAAGTCTCACAGCGATGGGGGCATAGTTGCAGCTTCTACTCAGTGCTGGGAACACCCTTAGTTGTGACAAGGATGCTGCTTTGACTTTTAGGGTTGCTATGTGAGAAGCAACATCTCAAAAAGGAAAATAGCTTTTCTCTCATGCTGTCTCCTTCCTTCCTCTCAGTGTCTAAAATCATGAAGAGCTCTTTGGAAGCTGTAAGTGGCCTCTTGCAAAAAGGAGGCATAGGTTTTGGGTGGAGGCTGTGATAAGACTGCTGTTTGGATGAAGAATCCCTGTTGCAATCTTCTCTGTCACAGTGGTTGTATAGACAGCCTCTCGTAGGCATTATCCAACTGGAAGCAAAGAGAAACCCTTATGACTTCCAGGCACTTCCCCAAAGCCTCTCAAAATTTACTGAGTACATATCCTGGGGTTGGACAACACAGTTTTTAGTGCCAGTACTTACCATTCCCAAGCCCATGGCAGACATCAAGAATGAATCGCAGGACTCCTTCCCACAAAGCTGGAAAAATAGCCCATCTCAATGTAGCAATCCAGACAGATTCAATCAATTGACTGGAGTTGATGCATGTCATCAAAGTTATTTAACATTTTATCTTATTGCATGTCAAGCCCAGGGATAGGGAATACAGAGGTGAAAAAAATTTTCTCTGCCCTCAAATCTGGAGGCAGGACATAGGTAGGGGTTAAGAGGAGACAAACCTGGGAACACATATTTATAACCAGGTTAAGTTTAAAACCAGGGTTAAATGTATGAACCCAGTATTGTGGAAGTACATATTAGCCAATGACTAATTCCGCCTAGAAGTGAGACACAGAGGTGGGTTTTGAAGGATGAAAAGGAGCTGAATAGGCCAAGCAAAGTAGGAAGGGTATTACTGGCAAAGAGACTAACATATACTAAGGCTTAGAATAACAGAAAGCACTAGAACAGGTAGGTGTAAGGAAAAGAAAACCTGTACCCAGAGTGAGAAAAACCATTTCCCTTCATCCCTCTATGCTGTAGTTACATCATCTGTAAAAATAATAATACCTGGCCGGGCGCGGTAGCTCACACCTGTAATCCCAGCACTTTGGGAGGCCGAGGTGGGCGGATCACTTGAGGTCAGCAGTTTGACACCAGCGTGACCAACATGGTGAAACCCTGTCTCTACTAAAAATACAAAATTAGCCAGGTGTCCCGGCACATGCCTGTAATCCCAGCTACTTGGGAAGCCAAGGCAGGAGAATCGCTTGAACCTGGGAGGCAGAGATTGCAGTGAGCCGAGATCACGCCATTGCACTCCAGACTGGGCAACAAGAGTGAAACTCCATCTCAAAGAAAAAAAAATTGTAATACCTATCTCATAAGGCTGTAGTCAGGATTCAGTAAGATAATGTATGTAATGCCCTCAGTATGGTGCTGCCTGCTTCAATAAAAGTCAGCTCCTAGTGATGTCTCCAGAACATCAAGGAGCATGAAGCTGATATTTGGCAATTGAGCCAGAATACATTTGAAGGAGAGGAGTATCATCAGATTTTTAAAATGTTTATGTTTTCCATGATTAAAACATATGTTTATATCTGTTTATATCAGAAGGGTTGAAAACATTTTAAATAGAAGAAAAGAGAATCTTACCTAACCCTACTACCACGCAGAGAGGACTTCTGTTAATATATTGGTGCCATGGTTTCCAGTCTTTACTCAGTGCAATTCTTTTCTATGCCTATGACCATACCACATAAACAAGCTCTCTGTTTTTTCTACATACAAATTATTATGTAAGCAGTTTTCCATATTATTATAATCTCTTTGAACATATCATTTTAATGACTCATATTCATGGAGTGGATAGACTATAATTTACTCAGCCATTTCGCTACTGTTGGACACATAGGTTGTTTATCTTTTTTTTTTTTTTTTTACTCTTGTCAATATAATGTTATGGGAGAATATCTTAGCACATAAGGCTTTTTTCTGTACTTGAGACTATTTCCTTTAGATAGAGACCTACATGTAGAATTAGAGGCTTCAAGGGTCTTGATTAAAGGCTACCAAATTTTTTCCTGAAAGGGTGTATTTACACTCCTTCAGCAGTATTTGTTTCACTGTAGCCTTACCAGCTTTGAGCATTCTCATTTTAAACAAAATCATTGCTAATGTGTTGGCTGCAAAGAACAAGATCAAAGGCACAGTGTTTTTCTCACTATTCAGAAGCTGGAGAAGAGCTCATTTGTGTGTCTCACATGCATGTTCTGTGTTACAACCTCTCAGTGCTTGGTTTTTATCTGTTTACTGAGGGAGGGATCTTCAGGTTATTATCACATATAGTTAAAATAGTAACCCTTTGTCATATTTTATTTTATTTTATTTTATTTTTTTGAGATGGAGTTTCGCTCTTGTTGCCCAAGCTGGAGTGCAATGGCATGATCTCGGCTCACCGTAACCTCCACCTCCCGGGTTCAAGCAATTCTCCTGCCTTAGCCTCCCGAGTAGCTGGGATTACAGGCATGTACCACCACGCCCGGCTAATTTTGTATTTTTAGTAGAGATGGGGTTTCTCCATGTTGAGGCTGGTCTTGAACTCCTGACCTCAGGTGATCCACCCGCCTCGGCCTCCCAAAGTACTGGGATTACAGGCATGAGTCACTGCGCCCGGCCATATTTTAAAAGAAAGATTTTTCTTTCTTTTAATGACAAACAAATGACTTTGTTTGTCATTTGCCTTTGAATTAAGGCTTTATGTTCTGATGGAAATAAGTCTACAGATCTTTTCCTTTGCAATAGCTTCTCCTTTCCTGTAGAAATTTGACAGGCAGGACTTTTTAGCTCTCTCTGGGTAAGTCACCTTTCCCTCTGGACCTCAGTTTCCCTGTCTTTTAAATGGTTGGATGGGTGGAGATGTGATTTCTCAGCTTCCTTCTAGGTGGAGATTCTTGGGCTCTGGACTCCACAGTGCAGCTCAACATTGGCAACCCTCTCCACATGCTCTGGGACTCCAGCTGCGGAATCTCCTCTCCTTGAGACTGAGAGTTCATTCAGCGATCGTCTTTTGAGCATCTACCACACGCCAGGCACTATTCTAGATGCTGGGGATATGGTAGTGATGAAAAAACAAAGTCCCTGCCATCATGACCTCTAGTAAAGGGAGATGGACAACAAAGAAACCAGAAAGTTATAATTCAGATGGTGATAAACACTATGGAAAAAAATGAAACAGGGTAAAGGATTAGGGAGTGCCAGGAAGCAAGGAAGGAGGGAAGTTGCTTATATAGGAGGGTCAGGTGACATTTTAGTGGAGACTTGAAGGAAGTGAGGGAGCCGGCCAGGCAGATATCCAGAAGAGCATTCTAGGTAGTAGTTACCGCAAGTGTAAAGGCCCTAAAGCAGGAGGCCAGCATGGCTTGAGCACAAGGATTGAGGGGGACAAAGCAGGGGAGAGGGACAGAGAAGAGGTAGGTGGCCTTAGGGCTCTCATAAGGACTTGGCTCTCACTGAGCGAAATGGAAAGCCCAGGATGGTTTTGAGCAGGCCAGTGACCTGATTGCAGCTGTTTTCAAGGAGTTAGAAAAGACCTCTACCCTAGTGGGTACTGCAGGCTCTGGCTCTGGGATGAGCCACACCCTGTCCCATTCCTGATGAGGGACCTTGGCCTCTCCTAGCCTTAGTTCTTTATCTAAGAAATAATTCCAAGGATTTAGCCAAGTACCCCTCCCTCACTGCAGCTGACCTAACTGGGCCAAGCTTTTGTGTAAGTGGTAGGGAGGAGTTGGAAGGGGAGGGAGGAGAGTGGAGCCAATCCAGAGGCTTGAATGTTTAATGTGGAATTTCCTCTCTCTAGGGGACCACAGGTGGGGGCAGCTTGCAGGGGGAGGTTATTCAGTTCACTAGTATCTAGCCAGCACCTACCCATCCTGAGTCTCGGACTCCTGGCTCAGGGGAGGTGGGGTAGCTAACAAGCTCCAACAGGCCCAGGCACAGTCACAGTGGCCAGAATTGGAGCCATCCATCCTCCCAAGAATCAGGCCTGTCAGGACCTGCCTCCAGAAACCCACTCAGCTGCTCTGTTCTCAGGGAAGGTGGCCTTTCCTGATTCTGCTCCCCCTACCTCCAGCCCCTGAATTAGCACCCTTGGAGTTCAAAACTATTTTCCACGGTTGGAATTTTGTATCAATTAGTAGGATTCTTTGACTATTTTTCCTCTCCCACCATTCTAGAAACTAACGGGCCTGGTGAGGGCTTTGTCTATTTCCTTTCCTGTTGTGGTCCCGGAGTCCCCCAGCACAGTGCCTGGCACGTAAGGGGCACTCAGTAAATGAGCTGAATGAATGAAAGATAGGGGAGTAAGGAAGGTAATGCTGTTCCTTTTTACAGGCAATAAAACAGAGGCCCAGACAGGGTCTGACCTCCTCAGCAGCAGAGCAGGTGACTGCCTTCTGGCCTAATTCCTATAATGGGAGCCACCCAGGAGCATAGGTTCACACCCAAGGACCTCCCAGGCCCTCCCCCATCTTCTCTAAGGGAACTGCAGAGCCAGGCCCTGCCTGACCCCAGAAACAAGACTAGTTTCCCAGGAAAAGATCCTAGGGCAGGAGTGGAGCAAGTGACAGCTTGTTTTTTATTTTATTTTTATTTTATATTTTTTGAGACAGGGTCTTGCTCTGTCACCCAGGCTGGAGTGCAGTGGTGCGATCTCAGCCCACTGCAACCTCTGCCTCCTGGGCTCAATTGATCCTCCCACCTCAGCCACCCGAGTACCTGGGACTACAGGTATCTGCTACTACGCCTGGCTAATTTTTGTGTATTTTTTGTAGAGACAGGGTTTTACCATGTTGCCCAGATTGGTCTCGAACTCCTGGGTTCAAGCGATCCATGCGCCTCAGCCTCCAAAAGTGCTGGGATTACAGGTGTGAGCCACCACTCCCAGACGTGACAGCCTGTTAATAGCAATAATAGCACTTTGAATATACCAGACACTGCTTTTCCACAACTTTTTGAGACATGTTTTGTTAGCAACTCCATTTTACAGATGAAAAAACAGAGGCTCAGGGTGGTAAGTGGCATGCCGAAGGTAGTGGCAGAGCCTAGGTGCTCCAACCCAGGCAGCTGGGCTCAGCCCACTCCGATCCTCTCCAGCTGCCTCTCTGTTACAGCGCAGAACATCAGCAGCATCAGGAGTCATGTGCTCTTCCAGCTCTGCCTTGAGTACCCGATGACCTCGTTTCCTCAGCGGTAGATAGCGATGGTTAATATTGGCTAGCCTGTAGAGTTATCGGGAGACCAACGCACAAAAAGGGTTTAATACCGTGCCCAGCACATAGTAAGTGGTCAATACATGTTAATTGTTGATATTCTTGTTATCTGTGGTGTGTCTGGGCCGGGAGGGAGGGCTGCAGGGCGGTGTCTACGCACACTTTACAGGTGAGGTCATCCCGCGGGCTGGGGGTGCCGGGCCCCTCGCTGGCCCACGCCCAGCCAGGTGCACCCGCGGCGAGAGTCCGGTGGCCTCAGGTCACAGGCCCCTCCCCGCCGGACATTTAAGGAGGGACGCCGGGCGCAGGCGCAGACAGCGCAAGCCCCACGCCACGCGTCGCTGGTCCCAGGCAGCGAGTCGCTCGCGCGCCCCGCCGCCCGCCTGGCGACAGCTCCGCCGCGCACGCACATGGAGGGGAGCGCGAGCCCCCCGGAAAAGCCCCGCGCCCGCCCTGCGGCTGCCGTGCTGTGCCGGGGCCCGGTAGAGCCGCTGGTCTTCCTGGCCAACTTTGCCTTGGTCCTGCAGGGCCCGCTCACCACGCAGTATCTGTGGCACCGCTTCAGCGCCGACCTCGGCTACAATGGCACCCGCCAAAGGGGGGGCTGCAGCAACCGCAGCGCGGACCCCACCATGCAGGTAGCGGGGCGGCGAGGAGCCTGGCAGGTGGAGGGCCCTGGTCTGGAGCGTGGGGGCAGCGGAGGGGCGGGGCCTGCGTAATGGTAGTGGCGGGTAACTGGAGGGAGGGTGCATTTTGGATGGTGGGCGGGACCAGAGCAAAGGGGCCTGACCGAGAACCTCAGCGGGTGGGATGCGAAAAGCTGAGCTAAAGTCTGGCCTTGCAGGTTAACAAAAGGGGGGGGAAAGGAAAGGGAATGGGGCCTTGGTCCATGTCCTTCCCCCTCTCCACTGGCAGATTTTGAAAGCTGTGCTAAGATTCTCTGAGGTTTAGGGCTCCAAAGGAAGTCCTCATCCCTGTAGCTCCCGGGATGGCGAGGATTTGGGGATTGTGGAACCCAGAGTGAGGAACCGCACCCTGGTCATTGTGCCCCTACAGGAAGTGGAGACCCTTACCTCCCACTGGACCCTCTACATGAACGTGGGCGGCTTCCTGGTGGGGCTCTTCTCGTCCACCCTGCTGGGAGCTTGGAGCGACAGTGTGGGCCGCCGCCCGCTGCTAGTGCTGGCCTCGCTGGGCCTGCTGCTCCAGGCCCTAGTGTCCGTTTTTGTGGTGCAGCTGCAGCTCCACGTCGGCTACTTCGTGCTGGGTCGCATCCTTTGTGCCCTCCTCGGCGACTTCGGTGGCCTTCTGGCTGCTAGCTTTGCGTCCGTGGCAGATGTCAGCTCCAGTCGCAGCCGCACCTTCCGGATGGCCCTGCTGGAAGCCAGCATCGGGGTGGCTGGGATGCTGGCAAGCCTCCTCGGGGGCCACTGGCTCCGGGCCCAGGGTTATGCCAACCCCTTCTGGCTGGCCTTGGCCTTGCTGATAGCCATGACTCTCTATGCAGCTTTCTGCTTTGGTGAGACCTTAAAGGAGCCAAAGTCCACCCGGCTCTTCACGTTCCGTCACCACCGATCCATTGTCCAGCTCTATGTGGCTCCCGCCCCAGAGAAGTCCAGGAAACATTTAGCCCTCTACTCACTGGCCATCTTCGTGGTGATCACTGTGCACTTTGGGGCCCAGGACATCTTAACCCTTTATGAACTAAGCACACCCCTCTGCTGGGACTCCAAACTAATCGGCTATGGTTCTGCAGCTCAGCATCTCCCCTACCTCACCAGCCTGCTGGCCCTGAAGCTCCTGCAGTACTGCCTGGCCGATGCCTGGGTAGCTGAGATCGGCCTGGCCTTCAACATCCTGGGGATGGTGGTCTTTGCCTTTGCCACTATCACGCCTCTCATGTTCACAGGTAAAGTGTGTGGGCTCAGGGACAGCTTGTCCCAGAGGCACTGGGTAAGAACTGGGGGCCGGCCACTCACTGCCCCCAGATGTGGTTCATTCCTGTGTCTTTGGAAACATAGTTATGCCCCCAGCCTGCACTGGAGAACAGACAACTAAGAAATCCCTCAAAAATGCCATCTTTGATACATGGAAAATATAGACCTTCAGTAGCTAAAGTAATTAACCCACTGTTATCAACCATTAATATTGTTAGTAATATAGAGCAAAAGACAAAAGTGTGGCTCATACACTAATTGCTTTACCCCTTGGCCTCCCACCGCCTATTCATATGTTCTTAAACAAAGTCCATGCCATTAATGCCTGGTACTCACTTCTCTGATAAGAATCACAGGACCTACCTCAAATACCCTTAGTCAGCTTCTTTGGGTTTTTTAAAAACCAGTCTTCTCGGACCACAGATATGAAATTCCTGCTTCAGTTCCTCTTCTCCTCTTTCTCCTTCTCCTTTCCCTCCTCACTTCCTCCCCTTCTTTTTTTGATGGGAGAGGGTCAACAGGCCAGTAAATGAGGAAGTTAACTTTTTAAAATTTTTATTTGATTGATGTATTTAGAGACAGGGTCTCGCTTTGTTACCCAGGCTAGAGTGCAGTGGCACGATCATGGCTCACTGCAGCCTCATCCCCCGGGCCCAGATGATCCTCCCACCTTGGCCTCTCTAGTAGCTGGGACCACTGGTGCACATTACCACACCTTGCTAATTTTTGTATTTTTTATAGAGATGGGGTCCTCACCATTTTGCCCAGTCCAGGTCTCTAACTCCTGAGCTCAAGGATCCGCCTGCCTCAGCCTCCCAAAGTGTTGGGATTACAGGCATGAGCCACCGTGCCCGGCTTTAGTTAACTTTTTTTAAAGGGACAGATTTATTTTGATAGAGCCCTAAAATGTGCTGTGTATAGTCAACAATACAATAATCACAGATTTCTTAACTCAACTGCTTGTCTGACAATTAAGCAGAAGGGAACCTTTCCCTCCTGCTGATGGCCCTGGGGGATGCAGAGATGATAAAGATGCTGTCATTGCTCTGGGTCGGGGGGAGGTCTCAACAGAGTGGGATTTGAGGGGCCTGACACTGCTAGGGTCCCTGGATGCCTCATCGTATACCTTCTTTGGAGGATCCACTGTCCTGTAGGAGTTTGCAGTTTTGCTGAGGAGTCAGCAGTCGCACAGGGAGAGAAATGGTTATGAAGAAAACAGGAAGCCTGTAAGTAACTGAATGCAAAGGGAAAAGGAACTCCCATTTGCTGTGTCCCTATGCCATGCTCTTCATAGATGTTACCTTTTTACCTCATGTATTGGTTCCCTGAGATTGCTGTAATGACATACCACAAACTTGGGGGCTTAACACAACAGAAACATATTCTCTCACAGTTCTGGAGGCCAGAAGTCCAAAGTCAGTACCACCGGGCTGAATGGAAGCAGTCAGCAGGCAGTGCTCCCTTGCAAGCCTCCAGGAGAGAACGTGTTTCTCATTTCTTCCAGCTTCTGGGGCTGCTGGCATTCCTTGGCTTGGGGCGGCCATCACCAGTCTCTGCCTCTGTGCTCACATTGACTCTCCTCCTCTTTGTGCCTTCTCAATTCTGTCGGTGCCAAATCTCCGTCTGCTTTCCTCTTATAAAGATATGTGTGACGGCATTTAGGGCCCAACCTAATCCAGGATAACTCTGCTCTCTCAGGAGGCTTAACTGCACACCTGCATAGACTCATTTTCCAAATAAGGTAGTATTTACAGGTTCCAGGGCTATGAATCTGATGCCATTGGGCACCATTATTCAGCCTCCTATGCCTCAGAACCATCCTGTGATGAAGGCCTTATTATCTTCCTCATACAGGGAGTCAGGATCAGAGAGGGTAAGTACCCCAGGCCACACAGATAATATGTAATGGCATCAGGTTTTGAACTCAGGGCTGACTCCAAAGCCCATGCTTGTTTTCTGTGCCCTGCCATATCCCTACTAAGTGCCAAGTGGGTGGGTGATGCCTGCTGTGACCACAAGAGGTTCAGACAAGAAAGCAATCAATGGGAATTAGCATTCATTCATGAGAGCTAGCAGGTGGCCAAGCCCAGACAAGGGCAGTCTCCATTCCTCCTTGACTACTGTCTTCCCACCCTCACCATCAAGGAAGTTCTTCCTGGGTCTAACCTAAGCCCCACGTGGGGTATGGATAGGAGCTCTGCTGCCTTTCCCTTGGACGCCCCTCTCCCCAGCCCCATTTTCCTGATGAGTGTTTGTTTCTCCACAGGATATGGGTTGCTTTTCCTGTCATTAGTCATCACACCTGTCATCCGGGCTAAACTCTCCAAGCTGGTGAGAGAGACAGAGCAGGGTGAGTGTCAGAACCCACCTGTGTCTGGTTCCTCATGTCCAGTGCTGCCCGAAACGGGCTGATGGGCAGCCATGGCTGGGGGAACAGCTTGCCTTCCCCCCTCTCACCCTGGAGAAGTAAGTGGCCAAAACAAACACATTTCTGTGAAATTGCCCACAATGGGCAGAGGATCATGCCACCTTGGATTTTCAAACCGCAGAGTTGGGATTTGCAGTCAGCAGAGCACAATTATGTTCTTTCTAGATAACCAGAGCAGAGGATTTACTCTCTGCAGACCTCAGCTTTTCCGTCTGTAAGATGGGTGTGGTGATGCCAGAGTTCCCTGTTTCTCTGGGGTCAGCGTGTACAAGCCCAGAAGTGAACAACCTTGTGACATGGGTTTCATTTTCCACAGTTGACAGATAAAGAAACAGAGACCCAGGGGGTTACATTGGCTCACCCAAGGTTACTCAGTAAATGGTGGAGCTAGGATGCAAACCTACGTCTGTGTTTAAAAGCAGCTGGTCTCAGGATCTGGGTTTTAGTCCGAGCCCTGCCACAGGCCTGTTTCTTCATCTGTGATGTGGGTGGTTTGCTTTTGATGACATCACAGACCCCTCTAGATGTGACAGAATTTAATCTCAACTTCTGTTGGGTTGTTGCACATTTTGTAAACTGTGGGTTCTCCTGGTATATCTATAAAGAACAGCTTCTCCAGCCTCTGGGTCTTTATGCCCCAGTCTGGAAACATTCATCTTTTTCCATCTGTCCTGGAATGAGGATCTGATGATGACAGAGACTCTGGTGCCATACAGAGCCCACTGTGGGTTCTGGTGTCCCCAGAATCCATGTGTCTTCATTCATTCACCTAAACTTTTTTTCCCAGCACTTTCTCTGTGCCCAGAGATGTCAAGAGAAACAGGAGAAAAGAACAGCCCTTACTAACTAGCTACTTCCAGGGGACCAGGCCCAGTGATGGGTGATTTCCATGTGAACTTAATGTTGCTCACAATCTAGGAAATAGGTATTATCCTTATTTAGCAGAAGGAGGAACAGGAACCCAAAGGATAAGAAGCTATTCAGTGGTGACACCGCTATGAATATTGGAACTGATCAGACCAGCAGTTAATCCCAAACAGGAGATGATTCCAAAGAGGATAAACCAGAAAAAAGCCATTTCCATCAAGCTTTCATCAGACAATATCACATGTACTTTTTTTTTCTTTTATGTGCTGGGTTCTGTCAGATCACATGTACTTTTAATGTGGATTTAATAGCAGCCATTTGTTTAGTAGCCCCTCTGTGCCAGCTACTGTCCACATATGACCTTACTGAATCCTTGTCACAGTACATGATGTAGCAGGATTTACTGGTGAGGAAGGGGAGACATAGGTTAAGTGACTACTCCCGGTCACACAGCTGTGAGGTGGTGGTGCCAGAGTTGGAATATGGCCCTTTCGGACTCCAGAGTATGGTATTTATTTCTTCACAGGTGCTCTCTTTTCTGCTGTGGCCTGTGTGAATAGCCTGGCCATGCTGACGGCCTCCGGCATCTTCAACTCACTCTACCCAGCCACTCTGAACTTTATGAAGGGGTTCCCCTTCCTCCTGGGAGCTGGCCTCCTGCTCATCCCGGCTGTTCTGATTGGGTAATGCAGGGCCCTGAACCCATGCTCATAATGGAGCCCTTTCTCTTAAAAGTTTCCTCTTCTCCTCCCAACCAGAAATGGCAGCTTCATTCCTGGAATCCTTACCCTCTGGGTGTCTTGTCCCAGGTTGCCCCTCTCCTTGCAGATGGCTGCCTAATCCTCCAGGAGCCATTTTCCAAGGGCGAGATGGCGAGCTAGGTGGAGGAAGGATCAGGCTAACATTGCTGCTTGGCAAGGCTGTGTTCTCTCTCCCAGTTCCCCTATTTCCCTCCATTCCCATTTTATAGATGGAACTATGGCAGCAGAACTGTGTTAAAGGGAAGGCCAGGAAGCTTTGTCAGCTAGTTGTGGCTGGGCCACAGGCTAGCTTGACCCGCTGACTTTTTCCTGTATGATATTAAGAATTATATTTCATGGCCGGGCGTGGAGGCTCTTGCCTGTAATCCCGATCCTGTGGGAGGCTGAGGCAGGAGGACCACTTGAGCCCGGGAATTCAAGATCAGCCTGGGCAACATAGCAAGACCTTGTCTGTATAAAAAATTTAAAAAATCACCCAGGCATGGTGGTATGCACTGGTAGTCCCAGCTACTAAGGAGGCTGAGGCAGGAGGATCACTTGAGCCCAGGAGTTCAAGGGTACAGTGAGCTATGATTATGTCACTGCCCTCCAGCCTGGACAACAGAGCAAGACCCTGTCTCTTAAAAAAAAAAAAGTTATTTTCCAGAGCCATGTCCCTGGATATTGTCCTCCAGCTCTCAGCTTCTCAGCTTGGGGAAGGAGGAGGTTCAGGAGAGCTACCTGGACCAGCCCACCCCAGTAAATCCTGTGTCACTTCTCCAGACAGGCCTTGAGGGTTCCCCACATGAAATCCAAACTCTCTCTCTGGTCTCTCACAGGATGCTGGAAAAGGCTGATCCTCACCTCGAGTTCCAGCAGTTTCCCCAGAGCCCCTGATCTGCCTGGACCAGAAGACAGAGGGCAAGAGGAGCAAAGTGAACACCAAGCAACTGGAGGTCTGCAGCTGGAAGCCCAGCCCACAGCAGGACAAGCAACTCTTGTCTAAGGGCAGTGCTCTCTTTGGACGAGGTAGTCAAGAGAGACCAAGGCACCACCCCATCCACAGCTGACCCAGCCTCTGTCTAGGATCTAGAATCATAACCCACACAGGCCCACTGCAGGACAGGTGGCAGAGGAGCTATTTGGGACAGGAGTCAGTTCTCCCTTTCTGCTATCCATCACTTATAACCCCACAGGCCAGAGGAGAGGTCCTGAGAGAGGTGACACTTCAGGGACCAGAGGCAGCACGAGGGCTGGCATCTCTCCTTCCAGCCCAAACTGCACAGCCCCAACCAGGTTCCCAACACGTGTAGCAGTCATCAGCCATTCCTTAACAATGAATGTGGTACCTGGTTAGTGCCAGCCTTGGGAAGGAGGGAGGGAGGTAAGAGGGGCTTGGTGATCTCTGGAGGAAGAGTGTTGCCTTTGCTGTGGTTGGGGAATCGATCCTTGGCTATGGCCTACCCACTCCCCTGGCTGAAGAGTGCCAATCATTACAAATCAGCTTCAGCAAACTGAAACAAACCTTCTGGTGCCTTGGGCTTTGGGGCCCTCTGTTTTCCTGCTCCCAGTCTGCCTGCCATACGTTAGACAACAGAAGCTGCTGGGCTGGGCAGGAGCCCTGAGCTGCCTGGTGGATTGGTACCAAGTGGGGCCAGCCAGGGCTTCTACTGACTCGCTGTGCAACCTTGAGCAAGCCCCACTAGGAACGGCTAGATCAGCAATGCCCCAAATTGTTGAATCGTGGTGATCACATTTGGATGGACAAGTTAGGAAACTTAGCTGATTCTCTGAGATACTTCCCACTTCCTCATACATTCTACAATGAGATGCCTCTCTTCATGGGCCTGGGGAAAGGATGAATGAGTGTGGCTGGACTTTTGACCTTTAATGTCCCTGAGCAGTTCTTGGCCCTTGGGGAGAAGTAGGGGGAGGATCTGGCTGACTCAGCCCCAACCGAGGGGTAGCAGCTGCAGCCCAGCCAAGCAGAACACCCTGGCCCTACAGACCTGTGTCTGAGCAGGCTTTGGAGGAAAGGCCACTTCTGAGTCCTCTGTCTCAGGAGAAGCCAGGCCTAGGTGCTTGACCTGGTGATCTGAGCTGTGTTTGTCCTAGTATGGGTGGCAGTCACCTCTGAACACACTGGCCTTGGCTTAGAGGAGGCTTGTGACTTCAGCTGTTCCAGCTGGGGCTGGATGCTGGACTCTGATTCCCTCAGAGAGACAGAAGATCGGGCAGAGGTCAACCAGAAGGCCACACAGGGCAGTGGACAACAGTGGAGGGTATACCAAATAGAAATAAAACGCAGGAAACCTCTCTGAATACTGCCCTTGGGGACCTCAGGAGGGAGTGGGACTGATTGGAGACAAAGAGCCAGAAATCATCCCCTGGAGATACTCAGACACTGTATTGTTATTGGCGCTGTCCTGTGAGGGCAGTGTCCAGGCTGCCCTGCTTGTCATATCCATGCCCTGGCTCTGGCCCCGGTGAGCACTTGTGCTGCATGAGGAAAGGAGGATCAGGTGGGGTCAAAACCAAAGCATCGAGGCTGGCACTGGCCAAGACAGACTCTGGCAGGGAGGGGAGTGGAAGGAAGGAGCCCCAAACCTGGAGTGAGACCTTTGACTTTCTGATGATGTGGCCAAGAACTAGGAGTCACCTGGCCAGCACAGCCAAGAGTGGGGCTGGGGGCGCAGCCAGCTTTAAGGTGTCAACACCTGGCCCTTGCGGGGAAAGAGCCTTCAGCAGCCCCCACGGCCTGGAGCCTGGGTTTATTGGAGGGTGCTTTCTTACCCTCTGAACCCAGTGGAGGAGGGGGCAATGGGATATTCCTGCTCTGTATGGCCTCTGGGTCAGCTTTTTGTTGCAAAATCCTATCCCCCGCTGCTAGATTCTTTGAAGCAAGGGAGAAGCAATAGCCCAGCCTCAGAATGATTCTCAGGAAAGCAATTCCACTGCCAGTGGACTGGGTGCCAGGAGGCCTAGGTCTGGATCTGGGGCTGCCACTAATGACAGGAAAGTGGGCTTATCCTCAACCTTTCTGAGCCTCAGTGTCATTATCTGTAAAATGGGGATGATAATACCAGGTAGAGTTGCTCTGATGACTGGAGACCATGGAGCGGAGTGTTTGGGAAATGGCAAAGATTTGTGAGGGCTTCGTGCTTTAGAGATTTGCTACCCTTAACCACCAGCATCAGCTCACCTGGGAATCTGTAAGAAATGCAGAGTCCTAGGCCCCACCCCAGATCTCCTGATTTTAACAACATTCCCAGGTGACTTGGATGCATGTTAAAGTTGGAGAAGCTGCCCTAAGTGACAACCCTTTGCCTTTTCAGGACTTTGCCTCTTTCCACAGAGCTGCAGGTTCTGTCTAGGCTGCTTTTACTGCCATGGGGGCTGCCTGGTCCCTGAGTAAGCAGTGGGTAGCCCTGGATGGCTGAGGGGCTGGGGAAGCCAGCTGGGCCAGACCAGGAAGGAGCCTGAGGCACAGCACCAAGGCATGGGGTAGGGTGGGCTTTGAGGCACGGCCTCCCCATGCCCAGACCCAGGCCCAAACAGGAGGCTCCTGTGCACCAGCAAGTGCAGCAAAGCTGGCTGCAGTGACAAGGAAGTCAGAGGGAGGGCTGGTTTGCCTCAACCCTCGCCCTGGATGTGGCAAAAGATACCACACCGAAGGAAGCTGTAGGGGATCTGGGACTTAGTCAGGCTAGCTAAGGGCACTGAGTGATTACAGGGCAAGGCCACAGAGCGGCAGGAAGTTGTAAGTGCAGGGGCCAGGCACAGTCTGAGTGGAGAGCCATGATGGCACTCATCCCTGGCTGGCTCCTGGGCCCAGGCCCTTGCTCAGAATACAGTGCCCAGGCCCGCCTGGGCATTGCCTTAATTCCTGTCTGAGGCTGCCTTCCGTCATCCTCCTCAAGCTGACTGCTATCAGCAGGAGAAGGGAATGCAGAACCACCCCCACCCCAACTCCAGTGTCTCCAGAACTGAGCAGGGACCCTCCCCATGACGGAGACAGACAACCCAATGGCAGGGCCTGGGGGAGTTCTAACCTCCCGTGCCCAAGCCTGACTTCCCTTCCCTCTCCAGATACTGAGGAAAGTGGGTTGGAGGTGGGCCATGAGGGTGGGGGACAGGGGGAGGGAGAGCCATTTCCTAAGAAGAGCCCAGGTTGTCTCAGCCCAGGGAGACTGGTTTCAGGAGCTGTTCCTTCAGAAAGGACGATGGAAATGGAAGTCACAGCAGGGCTGGGGAACTGGGGACTGGTTAGGTTGGACCCATGGGTGCAGCACCCTCCAAACTGGTGTCAGAGCCTGCAGATGAGTCCCGGGAGGAGCGGCCCTGCAGGAAGCGGATGATCTTCTCAATGGTGGCCTCCTGGTATTCGTGGGACCACCTGTGGGCACAGGAGCCAATGTGGTTCAGACAGCTGGGCAGAGGGAGCTGCTAGTCAGCTGTTTGCCCACACTCTGCCTGTCATGGTGATTTGTACCCTACCCCCCTGGTCCCAGGGCCCTGGGGCTCACTTGATACCGTTGAAAGTAAGCACAGCCTGCATGTCCTCAGGCAGGACCTGGGGCTCAGGCCACTCGAAGCCATCAATGATGGGCACAATGTTCTTGCCGCAGCTTAAAGCAGTCACAATCTCCTGGAGAAAGAAAGGAAAGGAGGAAGATACCCCTGTACCCATCTAGGGACCCTTGTAGCCAGGCAGGTGCTGGGAGGCCCACTGGCCCGAGGCTGGGCCCAGGGCAGGACACCAGTCCTGATGTCCACCTTGATGTCTACCTTAACCCTTGTAGTGTAATAAAAAATAAATATTTTTCCTTTGCCCAGAGTTCCTGGCACAGAGCTGCTAAAACCCTTGGAATCTCTTGAGTGATGAGTGTCTTTGTATGCTAAAGAGATGATTCCCCACTGGGGGCCCGGGGGGTGCTATGGGGGTAGCCTAGATAGTTTCAGGAAGAGGGCTGGTCACCAGGGAGACCAGGGCATGACTAGAGGATTGGAACTTTCAGCCCCACCTCCCAGCCTCCAGAGAGGTGCTGGAGATTGAGTTCAATCACCAATGGCCAATGATTTAATCAATCATGCCTACATAATGGAACCTCCATAAAAACCCCCAAACAAGGGGTTTTGAAGAGCCTCCAGGTTGATAAACAGGTGTAGGTGCTGGGAAGGTGGTAGAAGGCATGGCATCCACACCTCCACCCTCCATACGTAGAGATCCTATGTATCTCTTCCATTTGGCTATTCTTGAGCTGTGTCCTTTATAACTGTGAAATTAAATAATTCAGCTGGGCATGGTGGGTCACGCCTGTAATCCCAACACTTTGGGAGGCTGAGGCAGGAGGATCACTTGAGCCCAGGATTTTGAGATTAATAATATTATTTATTACTATTATTCAAGCTTTGTTAAATCAAACCTAAAGCTCTTGGAACTTTAAGTTATTCTGAGCCTTGACAGGAATTGGTCTCTGCAGCCTGAGTCATGGGGCATGCAGCTGCAACTTCCACCTATTTTTTTTTTTTCTGTAATTACTTAGGAAGACCAAATGGCACCAGAGATAAGACTCCCTTAGATCCCCACTTAGATCACCACCCTTTCTCAGGGGGTAATAAAGTCATCTTCCTTGGAATGTAGCAATCTATAACCAATCAAAGCACTGTAACATACGCACTGGTCTTGTATGGAAAATGTTGTAATCCTGCTAAAATTCCTCTCTCTTTGCCTGTGGAAGTGAAACCTTAACTTCTCCAGTTTGGAATGCTCACCCCATGCCTTTGGAGTCAATGCTTACTGGGTGGCTATTCTCAAACTTTGCACTCAAAGAAACTCTATACTTAGTCTTATTTTCTGAATCTCATTATTTAAGGTTGACATAATAAACAACTAATAGTAAGTAAAGTGCTTTCCTGAGTTCTGTGAGTCATTCTGGCAAATTGAATCTCGGGGTGTCATGGGCACCCCCGAATTTGTAGCCAAATCAAACAGAAATGTGGCAGCCTGGGGGCCTGGGCCTCGTGACTGACATTTCAGAATTGAATTGAATTGCGGGATACCCAGTTGGTGTTGGCAAGCTGGAGAATTAGTGGTTAGTGTGGGAAAAACCCCAAACAATTTGGTGTCAGAAGAAAAACATCACACTCCTGCGTACAGGTTGATCCATCATGCGCCCTGCCAATTGTACTCCTTACTTATTTCTCAAATCCACTATTTTTCCCTACCTCCACCCCACTACCACCCTCTTCCAATCCCCATTATCTTTAAGCCCCCACCAGGTCTTTCCTCATCCACGCTTGTCTTCTCTAATTCACTCTCCACATTGCCCTTTCATGTAGCTAATATTTGCAAAATGCACATCTGACAAATTAGGTCCTGTCACCCCCTACTTAAAATTCTTCAAGACTTTGCATGGTCTTAGAATAAAGTCCAAACTCCTTCATGTGGCCTGTGAGACCCTATGTGGTTGGCCACAGTCCACTTCTCAAACTCTACCCCTGCCCTGTCCTCCCAGACACACAAAATAAGCTTCCTTGTCCTTCCCCCTTGATAATGCCCATTCATTTTTCTGATCTGAGCTCAATCAACTCTTACACAGGGCAGTTGTCTCCCACTGCCCTGACCAAGTCAGTTCCCCTATTATAGGCTCTGCAGAACATATTATAGTTGCAAATTTTAATTAATTAATGGGTAAATTACTCAGTATTTGTCTTCTCTGCCAGACATGAGGAGGGATCATATCTATTTTTCACTGACCTTATATCTCAGCATCTTTCACAAAGCCCTTATAGTTAGCCCTTGCTAAATATTTAATAGATGGATGAATGAATGAATGAGAAAACATAGCACAGCAGTTAGGGCTGCACTCTGGAATCATCAAATCGGGGTTTGCACTGAGTCTCTGACACAGGCTCTACGACCTGAGGCAAAAATAATAGGTTCTCAAAGTCTCTGTTTTCTCTTTTCTTTCTTTCTTTTTTTTTTTTGGCGGGGGGCAGGGGAACAGGATCTCACTTTTTGCCCAGGCTGGAGGGCAGTGGCACCATCAAGGCTCACTGCAGCCTCAACCTCCTGGGCTCAAGCCATCCTCCCACCTCAGCCTCCCAAGTAGCTGGGACCACAGGCGTGTGCCACCATGTCCGGCTAATTTTTTGTATTTTTTAGTAGAGATGGGGTTTCACCATGTTGCCCAGGCTGGTCTCAAACTCCTGGCCTCAAGTGATCCTCCCACCTTAGCATCCCAAAGTGTTGGGATCACAGGCCTGCACTACCACACTCGTTCCTCTGTTTTCTAATATATAAAGCAGGATTAATGATAGTCCCTGTCTTCAGGATTGTTCCATGGAATAAGCGCAACATTCCATGGCAAGTAATTAGAACAGTGCTTTGCATGCAGTGTATGCTTAATACGTAATAGGTGTTATTATTTCCTCTTCTGTAAAGTGGGGATAATAAAACCTACCTCAAAGCGTTGTTCTGAGGAATTATTTGCTAGTAATCGGGTTCCATTAAGTGCTTATTGAATGTTTTTCTTCCTCTCAAGAGGGAACCAAAGGGATTTTACTTTTTTGAGTGCAGTTCACTTGTGGTTTTTCCCTATTGATTACCCACTAATGTGGCTTCAGGGAAAGGAGTTTTAAAACCAGAGGCAATTAAGCACCAGAAACAACCAAAGAGGGATGACGGAGCCTCTGGGGCCGGTCCAAGACAAAGGCTCCTCTCACCTCTTTGCCATCTGCTGGGACGACAAGGGGTGCCAAGCATTCTTGGGAAGTGGAGCCTTCCTGGGGAAAGAACATGCGTAACTTCGTCCTTGACTGGCTTCCTGGGGAGCCGCTCCATTTTACAGATGGAGAGAAAAAAGCCCAGAGAGGAAGGGATTTCCTCCTAAGCCACACACACGCCCAGCCCACGAGGGGCCGGTCCTCTGACTCAAGCCTCGAGAGTCCAAGTCCAGGCTGTTTCAGCCAAGCCCTGCTGCCTTTCTGCTGAGCATTGGAATGAATCCTGAGCCTGCAGCAATTTATTTGGAAATTTTTAGAAATTTGTTTCATCCAGAATTATACAAAACCAAAGACAGTACAAATTATTCATCGCACAGATTCAGAGGCTGGCCAAGAAAGGGATAATGGCGGCCGTGTGTGGTGGCTCATGTCTGTAATCCCAGCACTTTGGGAGGCCAAGGCGGGCGGATCACGAGGTCAGGAGATCGAGACCATCTTGGCCAAGATGGTGAAACCCCGTCTCTACTAAAAATATATATATATAAATTAGCTGGATATGGTGGCGTGTGCCTGTAGTCCCAGCTACTCAGGAGGCTGAGGCAGGGGAATCACTTGAACCCGGGAGGCGGAGGTTGCAGTGAGCCGACCAAGATCTCACCACTGCACTCCAACCTGGTGATAGAGCAAGACTGTGCCTCAAAAAAAAAAAAATAATTAAATAAATAAAAGAAAGGGATAATGGTTTGTTCAGGATCACCTAGCTGGTTGAGAACGAAAACAATTAGAGTCAAGTCCTCTGGCTGGGCACGGTGGCTCATGCCTCTAATCCCAGAACTTTGGGGAGCCGAGGCAGGCACTGAACTCCAGGCTTGAGCTCAGGAGTTCGGGACCAGCCTGGGTGACATAGCGAAACCCTATCTCTACTGGAAAAAAAAAAAAAAAAACGGAGTCAAGTCCTCTAACCTGGTAAATCTACTAGATATGTATGGCTCTCCCAGGCATGGCATCTCAGCTTCATCAGTATCACTTGTCTGCTTAATCATTGATTCAATTGTTCTATAAACTCCTCTACAGCCTCAGCCTCTCTCTCTCTCTCTTTTTTTTTTTTTTTTTTTTTGGTGCAATTGCATAGAGCCTCCTTTGTACCATGCATGGTTTTAGGCACCAGGGACACAGATGAATGAGGCAAGGTCTGAAGTCTCATGGAGCTCACAGACACTCTTTTCTTTCTCTCAAAAGGCTGCCTGCCACGTGCTCTGGGTTATCAGCCATGTTCTTCCTGGATGCTCAACTGCCCCAGTGCCCCTCCCCAAACCAGGCCTAGTACTCAGCCCCTCCTACATGGCCTCTGGGGCTTGACTCCACACTCCATGTGGACTGCATTCCAGTGTCAGAGCCTTCATCCTAAGACCCACCGCCCTGGCATCTTCTCCTTCATGGGCTCCTTGATTTCCAGTGCTTTAAGCACAGGTCTTCTCCTGCCTTTAGACACTGCTTTACCTGGTTTCCATGGTTCTTATCCAGCCAGTGGTGTGCTGCTAACTTTATAGTAACTAGCTATTCATGGGGGAAGAAAACCCAACCAGCCAATCAACCAAACTAACAAAACTTTGATTTGTAGTGGTTGCCAATTTCCTTGGTGTAAATACTCCCACCATGGCTGATGACAAGCTACCAACATGACATCACTGGATGTGGAGTTGTGAAGAGATACAATCATCTCTGGTGTCAACCGAATCCAGCCCTACCCCATCACCTCCCCTCACACCCCCTCAGAGCTGTGCCATAGAATGCAGTGTGGATCTTGGGAAAGTGATGAGCTTTGGAGTCAGATAGATGGAATTTGAAGCCTAGCTTTTCTGATTTCTACACTAGTAGTGCAGCCAGGGGAACATTATTCTACTTTTCTGAGCCTCAGTTTCTTCATCTGTGATATGGAGAAAGCAGTACCAAGATGTATGTGGGCTTTCAGCACTGTTCTCCTCCCTACCTTTATTCCTTTGCTCATGCTGTTACCCTGGCCTGGGATGCCTTCTATTCCACTTACCCAGATTCTTAAGATTCTTCTCAAGACCTGCTTCCTCCATGAAGTCTTCCCTGATTATTCCAGTCCTTTGAGGACTAAACTCTGATTTTTTTTTTTTTTATCTTGCCCAAATTCCTACCTAAGGAGCCTAGGGAGTCATGCCCTACAAACCATAAAGTCTTATCGGAGGAGGTTTTAATTTTAACCCTATATAGCGTGGTCTGCTTTCTAACCTGACTCTAGCATAACATCACATAATAAGGGAGGAAATAAAAATATTTTAACCCCAAATATATTTCCCTGCCATATCTTGAAATTGCTCCACAAGTTTGTCTCTTGTGGGAAAAGGCCACATTCTATAGAGAATCCCCTTCCCCCCATTTTTTTCTTTTTCTTTCCGGACTCAGGAGATAATCAACAAAGAGCCAGGCACCCTTATAAGTCTGATAAGAAACATTTTATAACCTACTCCCTCTGAAGTCTGCCCTGAGAACTTCCTCTGCACAATAAAACTTGGTCTCCACAACCCTTTATCTTAACCTAAACATTCCCTTTCTATTGATCCCAGGTCTTCAGATAAACTCAATTAATTATCAACTGGAAAAATTTAAAATTTACCTATAGCCTGGAAGCCCCTGCTTTGAGCTGTCCTGCCTTTCTGAACCAAACCAATGTACATCTTAAATGTATTGATTGATGTCTCGTGTCTCCCAAAAATGTATAAAACCAAACTGTGCCCTGATCACCTTGGGCACGTGTTCTCAGGGTCTCCTGAGGGCTGTGTCACAGGCCATGGTCGCTCATAGAGTCTGACTCTTTTCGTTGACACCTTGATGCTCTCTCCCTTCTCCAAACCCCTGTGGCAAGCAAGATGTTTGCTTACCTGGCTCAGCATTTACACCAACTTGTATGCGATCTAGTCATTTTGAGACAGGGTCCCACTCTGTTGCCCAAGCTGGAGTGCAGTGGTGTGATCTCCGTCTTCTGGGCCCAAGCGATTCCCCTGCCTCAGTCTCCTGAGTAGCTGGGATTACAGGTGTGCGCCACCATGCCTGGCTAATTTTTGTATTTTTTTAGTAGAGACAAGGTTTCACCATGTTGCCCAGGCTGGTCTCGAACTCCTGACCTCAAGTGATCCTCCTGCCTCAGCCTCCCAAAGTGCTGGGATTACGGGTGTGAACCACTGTGCCCAGCCCTCTGGGCATATTCTTGTCTCTGAGCTGACTGCTTGTCTCATCCTGTCTCTTAGATGACTACTGCATCCCTCAGCCCCAACTCCAATTCCTACTGACCGATTAATGATTAATAACCTGAAGATGCAATATGGAGCTATCCATCAATGCATTCTGTTAGTATTCAATAAGTTCCTACAATGCGTCAGGCACTGAAAATACAATGATGAATTAAACAGATATAGTAGTTATAATAATTATATTAATAATAATAATTGCTACCATTATTGAGCAGTTACTATGTGCCAGCCATTCTGCTAAGCACTTCACAAATTTTGGCTTTTTTAGTCCTTATAACAATGTTCTAGGGAGTTAGATACTATTATTATACCCTCTTTCCAGAAATAAATATGAAGCTTATCGGGGTTAAGTAACTTGCCCAAGGCCAGAGCCAGGATTCAAACTCTCAGTTTTGAGCTCTCAACAACTATTCCATTCTGCCTGTCGCTATGCTCTCCTGTCTCTCATGGAATTTATTTTTCAAAGCATTTTTATGTCTCTCTGATCCTCACAACAGTTCTATAAGGTGAGTGGAACAGGTAAGTTACCCCATTTTGCAGAAAAGAAAACTGAGGCTCACATCCTGGCTAACACGGTGAAACCCTGTCTCTACTAAAAATACAAAAAAATTAGCCAGCCGTGGTGGCGGGCACCTGTAGTCCCAGCTACTCGGGAGGCTGAGGGAGGAGAATGGTGTGAACCCGGGAGGTGGAGCTTGCAGTGAGCCAAGATCACGCCATTGCACTCCAGCCTGAGTGACAGAGCGAGACTCTACCTCAAAAACAAAAAAAAAAAAAAAAGAAAAAGAAAACTGAGGCTCAGAGAGCCAAAGCCTAGTCTCTTGTCCCTTGTGGTTTGCTAAAGTCCTATTACAGTCAGAGCTGTGGTTCCTGACTTCCAGCTGGGCCAAGGAGGTGCTTCAGGGCTAAGTGTGCCGGGATGTGCAGACAAGAAGGAATAGAAGACGACCCTATCTTCTGGACCACAGGCCAATGCTGGGACCGCAGAAGCATAGGCAGGCACCTACCTTATGCACCCAATCCTTGCAGTCATGGTCTTGCATGCACTTGTCCAGTGCTCCAGGTGATAGCACCAACACAAAGTTGCGGGCACCCATGACACTCTGGATGAGTTTGTCCTCGAACTTGCCTGCTTCCAGCTTCTCCACATCAATGAAGACACTGAAGCCATGCAGCTGCAGGTGCACCTTCAGGAGACTGCAAGTAAGTCCTGTGTCAGTGCCACAGCCTTGTCCCCACGCCCCGTCGCTGCCCGCCCGCCCCTCCTCACCTGGCCAGCTGGGAACCTGAGTTCCGGCGGTAGCTGATGAAGACATCTGGAGTGTCCCCACTGGGTTTGCCACCAGTACAGGGCAGCGGGGAGTGTAGCATTTCTGAAGTGGGCAATAGGCAGCATGGTGAAGGTGGCCCCTCCGCATCACTCACTGTCAGGTATATCATCCCTTGTGGACTTAGTCCCCAGTCCACCAAGCCCTCTCAGCCCAGCCTGGGGAGGGTGGCCTGCCCCAAAAAGGAGAAATGGGGCCTCCAGGAGGAAGGTCATGTTATTGTTGGGTTCCTCTTAGGAGGCAGGCACTGTGTTCTAGGGACATTGATATGCATGCACTTCCAGCCCTGACCTCTCTCTGGAACTCCAGACCTGAACAGCCAGCTGCCCACAATCACTCCAAATTCAACACACCCCAAATCTCCCCCTCATTCCTTCTTCCCTATTTCCCACCAAAGCCAGACACCTGGGTATCAGCCTCAACTCCTGCCTCCCATTTAATTTATTCAACAAATACATCCTAAGCACTTGCTGTGTGCCAGGACTGTCTTCAGTGCTTGAGATTCAGCAGTGAGTAAAACAGACAGCACTCTGCTCCTCTGGAGCCACGCTCAGTACTAAGCGCCAGGCACCGCATTCTGAGGATTCTACCTACTAAACATACTGGACTCCAGCCTCCGGGCCCTTCCCTGGCTCAGGTTTCCAATGCCAGCCTCCTCAATGGCCTCCCCAAACCCAGCTAGAATTGCCCAGTCTAGGCCAGGGCAGTGGCCCACACCTGTAATCCCAGCACTGTGGGGGGCCAAGGTGGGTGGATCACTTGAGGCCAGGAGTTCGAGACCAGCCTGGCCAATATGGTGAAACCCTGTCTTTACAAAAAATTATCCAGGCATGGTGGCACATGTCTGTAATCTAGCTACTTGGGAGGCTGAGGCACGAGAATCACTTGAACCCAGGAGGCAGAGGTTGCAGTGAGCCAAGAATGCACCACCGCACTCTAGCCTGGGCGACAGAGTGAGACTCTGACTAAAAAAAAAAAAAAAGAAAAGAAAAGAAAAGAAAAGAATTGCCCAGTGTAGTCCATTTGCCACAGCTACCAGAACATCTTTCTAAAATCCAAATCTGAGCATGTCATTCCTCCCACTTAAAAACTATGCATGGCTCCCTACTCACTATACAAACTATTTTTTGTAAGCTATTTTTGCCCTAGGATTTTCCTGTTGTTTAAAAATGAAATCTTGCGCTGGGTGCGGTGGCCCACGCCCGTAATCTCAACACTTTGGGAGGCTAAGTTGGGAAGATTGCTTGAGGCCAGGAGTTTGAGAACAGCCTGGGCAACATAGTGAAACCCTGTCTCCACAAAAAATAAAAAAATTAGCTGGGTGTGGTGTTGCGCACCTGTGGTCCCAGCTACTTGGGAGGTGAGGTGGGAGAATCACTTGAGCCCGGGAGGTTGAGGCTTCAGTGGGTTGTGATTGCGCCACTGCACTCCAGCCTAGGTGACAGAATGAGACCTTGTCTCAAATTAATTAATTATAATAAAAATGAAATCTTGAAGTTTTAATGGGAGCTGCAATGTAAAAATAATAAAAGCCAACCTGCTTTGGTTGAAGCATAAGAATGCAGCCAAAGCTCAGTCCCTTGTGTCTTGTGGGTGCTTAGTCTGTAATTGCTGAATGAAAGGATAAAATGAAAAGAATTCATCTTCTTATAATATTTAGACATAACCCTCATAGACAACATTTGTTTGTTTATGAAGCAGAAAGACAAGGGCTCAAGTCCCAGTTTTGCCATCTAATGACTTTTATGACTGTGGGAAATGTATTTGAATTCTTTAAATGTTAGTTTCATTATCTTTAAAAGGAACACCCATGATGGAAATATTCTATATCTTTAATGATGATGGTGGGGGTGGGGGGTCACACAGATGTCTTTCAAAACTCCTCAAACTGATACTTTTTTTCTTTTTTGAGATAGGGTCTCACTCCTGCTGCCTAGGCTGGATGGAGTGTAGTGACCTGATCACAGTTCACTGCGGCCTTAACTTCCTGGGCTCAGGTGATCCTCCCACCTCAGCCTCCCAAGTAGCTGGGACTACAGGTATGCGCCACCACACCTAGCTAATTTTTTGTATTTTTTTGTGCTTTTAGTGGAGATGGGCTTTCACCATGTTGCCCAGGTTGGTCTCAAACTCCTGGACTTGAGCGATCCGCCTGCCTTGGCCTCCCAAAGTCCTAGAATTACAGGCATGAGCCACGGTGCCCGGCCCTCAAACTGGACACTTACTCCTCTTTTTATTCTTTCAAGAGTTCTTTAAGGTTGATTTTAAAAACTGAACACTCATTGCATAGAATCAATATAGAGACTGATGGGATAATATCTTAAAAACCAAACAGAGTACCTTGTAATTGACAATAAAGATTAGCTAAGTAGTAAATTAGTAAGTAAAAATAAATTAGTAAATAAGGAGGGTGGCTAGAGGCCTAGAATTCACTCTAAACCACCTCTAGACCCAAATTTTGTAAGCTGTTGGCCAATAGGATAACACACATACGCACACCCTTCCCGCCTACACCCCACTGCATGGACTCTCCATAGGCCGCTGCCTCTGCCTGGGCTGCCCTTCCTGTTGCCACCCCTCCCCGCCAGTGCACCTCTCAAGACATGGTCAGGCATCCTGTCCTCTCTGAAATCTAGACCTGGGTGGATGGGGTGGGCTGGGCTTCCTCTGTGCTCCCACTGGAGACCTGGGTAGCTTCCTGCCGGGGCCGCTTGCCTGTTTAATAGCCTCCTTCCTCCCACCGCCTACCCACCTCAGACTGGGAACTTCTTGAGGTAAAGTGCAACGTATTCATCTTTACATCCTCAGAGCCCAGTGTGACCCACGTTTGTGCTCAATCAATCCACGGCGAGGCTGGAAGGCTCCACCCCGTGTCTCCCCTCACCATTCCAGGGCCGTGGCTGGGGCTGGGGCTGGGGCGGGGTCCCGGGTGAGCGGGCTGACCTCTGGCCGCCGTGAGGATGCGGGCGCGGTGCACGCCCAGGTGGATGCCGCAGTCTTCCAGCAGCTGCTGCTCAGACACGCGGTGCAGCAGGGAGCGGTCCAGGCCGCAGCTGACCAGGCCGTAGGTGTACTGGCGGAAGCGCGGGTCCAGGCTGCCCAGCCAGTCCGCCAGGTTGCTGCGGTCGCACGTAGAATAGTTGGCGAAGGTCTTGAGCTCCGTGAGCTCCCTAAAGAACCTGCACCCCACGGAGGAGAAGACGCTGAGGTCCAGACTCGGACGGGCTGTGGGCGGAGGGGGAGCTTATTTAGACCTAGCTGGGGTCCGGCGGGCAGGAGGCTCCGTACCTCTTGCGGGTGATGCCCGATTTCATGCCCAGGTCGGTCTGGAGTTCCTCCTCCGTGAGCCGCAGAAGCAGGTCGCCATCCACCTGCTGCTCCTGGGGGAGGAGTCGGGTGTCAGGAAGGGCTTCGCTACTCCGCCCTTGGACCTCGAGCACAAGATGCAAGGGAAGGAACTGGAGATGGCGTGGAGGAGGCGGATGGGACCTAGATCAGAGCCGAGTGACCCTAACGGTGGCTGCGTACAGGCTCCCCGCCCCCAAAAGCGACCCTGGCGCCGCGGGATTGCGAGGCGGGGAGGGAACGCAGTCCCTGTGCACAGGGCGCCCGCTCTGACTCGGGGGAGGCGTATCCCACGCGACTCTACCCGGAAGCTCTCGCAGTACTTGGAGAAACCGATCTGCTGCAGCCACGTCTGAACCTCGGCCTCCTTCCAGCTGGGCACGGAGGGCAGGATGGGCCGTGGCACCTCCTCGCCCAGCAGGCGCAGCGCGCGCTTGGCCAGCGCCGACTTAGTGCCATTGGTAGAGTAGGAAACCAGGCGTTTCAGGCTCTGGATGGCGCCGATGTCGCTGAACACCTAGGGAGGGAGTGGGGAGAGGGCTGTAGGTCCCACCAGCTCTCCAGGTGCTCCCACACGTGCCCAGTCCCTCTCCTTGTCTCTTCTCACAACCCAAAGTCTCTCCATCTGCCCTGGCCCCACCTTCAGCCACTAAGTCATGGGGTCCTGCGGATTCCCCCTCCTGAAGTTCTCTCAATTCTTGACCAGGTCCTGACTCGGATGGGTTGGGGGCGGAGGGGCCTATCCCTCCTTTATATCCCTTCTACAGCATCCACCGGCCCTGGAATAAAGTTGAGCTCTCAGCATAGCGCCAGGCAGGGCACAGTGCAGCTGCCCATCACTCCCAGTTCACCTCACCTTCCACTAACTTACACTTCACACACACACGCACATGCACACATTCCAAGGCTTTCACACCTCTGGGTCTTGGCCCACTATGTTTCCAAACCCTTAGTTCTTCCAGTCTGCTCATGGGAATCCTCCCACTCCACGGAAATCCTACTCATCCACCAGAATCCAAATTGATTAGCACCTCCTTCATGCAGCCTGCTTTGATTCCCCCACATCCTGGCCCACACCTCCAATGAGGTCTTATACCACACTCTGAATGCCACTGTCACTGGTTGACGATGCAACTTCCACTGGAGTATAAGCTGAGGACATGTCTTAGTCACTACTGGAAACCTGCATCTGGCACGATGAAGGACACAGAGTGGGACTCGAGATGTCTTTGTTGAACTACACTCACTTGGCCTCGATGGGAAAGGGGTGACAGGCTGGTGATCATGGTTGCGGCCCAGATCCAATCCTTGGGGTCCTCACTCCCTACTTCCTTTAAGACCCTTTTCCCTAAGCAAAATGACCTGCCTTGTAGAGCAGGTCCTCCCTGACCCAGCTCTGGAGTGCAGAGAGAAGAATCAGAAGTTCCTAGAACACTGGATGTTGAAAGAGGCCCCAGAGACCCCCCTAACATAGCAGTCTCCTTTTTCTTTTTCTTTTTTGAGATGGAGCCTCACTTTGTAGCCCAGGCTGGAGTGCAGTGGTGCGATTCCAGCTCACTGTAACCTCTGCCTCCCAGGTTCCTGTGATTCTTCTGCCTCAGCCTCCCGAGTAGCTGGGATTACAGGCACCTGCCACCATGCCCAGCTAATTTTTGTATTTTTAGTAGGGACAGAGTTTCACCATGTTGTCCAGGCTGGTCTTGAACTCCTGACCTCAAGTGATCCACCTGCCTCGGCCTCCCAAAGTGCTGGGATTACAGGCATGAACCACCTCACCCAGCCAGCAGTCTCTTTTTGATCTGCAGGGACATACATGATGGGTGACAATCATCTGTAAGACACACTCCTTTGAGCACCCCCAGATGACAGCTGGGGTACAGACAAGGTGGGTCATGGGGTATGCACCACATCTCTGTGCACCAGCTATCACCAACCTCCAAGCCTCCACAAAAAAATGCAAAGAAGAGAGAGTGATATTGTAGGGAGAATCTTCAACCTGTAACATTTTAAAAACAAAGCCCAGCTGGGGGATTGTGGTGCGTGCTTGTAGTCCCAGCTACTTGGGAGGCTGAGGCAGAGAGGATCGCTTGGAGCCTGAGAGTTTGATGCCAGCCTAGGCAATATAGTAGATCTCTGTTTCCAAAAAGTACAATCCACAAACTTGTGGTGCTAAAACTATCCCACATCTAGGGTAAGAACTGCTGCTGTGGTCCAATTTACTGAATTTTCCAGAAGATAAAAATGAGGCCCAGATAGAGGCCTAGAGAGGGGAAGCCAGGTGCTCAAGGTCACACAGCAAGTTAAAGCAGTGGGCAAAGGTCACTGGTGGATTAGGCCCTGGACATGAGGACCCCTTGGGACTCCGATGGGGGTTATCTGGCTGACACACTGATGTCCTGTCCCAAGCCGCAAGCCTCTGTCTCTAACAGCCATCTTGACTCCAGACTCAAAAGGCTACACTACCCACTGAAGCTCCCCAGCTGGGCATCTCTCAGGCATCTCAAACTCCATATGTCCTGCAGAAGTCACTTTCTTCCCCTTCCCCACTTCCACTTGTCTCTCACCCAGTTCACTTTATTCATTGCCTATGTTCAGGGCCAGGAGTCATCCTCAGCTCCTCTTTCTCCTTCTCCCAGCCACCAAGTGCTAACTCCATCTCTTAAACATCTCTTGAATCTGCTCTCTGCCACTGGCATCGCTGTCTCCCCCTTCCCCCAACGCCCACCCCTGCAAGTCATAGTTTTTTATTGGGTTGCCTTGCCTCCGTCCTCACCCTTGCCAAGCCCCTTTCCACACAGCAGCTAGGATGATCTTTGTAAAACACAAGTGTCCCCTTGCTTAAAAGCTTCTTAGTGTCTTCCTCTTGCCCCCAAAACCAAGTCCAAACTTCGGGTTTGCCTTCAACGCCAAAATGACTGGCCCGCTCCTCCTTTGTCTTGCTTCATCTAATTCTGATGTGTATTTCAAGACCCGGTTGAATGTGACTTCCTCTGGGAAACCTTCCCAAAGGCTCTCTAACCCCTGATCCACCCAACCCCACATCTGCACCCACCTTGGTCTTGCCTTGCAGGCTCTTGATGGCAGCCTCGGCGCAGAGGTAGAAAGCCCCGATGCACTGCGCCTCCAAGCGGTTAGAGTCGAGCAACGGCACGAGGCGCTGCAGGTCGTCGGGCCCGCGGCCCTGGCTTGTGTCGCTGGCGTCCACCAGACAGCGGGCGAAGCGGCCAGGGTCCAGCGAGGCCACAAGCGGCTCCACGAGCGCCAGCGTGCCCGAGCGCTCCACCTCGCGCTCCACCTCCTTGTTAGTCGCCAACACCGCTACTGCGAGGCAGGCGTGCAGCCGAAGCAGCTCGTCCTCCTTGGAGAAGGCGAGCGGGAAGAGCCACTCGGCTGCGCGCTTCTCTACCATGCGTCGCTGCACCGCCTGGCCCCCGTGCAGCGCGCAGTTGCCCAGCGCCAGCGCGCAGTGGCGCAGCAGCGCGGGGTCCGTGCGGCGGCACCAATACAGCACCGCGTCCAGGCCGCCGGCCGCCACCAGCCTCTGGCATGTCTCCTCCGAATGCTTGAACATGTGCTCCAAGATGCCTGCCACGCTCCGCGCCAGCTCTACGGGTTCGCGTTCCTTCGCCAGGTTCAGGATCACGCCCAGCCCAATGCGCGCCACGCGGTCTCTGCCCAGTGAAAGTGGAAGGGGACAGTGGAATTGCCGCAGCTTGGGGAGCTTGGCTTGCCCGTTTGGGGCCTGGTCACTAACCCTCTCTGGGCCTCACCGGCCTCATATAGGGGAGAGCATTCCCCTCCCTGCTCCCCACCCTCATCTCCTCCCCTGGGAGGACCCCACTTCTCGGATTCTAAGGGTGCTCTATTCTGGCCATAGCCGTTCTCCCCCTCCCTCCTCCCCTTGAGAGGCAGTATGTGTGGTGGCTAAGAGCCTCAGCTCAGGAGCAGATCCCCTGGGTCCTGGTTTCTTCTCAGCCCGTTTTCTAACTGGGATAAAGGAGACCTTTGGGCAGCTTCCTTTATCTCTCTACCTTGCTTTCCTTATCTCATAAATAGAAAATAGAAATACCTGCCTCATAGGATTATTATCAGGACTAATGAGATAAGCCTTATAGAGTGCTTGGCACAATGCCTGGCACATGGTAAAAACTCAACAAATATTAACTTGTCCTAATTTGAAGTGTCACTTGAAGCACACCACTCTTAGCCTTGCCTTTTCCTCACTCCATGGCCCATGACCGGGGCATATCTATTCATTCATTCAACAGATGCTTCCTGAGGACGTCCCCTGTGCCAGCCACTGCACTAGGGGCTGAGGTTTAACAGAGACTGGCCAGAGCTTATCCTCAGGGCGATGGAGGAAGACATAGACAAGAAAACAATGAGTGAACCAGATCGTAGTGATAGGGCCTTGGCGCTAGCAAAACAGGATGATGTAATGGCGTGTGCCTGGAGGAGGGGTATGTGGGAAGAGGTGACATCTAAGCTTAATGTGAAGAAATCCCTGTGTGCAAATATCTGGGAGGAGCATAACAGGCAGAGAGAGGAGCAAGGATGAAGGCCTGAGGGCAGAGGAGCTGACGTGTTTGAGGAATAGAAAGAATGCCAGAGGTATTGCGATGTCTAAAACCAAAAAGGGAAAATATAAAACCAGGCTGGGCAAGGTGGCTCATGCCTGTAGAATGCTTGGCACAATGCCTGGCACATGGAGGCCAAGGTGGGAGGCTCACTTGAGACCATCCTGGACAACAAAGTGAGACCCTGTGTCAAAAGAAAAAAAAAAAAAAGAGAGAGAGAGACAGAAAAAAAAAAAAAAGAAAAGAAAAAAATCAATGAGGGGTTTATATGTAGAATATATCAGCAAATATTCAAATCAAGAAGAAAAAGGCAACAAATTCAAAAGAAAATGGGCAAAGGACATAAACAGGCAATTGACAAGAGGAAATCCAAAATTTGAAAAACCAGATAAAGAGATGCTCTAACTCATTAGTAATCAGAGAAATGAAAATTAAAACAATAGCTATCGCTACCTGAAATGTTCTTCAACAAAATCCGCTTCATGGTTCGTCATTCCAATGTCTGCTCAAATGTTACTTCCTTCCAATCATCCAATCTAAAGGCTTTTCCCCATCACTTTCTAACTCATTACCTTATTTTATTGTCTTCAGGGCATTTAATATCTGATATTATATTAATAGTCTACTTGTTTGTTAGTTCCATAGACCAGAAACCTTATCTGTCATTTTCTTTCTTAAAATGATCTAGGCCGGGTGCGGTGGCTCACGCCTGTAATCCCAGCACTTTGGGAGGCCGAGGCGGGTGGATGACAAGGTCAGGAGCTCGAGACCATCCTGGCTAACATGGTGAAACCCTGTCCCTACTAAAAATACAAAAAATTAGCCGGGCGTGGTGGCGGGTGCCTGTAGTCCTAGCTGCTCAGGAGGCTGAGGCAGGAAACTGGTGTGAACCCAGGAGGCGGAGCTTGCAGTGAGCCAAGATGGCACCACTGCACTCCAGCCTGGGCAACAGAGCGAGACTCCGTCTCAAAAAAAAAAAAAAAAAAAAAAAAAAAAAGATCTAAATGGAGAAAATTACCCTTTCCTAGAGTTTCTTCACCTAAATCATTTTATTTTATTTCAAAGGCCATTCCCACTCTCCTTTGTCCCTGACCACTCTCCACACACATACCTTGAATAAAATGTTCACTGGCAGAAAACAAGCAAACAGAAAACCAGCTACCACTTTACACCTGTTAGATGGGCAAAATCAGAAGCTGAACAATACAGGCAACCTCTCCCAAAGAGATTGTCATATAGATAGAGAAAAGCACTTAGACAAGGATGTTCACTGCAGTGTCATTTGTAGTGTGAGGAAGTTGGAGGCAATCAGTATCAAGCTTGGGGAGAGTCAGGTAACATGGGCAGGTGCCTACTCTGTAGGATTTGCAGGGAGGTCCAAGTGACTGAGCAGGTGATAACACAGCAACACGAACCTGGACAACATAGCCTGGGCAACATAGCAAAACCCTGTCTCTACAAAATCAAAAAAATTAGCCATGTATGGTGGCACAGGCCTGTAGTCCCAGCTACCTGAGAGGCTGAGGCAGGATGATAGTTTGAGCCCAGTAGGTTGAGGCTACAGCGAGTCATGATTGGGCCACTGCACTCCAGCCTGGGCATCAGAGCAAGACCCTGTCTCAAAACAAACAAACAAACAAAAAACCCAAAAAACAAAAAACAAAAACAAAAACAAAAAAACCAATAAAACCCAACACTGAGTGGGAAAAAGTAAGAAATAGAATGTGCTATATGACACAGCACTATTAATATACATTAAAAATACATGCACACAAGACCAAGAATAAAGATTTAAAGATTTTAGCAGAACACAGATAGAAAGATACACATTAGATATACTGAATGGTTCCTTATGGAGTTAGGGCAAGAGAATAGTGTGGGCATTAGTCAGGAGGAGAAGGAGAGATTGCATTTCAGTTGCATTTCAGGCACAGGTATATGCAAAGAGTTGGAGGTGTTGGAGAGCTGGTGCACTTGGGGAGCTGCCCACACTTCCATGGCTGAGGCAGAAGATTCAAGGGGAGAGTGTGAAAAGAGATCGGACCTGGGGACCTTTTGAGGCACCTCAAGGCATTTGTAGTTTATCTTGATGTCAAAGAGAAGCCACTGAAAACTCTCAGGGAGGGGAGTGGCCTGGCCATATTTGGGTTTTAGAAAATTCACTCTGGCTGTGGTGGAGAGGACAGATCCAACAGAGAGAACTTGGAGGCCTGCTGAGCAGGTGGGAGAGTTGCCACATCCTGGTAGAGGTTCAGGCTTCCTGCCTTACTGACCTCCACAAATGATGTCTTCCACAGATGGCCGGGCGCAGTGGCTCATGCCTGTAATCCCAGCACTTTGGGAGGCTGAGGCAGGAGGATCACTTGAGGTCAGGAGTTCAAGACCAGCCTGGCCAACATGGTGAAACCCCATCTCTACTAAAATTACAAAAATTAGCCAGGTGTAGTGGTGTGCGCTTGTAATCCCAGCTACTCAGGAGGCTGAGATAGGAGAAACACTTGAACCCAGGAGGCAGAGGTTGCAGTGAGCCGAGGTTATACCACTGCTCTCCAGCCTGGGTGACACAGTGAGACTCCGTCTAAAAAAAAAAAGTGATGTCCTCCACAGGTGACATTACTGCCAAAGAGGTAGAGGCCTAGCCAGCAATGGAGTCCTTGCCCAAAGGGCACCACAGTGACCATAGTGCATGTGATTTTGTGTCCACTGCAGAACCTACCTGAGTCCGGAACATGCCATAAGCTCACAGCTCACTGCAGCCTTGGCCACCTAGGTTAAATTCATCCTCCCAACTCAGCCACCTGAGTAGCTGGGACTACAGGCATGTACCACCATGTCTGGCTGATTTTTTTTGTTTTGTTTTCTTTTACTTTGTAGAGACAGGATCCCATTATATTGCCCAGGCTGGTCTCAAACTCCTGGGCTCAAACAATCCTCCCACTTCGGCCTCCCAAAGCGCTGGGAATACAGGCATGAACCACCTCACCTGGCCCAGTTATTCCTTTTACCAATGAGAAAACCAAAACTCAGAGAGGGTACATGACATGCCCAGAGTCACACAGTTTCTGAGAGGCACAGCTGAGATTTGAACCCAGATCTGCCTGTCTCCAGAGTTCAAGATCCTTCACCTTCATTTTGCGTTTCTAGACATCTGACTGCATAAATGCCTAGAATGTAAGAGCCAGGATATGTTTAAGAAATATCTAATGTGGCCAGGTGCGGTAGCTCACGCCTGTAATCCCAACACTTTGGGAGGCTGAGGTGGGCAGATCACTTGAGGTCAGGAGTTCGAGACCAGCCTGGCCAACATGGTGAAACTCCATCTCTATTAAAAATGCAAAAACTAACTGGGCGTGGTAGCAGGTGCCTGTAATCCCAGCTACTTGGGAGGCTGAGGCATGAGAATCACTTGAGCCTGGGAGGCAGAGGTTGCAGTGAGCCCAAGATCGTGCCACTGCACTCCAGCCTGGGTGATAGAGGGAGACTCCATCTCAAAAAATGAAAAATAAAATAAGAAAATTATTTAATCTGGCTGAATGCAGTGGCTCATGTCTGTAATTCCAGTACTTTGGGAGGCCAAGGCAGTAGGATTGCTTGAGTCCAGGAGTTTGAGACCAGCCTGGGCAACATAGAAAGACCCTGTCTCTACCAAAAACAAAAACAAAAACAAAAGATAAGAAGGAAATTATCTAATCCAACACCCTTACTTTTTCTTTTCTTTTTTTTCTTGACAGGATCTCACTCTGTCACCCAGGCTGGAGTGCAGTGGCGCAATCTCAGCTCGCTGCAACCTCCACCTCCTGGGTTCAACTGATTCTCATGTCTCAGCCTCCCAAGTAGCTGGGATTACAGACATGTACAACCACACCTGGCTCTTTTTTTTTTTTTTTTTTTTTGTATTTTTAGTAGAGACAGAGTTTTACCATGTTGGCCAGGCGGTCTTGAACTCCTGACCTCAAACGATTCGCCTGCCTTGGCCTCCCAAAGTGCTGAGATTACAGGCGTGAGCCACCGCCCCTGGCCAGCCAACACTCTCATTTTCAGAGGACTTACCTGAGGCCCAGCGAAGGGAAGGACTTGCTCAGGAACATATCAATTCAGACCTAGGACTTTATTTTGAGTCTCCTGATGCCCCAGCCCTCACTTTTCCCTATGCACCTGGCACCTTTACAGAGTGGAACTGTGCTGCACTCTTGTGATAACTACTCACCCAGCTCCCAGTTCTTCTGTGGTCTGAGAGGCTGTGGGTCTGGTGAAATGGGCAGATATTTTAGAATTACACAGGTCTGGATTCAAATCCCAGCTCCAAAGGAGGGGAAGATTGTATATATATTGCAAACATGTCTATATAATATACATGCAAATGCCTGTATATGCAGAGACTCTCTCTGGAAGGATATACAAGAAACTTGTTATAGTGGTTTATCTCCAGAGAGGGGGTCTGGTTGAGAAGAACTTTTAAAAAATTTTTAATTTAATTTTAAAAAATTGAGACAGGGCTCTCACTATGCTGCCCAGGCTGGTCTCAATCAAACTCCTGGGCTCAAGTAATCCTTCTGTCTCAGCCTCCTAAAGTTCTGAGATTACAGGCATGAGCCACCATGCCTGGCTGAGAATAACTTTTAACTGTATACCTTTTGTGTGCTTTTCCACTTTTTTGAATTTATGTGCAATGGCTTTCGTGATTTTTTTTTTTTTTTTTTTTAGATGGAGTCTCACTCTTGCCCAGGCTGGAGTGCAGCGGCACGATCTCGGCTCACTGCAACCTCCACCTCCCTGGTTCAAACAATTCCCCTGCCTCAGCCTCCAGAGTAGCTGGGATTACAGGCACACGTCATCAAGCCCGGCTAATTTTTTGTATTTTTAGTAGAGACGGGGTTTCACCATGTTGGCCAGAGTGGTCTCGAACTCCTGACCTCAGGCAATCTCCCGCCTGGGCCTCCCAAAGTGCTGGGATTACAGGCATGAGACACTGCTCCTGGCCGCCTTTCTGTGATTTCAAAAACCTGTCTCCTCCATTTATTCATTGAATATTCCTGGGAAAGCCATTTAACTACTCTGAGGATAGCTTCATTAAGATCCCCTGAAGGGGGTGGACTGTGAATATAGAGGGCTAGCAGTCATATGGGGACCTCACTGGGTGTTGTGGGGCCAGATTTGAAGAGCCATATTCTGTTGGACTTCTGGTAGTTGGAAGTCAGGAAAACTGTGACCTAGGCTCCTTGACAATGGGTGCAATAGCATCCTGAGAAGAAGAAAGCAAGAGGGAAGTGGCAAAAAGGGGTAGGCACACTGATGGAATTGTTTTTTTTTTTTTTTTTTTTTTTTTGACAAGGTCTGGCTCTGTCACTGAGGCTGGAAAGCAGTGGCATGATCTCAGCTCATTGTGACCTCCGCCTCCTGGGCTCAAGCCATCCTCCCACCTCAGCCTCCTGAGTAGCTGGGACTGTGCATGCCATCACGCCCGGCTAATCTGTATATTTTTTGTAGAGATGGGTTTTTGCCATGTTGCCCAGGCTGGTCTTGAACTCCTGGCCTCAAGTGATCCACCCACCTCAGCTTCCCAAAGTGCTGGAATTACAGGCATGAACCACCATGCTTGCCCAGAAGAGCCTTCTTTGAGATGAGGCAGTGGGGGCTTGGTTGGTGAAGGAGAAAAACATTTCATAAATTCGCAGTGTGTCACTCCCCTTCTCTTCTTTCCAGCCCCATTCTCATGCAGCCTACAAGGGGTGCAGGGACCCTCCCCTTCTTTTTTCTTTTGAGATGGAGTCTCACTCTGTTGCCAAGGCTGGAGTGCAGTGGCGCGCTCTCAGCTCACTGCAGCCTCTGCCTGCCGAGTTCCAGCAATTCTCCTGCCTCAGCCTCCAGAGTAGCTGGGGTTACAGGCACACACCACGCACCACCACCATGCCTGGCTAATTTTTGTGTTTCACTTGACCTCAGGTGATCTGCCTGCCTTGGCCTCCCAAAGTGCTAGGATTATAGACAGTGCCTTTTTTTTTTTTTTTTTTTTTTGAGACGAGTCTTGCTCTGTCATCCAGCGTGGGGTGGAGTGCAATGGCACAATCTCGGCTCCCTGCAACCTCCACCTCCCGGGTTCTGTGCGATTCTTCCACCTCAGTCTCCCCAGTAGCTGGGATTACAGATGCCCGCCACCATGCCCAGCTAATTTTTGTATTTTTTTTTTTTTTTAGTAGAGACAGGGTTTCACCATGTTGGCCAGGCTGGTCTCGAACCCCTGACCTCAGGTGATCCACCCGCCTGGGCCTCCCAAAGTGCTGGGATTACAGGCGTGAGCCACGGCGCCTGGCGGGGATCCTGCCTTTCTTTGGAAGTATTGTGATAGCAACCACGCACGTTGTGCTCTGTCCTTGGTCCTGAAGAGACCAGCGTGCGTTTCTTGAGACCAGGGACACTGGTTAGTGACTCTTCTCTCGGTAACTCTGAACCAGGTGAGAATTGCCATTTTTAACCTTGAGATATAGCAGTACTGTTTGCATCTTGCAACCCTCCTCTCCTTGGGCTGCTGGCTGTACTCACTCTCCAGGGATTGTAGTTATAGCTCCTGACTCCACATAGCAAGCCTGCAGGGCACACCTACCAGCCTTGACCCCACCACACCCAGTGAGCACATATTTTATTTGCTACCCCCTCCAAATTCATGGCCTATCCCCATCATGGCAACGGATGTCAGATGGGAGGTTAATGGCTTGCCAAATAAGCAGAACCCTATCTTGGTCTCCCAACCTAAATTGCTTCATTCATGCATTTTTGACAGTTGTATCTTTCCACCAATCACCAGGTAATTTTTTTCTTTTCGAAAATGGCAAGGAAAACACCCCCAACCCACTCCCTTCACACTTGTGAGAGCTGCATGAGCTGAAAGTGACTCTTCCAAAAACTCTTCTAAGCTTGAGAAGCTGGAGACTTCAGCATGAGACTGGAGTGTGACAGCTTGGTCTGCTCTGGCATCAGAAGGGAGGGAAAGTGAGTCCTTGGAGGTCTTCATACTCCAGGAGAGATCCCAAGAGACATGCAAGAGTGGCAACCAGGCCTCTGTTTGACCCTCTTGCGGCATCTTGGTGCTAAGTGGGGTGAAGGGAGAGAACACACACTCTGCCTGGTCCCCGCCGGGCTCTGCACCCCGGTGTCCTCTTCCCCCACCCATGCCTCCCAGCAGAAAACTGTTTCCCATCAGCAGCTGCAGAATGAGATCATGTCTGGCCTGTTGCAAGAACCAGAATGAAGGATGGAGCAGAAGTTGGATTGGGGCGGCAAGAAGGGAGTAAGCAGCCTCAGGCCAGCACGCCTTACAGCCTGGGGAGGAGGGAAAGGAGAGGTCTCCCTCCCTCTTTTCTGAGCGTTGTGTTTCCCTTCTTCTCTCATTGGGAGAGGGATGGGATGATGGCGAGAGAAGGTGTCATAGACGGGAACCCAAGCCGGTGGGAAGGAGAGCTGTGGGCTTGGGGGGCGGGGGAGAGGGAGAATTGGCAATAGGATGCCATCTCCATCCATAGAGCCAGGGACGGACTCCTGTCCTGTAACTCCATTCCTCACCCCACTAGCCCTGGGAGCAAATCTTAGTTCACTGTGATCCACTGAGCAAGTCACTAAACTTTCCCAAGGCTCAGTTTCCTTATCTGTGAAACAGACAGGCTGACCCCTAACAGAGATGTAGTGCAGGCAGTCAGAGAGGTGAGGGAGGCAAAGGCACGGCGCAAGGCACACGGGAACGCAGGCGCTTAACTGTCCACACCACGCGGCGCTCTCCCAACCCCGGCCTGGCGCGCTCACCGGTTCTCAGCCACCAGGATCTGCTCCAGCAGGCGCGCGGCCTGCACACGCGTCTCCAACTCCGGCGCCTGCAGCAGCCGCAACAGCAGGTCGAGGCCGCCATCGAGGCGGATGGCGTCGCACAGACCCTGGGCTACCTCGCGGCCCACGGCCGGCAGCAGCCAGGCCTCCTCCACCAGTTGGAAGACCTCGGCCAGGCCGGCGCCCACGGCCCGCGCGCCGCCCGCCTGCTTCAGCGCGGACAAGGCCTGCTGCAGCTCCGGCAGCGCGCGCTCCAGGGCGTCCTGCACCTCGGTGCCTGCCCCCGGCGACACTTCGCGGGGCCCGCGGCCACCCGCAGCCCACCATGGGCCCGTGCCACCGCCCCCATCTGGCCCAGGCACCGCCAGCCGCTCGGCGCCCGGCCGTGGGCCCGACATGGCGAAGAAGCGACACAGCTTGTAGGCGGAGAGAAGCAGCGTCAGGACCATGGGCGCGGGGCCGCGGGGGACATCCCCGGCCTGGAGGCGGGGCCACGCGGAGAGACCCGGGTTTTGGGAAAAGAGGGACCCGAGAGGGGTCGGGGAAAGAAGATGGAGGGGGAGGAATGGAGAGAAGGGTACCAGGCAAGGGTGCCGGTCAGAAGTTTGGGGGAGGAGTGTCGGCAGGATCGGGGGAGCGGTTGGCAAAGGTGATGCAGGCCCAGATGCAGGGAGTGGGCGAAAGGAGAGAGCGAGCAGGCGAGGGATGGCTCCGGACGCCGTAGGGTAGAGGAGGCGGCGGCTGGAACAAAGCGTGGCCTGGGCACGGGCTCGGCTGAGCTGGGAGATGCTCGGCAGCAGCCACGCCCCGGAGGAGCAGCGGTCCCCGGCCGACGCCCCGCCTCTGGGTCCCGCGGGGCTCCTCCAGCCTCCTGCAGCCACGCCCCGGAGGAGCAGTGGTCCCCGGGCCGACGCCCCGCCTCTGGGTCCCGCGGGGCTCCTCCAGCCTCCTGCGCAGCCCCACCCCCAAGCCGTCCCCAGCCACGCCCACGCCCCTGGCCAGCCTTCCCTAGCCCCTCAGTCAGTCGCAGCCACCTCCCCCTGCGCTGGACTTGGAGGAAGGGGGTGGAGAATGAGAGGACGCTCTCCGTTCTCCGCCCCGCCTCCCCGCCCCACGTGACATCGGTACGTGGGAGCAACACCGCTGGATGCCCCCTCCCTACTAAATGGTTAAAACAATCATCATAACTCTTAAGGCCCTTTTATGGCTGTTTCTTAGCGAAACCTCACAACATGCCTATGGGGTGGGAATTGATGTTCCATTCCACAGCTGACTCCACTGAAGCCCATGAGGAAGAAATTGGCCCAAATCACAGTCCCCTCTGATTACAGAACAGAAAAAGTCAGCTAAAATCTCAGGATCACTTTTTTCAGGTGATGGGAGGATTTCAGAAGTTCTGTGGACACCTGAAATTGGGCACAAAATCAGGTGTTTCATGCCAGTGGGCATTTTCCAGGTAGAGGGATCATATTTCTCTCGAGAGTCTAAAAGTGTGTTGAACAAGCCCACTCTTTACAGATGGGGAGACTGAGCCTGGGGACAGGGAGTGGCCTGCTCAGAAAAGACTCAGAAATTAAATCCAGTCCAGTGGGTTGATATTTACCCAAATTTCCAGCCTGGGGAGATTGATGCACCCAAGAGAAGAACCCAGAAATGAAACTTTGTTCTTTTATGCTAAAAAATAAAATTCCCCAGAGTGCTTACAATCTCTCCTCCCACTCCCTTTTTCCTGCCCTAAATAAATAATGGCGAATGAGCACCCAGCCAGGGATGTGTCTGATCAAACAATCATGGATCAATAGCTATGTTTGGAGAAGGAATTTGTGGCTGCTCCAGCTACTGGGCATTTTGTCTGGTCCAGTTCATGTAATCTCCCAACACCCCATGAAGCAAGGCTTTGTTAATCCTATTTTACTGAAAATGAACTAAGACTCAGAGAGATAAAGCTGTTGCCCAATGAGCCTTCTTTCTGCCCTCCAGATCCACGGTGCTAATTCCCCTTCCGATGACCTAATGATTCTGAGCTTGGCAAAGGTCTTATCTCCCAGCTCGCCCAGGCCCAGTGTTCCAGGAATGTGACCTTTGCTGCAGCAGCCGCTGGAGGGGGCAGAGGGGATGGGCTGGAGGTTGAGCAAACAGAGCAGCAGAAAAGGCAGTTCCTCTTCTCCAGTGCCCTCCTTCCCTGTCTCTGCCTCTCCCTCCCTTCCTCAGGCATCAGAGCGGAGACTTCAGGGAGACCAGAGCCCAGCTTGCCAGGCACTGAGCTAGAAGCCCTGCCATGGCACCCCTGAGACCCCTTCTCATACTGGCCCTGCTGGCATGGGTTGCTCTGGCTGACCAAGGTACAGGGGAGTGTTGGTGGCCATCTGGGTCAATGTAGGGAGGGCGAGGGTGGTCTGGGCTTGGTGGCACCGACTGACACTCCTTCCTCATAGAGTCATGCAAGGGCCGCTGCACTGAGGGCTTCAACGTGGACAAGAAGTGCCAGTGTGACGAGCTCTGCTCTTACTACCAGAGCTGCTGCACAGACTATACGGCTGAGTGCAAGCCCCAAGGTGTGTTCAGAGCCCAGGTGGGTGGGCTGGGGTGCCCCCTGCTGCTGGAGACTCACTACCATCCACTCTCTGCAGTGACTCGCGGGGATGTGTTCACTATGCCGGAGGATGAGTACACGGTCTATGACGATGGCGAGGAGAAAAACAATGCCACTGTCCATGAACAGGTGGGGGGCCCCTCCCTGACCTCTGACCTCCAGGCCCAGTCCAAAGGGAATCCTGAGCAGACACCTGTTCTGAAACCTGAGGAAGAGGCCCCTGCGCCTGAGGTGGGCGCCTCTAAGCCTGAGGGGATAGACTCAAGGCCTGAGACCCTTCATCCAGGGAGACCTCAGCCCCCAGCAGAGGAGGAGCTGTGCAGTGGGAAGCCCTTCGACGCCTTCACCGACCTCAAGAACGGTTCCCTCTTTGCCTTCCGAGGTGAATCCAGGGCAGGTACTGGGGATGCGGGTCTGCCCCAGGAGCGTCCCTGCTCTCACACCATCTCCTCCACTCTAGGGCAGTACTGCTATGAACTGGACGAAAAGGCAGTGAGGCCTGGGTACCCCAAGCTCATCCGAGATGTCTGGGGCATCGAGGGCCCCATCGATGCCGCCTTCACCCGCATCAACTGTCAGGGGAAGACCTACCTCTTCAAGGTGCCAGGGGCTGTGGGCCAGGGTAGAAAGCATCTAGGGAGGGTTTGAGAGCTATTGCTCCCAGGGACAGGGTGGACAGGGAAGCTGGACCCAGGGCCCTGCAGGACCTGGTGGGAGCTCTGTGAGCACAGGGCAGCCCCAAGACTCCAGGTCCTGGGCAGTGAACCTGGACCTGGGAACGGCTGCCTTAGGGCAAGGGACTCTGCCTCTGTGCCCAGCCAGCGGCCTCCATACCCCTTTTCACTTTCCCCACCTCTTAGGGTAGTCAGTACTGGCGCTTTGAGGATGGTGTCCTGGACCCTGATTACCCCCGAAATATCTCTGACGGCTTCGATGGCATCCCGGACAACGTGGATGCAGCCTTGGCCCTCCCTGCCCATAGCTACAGTGGCCGGGAGCGGGTCTACTTCTTCAAGGGTACTCAGGGGGTGGTGGGAGACTGAGCAGGCAGTGGAGCAGTCTTGGATTCCTTTCACATTTCACTGGGGACAGGCCTCAGCATGTGCCCACCCCTGACCCCCACCTCATGCTGGGAGATCCTAACTTCAACAGCCTCTGGGATCTCCAGTCTTGCCCTGGCCCAGCCCTCCTAATGCCCACCACCCTGCTCCTCAGGGAAACAGTACTGGGAGTACCAGTTCCAGCACCAGCCCAGTCAGGAGGAGTGTGAAGGCAGCTCCCTGTCGGCTGTGTTTGAACACTTTGCCATGATGCAGCGGGACAGCTGGGAGGACATCTTCGAGCTTCTCTTCTGGGGCAGAACCTCTGGTATGGAGAGAGGGCAAGTCTTGCTTCTCCCTCAAAAGGGCTGAAACCCCTTGGTATTGGTAGAGCCAGGCCGGCTGGAGGGGGCTGTGGTTGTGGAGCTATCGATCAAAGTCTGTTTGCTCAGGCCAGACTTTGCTTCTGTTGACCTTTTGGGGAAAGCTCAGCTCTACCTGGACCCCACACCTTGGACTTTGCCTAGCACAGCTGAGAGCACAGCCAGCAGAGGGAGGGGCTGTGGCTGAGGAGTTTAGGGGGCCTGGGGGGGTGGGGTCGAGACACCAGTGATATGGTGGAGGGAAAGCACAGGGGGAAGGGAATTGGACTGAGAGTCAAAGGCCTGGCTCTGCCATTCGCTGCTGTGTGTCTTTGGGCAAGGTGCAGCAGATGAACTCTAATGGCCCCGCTGGAAGGGGCAAGATTCGGACCCCCAAGACCTCTCATTCACCCCTTCCCTGCCACAGCTGGTACCAGACAGCCCCAGTTCATTAGCCGGGACTGGCACGGTGTGCCAGGGCAAGTGGACGCAGCCATGGCTGGCCGCATCTACATCTCAGGCATGGCACCCCGCCCCTCCTTGGCCAAGAAACAAAGGTTTAGGCATCGCAACCGCAAAGGCTACCGTTCACAACGAGGCCACAGCCGTGGCCGCAACCAGAACTCCCGCCGGCCATCCCGCGCCACGTGGCTGTCCTTGTTCTCCAGTGAGGAGAGCAACTTGGGAGCCAACAACTATGATGACTACAGGATGGACTGGCTTGTGCCTGCCACCTGTGAACCCATCCAGAGTGTCTTCTTCTTCTCTGGAGGTAGGAGCCGCTGCCACCCCTGAAGCTGGTCTAGCTTGGGTTTTCCTTGCTGTCCCTGGTGCACAAGGGCTGAACGCAGCCTGCAAGTAGTGACCACAGAAAGCCAGGCCAGAAGTCCTTAGCTGCATCATGGATGTTCACTTTCCCTTCTGGGAGAGACCCTAGACTTCTCAAGGGAAGAGTGGGCAGGGCCAGGCTGGGCCTCACGCATCCTCTGCTTTCCTCTCTTCCAGACAAGTACTACCGAGTCAATCTTCGCACACGGCGAGTGGACACTGTGGACCCTCCCTACCCACGCTCCATCGCTCAGTACTGGCTGGGCTGCCCAGCTCCTGGCCATCTGTAGGAGTCAGAGCCCACATGGCCGGGCCCTCTGTAGCTCCCTCCTCCCATCTCCTTCCCCCAGCCCAATAAAGGTCCCTTAGCCCCGAGTTTAAAATTATTGTTCTGACTGGGGTAGACACATCCCTGTCTGGGTAAAGGAGAGGAAGCTGGACTGTCAGAATGGGTTGGTGAGGGGGACAGAGAAGGGACAGAGAAGGGCCTCGCCGTGTCCAACCCATGTTGGGCTCAGGACCTCTCTGTGCTCAGGACCTCTCTGTGAACCGGTTTGGGGCTGGGGAAGGCCTCCTGAGAGCTACCCTTCCTCTTGAGCTAAGCAGCCCCCAGCAACCCACCAGCAGCTAAGCAGACACTTGAACTCCTCTGATGATGACAAAGTTACCAGGCCAGCCTCCGTGGGTGAGGCTTGCTTTGCCCCTTGGAGTTGACTAGGGTCTTGGAGGAGAGAGAAGGGGCAAGAGTTGGTGGGGTTCTGGCTCAGCTTTTTTGTCCATCCTGATCTGAAATCCTAGTAGCTCTGACTCCTGAGCACTTGGGGAACCAGTCACTGTGCTTCCCCAAACCCACCCCTAGGGTGAGCCTTTCTTGAGGTCTCTGTCTAGGGTCTAGGATGGGGAGCAGCAAGACCAGGAGAGATAGTGAAGGGCAGAAACTGAAAGGAAATTCAAAAGCACACACTTCTTGTGGAAAAGTGGCCCAGGAGCCCAGGAGTTTGAAGCTGCAGTGAGCTATTATTGTACCACTGCACTCCAACCTGGGGAATAGAGTGAGACTCTATCTCTAAAAACAGAACAAAATAAAAAAGGGGGGGAATTTTTGTCTGGGCATGGTGGCTCATGCCTGTAATTCCAGCACTTTGGGAAGCCAAGGTGGGAGGATTGCTGGAATCCCGAAGTTTGAGACCAGCCTAGGCAATATAGCAAGACACCATCTCTACAAAAATAAATAAGTTAGCTGGGCAACTTATGGGTGGTGTGTGCCTGTAGTCCCAGCTATTTAGGAGGCTGAGGTGGGAGGATTGCTTGAGCTTGGGAGGTTGAGGCTGCAGTGAGCAGAAATCACACCACTGTACTCCAGCCTGGGCAACAGAGTGAGAAAAAGAAAATTTAGGCCAGGCACGGTGGTTCATGCCTGTGGTCCCAGCACTTTGGGAAACCAAGGCCCGTGGATCATGAGGTTAGGAGTTCGAGACCAGCCTGGCCAACATGGTGAAACCCCGTCTCTACTAAAAATACAAAAAATTAGCCGGGTGTGGTGGCAGGCGCCTGTAACCCCAGCTACTCCGGAGGAAGAGGCAGGAGGTGGAGTTGCTTGAACTCGGGAGGTGGAGGTTGCAGTGAGCCAAGATCACGCCACTGCACTCCAGCCTGGGTGACAAAGCAAGACTCCATCTTGAAAAAAAAAGAAAAAAGAAAAAAATTTTCAAAATTTAAGAAAAAGTGGCTCAGAATATATCCAAGGAAGAGAATACTGTACACATAAACATCTTTATCATCTTTCTTAGAACCCCTCAACTGCACCTGTGGAACCTCCTCTGGTTCCAGGTTCCGAACCCCAGGAAGTCCATCTGGCTCTTGAGGGGCCAGAGAGAGAAAGGGTTAGATGAGGCAAAGCTCTAAAGCAGACCTGAGGGCAATCTGGTGGTGACATCTGTTCCCCAGTCCTGCTGACAGCGGCTGGCTCCCATTCATCCCGTTGACACCCTACCATCCTTCTCATCCTGTCCCACTTCACCAGCCCAGTCCCCAGTTGTGGGAGAGGACTCCACTCCCTCTCCCCTGAAGGTAGCCAGGTTCAGAGCACTAAGGGCTCCAGAAGGGGCAGCCAGTGCCTGGGAGCACTGGAGAGATGGTTTTCTTTGGCTGCCTGGAAGGACCCCTGGGAGGATTTTCATGAAGTATAGGATTTCAGGCACAGACTGCCAGTTTGAGGTTTGAGAAGGGATGCTGGGTCCAGCTTCCTTTGCGAGGCCTTGGAGGGGCAGGGGGTATACAATTTGCCCCACCCATACCCTCATAAGCCCAACCCGGCCTCCAGCCTCCCTTCTTCCCCACCGAGACTTCTCTGCCTTGCTTGAGCTGGACTCTAAACCTCTCCACTCCTGAAGGCGGGGCCAGCCACCCTGAGCATGATAAAACCCAAATGGGGGGGTCTGGTGTGGGCACAGCCCTGGCATGGCCCTCTGGCACGGCCCTCTGGCACCTTACCCTTTGCCAGCTCCATGCCCAGCCCTGTGGATGCATCCTCAGCAGGTGATCTGATGGGGGAAGTGTGGGCAGGGTGAGAACGCAGGCCATGGTAGGATGAGGACGGTTGGAGAGGGGTGGGAGTAGGGACTTCGGGGTTGATTGAGGGCTTTGAGGCTGGGTGGAGGCTCTTGCAGGGAGTCCCAGCTTGACCCCCACCATGGCCTGCAGACGGTGGCAGCGGGTTGGGTTCCCACCGGAGAAAGCGGACCACCTTCAGCAAAGGGCAGCTACTGGAGCTGGAGAGGGCGTTTGCAGCATGGCCCTACCCCAACATCAGCACCCATGAGCACCTGGCCTGGGTCACTTGCCTTCCTGAGGCCAAGGTACAGGTGAGCTGTGACCCCTTCTCACACAGCCAACATCTAGGCTTGGCCCACAGCCCCTTCGCTGGGTAGCCTGCCTTCAGGTTGTTTCCCCTGTCCCTGGGTGGAGGGGATGCTGGGGCCAGAACAGACCCCTTCTTCTTTCCTAGCAGGTGTGGTTCCAGAAGCGCTGGGCCAAAATAATCAAGAACAGGAAGTCAGGAATTCTAAGCCCTGGGTCTGAGTGCCCCCAGAGCTCCTGTTCTCTTCCAGACACCCTCCAGCAGCCCTGGGATCCCCAAATGCCAGGCCAACCTCCACCCTCCAGCGGCACACCTCAGCGCACCTCAGTGTGTCGACATAGCTCCTGTCCAGCTCCTGGCTTGAGTCCACGGCAGGGCTGGGAAGGGGCTAAAGCTGTAGCCCCATGGGGATCAGCTGGGGCTTCAGAGGTCCACCCTTCTTTAGAGCGAGCTACTCCCCAGACTTCACTAGGCAGCCTGTCTGACCTCATCTATGCCTTGGCCATTGTCGTCAATGTGGACCACTCCTAGTCTTTGTCCAGAACTTGCAAGGCCCCTCCTCTGACTCCTGTGGCCCACCCTGCCCCTCCTGGGATTGAACACATCAGAAGTGGATTCCCTGGCCCCACTTTTTATGCAAAGGGATTCCCTACGGGAAAGGAGTTTAGCTCAGGCATCCCTCCCTTCCACTGGCCTCCAGGCCAGCCTAGATGCAGGTCCTAAGCAGACTGGGGCCTGGCTCCTGCCACCCCACACCCTGACCCCTTTGGGGCATATGCTCATTGTTGTGGCAGGTGGTACCTTCAGAAGGATGAGATGAGGGTCATGTTTTCCTCCACTCTTGCCAGGCCTGGTCCCCAGTTCTCACCAGCTGATGGCCTCCTCCTTCTGAAGGGGCAGGCTCCTGTCTCCTGAGGTCTCTCCAGGCCATTACCTTGCTAACTGCTAAGTGAGGTAGGAGAGGAGAGTGCTGCTCCTCATCTAGACTGCTGGAGAGCCAACTTCTTTATGGGTCAGGGCCCCCTCTCTTGACCATCGACCACCTGGACAAATTAATCAGAACTACGGATGTGAAGAGGGAGTGGCATTAAAGTAATGAAGCAAAGATAGGAAGCTGGGGCTTATGTTGATTTAATTTTCACAAAGATCAGATTGGATGCCCTCTGATGTGGGGCTGTGGAGACAACCTGACAGATCTGGGATGGAGGCAGGTATAGCAGCATTGGGTTTTGGTATCACCATCACCTGTAATACCAACTAATCTCCAAATAAAACCCAAACTCTGTACCTTAATCTGGATTGTTGTGCTCTGCAAACGAACGGGGACGAGGGCCGTTTGCCATGGAAATTTATCTCCATCACCTAATCCCTAAATAGGGCCAGGTTCCACACAGATACCTCTTGGTGGGAGGTATTACCCAGGCTTCAGCTGGGATTAGAGGGATAGTTAATTGAAGGGTTTAGGACTCTGACTGACAAGACCCTGGGGAGATGAGAGCCTCTGCTAGCACCCCCAGCTCCTGGTCCCACTGAATCTAGGACATTCCAGTCACCTCCACCTCTGGAGCTGCTCTGCTTTGGAGAGAAAACCATGGTGTTTGCGGTCTGCACTGGATTCAAATCCTGACTTTGCGATGTAACTGTGGCAACTCTGGAACTCTATGTGACTAAAAAATGGGGATACTTATTTGCTCTCTGTTTGGGGTATAAGAAATAATGTAGGTAAAGGGCTTTACATGGTGTGTAACACATCGTAAAAACTCAGTAAACGCTAGTTCCCTCTCCAGACAGGCCCTAAGAAACTGGGAAGGCCCTAAACTTCTTGTTCTTCCCACCTCCTGCCAAGCAGTCCCTGGACCCAGAGTGCATTACAGAAAGCATGGCACAGTGAGGCAGGAGTGGCTAGCAGATGAGAGAGCTCCCTTCTATATGCTGAGAACTGGAGGATAGGGCATTTGGTTCTCCCCTCCCAGTGCCCCCTGCTTTTTCATTGAGACAAGGTCTCACTCTGTCATCCAGGCTAGAGTGCAATAGCATGATCTTGGCTTACTCAGCTTACTGCAACCTCTGCCTCCCAGGCTCAAGTGATCCTCCCACCTTAGCCTCCTGAGTAGCTGGGACTACAGGCGTGCGCTACCATGTCAGCTAATTTCTGCGTTTTTTTGTAGAGATGGGCTTTTGCCATGTTGCCCAGGCTGGTCTCAAACTCCTGAACTCAAGCATCCTCCCACCTTGGTCTCCCAAAGTGCTGGGATTACAGGCATGTACCACCACGCCTGGCTAATTTTTTTGTATTTTTAGTAAAGATGGGGTTTCGCTATATTGGCCATGCTGGTCTTAAACTCCCAACCTCAAGTGATCCGCCTGCCTCAGCCTCCCAAAATGCTACGATTACAGGTGTGAGCCACCTCACCTGGCCCAGTGTAGCTTTTTAACACAAATTTTATATAGCTCAGGTTACTGGAAACACTGTAAAATGCCACCTACTTTTTCTTTTCACAGCTGACACTTCTCCCAACTAACAGAAACTGGCAAACATTGTAGAGGAAGTGTCCACTGAGTGAATGAGTATATAATTTATGAAAACAGAAAAGTGCTTTGGAAAAAAAAAAAAAGACAACAGGAGTACATACAGTGAACCAAAAAGAGTGTACCAGGAGGAGCAGACCCTGAACAGTTAGAACTATGGAAATCGCTATGCTTTGTGTTGTCACAGGAGTTAAAATAGGAATACCCTGCATACAATAAATATTTATTGGATAAATAACTAAGCCTGATACCCTTTTCAATGCGTTATACAGACTCTATCATCACACCACTAATCTAAGTTCTCAGAAGTTAAACATTACAAGACTTCAGAACAACATAGGCGTCTTTGGCTCCATTTAACAGAAGAAGGACCATAGTGATCATTTAATCTCTATGAGTCTGTCTTATCTTCTGGAAAAGGGGCCTAACACCATTTCCTTTTGCAAAAAGGTAGCTGCCTTGCTTCCAGTTCTACCATCCTCTAGCAACCCATCTTTCTCTTATTTGATGTCTCTGATCAGCTCCTCTTCCAGCACAAACTGGAGAAAGGGGATCCTTTCTGTTTTCTTGGAGGCTTCTGAACTCAATTACAGGTCTGCATTAAAAATGTATGGAGAAAGCTGGTGATCAGTTTGTACATATGGACAAGTTCAAGGCAGTATGGTCTACTTCTGGGAAGGCCTGGATTCCATTTGCTCCTGATGGAAAAACCCTAGTCCCAGCAGTGTTTAGAATGAACTGGAGAAGGCAGATGGGTACCAGATTCAGGAAGAGGTACTGATAGACCAAGACCAGTTCTTTCTGTTTTAAAGATGTGTTATCTCAATCTCCTCCAATGCTCCCTTTGGAAATTCACAGAAGATTAGGGCTCCCCACAGAAACAGCAGCTGGCCTGGGCTGGTCTTCTGACTAACTGGAGCTGAATACAAAAAGTCTGATGGGTTGACTGAGTCGGTGACTGCCAATTGGAGCCTGAAGCCCCCAAAGTCTTCTCTAGACTTGATGATGAAGCACCAGTTACAGTTCTCCCAGCTCGCCTTCCATTGCCCGCACCATGACATACAGCTCGGCCAGACCCACCACAGAGGCGACGATCAATGCAGCTAGCACCCGCTGGAGATGGGGAGAACCAGGCTTAAGGGATGCAGGCCAACAACCAGCTCTGTACCCCAGCAACTTTAATGAGGATGGAGAGCCCCCCAACCACCCTCTAAGTTGGGGGAGGGGAAGAAAAGAGAATGTGGCTTCTCCTGGGGTTATTACCTAACCTCCCGTGACTGCTGGAAAGCTCTAATGCTCCCCTTATTAATGGCATAAATATCTGTTCAATACCTAACCTGTGCAAGGCACTTTCACATACGTCCTCCCTTACCCACTAACACCCCCACCAGGGGCACCCTGCCCTGCCCAGTGCCTACTCACCGAGGCCATTTCTGTGAAGATATATTGGCTTCCAAGGTAAGTGCAGACGAAGGCAGCAACCACCGTGACAATGAAATTGAAGATGGTGATGACCAGAGCCTTCAATGATCTCACTTTGGGGAGGAGCCAGAGAGGGCACCTTTAGTTCAACATTCTCTAGGAGGTGCTCTTATCTCATGGCTCCCCCACCAACTGGGTTTCAGTCAAACAACAAGCCTGAGTGTCATGACCCATCTCAGGAAAAGGTTTTAGAAGCCTGATCTCCTAGTACCTCACCTTGCTTTCCCAGGTCGCTGAGAGTCCCACCATGTCTTGTATCCTGGGAAAAAGAAAAAGAAGATGATTCAGAATAGAAGCAGCTCAGAGAGCATCCATTGACAGTCTGGCTCAGCCCTCTCTATTCCCCAACATATTAACTCTGCCCTCCCCATGGATTCTTTTGTCTGGAACCATTTTGACTCTTTTCTGGACTACAGAGCAGGCATTTCGGAGAGAGGACATAGGCTGCCAGTACCCATCTACTCTCCTGTTCCAGGGTAGGAGCATGCCATAGAGTAGTAGGGAGCCCTGTCAGAAGAAATGCTCGAATGGCTGGGCACAGTGGCTCACCTTGTAATCCCAGCACTTTGGGAGGCCGAGGCAGGAGGATCACCTTGAGGCTGGGAGTTCAAGACCAGCCTGGCCAACGTGGTCTCTACTAAAAATACAAAAAATTAGCCTGGCGTGGTGGTGCATGCCTGTAATCCCAGCTACTTGGGAGGCTGAGGCATAAGAATCACTTAAACCTGGAAGGCGGAGGCCGCAGTGAGCAGAGATCCTGCCACTGCCCTCCAGCCTGGGTGACAGAGTGAGACTCCATCTCAAAAAAAAAAAAGAAGAAGAAAAAAAGCCTCCAAGATTCATTCCCACTTATTTATTTATTTATTTATTTATTTTGAGATGGAGTCTTGCTCTTGTTGCTCAGGCTGGAGTGCAATGGTGCAGTGTTGGCTCACAGCAGCCTCTGCCTCCGCCTCCTGGGTTCAAGTGATTCTCCTGCCTCAGCCTCTCGAGTAGCTGGGATTACAGGTGCCCGCCACCACGCCAGGCTAAGTTTTGTATTTTTTGTAAAGACGGGGTTTCACCATGTTGGCCAGGCTGGTCACGAACTCCCGACCTCAAGTGATCCACCTACCTCAGCCTCCCAAAGTGCTAGGATTACAGGCATGAGCGCCGTGCCCGGCTAACTCCCACTTCTATGACGTTTAAAACTTGGTCACCATCTCAGCCCAGAGTCTCAGTGAATGAGATGGGAACTGTGTTGTTTGTATGCAGACTTCCTATGGTCCCTGAACAGTATAGAAACCAAGTTTCCATGTTTTTTCTAAACTCTGTATCTTCTTCCACTGCAGGGCCCTACTCTGAGGGGCTACCTAGACCACGTACTGAAGAGCATGTCCTTACCTGACAAGTGACGTTGCGGGTGATCCGTTTATATTCCTCATTGGCCAGCTGTATCTTAATCTTCTCCAGCCGGGCAACTAGTTCTGGGTTCTGAAGCAGAAAAATCAAATGAGAAGAATGATATTCCCAGCTTGTTAGAAAGCACATCACAATCATTGGTTCCAGGGGTAAAGCACTGCTAAAGGTATCAGGAGACCCACATACTAGTCGTAACTCCAGTGCTTTGAAACTGTTTTTTTTTTTTTTGATCTCAATTTTCCAAACAGCTGATGGGGAGGACAATATCTGGCTCCCCCAGATCCCAAAGATTTCAAAAACAATTTTTCAAGCCTAAAAGTTGATTTATAAGTTCAGTGTATCATGGATAAGCCCAACTCAGTCAATAACCACTCTCACAAACATATCCCTTACATACCCGTGGAGGCTTCACAACCTCTGGGAGATAGATTTCACTGCCTTCTAGGAGCTCATGGAGGTATAGTTTGGAATCTGAGAAGAAAAGGTTTCACAAACACAATGATCCACGAGCTGAGGTTGAAGGGTTAAGATCAAGAGGGGTGTAGCCCTTCTTTCTACCAAAATAAAACAGGGCCATCTCTACATTAATCCATTTCCAGGATCATTTTCAATTGAAAAGAATTTTGGATAATTCCATGTAGGTATCTCCCAGTGCTGCGCAGGTGACTTTAGCTGTCAGCTCTCAATTATCCTGCCAGTGTTATAACTAACAAGTAAGCCATTTACTTGTGCCTTTGGGTTAGATCAGTTCTGTGGCCACAACAGCTCTTCCCTAAATAAGTTTAGGTCATAGTGATGCTAAATGCTCAGAGGACACTAATACTAGGCAATCTCTTTCTAAGGTCCTTTCTAGTTCTAATAATTGAGCAGTCTACCCTTTGCACTTCTGGCTGGTCTATGTTACTTCTGGCAAAATACCTTATGTGCTAGTTTGTCCTGTTCCTTCCCTTTACACATAAGGGAACTGAGGCCCAGCGAGGAGAAATGACTCCTTCAAAGGATTAGTGACAGAGCTAGGACTGGAACTCACATGCTACTCTCAGGCCAGATCTTTCAACACAGCTTTTGCCATCCTATATTAAAAAAACAAACAAACAAAACAAAGTATCAGATTTCACCACTCTTGCTTTTGAGGTGGAAAGAAATCCGGATTCCTACAAGCTCACTATGCTAAGCTGATTCCTAAAGTGGAGAAAAAGAAGAGACAAAACCTGTGATATTTGTATTTGGTAAAAACCTAGACTTTCTCAAGGGTGAATTGGGCCTAGGTGTGCCTGGAAGTGAAGAGGGGGCTCTCAAAAGAGCAGAAACTGCACAAGCAAATTTGTCATCCACGAGAAATTCCCATGGGAGTTAAGAAAGTGGGTGGCCCTGGGATTTATGGAGTGACTCTTGACTTGTCTAGATGAGTGCTCCGTAGAAGAAGGGGAATGATGGGAAAAGACCTCAGGAGGGAATCGATCTGGACACAAGGAGGGGACCCCGGACTGGAGACTGGGGCTCACCCCTTTCTCTCAGATGCTGGTGCAGATCCCGGATGAGACGGAAAGAAACCAAGCGTTGGGGGCCACTGGAGCTATCACCGCCCTTGTGCTTCTTCCCCAGCGCGGCCTCAAGCTCGGCCCGCAGCTTTCGGGGTAGCCGCTCTGGCTCCAGCTCCCCGCCGGGGCCCAAAGCACGCACCAATCGCTCGCCCGCAAGCAAAGAGGACGCCATATCTAGCCGGCTCTCCGGTCAGGTGACCCCAACCCGGACTTCCGCCCGCCGCGCGCCGGAAGTAACGCTAAGCGCACCGGAAGTTGCTCTGAGCTCCGGGGTGGGACCAGGCGGGCCAAGAGGGCCGGGACGCCGCGCGGGGCAGTGTGGGACTGGGGCGGAACGCCGCCCGGCCGCGGGTCGGGCTCTGTGTCAGCAGCCGGGCGGGCGCTCGGGCGGGACATGGCAGCCTGTACAGCCCGGCGGGCCCTGGCCGTGGGCAGCCGCTGGTGGTCCCGGTCGCTGACTGGGGCCCGGTGGCCAAGGCCGCTCTGTGCGGCGGCCGGAGCTGGAGCCTTCTCGCCAGCGTCGACCACGACGACGCGGAGGCACCTCTCGTCCCGGTGAGGGACGGAGCCAGGGGGCGCGAGGAACTGGGCCTGGAGCCCAGAGAGCGTGTTCCTAGCCAGTGCGGAGGCCAGGGGCCCGGGCCTGCTGAGGGTGACTGGAGTTTGACCCGGGAGAGGGTCCCGAGCAGGGAGCCGACCTGCGCTGTCTGGGACATGTGCCAGGAGCAGGGAAGCCAGCGCGGCCCAGAGCCCTGGTTGTACAGGGCTGGCCCTGGGGGGGAACAGGTTACCCTCCCCAAGTGAATCCTACTTCCCCGGCTGGGGTCCCCAGCACCGATGTCAGAGGGAAGCTTTTTAATTCAGCCCTAGGGCATTGGCTTGAACCCTCAGCCTTTGGATTTGGTGAAGGTCTGCCTCAGAAAGATGCTAGAGGTGGGAAACGAGACTCTTGGGTGTGGACCCTCGTAGGCCCCAGGTTTCCAAGTGACTTTGGGGAGATCGATTTTCTATCTGTGACTTGGGGAAGGGGGTTTGAGGCCATGGGGATGGTGTGGAAACTGTTTCCACGGATGGGACAGGCGGATCAAATGGGCTGGTGGATCAGTGGGAGGAAGCATAAAGTTCACATCTTCAAAACAGTAAAAACAGCCTTTATTTGAAGGGCCCCTAGAAAGAGCAGCCCTGTTCAGAGTGGTGACTGACATTTTAGTGGCTGATATTAGACACTGAACATTGGGGAGAGATGATAGCTATTTGCAATTTAAGACCCCTGTGAGAATATGAACAAAAACGGTATTGAGAGAGCGATGTGCCGTAGGAAATCTAGAGATGTTTAAGCTTTTCAAGGGCAATGTAAGGGCTACAGGTTAGAGGGGGAGATGGACATGGAATTATAATACAGGACAAATATTTTTTGAGCACCTCTTGTACACTAGGCTCTGAGGGGGCAGTACCAGCTAATCAGACTCAGGCATTGCTCCCAGGGAATTTACAGTATTTAATAAAGATAAGACATGGACACAACTGAAATGTAAAGGGAGCAGGATATTGTTTGATGACTTGTGATATAGAAAATGTAAGAAAAGAAGAAAAAAAGATACTCCCCTTCTAAAAAAATTGAAAAAGTGAGCAAGACAGTTAAAGTGCTGTGGGAGGTCAGGAGGGTGGGTTAGGGAAGAAACAAGGGCAGGGGTACATTTGAGCAGAGTGTGAGGGCATGATATGAAGAATGCCCAGTGAAGAGAGAAGACAGTAGTATGGGAGCGGTCACATCTAACACTGGGAGACTGTGGAGGTTTTCACCAAGGAGGAGGAAAGCCTTTCCTGCTCCAGCTGGTCCCACTACCCCAAACCCTTCTCTGCTGTCATCGCCCTGGCCCCTCAGTATCCTAGGAGCTTTTTCTTATGGATAACTACCATTACCTTCTCAGCTTTTCTGTTGCTTGTTCTTTTCCTTCCTACTCAGAAACCGACCAGAGGGCAAAGTGTTGGAGACAGTTGGTGTGTTTGAGGTGCCAAAACAGAATGGAAAATATGAGACCGGGCAGGTGAGTATTGGGCTGGGTCATCTTTCATTTTCATAGAGTGCTCTGCTTCTGAAAAAAGTCAGATTAGGTCACAGGCCTGCATGGTATGGTGTTCCATTCATTCCACCTTGATGTTTGGTGCCATTCCAGAATCAAATTTGTATTCATTTTTTATTTTATTTATTTATTTTATTTATTTATTTTTTGTGAGACGGAGTTTCAGTCTTGTTGCCCAGGCTGGAGTGCAATGGCATGGTCTCGGCTCACTGCAAGCTCCACCTCCTGGGTTTAAGCAGTTCTCCTACCTCAGCCTCCCTAGTAGCTGGGATTACAAGCATGCGCCACCACACTTGGCTAATTTTGTACTTTTAGTGGAGATGCGGTTTCTCCATGTTGGTCAGGCTGGTCTCGAGCTCCCGACCTCAGGTGATCCACCTGCCTTGGCCTCCCAAAGTCCTGGGATTACTGGCGTGAGCCACCGCACCCAGCCCAGAATCAAATTTTTATAGATAGGGTTTCTGTTCTCCTGGATTTGAATGCACTTAATGTGTCAGTGGGTTCTCTTTCCAAGTTAATGTGGACAGGGATGGTGTGGACTATAGTGAGGTTTAGCCAAGTTGCTGAAGATTTCTCTAACATAGTGGATGGTGGGAAGCCGTGGAGGGAGCTTTCAGAAAAGTATACCTTTGATGCTTTGCCGTAATAAAATTGACTTCAGTGTGGTAAACTCTGGATGTGTGGTTCTTTTTCTATATCAGCTTTGTTCTGGGTCCACTGGGATAGATTTAGGCCCTTCTAGGATATTGTAGGTAAGGAAGACTTTTTGTTTGTTCAACATTTTATTTTTCTGTGTGCCTACAATGGACTAGGCATTGTGCATTAGGGTTAAATCAGAAAGCAAAGTAGACATGATTCCTGCTATTGTGGAGTTTCTAGTCTAGAAAAGAACGATTTGCAAATGGCCAATAGCTGTACATTGTGCTAAGTGGAAGGGAGGTCAGGGAAGGCTTCCTGGAGGCCTAAGCTTTTACCTAAAGGATGAGTAGAGTCAGCCAGGTAAAGAAGAAATAAGAGTGTTCCAGCATTGGTCTGGTTGATCACAGACTTCAAGGGAAGAGGTAGCAAGACCTTGTGCTGGAGTTGCCTCCACCTGTGTTGCTTTGTGGTCTGGGGCCCACCTGGATGGATTTGCTGGACTGCAGACTCACTGAGGCCCCTCTTTCCTTCCAGCTTTTCCTTCATAGCATTTTTGGCTACCGAGGTGTCGTCCTGTTTCCCTGGCAGGCCAGACTGTATGACCGGGATGTGGCTTCTGCAGCTCCAGAAAAGTAAGTTTCCCTGTGGTTGTGCCTCACAGTATCCTCAGGAGGAGATGGCAGACATATGTAATTGGGGTACTAGGGGTGAAGACAGCGTCCTCCTAGGCCTTGGAAACATCCCCAGAGTACTTCTCTGGGACTAAGACCCATGGAGACAAAAGTGCTGAGTGCCAGGGATAGTCTAAGTCAGAGAGTCCCTTTAGGCCTCCTCAGAATGCTTTCCTAAGCCATTCCTAATTTTCATTATGAGTATCCCAGAGGGCATTTGGGGGACAAGTCTTCTTGATTTCTTGATGTTCAGCTGGAGTCTTTCCCTCAATCTCACATCATCCCTAGAATACATTAAAACAGAAAAGGTTCAGCCCCATTAAGTGATCACAGACAGTCCCTGGGATATAAGAAGACAAGAGTACTCTGGGCCCTGGGGACTGAGGTGGCAATTTGATTTTCTCAACATGGCCCCCTTCTTTTAAGAGGTATCCACACGGTCAGATGATGGCTCCATACCATGGTCTTCCATGCTCTATTATTTGCCCCAACTGAGGAGCAGCTGAGCTGAGGTGCTGCAGAGCAGGTGTCCAGCTGGTGCTAAAGCCCCTTTAGATCAGAGACCAGCCTGTTTAGGTGAGGAGGAGTAGGGAGCTGAGTCAGCCACAGCTTCCATTTCTCCTGGGGTGATCTTGGCCTCCTTCTCCCACCCCATAGAGCAGAGAACCCTGCTGGCCATGGCTCCAAGGAGGTGAAAGGCAAAACTCACACTTACTATCAGGTGCTGATTGATGCTCGTGACTGCCCACATATAGTAAGTAAGCAAGATGGCTGGGCTTGGGGGTCCTCTCCATGGAAAGTCCTGCATCCCAATGGGGACAAAGGGAGGGAAGGGGGTCAAACAGAGCCCAGGTCAGTCTTGGTCCCCAAGGCCTTGGACTGCACAGTGGCCAACAAAGCCCTGATTCACGTCTTTTTTTTTTTTTTTGATATGGAGTCTCACTCTGTCGCCAGGCTGGAGTGCAGTGGTGAGATCTCAGCTCACTGCAACCTCTGCCTCCCGGGTTCAAGTGATTCTCCTGCCTCAGCCACCCGAGTAGCTGGGATTACAGGCATCTGCCACCACACCAGCCTAATTTTTGTACTTTTTAGCAGAGACATGGTTTCACCACTGATTCACTTCTTGCCTTAGTCTCAGAGATCTCAGACAGAAGCTGTGACCTTCTTGGCTAACCATGATGACAGTCGGGCCCTCTATGCCATCCCAGGTGAGTAGTTAGCATTTGAATGGTGCCCGTCAAGAAGGAGTCTGGTGTGTCTCAGGGAGAGGATTCTGATGTCCTGTCATCCACTGGGAGGGATTATGATGCTGAGAGGTATGATATCAGGGTTATCCCATACTGGAACAAGGCCAGTTAATGTTTCTTCTCAACCCCATCTCTCTCCTCTCCTGTGAGTTTCACCACTGTCTTTTGCATCTCTGTGCCAGGCTTGGACTATGTCAGCCATGAAGACATCCTCCCCTACACCTCCACTGATCAGGTTCCCATCCAACATGAACTCTTTGAAAGATTTCTTCTGTATGACCAGACAAAAGGTAATCTCTCTCAAGAAGGGGAGGTGGAATGGGAGGGCCTTTTCATCAAAGAATATCATAGAAATAATTCCAGGGCCGGGCACGGTGGCTCACGCCTGTAATCCCAGCACTTTGGGAGGCCCAGGCAGGTGGATCATCTGAGGTCAGGAGTTCAAGACTGGCCTGGCCAACCTGGTGAAACCCTGTCTCTACTAAAAATACAAAAATTAGCTGGGCGTGGTGGTGGGCGCCTGTAATCCCAGCTACCTGGGAGGCTGAGGCAGGAGAATCACTTGAACCCAGGAGGGTGGAGGTTGCAGTGAGCCGAGATTGCACCATTGCATTCCAGCCTGGGCAACAGAGCGAGACTCCATCTCAGGAAAAAAAAAAAAAAAGGCCCGGGTGCTTGTGGCTCACGCCTATAACTCCAGCACTTTGGGAGGCTGACACGGGCAGATCACTAGGTCAAGAGATCAAGACCATCGTGGCCAATGTGGTGAAACCCTGTTTCTACTAAAAATATAAAAATTAGCTGGGTGTGGTGGCGTGCACCTGTAGTCTCAGCTACTTGGGAGGCTGAGGCTGAAGAATTGCTTGAACCCGGGAGGCACAGGTTGTAGTGAGCTGAGATCATGCCACCGCACTCCATCCCGGCAACAGATCAAGACTCCGTCTCCAAAAAAAAAAAAAAAAAAGAAATAATTCCAACGCTCTATTTCCACAACCCTTTTCAACCTCCTGTTAGAGCTGTCATGCCTCATAGGTGTCATACCTGACAGATGACAGATGGCAGTTATTTCCTTACAGATATGGAAACTGAGGATCAGGGATGATGACAAGGGACTCAAGGTTGCTAGTAGCAGAGTGAGGGCTGAAAACCAGGGCTCTTAACTGCCAGTCCGATTGTTTTCCCATTGTATCACACTAGCTCCTCAGGGCTTATTCTTGGTAGCAGTCCTGTGCCTTCTTCCAGCCTGAACTTTTGCTTCATGTATGAGCACCTTGTTTGCCTGGGCCACCACTAGGGAGGGTTTTCTAGGAGGGGCAATCGCACTGGACTATTGTGTGATTGGACTAGATACAATTGTATCCACAACACACAATTGGACTAACCAATTGTATCTTGCCCCAGCACCTCCTTTTGTGGCTCGGGAGACGCTAAGGGCCTGGCAAGAGAAGAATCACCCCTGGCTGGAGCTCTCCGATGTTCATCGGGAAACAACTGAGAACATACGTGTCACTGTCATCCCCTTCTACATGGGCATGAGGGTATGTGGCCAGCCTGGACCCCTTCTAGCAGGGGTAGGCCCCAAGGTGTATGGTGTCCTTAAGGTGACTGCCGGGGGAAGGGAGTCTAAATATAAACCATGTCCCTGTGGTTCTGCTTCCAAGTGGTGGCATGTGTTGGGTGGGGTTGAGTAGCCTCTAGACAGTGGCTGACACCAAGACCTAGAGCGGGCAGGAAAACTCATAGGTCCCAGGAAGGAATCCTTTATCCTGTCTCTTCCCTCTTGCTCAAAGGGAGCCATGTTTATGAAGAATATACACATAATTATTTAAAGCAGTGTAGGCATAACACTTTTTACACATTATAGACACTTACACATCGCCTGGCTGTAAGCATGTGCAGTGGTAGGGGCCGCCCAACTCCACAGACAGAAGCTATAGGTCAGAAAAGTACGTATAGTCAGTGCATGCTTGGATACAAATATAAATGAAACACCGTCCCTGTCTTCCAGGACCTTATAGTAGTGGAGGAGGCCAACTTAAAGTATTATAGCAAGGGACAGTAATGGGAGACAGGAGGAGGACAGGGGCTCAGGGCAGCAAGGATAGGGGGCAGGGCTGGTGAGGAGGGCAGTGAAAAAGGTAAGAGCCCTGTAACTGATTTCTGTTGGCATCCAGCTCTGTTGGTGATCTTGAAGGGATGAGGAGTGGGGAGGCCAGGAGTGGATACAGGGATGTTGCCTCCCTGTGGGTGTGTAGGCCATGGTTCAGCTATCACCCTTATCCCACAGATACTCTCAGCTTGGTCTGTCTGCAACCTTCCTGGAATACATCAACTGCACTGGAGAGATGTTGATTGGAACACACTTGGTCTTGCCCTGTGGGACTTAAATTCTTTTTGTTTTCTCCCTAGGAAGCCCAGAATTCCCACGTGTACTGGGTGAGTGTCACTGTCTGGGAGAAGGGGAGCTTGTGGGGTGTGCCTGGGGGTCAGGGTGGAGGTGGGGGAGCCCACCTTCTGACGAGAGCGGAACCTGTGCAGTGCATGTGTCAGCTTTGTTGACTTTTGCTTTGCACAGAATTCTGAGGAGGGTTACCCAAATTTTATTTTTTTTAAACTCTCTCTCCCACACCCACCTCAGTGGCGCTACTGTATCCGTTTGGAGAACCTTGACAGTGATGTGGTACAGCTCCGGGAGCGGCACTGGAGGATATTCAGTCTCTCTGGCACCTTGGAGACAGTGCGAGGCCGAGGGGTAGTGGGCAGGGTGAGCATCCTTGGTCTAGTAATTCTGGTCCTGTGTGGCAAGCCTGGGGGCTTAGCGCATGGCTTCCTTCTCCTTTGTTGTTATAGACAGAGGCTCACTTTGTGAATACATTGTGTTGTTTTGGGTTAGAAATCTTAAAACAACTACATGAGATATGTTTCTTGAAACCCATTTCATAGATGAAAAGAGTGAGACTGAGAAGTTAAATAACCAGCCCATGGTCCCATAGCTAGTAGTGGCAGGGCCTCAATTTAAACCCAAGTGAGTCTGAAGTCAAAACTTGTGTAGTTTTTAAAACTGGTATAGTGTCTTTTAAAAACTAAAATTTGAATGTCGTTAGGTGGGGCACACACCCCCACCAATCCCTGTGGTCTTGCCTCTTTGCCCCTTTACATGTTTACATCCTCTGCTGGTCCTTGAAGAGATCTGATTTTATAATCCCTGCCTACCCAACCCTGTCTCCTGAGAAATAAAGTCACAAGCAGTACTGGTGTCAGGGGCCACATTCAACAAGCATTTATCAAAGTCAGCGAGGACTGGGGAGGCAGTTGGGCAAGTGAATAAGAACAAGGCTTTGGATTTAGGTAGTCACTTCAAATTCCAGCTGAGTTATATATTAGCATAACTTTCGGCAAGTTATTTAACCAAAATCTTAGTTCCTTACTCCTAAAATGTGGATCACACCAGTTATCTTATGATCATTAGGAGAATTAAAGCAGCAGAGGTTTGCAGAGTACCTGCCGTGGTCCCCGCCAGCATGTGTGAATGGACACTGGAGGGGATATCTCCACAGGAGGTCCTTTGTTTTTAGAGACAGGGTCTCGCTGTGTCACCCAGGCTGGAGTGCAGTGGTGCGACCATAGTTTACTTTTCTGGGCTCAAGCAATCCTCCGCCTCAGCTTTCTGAGTAGCAGGACTACAGGCACACACCACTATGCCTGGTTAGTTTAAATTTTTTTTTTTTTTTTTTTTTTTTTTGTGGAGATGGGGTCTCACTGTGTTCCCCGGGCTGCAGAGGAGGTCCTTTGCCCAGTGCCTTCGGACATTCAGTCTGAGATTATCTTTCCCAGAGCCAGCATAAAAGGCCCAGCCAAATGGCCATCTATGGGAGGAGGTACTGGCAGGAAGTGTATCATGCTATGGGAGTGCCTGCTGTGGTGGTGGCTGGGTAGGGGACATCCAGTCTTGATGAACTGGCAGTCAGCATGTAACCCTGGGGTGCAGGAAACATGTCCCTGGGGCTTGGCCTGACCCATTTTGCCTAAACCTTTACAGGAACCAGTGTTATCCAAGGAGCAGCCTGCGTTCCAGTATAGCAGCCACGTCTCGCTGCAGGCTTCCAGTGGGCACATGTGGTGAGTGAGTGTGCACAGCAGTAGGGGCCACCCAGCTCCACAAACAGAAGCTGTAGGTCAGAAAAGTGAGAGCTTAGAGCTTGCCATTAACTCTGGGCCAAGTTACATTCTTAGAGGGAGCCTTATCTGCTATATTGTTGTGTGGGACTTGTCTGATTTTCTATTACCGCCTGTTTCCCAGTACCCTGTGATTTGTGGACTGAGGACTTAGGCTAAAGAGGTCTGGTGATTTGATGCTGCAGAATTGCTTGTATAGTTGGGTTTTTTCCCTTGGTGTTTCACTCCTTTACCTGAAAATGCAGTTGGCTAGCTTATGCAGTATGTATCTAAAGGCCAGAATCTGGACAGCTGTGTTTTCCTTTTTTCTTTTGTGAGATGGAGTTTCACTTATTGCCCAGGCTGGAGTGCAATGGCACAATCTTGGCTCACTGCAACCTCCGCCTCCCAGGTTCAAGCCATTCTCTTGCCTCAGCCTCCCGAGTAGCTGGGATTACAGGCATGCGCCACCACGCCCGGCTAATTTTGTATTTTTAGTGGAGACGGGGTTTCTCCATGTTGGTCAGGCTGGTCTCAAACTCCCCACCTCAGGTGACCTCAGGTGATCTGCTGGCATCAGCCTCCCAAAATGCTGGGATTTCAGGCGTGAGCCACTGCAGCTGTGTTTTTCTTTTCATGGATAACCATGAGGGGCTCTTGGGTCTCTGGACCAGTCATCCTGTCATGAGCTAGAGATAGAAGAGAGCTCAGGCTCACATGTCCTCTGTGGCTGGCAGCTGAGGGCATGGGGCCATCCAGATCCTTAGGAGGCCTCAGCCCTGGCTCCTTCTAAACCAGCTTCTTTCTGACTGTAGGGGCACGTTCCGCTTTGAAAGACCTGATGGCTCCCACTTTGATGTTCGGATTCCTCCCTTCTCCCTGGAAAGCAATAAAGATGAGAAGACACCACCCTCAGGCCTTCACTGGTAGGCCAGCTGAGGCCCCAAGTGCCCAGGCTTGGTCACCGGGAAGAACAACTCTCATCCCACAATTGCTGCAGAACTCTTCTCTCCCCATCATGGGCCACAGTGGGTCTCTTAATTTGATTGTGGGGTTCTTTTTGTGGGGAGGGGTGGTATAACTTTTCTTCAGAAGACCCATGTGGGACACCTCCAAGGCTGGCCTCCTCATAAGCCCTGCCTACACCATGTTCCAGTAAACCTCTCCACCAAGGAACTGTGTTCAGCTGCCACAGGCCTGGAGGAGTTTCCTGGCCTGTCACGTGAGGTTTGATCAGTAAACCAGTGCACGCTTGGCCACCCTTGCCATTTCTGCTCCCAGAGTCTCAGGCTCCCCTTCTGACCCAGTGTGCGCCCTTGACTGCTTTCTTTGCTGCCCTTCCAGGGAGCTGCCCCCCTGGTAGGGCATGTGCCTGTTTCCCTCTCAGCCTGGAGGCTGGCTGGACATCTCCTAGGGTCACTGTGCCTCTCAGCTAGTTGGCGGGGGTGCTGGACTGGACTCTTGTTCACTTTACCTTCTGCCAAATGCAGAGAGGGAGGCCAGTGTCAGGGTCGGAGTGGCCTGGCTCTTAGCACTGACCGACCATTGCCATTTCTGGCCTCGCTAGGCCCAGGAGAGGAGGGAGGCAAGCCAGTCGGGTTTCCTGGAGCAATGGGTGTGCCAGCCCTCAGCATGACTCTGCCAAGCATCCAGACCACAAATGCAGGAATTTGGCTGAGGAGCAGCTTTAGGTATGGATTGATGACTAAGTCAAGCTACTTCCTGAGCTTCTCTCAGATTTCCAAGAGCCAGAGATGAATTGTGCTGCATCTTGCCCCAATTCTTAGGATTTCTTTTCCTCCGCCACTGCAGTGATTGTTAGAGGTAGTTTTCTTGAATTAATATTAAATCACAGTTCCAGCCCTTGTTATTCTTGTCCTTAGTCCTCCAGGGGGAGCTGGGGTTGCAGGGCAACAGTACAGTCGCGCTTACGACCTGGCTAGAACACAAGGTCAGATGATAAACAGAAGCACAGGAACTCAGCCCATGGCCGCAAGCTGGTCAAGGCCTGCTCACTGTAAACATGGCTCTGTACCATTGAGTTTAACACAATTTTATTAGAAATTAGTGTTTGCTTCCATCACTTATGCTGAGCAACCAAATATTACAGTTATGTGATAAAGGAAAAATTCTTTCCTGCCCAGGACCTGCGCCATCCTTTAGGCCGACCTTGGTCACATACCAAATTCAATAAAACCCAATACTGGCCTGTGTTGTTAACAGCAGGCTGCCAGGTTTCTCAGAAACTGACAAGAAAATCTGACCTTCATCCATACTTTGTTTACTTACCCCTGGGCTGCTTGGAGTTGAAAAATGCACACAGCCAAGAGTTGCTTTCTGAATAGGGCTGGAAACTTTCAAAGAAAACCCCCAAACTTTTAAGTCACAAAGTCTGATTAAAGAAGCTAAGATCATGTCAGTGAGTTCAATGTTAGTATTTTCCTTAAGACCAAGGAGAGATTTTCAGTCAGAGAAGATAAATGCCCAGTCCCAGACTACTGTGCTTTCTCGGCAAAAAAGACTGAGACACTGAGGATGTGAATGTCAAAGTAGTAAGCAGGGACTAAAGGGGATGGGGAGGTCAAAAGGCAAGCATCACAACACCTCAGTGGGGAGCTGGGAATTTGAGTGTTAAAGGACCTCAAGAGGGCAGCTGAGAAAATAGGCCAGTGGTCTCAGGCTGACGCATTCCAGTCTCTGTGGGAAAGTCATAAAGCCAAAGCCTGAATTTGGCCAAAGAAGTGGATTTGTCTTTATCTTGTTACCTCAATGAGGGCTGGAAGAACTAGTAGCTGATCACCAAGGTACCTGACCTGAGAGTCTTAGTGCTGTTTATACATTCAAGACTGTGACTAACATAAAATGCCTAATTAGAAAGTCACATTTCCCCTGTCCCGCCGTCATGTCACTTCAGGTCCTTGTGTCTAACCCTGGGTCTGGCATTTGCCCATAGGCTCTGTGGCATCAGCTATCATAAGAGTAGTCAAGAGAGATGAACTTGATAACCTGTGTTCTCTCCAAAGAGCAGAAAGTGGGTACTATACGTGGCTACGTTGCTTTGTTAGGCTGGCAGAACAGTCCCTCCCTGACAGCATTCCTTTGGAAAATAATTCAGATAAGCTGAATTCTGGTTTGGCCAAGCCAAACAAAAAGGAATGAAAACCAAAGCCCTAAAGAGGAACTCACCTCCTGGCTAGTGCTTGGCATCTCCATGGCTGAGTTACCCAACAAGGAGTGAAGGCCTTCAGGGTGCTTCGGTTGCTCCTGTCATCCCGCGCTCAGAGACACCACTGGGCAGAACCGCCATCCCAGCCAGCACCAACCAAGAGCATAGATGGTGTGGGCAGGGAGTAGATGTGTGGCCAAGCATGTGCCACCTCTGTAGGGGCTGCTGGGAGTTTGCTGTCCTCAGCTGATGGGCATGCCAGCCAACACCATGCAGTGCCCACGGGCTCCACGGTCTTCCTGCCGTGGCTCATGTTTCTGGCCCATGTGACAGCTCTTTGGCTTTACCGTATGTGAGGACAGCATGGCTGGAAGCCAAGGGTACTCAAGAGAATCACAAAGAGCAGTCGTGCTAGACCTAGGAGTCAGTGATGTGACTATGATGTGGGGGTAAAATGTCCTTTCTCACAGGCACCCTGTGAGGACTGCCGGTCCCAGCTTAGCCATCCTTCCCTCCTCGGTGCACTCTGAGCTGCTGGCCAGGCTGCAAAGCCAGAGCTGCTCTGTCGGATGTTTTTTTTTTATTGCTTCCTCTTTATCCCCTCCCTCAGATTGATTCTGCAGGGAAGTGGGGATTAGGGTAGAAAGACATGGGTCAAGGAGATTATCAACCTCCTGAATAACAGTACAAAGTGCTTTAAAGAAACAGATCCCACAGGCATGGAGAAGGGCCAAGGGTTCTGTCATATGTAGGGTCTTGGCACCCTGGAGGGCAAAAGAAATGCTCAGTTTCCTCATTACTAGATTTAGAATTATTCATTTCCTAGATTATTTTTTAAAAACCAAACTTATCAAGCCTGTGCTTAAACACCTTAGGAAAAAAGACGTCCCACTTTCTGCACCAGGGCCTCTACAGCACCAGAACTGCCTTTCCCCCAGCTGAGGCCTAAGGGGCAGTAGCCTTCTGCACAGGGCCTAGGGGAAGGTTCTCAGCAGGAGGTGGGTCAGTCCATATGCCCCAGGGAGCAGAAGCAGCTCCGTCGGGCAGGAAGGGTGATGGTGAGCAGATAGGACAGGACGCAGTCTCCAGAAGTGCTCAGGGGCAAGGCAGGGGAATGTGGTCCCTCCTCTGCCCAGACCCTCTGACCTCTGAGCAGGGCCTGTCATGCCTCTGGGTGCTAGAGCAGAGACCCAGGCAGCAGCAGCATGGGGTGGCCAATGGGGCGGGTTCCACAGGATGGGAGATAGGGCCTCCCGTGCCCTGACTCCCTGAGGGTCTGGTCAGTCGCGATGGGTAGACTGGTGGCCGAGCTGCCGGTCATCGTAAGTGCTGTAGCGCTTGACGTGGATGCGGCGGACACGGTCCCGCAGTTCAAAGGTCTCCTCATCTTCACTGGGGGAAGCCTGGCTGCGGCTACGGCTTGTGGCCTCCAACAAGGAGTTGTCGGGGACGCGGGGAGTCTCATAGAGTAGGACGTTGAGTGTCTCCTCATAGATTCGGGCCTCTGGGAATTCCACCTGGGGTTAGGGAGGAAGAAGGTGGAGCAAGGTTTCATCTTCAAGAGGAAGCCATGCGTCAGAGCGGCTGGCCCTGAGGCTCCATAAGGCCTCCGCTACCTCTCATAAAACAGGTGGCGGTCCGTCTCCAGGGAAAGCCAGCCTCCCTCCGAAGGCGGGGTGAGGGGATGTACTCTACAGACATGAGGACAGGGAAGACCAACATCCTCCACACCCCTGCCCCAGCCTGAGACCAAGGGACTAGTGGGCATAGAGGGTGGGCCAGAGCTAGGTCCCAACACAGCTCTACCACTTGCTAGCTGTGGAGCCTTGGGCTGAACCCTTCTGGGCTGCAGCTCCCATATGTACAAAAGGTTGGTTCAGCTCAACCCCTGAGAGTTGCTGTCAACATTACGGGAAAGATGTGATTGCTTAGCAGAAGATTGGCACACAGCAAACCACCAAGCAGAGGCATACACAGAGCAGCTGCTATGCTGAGTGGTTATGCTGCCTTTCTCTGCCTGCCTGACGCAGTGTGTCACCGGCATGACCTGCCTGGAGGAAGGAGAAAGGGAAGGCAGTCAAGCACCTGAATTCTAGCCAGACCTGCTCTGTTGGACTGAGCTTCTGTTCACTCATCTGTCACATGGGGAGAGTGGCTCTAGCCCTGCGTGTCTCACAGGCATGTTGTGAGGGGTCACACGAGTTCATGAAAGACAACACACTTAAGAAGATGCCAGGTGCGCTGCCACTTCCGTCGCAGCATCACCAGCCACTGGAGACCTGCCCCTGAACCCTTTCACCACCGATAGGGTCAGGAACCACCTGTCGCCCTCCCTCCCACCCCTACACCAAAAACCGCAGAAGGAAGCAGGGCCACCTGTAAGTTGGCCTTCCCCAAACCCTCTGCAGATCTCCCAGCTGGAGGCACCTGGAGTAGTTTGGGGGTCGACAAGTTGCTTGGCAAGTCTGGCTACTTTGAGCTCTTCACACCCACATGGCCCTTCCTGGATGACCTGCCATCCACCCCAGCGTATCATCTCCAGGACCTGCACTCACAGGAGGCAGCTACTCTCTGGGGTAACTGACTGCAGCCTGGGGGAGAGGGGCCACCTGAGTTTGTGATGACTGTCACCTATCAAATGCCTCCTGTGTACCTGGCACTAAGTTGATTAGCCAGAAACCCCCAGCTGGTTGGGGCCAGTAAGGAGATTTTATTTTATTATTATTAAAAGTGTTTGGAAGTGGAATCTTGCTATTTTGCTTAGGCTGGCCTCAAACTCCTGGGCTCAAGGGATCTTCCCACAGCAGCCTCCTGAGTACTTGGGACTACAGGCATGTGCCACGATGCCTGGCTAATTTTTCTATTTTTTGTAAAGACGGGGTTTCACCATGTTGTCCAGGGTGGTCTTGAACTCCTGGGCTCAAGTGCTGTGCCCACCTGTGTCCCTGGCTCAGACAGGAGATCTGAACAGCATTCTAACACGAAAGCCCAAGCTGTTTCTACACCACACTGCTGCTCCAAAGAGTTGTATCATTTTCATATCTCGTTAAATTCATACTATCATCCCCATGTCTGCAAATGAGGAACCTGAGGCCCAGATGGCTTAAGTGGCTTATCCAAAGTCAGAAAACTGGCAAGTGGTGTGAGCCAGCGTTCAAACCTGAATTGGGCCAACTTCAAAGACCCAGTCCTTCCCACTGTACTAGGCTACTTCCTGGTGGTCAACGGCCCCTGCCCTGCGCTGTCAGGAACAAAGCAGTTCCCGTCCATTCCCCACACCCCTTGTTCTGGCCTTGTCCTTGCCCAGCACCATTACCGTGTTTGGAAAAAAGAGCCAAGTCCATGCCCCTTTTGCTCCGTGCTGGTCACAGCCCGACCACGTCCCCCGCACAGTGGGTGTGTGTCCTCCCCTACCCAGGCAGGGGCAATCCCCCACACCTTGGTCTGCTTCTTCTCCGTGGCATACACGATGGAGGTACAGCACACCTCTGCCAGCTTACGGCCCTGGCCATAAAAGGACCAGCAGCAGATCTCGTCACCAATGACATCCTTGATGAAGAGCACGCGGCCGTTGAAGCGCAGGGAGAGCTTGTCAAACAGCTCGATGTTTTTCAGCAGGTGGTCGTCAGAGTTGCTGAAAAAAACATGAGGGCCAAGCGGCTGGGAGTGAGGTTCCAGTCCAAGGGAGGGTGCTAGACAAGTGGGGCCCTCCCCTCCCTCCCTTCCCCCATCCTGTCCTGCCGAAATGAAAGCAAGATGCCAGGGGGCCAGGAGAGAAAGGATCATAGGGTACCCTCTGGGTTGGGGGGCCTGTGAGGAAAAGGAACTCAGTTGGTTTTAAGTCAAAGTAGGGACAGCTGAGGAAGGAGGTCTCCCCTCACTAACCCTGGAAGGAAGGAGACAAGGCTGCTATGTCAGTGGGAGGCATTCCTTCCCTTACTGTGGGGGTGACAGTGGCAATATGCCTGGCCACAGGGAATCATAGGGAGGGTTTGGGACTCTGAACCTGCAGCCACCTGCGTCTACCTAACTGTGGCCTATGGAGAGGACATGGCCTGGAGGGTGTGGGGAGGGAATCGGCCCAGTGTGAACTGCACAGGCTGGCTTGGGGGACTCCCAGCTCACCGGCCTCCTAGCATCCCCTCCACCCGGTAGGATGACACGTGTGAAAACACCTGCCATGCTGCCTTCGTGATACACGTTGAGGGCGCATTTCACCTTCAATCATTTATATCCCAGCCAGGGCACCCTGCTGAGTTCCAAAGGCCTCTGTCCCAATTTCCCTTCTACTTTCTGTTTTTCCCCAACTTGGCACAGCCAGTTCCAAGACCCAGGCCCAGACCCACGCCGACCGTGCTGGGAGTACAGGCAGTACTCCTTGGGTCTGCTGCCCAGTGTCTGTTGAGCCCTGTGACGCACCCTACCTGGTGTAGGAATACTTGTTGTTGCTTCTGTTGTACAGCAGCTTCACCACGGGCTGTGAAGGAGTTCAGAGTGAGGGGCCAGGCCAGGGGACTGGCATCCCCGGCCCGCACCCCTCAGAGGTCCTGGTACCTTGGTGGAGGATTCGATGAGCCGCTCCTCCTCCTTTAGGGATGTGATGATGGGGATGTTGCACACAGGCTGGTAGGAGTCCTTCTTGTCCTGTGCGACACAGAACAGAGAACCCTCTTTAGGATCTTCTGCTTCCCAGGCTTATCGAGGTATACCTCTGGAGCCCCTCTGCCATGGCCACCCGCTGCTTGGTGAGGAAGTGTCAGATACAGATCATGAGGCCCCTGACAATAGAAACTGCCAGCTGGAAAGCAGACCCCCAGTTAGAAAACCCAAGATCCAGGCCGGGTGCGGTAGCTCACACCTGCAATCCCAGCACTTTGGGAGGCTGAGGCAGGCAGATCACTTGAGCCCAGCAGTTCGAGACTAGCCTGGAAAACATGGTGAAACCTCATCTCTACAAAAAATACAAAGATTAGCTGGGTGCCATGGCGCATGCTGGCATTCCCAGCTACTCTGAAGGCCAAATCACGAGAATCACTTGAACCCAGGAGGCAGAAGTTGCAGTGAGCTGACATCGCACCACTGCACTCCAGCCTGGGTGACAGGAGTGAAACCCTGTCTCAAAAAACAAAAACAAAAACAGAAACAAAAGCAAAAACAGAAAAACCCCCTAAAATCCGGGTAGCAAAGCATAGAAACCAGAAGCAGGGCCTACTCACGCTGCCAAGTGTGAACACCTGGCTGCCAGGTTGGTGGGCCTGGGTGGCATCTCACTTGTCTCATTAGGTTTGCACTCATCAACCACGCCTCCCACACAACCTGCCAGGAACCAGAGTCCTCCATCCCACAAGAAGGGGGCAACTCCTGACCTCATCTGCCCGCCCTGCTCCGCCCCACCCATGTACCTGCAGGGCACTCTGGCACATATTCACCAGCCCCTGGATGAGGTAATACTTTGCTTCAGCCATCAATTCCTTGATTTCTTGCCGGTTCTGAGGGAGGGTGATGGTGTCATCTCGGAGGTAATTCAAAATGGTGCCAAAGTGCTTTCCACAACGGTCTATGAGGATCCAGCCTAGGGGTGCAGAAGGCCCTACAGGGTTAGTTTGCCGCCAGGTACCTCCGAGGCAGGCAAAGGCCACCTGACAAGCTGGCGGCAGGTGGCAGGGAAGGGGGTCCACGAGCACAAAGCCCTTACGCAGGGTGACAGAGGCGGGGATGGAGGTTCTAGCACTCAGGCCCATGGCTGCTCTTCACCCTTCCTCTCTGAAACCCAGAACTGGCACATCCCACGGGGGATACAGCCCTCCAGGCTGTAGAAGCCACAGGGGCCTAGGCTCAGGGTACCAGGCCCAGCCCAACACAGAAACCACCAGCCACTGCCGGCCTTCTGCCCGCTGCCCAGTCTTAAGGTGACGGCTCCTATGAGAATCTTGTCCTATTTAAATATTTTAAAAGTATGGCTCTTCTTCCTGGAAAATGCATAAACACAGCATTCCATATACAATTTCACAGAATTCTGAAGCTCTACTAGGGACTCCAGGTGAAGACACCCTACATAAAGTGAAGAGGAAAAGTGACTGAATTCTAGATCTGGTCATTTCCTTGGGAACTCCTCCTGCCCTCCCCACCCCGAGCGGCAGCCCCAGTGCCTCACCTTCTTTGTCGGTCAGCACCTCCATGCGCCCACTGAACATGGCCTTGAGCATGGTGTCGTGGCGGGTCAGGGCCCGCACAGTGGTGTAGTACAGAGAGCCGCCCACGTTGAGCTGGACATACTTGTTGCCCAACCCTCCTCCCTTGAAGCCACTGAGCTTGGGCTTGGCCCCTGAGGCTGGGCACAGGCAGGTGTCCCCCGACATCTCCCGCTGCAGGTAGATCACCACACGGCAGGAGGTAGGCTTGGAAGGCTCCGCCGTGGTGGAAAGGGTCACGAGTGAGTGGCCAGTGGAGGCCAGAGCCTCATAATCTCAGTGCTGTACATGGGAGAGGGAAGAGAAGACACGAACCAGCTGAGACAGCCCAGGAGGAGACAATAGCAGAAACACGACCGTACTCATTCTCTCCCTGACAAGCCCAAGCACTGCTCCCTGGCAGAGGCTAAGTCCCTGCCATTTTGCTTTCTTTTTTTTTTTTTTTTTTCTTAGAGACAGGGTCTCACTCTGTCACCCAGGCTGGAGTGCAGTGGTGCCATCTCGGCTCACTGCAGCCTTTGCCTCCCAGGCTCAAGTGATCCTCCCACCTCAGCCTCCTGAGTAGCTGGGACCACAGGTGCACACCACCACACCCAGCTAATTTTTTTTTTTTTTTTTTTTGGTAGAGACAGGGTTTTACCATGCTGCCCAGGCTGGTCTCGAATTCCTGAGCGCAGGCGATCCGCCCACCTCAGTCTCCCAAAGTGCTGGGATTATAAGTATGAATCACCGCGTCTGGCCTCCCTGCCATTTTTACTATAGCAGGAACCAGGGCTGGAGGCAGTCTCCCAGACTCCTGCCCTGGTCACCTCATCAGCCTCCCTGAGACTCAGCTCCACTCAGGGCAGCGAGGAAGACAAGCAAACCCATGGAACCAGTTAGAGAGGGCCAGAGGAACAGATCACCCTAGAGATCTACCAGTCAGATTCCAGTTACTTTCTTGTCAAGGTTCCCAGGATCCCAGACTTCCAACCAAACCTACTGGGAATCCAGCCAGTCTAGGAGTTTCCCAGGAGCCAGAGGGACAGGATGCACTTCCTTTCTAAAGATTCCAGCCTCCAGAGCAGTCTGTGCCAGTGTTTATTTTGAGCACCACCGAGAGTCTGGCTTCAGGAAGGAAAGTAAAAGCAGCTTCAGGAGAGAATGCAGTAAGCCAGGGTCGGGGGTGCCGGCCAGTGTTCTTGGTGCAGGTTACCTGGGCTTCGGCTGGGGCTTCCTGACCTTCCCCTTTCTTGGCACCAGCCTTGTCCCAAGTTCCTGAAATTGTCACCATTTTTCAGGGAAGAACAGCTATAGGATGGCTGTTTTCCTTTCTTTTTCCTGAGAGGGAGCCCAGCCCTACTCTCCTCTTCCCTCCCAATAAGAATGGGAGAAGAAAGGACTAGAAAAGATCAGAGGATAAATCTAAAAACAATGAGGTGAGATGTGTGCTGCCACCTGCCTGTACTCCTGGCTACTCAGTAGGCCGAGGTGGGAGGATCTCTTGAGCCCAGGAGTCAAGACCAGCCTTGGCAACATAGCAAGACCCCATCTCTTGGCATTTAATATGTACTAGCTCATTTAACTCATTCAGCAATTAAACTACTGAGTGCCTACTATGTTAAGCAGTAGGGAACAATGAAAAAATATTGTCTTTGCCTTCAAACAGTTCAAAGAAGCATCATAACAGGAATTTTTAAAAAGAGAGAAAGCTAGCATTTATTGTACCCCTACGTGCCAGGCATTGGGTACTCAGAAGAGAACACATATAGAAAGTCATGTCCACATGGAGCTTACATTCTAGTGGAAGGAAACAGACTAGCAACAAGGACTTAAATAAATAAGCAGATAATTCCAGAACCTGATAAATGCAATAAAGATAATAAAACAGTGATATGAGAGTGATTAGGGAGAGGCACTAATTTAGACAAAGGGACAGGAAAAGCATCTTTGGGATGGTGACATTTCAGCTGAGGTTTGAAGAGAGCATTGTAGACAGATGGAAGAGTAAGTGCAAAGTTCCTGTTAGAAACAAGTTTTAGGGGGCGGGTGTGGTGGCTCACACCTGTAATCCTAGCACTTTAGGAGGCCGAAGTGGGTGGATTGCTTGAGCCCAGGAGTTCAAGACCAGTCTGGGCAACATAGTGAGAGTTTGTTTCTACAAATAAAAAAAAATTAGCCAGATATGGTGGCTCATGCCTGTGGTCCCAGCTGCTCGGGAGGCTGAGGTGGGATGACTGCTTGAGCCTGGGAAAGTCAGCCTGGGTGACATAGGGAAATCTCATCTCAACAATGACAAAATTAAAACAAGTTTGAGGATCAGAAATACGGTCATAATGGCTGGTGCACAGACAGTAGGGGGAAGTTGGTTTGATGTCAAGTCAGGGAAGGCAGGCGTTAGATGATAACAAAGGTGGATTTCATACTAATTGCTATATAGTATATGAATCAATTGGAGGGTTGCAAGCAGGGGAGTGATATGATCTGACTTGCTTGTAGTGTATTTTGAAAAGATAACTTGCTGCTGGGTAGAGAATGAATTGTAAAGGTGCAAGAGAGAAAGTGGGAAGACCAGAGGAAGCAGTAGTCTAGGCAAGAAGAGATGATGGCAGCCTGGACCACATTGGTAATAATGGAGACAGAAAAAAAGTGGAATGATTTCACCGAATGCTCATCACATGCAGGAGTTTACAGTTGCTCATGCCTTGTAAGTGCAACCCAGAAGCAGGGCACTGGTTTCCCAAGTTTACCGCTGTGTTCCCCTAATGGTGCTCAGCACAATGCCATGCACATTTTAAGTATTTAACATACGTCAGTTTGTTAGACTGAAATTGTCCCTGAAAAGATTTAGGTAAGTCCCTGGGAAGAATGTCCAAGGAAGTGGACAGCCAGCGTGGGTGCTGTGTGAAGCAGTGAATTCCTTTGGCGGCTTGTCTGGGAGACTCTTTCATTTGCCACAGGGGTTGGGTATGGGAGGTGAGCCCTCACCAGGAGGTTGCCAATGACTAAGAAACACTAGAATGGTATGAGATCACCTTCCCTTTTCCCGCCCACCTCAAAGGAATAAATCCACCTCTCTAACAGGTATTAGCAAGTTCCCTGTGTATTTTGTGTCTAGTCCTAGTTTTCCCAGGATCAGAGAAAGCACACATACATGTTCTGCCAATGCAAAGGAGCTCAAAGGATAGGCCTGCCAAGAGAGGTCGGCGGATCCAGAGCTAATCTCTTCCTTTCCTACAAAGCAATTGCTTTGAGCCCCTGGATGACGTCAATCACATTCCGCCCAGACCAATGGGTTCCAGGAATTCTGTGGCAGGTGACGCCCCAGAAAGTAATTCCAGTGAGAATGAAGTTTCCACTGATAGCCACAGTGCTCTTCCTTCCGCACTTTGTGTGTGGATATTTGGGGATGCCCGGGGCTAAGGGCGGATCCGTGGCTCACGCAACGAAGCTAATGGGAACCCAAGCACAACAAAGGGCAAACAGCCGCGGAGGTGGAAAGAGGAGGGGTCTAAAAGGAAGAAGGACCCAGAAATCCGTCAGACACGGAGGACGGCGGGAGGAAAGCTGAGGGCTAGAGTGGCGGATCTAGCAGAAACCCTAGGTGTAAAGGTTAAGCGTCACCCAAAAAGTCCTGGGAAATGTGGCCGGTGTGGGCTCTTCTCTAGCCCGGACCACTCCTCACTACCGAGAAACCCACACCGGTTCTCACGCCCACCCTCCGTGGGAGATCGGAGCTCTCCATCTCCCCTACGCCGCCCGCGCCTTTTCCCCCAGGACCCGGCCGGGCTCGCTCTACTCCAGCAGGGGCCGTCCATCCCTTCCCCGAGGGCATCGGCGGGCCCGGCTCTCACCGTCCCCGGGGGCGCCTCTCCTCTCAGCTGGGTGGCCAGCGGACTCCGAGCCGCCCCTAGCCTGCAGCCGCCTGCCCCTCAGCAGTCCCAAGCTGTGAGCTCACATCCTGCGCTCGTCGACTCCGCCCGGAGTGCTGCCCAGCCCAGCCGGCTGGGGAGCCTGAGACTACAAGTCCCTGCATGCATAGCGCTCTATCCGGGAAAGGGTGGAGGCGGAATCCCCCGAGGGTCTTCGCGGAGAGAGCAGAGCTACTTCTGGCCGCCTTGCCGGCGCTAAGGCTTCTGGGTCTTGTAGGCCGGGCCTCCCCTCGGGCCTCTGTTTCCCAGCAGGCTCTGTGGAATGGGGGCTGTAAGTGCTTCCGGAGTCAGGAAGGTAGTGACGTCATAGGTAAACAGGCTCTGTATCCGTGGCAGCGGCCGTGGCAGGCTGGCTGGGTACCGGCTGTCGCTGACCCAGGAGAAGCTGCCTGTCTACATCAGCCTGGGCTGCAGCGCGCTGCCGCCGCGGGGCCGGCAGGTAGGCTGACCTCGGGTCGGGGGACGCGGGCGGACCAGGGGCGAGAGGAGCCTGACAGGCCCGCGTCCTGAGGAAAGGCAGTACCGGGCGGGGAGAGACGTGGGAATTCCGCCCCACTCTCAGGGGGGCGCTTTCACACCCAGCTTAGGCCTGGAGTTTGATGCGTTGATGCTTGCCACGATCTTACGAGGAAACTGCGGCTCGGATAAGTTCGGGGAGTTTACATAGTAAAGAGTCGGCTCGCAGTGCCTCGCATGCATCTGGGAGAGCCGGGGCGCAGAAAGTATGCCACCGCCTCATGCTCAGGGAGCTTAGTCCCAGCTCTTGGGCCAGGTGTTGCTCAGATGCTCAGACACGCGTGTGATGGGAGTTGGTAGATAATCTGTGAACTCTTTCCCTGCACCTCTTCTTCCATCTTACCTATCTCTTTAAGCCAGCCCTTCCAATCAGATAGGTGGGCCAAGCCAGATTCATGGGAGTCATGCCTGACTTGTTTTTCTCTTATCCCCAAACCCCCACATTCAGTCAGTCCATTGCTAAGCCCCATCACCTCGACTTACAAAACATCTCAACTCGGAACACTTGTGTTCGGCTGCCAGCCTTGGTTACTGCAATAGTCTCCTGTTTCCACGGTCATTCATTCCACAAACATTTACTGAGTGCCAGTTATGTGTGGGCACCATGCTAGGTGCTAGGGTTAGAGTGATGAACAAGAAGGTACTTGGGGCTTTGCCCTCTCTTGTTCCCTCCAATCGGTTCTCTCAGGCTGAGCAAGAGTGATCTTTCTAAGTCTGATTTTGTTGGTCTGCTGAGAACCCGCTGGCTGTCCCATTACCCTTCTGATAAAATCCAAGCTCATGACTGCGTCTTTCAGAGCCTTCGGTGATCCAGCTGTTGTCTCCCTGTCTAGCCTCATTCTGTTCCCTTCTCTTGCTCAGTCTCTGTTCTCGGAATGCATCAAATTTCCTGTTGCCTCAGGATCTTCACATACGTGTTTCCTTCTGCCTGCAATGCCTTGCTTCCCCTTTCACTTGACATACTTTTGGACAGTCTTTAGGTCTGTTTAAGTGTCATTTTTTTCAGAAGGCCTCTGTTGGCCCTCCCCTCCAAGTCCGCCCCCCATGAACTGTGTCCTCCTGCAGCACTTCACACAGCACCATGTACTTTTCCTTATAGTAATATCACGATTTGTGATTATTTCTTTACCATCTGTCCAGAGGCATTGTTTTCACTAGTCTGTCCCCAGAGCAGGGACTGAGTGGATGTTTCTGAATAAATGCATGCTCTCAGGGAAGGGGGTGGAAGTTGAAGCAGATATTTGCTCCCTCATGTTACTTCAATCTTTCTGGAGCAGCTGGTCAGATTAATGACCTGTAGCTGCGAAAGACAGATTTTTTGGTTTTTTTTTTGAGACAGGGTCTCACTCTGTTGCCCAGGCTGGAGTGCAGTGGTGTGAACACGGCTCACTGCAGCCTCCACCTCCTGGGCTTAAGCGATCCTCCCAGCTTACCCTCCCAAGTAGCTGGGACTACAGGCACCTGTCACCAGGTCTGGCTATCTTAGAAATCTTTTGTAGAGACGGTATTTTGCCACATTGCCCAGGCTGGTTTCAGACTCCTGTGCCCAAGTGATCCTCCCACCTCAGTCTCCCAAAGTGCTGGGATTACAGGCATGAGCTACTGCACTGGCCAGATCTTTTTAAAAAGCCCTATTTTAAGGAAGCTACAGATGAACAAAATGCTTCAAAAGGATGATGCTAGCTCACTTACATCAGTGGATTCCAGTGAGGCCAAAGGCCAGAGTCGTCTACAGACAGCTCATAGACATGTATTAGTTGGCCCATGCAGTGTTGGATGTGGGTTTTCCCCCTTACTTAAAATTTTTGGATTACATACCAACATTGAGGTACTGGATTTCTGGTCATCTTAAAAACCAGAAGTTCTGGAAACAGTGAGACTTGATTATTTTCCAGCCATTGCTCCTCCTTGGCACACCTGCCCTGGACAGCCAACCCCAGAATCACCCCATTCAGAACAGGACTTCTCTAAGGAAGCCAGAAGGGAAACAGCTGAGGCTGGGGGCAGTGGGGGCAGAGGGAAGGGGCTGGTGCAAGTCCAGGTGATGGTAGACTTTGGAGCACCTGGGTTTTAGAATTGGCATAGCAGCCAATTGCTAGATGTAAGTAGCATTGCCTCCCTTTTTAAACAGGTCATAAAGATGTCTATGTTTAATTGTGTGTGTGTGTGTGTGTGTGTGTGTGTGTGTGTTTTGAGCCAGAACAAGAGTGAGTTTTCAGTATTTCCTTCCTAGAATTGAGGCATCCTTTGGAACAGGAATGCAAGGTGGCTTGGTAAGGGAGAAGATATCTCTGTTAGTTCTCTGTTGCCTACAGAAAAAATCCAAACTCCTTAGCTTGGCATGCAGGGTCTTCCTGGTCTGGCTCCAGCTCACCTTTCCAGCTCCATTCTTTTTCCTCTCGTCCTTAGGTGAGATAGGTCCTTTCAGTGACTTCAGGCCTTTGTCCATGCTGTTTTCTCTGCTTGGAATACCTATCCCTGTTCTCCTGCCTTGATATGTTCTTGCTGATACTTCATTCCTTTTTGTGTTTTCTGCTAGGAAGAGAATGACCCAACTTTGATTCCCAATTCAGGCAAGCATACGTTTTGAGTAATATTCTTACTCCTGACTTTTTATTTTTTAACCATAATTTTTAATTTACTCGGATTTCCTTTATTTGGTTTTTGTGTTGTTCCAGTATATGTATTTGAGAAGCCTTTTCATGTGCTTTTCAGTACATAACTGGTGATATATAAAGTAAATACACTGATGGCTTACAACTTAGTTCACATGTCACTCCTTCATTAATGGCTCTGTCCTCCTCTGGCTCTTTACTGATGTTTCTAAACAAGCATTTAACGCAGTGTGGTTTTTCAGTTTCCGTGTCTGTCTTCTTCCAGCTGAACTATGTGCTCTTCAGGGCGGGCACCGTGTTGCATTCATCTTTGTACCCCCAGCATCTAGCAGTGTTGGCATGTAGTAGGCACTCAAGAAATGTGTGTTGAATGAACGATGCCTGTGACAAGCAAGCGGACTTTATTCTTTCCTGACCCTTGCTCCTATGACACACCTCCTCCTGACTGCCACTGTCACTCCTTCAGAGCAGAACTCCTCTAGGGAACCTGGATGGGAAACAGGTGAGGCTCAGAGAGGTGGTGGCAGAGGGAACGGGGATCCTTTGGAACACCTGGGTTTTTGGCATTGGTGTCCAAGGGCAGGAGTGGGGCTGGCTTGGCAGCAGGCATTTCCTTGGGTGGCTGGGAAGTGATGAGGAATTGGGCCTGTTTCTTTACAGCCATGGCCAAGGACATCCTGGGTGAAGCAGGGCTACACTTTGATGAACTGAACAAGCTGAGGGTGTTGGACCCAGAGGTTACCCAGCAGACCATAGAGCTGAAGGAAGAGTGCAAAGACTTTGTGGACAGTGAGTATTGGGGAGATACAGTGCCACTCAGCTTTGAGCTGCCATTTCAACTGTACCCCAGGCTCATCTTGGCCCTGCCACAGTGGAGCTGCTGGCTCCCTGGAGGTTGAATCTGGCGTCTGTGAGTTCCCACGTGCCACCCTTTTCTGTCTGCCCTCTTGTGCTCTCATGTGTCCCCAACAGGGCACCAGTCAAACCAAACACCGGGATGGGGAGGGGAGGGTGTCTTTAGATATGCCATCTTTCATTTCTTGCTCTTAGAAACCTTAAACTTTCTGGGAACACAACCATGGCTTGGGTGTGGGAAATAGAATTATGTACTCATGATTTGATTTCTTCAGAGAAAGTCTTCTCAGGGGCAGGTTCTCTGTTATTTGGAGTTAGAAGTGATAGGTGAAGTTTCTAGAAGCAGCTCAACAGACTTACTGAAGTCATCTTTTGGCTGGAAATCTTCAGGAAGCCTCCTGTCCCAGCAGCCAAGCAAGCCCAATGCCCGTACAGAGCCAGATCTAGCTAGAACAAGGGACTTCTGAGCTTTCTGGGGGGTTTCCTAGGTTGTGGAGAGAGCTTGGTTAGTGAAAGGTAGCTTGGGTTCTGTCACTAACCTGTGATTGCTGTGCCATGCACACACCTCTCTGGGCCTTAGTTTCCCCTCAGTAAATTGTCACATCCAGGACATTGGAGAAAGTGAGTGGGAGATTAGGCACTTAATGCTGTGAGCTTGCTTTTTTGTGGTTACAAGTGGGAAGCCCCCATCCCCACTGTTAATTGAAATCTGGTGTCATACCTGTAGCTAGTCCAGAGGCAGCGCTTGTGTCCTGAGGCTGCCCTTTTGTGAACAACAGTGCTTCCTGTCACTCCTGGGGAAGCAGGGTTGGGGTCTGTCTGGAGAATGAGCCCAGCAAGGGCCTAGTGCTTTCATAGCCGGAGGTCATAGCGGCTGGCTGGCTCAGTGGGGATGCAAGGTCCGAGTATGCCCTGGTCCAGCTGGCCACCCTTCTCTAGGTTCAGACCAAGGGTAGGAGACAGGCCAACAGGCACCAAAGTGTTTAAGCGACAGGGTCTTGCTATGTTCCCCAGGCTGGAATGCAGTGGCAGTTCACAGGCATGATCACACATCCTCTAACTCCTGGGTTCAAGTGATCCTCCCACCTCAGCCCCCTGAGTAGCTGGGACTACAGTTGCTCTCCACCACGCCTGGCCCACACCGAACTATTTTAACACAAATTAGAAGGGGCAGTCCGCTCTGCCCTCTCACTGCCTTAGCACTCTACCGAAGGGGAGTGATGATACTAAGGAAATATTTTATTTTTTGTTCTTTTCCTAAAAGAAATTGGCCAGTTTCAGAAAATAGTTGGTGGTTTAATTGAGCTTGTTGATCAACTTGCAAAAGAAGCAGAAAATGAAAAGATGAAGGTAAGATCAGCATGTCTTCCGCCTACATCTTGGCCTGGGACCCTAGTTCACTACCCTCTCATCCCTCTTCCCTCTTGATTTATTTAGAGGGGTAGAGGGCTGGGTGGGTGAATTTTTATTTAAGATTTTAATAACTTCTGGTCCACTTAACCTACTGAACTTTTGCCAATCTTTATTTCCTTTAATCTTTATTTTTTTTTTTTTTTTGAGACAGAGTCTTGCTGTGTCACCCAGGCTGGAGTGCACTGGTGCAATCTCGGCTCACTGCAAGCTCTGCCTCTCAGATTCAAGCGATTCTCCCACCTCACCCTCCCGAGTAGGTGGGACTACAGGTGTGTGCCACCACACCCAGCTGAGGTTTTTGTATTTTTTTTTTTTTTTTTGAGACGGAGTTTTCTCTCGTTGCCCAGGCTGGAGTGCAATGGTGCGATCTTGGCTCACTGCAACCTCCGCCTCCTGGGTTCAAGCGATTCTCCTGCCTCAGCCTCCCGAGTAGCTGGGATTACAGGCATGTGCCACCATGCCTGGCTAATTTTGTATTTTTAGTAGAGACAGGGTTTCTCCATGTTGGTCAGGCTGGTCTCAAACTCCCAACCTTAGGTGATCCGCCCGCCTCAGCCTCCCAAAGTGCTGGGATTAAGGCGTGAGTGACTGCGCCCGGCCATTTTTTTGTATTTTTAGTAAAGATGGGGTTTCACCATGTTGGCCAGGCTGGTTGCAAACTCCTGGCCTCAAGTGAACTGCCTACCTTGGCCTCCCAAAGTGCTGGGATTGCAGGTGTGAGCCACCACACCTGGCCTCGTTTCATCTTCATATCAGCACTGATGTAGATGGTCTTATCCTCATTTTATAAATGAAGAAATGAAGGCTTACATAGTATGATTGGTGAAAGGCACAAGGCTGAATGGCACCACCAAATGTGCTATTGTGCCTGTGTCCCTGGCTCTAGGAATACTCCTAGACCTGCCTCAAAGCTGCCGTCTAGTTCTTGAGGCACTTTGTGATCAGTAGGTTAATCCTTCTGACTTAACCCAAAAGCTTTGGGGCTCCACTTTCTTTTCCTCTCTGAAGACTGACACAGCTCCCAGATAACCCCTCCCCACTTTGAGGACTTGATGCTGTAGATGGTTTTAATGAAGCCATGGCCTTCTCTGGCAATACTGTAGGCCATCGGTGCTCGGAACTTGCTCAAATCTATAGCAAAGCAGAGAGAAGCTCAACAGCAGCAACTTCAAGCCCTAATAGCAGAAAAGAAAATGCAGCTAGAAAGGTAAGAAGTCATGATGTAAAGCAAGTTCTTTACACAGCTGAATTTCCACTCTTCCTTCTGGAATGATCACTTCTTGTCCTTATTCTTCATCATTGTTTTCCCAGGAATAGCATCTCACTTGTCATCCTGATTTGAAGATTTTAAAAAATAAAATTACATTTGATGGGAAGGAAATAGAAAACTTGTTAATATCAAACCACCTCTAGTAGTTTGAGCATGAAAGGGTCCACGAAGTTGGCTGGCTCTCTGAAAGAAGACTTTCCTAGGGCTGGAGATTTCTCATGGGTGGCTCTGGGTAGGGCTTTGCCTCTTTCTTTCTTCATTCTGAACTCACACCATTTCTTGAAATCATTTAAACCTCTATATCCTTCTCTAGAAGAATTAGGTCTGTGGTTTACTTCATCTTTTTTTCAGGGCCTCTAACAATTTTGTTTTTCAGGTATCGGGTTGAATATGAAGCTTTGTGTAAAGTAGAAGCAGAACAAAATGAATTTATTGACCAATTTATTTTTCAGAAATGAACTGAAAATTTCGCTTTTATAGTAGGAAGGCAAAACAAAAAAAAGCCTCTCAAAACCAAAAAAACCTCTGTAGCATTCCAGCGGCTTGACCAATGACCTATGTCACAAGAGGTGGCGTGTAAGGAATGCAGCCCCCTGAAGACAGCACTACAAGTCTGGGGGAGCCAGTTTTAACATCAGTGCACAGCTGCTGCTGGTGGCCCTGCAGTGTACGTTCTCACCTCTTATGCTTAGTTGGAACTAAGCAGTTTGTAAACTTTCATCCTTTTTTTTGTAAATTCACAAAGCTTTGGAAGGAGAAGCAATAAATTTTTGTTTTCAAATGGCTTGATGTACCTTTTTTCCTGTTGCTCTTGAAATATGTTTAACTCCTCATGAGAGAACCCTGGATTCTCTATCCCCTAGTCCACAAAACAAACCAGGCAGTGGTCAGCAGCTACCTTTATTTGGATCACACACGTGAGTCAGACAGTACCACTAATCGGGCCAATATGGCTTGTGAGCAAAATGGGTGAAAATAGAGGGAACTGACTGGGACCTGTTGTCTAACATCATTTTAAGGTTGAACTTGAGCAAAGACTTAGAGAAAGCTGATGGAATGCCAAGCATCAACGTGAAGAGACCCTCTATGCACACAGTGGATATGTTATGCCTGGCTGTAGCCACCTTCTCTTCTGAAAACAAGATGGGAATGACGGAACTGTATTAAAAGATTAAGTTATCCACTAGGGAGCATACTAGCACACTTCCAGATCAGCCTTGAGATGCTAGACTTCAGATACAGGGACTTGTGTCAGGTGGCCTCTAGAAATGTGGAAGACTAAGATTTAGAAATAAACTAATTTAAAAGCAAACAAACAAAAAAAACTTTCGCCTAGGATGATCTGTTTACAACAGAAACAAAAACATTTTCCAGTTTAATCCATTTGACTGAAAGTCATTGTTGGGCTGACCCTTAAGGAAAACTTAAGTTTAAACTTCCTTTGCATAGTATGTTTTCTCTTTTTTCCTTGGGTTAGAGGTGGGAACAAGAAAACATTGATATAGTTTTGAATTAACATTAAAGAGGCAAAATTTCACATTTAAAATGGCCCAAAATATCCCACTATTCATTTTGCTGACAGGTGATACACTCTTGAGAATCAGGAGTGGAGGGTTTAGTCATAAGCATATATGCTGTGGGTCAGGTGACTCATGAACATGTCAAACAGGCCATGTTCTTTAGCAGTTTCTGGTCTGGTCCTGCTTTTAGTAATCTTGCGGTGGAACTCAGGCACACAGTTATTTGGTACCACTTCCTTATAACCTAGCCCACACCCCTTTGCCCACCCTCAAGCCGATCGGTCTGTTCATCCCAGTGCCCTTAGAAGGTGAAGGTTTGGGCTGGGCCCAGTGGTTCACGTCTGTAATCCCAGCACTTAGGGAGACTGAGGTGGGCAGATCACTTGAGCCTAGGCGTTCGAGACCAACCTGGGCAACATGGCAAAACCCTGTCTCCACACACACAAAAAAAACAAAACAAATTAGCCATACGTGTTGGTACACACCTGTAGTTCTAGCTACTTGGGAGGCTAAGGAAGATGGCTTGAGCCCAGGAGGCGGAGGTTGCAGTGAGCCGAGATCATGCCACTGCCCTTTACTCCAGCCTGGGCAACAGAGTGAGACTGTCTTAAAAAAAAAAAAAAAATGGAAGAAGGTGAGGGTTTGACATGGTTCCTGACACCATCTTGCTCTTGTGCATTGCTGCCAGTGTTTCAAATGCTGCTGAAGACGTGGGTTCTGAGCAGTGTTCCTTGTATTGTATCCAACAAGCAACCACCCTGTAGGCATCTCTACCCTGGGCCAGTGGTTGTTTCCTTCATTTTTTTTTTCTTTTCTCTTCATACTTGTAGTAGGGGCTCCGCAACATGAAAATTAAAAGTATGAATGGGATGAGTAAGTAGGGGGCATAGACAGACACAAGGGTTAACCGTTCATGCAAAGTCTCAGGTCTTTGTCCCTTGAAACCACTGGCTTTGGAGAAATCCTCAAACAGAAATGTGGAGAGTATCGGAATTAAGGTTGTCATGGTGTGAACAGAGTAGATGATTGCAGGAGTTCGAATCCACTTGCAGCTTCCTGAGGTAGTCAGGGGAAAAGAAAAATGGTTAGGTCTGTTCATGACTCAAAGGTGTCCATGACCTTCCCACTGTCTCTGCCTGCCTGCTTTCTTCTACTCCCTTCTCCAAGTGGAAACTCGGAACTGGAAACCTGGATGTGCCACACTGCCCAACATGCAGACTTACGTGACAGCTCACCGACAGCTCGCCAAAGAACCAAGAATGGGGGTCAGAACATAACTCGGAAAAGCTCTAGGGCAATAAAACTGCCATTACCGGTTAAACCTGTGTGGTACAAAATCCAAGGGGAGGGAAATCCCTGCCCCATGGCATCTGTTTGTTCAGTAATTATATATAGGTGAGAGGATCAGAAGGCAGATTCAGTGACCCCAGGGGGTGCCAATGGGAAACGAGCATTTTCAGTGGTTTTAGCTTATCAAGTACACGTGTATGGTCACCTTTTTAAAAAAGCATTGATTATATGAGAACACTAAGAATAATTTTAAAATGAGAAGCACATTAGGGATTAGCCTGATGCTACAGCTTATAAGTCAGTATGATACTATCCAACGCAGAGAAATAAAAGCCAACAAAAAGAGAAATTAATTCTGTTGGGGAACAAAACAAAAGGGAACAAGCTCATTGTTTAAGTGGTCTCAGGCTTCATGTGTATGCAAGGGATTTCCAGACGACTGAGGCAGCCGTGCAGGCCTGCTGACCACAGACATGAGCCTGAGCCACACTAATGTCCCTTTACAAGATCTACCCTGGCTATTTACCCCAGATCCTGTAGCATTCTCCCACAAACTATGGGGACCATCCCCTTCCCTTTGGAGATACTTTCCCAAAAGATTTCTGGGACCTGATTTCTGAGTAAAAATGGGATTTTCCCACCATTTACCAACCTTTGAGGAAGGCATACGTTGCAATGGGAAAGAAAGGCAGCTGAAACACAAGCTCGCAAAACAGAAAGGACTTAAACCAGGCTGGGGGCTCCTGTAGCAGTGGGTCTTTGAACTCCTTAGCATACCACTTCAGCAGGTTTCTAAACTGAAAAAGAAAACGATCATGATGAATTACAGCCACTTGCCCTCAACAGGCTCGGCGCTAGCTCATTTGAAAATACACTGGAGGAGCCTGTCATTAATTAGCCACCCCCCACTACCCCGGCAGCAGATGGCATGTCCAGCTGGCTTTTGTGACACAGCCTAGGTGGTCATTTAATAAAAACTTACTATCCCTAACTCAAATGTTCCCTTCTCTGAAATTTTCTCAACTCTTCCAGCCCCTTCTTTGTGTTACCCAGAATCTGTTCATAATTCCAAGATAACACATCCAGGTGTGTTGGCCACTGTCAGGAGCAACAATAAGTATCTGGCACTTGGTAGGCACTCAGGGTGTTCGCTGAATGAACAAATGTGACATTTCTGTCAACAATATCATTCTTTGTTTAAAAAAACAAATACACATGAAAACCATCCTGACACTTTCCCTTTTGTAATGGCAACTACACACCAAACTCCTCCAAAGGCCAGATTCCCTCAAATGCAGAAATGAATTGAATTTCCCTCTTCTTTTTGCGGGGTGGGGGTGGGAGTGAAAGGGGAAGTAAATCTAACCTCTGTGGCGATGTAATTTTGGACACTTTAATTCCAATATGACAAACAAGTTCCTTAACTCCCCTAATTCTAATTTTTGGTTTATTTTAGGAGACAGGATTTTAGTGGAAGAACAAACTCTGCCCCAAACTACAAACTACCTAGTAGCTTCTTGGTTATGCAGGGTTTTAGCGTCTCAGTTCTAGCTTGGGCCCCACGCTTGTAATTACCTTGTCAAATAAAAAGGATGCGGATCCATGCTGACCTGGCTACAGGCAGAGAAAAGAAGCAGAGTTTAAGGCTTCCCATCTTGGGCTTTTATAGGAGCCCAAAGCCTAGTGCTCTTGGCTCTATGTGGACTACTAAACGTTTGTCACATTTAACCTCCTAGATGTGGCGCTGCCCTGACACACAGGCCTTCAAAGACAAATAAGTCTTGATATTATGATTAATAAAGGCAACTCCAGGGTAAGAATTTATCTTACTTACAATGGAAAATCCAAGAATATTTTTCCTGTTAATTTTTAATCAAAAGATAAAGCCTCGCTATTGTGAAATAGAAGCCCCACTGCTGCAAGAGCACTTTAAGCAAACATCCAGAAACAAATATCCTGTTAGCATATTATTAATTTCAGAAAGGCTTTGGCTAGATAACCAATTTATTGACCAAAGGATATCCAAATTTGTACTTAATTTGAAATTGAAATTCATAGCAATGCCCTTCGCTTCCTTCTAAGCACTTTTCTGGATGGGAATGTGGTTTGAATAGGATTGAATTGATAAGAAACACAAAGGCTAAGTCACTGTCCCTCTCCAGGGTTCTACTTCCTCATCTGTAAAATGAGCAACTTGGACTAGATGTTTTCTTAAGATCCCTTTTTTGCTTTTTAGATTTTTAAAAATACTGGATGACACTACCTGCTTTAAAAGATTGACTATAAAATTATTATTATTTTTTTTGAGACAGTCTCTGTTGCCCAGGCTGGTGGAGTGTGGTGATTTGATCTCGGCCCACTGCAGCCTCAACATCCCGGGCTCAGATGATTCTGTCACCTCAGCTTCCCCAGTAGCTGGGACTACAGGTATGCGCCACCAAGCCCAGCTAATTTTCTGTAGAGACGGGGTTTTGCCACATTGCCCAGGCTGGTTTCGAACTCCTGGGCACAAGCGATCCTCGCTTCAGCCTCCCAAAGTGCTGGGATTACAGGTGTGAGCCACTGCACCCGGCCTGACTGCAAAATTTAAGAGGCATTCTGGGCCAGGCCCGGTGGCTCATGCCTATAATCCCAGCACTTTGGGAGGTCAAGGCGGGTGGATCACCTGAGGTCAGGAGTTTGAGACCAGCCTGGCCAACATGGTGAAACCTCGTCTCTACTAAAAATACAAAAATTAGCTGGGTGTGGTGGCTCACGCCTGTAATCCTAGCAACTCTGGAGGCTGAGGTTGCAGTGAGCCGAGATCGAGCCACTGCACTCCGGCCTGGGTGACAGAGCGAGACTCCATCTCAAAAAAAAATTAAAAAAAAAAAAAGGCATTCTGGCCATTTGAACTTCACTTTCTATTCAATTTGTTTACAACCTCTCTGATCCAACTATTTCATAAACTGAGGCAGACTTGTACAGCACTTTAATTTCTAAGGCCTACAAGATGAGATCAGCAAAATTTAAAAAACAATCACCCAGATGTCGTAATAATGAATTATCATAATCGTAACCAACCATCTGCCCACAGTCATATACCTGCCACCTGATGCCAGAATGAGGCTGGGACTAATTGTGAGTAGGAGAGTAGAAAGCCCAGGCACCTGGCAGATGGGTGAGGCGTGTAGGACCTGGGGTAGAGTGCCTGGCTTTAGGCAAGGCCTTTAATCTCCCTACACTTGTGTCCCCATCAATAAAATAGAGCCAGTAATAGTGCCTACTTCACTATTGGTAAGAGAGTGACTTAATACATGTAGTCTTTAAAATAATGGCTAGCACATAATGATTAATTGAATGTAATTAATACATATTTGGAGATATTCAAGTTTAATCCCATTAAAATCGCAGCTCACGACTGGTCATTAAAAATTATTAGTTATGGCCTCCCTACCAAAGGTAATGAAACTGTTTCCACTTATACCTGACTCTATTTGACTCAACCCACCCTTGTTATACATAAAAGATTCACCTGGCCTGCACGCACGATCTCTAAACCAGTGGTTGCTACTCACCAATCTTGTACTTCTATAATTTAGAATGGGAACACAGACTGATTTCAGAGCCAGATGCTCACTTGTTTTTCCTTATTTTTACCAGAAGCAATGTTACCCAGCTGCAAATGATACTACAAAATGCTTCCCATCCTCTCCTTACCATGTTCTTATCCAAACTAAATTCTTACTGTTTCATAATAAAATAAGAGTTTTTCCAGGCCAGGCGTGGTGGTTCACACCTGTAATCCCAGCACTTTGGGAGGCTGAGGCATGCAGATCGCTTGAGGTCAGGAGTTTGAGACCAGCCTGGCCAACATGGTGAAACACCATCTATAACAAAATATAAAAATTAGCCAGGCGTTGTGGCAAGCACCTGTAATCCCAGCTATTTGGGATGCTGAGGCAGGAGAATTGCTTGAACCCGAGAGGCAGAGGTTGCAGTGAGCCGAGATTGCACCACTGCACTACAGCCTGGGCGACAAGAGACTGTCTCAAAAACAAAATCAAAAAAAAAAAAGAAAGAAAAACAAAAAGTAAATAAAAAAATGAGTTTTTCCAAGCAGTGATTTGGTGCAATCCAAGAAAAAAAATTTATTGTGCATGTTTCAGCCCAACCACTAGGTGATCTCCTACAGGTTTTTTAACTCTAGGGAAACATTCCTTCTATTTCAGGAAGAAAATGACAGATGTTAAATTTTGGCATTTTTCAAAGAGAATATGAGAATAACTCAAGGCGTTTATTATTATTTGCCCCATAGAGAAGCAACAAAATCAGCATTTCCTACACCAAAGCAACAAGAATGGAGGCACAGACCTTCCATGCCAGGATGCCACCGAGCTAATGCCTTCAAACATCATCACACACACAGATACACACACACCCAGGATGCCCGTGCTAATGCCTAAATCTCACACAAACACACACACACACACACACACACACACACACACACACACACAGGTTCTGGCCAGATGCTGCCTGCACTGGCCCTTGGGCCTTCTGCAGTAAGTCAGCATTAAAAAAATAAAGCTGACGCTGGGCACGGTGGGTCACACCTGTAATCTCAGCACTTTGGGAGCCCGAGGCAGGAGGATGGCTTGAGCCCAGAAGACCAGCCTGGGTAACACAGTAAGACATCATCTCTACAAAAAATAAAAAATTAGCCAGGTGTGGTGGTGTGCACCTATAGTCCTAGCTACTCAGGAGACAGGTGGGAGGATCTCTTGTGCTCAGGTTCAAGGCTGTGGTAAGCCATGACTGCATCACAGCACGCCAAGCCTGGGTGACAAAGGACCCTGTTTCTAAAAAAAAGACTGAGAAAATTTTATCAAATGTAAACATTTAAATGGGATCTTTATGATATGATGCTGAGCACCTTTTAAGTGTATTTTGTTAGGGGTGAGCAAGACGGGCTTGTGAGAATGGCACATCCAGGAAGGATAAAGAAGACAACAGCTGTGAAGTCTGGAATGGCTACATGGAGTAGCAGGCTAATTACCAAGTATTAAAAGGTCCTATAACACCAGAGATTGTAAACAGGCAGCCTGTCTGAGTATTGCTGGCCACACAGGTTTCAAAAACCACAGATAGGCCAACACTGTAGTAGATTTTCCTTTCTTCAGGGCAATTAATGGTTACTGCAGAGCTGCGATGACCTCTTCGGTCTTTGGGAAGAGTCTGTACTCTCTGGCCCTGTAGTAGGCTGAATAATGGCCCCCAAAGATAACCACATCCTAATCCCTGGAACCTGTGACTATTACTTTATTTGGCAAAAGGGACTTTGCAGATGTAATTAAGGATTTTGAAATGGGAGATTTTCTGGGTTATCTGGTGGGCCCTGAATGTATGACAAGTGTCTTTATAAAAGCGAAGCAGAGGGAACTCTGACTACAGAAAGGGAGGCAATGTGATGACCCGAAGCAGAGATTGAAGTGACGTGAACACAAGCCAAGGAACATTGGCAGCCACCAGAAAATGGAAGAGGCAAGAACCAGATTCTCCCCTGGAGCCCTCAGAAGGAGTGAGCCCTGCCTTGATTTGAGCACTGTAAGATTTCATTGTGAACTTCTGGCCTCCAGAACTGTAAACAAATAAATCTGTTAAATCACTACATTTGTGGTAACTACAACAGCAATATGAAAACTAACCCACCCTGTATATGTTTGAGCTTATAATTTAACTCAACTCTCTCAACAGTTGAGGAGGATATAGAGCCCTGACCTGCCCAAGTCACCTCCAGTTCTTGGAAGAACCAAGTCCCCAGACTGCAACTTGCTACACGCTACCTACGCTTTTCCCATGCAAAAGGAGGTCAGAGGTCTTCCAGTTGTGTTTGGTTCTAGAAGCAAACAAAAAAGAGTGACTTATGGGAGTGGTAGAACATTCTTGAGCCGTGGCCTTTTTGGGAGAGTTAGGCCCCTTGAAAAGTCGATGGAAGCTATATTCTCCTTGCAGGAAACAAAAGGCACACACACTTGCACCCATTTTTGGGAGTTCATGACCCTCAGGTAAAGAACCCCTCCTCGGCAGATAAAAAGCATTTAAGGAAAAACAGACGCAAAATAAAATCTTCGGGTAGACAAGTCAGTCCTGCCTACAGTTATAGATAAGATGGAGAAACAAAACTGAGGACAGGAATTCCATGGAAGAAGGTCACAGGGTCCAGATACGAGAAAAAAACCTCAACGAACCGGGAAACTAAAACTATAGCTTTGAAGAAAAAAACAAAGCATTAAAGCAGAGTTTGGGGTTGAAAGAATGCTCTCCAACAACCAGGAAATCGGGATTTTCACCTTTATTTTTACTCAGGAGATCATTGTTACTCGAACCCAATATTGAAGAGCCAATCTGAAAAGATGGCAATTTACTCCTGAGCTCTGGAAGTTGCTGGAACCTGATCTCGAAGCAGTGACGATCTGTGAACGCCCCAGCTGCACCAACCAAGGTGCTAAACCTTCAGACAGGTCTATTTCTACTCGGATTTTTTCTTTGGGATCAGACTGGTATTTTAAAGCCCTTCCAAACAAACAAACAAAAAACCAGAAGCTTAAAGCAAACCTAACATGTGACTTTGGACACCACTTCATCCAGACTACTTCCCTCAGACACTGACAACCGGCCAGAGGTGGAATCGCGGGAAACCTTAAACCCAGGGAAGAAGTGACTTTAAAGGAAACAAAGCGTTCGCCCCCGCCGCTTGGGAGAAGGGGCTGGGATAGAGACAAAGCCCGAGGAAAACACCGAACTAAAGTTGGGTTAGGAGCGGGGGAGGCATGGGCAGGACCCGAGAGAGGCAACTGGAACCCAGAGTGCGCGAGCGCGGAGGAGGTGAAGGCCCTGTGGACGCAGCGCCGGGAGAGCCTCAGCGGGCCGGGATAAGAGGGGCGCCCCTCACCTCGACTGGGTAGAGCTCGCGCGGCAGCACCGCCTGCAGGTCCATGAACAGGGTGATGGGGATGTGGCTGAGGAAGTAGAGGCCCAGCAGCCACTCCACGCAGCGCCTGGTTGCCGGAGCCCCCATAGTCTGTCGGTTGGGCCTGGACCCGCTGATGTGAGAAGAGGGGCCAAATCCGCGCGCCTTCCCAGACCCACGCGCCTCGGTCGCCGCCTTGCCCCCGCGAGGGCTAGGCAGACCGCTTCCATTGGCTGGCGAGAAGAGGAGGCTCGTGGACAGGGGGCGGCACTCCCCACAGGGCGCACCCATTGGTCCGTATAAGTATAGCGCGTGGAGAAGGCGTCTCGTAAGCCATTTCCATTGGCCGCCAGGAGCGCCGTGTGGGCGGGGCTTAGTCACGCCGTTCGGCGCGCGGCTACTCAGTGTAGATTGCGGTTGTGAGCGCGAGCCTAGCGTTTCGGTGCTGGCCGCGTGGTATCCTGGTGTCCCGGCAGCTGCCGGCGGCGCTCCCTTCCCTCGTGGCTCCGTTCGCCACTACAACAGCAGTATGAAAACTGCACTGGCCCTTGGGCCTTCTGCAGTAAGTCAGCATTAAAAAAATAAAGCTGACGCTGTGCACGGTGGGTCATGCCTGTAATGTCTGCACTTTGGGAGCCCGAGGCAGGAGGATGGCTTGAGCCCAGAAGACCAGCCTGGGTAACTTAGTAAGACATTATCTCTACAAAAAATAAAAAATTAGCCAGGTGTGGTGGTGTGCACCTGTAGTCCTAGCTAGTTCGTGTACTAGTGACCAGCGCCTGTGCTGGGCCGCGGTACCCCGGTGCAGTGCGGCCGTCACGGAGCAGGGGTCGCAGAGCGGGGCACGAGCGCCGCGGTGCAGGTTCCCGGCCCAGCCGGGGTTGCGGGTCTGGGGAGGCAGCTGGCCGCGGTGAACAAAGAAGCAGAGGGGAGGACTCGAGGGACGTAGGAGGCAGTAAAATGGACAGGAATCCTCACCGGCTGTGGAGCATGAGGGAAGGTCAAGGATTCGTTTACACGTTCAGCAAATACTGATGTTCATCTCCACGCTGGGCGCAGGCCTGTCTCGGGGCAGGATCGCCGAGGCTGCCATTTGCTAAGAGGGGACACAGGGCAAGGGAGTGCGAGGAAGGAATGCAGCTTGGACTACGTGGACCTTGAGTGGGCTGCAGCGTTGGGTGGAGGAGGCAGTTGGGTGAGCCTGTCTGGAGTCGTAAGCTTGTGAGGCATCCGCCTTTGATGGCGAGCAGAGGGCCTGGGAGAGATCCTGGGGGAGCTCCAGCCTCAGGTCATGGGAGGAGGGGACTGAGATAGGAGCGTACTAGCAGGGGGCTATGTCACAGGGAGGGGCAGCCTGTCAACACTGAGTGATGCCCGCCTGTGGCCCTGTGGGGAACAGTTGTGTCGTGGGGGCAGGAGCCAGGGAGTAAGAAAGTGGGGAAATGGAGGCAGGAAGTGTAGACAGCTGGTCACGAAGGGGAGAAGACATGGGGCAGTAGCTGGAGAGAGATGCACTCGAGAGTTTATTTTGCAGGTGAGAAAGACTTGAGCTAGTTTAGTTTTGACAGTGGGAGAGGTTACCCCTACTCGAGAAGAGCAGGAAATGCGGCTCAAAGCCCTGGAGGAGGCGGAGGGAATGGAAGGATTGGGGTGGGTTAGGTGGGTGCACTGCGCTCCGCCCAGCTTCCCCTTCCCTTGGGGCGCTGTGGGCTAGGACAGAGGGATTATGGCAGTGTTGAAGGCCCAGCTGAGGTGGGGGGCCGCTGACCCGGAGGCCCCAATCTCTTAGGCTGTGTGCTTTGCATTTCTCTAGTGCGGGGTCTACCCAGAAGAAGGCTGTTGGACCCCTACAGAGTTTGGGTTCAGAAAAGCGAAAGGTGGCTTTGAAGAGCTGAAGAAGAGTGATTGAGGTGCAGAAGGTTGCAGTTCAAGCTAGGTAGGGGGAGAGGGAGAGGTGAGGCCAAAGGGGGCTGTAAGACAGGGAGACAGTGGAGGCCTGCTGAGGAACACGTGCCAGCGTGATGGGAGTCACTGGGCCGGAAGGGTGGGAGCTTATGAGGAGGGCGTGCAATACCTGAATTCCTGGGGTCAGGAAGAGGTTCTGCCCGTGGGAGTGTGCGGCTGAAATGGAGTGGAGGGGAAGGTCTTTGGAGATGAGGTCAAGGGAAGGCCACCCAGGGTGGTGGTGGCGAAAATGCCACTGCACACGGGGGAGTAACCAGAAGGAAGGTGAGCATGGGATGAGAGTGGAGGGGAAACTGTGTGGACATGGCCTTGCGGAGGGAGGAGGCCGCTTATCCTGACCTTGAAGGGTGCGAGAAGGTGAATAGCCTGCGCTGGAGAGGGCTGTGGGGAAGCTGAGTCCTCAGCCAAGTGCCAGTTACTGGGGGAGGTAACAGTGGAGGGGTTTGGCTGGAGAGGAGGAGGAGCAGGTTGGAAGGAGACAGTAGGAGAAATGTGGAGGTCTTTGGGTGGGGAGCAGGGGATGAACAGCATGGGTGGCTGAGCATCGTGAGGGCACACAGTTCTGGCGTCCCCCAAGTCTCAGGTCAGCCTTGCCCAGGACCACAGAGCCGGCAGCCACAGGGAGGCAGGGGTGTTCAGGGCTGTTTGTCCTGCTCCGAGGGGGGAGCCGGGCTCCATGGAGAGAACACTCTACCAGGGGCTCAGGAGGGAGGACTCAGAATTAGCTGCTGCTTTTTTTCCAGGAAAAAAAAAAAAAGTCAATGCCTGGGAAACCTTAGGTCACCTGAGGAGAGAGCCCATTTTGTTCACACCATAAATCTTTAAAGGCAGTTTGCTCTTTCTCAGACTCCACTCTGTTCCCAGACTAACTACTCCTGTTAGTCACTTAGTAGCCATCTTGGTTATCAAATTGACCATTGAGTTATCACGGTGCTTGTGTTCAAGTAAGCCTTATGTTATTTAATAGTGGGCCAGGTGTGGTGGCTCATACCTGTAATCACTTTGGGAGGCCGAGGCAGGAGGACCCCTTGAGGCCAGGAGTTTAAGACCAGCCTGGGCAACATAGCAAGACCCCATCTCTTAAAAAAAAATTAGCTGGGCATGGTGGCTTGCCTGTAGTCCCAGCTACTTAGGAGGCTGAGGTGGGAGGATCTCTTGAGCCCAGGAGTTTGAGGCAGCAGTGAGCTGTGATCACCTCACTGCACTCCAGCCTCCACAACAGTGAGACCCCTCTCAAAGGCCCTAAAGTGCAATGGTAGCGATGTGACAATTCGGATATGCCAATGAGAAACCATAAAGTTCCTTTATGTGAAAAGGTGAAGATTTTTGATTTAGGAAATAATGCTGAGGTTGCTAAGATCTAGAGAACAGTAAGATATTTTGAGAGAGAGCACATTCACATACTATTTATTACAGTATATTGTTATACTTGTTCTATTTTATTGTTAATGTCTTACTGTGCTTGATTTATAAATTAAACTTTATCATAGGTTTGTATGTATAGGAAAAAACAATATGGTTCAGTACTACCTATGGTTTCAGGCCTCCACTGGGGGTCTTGGAACATGTTCCCCCACGGATAAGGGGGACTTTTGTATACAGCTCCTCTCTCACTTCTCCAAACCATTCACTTGAATGAGAACATGAAGGCTGGGCGCAATGGTTCACACGTGTAATCCCAGCAGAGGCCAAGGCAGGTGGATTACCTGAGGTCAGGAGTTCCAGACCAGCCTCACCAACATGGTGAAACCCAAACTCTACTAAAAGTACAAAAGTTAGCCAGGCATGGTGGTGCACACCTACAGTCCCCGCTACTCAGGAGACTGAGGCAGGAGAATCACTTGAACCTAGGAGGCAGAGGTTGCAGAGTCATGATAGCACCATTGCACTCCAGCCTGGGCGACAGAACAAAACTCTGTCTCAGAAAAAAAAAAAAGGCTGGGCATGGTGACTCAGGACTGTAATCCCAGCACTTTAGGAGGCTGAGGTGGGTGGATCACCTGAGGTCAGGAGTTCAAGACTGGCCTGGCCAACATGGTGAAAATCCATCTCTACTAAAAATACAAAAATTAGCCAGGCATAGTGGCGTGCACCTGTAGTCCTAGCTACATGGGAAGCTGAGGCAGGAGAATCACTTGAACCTGGGAGGTGGAGGTTGCAATGAGCCAGGATCGCACCACTGCACTCTAGCCTGAGTGACAGAGTGAGACTCCGTCTCAAAAAAAAAAAAAAAAAAATGGAACATGAAGAGCTGGGAGGGCCTTTGTAGATATCTAGGGCCTAACACCTCATGAGGAAACTGAGACTCAGAGAGGTGTTTGTCCGAGGTCACAAAGTGAGTGACAAGGCAGGGACTGGAACCCTGGTATCCTAACGCCCAGCCCCAGGCCAAGTCTTCTATCCCTAGGGCAGAGCAGTGCCTTCCCGCACAGGGTCTTCAGACCAAACCCAGGGCCCAGGAGAGGTCTGGCTAGGTTGGCACACTACACAGCTGGAGAGGCCTGGCAGCACTGCTCCCACCCTCCATCCATTATGGCTTTAAGGATATGGTGGTACCATATCCTTTTAATTTACCTTGGGGTGGGTTAGGTGTGTGCTCTGCGCTCCACCCAGCTTCCCCTTCCCTTAGGAAGTTATAATTAAGTTCCCTGTAGAACTTAATTATAACTGCTTGCTGGAGGGCAATGGGGCCGGAGGAGTGTGGGCTAGGATTTGTCCAGGAAATGTGGTAAGTACAGGTGTCAATGTGACAGTTTCTCAGAAAACATCTCATCCAGCCCTGGCAACATAGTGAGACCCCCATTTCTATAACAAAAATTAGCCGATGTGGTGGTACGCACCTATAGTCCCAGCTACTCAAGAGGCTGAGGTGGGAGGATGGTTTGAACCCAGGAGTGATCACACTACTACACTCCTGCCTGGGTAACAGAGTGAGACCCTGCCTCAAAACAAAAAACCCCAAATGTCACCTAGCCAAATTTGTTACCTATAAAGATTTTCAAGGCCAAGCACTTTCAGTGGATGGTTCCTCTGTCCAAAAACATTCTGTCCAGCTGTTTGAAATTTCTTTAGTAGGGGACCATAGCTCTTAATTTGATGAGGTCAGATAAGTCTTAGAATGCAAATGGCTCTAAGAGAGGTCAACTGAGGAAGACAACAGTGTGGAAAGAATGACCCTGTCCTTATGAGAACAATGTTTAGTGCCTTTAAAAAAGTATTTATATTGTGACAAGACAAACACCATTAGCCTAACAGTGGACCCAATGATGGCAGAAAGCGAATTCTAGCATTGTAACCCCAGCTGAAAGGTACTTGGAGCAGGCCATGCCAAATTGGCCACTTGCCTCTTTGGCAGCAACTGTACAAAGCTCTTTCTTCACCTCTCAACTTTTGCTTCACTTTTCTGTCTACTTAAAATGCACCCACCCTTCTCACCCCACCCCTGCTTACCTCCCCCATCTCTATGTATTTTACTATTTGGCTGAAGGCCACCCTACCCCCGCCCCCAATTGCCTCTATTTGGTGGCACTGTTACATCCTCTGAACCTGTTTCCGAAAGTTTGTCCCTTTCCACTGAGCAACACTGATTGGAGCCCATGTCTCTGGACATATTTCCCACTAGATCGTAGATTCCTTGAAAAGTATAAAAACTGTTTATATTTTTCACTGTTTTAAAACTTACCCTTTTAAAAATTAGGAGCCACAACACCAAGTCAAAAAGAATAAGAAATAAACACATCATCAAAATTATTTATTATACAAGAAAAATTATCAATACATCTTTCAGTTCTTTAAAATGGTTATCAGCAATTCTAAGTCCTGTCTTCATTAATAATTCACTGTATGACCTCATGCAAATCATGTCATATTCCTCATTCTTTGTACCTTCATTTGTAAAATGAACTTGAACTAGACACTCTTTCAGGCCATTTCTTGGTCTAAAATCCCACAAATTTGCAGATTTAAGCTGAATTAAAGTTACCCTATTAAAAAGGCTAATTGATTTCTTTAACGTTAATGCAAAAACATAAACACCATCAACTCCCACAAAAGTAAACAATCACAGTATCACAACAATCATAGTAATCCCTGGTAGTGAAGCACAAAACTTTTTCCTCCTACTGCTAAAATAAATGTAGTCTCATCACAATGACACGAACACCAAGTAAAAGCAAACAAAATACTAGGTGTCACTGGGGTTAGTGATGACTTTTTAATTGGAAAACCAAAGGCACACCCATGAAAGAAGGAATTGGTAAGTTAGACTTTATTAAAATTTAAAACTTCTACTCTGCAAAAGACACTGTCAAAGGGAAGACAAGACACTTTGGCAGTTTCTTACGAAGTTAAACCTATTTTTACCGTTCAATCCAGCAATCACACTCCTTAGTATTTAACTAAAGGAGCTGAAAATTTATGTCTACCCAAAAACCAAAACACCAATATTTATAGCATTCTTTATTCATAATTGCCAAAACTTGGCAGCAATTCAGGTGTCCTTTGGTAGGTGAATAGATAAGCAAACTGTGATATGCCAGACAGTGGAGTATTATTTATGGCTAAAAAGAAATGAGCTATCAAGCCAGGAGAGACATGGAGGAATCTTGGATACATATTCAGCAGTATGTGAAAGAAGCCAATCTGAAAAGGCTACATAACGATTGGAAATATATGGCATCCTAGAAAAGGCAAAACTACGGAAACAGTAAAAAGATCAGTACTTGCCAGGAATTTGAAGGGAAGAAAGTAAAGGGATGAACAGGTGACACTGGGGATTTTTTGAGCAGTGAAATTATTCTCTATGATACTATAATGATAGATAAATGTCACTATACATTTTCCAAAATGCATAGAACTACACCAGAAGTGGACCTTTCATCTATTGTAACAAATGTATTATAACAAATGTGTAGGAGGCCATGTCTTTACTTTCAGCTCAAATTTGCTGTGAACCTAAAGCTACTTGAAAAAAATAAAGTCTATTTATATAAAAGTAAACAAAACAAAAGTTAATAATTACAATAAACTCATATGCAATATTTCTGAAGCACATCTTCCAAACAGCATGTGTATTTTAAAATTTTAAAACTTTACTAAAAAACTGGTAACAAATTGAAAACAATGGTTACCTCTAAGAAATGAAACAGAGGAGAAAGGAGGGCTTTCTTTCAGTTTTTACTTGTTACAGTGTAGCGTGAACTTTTAACAACATCTGTTTTACATTTGTATTATTTGTGTTTAATAGTATATTTTAATAAAAGGGGCCACAATGTACTAAAAAATTAAAGACATTGCTAGCACAACCTTTCCTCACCTGTGACCAGGCTGTCAGACTAGATAATGTATCTAGAGGTAAGATTAAAGTTCTTACAAAAAAAAATTTTTTTTTAAGTTCTGCCTGTGTGTTCAGTCTAACAAAAATGTCTCAAGAAAAGCATCTTACAAAAAAATGTCCTTAATGGGCATAATTTTAACAGTGCTAATTACCTTTAAAAGACTGTGGGCCTGTAATCCCAGCTACTCTGGAGGCTGAGGCACCAGGACTGCTTGGGCCCAAGAGTTTGAAAACAGCCTGGGTAACACACGCTGTTAAAAAAAAAAAAAGAAAAAAGAAAAGAAAAGAAATGGAAAAAATGGAGAGAGAGGAGTGGACAAGAGCAAGGATGTGAAAGAACTCAGTCTTTACCGTGGTTAACTTGAATAAAATAAAAATTGTCTTGTATGAACCAGCCTCTTCTCATTTCATTTACATAGGCAACATGGCAAAACCCTGTTTCTACCCCACCCCCCCCCCCAAAAAAAAGCCACACACGCACACACCAAAAAGAACAAAAATTAGCCAGATGTGCTAGTGCACACCTGTAGTCCCACAGCTACCTGGGAGGCTGAGTCAGAAGAATAATTGAGCCCAGGAAGTAGAAGCTGCAGTGAGCTGTGATTGTGCCACTGCCTTGTAGCCTGGGTGAGCCTTAGTTACTCTAAATCAACACTTTTTTTTTTTTTTTTTGAGATGGAGTCTAGCTCTGTCGCCCAGGCTGGAGTGCAGTGGTGCAATCTAGGCTCACTGCAAGCTCCGTCTCCCGGGTTCAGGCCATTCTCCTGCCTCAGCCTCCCGAGTAGCTGGGACTACAGGCACCTGCAACCACGCCCGGCTAATTTTTTGTATTTTTAGTAGAGACGGGGTTTTACTGTGTTAGCCAGGAATCAACACATTTTTTTTTAAAGGAATAAGCTTTGTAAATATTTTCTCCTAGTCCAGCTTATGAATTTTTTATTTCATATATTGTGCTTTTGGGCTGTCTCTAAGAAAATATTTGTCTAGCCTGTGGTCGCAAAGATTTTCTTCTGTATTTTTCTTTTAGAATATTTCATTTTCAGTTTTACATTTAGGTCTGTAGCGCATTTTAAGTTAATTTTTTATTATGATTCAAAGTATGGATTGAGGCTCTTTTTTTGTTTTGCATATGGACACCGAGTTCTAGTGTCGTTTATTGAAAACACTATCATTTCTCTGTTGAATTCTCTTTGTACTTTTGTTGAAGATTAATCATAGATGTGTGGGTCTTTTTTTGGACTAAAACTCTAAAACTATATTATTAATCCTGATTTGTATTGCATCTGACAGATCCAGAATGATTTGAAAAGTTAATTAGCTAACAAATTTAGAAGTTTGTTAAGTGTCTTATTTGGAACCTGGCATTTGCTGACAGTAGTTTGTAATCTACAGAAGGGTTTTCTAAAATAACTTTAAGCCTAAGATTAAAAGAAGATTTTGCTAATGACTCATTATCTGTTTGGAAAAACTTGTGTGATTTTTCATGCAGTAGGGATGAGCTGAAATGGTTTTTCCTAGAAGATGCCCATTTTCTTTTTTGTAGAATTACTTGGTAGTTCTCTAATAATCTGTTTGTGCTTTATATCATCTTTGATAGTGATACATTTGGGGGCAGTTCTCTTTTTGTTTAAAAACCATCACGTAGTTGTCCTAAGTTAAATATTCTAGGCCAGACTTGATGGCTTATATCTGTAATCCCAGAATTTTGAGAGGCAGAGGCAGGAGGATCACTTGAGCCCAGGAGTTTGAGACCATCTGGGCAACAGAGTGAGACCGCTCTACAAAAATCAAAAACAGGTCGGGTGCGGTGGCTCAGGCCTGTAATCCCAGCACTCTGTGAGGCTGAGGTGGGCGGATCACCTGAGATCAAGAGTTTGAGACAAGCCTGGCCAAAAAAAAAAAAAAAAAAAAAGAGAAAAGAAAAAAAAGTAGTTGGCTGTGGTGGCGCATGCCTGTGATCCCAGTTACTCAGGAGGCTGAGGCAGGAGAGTTGCTTGAACCCAGTTGGTGGAGGATGCAGTGAGCCGAGATCGCGCCACTGCACTCCAGCCTGGGTGATGGAGCAAGACTCCATCTCAAAAAAAAAAAAAAAAAAAAATCAAGAACATATCCAGGCATGGTGGTACATTCCTGTTGTCCTAGCTGAGGTGGAAGGATTGCTTGAGCCCAGGAGTTCAAGGTTACAGTAAGCTATGATGGCCCCACTGCACTCCAGCCTGGGTAGCAGAGAGAGACTCTGTCTCTAAACAAACTAAAGGTTTAATTACTTTTTAAAAAGTAGTACACAATTATTGTTTTTAGGATGGATTTTTTTTTTTGACAGACTCTTGGTTTGCCACCTAGGCCTGAGTGCAGTGGCTTCATCAGCTCACTGCAGTCTTGAACCCCTGGGCTGAAGTGAGGCAGGAGCCTCAGCCTCCCGAGTAGCTAGGACTATAGGACTAGGAATACAGGCACATGCCACCACACCCAGCTAATTTTTTTGTAGAGACAAGGTCTCGCTATGTTGCCCAAGCTGAAGTCCAACTTCCTGGCCTCCAGCAATGAATGCTCCCACTTCGGCCTCCCAAAGTGCTAGAATTACAGGCGTGAGCCACTGTGCCTCGTCTATTCTTTTATCATTAAATTGTATAGACCTGTAGAGTGAAAGAATTGATATTCGGCTGTACATTGGTGTTCTATAATATAATAAGGTTTGAGCTAATCTCAGTATTTGAATATTTATTATTTAGTAATTTAGAAGTACTTTGCAATTAACACCTTTAAATTAACTTAAAATTTTAAATGTAGTAGAAATTAAAATGCCAAGAAGCAGGTGTTATTTAAAAAAAATCATTGGACAAAATATTGAGGTTAATTTAAGACAGACTTTCAGGATTAATAGCTATTTTAAATTTTTTAAAAATCATTTGTTGATGAGTGCTTTTTCTTATTCCTGAAATAACTACTCATAAGTCCTTTTTTATTTTTTTATTTTTAATTTTTATTTTTTTTTGGTCTTTGGAAAACATACTCCTGTCCCTTGCTATTCCATTTTTCTCCTTTTTTCCCCCTTTCTTCATTTGGATAGACTTTGCCATACAATTTTATTTTTATTATTTTTATGTGGTAAAATACACGTAATAAAATTTATCACTTTAACTGTTTTAAAGTATATAATTCAAGCCACGTGTAGTGGAGCCCGTAGTTCCGGCTAGTCAGGAGGCTGAGCCTGGGATCCTTGAGCCCAGGAGTTTGAAGACAGCCTGGGCAACATAGCGAGACCCCCTTCTCTTAAAGCAAAAGTATATAGTTTAGTGGCATTAAGTACATTAACAATATTGTATGACCATCACCACCACCATCTTGTTCTAGAACTTGTTCATCATTGCCACTTAATGTTAGCACCTAATTGTTCCCTAGTGTTTGGCTGCCATATTAAGTATTAGGTTTGTAAAGGATAAACAAGACTTAGTTCTTGTCCTCGAGGACTTCAGAGTCTAGTGAGAGAAACTTAACATTTATGATACAATGTGGCAAATTACATGCTAGAGTTCCCCATCACTGAATTTTATTTATTCAATTAGAATTTTTTTATATATTTACCAATGCATATATTTAATGAATCAGGCATACAATGCTCACCCATTCAGCAATTTCAGTGCTTTTCCTGTTTGCCTTGAAAATTTCATCCAGGAATTCACAAAGGAATACTCGATGAAGCCACATCATCAAATGGATTTTTCCCCAGGGAAGTCCAGTTTTTTTCCTTTTTTTTTTTATTATACTTTAAGTTCTGGGGTACATGTGCAATTCCTCAATTAGAATTTTAATTTTACCTTGAGAAAGCAAAGTAACTTTTTGTTAATATTCCGGTTATCGTATCATTCCACACACTGAATTCATTTAGGCTAGACCAAAAGACTGAAGTCTTTAGTCTTTTGACTTAGGTCATTGTGGGACTCACAAATCCTCATGCCCTATACTGTATTGCAAGAAGGGAACCAGAAAATTGACATTTTGATTTAGAACCAAATTATGAGCTATTCCTTCCTAATGAAGCAGGGAGATCTGTGAAAACTATGATTAGAGAGAACTTCTTAGTTGTCTGCAACTATCATTTGTTGAAACTGTTTTTACTTATTTTAGTTGCAGTGACAACTTGCTTATGATCAAATACAGTATTATATGGGTATGTTTATCTCTCTAGGCAGATCATCTTGATGAATAGTTGCTTTGGAAACTGTCAAGAGATTGTTTTTAATTTCTTGAAAAGCCTGGGAGTGCATTTTACAAACCTCTTGTAAGACAGAAAAGTTCTCTAAGTCCCCACTCGACCCAGGAAGGATTTTCTTCATTATTAAAAATTTAATGCAATATTGCTTATAAAAGTAAAACAGCGTGGCTTTTTCCATCTATAGAAGGGCTAAATATGGCAAATATTTTCTATTAAAAGGTTGGGGTGGAGTTGAGAGAAGCTTTTTCATATTATATACACAGGCCTTCTATAAACGGCCAGTAAATCTTCCCAAAGGGTGGTGGGCATTTCCAACGGGCCAAACATGGCCTGTCATTCTACTATTTCTCTCTTCCAGCAGCAAGGTCTAGTAGCACTAAGACCAACCGCCCGATGGCCGCTAACTGTTCTACCGGTCGTCGTTCGGAACTCCGTTCTCCTTCTAGGCCAGTTAAGGCCTTTGTCCGTTGAGGTCAGGACTAGGTGGTCTCAGCCAATGGGGACAGAGCGGTCACGGGGACCGGGTTTGCGCGGCTCCGAGGCCTAACCAGGCAGCCGAGCCTGCCTGCGTCCCGAGGCCGCCTTCCCGGGACCTCTGCACCCTCAGGTCCTCCGTTGGGTGGTGTTCGGGCGGCCGCCAGGCTTCCCGGCCCGCCACTCCCGCTGCCACCCAAAGGCGCTGCGTGCCGGCGGCTTGGTGGAGTTTCGTCGAGGCCCGGCAGGCTTGGGCCAGGAGATCCAGCGGCCGGGCGGGGTCCCGGCTGAGAGAGGCCGATGCCGCCGTCAGTCACCGAGATGGGGTGGGGACGCTTCAAGGCCTGGGTCTGGCCAGGGGGCAGTCACAGCAGGGCCCTAGGTGTGTGCAGGGCGGAGGGCGCCGCCTGTCCCGGAGCCTCCAGCTCACCTGCCGGCCCGGGCAGGAGGAGCTTGGAGGGCCCTGGGGGAACGGGTCGCGCTCTGCCGCAGCTCATAAGAGTCCATAGTCTTCCTAATGTAGTCAGTCTAAGACAATTGGTGTCCCAAATGGTTGATAGTGTTTTAGTTTACAATTTCAACATTTGTTAGAAGAAAAGTTCAGATTACTGGGCCTAGATTCCTAATAAATTGTGTTTTGTTTTGTTTGAAATAGGGTCTCGTTCTGTCACCCAGGCTTGGAGTGCAGTGGCTTGATGACAGCTCACTGCAGCCTCGACCTCCTGGGTTCAAGTGATCCTCCCACCTCAGCCTCCTGAATAGCTGGGGCTACAGGCTCACACCACCATGTGTGGCTAATTAATTTTTTTTTTCCAGAAACAGGTTTTCACTGTGTTGCCCAGGCTGGTTTTGAACTCTTGGGTTCGAGTGATCTTCCTGCCTCGGCCTCCCAAAGTGCTGGGATTACAGGCGTGAGCCACTGTGCCCAGCCCTAATACGTTTTTATAAATTTTTTAAAGTTGGAATTTGTGGTGTGGTTTTGATTGTCTACTGAAAAAGAATGATTGCAGTCTCCTTTTAGGTAAAAAAAAAAAAAAACAACAACAACAAAAAAACAAACTTAAAAATAACTCTTAGTTTGGTTAGGCTGTTAATAAATTTGACATTTATTGCTCTTGAAAAATAGCTGTGATCATCCTTTTTTCAGGGTAATCACTTTGATCAACATGACGAAGGACACTTGGAAACTGAACAAGCATCACTTGACAAGCCTACAGAATCCATAAGATGGATCATTGCTTAATTTCGGGTCTTAGCCAGTTAGGTAGGTAGTGTTTGTGTGACACTTAATGTGAATGAAGTTAAACTTATTAATAACCAATACAGTTTAGAGTTGTTTTCTTCCATGCCATACAGTAACCAGATAGAGTTTGGGATGTAATCTAATATTTAATATGTTGGGAAATCGGTCCAAAACAATCTAAAAACACATTAGAATTTTGATGGGGGAAAAACATCTTTTTGGCCCATACTAATATTTTGTTGAAGGTAACAAGTTAAAGTTTAGCATTTTGTGAATTGAATAAAGGAGTAAAATGTATTTTGATCCTTTATAGATTCACCTTTCCTGAGCAACATAATTATGTATGAAATGTTCCTACATAAGTAGAATATGGAAAAAAAAATTTTAAGTTCCATTAGAAACAGTTAAGGGCTGGGTGCAGTGGCTCATGCCTGTATTGCAGCACTTTGGGGGGTCGAGGTGGGCGGATCACCTGAGGTCGGGAATTTGAGAGCAGCCTGGCCAACGTGGTGAACCCCATCTCTACAAAAATATAAAAATTAGCTGGGCGTGGTGGCACACCCCTGTAATCCTAGCTACTCTGGAAGCTGAGGAACGAGAATTGCTTGAACCCAGGAGGTGGAGGTTGCAGTTAGTCGAAATTGTTCCACTGCACTCCAGCCTGAGCAACAGAATGAATCTCCCTCTCAAAAGAAAAAAAAAGAAAGAAAAAAAGAGAAGAAACAGTTAAGGAGTAATAAGTTTTATTTATCAGACTCTTGTGAAACATGGCAAGTTTGGGCTCTGTGGCTTAAGAAATGTCTAGTTTTTGTCAAAAGTTGATTATTTCTATCTTTTCACACTGCTTAGTTTTAGACACTGATGATATCAAGCAATAGAACAAGGAGATTTATTTACCTGGCTCTTAGTTTAAAAACAAAACAAAAAAAAACTTTGACTGGGTTCTGTAGCTTACACCTGTAATCCCAACACTTTGGGAGGCTGAGGTGGGTGGATCACTTGAGGTTACGAGTTCAAGACCAACCTGGCCAACATGGTGAAACCCCGTCTCTACTAAAAATACAAAAAAATTAACCGAGCATGGTGGCGGGCGCCTGTAATCCCAGCTACTTGGGAGGCCGAGGCAGGAGAATCCCTTGAAACCAGGAGCTGGAGGTTGCAGTGAGCTGACACCACACCATTGCACTCCAACGTGGGCAACAAGAATGAAACTCTATCTCAAAAAAAAAAAGTCTAAATTTTTTAACATTATTTTTATTTTGAAAAACATTATTTTTAAATAACACATCCATTGTTAAAATGAAATTGTCATTATCATTGGCATTTACTGTTTGTGCTTAAGTGCACATATTTAATAAGGGTTTCAGTGAGTTATTGGTAAAACTTGAGTGGGGAAAAAAGGTCAAAGAGGGAATCTTAATCATTATAACCATCATGACAAGCCCTCTTCCTCTTAAGAAACACTAGCTTCTTAGGAAAATAAGGCAATTTAGAGAGTGCAGATAGTTTAACTTTAGCTTTTATTTTCAAAACTGTAACATAGTAAAGGATCAACATATATTAATGTTCCTAATTAGGTTGGTGTTTTGTGTGTTTGTGTGTGTGTTTAGATGTTTATAGAAACTTACACAACTTGGGGTGTACAACATTTTTCTTCCATAGCAGTTGGCCCATATTAGCTAAGCAGCCATGATCTGGTTTGTTTTGCACAGTCTGCCTTTTTAAAATTTCTTCTCTTCTTTCTCTCCATCTCCCTCGCTCCCCGCCCGTTTTTGTTGTTGTTGTTGTTGTTGTTGTTGTTGTTGTTTTTGAGACAGCTTTTGCTCTGTCACCCAGTGGTGCAATCTTGGCTCACTGCAACCTCTGCCTCCTGGGTTCAAGCGATTCTCCTGCCTCAGCCTCCTGAGTAGCTGGGATTACAGGCACCCACCACCATGCCCCGGCTAATTTTTGTATTTTTAACAGAGATGAGGTTTCACCATGTTGGCCAGGCTGGTCTCGAACTCTTGACCTTGGGTGATCCCCCTGCCTGGGCCTCCCAAAGTGCCAGGATTACAGGCATGAGCCACCACGCCTGGACTCCACCTCCCTTTCTTATTTCTGTCCTTCTGGTCCAGTGAAAACTGCATAGAGTACCTTCTATCTTAATGTGCTGGCATGATGCTAGACTTAGGCATGGCAGTAATTGATGGTGCATGTGATAATACTGCAGAGGGAGAATTCTCATCTGCTGTTTCACTGAAAGCCTAGTCTTGTGTTTTGACATAAGGATAAAATGCCAAGCTCACTTTGCTAAGCTAAAAATCACTGGTTTGTGTCTTGTTCTGTATTATTTTGGGGATTATCACAATAATGAAATCTGTAGGCTAGATCAGTATCTTGTATTTGAAAAATAATTTTTCCATTTTAATTTTAAAACTCGGGGTGGGGGGGGTCAAAGTTTCAGATCAGAGCTATCAGAATCAACCTCCCAGTACCATATTCTACAAGGTGCATGGTTGGTTAATATCCTTACACAAGCTATAATTCTGTGGGTACTCAACAGTAGCAGGAAATTTAATTAAATGAAATTTGCAACCTAGTATTCATCATTACTACACACAACAAAGATTTTTTTTAAACCACTAAATTAAATGATATTTAACATTTTTAAGCCTTCTTGGAGGCTGAAGTCTTAAAAGATTTTTGGAAAATTTATTCCTGTGGCACATGAGACTGATGCTATTTTACCTCTCACAATGTCCAGGATTTTTTCTAGCACACATCATAGGGAGAACACTATCAGAGGCAGTCTAATTGAGTAATCATTGTTGAATAATCTCAATGAATAGGAGTAGAATTGATATATGCCTTATTTATTAAATAGTGCTACCTTCTTTACTTAAAATAGCAAATAGTACATAGTACTCAGGCTGGATATTTAATTTTTTTAAATAAATAAATGCATGTTCAGAAATGTATATTAATAATTATACTTCTAATGAAAATTTACTTCCGAAATACATAAATATATGTATTATTTGTGATGTGGTAGTTTAGGGAGGAGGAGGAGGAGCTTCGTAGCCTACATTGTGTTAGATAGAAGTAGGACACAGGATATGGGAGAATAAACAAATATGTAAGACGAGAAAAAGAAGTAGTACACACAAGATAAGAGGAATCTTATTTCTGTTGCCTGATCATTTGGGAGTAAAATTTTAAGTGTTCTTCTTTTTTTTTTAACTTTTTTTTTTTTCTTGAGCCAGAGTCTCAAACGATTGCCCAGGCTGGAGTGCAGTGGTGCGATCTCAGCTCACCGCAACCTCCACCTCCCAGGTTCAAGCGATTCTCGTGCCTCAGCCTCCCAATTAGAAGAACTTAATTTCCAACCAAAGAACAGGCCACACAGCCACCATTTTGGGGTCTTGAGCAGAGAGAGAAAACAAATAGGTGGTTTGTGAGAACTCTGAATTATGTAGAAAACCAGCTTTTTGCTTATTACCCTTTGTCAAAATTCAGTTGCCTTATTAATTAAAAGTTAGGATTCCTTTGCAATTCTTCCATGTCCATTTAAATTATATCAAGTTAACTCTTGAGAAGAAAAAAAAATTATAAGCAGCCTACTTGTATCATGCTTGTTTGTTGTAAACCACGCAGTTGTGTGTGTGTGTGTGTGTGTGTGTGTGTGTGTGTGTGTGTGTGTCTTTTGAGAGACGGAGTCCTGCTCTGTCACCCAGGCTACAGTGCAGTGGCATGATTTCAGCTCACTGCAACCTCTTTCTTCTGGGTTCAAGTGATTCTCCTGCCTCAGCTTCCCAAGTAGCTGGGACTACAGGCGTGCGCCACTATGCCCAGCTCATTATTGTATTTTTAGTAGAGACGGGGTTTTGCTATATGTTGGCCAGGCTGGTCTCGAACTCCTGACCTCAGGTGATCCGCCCACCTCAGCCTCCCAAAGTGCTGGGATTACAGGTGTGAGCCACCGCACCCGGCCGACAGTTTTTAAAAAGTTTCTATAATTTATTTTTGGTTCTATGAGATTATAATTAAACCCCAAATTATATATATTTTTTAAAAAAAAGCCAAAAGATTTTTAGTCATTATTATAGTAACTGAAACTAAGTAAAGAGTTACTTTTTAAAAAATTATTTTTCAAAATAATTACTAGTTTAGAAATAAATTGGCTGGGCGTGGGAGCCCGGCAGGTCAAGGATGCAGGAGCTGTGTGACTGTGCCACTGCACCCCAGCCTGGGTGACAGAGCAAGACCCTGTCTCAAAAAAAAAAAAAAGAAAAGGTAAGAAAGAAATTTAGTATTCATTGCTCTTGTTCTGTCTAGATTACATGTTTGAGCCATAAGCTAGTTGTACCAACTTAGTGTTATAAATAGCATCCATGGGCCGGGTGTGGTGGCTCAGGCCTGTAATATAATCCCAGCACTTTGGGAGGCTGAGGCAGGCAGATCATGAGGTCAGGAGTTTGAGACCAGCCTGACCAACATGGTGAAACCCTGTCTCTACTAAAAATACAAAAATTAGCTGGGCGTGGTGGCACGTGCCTGTAATCCCAGGGTCTCAGGAGGCTGAGGCAGGATAATCGCTTGAACTAGGGAAGCAGAGGTTGCAGTGAGCCGAGATCACACCACTGCACTCCAGCCTGGGCAACAGAGCAAGACTCCGTCTCAAAAAATAAAATTAAATAAAATTAAAAAGTAGCATCCATGGACCAGGCGCGGTGGCTTAGGCCTGTAATCCCAACACTGGGAGGCTGAGCGGGCGGATCACTTGAGGTCAGGAGTTCAAGATCAGCCTGGCCAACATGGGGAAACCCTCCTCTACTAAAAATACAAAAAACGATTGGCCAGGCATGATGGCACGTGCCTCTAGTCACAGCTACCCAGGAGGCAGAAGTTGCAGTGAGCTGAGATCGTGCCAGTGCACTCCAGCCTGGGTGACAGTGAGACTCAATCTCACAAAAAAAAAAAAAAAAAAAAGCATCCATGGGAATAATTGAAAAAATCACAGTACTAAACAGAGAGAATAGATTGCTTGTTTCTCACAGACTGGTTATTGAATTTCTTGTTCTTTCACAGAGAAAGTTTTGATCATTTCAGAGATAGACAAGTCTGGTTTGTTTTTACTTTGTTATAAGTTATTTTGATGTGCCTCCTTGTGTTACCCATCATCCTTAAGCCTATTGGATTTTTGATGAATGTTTATAAAACCTTACCCTAAGCCTATTGGACTTTGACAAGTGTTTATAGAACCGTTTTTCTTTTATTGGTGGGAAAGGGGACCAGACTGAATACTAGCCCTTCCTGCAGAGTCACAGGGCTGCCTCTTTTCCTCCCAAAGCAGGTAGTTTGAAATGATAGGAAAGTTCCAGGTTTTCTGTGTTGGTCATTCACTTGCCCTGGGAGGTTGGTGAGGGGAGGGGATACTGGGAGAAGTGTCTATTGTTTCTGTTGCCTTTGTTATGATTGGAAAGACTTAGAGTGGCCTATTCACTATTTTATTATAGTCCCTGAGAAAGTAGATTTAATTAAATAACAGTTTTAACCTAAAGTTTTTGAAGAAAAATGCCACTACCATTTTTTTTTCTGAGAAGGTGACAGCATCCTCTTGAGTGGTTTTGTAAAAATGGCGCTAATGTGTGTAACTTAAATTTTTTCGGTTTTCTCCTTCTCCCTTTAACATTTGCTTTTCCTTTCACTGTTGTCAGTCACAACACGCTGCTCTTGAATCTCTCAGCTGGCCTTGACTTGTGAATTTACTTATGCTTTCACTCTTCTTTAATACATACATTACTTGCAAGCAGTGAATTGAAAACAAGATTTAAAAAAAAGACCATCAATCAACTGTGATTGGACAGTTTCTTACTTTGTGTTACATTTATTTATTTATTTATTTTGAGACAGAGTCTCGCTCTGTCGCCCAGGCGTGATCTCGGCTCACTGCAAGCTCTGCCTCCCGGGTTCACACCATTCTCCTGCCTCAGCCTCCTGAGTAGCTGGGACTACAGGCGCCTGCCACCGCGCCTGGCTAATTTTTTGTATTTTTAGTAGAGATGGGTTTTCACCGTGTTAGTCAGGATGGTCTCGATTTCCTGGCCTCGTGATCTGCCTGCCTCGGCCTCCCAAAGTGCTGGGATTACAGGCGTCAGCCACCGCGCCCGGCCCACTTTGTGTTACATTTAACTGTTCTTTTGACAGCCCAGTTTTGAAAGCCAGGTTTGTATGGAAATGCTCTCACTCCACTTGGACTGCTTTCGGAAATAGTGTACTGCTTCATTTGCATGTTTATTTTAGTGCATTCATAATATAACACAGTCAGCATAATGTCTCATCTCCACTTAGCCAAAGATTGAGTTTCCTTTAAAAAAAAATAATGACAACAACAAAATGGGAGGGAGGAACAATTTTTGTCAGCATTGTTTAATACCTAAATCTTGGTGCCAAATATAGTTACAACATGAGTCTATTAAGAGATTAAACAAGGCCGGGCAGGTGGCTCACACCTGTAATACCAGCACTTTGGGAGGCCGAGGCAGGCGGATCAGTTGAGGTCAGGAGTTCGAGACCAGCCTGGCCAACTTGGTGAAATGTCTTCTCTACTAAAAATACAAAAATTAGCTGGGCATAGTGGTGGGCGCCTGTAATCCCAGCTACTCAGGAGGCTGAGGCACAAGAGTCCCTTGAACCCAGGAGGTGGAGGTTGCAGTGAGTTACTGCACTCCAGCCTAGGCGATAGAGTGAGACTCAGTCTCAAAAAAAAAAAAAAAGAGAGAGAGAGAGAGATTAAACAATAATCAACCATATACTCTTAGAGTCATTCTGCTATCCTTGCCCTTTCTAGAATTATTCAGTTGTAGGAATTATGATATGAAATAAGGATTTTCTGCACAGGTAAGTTTGTTTTCATAGTAGTAAAATAAGGGCCTGTTTACCTTTGTTTTCTGCAAACATTACTTATATTGAGACTTTTAATCTTTTTTTTTTGGGGGGTAAGAAAGTTATAAATAGATGCTGAGCACTGGGTAAGGGAATGCTTTTCCTGGCAGTTCATTTGGGAGGGGAGAAGGGAAGAAGCCTCAGCAGCAGTAGTGTTATATTAAGTTTTCGTGATGTATAGTAATGTGGAAGTCAGCACTTGGCATCAGTAGTGTTTCTAATTCTTTCAGTTCATATGTAGCAAAAATAACTTGCAGCAAACTTTTGTGTACCATAATGATACCATATATATATATATATGTATGTATATTTAAAACAATATATGTTTTGTTTTAGAAACAATTTTTCATTATAGTTTGCCTCCAGTTTTTGTTTTTTAAGAAGTATCCGGGGCTAATGCCTGTAATCCCAGGACTTTGGGAGGCTGAGGAGGGAGGATCACTTGAGCTCAGGAGTTCTAGATCATCCTGGGCAACATAATGAAACCTTGTCTCTACAAAAATGTAAAAAGTAGCCAGCCAAGGCCATGTGTGCCTGTAATTCCAGCTACTCGTGAGGCTGAGGTGGGAGGATTGCTTGAGCCCGGAAGGTCAAGGCTGCAGTTAGCTGTAATTGTACCACTGTACACCAGCCTGGGCAAGAGAGCAATAACCTGTATCAAAAAAAAAAAAAAAAGTGTCCTGATTTTCCCCCATCAAAGAAATAATCAGCTGCTTAGCCCAGTTTTGTAGGTTGTATGCTATTATAAATTTAAGAAGGAAATTGTCCTTTAAAAACAAAACACAACTGAGCATTTGGAAGGCTTAATTTTCTTCTGACTTCTAGTTAGAGAAGATAACAGTAGAACAATGTTTTTCTTTCCTCAATGACTCCAAAGAACATTTTATCATTGAATATGGAGATGTAAGACAAACAATTTAATGTGCAATATTTGGTTTTAATGCAGAAATTTGTGGTTTAGTCAGCTTTATAAATTGATTTCAGGAAATATGAGATTATTTTCAAATGGTTTACCTTTGTTTTCTGGTAACATTACTTATATTGAGACTTTTAATCTTTTCTAGATTAATACTATAAATTACATTTTAATACATATAGAATACCTTGTGTTTAGAATTTTTCAATCTTTTCCTTTGAATGTATAGCACCATTTTTTCTGATACGGTTAGTGCTTATTTTAGCCTTGTCTTCGTACTTCACAATAACTGTAAAAAGCAAACAACTGGACAAAGAGCTGCAGATGTTTCTGATAGCTTGACCCCTTAAACAAAAGCTGACATTTAATCATTGTTTTTAGCATTTTTTTTCATGTAGTTTACATTGGAATACCTTTTCCAGTGTGCTCCTGGGAAGATGAGACATTATGTATGTTGGTTTCTCCCCACTACGTGCACTAATGGTTCTTTTTATTTATTTATTTATTTATTTTTTGAGAGGGAGTCTCGCTTTGTCGCCCAGGCTGGAGTGCAGTGGCGACATCTTGCCTCACTGCAACCTCTGCCCCCTGGGGCCAAGCAATTCTCCTGCCTCAGCCTCCTAAGTAGCTGGGATTATATACATATATATTTTATATATGTGTGTGTGTATATATATGTGTGTGTGTATATATATGTATGTGTGTGTATATATATATATGTATATATATATATATACACACACTTTTCTAAAACCAATCAAGTCTAGCCTGGATTTTGCTCTGATTGTTTTTTTCATTTCTAGTGGTGGGACAGTCTTACATTTACAACTTACTTTGTATCATGAAAGCCTGACACATAAAACAACTAAACACAATGTATATTATCTTTAAAAAAGAATCTTAAAGTGGTGCTGTTTAGGTGGTAGATATGACTGTATACGTACTTTGATTTTATGTTTTTTTTGAGACGGAGTCTTGCTCTGTCCCCAAACTGGAGTGCAATGGCACGATCTCGGCTCACTGCAACCTCCGCCTCTGGGGTTCCAGCAATTCTTGTGCCTCAGCCTCCTGAGTAGCTAGGATTACAGGCACCTGCCATCATGCTCGGTTAATTTTTGTATTTTTGTAGAGACAGAGTTTCACCATGTTGGTCAGGCTGGTCTTGAACTCCTGACCTCAGGTGATCTGCCCACCTCGGCCTCCCAAGGTGCTGAGATTATAGGGTGAGCCACCGCGTCTGGCCTATTTTATGCTTTTTAATGTTACTTTAAAACTTCATAAATGTATTCTTCCCCTTTTCCCTTTCCCCTTTTTCTCCATTTTAAAATGTTATGTACGAAAGTTGCCCAGCACACCATCAGAAAGGACCTTTATCCTATATGTTCTTCCCATATAAAATACTAGCCAGCTTTTCTTTTTACATTAGTGTCCCTCTTATTGGACACATTTACGCTATTATTAGCACCTTTTTGCATGCATATATGTAGAATTATCGCTTGCTCATCATCTGTTTAAGTGTCACTAGGCAGGGAAGAATATACTATTGGAATATTTTTGGTTTGTCTCTATGTTTTGTCTGTCAGGATAATATTGGACACTGCTTACTCCAGAAACATGGGTGGAAGCTGGGCCAGGGATTGAGAAAATCTCTTCAGGATAAGTCTTTACATTTACCAAAGAAAAAGAAAGAAAACTGTTTCTGATGCAGATCTTGTACCTGAATATATTTGTTGTCTTTCTAAAAAGGTGCTTGGGTTTTTCTGCCTCCCTGCCTTTCTACCCTTAGATTAGTCTATTTTTCCTATAACTGTATTTTAAGTCACTGTTAAATTTGCCAGTAATTTGCAAGAGTAAGCTGCTGTGTCATCGAAACTTTCAAGTCAAATATACTGTGTGTGGCTCAACCTGTTTTTAATTTTTTTTTTTTTTTTGGTGGAGGTGATGGGTGGGTGGAGTGAAAGGAATGCAGAATATCAGAGTATGCTTTATTTGTGCTATTTAGTAATGTATTGTGGCTTCAGTATTATAAAGAGAATCATCCAGTAGCAGAGTTTAATTTTTATCCTTTTAAATTCTCCCTGAAGCTGGTGATTGCCCTGGCTCTTTTGCTCTGCAATAAGAGATCTGTGTAGTGGTAGAAAGAAAAATTAACCCCCATGAAACATAAAATGAAAGCAGGGGTTTCTGAGGGCTCTCTAAGCAGAGAGGTTATTTCTCAGGTTCCTATCAAGGTCTGGAAAATGTATGGCTCAAAGTTTCCATTGCATTTGTTACCCTGTTTAACTATACCAGTCATTTGGATTATTTCAGCTTCTGAGTTCTTGCTAGTTGGAAACCAAGCAGCTGCATTCACTTTTTAGCTCTCTCGGATTCAAGAGCTACTGTTTGTTCTTTGCAGATGTGATGTGAATGCTGCCTCAGAAATTATGGGAATCATTGTGCCTGTACATCTGGTCATGGGGGAGCTTATTGTATAAGAGCATCTTTGGGGAGAAGTGTGCTACTGTTGACGAATTCTTTGAATTTTGTAAATTGATTTTGACAGTTTGAATGCTGAAGTCTGATCAATTCAAGTGTGTTGAGAGGAACAAGGACAGGTGTAGTGGCTCATGCCTGTAATCCCAGCAATTTGGGAGGCTGAGGCAGGAGGACTGTTTGAGGCCAGGTGTTCAAGACCAGCCTGGGTGACATAGCAAGACCCCATCTCTATTTTTTTAAAAAAGAAAAAATTAATTAATTAATTAAAGAGAGAGAGAGAAACCAAGAGGATAGGACTTGAAATATAGGACATTTCAGTTATTAAAACCTTTACTTTTTAAATTCTACTTCTGCAAATTCAGTGGTGACAAATGGGAGATGCTCAATAAATATATTTTGATGGAATATTCATCACTAAGCATTAACCTATTCTTTTGGGGAGTTCGAAAGGTGCGATTACCTTTAAACTTGTTTTCCAGTGGCACAAGAATTCTTTGCAAACACTACAAAGAATACTCTGATTAAGAGCAATTTGTATGGTATAGGCCACAGATTGGTTTTTGTTTGTTTGTTTGTTTGTTTGTAGATGGAGTCTCACTCTGTTGCCCAGGCTGGAGTGCAATGGCGCAATCTCAGCTCACTGCAACCTCTGCCTCCCAGTTCAAACAGTTCTCCTGCCTCGGCCTCCTGAGTAGCTGGGATTACAGGCGCATGCCACCACGCCTGGCTAATTTTTGTATTTTTAGTAGAGACGGGGTTTCATCATGTTGGTCAGGCTGGTCTCGAACTCCTGACCTCATGATCCTCCTGCCTCGGCCTCCCAAAGTGGTGGGATTATAGGCGTGAGCCACTGCACCTGGCTAGACCGCAGATTTTGTAAGAGCCCAGGAGAGAGAAGATAATGAAGACTGAAATAGAGTTGGCTTTTTGATAGAATTTGTCCCATTGGTTTGCATAGTTGTAAGTGTTGGGTTGAACTGAATGGAAGTGATTGCTTTAGAAGAAGACCAGAAGACTAGATTTGCTTTTCCCTCCAATTTGAAATACCACTTCTATTCCAGGACACCCAGGAGCATTGTTGATTGTTACTCTCTTTGTTCAGGCACACAAGGTGGGGCCGTTTCATAGTAGCTAGCAAATCTGTTTGAATCCCAGAATGTTCATTTTAAGCATCAGAGACTTTAAAGTACAATCAGAATCTGCAGAGAGGAAAGGAGGGGGAAGAGATAGATAATGTATTTAAGAGAGCATAGGTAAATGGCTACTCATCTACTTTGAGTGATCCAAAATTATTATCAATTTTTGTTTTTAAGGAGATTTTAGGCAGGGTGCTGTGGCTCATGCCTGTAATCTCAGCACTTTGGGAGGCTGAGGCAGGAGGATCACCTGAGCTCAGTGAGACCAGCCTAGGCAACATAGTGAGACCCCATCTCTGTCTTCTCTTATGCCCCCCCCCAAAATTAGTTGGGCATGGTGGTGCATGCCCGTGGTCCGAGTTACTCAGGAGGCTTGAGGTGGGAGGATTGCTTGAGCCCGGAAGGTCGAAGCTGCCGTGAGCCATTATTGCACCACTGGGCTCCAGCCTGCGTGACAGAGTGAGACCCTGTCTCAAAAAAAAGGAAATAAAAAAGAAGAACAGTTTAGAATTTTGGTTCTCTTTAAGCTTTGACCTTCTTGAAAAGAGGAATAGGTTTTCTCTATATTTTACCTCCATCTCCATGGTAACAGGTATATATAGTAAGTACTCAATAACACATAAATCTATTCATTTAAAAATACAAGGGAAATTTAAAGCTCATTTGAAGTTTTTTTTTCTTTTTAATTGTTAAAAAATACGTAACATAGCCAGGTGCAGTGGCTAGCACCTGTAATCCCAGCACTTTGGGAAGCTGAGACAGAAGGATTACTTGAGGCCAGGAGTTGAGACCAGCCTGGGCAATATAGCAAGACCCCATCTCTACAAAAAAAATTAAATTGGCTGGGCTTGGTGGCACACACATGAAGTCCCAGCTACTAGGGAGGTTGAGGTGGGAGGATCACTTGAGCCCAGGAGTTGAGGGATGCAGTGAGCTATGATTGGGCCATTGCACTCCAGCCTGGGTGACAGAGCGAGACCCTGTCTCTGCTTAAAAAAAAAAAAGAATTCCCCCTTTCCAAAACATATAGCATAAAATTTACCATCTTAACCATTTTTAAGTGTACAGTTCTGTATGTTAAGTATATTCACATGTTGGTGTGAAGTCCATCTGTTTTAAATGGTTAGTGTCTTTATTCTCCAAAAAGAATGGAGCCTTATTCTGTTTCCAACATTAAGAATTGAGTTTGTTTCATAACTGGCTGTTTATTTCCTAGTGTCAGATTCAACAGTGTGCAGGCATTGTGCTGGTTTCTCTCACGTATCTCCTTCTGTAGCACCCACATAATTTTACCTAGAATATATCCACATTTATGGCATATTGAAACAAGTTATGACAGATTTCTTTAACTGTACTAAACCTTTGCTATAAATAACCACTCAAGAAAGCCCTGTCACTCTGGTGTAAACAGTCATGCCTTCTTGTTTTTTTTGTTTTTGTTTTTGTTTGTTTTGTTTGAGATGGAGTCTCACTCTGTCACCCAGACTGGAGTGCAATGACGCGATCTCGGCTCACTGCAGCCTCCGCCTCCCAGGTTCAAGCGATTCTCCCACCTCTGCCTCCCAAGTAGCCAGGACTATAGGTGGCGTGCTAACACATCCGGCTAATTTTTGTATTTTTAGTAGAGATGGAGTTTCACTATGTTGGCCAGGCTGGTCCCGAACTCCTGACCTCGTGATCCGCCCATCTTGGCCTCCCAAAGTGCTGGGATTGCAGGCTTGAGCCACCGCACCCAGCCGCCTTCTTGGTATTTTATAGACTAGGCATTGCATGTAATTTCTGGGCTTATGCTTTTGTAAGCTCTTTGCATTGACTAGTTTATTGTCAACTTGCCTTTTTATTTGAGTTTAGGACTCTAACATATCTAACACGCAACCATCCACTAAAATTTTAAGCCTGGTCTCTTTGGGCTTTCTTTATCAAAGGCTTAAAAATTATCTTGACCCATGCAAGGCTTTTGCCAACAAAAGTTGCAGTCCTTGAGGCTCCAATGCCAATATCTTGTCACTGGATAGATGGGAGAATAGGGCGTGCAGACTCTGAAGTGAAGTTATCTGTGGCAGGATACAAATTGAACTTTGTAAACTGAGTTTATTTTTGTACTTCTATTTTCATATTCATGTTTTGTTCTCCCTTAGTATTTGCTAAAATATTTCAGAAGTTTTAAAAAAATTATCATATGTGGCAGATAAGTGATTGTTAGTATTAAAAAATAAAAGACCTGCAGAAAATATATGTTGACAAGATATCTGAAGGAAACAACACAAAGAAAGCACAACTGATGAGAAATATTATGAACAATTATTTATTGTAGAAGCAGAAGATGTGTTTAATTCAGAGTAAAGCAAGAGTGAATGATAGTTGTATTTTGTAGCAGTTGGACTAGATTCAGTTCTGGAAATTGTTTTATAACCTTTTGGCAGTTTTGAAATGAAATGTAGTTCAACATTTTTATTTTTCTGTGAAATACATTTAGTCAGTAGGTGTAGCCCAGTAGGTGTAGACTTACATTGTCTAAGAACTGTTTGATGATTTGGCTGAGTCTTTGGTCACAGACAAAAGTTTAGCCCCTGGGAAAAATAAGTGGGATCTGATATTATTTCATATCTCACCCTGTCTAGAAGTTTCGATCAGTACATTTAGACAACCAACAAATATTTACTGACCTAACACTACATTCTAGTTATACCAGCTGTAAATACTGTATGACAAGGAGAGAGTAGATAAGATGGTTCCTGACCTTCAGGTTTATTTTCCAGTCTCCCAAGCCTTATTTGTTTAAACTGCTGTAGACCTTTGAAGTTTCCTTAAAGCCAAGGATGTTTTCTACTTCTGTGTACTCCTTTCATGCTTAGAATTAAGTATGTGATTGGTCTGAATATTTAATTGAAAAATCGTTTCAACCTCCTTGTGAGTAGGAAGTCTCATTAATTTTTGCATAAAAGTACTTGGTGCAGGATATAAAAGCAGAGTGCTAATATTTGGAAATATGAGATCTGGGTTTGAGTTTGGCACTACCAATTCCTATAAGTAAAGGGACAAGGTACCACCACTGAATTATTTTCCTCAGCAATAAATGGAAATTAAAATCTCTACCCATCTTCTTAAAGAGTAGTTATGAAGACAAAGTAAGTGAACTCACATTATACAAACTGTAAAAGTGCCATATAAATGCTTATTATTAATACCTATTGTATAGTACATAGTTATTTTAACTGAATTAGAGATAATCCATCCTTAGGTCTTCCAAGTCTAACAACAGTACTAGTTAATATGCTTTGTATGTGATAGATGTTGGACTTCAGGATCTGTGCTTTTAATGTTATATGTGTTTTAGGACCCCTAAATTCCTAATTTTGGTGTTGGTTTCACTAATTCTGAGCTCACTAGTCATCTCTACTTCTGAGTCTAACTTCTAAAAAATCATCTAAAAAGAGCTTCAGTTACTCAGTAGTGGTGTTGGGACAACTGAATAACAACCCAGAATTTAAATAACTGGATCCCCATTGTCATTCCTTACCCCAGATAGATTCCAGATGAATAAAAGCTTTAAATGTAAAAAATGAAATCATAAAATTATTAGGATGAACAATGGTGGAATTATCTTAAAAATAATATTTGAATAAGAAAAACTTTTCTAAGCTTAACCCAAAACTTAGAAGCCATAAGACATGGACAAATATGCCTAGTATTCCATTATTGGAATGCTAAGCATCTGGGAGTTATTCGTGTCCTACTGTTCAAGGTCATTGCCAAGGTCTGATTGCAAAAATTTAAAAAATTGCAACCTCAGGCATAAATGGGTTAAGAAAAGTATAAGGCCAGTCACAGTGGCTCACACTTGTAATCCCAGGACTTTGGGAAGCCAAGGTGGTGGATCACTTGAGGCCATGAGTTCAAGGCCAGCTTGGGCAACAATAAGACCTCGTCTCTACAAAAAATTAAAAAAAAAACAGATTAGCCGGGTATGGTGGCATGCACCTGTATTCCTAGCTATTTGGAAGGCTGAGGTGAGAGGATCGCTTGACTCCAGGAGTTTGAAGTTGCAGTGAGCTATGATCCCGCCACTGTACTCCAGCCTGAGCAACACAGCAAGCCTGCCTCAAAAAAGGAAAGGATAAATTTGGTTATATTTCATCATAACAAAGTCAACAAACAAATAGACTGGGAAAAATATCTGTAATATCTCATTATAGGCAAAGAACAACTTTGCTTCAGGGATTTATCAGTTTAAGAAAGACCTAAATATAATAGAAAAGGGGAAATGGTATGAACACTGTGTACAGAAAGGCAATATAGATGGCCTTTACTTTTTATTATTTATTTTTTTGAGATGGAGTCTTGCGCTGTCGCCCAGGCTGGAGTGCAATGGTGCAATCTCGGCTCACTGCAACCTCCAGTTCTCAGGTTCAAGTGATTCTCCTGCCTCAGCCTTGTGAGTAGCTGGGATTACAGGAGAGAGCCACCACACCTGGCTAATTTTTTTGTATTTTTAGTAGAGACGGGGTTTCACCATGTTGGCCAAGCTGGTCTTGAACTCCTGACCTCAGGTGATCCACCCACCTTGGCCTCCCAAAGTACTGGGATTACAGGCGTGAGCCACCATGCCTGGCCACAGATGGCCTTCAAATATATGAAAATATTCTCAACCATTCTCATAGTAAGAGACGTGCATATTAAACTATGAAATGTTAGCTTGGTAAGATTATGGGAAAATAGGTACTTACACCATAGCCATGAGAATAGAAATTGGTGAAAGCCACTACAGAGAACAATTTAGATTACTTAAAAATTAAAATGGAGGTATTCTTGAATCCAGCAATTTTTTTTTTTTTTGAGACCATGTTGCTTTGTTGCCCAGACTGGAGTGCAGTAGCATAATCATAGCTCACTGCAGCCTTGATCTCCTGGGCTCTAGTGATCCTTCTGCCTTAGGCTCCTGAGTAGTGGGGACTACAGGTGCACACCACTATGCCTGGCTAATTTTTAAGAAACTTTTTATAGAGACAAGGTTTCACTATGTTGCCCAGGCTGGTCTCAAATTCGTGGGCTCACGCAATCCTCCCACCTTGGATTCCCACAGTGCTGGGATTACAGGTGTGATCCACCATGCCTGGGCTAGTCGTGCAATTTTTTTTTTTTTTTTTAGATGGAGTCTTGCTCTGTCGCCCAGGCTGGAGTACAATGGCGCGATCTTGGTTCACAGCAACCTCTGCCTCCCGGGTTCAAGCAATTCTCCTGCCTCAGCCTCCTGAGTAGCTGGGACTACAGGCACCCACCACCACGCCTGGCTAATGTTTATATTTTTAGTTGAGACGGGGTTTCACCATGTTGGTCAGGCTGGTCTTGAACTGCTGACCTCATGATCCGCCCGCCTCAGCCTCCCAAAGTGCTGTGATTACAGGCGTGAGCCACTGGCCTGGCCATATTCATGCAATTAACAAAATTTTTAGGATATAAAATTCTTAAGCATTTCTTCCTGGTTACTAAATAATTAATATAACACACAGTTGCTTCCTGTGTAATAACACGTACATTCCTTTTGTTGATATTGAAGCAGATTTTTCAAAGTTTTGTTAGTTTTATTTGGAATATATCTCCAGACATCTCACACATCTTTTAAAGAACATTGTATTATGTTTTGGGATTGAAATAAATAAATGTAAAAATTTTACTTTATAAAATCATTAGCTGAAAAAATGTGTTAAGAGAGATGAACATTCTCTACAGCTTGGGTAGTAAAACTGAGGCATTTTATTGTGAAATATTAAAATGGTGCATTCTGTGGGTATACAGGAGTGTGCCTGTAAATTTATGTTTGTATTTGCTTGATGATGAAGATAAAAATTTGTGTAACGATAGACTCTCTGAAGGGAAACTGAGTTGCATTTTCCTGTATTTAAAAAATTTGATATCGGCCGGGCGCGGTGGCTCACGCCTGTAATCCCAGCACTTTGGGAGGCCGAGGCGGGCGGATCACGAGGTCAGGAGATCGAGACCATCCCGGCTAAAACGGTGAAACCCCGTCTCTACTAAAAATACAAAAAATTAGCCGGGCGTAGTGGCGGGCGCCTGTAGTCCCAGCTACTTGGGAGGCTGAGGCAGGAGAATGGCGTGAACCCGGGAGGCGGAGCTTGCAGTGAGCCGAGATCCCGCCACTGCACTCCAGCCTGGGTGACAGAGCGAGACTCCGTCTCAAAAAAAAAAAAAAAAAAAAAAAAAAAAAAAATTTGATATCATGTACTTGTATTACTATTCAAAAAATATAATTGTTTTAGAAAAGACCTAGAGTGGGCAGAGTGAAAGCAGAGTAGGGTTGGGGCATTTCTTCGGTTTTGCTTATGTATACCTCCTTCCCAGTCTTGTTTCAGTTAGGAAATAAATGGTGACTACAGTAGAGTAAGGCCTGCATTAGGTAAGTCTCAACAATATTTAGTCTACATTTTATGACTAAATGAAAATTAGATTTTTTTTTCCACTAGAAATGAGGTCTTGCTATATTGCCCAGGCTCCTGGCCTCACACAATATTCCCACCTCAGCCTTGCAAAGTGCTAGGATTACAGGCAGAAAACTAGATTTGAATTCAATACAATAGAATAGAAACATGTAATGTTACAATTTAGGCCTTATGGTTAAATTAGAATGCTAATTAATATTGCACTAACTTCTGACCTGGTGTGGTGGCTCACACTTGTAATCCCAGCACTTTGGGAGGCTGAGGCAGGAGGGTAACTTGAGGCCTGGAATTCAAGACCAGCCTGGACAACATAACAAGACCCTGTCTCAACAGAAATAGAAAAATTAGCCAAGCCCAATGGCACATGCCTGTAGTCTTAGCTACTTGGGAGGCTGAGGGGAGAGAATTGTTTGAGCCCTGGTACTGGAGGTTGTAGTGAGCTGTGATGGGCCACTGCACTTCCTGCATTCCAGCCTGGGCAACAGAGCTAGACCTGTCTCTATAAATAAATTATGCAAGACCTGTCTCAATCAATCAGTATCAATATTTTACTAATTTCTTAAGAAACATCATTCTTTGAGAAAATATTTTTATTAATATTATAGTGACATAGATACATTTTTCTGAATAGACTTTGCAGAAGCTAAGTTGTCTTTGTATCTTCCTTTTCCTTTTCTTTCTTTATTTTTTTATGAGATGGAGTTTCACTCTTGTTGCCCAGGCTGGAGTGCTGTGGCATCATCTCGGCTCACTGCAACCTCTGCCTCCCAGATTCAAGTGATTCTCCTGGCTCAGTCTCCCAAGTAGCTGGGATTACAAGCACACACCAGCACACTCAGCTAATTTATTATATTTTTGGTAGAGATAGGGTTTCACCATGTTGCCAGGCTGGTCTTGAACTCCTGACCTCAAGTGATTGGCCCGCCTTGGCCTCCCAAAGTGCTGGGATTACAGGCGTGAGCCACCGGGCCTGGCCTTACTTTTCCTTTTCAATTCATATTTTCCTTTGTAAAAAGGAAATAATGCTTAATATTTATTATGTGCCAAATATTGATCTAGAGTCTAGATGTTTTGCATTGTCTCATTTAATGAAATAGATATTAGTATGCTCATTTTATAAATTGAAAGTTTTGGAAAGTTTATACAGCTACTGAGTCTCTGCCATTCAAACATAAGCCTGACTTTGAAATCAATATTCATACCTTTTCCCTTCTCAGGAAAAGCTGATACTGAAAATAGGAATAGGTAGGTGGTAGGATAGCAAACATGCAGCTCCCCCAAATCACAAAGCAAGGTATGGATTGTCAGAAAGGCTGAGTTATACAGAGAGCTGGCGTAGCTGAAGGAGCATATAGCTGTAATCTCTGTTTTTTTGCTAATTAAATGGGCCTTGGAGTCTTTATTCAGTTGCCAAAGGCAAGCATAATTTTAGTTATTTACAAACCAGATTTAATAAGGTATGGGCTCTATAGAGTCTTTGACCTTTTTAATGGAATAAATATAAACAATAGAAAAGAGGCCCAGATAATAAACAAGATTAGTCAGAATTGGCTGTCAACAGTAAGAGGTTAGGTTTTAGGGATAAAATAGAAAAGGAAAGGGCCGGACGTGGTGGCTCATACCTGCAGTCCCAGCACTGTGGGGGACCAAAGCAGGAGGATTGCTTGAGGACAGGAGTTCAAGAGTAGCCTAGGCAATATAGCGAGAGCCTGTCTCTACAAAAATTAAAATAAATATGAGGATGAAAGGGATTGCAGGAGAGGAGAGGGAATGAGAATGGGGAACTTGCATGCTGTATATAAAGGGACTACTTGTTTCCTAGTACAGAGATCATCACATTTAAAGGATAAATTAAAAGACCTTAAATGTGAGTTAAGTCAAGAAAAAATAATAATCAGAAAAGAAGTTGCAGTTCCAGTGGCATGTGCCTGTAGTCCTAGCTACTCAAAAGGTTAAAGCAGAAGGATCAGTTGAGCCTGGGAGTTTGAGCCTGGGCAACATAGTGAGACCCCATCTAAAAATTAGCCAGGCAAGGTAGTGCACACCTATGGTCCTAGCTACTTGGGGGGCTGAGGTAAAAAGATTGCTTGTGTCTAGGATTTGAAGGTTACCGTGAGCTATGATTATGCCACTGCACTGCAGCCTGGGCAACAGAGCAAGACCTTGTCTCTAAATAATAAAAATAAAATGCTATAAGGGTTCAAAAGAAGAGTGACTAGGGATGACTTCGGAAAGAAGTCCTGAGGAGAGAGGAATAGGTATTACCAAAGACAGGAGATACTGATGTATACACAGTAATTGCAGTTGACAAAGAGTAGGCATAGCTAATTGGAGCAGATTGTGTCTATGGCATAGTGGATTTCATGCATTCTTTAACAGAAGAAACCACCTCAAAATTTTTTTTTAATGTTGAACTTCAGTATATGAAAGAGAAGGGAAGCCCACACAGTGTTTTTTTTGTTTTTGTTTTTGTTTTTGAGACGGAGCTTCGCTCTTGTCACCCAGGCTGGAGTGCAATGGCGTGACCTTGGCTTACTGCAACCTCTGCCTCCTGGGTTCAAGCGATTCTTCTGCCTCAGCCTCCCCAGTAGCTGGGATTATAGGCATGAGCCACCACGCCTAGCTAATTTTTGTATTTTTTAGTAGAGACAGGGTTTCATCATGTTGGCCAGGCTAGTCTCGAACTCCTGACCTCAGGTGATCCACCCGCCTCAGCCTCCCAAAGTGCTGGGATTACAGGCGTGAGCCACCACACCCGGCCCACTCAGTTGTTTTGATTGAAGCAGAGTTCTAGGTCTCCAGGAACAGTTTAAAAGCTATAGGCTGGGTGCGGTGGCTCACGCCTGTAATCCCAACACTTTGGGAGGCCGAGGCAGGTGGATCATGAGGTCAGGAGTTTGAGACCAGCCTGGCAACATGGCGAAACCCCATCTCTACTAAAAATATAAAAATTAGCTGGGCATGGTGGCGCATGCCTGTAATCCCAGCTACTTGGGAGACTGAGGCAGGAGAATGGCTTGAACTCTGGAGGCAGAAGTTGCAGTGAGCCAAGATTGTGCCATTGCACTCCAGCCTGGGCGACAGAGCAAGACTATCTTAAAACAAAAACAAAAACAAAAACTGTAACTAGGCTGGGCGCGGTGGCTCACGCCTATAATCCCCAACACACTGGGAGGCTGAGGTGGGAAGATCTCTTGATCTCAGGAGTTTGAGACCAGCCTGGGCTACAATAGTGAGACCCTGTCTTTACAAAAAAAAAAAAAAAAATTAGCCTGGTGTGGTGGTGTGCACCCTTGTTCCTAGCTACTTGGGCAGCTTAGGTGGGAGGATCACTTGAGGCCAGGAAGTTGAGGCTGCAGGGAGCCCTGTCCATGTCAGTGTGCTCCAGCCTGGGTGACAGAGTGAGACCATGTCTCAACACACACACACACACACACACACACACACACACACACCCTTATAACTGGAAGGCAGAAATGGGAAATATTAGAATAGGCACAAATCTCATACTTATTTATTGTTTACTATGTGCTAAGCACTTAACAAATATCTCATTAAAATCTTATAATAGGCCCCTGAGAGAATTACTGTTATTCCCATTTCGTGTAAGAAACTTCTCTTTTGTGTAGAGAAGTTTAATAAGTTCAAGGATAAGCAACCAGTAAACTATAGAATCAGGATTAAGATCTTAGGCCTTCTGCCTCCAAAACTCATGCCACACTGAATGTGGAAGGCTTTAATGCTCCTTCAATGCGGAATTGTATTTTGTAAGCCAAAGGCAATTTTTGATCAGAAGAGAGGTATAGACTTATAGCAAGAAGAGATACTGAAGGCTGGACATGGTGGCTCACGCCTGTAATCGTAGCACTTTGGGAGGCCAAGGTGGGTGGATCGTTTGAGCTCAGGAGTTTGAGAACAGCCTGGGCAACATGGCAAAACCCTGTCTCTACTAAAAGTACAAAAAAAAAAAAAAAAGTTAGCTGGGCATGGTGGCGTATGCCTATAGTCCCAGCTACCTTGGGGACTGAGGTGGGAGGATCGCTTGTGTTCAGAAAGTCAAGGCTGCAGTGAGTTGAGATAATGCCACTGCACTCCAGCCTGAGTGACAGAGACCCTTTCTTAAAAACAACAACAACAACAACAAAGAGAGATTGAAGATAATTTAATCTAAAACTCATTATACAGTTGAGAAATTTATTTTTAGCATTCTACAATGTTTTAGTGATACTGCTGAAACCCAAACCCAAATTCTTTTATTTGAAATCTAAAGCTCTTTCCATTACCCCAGCCTGGCATTTGTGGTGGAAATAAAATAATAGTCTGGTCAATGTATGTCTGAGGAGGGAGATGGAAAACCATTTAGAAAGTTATCTGGGTATGAGTGTAGATAAAGGCTTGAAAAAGTAATAGCACTGGAAATGGAAAGGGAGGTATAACTATGAAGGTTGATAAAACACGTGAACTATGAAGCACAGTATATAGTCAGTTTATGCACGTGTTTGACTAGCAAGCCCCTGTTCACTAGATTTATTGTTAATCCTTTATAACAGCTATCATTTATTGTTTACTGAGTGCTTGCACATGAATTATCTAATTTAAATCCTCTTTGAGATAGACATTCCCATTTTATAGGTGAGGAAATTGACATTCTGAGCAATAATTTGCCCAAGGTCTTATAGCAAATAAGTGGTAGAATCATGGTACTGAAACCTATGCTTTTAACCAATATGCCTTAACATACCTAAACTGTAGGTGCTAGTTCACTTCTCTATCCTGGGGAGATATGATAGTGGTAAGGAATACCAGTGCTACAGAATTGAAATATACTGGGCCGGAAAAAGTGGAGATAATTCTGAATATGATATATTTTCTTAGGGCACTTGAAGTCGTAATATATATTTTTCATGATGAGTATAAATTCACTAGAAACCTGAGGTTAAAATTGAGTGGTAAGAACTTTTGCCAAATATTTAGGGATGGAAATTGGTGTCCAGGGAAAAAGAAAGTACTGTAACTTATATCTTATACTGTAATTTCCTCCCTGATTTCTTCTTATACTTTATATTTCTCTCCTGTGGCATTTTAAATGTTCTCTCTTGTATAATTTTTGTTGATGTGTGTCTTTTACCCTCAGTAGACTGTAAATTCCTAAAGGATAGTAATTACTGTGCATTTATGTATTCTCTATTGTTGCTTTTCTTGTTTTGTATTCTGCATTTGTTTATTGCATGCTTAGAATATGCCAGATCTGGGTCGGGCGTCGTGGCTCACGACTGTAATCCCAGCACTTTGAGAGGCTGAGGTGGGCGGATTACCAGCCTGGCCAACATGGCGAAATCCTGTCTCTCCTAAAAATACAAAAATTAGCCAGGCATGTTGGTGCATGCCTGTATTCCCAGCTACTTGAAAGCTGAGTCATGAGAATCACTTGAACTCAGGAGGTGGAGGTTGCAGTGAGCCATCTGGGTAACAGTGTGAGACTCTGTCTCCAAAAAAAAAAAAAAAAAAAAAGCCAGATCTGTACTAAGTCTTTAAGAGTGAGTAAAATATAACGTCTGCCCTTCTGCTCTCCAGAGGCTTATTTCTAATAAGGAGACAAATGTAACAAATTTAATACAGTATAATGACTGTTGTAATTATGAAGTTAAAGGTACAGTGGAGGCTTAATAGAGAACTGAGCAATTTAACTTAGAATTTCAATTTGTTGGCCAGGTGCGTTGGCTCATGCCTGTAATCCCAGCACTTTGGGAGGCTGAGGCAGGCGGATTACCTGAGGTCGGGAGTTCGAAACCAGCCTGACCAACATGGAGACACCCCGTCTCTACAGTACAAAATTAGCTGGGCCTGGTGGTGCATGCCTATAATCCCAGCTACTCAGGAGGCTGAGGCAGGAGAATGGGAGGCGGAGGTTGCAGTGAGCCGAGATAGCGCAATTGCACTCCATCCAGGGCAAGAAGAGTGAAACTCCATCTCAAAAAACAAAAAAAAGAATTTCAATTTTTTTTTTAATGATTAACAAGTGAAAAGTCTCAGCTTGTGAGAATAAAGAAGCAAGCAACTATTTTCTGTACATGCAGCTATACTTGCTGATAGATACGTGGAGCACAGGTGTCTGTGAGTTAGTGGAATCACTTTATTCTTCCATGAGAAGCATTGGTATTTTAAAGTGGGATGAAACCTGAAAATAAGAATACAAAGTAAAAAGTGTTTTATAAGAAATCTATTTTATTAAAGAAAATCTTTAGAAAGTTCATTTAAAATTTACCACCAAAATTCAAAGTAATGGTGCTTAAACATCTGGAAAAGAGAACAAAGTGTAATATCTTTTCATGTAGTGTAATATCTTTTCAAATGTAGTTTATTAGTTTAAAATCCAGTTTTTCCTTTCTCACTAAATCTTCTCAAACCAGTAGATAGAACTCCCACTGGATTTTCTTGTAACTCCCATTTGGTTCAGAAGGAGGGAGCAAAGAAGGTAGGAGCTGGGGCCTCGTGGTAGCATACATATTTGAAATTGACTGAGTGTGAGACAATAGCAAGTGGTGTGAGTTGTGCCACGTTTAGAGAGGACTGATTATTGCCACCTAGGATTATAGTCTCAGTGTAACATTTTAAGGTTATTTGAAAATTTCTGAACTTACCTGAACAATGAATGAATAAATGAAAAAAAATGAAAAAATAAACATTTTACACTTAAATATTTCATTTAGATGAACTTTATAGAGGAGCTAGTAGCCAAGCTTCTATTTTTGAGATCTCCATAATGGTAAAGGGGGTCACATTTGTCCCCTATGTAGTCCAAAATCAGTCCCCTGTCCTGGACCTTATCTCTAGAGAACCTCAGTATGTCTGGGGCACAAGAAGCTCTACATTTAGGGCTGGGCTCAGTGGCTCATGCCTATAATCCCAGCACTTTGGGAGGCCAAGGTGGGCAGATCATTTGAGGTCAGGAGTTCGAGACCAGCCTGACCAATACAGTGAAACCCCGTCTGTACTAAAAATACAAAAGTTAGCTGGGTGTGGTGGTGGGCACCTGTAATCCCAGCTACGGTGGAGGCTGAGGCAAGAGAATTGCTTGAATCCAGGAGGTGGAGGTTGCAGTGAGGCAAGATTGCACCACTGCACTGCAGCCTGGGCTAGAAAGTGAGACTCTGTCTTAAGAAGCTCTACATTTAACAAGCCCTCCAGGTAATTTTGATGAGCAGCTGGGCTTAAGAACCTTATCTCAAGAACATTTTTTTCCTATACAGGTTTTGCCCTTTGATGAGCTAAATGTAGAGGCAAAGTGGGTGAAGTGAAAATGACTAGATTGTTGCCACTACTTTTAAGTAAAGTAAGAACAAACTTACGTGATGCTGTATAGGTTACACAGCATTTTCATATTTCATTTAGTTTTATAATCCTTTAAATAATTGTTATTATTAATATCCCTATTTTGTAGTTGAAGAGAGGGAAGTACCAAGGAGTTAAATGACTTGCTCAGTGTCCCCCAGCTTGTTTGTTGTAGAACTGGACCTTCAACCCAGATCTCTTAACTCCCAAACCCTGTTTCATGCTCATAGTGGTAAGAGGCAACCTGGATGCAAAGTTGATGTGTATTACAGGTTGAGGAGGGGTGAATAGTTTCATGAACTTTTAAAAAGCAGTTCCATTTTTAAATTCTTCCTAGAGCTTCTATAAACCCTTTTTAAGACAGCAACAGTGACTCTGGCTTATTTGCTACTAGTTCTCTGCTTTGTTATATTATCACCCAAGCCCACCACGGGTGGGTAAGACTACCCACCCATGCTAGAGAGGGTAGTCTATCCCATGCTAGAGAGGGTAAGACTTCTTTTTTCTTTTTCTTTCTTTTTTTATTTTTGAGACGGAGTCTCACTCTTGTTGCCCAGGCTGGAGTGCAGTAGCATGATCTCGGCTCACTGCAACCTCCGTCTCTTGCGTTCAAGCAATTCTCCTGCCTCAGCCTCCCAAGTAGCTGGGATTACAGGCACACGCCACCACGCCTGGCTAATTTTTATATTTTTAGTGGAGTCAGGGTTTCACCATGTTGGTCAGGCTGGTTATGAACTCCTGACCTCAGGTGATTCACCTGCCTTGGCCTCCCAAAGTGCTGGGATTACAGGCATGAGCCACTGTGCCTGGCAAGACTTCTTTTTTCTAATGGCCACACTCCTAACAAGTCATGCTTGTGCATCACCTGTTTCTTTTTTTTTCTTTTCTTTTTTTGAGAGATGGAGTCTCGCTCTGCCACCCAGGCTGGAGTACAGTGGCATGATCGAGGCTCACTGCAACCTTTGCCTCCCGGGTTCAAGAGATTCTCCTGCCTCATCTTCCCAAGTAGCTGGGACTACAGGCTTGCACCAGCACACCCAGCTAATTTTGTATTTTTAGTCGAGATGGGGTTTCACTGTATGTTGGCTAGGATGGTCTCGAACTCCTGACCTCAAATGATCCACCCACCTCAGCCTCCCAACGTGCTAGGATTACAGCCATGAGCCACCACGCCTGGCCTCGACTGTTTCGTATTGACTTCCAGCATGTTGTGTTGTTGGAATTCCCAGTTGAGTTTGAAACAGATTTTCCACTTGGCATATTAGTAGTTCCTATCATGCCATTCATACTTGCTTTGTTGTTTCACATTTATCTTTTCATAGCATGAAATGTAATGATTGGAATTGCATTATGGGCTACATCTTCTCTAATTGGTTCAAAGCAAATAGAGATTGGATGGGAAAAGTCAGTGGATTATGGGCCTGTACAAAAGTGCTTTGATGAACATCCATGTCATGTACATCTCCTCAATACTAAAAATACTGGGTCATAGAATGGACACATGCTTTATTCTACTAGTTATTTTAAAAATAACTAGTAGAATAGTTATTTCTACTATTTAGTAGAATAGTTATTTCTACTATTTAGTAGAATAGTTATTTCTACTATTTAGTAGAATAGTTATTTCTACTATTTAGTAGAAATAACTTTAAAAGCAGAAAGCATTTAAAGTGTTTTACCCATTTATTTTTATTTTTTATTTATTTATTTATTTTTTTGAGACAGAGTCTCACTCTGTCACTCAGGCTGGAGTGCAGTGGCGCAATCTCGGCTCACTGCAAGCTCCGCCTCCCGGGTTCATGCCATTCTCCTGTCTCAGTCTCCAGAGTAGATGGGACTACAGGCGCCTGCCACCACACCCGGCTAATTTTTTTGTATTTTTAGTAGAGATGGGGTTTCACCGTGTTAGCCAGGGTGGTCTCGATCTCCTGACCTCGTGATCCGCCCACCTCAGCCTCCCAAAGTGCTGGGATTACAGACGTAAGCCACCACGACCGGCCGTTTTACCAATTTATAATCCCACCAGCTGGGTATGAGAGTTTCAGTTTCCCTATGTCCTCAAACTTTAAAATATATGTCAGTTTGACAGGATAAATGTGATCTCATTGCTTCTCATTTGTTTTCCTGGTTGAGTGTCATTTTGTGTATTGATTGACCATTTGGGTTTTCTTTTCTGTCATTTGCCCTTTCTCCATTAAAAACAAAACAAAACAAAACAAAACAAAAAACCAAAAAAAAAAAACTTCCTGTTTGACTATTCCTATTGACTTGCAACAATTCTTTATATATTTTCTGCACATCAGTCCTTTGTTATCTGCTGCAGAGATCCTCCAGTCTGTGCTATTCATTTATTTGTTTATTTTGTGGCTTTGGTGTACAGAAGTTTTTTTTTTTTTAAATGTAGTCAGATGTATCAGTCTTTTCCTTTGTGGTTTGTGGGTTTTGTGGGGGCGGGTAGTTTTTGGGTTTTGTCTTTTTTTTTTTTTTTTTTGAGACAAATTCTTGCTCTGTTGCCCAGGCTGGAGTGCAGTGGCACCATCTTGGCTCACTGCAACCTCTGCCACCCGGGTTCAAGTGATTCTCCTGCCTCAGCCTCCCAAGTAGCTGGGATTATAGGCATGCACCACCATGCCTGGCTAATTTTTGTATTTTGAGTAGAGACAGAATTTTACCGTGTTAGTCATGGTGGCCTCAAACTCCTGACCTTAGGTGATCCGCCCGCCTCGGCCTCCCAAAGTGCTGGGATTACAGGCGTGAGCCACTGCGCCTGGTCTGGGTTTTATCCTTCTTTAGCCTGAGGTCATTTTTGCATGCCTGTATTTTCTTCAGAAAGTTTGAAATCTTTGCTTTTTCCACTTAAGTTTTAAGGGAGCTAGAGTTTGTTTTGTGTGTTACCTGAGGTGTCTTTTTGCCGTATGGATAACAACCAGAGCTGTTGGCATTTATTGTAGTCCTTTTTTTTTTTTTTTTGAGATGGAGTCTCACTCTGTTGCTTAGGCTGGAGTGCAGTGGCACAATCTCAGCTCACTGCCACCTCTGCCTCCCGGGTTCAAGCAATTCTCCTGCCTCAACCTTCTGAGTAGCTGAGACTACAGGCATGCACCACCATGCCCTGCTAATTTTTGTATTTTTCAGTAGAGACAGGGTTTCACCATATTGGACAGGCTTGTCTCAAACTCCTGACCTCATGATCCATTTACCTTGGCCTCCCAAAGTGCTGGGATTACAGGTGTGAGCCACCGTGCCTAGCCTATATTGTTGTTTCTAAACAAACAAACAAACAAACCTCATTACTATAGGGAATTAATCTGCAGTCTTCTTACTAGGTATTTATAATCCATGTGTGAGAACAATCTCAAAGGAAAAGAGAACTGTATCAGAAAATTTAGCGTAAGGTATTTATTTGGACAGCCTTTAAATGTTTATTTTCTAAAGGTAGAACATTTATTTCTACAGATTTACCTTCAGCTTTAACAAAAAATTGGCCGTCAAAACCTGAGTCCTGTCCTCTTGCTCTCCTCCCCGGACAGCATGAACTTCACCACTTGCTCCACCCTCTCCACCAACTACCAGTCCCTGGGCACTGTCCAGGCACCCAGCTATGTGCCCAGCTGGTCAGCAGTGTGGCCAGTGTCTATGCAGGCATCAGGGGCTCTGGTTCCCGGATCTCCATGTCCTGCTTCACCAGCTTCCAGGGCAGCATGGGGTCCAGGGGCCTGCCCGCAGTGATGGCCGGGGGTCTGGCAGGAATGGGAGTCATCCAGAATGAGAAGGAAACCATGCAAAGCCTCAACGACCACCTGGCCTCCTACCTGGACAGAGTTAGGAGCCTGGATACCAAGAACTGGAAGCTGGAGAGCCAGGAGCACCTGGAGAAGAAGGGACCCCAGGTCAGAGACTGGAGCCATGACTTCAAGACCATCGAGAACCTGAGGGCTCAGATCTTTGCAAATACTGTGGACAGTGCCCACATTGTTCTGCAGATCGACAATGCCTGTCTTGCTGGTGATGACTTTAGGGTCAAGTATGAGACAGAGCTGGCCATGTGCCAGTCTGTGGAGAGTGACATCCATGGGCTCCACAAGGTCATTGATGACACCAATGTCACTTGGCTGCAGCTGGAAGCAGAGATCAAGGCTCTCAAGGAGAAGCTGCTCTTCATGAAGAAGAACCATGAAGAGGAAGTAAAGGGCCTATAAGCCCAGATTGCCAGCTCTGGGTTGACTGTGGAGGTAGATGCCCCCAAATCTCATGACCTTGCCAAAATCTTGGCAGACATTGGGCCCAATATGACGAGCTGGCTCCGAAGAACTTAGAGGAGCTGGGCAAGTACTGGTCTCCGCAGATTGAGGAGAGCACCGCAGTTGTCACCACGCAGTCTGCCGAGGTTGGAGCTGCTGAGATGACGCTCACGGAGCTGAGACATACAGTCCAGTCCTTGGAGATCGACCTGGACTCCATGAGCAATCTGAAGGCCAGCTTGGAGAACAGCCTGAGGGAGGTGGAGGCCTGTTACACCCTGCGGACGGAGCAGCTCAACAGGATCCTGCTGCACTTGGAGTCAGAGCTGGCACAGACCCGGGCAGAGGGACAGCACTAGGCCCAGGAGTATGAGGCCCTGCTGAACATCAAGGTCAAGCTGGAGGCTGAGATCGCCACCTACCACCGCCTGCTGGAAGACAGTGAGGACTTCAATCTTTCAATCTTGGTGATGCCCTGGACAGCAGCAACTCCATGCAAACCATCCAAAAGACTACCACCTGCCGGATATTGGATGGCAAAGTGGTGTCTGAGACCAGTGATGCCAAAGTTCTGATACCTTAAGCCAGCAGAAGCAGGGGACCCTTTGGGGAGCAGGAGGCCAATAAAAAGTTCAGAGGTTAAAAAAAAAGAAAAAAAAAGAAAAAATATTGGCATTGTTATGGCATTAACAGCTATATATATGTACTTTTTTCAAAACAACATTTATAGCATAACTTGAATTTTCTATTTATTAGTATATACATTTTTCTTCTTTTGAAATGTGTATTTTCTAGTTTATTGGATATTGAAAACAATCTTTGATTTATCATTGTAATTTAAGTTCACTGTCTCTTTTCCAGCAATTATTCTTTTTTCTCTTTTGTGCAGTAGTAGAAAACAAAATCCAAGCAAGCATAGACCGGCAAGATATTCAGCTGTCTGGAAGTCTGGAGATTTTGTCCAGCAAGAAGCCCCCTAACAAAAGGCAGAATGCCAAACTGAGTGCTGACCTCTGACATGGCTCTGATACCCCAGGCCCATTAAGAGAGCCTTTTCTCCCAGCGGGGAGGTGATAGAATATTCTGAATTTTCTGTTGAAAAACTAAGACTATATGCAAAGAAAAATTCCCCCCAACGGGTGCAATTCTATCTGGATGATGCCGTCTCAAAATAAATAGCCTGTGAGGTTTGTGGCTTAGAAGACTTGTGACCCCATACCTCTTTGTGTCGTTTTGAAATTTTGCCTCCAGTTCTGTTTCTCTGACAAGACCCATGGCCACCTGCAGCCTAATGCTGCCATGAAGCTTTGTTCTGCTCTTTGGTTGCTGCTGGGTTCTTCTTGGATTGAAAAGAAAAATCACTTCAATCAGTCCATCTATAATGAAATACTGATCTAATGTTTGATACTCCACCATGAAATTAAAATGAAACCGCCCTTGCCACCTCCACCCCCAGCGCCTGTTTCCGAAAGTTTTATGAAGCTTCGTGGATGCTTTACCTCAAAGATGCCCTTGGGCTTCCTCCAGGAGAATGAAGAGGTCAGTGAACCTGCTTCCTGTCCCCTGTTCCCTGTCATGCATTCAGAATCAGAGAGCAGCAGATTCTGAAGTCAAGCTGCCAGAATCTCATGCGCTACCATCTCACCTTAACCACAGGCTACTTCTTTACTTTCAACATCACTGATCAAAATCAGATTTCATGGTGGGTGGGGGATAGTGGGGGGGTGGTGTAGGGAGAAGTAAGGAAATGCTGTCTTTTGTCAGTACAAAATCTGGCCCCCTCAGACTCTGCTGCCCTGAGTTAAATTTAATCTCTCTTTCCATCAATTCCAGTCAGGTTGAGCAGTTAAAGTATGATGTCTATCAACTGCAGACTGCTCTCAGAAACTTCCAGCACCAGTGCTATGCAAGGGAGCAGCAGGAGAGACAGCGAGAAGAGCTTCTGTCTCGAACCTTCACTGCTAACATAAGCCAGGCTTGCGGTGGGGGTCGGCCTGCACTTGACAGATTGTGGGGGCTGGAGTTCAGATCTCTGAGCGTCATCTTTTTTAGGGGGTATCTGAAAAAGATTGATGAGGAGGAAACCAACCCTAAATGACAGGGACTTTGTGCATTGCCACAGAGACTAGACCTAGACAGAAGAATCTCTTTTTCTAACACAAAAACCTGAAGAAGAAGCAGTTAAATTGAAGGGGAATAGGCAGAAGTGAAAATAACCTGGTTGGACTGGTCTGAGACAGAAAGGTGGAAATTCACATGGTGGAAACGTTTTTCTGATCAGATAGAGACAGATGGTTAGAATTTAGGCCATTTGTAGAGAAGGCAGCATTTCAAAGCTGCCTGCGCAGTTGCCATTGTGCCGAGTTTGTGTGTGGTTCCGGTGTCAGGTGCATTAAAATGTTTTTGTCCCTAGTCTGAGCAGCGATTTGAAGGAATTTGTTAATAGATATTTAGGGTTAGATGGACTGCTTGCCTGAGTGTGTCCGAAAGTGTGTTGGTTTCCACATTTGATTTCTCAGAACCCATTGTCCCCGTCTTTTAGTCTTAACCAGACCATTTCCTGAACGTGGCTGTAGAACATATTGGCCTTTTCTGTGTCATGCATAATATATTCCACCAAGTGTAGTGTGCTTTGGCTTTTTGTGTGTTTTTTTTTAGAGGTTTATTTTCCAGAGATGTTAACTTTCTAAGCCTGTTGTTAGAATTCACATCATTTCCCACTTTGCAGATGTTTAATCCTCAGTGCTTCATCCTTGCTTTGCAATACATTTCCCCAAGTGTTTCAAAATGTGCCTATGTAGTTTTTGCTTCTCCAGAGTAAAAAATCAAGTCACAGTGGTTTTTTGTTTGTTTGTTTTTGTTTTTTGAGACAGAGTCTCGCTCTGTCACCCAGGCTGGAGTGCAATGGTGCGATCTCAGCTCACTGCAACCTCTGCCTCCTTGGTTCAAGTGATTCTCCTGCCTCAGCCTCCCTAGTAGCTGGGATTACAGGTGCCTGCCACCAGGCCCGGATAATTTTTGTATTTTTAGTAGAGACAGCATTTCCCCATGTTGGCAAGGCTGGTCTCAAGCTTCTGACCTCAGGTGATCTGCTCGCCTCGCCCTCCCAAAGTACTGGGATTACAGGCATGAGCCACCACGCCTGGCCAAGTCACAGTGTTTAACAATTCAAAAATTTAATGAACTATAAGACACACTAAAAGATGATGTTTGGATTTTAGATTGTTACAATTATGATTCAAGTCTTTTTTCTGTGAAGGATGATCACTCAGGATTATTTTGTTTCTTGCCAGCCTGGTGTGATGCTGGGCATACAGTGGGTTCTTAATAAACACTGACTTGCAAGATGAAATTTCTTCCTGGTCATTCTACCATCTGGAGCTATAATACATTTTTCTGAGAGATAATGGACCATCAGCCATACCTTTTGAGATGGCAGGGTAAGAAAGATTTGTATATAAATGGAGTTCTGTAAGTGCTTGGCAAATTCCTGAGAGAAGTCTCTGAGTCTTTCAAACACTAGCATCTTTTGATGCACTGAGCATTAGCTGCATGTTTGTTGGTGTGCTCTCAGGGTTCAAACCAACACAAGAGCCTTACAGTGCCCAAGGTGGTTGGGGTACAGCTTGGTTTTATATATTTCAGGGAGGCATGAGGCATCAATCGAATACATGAAGAAATACAATGGTTTGGTTCAGAAAGGCGGGACAACTCAAAGTGGGGGCTTCCAGGCTATAGTTAAATTTAAATATTTTCTGGTTGACAATTGGTTGAGTTTATCCGAAGACCTGGGATCAATGGAAAGGAATGTTCAGGTTAAGATAAAGGATTGTGGAGACCATGTTTTGTTGTGCAGACGAATCTCTCAGCAGAGTTCAGGGGGAAAGTAGGTTATAAAATGTTTCTTATTGGACCTAAAAGGGTGCCTGGCTTATAGTTTATTCTCTCCTGGATCTGGAAAAAAAGGAAGGAAAACAAAGAGGAAAGGGGATTGATTCTCTATAGAATGTGGATTTTTCCCACTTGAGATTTGGCAGGGCAATTTCAAGGTATGGCAAGGAAATATATTGTGGGTTAAATATTTTTTCCTTGTGCCAGAATTACATTGAAAAGTAAGTCATGATATATAGGGTCAAATAAAACCCATCTCGTGAGAATTTATGGTTTGTAGGGCATGACTCCCTAGACCCCTTAGGTAGGAATTTGGGCAAAATAAAAAATCAGAGCTTAGTCATCAACTGTATCCGGGCAGCCTGCCTTCAGAAGTCCAGATGAACTCAGATGAGCAAGCTGGACTTTCTCAATTCCTTCTAGAGCCTGAAACTCAAAACCCAGAGACCCTTGAAGAGATCCAGTCCTCTTAGCACCAGCAAGAAGCCCCAGCACAGCTTCCACAGCTCCCTGAGGAGGTAGAACCTTCTTTAACCCAGCAGGAGTCCCCAGCTCTGCCTTCACAGTCCCTTGAGGGGGTCGCTCTTCTTCAACAGAGCAGGAGTCCCCAGCACAGCAGCTACCTCCCTCTGAAGAAATTGTAGCTCAGCCATCAATACATCATGAGGTAAATGTCCCATTTAAAAGTTGGAGTGAAGCTCAGCACTCACACTTGCCCAATGTCAAGCCAGGAACAGGCTGCCTCTCTGCCTCCAGAGCACCCCAAGGAGGTCAACTCTTCCTCAGCCCAATTAAAGGCCCCAGCTCAGACAACAGAGTTCCCTGAGGAGATGAAACCTTCTGCAACTCAGCAAGGGACTCCAGCTGAGCCTCCAGGTCCTCCTGTGGAGGTTGAACCTTCCCCCAGTGAGCAGGAGCAGCCAGTTCAGCCTTGTGAGTTTCCTAGGGGAGTTGAACCTTCTCAGACCCAGCAGGAGGCCCCAGCTCAGCTCCAGAGTCTATGGAGGGTGCAGTTCAAACTCCACTGAATCATGAGGTGACAGTCCAACTTCCAGGCGAGGATCAAGCTCATTATAACTTGCCCAATGTTACAGTTAAACCTGCGGATGTGGATATTGCCATAACTTCAGAGTCTGCCAAGAAGACTGAATCTTCTCCAGCCCAGCAGGAGGCCCCAACCCAGTCTCCAGAGGAGGTGGAAACTTCTGCAACCCAAGAGGAGGCCACAACTGATCCTCCAGGTCCTCCTGTGGAGGCTGACCCTTCCCGCAGTGAGCAGGAACAGCCAGCTTAGCCCTCTGAGTCTTCTGGGGAGGTTGAATCTTCTCCAGCCAAGAAGGAGACCCCAGCTCAGCCTCCAGAACATTATGAAGTTACAGTTTCACCTCCAGGTCACCATCAAGCTCAGCATTCCGGTTTGCCCAATGTCACTGTTAAGCCTCCAGATATGCAGCTCACCATAGCAACAGAGCCTACTGCAGAGGTGGGAACTTCTCCAGTCTACCAAGAGGGTACAGCTCAGCTCTCAGGGCCAGTTAATGATGTAGAACCTTCTGCCACCCAGCATGGGGGCCCACCTCTGCCTCCAGAGTCATTGGAAGAGGCTGGGCCTTTACCAGTTCAACAGGAGACTTCAGTTCAGTCTCCAGAACCTATTAAGGATCAGAACCCCTCTGCAGCCCAGCAGGAGGCTGAGCATCCACAGACCCCTGAGGAGGTTGAGTCTTCTCTAACCCAGCAGGAGGCCCCAGCTCAGACTCCAGAGCTCCTTAATGAAGTTGTAGCTCAATCTCCAGAGCATCATGAGGTAACAGTTTCTCCTCTAAGTCATGATCAAGTTCAGCCTCCAACATTGTACAATGTCACTGTTAAACCTGTGGATCACATGGTTACCATGACTCCAGATTTCACTAATCAGGTTGAAATTTTAACCCAACAGGGGGACCCAGGTCAGCCCTTAGTGTCCCCTGAGCAGTTTCAACATTTGAAACACCAGCAAGAGATTATAGTTCAGCAGCTAAATATCCCGAAAATGATGAACTTCCTCCAGTCCATCAAGAGCCCACAACTCAGCTTCCAGTCGAGCTCTCTTCAGACTTTGAAAGTTCATTGAATGATGGGATGATATTTTCACCTCTAGATCTGTCTTCAATATTCAGAAGTAATTCAACTTTGCCTAATACCACAGTTAAAAATGTGGATATGGAGCTTCCCATACCTTCAGCAGTCACTATGGAGGTTGAACCTTCTCCAGTCCAGCAAGACAACCCTCCTATTCCCACTGAGCAGGCTGACTTTTCTCTAGCCCAGCCTGATCTGCCTTCCCCACCTCTGCATTCTCCTGAAAAGATTGAACCTCCAGTCCAGTAAGAGGCCACAGCTCAGACTCCAGATACCCCTAAGAAGGTAGAACCTTCTCCAGTCCAGCAAGAGTTCAAGCTGAGTCACCAGAGGCCCCTAAGGAGGTTGAACCATGTGCAACCCAGCAGGAAGCCTCAGGTCATCCTCCAAAGTCCACTGAAGAGGTCACTCCTCCACCGCAGCAGGAGATATCAGCTCAGCCATCAGAGCCACCTAAGAAGGTCGAACCATCTCCAGTCCTACAGCAGCCCCCAACTCAGCTTTTAGAGCCAACTAAAGAGGTAGAATCCTCTCCAGTCTAGCAGGCAGGCCCTGCTCAGTCTTCAGAGCCCCCTATGGTGACAGAACCCTCTCTGACCCAGCAGATAGCCCCATCTTTGCCTCCAGAGTTCCCTCAGGAGGTTGGACCATAACTAACTCAGCAGGAGGTTCCAGCTCAGATTCCAGAGCCCTCTATGGAGGCAGAACCTTCTCCAACCCAGCAGGAGGCCACAGTTCAGGTTCCAGAGCCCCCTAAGGACATAGAACTTTCAAGCCAGCAGATGGTCCCACTTCAGCTTCCATAGCCACTTAAGGAGGTTGCAGCTCAACATCCAGCTCACTATGAGGTGACAGTTCCAACACAAGGGCAGGATCAAGCTCAGCACTCAATATTAGCCAGTTTCACAGTTCAACCTTTGGATCTGGGGCTTACCATCACTCCAGAATCCATGACAGACGTTGAACTTTCTCCAACCATGCAGGAGACCCCAACTCAGCCTCCTAAGAAAGTTGTACCCCAACTTCCAGCATATCAAGAGGTAACAGCCGCAACACCAGGTCAGGATCAAGCTCAGCATTCAATGTCACCCAGCATTACAGTTCAACCTATGCACCTGGGAGTTACCATAAGCCCAGAATCCAGTACAGAGGTTGAACATCCTACACCCTTGAAGAAGACTATAGTTCCTCCAAACCACCCTAAGGTGACACTTCCACATCCAGGCCATGTTCAGACTCAGCATTCAAACCTGACTCAAGCCACAGTTCAACCTTTGGATCAGGGGCTTACCATCACTCCAGAATCCACTACAGAGGTTGAACCTTCTACAGCTCTGACGACTACATTTTCTTCTCCAAAACATCCTGAGGTGAGACTTCTACCTTCAGACAAGGGTCAGACTCAACTCACAATTCAACCTTTAGATCGGGGGCTTACCATCACGCCTGAATCCACTACAAAGGTTGAACCTTCTACAGCCCTGACGACTACAGCTCCAGCTCCAAAATGCCGTGAGGTGACATTTCCACCTCCAGACAAAGGTCAGGCTCAGCATTCAAGCCTGACTCAACTCACAATTCCATCCCTTACCATAACTACAGAGCCTACTAGAGGTTAAACTGTCTGCAACCATGGAGGAGACCTCATATGCCTGATGATCTGCAGTCTGATCTTCATCTACATTTTGACCCTTACTTTTGAGGTGAAAAGCTAAGCTAGGGCCTGGTTCTGGTCCCAGTCTAGCATTGGAACCACTTCTAGGAACGTTTCTTGCTGAGTCAGCTTGTCATACAGATCATGATCTGCATTTTGAACCTACTTTTGTGGTGAAAAGCTCAGGTAGGGCCTGGTTCTGGTCCCAGTCTAGCATTGGAAACACTTCTAGGAACGTTTCTTGCTGAGTCAGCTTGTCATACAGATCCTGGTCTACATTTTGAACCTTACTTTTGAGGTGAAAAGTGAAAGGCAATGGAAGGGTGCCACGGACAAAAACGGTCGAGAGGCAGTGCAAAGAAGGCAAAAGTTCCTTTATTAAGCTCTCAGGCGAGGTTCACTGGTCCGCAGGGGAGGGCCAGGGAAGTCGCATTGTGTTGGAGGTGCAGCACGCTTATCTGGACACTAGGTGAGGTAGGGGCGGAGTTGGGGTGGGGCAAGGGAGGAGTTAGTTAGGTTTCGTTTTCCTGAGTGTGACGCGCCTTAGTGGGCACGTGTGCTAGCCGGGATGGCAGGAACCGGGGGAAGATGAACCCGGAAATGCTGAGTCAGGGTGGCCTAGATGGTTGCCTGTCGCCATCTTGGGACCTTCAACGGAGTCCAAACAAAAAGCTAAGCTAGGGCCTGGTTCTGGTCCCAATCTAGCATTGGAACCACTTCTAGGAATGTTTCTTGCTGAGTCAGCTTGTCATATAGATCCTGGTCTACATTTTGAACCTTACTTTTGAGGTGAAAAACTAAGCTAGGGCCTGGTTCTGGTCCCAGTCTAGCATTAGAACCACTTCTAGGAACGTTTCTTGCTGAGTCAGCTTGTCATATACATCTTGATCTACATTTTGAACCTACTTTTGAGGTGAAAAGCTAAGCTAGGGCATGGTTCTGGTCCCAGTCTAGCATTGGAACCACTTCTAGGAACGTTTCTTCCTGAGTCAGCCTGTCATACAAATCCTGGTCTATATTTTGAACCTTACTTTTGAGGTGAAAAGTGAAAGGCAATGGAAGGGTGCCGCGGACAAAAAGCGTCAAGAGGCAGGGCAAAGAAGGCAAAAGTTCCTTTATTAAGTTCTCGGGCGAGGTTCACTGGTCCGCAGGGGAGGGCCAGAGAAGTCGCACTGTGTTGGAGGTGCAGCACGCTTATATGGACACTAGGTGAGGTAGGGGCAGAGTCGGGGTGGGTCAAGGGCGGAATTAGTTAGGTTTCGTTTTCCTGAGTGTGACACGCCTTAGTGGGCACACATGCTAGCCCGGATGGCGGGAACCGGGGGAAGATGAACCCGGAAATGCTGAGTCAGGGTGGCCAAGATGGTTGCCTGTCGCCATCTTGGGGCCTTCACCGGAGTCCAAACAAAAAGCTAAGCTAGGGCCTGGTTCTGCTCCCAGTCTAGCATTGGAACCACTTCTAGGAACGTTTCTTGCTGAGTCAGCTTGTCATACAGATCCTGGTCTACATTTTGAACCTTACTTTTGAGGTGAAAAGCTGAGGTAGGGCCTGGCTCTGGTCCCAGTCTAGCATTGGAACCACTTCTAGGAATGTTTCTTGCTGAGTCAGCTTGTCGTACAGATCCTGATCTACATTTTGAACCTTACTTTTGAGGTGAAAAGTGAAAGGCAATGGAAGAGTGCCTCGGACAAAAAGGGTCGAGAGGCAGGGCAAAGAAGGCAAAGTTTCCTTTATTAAGCCCTCGGGCAAGGTTCACTTGTCCGCAGGGGAGGGCCAGGGAAGTCGCACTGTGTTGTAGTTGCAGCACGCTTATATGGACACTAGGTGATGTAGGGGCGGAGTCGGGGTGGGGCAAGGGCGGCGTTAGTTAGGTTTCGTTTTCCTGAGAGTGACGCGCCTTAGTGGGCACGCGTGCTAGCCGGGATGGCGGGAATGGGGGGAAGATGAACCCGGAAATGCTGAGTCAGGGTGGCCAAGATGGTTGCCTGTCGCCATCTTGGGGCCTTCACCGGAGTCCAAACAAAAAGCTAAGCTAGGGCCTGGTTCTGCTCCCAGTCTAGCTTTGGAACCACTTCTAGGAACGTTTCTTGCTGAGTCAGCTTGTCATACAGATCCTGGTCTACATTTTGAACTTTACTTTTGAGGGGAAAACCTAAGCTAGGGCCTGGTTCTGGTCCCGTTCTAGCATTGGAACCACTTCTAGGAACGTTTCTTGCTGAGTCAGCTTGTCATACAGATCCTGATCTACATTTTGAACCTACTTTTGAGGTGAAAAGCTTAGCTAGGACCTGGTTCTGGTCCCAGTCTAGCGTTGGAACCACTTCTAGGAACGTTTCTTGCTGAGTCAGCTTGTCATACAGATCCTGGTCCACATTTTGAACCTTACTTTTGAGGTGAAAAGTGAAAGGCAATGGAAGGGTGCCGCGGACAAAAAGGGTCGAGAGGCAGGGCAAAGAAGGCAAAAGTTCCTTTATTAAGCTCTCGGGCGAGGTTCACTGGTCCGCAGGGTAGGGCCAGGGAAGTCGCACTGTGTTGGAGGTGCAGCTCGCTTATATGGACACTAGGTGAGGTGAGGGCGGAGTCGGGGTGGGGCAAGGGCGGAGTTAGTTAGGTTTCCTTTTCCTGAGTGTGACGCGCCTTAGTGGGCACACGTGCTAGCCGGGATGGTGGGAACGGGGGGAAGATGAACCCAGAAATGCTGAGTCAGGGTGGCCAAGATGGTTGCCTGTCGCCATCTTGGGGCCTTCACCAGAGTCCAAACAAAAAGCTAAGCTAGGGCCTGGTTCTGCTCCCAGTCTAGCATTGGAACCACTTCTAGGAACGTTTCTTGCTGAGTCAGCTTGTCATACAGATCCTGGTCTACATTTTGAACCTTACTTTTGAGGTGAAAAGCTCAGCTAGGTCCTGGCTCTGGTCCCAGTCTAGCATTGGAACCACTTCTAGGAACGTTTCTTGCTGAGTCAGCTTGTCATACAGATTCTGGTCTACATTTAGAACCTTGCTTTTGAGGTGAAAAGTGAAAGGCAATGGAAGGGTTCCATAGACAAAAAGGGTCGAGAGGCAGGGCAAAGAATGCAAAAGTTCCTTTATTAAGCTCTTGGACGAGGTTCACTGGTCCGCAGGGGAGGGCCGGGGAAGTCGCACTGTGTTGGAGGTGCAGCAGGCTTATATGGACACTAGGTGAGTTAGGGGCGGATTCGGGGTGGGGCAAGGGCGGAGTTAGTTAGGTTTTATTTTCCTGAGTGTGACACGCCTTAGCGGGCTCACGTTCTTGCCGGGATGGCGGGAACGGGGGGAAGATGAACCCGCTAATGCTGAGTCAGGGTGGCCAAGATGGTTGCCTGTCGCCATCTTGGGGCCTTCACCGGAGTCCAAACAAAAAGCTAAGCTAGGGCCTGGTTCTGGTCCCTGTCTAGCATTGGAACCACTTCTAGGAACGTTTCTTGCTGAGTCAGCTTGTCATACAGATCCTGGTCTACATTTTCAACCTACTTTTGAGGTGAAAAGCTAAGCTAGGGCCTGGTTCTGGTCCTAGTCTTGCATTGGAACCACTTCTAGGAACGTTTCTTGCTGAGTCAGCTTGTCATACAGATCCTGATGTGCAGCAGCAAATTGCTCTGGCTCCGGGGGCAGGTCTCCAGCTGAATGTGTGCCTACGAATGGAATCAAAGTCTCATCAAAATCTCAGTCAGTTCCTGAGGCAGAAGAGATGGGTGTGTCTTATCCAAGATTTCTCTGGCTCCAGGGGCAGGTCTCCAGCTGAATCTGTGCCTACAAATGGAATCAAAGTCTCATCAAAGTCTCAGTCAGTTCCTGAGGCAGAAGAGATGGGTGTGTCTTATCCAAGATTTCTCTGGCTCCAGGGGCAGGTCTCCAGCTGAATCTGTGCCTACGAATGCAATCAAAGTCTCATCAAAGTCTCAGTTCCTGAGGCAGAAGAGATGGGTGTGTCTTATCCAAGATTTCTCTGGCTCCAGGGGCAGGTCTCCAATGCAAACAAAGTCTCATCAAAGTCTCAGTTCCTGAGGCAGAAGAGATGGGTGTGTCTTATCCAAGATTTCTCTGGCTCCAGGGGCAGGTCTCCAGCTGAATCTGTGCCTACAAATGGAATCAAAGTCTCATCAAAGTCTCAGTCAGTTCCTGAGGCAGAAGAGGTGGGTGTGTCTTATCCAAGATTTCTCTTATGGAACAAAGTTACATCAAAGCCAATTTAAAAGCCTATGTAAAAAAAATTATTATTATTGATGCAATGTATACAAATATATAGACCAATATAATAAGTTTACTATTCCTACCATGATTTGTCTTTAGTAAAATGGGAAACTGGAGAAAAACTTATGTTTCCAAATGATTATATATCTGTGTTAGATTCTAGTCTTGCCTAATTTTTTTTCAATTTGGATTACTTTCTACAGTTTGGACCAAATTCTAATTTTTTTTTATTACAAGTCTCCAAAATAATTTTTAAATTTTTTTTTCCTTCTTTTTTCCATTTTTCCTAATTTGGAGTCACTGAAAACTAAGCTGTGCTTTCTTAAAATCCTGTGAACTGAAGCCAGACAACTTAAACTTCAGAAGAAAATAACAGCAACCTATTTACATACATAAACCACTTTCATACCTGCCTACTGATGCATAGACTTCAGAGTAATGAGGCCTATATCAAATGTTTCCCGGATTGTTCTTTTGTTTGTTGTTGTTTTCTCTCTCTTCCTCCCACTATTTTCTCTTCGCAGGACATGAGACTTAACAACCTGCTAAAAATGAGCTTTTGGGACCTACCCATCAAGGAATAAACTGTCCTCGCCATGAGAGATCAAATGAAACCTGAGACCAGAGACTCATTTTCTTGTAAAATGCTTTCTCCAACAGATTTTTAAAAAGAAAAGGGGGGAAATGTGAAAGGAAAATATCTGTGGTCCCCAAAATCACGAAGGAAAACTCAAGCCGGGAACTGCTTAGGGCAAACCTGCCTCCCATTCTATTCAAAGTCACTCCTTTGCCCAATCAGATAGATGCTTATCTGATTTGCCTCCTTTGGAAAGGCTGATCAGAAACTCAAAAGAATGGAACCATTTGTGTAACAGCCATCTGTGACCTGGAAGCTTCCTTCCCACTTCAGTCTTCCTGCCTTTGCTTCAAGTTGTCCTGTCTTTCCAGATGAAGCAATGTACTTCTTAACATATATTGACTGATGTCTCATGATGTCTCCCTAAATGTATGAAACCAAGCTGTGCCTGACAACCTTGGACATATTTTGTCAAGACTTCCCTGAGGCTGTCATTGGTGCATCCTCAACCTTGGCAAAATAAACTTTCTAAATTAACTGAGACCTGTCTCAAGTTTAGGGGGTTCACAGTGGGGGGGGCAATTCAGTCTGGGAGAGAAGGCTTTAATCCGAGTGAAGAGCCCTTTGCACTACTAGCCTGCGAGGAGGCTGAACTGTCTTCCTGCCTTGACTTAACACAGCCGTTACCATAGAAATTACAGCGCCACTCTTCAGAGGTCTACCCTGTGTGCACACATGGACAAGAGGTTTAGGTTGTTAAAGTCAGCATATTAAACAATTTCCTGAAATGCGGCTGTAACTAGAACCCAGCTGACTTCCCCCACTGCCATTCTTACCTATTTTATTGCTCATTGTCTGGCACAATCAATAGCATGTGAACGCCAAGCAGGTGCTTCATCTTATTCCAGTGCCTAGAATAGGCATATGTTGCAGATTAATGGTTTTAAATGGAAGGGATTCCAAGACTCACTTCATCAAGGGGTAGATCTACTGTTATAATCAGATTTCTGAAATCAGTGCTGACTTCCTCTCACATTTCATGGGAAGCTAGATTTCTTAAAGGTTAAAGTTTCCTTGATGGGTTTTATTTAAATTGAATTAAAATAATTATTTTACAGAGAAAAACCTCGAAACACTTTGCAACTTTGGGGTGAAAGTTAAATAAAACATGCTAGCCCCAAATTAAGTTCCCACTGAAATGAATGTTTTAAAAAAAATTCTGGCCGGGCATGGTGGCTCACTCCTGCAATCCTAGCACTTTGGGAGACTGAGGTGGGCAGATCACATGAGGTCAGGAGTTTGAGACCAGCCTGGCTAACATGATGAAACCCCGTTTCTACTAAAAATACAAAAAATTAGCTGGGTGGATATTGCGGGAACCAGCCCCCAATATTTCAACGTAGGTTCTTTTCTATTTTCCCTAAGTGTCAGCCGGTCTGAGAAATAAAGGGAAGGAGTACAAAAGAGAGAAATTTTAAAGCTGGATGTCCGGGGGAGACATCACATGTCGGCGGGTTCTGTGATGCCGCCCAAGCTGCAAAACCAGCGAGTTTTTATTATGGATTTCAAAAGGGAGGGAGTGTATGAATAGGGTGTGGGTCACAGAAATCACATGCTTCACAAGGCAATAAGATATCACAAGGCAAATGGGGGCAGAGCAAGATCACAGGACCAGGGTGAAATTAAAATTGCTAATGAAGTTTCATGTCCCACTGGGCACACATTGTCATTGATAACATCTTATCAGGAGACAGCGTTTGAGAGCAGACAACTAGTCTGACTAAAATTTAGTAGGCAGGAATTTCCTTATCCTAATAGGCCTGGGGGTGCTAGGGGAGACCGGGGCATATTTCATCCCTTATCACAACTGTATAAGACAGACATTCCCAGAGCGGCCATTTTAGAGACCTCCCCCTAGGAATGCATTCTCTTTTCTCAGGGCTGTTCCTTGCTGAGAAAAAGAATTCAGCAATATTTCTCTTATTTGCTTTTGTAAGAAGAGAAATATGACTCTGTTCCGCCTGGCTCCCAGGCAGTCAGATCTAATGGTTATCTCCCTTGTTCCCTGAACATCGCTGTTATCCTGTTCTTTCTTCAAGGTACTCAGACTTCATATTGTTTAAATGCACATGCTTTACGAACAATTTATGCAGTTAACGAAACCATCACAGGGTCCTGAGGCGACAGGCATCCTCAACTTATGAAGATGATGGGATTAAGAGATTAAAGACAGGCACAGGAAATCACAAGAGTATTGATTGGGGGAGTGATAAATGTCCATGAAGTTTTCACAATTTATGTTCAGAGACTGTAGTAAAGACAGGCATAAGAAATTGTAAAAGTATTAATTTGGGGAACTAATAAATGTCCATGAAATCTTCACAATTTATGTTCTTCTGTCACGGCTTCAGCAGGTCCCTCCATTCGGGGGGTCCCTGACTTCCCACAACAAGCATGGTGGCAGGTGCCTGTAATCACAGCTATGGGAGGCTGAGGCAGAAGAATTGCTTGAACCCGGGAGGCAGAAGTTGCAGTGAGCCAAGATCCTGCCATTGCACTCCAGCTTTGACAACAAGAGTGAAACTCCATCTCAAAAAAAAAATGTCCATATGCAGTAAATAATGACTTTTTTCTTTTAGAGATTTAGAAACTTAATCCCTATTTAAGAGCTTTCATATACAGTCATGCATTGCTTGCCATATGAGGAGGAGCTTGAGAAATGTGTCATTAGGTGATGTCACCTTGTGCTAACATCATAGCGTATACTTACACAAACCCAGGTGGTATAGCCCACAGCACACCTAGGCTATGTGGTATGGCCTACAGCTCCTAAGCTACGAACTGTACTATATGTTACTGCTGTTAGGTTTTGAAGGGAAGGTGAGGGCTAAAGAAAGACACAGAAAGAGGGCAGCTTAACAGCAAATGCAGGCTTTACATCCAGCATAAAACCTACAAAAGACCAGCCTAATGCCAGAGCCTACACTGCTTACAGGCTGGGGCAATTTATAGGTATGGGTGGGAGTGGCCTGGGCAGTATGGCTTGCTGCCCGGCAGGATATTGATGAGATATTCGTTCCCACGATGTGGCTGTTCTGGCCCTTGTTCCAGCAGGATGTCATCATGGTGTTCCTTGGATCTTTGTCCAGCAAGACATGATAGGGATATTTCTTTAGTTGGGCCTTTGTCCACCTTGTGGTCAGGTGGTTAGGCAAGATGTTTCTCACAGCACAAACCCCTGTGAAATGTTTCACTTTGACCAAGATCTGCAAAATAGCAGGGAGCTTACAACATGGTGCAGTTTGGACTAACATTCTTGCCTTTTACTTTAAAAGGAAGAGGGGCATTGTTGACTGTCTGGCTGCTTCTTGCTGAATAGGGCGCTGTACTCAGGTTTGTGTTTTGAAGCAGTGGGTGTTTGACTTCACAATTGTTTTCTTTCTTTTTTTTTTTTTTTTTTTTTTTAGATGGAGTCTTGCCCTTGTTGCCCAGGCTGGAATGTAATGACACAATCTCGGCTCACTGCAACATCCGCCTCCTGGGTTCAAGCAATTCTCCAGCCTCCAGCCTGTAGGCACCTACCACCATGCCTGGCAAATTTTTGTATTTTTAGTAGAGACAGGGTTTCACCATGTTGGCCAGGCTGGTCTTGAACTCCTGACCTCAGGTGATCTGCCCACCTTGGCCTCCCAAAGTGCTGGGATTACAGGCGTGAGCCAGCACACCCTACCCAGAGCTGTTTTCCTTGAGGCACTGATATTGGACTTGGCAGAAGAGAATGATGGTATTAATGTGTTTCTGGGTGTTGCCTGGACAAGGGAGTTCAGCCTTTGGAAGAGAAAGTGGGATAGGAAGTGAGTACACATGGGCCAATTGTTAGTATTATGAGGAGGAAAATTTGGGGTCCTAAGAAAGGGCCAACCAGCTATCCTGGTGCTGAGTGTAGCAGAGATGTTTTGCCCCTGCTAAAGAGAATGAAGTGTACAGCCCGCCTGGTGTGTGTGGAGAAGGAGGAAACAGGGACTACTAAAGGAACCTGAATAGTTTGGTTGTTAGGCAAAATGTTAATGTTTGGAGATTGAAACACCAGGGTGCATGTTCCTGGCCAATTGGCCAGTAGGCAGCGATAAGAGTTTGTACTGCAAAGGAAGAAGATCACAGGTGCACACCACCACGCCCGGTTAATTATTACATTTTTTTTATAGAGACGAGGTTCCCTAAGCCCCCCAAGGGCAGCCTAGGGAATTCTGGCACTCTCCAGATGTCAGAGGTCATAATCAAGGATGACGCCTTTAGTTAGACAAACCAACTTTGAGCCTTCACTCCACACTATAGGGGAGTCCCAGACAAGAACACAGCTTGGGCTGGGCACAGTGGCTCACACCTGTAATCCCAGCACTTTGGGAGGCCGAGGTGGGCAGATCACTTGAGGTCAGGAGTTTGAGACCAGCCTGGCCAACAAAGTGAAACCCCATCTCTACTAAAAATACAAAAATCAGCTGGGCATGGTGGCAGGGACCTGTAGTCCTAGCTACTTGGGAGGCTGAGGCAGGAGAATTGCTTGAACCTGGGAAGCGGAAGTTGCAGTGAGCTGAGGTCACGCCACTGCACTCCAGCCTGGACCACACAGCAAGACTCTGTCTCAAAAATAATAATAATAATAATAATTAATAATAATATGCAGCCACAAAAAAGAATGAGTTCATGTCCTTTGCAGGGACATGGATGAAGCTGGAAACCATCATTCTCAGCAAACTAACACCAGAACAGAAAACCAAACACCACATGTTCTCATAAGTGGGAGTTGAACAATGAGAACACAAGGACACAGGGAGGGTAACATCACACACTGGGGCTTGTCGGGAGGTGGGGGACAAGGGGAGGGAGAGCAGTAGGACAAATACCTAATGCATGCAGCTTAGCTTAAAACCTAGATCACGGGTTGATGGGTGCAGCAAACCATCATGGCACATGTGTACCTATATAACAAACCTGCATGTTCTGCACATGTATCCCAGAACTTAAGTAAAATAATAATAATGTGTTATATATCATATGTCATATGATATGAATGTAGCTATAATGACAATAATAGCTATTAAAATGGCATTTGAGGCAGGTCTTGAAGGATATGCAGCCTCATTGGCCAAAATTTCCATCACTCCCTGCTTGTTCTCCCCTCTGTCAGTCAATCAGCTGCTACCAGGGAGGTCTAGTTTCTGAAACACGGGAACTGTGTGAGCAGAAGGGTGAGGAGGAGGGCGTTTGAAGGCGAGGTAGCTCTGCAGCCCCCAAGCTGCCCTCCACACTGGAAACCAGTCAAGGCGTGGCCTCCTCAGCTGGGCTTGACATCCTGTTCTGCTCTGGACCTGCCAAGGGTCAAGCTCTGAGGGTTTCCTGCCAGGCTGCAGGGAGGGGTTTGGGTGTAGAACTGGTGGACTGGAAATGAACCGATTTGCCCCCAGATTAATGATTAACAGGTTACTACCCTCACCGTGTCTGGGAGAGGAGCCCAACTCCAGGCTGGGCCAGGGGGAGCCCAATAGCACCTACCTCTGCTTGGGGGTTTCGGAGATATGCTCCATGATGGGACTGGAATCTACGGGTGATTTCTGAGGGTACCTGGGGCCTGGCCAGGCTGCATAACCTCTGGTGAGGCTTCTGACTTCTGGGGCATACAGAGAGGGTGTGGCATCCAGCCAGACATCCTGGCTAAGGCAGGTGGCTTCAAACAGGAGAGCTGTGCCCTTGGCTCAGAGGGATGTGGGCCTCTCTAACCACTCCTGGCTTGACCACAGGACTTGCCTTGGCCAGTGGCACCTGAGCAACAGTGGCAAGTGCCACATCCAAGCAGGAGCTCTAAGAGCTATCCCCTGCTTCCACCTTTGCTTTGCTCTTTTTTTTTTGGATACAGGGTCTCACTTTGTTGCTCAGGCTGGAGTGCAGTGACGCGATCTCAGCTCACTGCAGCCTCTGCCTCTCAGGCTCAAGCTATCCTCCCATCTCAGCCTCCCAAGTAGCTGGGACTACAGGCTTGTGCCATCATGCACTGCTAATTTTTGTATTTTTAGTAGAGATGGGGTTTCATTATGTCACCCAGGATGGTCTCAAACTTCTGGACTCAAGAAATTCACCTGCCTTGGCCACCCAAAGTGCTGGGATTACAGGCGTGATCCACCACACCCAACCCACTTTTGCTCTTTTACCATGGCTATGAGGTCAGGATGCCCCAGAATGGGGTTACTTCTTTCGGTGGGGGGGAGTCCTGGAATGATGTATATTCCACCCACACTGGGGGCCACCAGGGTATAGGACAGCAAACATTTTGAAGCAGCAGAGCTATCTCACAGTTTCTGGGAAGAAGGAAGGCAAGCTCTAATTCCAATTTCCACCCTGCTGCCAATATGTTGAATGACCAAGCCAGTTGCAGCCTCCTCATTAAACCATCATTTCCATATCTGGACAAAGGGGAGACTCTGCTTAGTTGGAGAGTAAAGCATATTGCAAAACGAGAGAAATTTCGGAAACTCCAGTTAGCAGGAAGGTAGGCCTGCATGTGGTTAGTCCATTTCATATAATCCTCCCAGCAACCCTAGGAGGTAGAGAAGATCACTCTCCCCAATTTCCAGAAGAGAAAAACCAAGGAAACCGCACAGCTATAAAGTCAGTCTTAGAATTTGGCAGCTTGGCTCCAGAATCGATGAACTTTGGATCTAGGAGAACAAGAAGTCTGGGATTGATGGCCTGATGGGAATTCAGCTCCTTCACCTTCATCCAACCATCCATCAGTCCTTCCTCCCTTCCCTTCTTTCCTTTCCTCCCCTTCCCTCCTTTCTTTTCCTCCCCTTCCCTCCCCAGGCATCTATTTGTAGCAGGCACCAAGTGGTCAGATGGTTGAAGGTCTATCTGGGAAGTATGGAAACATGTTAGATTGGTATGGGATTACCTGGGCAGCAACATTATGTAAGGGAGAGAGGGATGTCAGGGGACCTTGGCTGGGTGTCCGCTCAATGTGCACATCCCCTCTGCCGGCCTCCTCTTAGGAATGTGGCTCTCCTGGCCAGGCAGCGACAAATACTATGTGCGCTATTTCCCAAACTTCTTGGATCACAAAAGCTAGCCGGGGAATGTGGTAAATATACATATTTCCAGGCTCAATTCCAGACCAGTAGACTCCGAATTGCCCAGCATGGATCCTGGGAAAGTGTATTTTTAATAAGCACTCCAGATGATTTTTCTAACTGGGCAAGTTTGGGAAACAGGGTGGATAAGAAGAGCAGAGATCGGAATCTGGAAAACTTGGGTTTAAGGTCCTGCAGCAAACCTTGTTCCAGGAACTTTGGTTTCCTAATCTGTAAAATGGGGATGGGACCCCCATGGGGTCAGCCTGCCACCCAGAAGGGCAGTAAATGAAGCCCCCGAGAAGGCCCCCTTCCCTTCATCTGCCCCACGCCACCATCCCCAAGGCTCACCCATCTCCCTCTTCTTGCCCTCTCCAGCCTGACGGGGTGGGAGGTCTTGACGCCATTCCCAGGATTGGGCGCTGCGGTGGCCCCAACACGGGGTGGGGCCAACCTGAAGCAGTGTGACCTGCTGATGCTGAAGTTTTCCCAGCGGCAGAAGCAGCTCTGCTGGAGGGACCCCTACCTGGCTGAGACCCTGCGGGACGCTGCACACCTGGGCCTGCTCCAGTTTCAGTCCCATCCTGAGTTCCATCCTGAGTTCCAGCTCCGTCGTGAGCGCTGGAACTGTAGCCTAGAGGGCAGGATGGGCCCGCTCAGGAGAGGTGGGGAGGAGGGCCAGGGAGGAGGAGGGCTGGGAGAAGAACGCTGGGGGGAGGAGGAGGCTGGGAGAGGCCACCTTTTCCTCTTCCCTGGCCCCTGTGCCCAGGCCACACTGCCCTTCCTGCCCTAGCAAGTCCCAGATGAGAAGAGTCCTGGGAGGTAATAAGGGGCAGTTGAAGGCCAGGTGTGGCCCAGCCTCAGGTTTGGGGGAGCAGAGGAGCAAGGAAGATCCAAGAGAGGAGGAGACACAAGCCCGTTTTGGAGGAGCCCACAGATGAGATGGGGGGTCCCTCGGTTTCCTCCCTCTGCCTCTTCCACATCCACATGTGAAGCTAAGCACATGGACACGTGAGCATGGGTGGCAGCTGCTTCCAGGCCCGAGGAGGTGAGCCAGGCCATGTATTTGTTCGCTCATTCATCTGTCCCTTTGTCCCTTTGTGGGTCACATCCATTGATCCATGAGTCCCTCCTTCCCTTCTGCTCCTCCCTCCCTTCCTCCTGCCTCCCTCCCACCTCCACCCACCCCCTAAGCATCCAAGGAGGCCCACGGTGAGCTGGGCACTGTGCCAGATGCTGAAAGTTCAGAGCTGAACAAGACCCCAGCTGCCCTCAGGAAGCATGCAGTCTAGAGGGCAGAACACAGGACACCATGAGACTCCCTCACCAAGGGGAAAGGGCTTCTATGGGACTTTAAAAAAAAAATGCAGTGATGCTGTACAGGGCAGCCAGGCCCCTCCTAGGCCAGCTGCTCTCCACGGTCTGCAGCCTAGCTAATGGCCTCTCTCTCTGTCTCTCTCGGGATGTCACCAGCACCCCAGATGCACTGGAGGGCAGGTAGGAAGGAGTGAGCCCCTGGGAGGCCAGGTTTGGGCCACCCCCAGCAGAGAGGAGTAGCGGTGGTCCCAGAGTGGGTTGGATGGTCAGTCTGGGGCAAGTCAGCCAGGAGACTCAAGATCACTATTACTGGGTCTGTTCCACAGTGGGTAGCAGAGAATGATATTTGAGAACCATCATGCCTCACAGGAAGCCCACGGGGCTTATCTCAGGGGCCCTGGAAATGGGCCGGTCCAAATGGTCACACACCAACTTGGAGCCCCTGTCCTGCTGCTCTCTGGGAACCTGGGCACATACTCCACAGTGAATTTGGAAGGTCCATTTAAATGGCAGCTTTCAGTCAGAGTTTAAGGGGTGATTGACAGGGATACCCACCTGGAGCTGTGTCCTCAAGCCGCATTCCCTCGTCCTGCCCATCACAGCGCTGCCACCACTGCCTCCTGCCCTCAGAGGTTGGCAGGCAGCCTCTGAGCGTCCTCCTTTCCTTTCTTCCACCTTTCCTCCCTCCCCATAACCCTCCACAGTTCCCGGAATTAGTAAGGGAGTCCAGAAGAGTGAGGGGCTGAGAGCCCTCAGTGCCTGCAAAAGAGCCTGGGTTTGTTAGGACAGCTGAGACTGCAAAAGGACACATCGTTTGAGCTCTTGTAGGGGCGGGGGGATGTTCAGCACTGGGCTGTGACTAATGGGAATAAGGAATAGCCTGTTTACTGGTATTTAGGGTACACTGGTCCCTAGATATCTCCTCCCACCCTGTACTATGGAATTTTTTCATGGTAATCTCATTTCTTTTTCTAGAGATTATTGGCTCCATAGAAATGCAGTCTTGGTCTCACTTGGCTACTGAGCCATCCCATAAACTTCAGTGACATTGACATTGAGTTTCTCACACCCCCACCAAAAGCAGGGTTTTCTTGTTTGTTTGTTTTTGTTGTTGTTTTGAGACAGAGTCTTGCTCTGTCACCCAGGCTGGAAGTGCAGTGGCGCAATCCTGGTTCACTGCAGCCTCAATTTCCCAGTCTCAAGCAATCCTCCTACCTCAGCCTCCCCAGTACCTGGGACTACAGGCATGTGCCACCCACACATAGCTTTTTTTTTTGAGATGGAGTTTTGCTCTTGTTGCCCAAGCTGGAGTGCAATGGCACGATCTTGGCTCACCGCAACCTCTGCCTCCCGAGTTCAAGAGATTTTCCTGCCTCAGCCTCCCGAGTAGCTGGGATTAGAGGCATGCACCACCACGCCCATCTAATTTTGTATTTTTAATAAAGACTGGGTTTCTCCATGTTGGTCAGGCTGGTCTCGAACTCCTGACCTCAGGTGATCTGCCCACCTCGGCCTCCCAAAGTGCTGGGATTATAGGCGTGAGCCACCATGCCCGGCCACACCTAGCTTTTAAAAAATTTTTTGTAGAGACAAGGTCTCTCTATGTTGCTTAGGCTAGTTTCAAACTCCTGGGTTCTAGTAATCCTCCTACCTCAGCCTCCCAAAGTGCTGGCATTACAGGCATGAGCCACCATGCCTGGCCAGGAGCGGGTTTTAATAAGGAGAAGAGGCCAGAAGATGAGACACTTTCAGAAGTGGAGATGGGAGAAAGCGTTTCTTTCATGAATGGAGGGGCTCACGCCTGTTAATCATCTAGCATGTGCCAGGAGCTGTCCAAAGGCTGAGCTACATAATCCAAATCCATCTTCACAACAGTCCTAACCAGCTCCATTTCACAGATGAGGATGTGGAGGCTCAGGGGAGATGATGTCCCTTAATCAAGGTCACACAGCCAGGAGGTAGTGAATTTAGGATTCCTACCCAGAAGCCCTTGCTCTTCCTAGTGTGCCCCTTCTGGGGTTGGGGTGGGCACGAAGAATCGGCGCACATTTCACAACCTTGCCCCAGAAAGGTGGCAATATTGAACGGGTAGAGGCGACCTGACAGGCCACACAGCTGAGGCTCTGTGGCCTGAGGCAGCCAAGGCCTAAGTTCATCATCCAAGCAGTCAAGACCCACCACCCTCCAGAAGGCTTAGCAGGTCATGCCTCAGGGGCTCCAAAATGGCCAGGCAGGCTGAGAAAATCTCCAAGCTGTGCAGTGGGGCCTGCAATCCTGAAACCAGAAACCATAACCCCACCCCTTCCCCATGGCAGCAGGCCTAGGGAAGGGGAATAAGGGGTGCTGGGACCCCACAGCAGCCCTGTAAGGAAAGGAGGCACCTTGGATCTAGCCAGATGGGGAGGGGCATCTGGTCTCAGCATAACTCCCTGACAGTAGCCCCTGGGAAAAGCACAGCCCCCTCTCAACCCCAGAGCCAGTTTCTCCTTGGATCTGTATACTTGGAGCAAAACATTACCCTATTCCCCAGGCCTCCCTGCCTCTGCCACCCACACCTCTGGGCCCCTGGCAGGGACTGTGCCCTGGTCAGAACAGCTGGTAGCCCATGTGCTTCCACCCCCACCTTCTCTCTGTTCCGGACTTTCAGGTCATGACACAGGGGGAGGAAAAGAAGGCTGCGCTGGAAGTGGAACTTTAGCGGGAAAGGGGGCATGGATCCTTAGGAATATAAAGGGACTCAGGTCCTGGCCAGAGACGCTTTGCTGTGCTCCTCTGCACCTGCCCAGCACCATGGTAATGTTTGGGCCCCCTATCAGCTGTATTCTCTAGGAGCCTGGGGATGGGGGCTGACACCAAGGGCCCTCCTCAGGCTCACTAAGGGCATGAAGGGGTTAGGCCAGGGCAGCCTCGTCTGCCATTCTGATGGTCAGGACAGCTACTAAGGCTTCTTATCCCTGCTTGGGATGGTGGGGATGAGTGGAGTTCCCGGTTAAAAGAGGGTTGAGGGGCTTAGGAGCTCTGGGGGTGTGCATCATGTTTATGGGCATCGTAGTCTGTGAATCATGGTGTGTTGCAGGCACAAAATTCTCTGTGCATTGGGTGTGTGAATCATCAGGCTGGCGTTCCTGTGTGTAACTGTTAGTCATTCATTTAATATGTATTATTGAGTATCTGCTAAGTGCCAGGCACTGTTCTAGGTGCTTGTGATCCATCAATAGACAAAATAAGCAAAGAGCCCAGCTGCAATTAATGACGCCTACACTGAGGGAGGAGATGCCGCTGGGAAGGGATCGGACATAAATATAATAAATATAGAATATATAAGTTAGAAAGTGCAGGCCAGGTGTGGCAGCTCATACCTGTAATCCCAGCACTTTGGGAGGCAAGGCAGGAAGATCGCTTGAGGCCAGGAGTTTGAGACCAGCCTGGGCCACCTAGCAAGACTCCATTTCTACAAAAAATTAAAATTTAGCTGGGCATGGTTGTGTGCACCTGTAGACCTAGCTACTTGGGAGGCTGAAGCAAGAGGATGGCCTGAGCCCAGGAGTTTGAGGCTGCCGTGAGCCATGATCCCTACACTATACTGCAGCCTGGGCAACAAAGCAAGACCTTGTCTAAAAAAAAAAAAAAAGAAGAAGAAGAAAAAAGAAAGTGCAAAAATAGAGCAAGAAAAAGCAAGATGAAGGGTTGAGTTGCAATTTTTTTAAATTTATTTTTTAAATTGTTGAGACAGGGCTCTCTGTCTTTTGCCCACACTGGTCTCGAACTCATGGGCTCAAGTGATCCGCCCGCCTTGGCCTCCCAAAGTGCTGGGATTACAGGCGTCATCTACCGCACGCTGCCGGGTTGCAATTTTAAACAGGGGTGTCAGGATAAGACCCATTTAAAAGGTGGATTTTGAGCTAATGCCTCCAGGGGGCGACAGAGCCGGCCATGAGGATGTCTGGAGGAAGAGTCTTCTGGGCTGAGGACAACCTGACTGACACTTTGAGGGAAGGGCAGGGAGAAAGGAGGGCGATAAGGAATTTGCGGGAGAGAGGTCGGTGAGATTAGGGAGCTGACCAATGGTTTTATGCCGTCCTCGTGCGTACACCTTAGAGGTGTCTCCCCGTTCATTTTTACCTCGATGCTTTCTGCGTGCATCACCGGGCATGTCCAGGTGTGCACCATTCCCCTGGGCACCAGGATGTCCCTTAGGGCGTCCGTGCACTGGTGTGTGTCCCAGAAATAGCCACGTCCCTCGGCTGAGCGCCCCTGCACGCCAGGCTGCCCACGGCGCGGAACACCCGCAAGCTACCGTCAGGGATCGCGCCGACCCCAGCCGTGGGGTCACGTGACCGCCCGCGGCTCTGTCCGCCCTGCCCCCTCCAGACGCGGGCTCTGCGCTGCTCATGCGCTCTGGTCGTGGCCGGCCTCGTGTGGGTGCTGCTGCCGCCGGAGGGCGCCCTGGGCGAGGGGCTGCAGGTGCCGCAGCAGTCCAGGGCCGCCAGCTGGCTGAATTTAGGCTCGATCAAGAAGTACGTGGGGGCCGGGCGCGGTGGCTCACGCCTGTAATCCCAGCACTTTAGGAGGCCGAGGCGGGTGGATCATGAGGTCAGGAGATCGAGACCATCCTGGCTAACAAGGTGAAACCCTGTCTCTACTAAAAATACAAAAAATTAGCCGGGCGCGGTGGCGGGCGCCTGTAGTCCCAGCTACTCGGGAGGCTGAGGCAGGAGAATGGCGTGAACCCGGGAAGCGGAGCTTGCAGTGAGCCGAGATTGCGCCACTGCAGTCCGCAGTCCGGCCTGGGCGACAGAGCGAGACTCCGTCTCAAAAAAAAAAAAAAAAAAGAAGTACGTGGGGAGGCTCTTCAACAGCAGGTGATCCGGCGGAGGGCGCGAGGTTGGGAGGGAGGACGACGGAGGGTGCGGGGGGACACGGACGCCGCCGGGCACCCCCACGCGCATCGCGGCCCAAGCTGGGCTCTGGGAGCAGCCTCATGACCGCTGCAAAGACGTGTTCTCAGCACAAAGAAATCTAAAAACCACAAGAAAATTGCAAACGCCACGAACACCTCCCCACCGAAAGCCACGAAACCCCCTCCATGGACCACCACGAAACCCCAGTGGCTGAACACCTCGGAACCCCGACCACCAACCTCCTGGGGCCCCAGGTAGGACAGCCTGTACGGTCGGCACCGAACTAAGGGCCTCGGGACTGGGGGCAGCTTGGGTGGGAGCGAGAGGAAGCCCTCGGGGGTGGGCGTGCGGGGAGATACTGGCGCCCTGGGGCTTCCTTCTCCAGGCTGGGGCTTGGCCTCCAGACGCCTGGCCCTCCACCAACCCTTTTATATTGAGAGGGGCCTCAACCCTTCCTCATCCCCCTCAGCGAAAACAACAAAGACAAATCTCTGTTGATTCAGTGACTTCTGTGGGCCGGGGAGGGACCAGTCCTTCGATGGGGAGGGGGAACCCTGGAGTTCCTGCTGTGGGAGAAAAAACCTCAGCTGCTGGGTGGAAGGGTCCTCCCCTCACTCCCCCAGCAACCTTCCCCCACCTCACCCCACACACCACCACTAGCGTAGGGGAGACTCCAACGCAGAGGGAGGGCAGAGGTGAGAGAAGTGGGAACCTCAAAGGAGAGCTTCAGCTAGACACACCCCCAGTCCCACCTCACCCAAGTTTCTACCAAACAGCCCAGCTTGGGCTGTCAGAGTTGGCACAGCAACAAAAAGAGGTGCCTTTGCCCCTTACCGTGCAGAGTATAGGGGGCCGCCTTTGCCTCCTGAACTTCTAAGCTCTTCTAGGGTGAGCAGAGCGGGGGAAGGGGTGGACCTGGCCAGGGCCTGTCCCTGAGAAGCTGGGCGTGAGGGTGGCTCTCTCTCTTCTGGGGGCTCCCTTGGCCATGAGAGAGGCTTGGTGGGGGCAGAGCCCCTTGCCCTGATCCTACTCTCAGACCCAGGTATGTCTCCAGGTTGCGAACTCCTGGCTCTAGGAAGTATCCACACCTCTCCCCATTCTCACCCCATCCCCTTAAGCTGCCAGATAAAATGCTGGGACTTCAGGCTCCCTTATTCAGACTCAAACTGTTCTCTTGCTGAAGCCATCTCTCTATCCAGACACCCCTTGGATTTAAGAATCAACCTGAGGTTGGGCATGGTGGCTCACACCTGTAATCCGGAGCACTTTGGGAGGCTGAGGTGAGCAGATTATTTGAGCTCAGGAGTTTGAGACCAGGCTGGGCAACATACCAAGACCCTGTCTGTACAAAAATAAAAAAATTAGCTGGACATGGTGGCATGTGCCTGTAGTTTCAGCTACTTCAGAGGCTGAGGCAGGAGGATCGCTTGAGTCCAGGAGGTCAAGGCTACGGTGAGCTGTGCTCATGCCACTGCACTCCAGCCTGGGTGACAGAGCAACACCTGTCTCCAAAAACAAAAAATCAATCTGAGCCAAGCAGCTGCACCCTCTTAAAGCTCTTTGCCTTTTAGGACCTGGTTCTACTTCCAGGTCATTTGCACACACCAGATTGAGTCAGGACTTGAGGGGAAACACAATTGTGGAGTCACTTCCATGGGGTCTGTGCAAGGTGCTGAGCTCAGGAAAGTGGACCCCTCATCCTCCAAACCCATAACCCCATCCCTTCAGGCCAAGCATGTGGGGGAGGCAGGAGAAGCCATTCTAGGAACCAGACACATTCTAGTTTCCTCACTTCTCCCCTTTACACATACGCACACATGCGCGCTCTGTCCCCACCTATTCAGGATGACTGAGAAGGGCCAGGAAGAGACAGGTGCACTGGGACTCCGGGCAGTCCTCCTTGGGGCAGGATCCAGGTCTTTGCCCTCCCAGAGCTGGAGTGTGGAATCCACAGATTGGATTCATGGCAGTGGCTGGAACTCTCAGCTAATCTAGCCTCCTCCCTTTCCACAGCAGCTTGAATACCTCCTGCGCCCAGGATTTCACTACCTCTCCGGACAGCCCATTCTCTCCAAATTTCTGGACGGCAGCTCAGGCCCCTGGATGCAGCCATGACTGCCATAGCACCAGAATTGTGCCTCCATGCTGGGCTGATGCCCCTGCCCCCATGCCAAGGATGCTTTAGTATACCTTTTGGTGCTCCTGCTGCCTCAGCCACAGGAACGCACTGGTGCACTTGGGGCAGGGTTGTCATGGGGCTGGGTTGGGAGGGTCTACAGGTGCTGAACTGGGAAGATTCAAGCTCAAGACTGCCACTTCACCGATTGCCGAATGACCACAGAGGAGTCCCTGCCTTCCTCTGGCCACAACTTGTCCCTCTGTGGAGAGGATGAGCTGAGTGACTGATGACCTCATGGACGTTCTGGATGATTTACAAGCACAGCCTGCTTTCCCTGTTGCGTCCGCCCTGCCCTCCCCTTTCCATGCATTTGGCTCTTCCTGCTGCCCCCCACCAGGGGTCCACAGAGACACAGAGATAAGCTGTGCTTTGACTTGCTTTATTGAGCCTGTGCAGGAACAGGGAGTGAGCTTCGGCCAGAGCCAACAGTGTGGAGGGGAGAGCTGGGCTGGCACTGCCCGTGGAGTGGTAGGGGGCGGGAGGTAGTGTTACAAGTCCAGCGGGCTGAGCTCTCTGTGAGGACAGAGTGGAACATGGCAGTGTGGGGGGCAGGCCTCGTGCGTCAGGAGGCCTCAGGCCAGCCCTGGGCTCCTGTTCTCCCTCTTCCACCCCCCACCACACCTTTTCAAACCCTGATTCAGTCCCACCATCCCCATTTCACCCCCAGGGAGCTGGACAGACAGGGTAGGGAGTCGAACTCACCTGGGGGCAGCAGCATGGGAAGACCCCACTCTGAGAAGGCCAGCGTGTCCTCTTTGTCTCTTTCTCCATACCTGGAAGCACTGTGCCCAGGTGCCAGCCCACCGGTTTCATATCCGCCTGTAGGCACCCTCTTGCCCAGGGCACATGGGCCCAGGCCTGGTCAGCACAGATGCTCTGTTTCCCCAAGAGTGGCCTGGAAGGGGCTGGGACTGGGGCTGGAGATGGGGCTTGGGCTGGGGATAGGGTGTGGCCAGGAATGTGGAGTGGGCCCAGGGTCCCAGGGGCTGGGATCTCTCTCCTTGTCCATGGCACATGCCTAGGCTTGGTCAGCATGTTGATGTATCTACGGAGCTCAGCTGTGTACTGGGCCATCTGCTCCGGTGTGGTATTGTCCCCTGGGTACAATGGCTCCAACGGGGCTCCCCGGGCACCCAGCAGTGGCTACAGCAACAGAGCCACACAGGTGGACAGGAGCAGGAGGGAGAGGCAGCGGCATGCGGCAGCCATCTGAGGAGCTAGCAGAGGGGAGGTGGAGGTGGAGGTGGAAGAGCCCATGCTGAAGATTTTCCTATGCCCCGGAAGCAGGGCCCATCTACCCAGCCGTTTAGCCCATCATCCATTTCTCCAAGCCTGGGGACGAGAGGGCAGAGAAAAGGGCCACTCCGAGCTGACCACTCCACCTCCTAGACAGTGTGCTGGAGGCACGGACAGCCTGTCCTGTGAGCAGCCCAGCAGCCAGGGCCTCGCAAGTTAGAGAAGTGTAGCAGAGAAAATGGAGACATGAGTCCTGGAGACACATGTCTCATGACATCCAGGTCCTCATGGCTCTGAGGCAGCAGTAGCTAGTGGGAAATAAGGGCACACCAGGTCACCCACAGGGTGTGGGACATGGAATGAACTGGGGAAGCAAAGGACAGAAATCCATGGTCTTGTGGGTCTGGCCCTCCACCCAACAGTAGAGACAGATATGGGTTCTGGAGAAGACATCCTGCACAGACCGGCACAGCCACTCACACAGGGACACATTCCAGTTCACAGCCATGCACACGAGTGTGCACACACACTTGCAGTCATCTGATGGCTCTCCTAGTGTGACAGGTGTGTCCAGATGCAGAGCAATACCCAAGCAGGACCTTAGGGCTTTGAAGGCCCCTGGCCCTGCAAAGCACGAACTCCTTCCCTCCATCCCAGACCCCAGCCTGGGGGAGTTCTCCAGATCCCCAAGCAGGCTGAGCCCACTTACCCAGAGTCCAGAGTAAACGGTCACTGGACCAAGCAAGGACGTGTCCCTGCCCTCAGCTGGGCCGCTTTTTCAGTCCTCAGTCCCCTAGAGTCCCCGTCTCCTGTCAGCCTCTCCCACTCCGCAGCCCTTACTCCCTCCTCCCACTGTCTCCCTGGTACTCGCAACGCCACTACTGGGCCAGAGATGGGAGGGGGACGGGAGTGCTGGGGGTGCCAGACTAGCAGCATAGTCAATAAAACTGGATCACAGCAAAAGTCTCCTGTGGGCCCCCATTGCTGAGACCCCTTCCTTTTGGGCACCAGAGCAGGCTTGGTTCAAGAAAGATGGGGTTATGGGACTTCAGGGTGACTGAAAGGTTTTGGTCACAGGCCTTGGAGCTGGCCCTCCCATCTCCCAAGGATCAAACCAAATCAAATGGATTCTCTCGGGGCAGAAGATTGAGGCTGCAGCTGGAGCCTCCAGGATGAAGAATGGAAACTCAGGCCATCCTTTGCAGTTTGGAACTAGAACAAGGTGGGAACAGGGAAGAGGCTTCAGGTCCTCAGGCAAGGTGGAAAGAAGTGGGGTGCCAGGTTTGGAGAAAGCCGTTTGGTGGGTGCATAGGATGCAGAATGAGAACTAATGTGCCTAGGTTCAGGGGAAAGGTTGAGGGGGTACCAGTTTCTGGTAGCCATCCTAGAGCCCCCATTCCAGCGGAGTGCTAAAAACCAGCATCATTTGTAAAGCCTCACCTTTTCCAAAGTGCTCCCAGCTCAGTCACCTCACTAAATCCCCACAACAACCCACTTTACAGATTCAGGTTCCAAAATCTGCACAGAAATGTCAAGTAACTGACTCCAGACCACACAGCTAGTCAGTGGGAGATCCGGGGTTTGGAACAAAATCTAACTCCAAAGTCTAACTCCAAACCTGGATTGTTTTTTTTTCTAAGTGGGACTGTCAAAGTATTGGTATAATTTCCCAATTTTTTGCTGAGAAACCTGAGGCTCACAGAGGTAAAGAGGCTTGTTCAAGATCTCATAGCTACCTAGGTCTCCAATTCTGGCTTAGATTCTCAACCCCACTAACCCATCCCCACCAGAAGCCCCCAGGTTTCCCCTGCCCAGTGTCTCTTCCCAACCCCAAGTCTCCCTCCCCTGCTCAGGCCAAGGAGTGGTAACTGTGTCTGAATGACACGGTGACACCCAAGTAGGGAGAAAAGGACTTCTCAGTGCTGACGTTCTGCTGTCCCAGATCAGGACACCAAGAAGTTGGTGGGGGTACTGTTGGGGAAGAGGGGGCCAGAGGTGAAACTCCATGGATCTGGCAGGGTGAGCTTAGAGTCAGATAGACCTGGGTCCAAATCCTGGCTCCGCCATTGGCTGGTTGCATGAGCCTGGGAAAGTAATTTCTTTAGCCTCCCTGAGTTTCACTTTTCCTCTCTGTAAAATGAGCTCATCACATCCATCTCAAGGTAAGGAGAATAAAGGAAGGCTCAGCGAACATCAGTGTTCTGCCTTGATCCTCTCAATTTTTTTCTTTTCTTTTTTTGAGATGAAGTCTCACTCTCACCCAGGCTGGAGTGCAGTGGCACGATCTTGGCTCACTGCAACCTCCGCCTCCTGGGTTGGAGCAATTCTCCCAATCAGCCTCCTGAGTAGCTGGGATTACAGGCACGTGCCACCACACCCGACTAATTTTTTATATTTTTGGTAGAGATGGGGTTTCACCATGTTGGCCAGGCTGGTCTCAAACTCCTGACCTCAAGTGATCTGCCGGCCTCGGCCTCCCAAAGTGCTGGGATTACAGACATGAGCCACTGTGCCCGGCCGATCCTCTCAATTTTGATTTCTGGTAACAAGAAGAGCAATAATGCTTCACCAGACAACTTACATTCCACAAGGCAAATATGAAAGTTGTTCTGTCTCAGCAAACCTGGGTCTTTCTCTGGACTGAGGTTTTCCACTTGCAAAACAAGGTGTGAACTGGTGGCTGGTCTCAGGCTGGCCTTGGGTTTGGTGGGTAGAGGCTGCAGCTCACCATCATGGGGCACCAGGCTCCAACCCTAGTTAAAAGGGTTGAAGCTTCCACAGGACCATGGCCTGGAGGGACCTGTTCTGGCTGCTATTCGTGTCGGGACCCAGCCCCACCTGACAGACGTGGGTCTAGGGATTGACTCAGATGCCTGGGCCACTTATAGTTCTGTTCTGTCGCAGAGATAAACCTAAGTGTCTAAGAAATAACAGGTACTCCACAAATGTCAGCCAAACTGCACCTTTCATTTTCTTCTTTGCAAACAACAGATTCCTCTTCTGGGTCCTCTCAGAGATGTGTTGACAATCTAGGAGGAAGTGGTAGTGGATGTGCTTTCTATACTGCATGTCCATGTGTATTAGTCCGTTTTTCATACTGCTATAGAAAACTGCCTGAGGCTGGGCGCGGTGGCTCACACCTGTAATCCCAGCACTTTGGGAGGCTGAGGTGGGCAGATCACCTGAGGTCAGGAGTTTGAGACCAGCCTGGCCAACATGGTGAAACCCCATCTCTACTAAAAATACAACAATTAGCCAGATGTGGTGGCTCGGACCTGTAGTCCCAGCTACTGGGGTGGCTGAAGCAGGAGAATTGCTTGAACCTGGGAGGCAAAGGTTGCAGTGAGCTGACAGCGTGCCACTGCACCCCAGCCTGGGCCTCCATCTCAAAACGAAAAACAAAAAGAACTACCTGAGTTTGGGTAATTTTATAAAGGAAAGAGGTTTAATTGACTCACAGTTTGGCATGGCTGCGGAGGCCTCCGGAAATGTACAGCCATCGCAGAAGGCGTAGGGGAAGCAAGGCACCCTCCTCACAAGGTGGCAGGAAGGAGAAGTGCTGATCAAAGCGGGGAATAGCATCTTATAATATCATCAGATCTCATGAGAACTCACTCACTATCACGAGAACAGCATGGGGAAAACTGCCCCCATGATTCAATGACCTCCACCTGGTCTCTCCCTTGACACATGGGGACAATGGGAATTGCAATTCAAGATGAAATTTGGGTGGGGACACAAAGCCTAACCATGTCACCATGTCTAGAACACAGCAATGCTCGCTCATCTTCATGTATTCCTGTCTGAGGCGTTTGAACCAGAGCGAGTCCATCTTGAACAGGGGCTGGGTAAAATGAGGCTGAGACCTGCTGGGCTGCATTCCCAGGAGGTTAGGCATTTTTAGTCACAGGATGAGATAGGAGGTTGGCACAAGATACAGGTCACAAGACCCTGCTGATAAAACAGAATGAGATAAAGAAGCTGGTACAAACATGCAAAAAACAAGAGGGTGATGAAAGTGACCTCTGATCATCCTTGCTGTTCTTTTTTTTTTTTTTTTTTTTTAGGAGAGATGGGGTTTCACCATGTTGGCCAGGCTGGTCTTGAACTCCTGACCTCAAGTGATCTGCCCACCTCGACCTCCCAAAGTTCTGGGATTACAGGTGTGAGCACGCCCGGACTCACTGATCATTATATGCTAATTATAATATATTAGCATGCTAAGAGATGCTCCCACCAGTGCCAGACAGTTTACAAATATCATGGCAATATCTGGAAGTTACCTTACATGGTCTAAAAGGAGACGGGACCCTCAGTTCTGGGAAATCCGCACCCTTTTCCTGGAAAACTCATGAGTAACCCACCCCTTGTTTATTAGTATATGATCAAGGCATAACCGTAAAAATAGCCAACCAGCAGCCATGGGGGCTGCTCTGCCTATGGAGTAGCCATTCTTTTGTTTCTTTCTTTTTTTTTTTGAGATGGAGTTTCGCTCTTGCAGCCCAGGCTGGAATGCAGTGGTGCAATCCTGGCTGACTGCAACCTCTACCTCCTGGATTCAAGTAATTCTCCTGCCTCAGCCTCCCGAGTAGCTGGGTTTACAGGCATGTGCCACCACACCCGGCTAATTTTGTATTTATAGTAGAGATGGGGTTTCTCTATGTTGGTCAGGCTGGCTTTGAACTCCTGACCTCAGCTGATCCGCCCACCTCGGCCTCCCAAAGTGCTGGGATTATAGGCATGGGCCACTGTGCCCGGCCCTCTTCTGTTTCTTTACTTCCCTTTTATTTATTTATTTTGTAGAGATGGGGGCTCAGTTTTTTGCCCAGGCTCAAACTATCCTCCTGCCTCGGCCTCCCAAGGTGCTGGGATTACTGGCATGAGCCACCGCGCCTGGCCCTTGTTTCCTTTCTTCTCTAATAAACTTACTTTCACTCTACTCTGTGGACTCACTCTGAATTCTTTCTTGCAGGAGCTCTAAGAACCCTCTTTTGGGGTCTGAATCAGAACCCCTTTTCAGTAACTCCCATAGTGCTTGCCACAGAGCCCTGATCTGAAATCACCAATTCACGGCCTGCAGATGCACTAAATGAAGATGATAGTGGTGCCTCTTCCCCTGCCCAACACCATGCCCTCTGGCACAAGGAGGATGGCCACTGGCAGTGATGGGGATGGAGTAAGTGCTATGAGACTAGGAGAGGAACACCCCAGAAACACCTGAGGTCACAGAGTGAACGAGGCAGGTAAAGGAGCAAAGGGAATGGGGTCCCCACATACGTGACCCCAGGGCAGCAGTTTGGCCTGCACTGTGTCCTCCATCACAGCCCCGGTCTTAGCTGTCTAACTGCAATCTCTGCTGCTTTCAGTGAATGACCAACGAGTGGTCATTTATTGCACATCTGTTCTGGGCCTGGTGGGGGCAGCGGGAGGAGATGAAGAAGCAAAGGTTCTGCAAGGAAGTTCAAGCTGTATGAGGAGCCGGGGGATGGCTTGCTTTTTTTTTTTTTAGACAGGCTCTCACTCTGTCACCCAGGCTGGAGTGCAGTGGCATGATCATGTTCACTATAGCCTCTGCCTCATGGCTCAAGGGATCCTCCCATCTCAGCTTCCCAAGTAGCTGGGACCACAGGTGTGTGTCACCACAGCCAGCCAAATTTTTTTTTTAATTTTGTGTAGAGATGGGCTCAAGTGATCCATCCGCCTCGGCATCCCAAAGTGCTGGAATTCAAGAGGGAGCCACTGCACCCAGCCAAGACGGTTTTTTGTTTTGGGATTTTTTTCTTTTTTGAGATAGAGTCTCACTCTGTCAACCAGGCTGGAGTGCAGTGGCACAATCTCAGCTCACTGTAAACTCTGCCTCCCGGGTTCCAGTGATTCTCCTGTCTCAGCCTCCCGAGTACCTGGGATTACAGGCGCCCGCCACCATGCCTGGCTAACTTTTGTATTTTTAGTAGAGACAGGGTTTTGCCATTTTGGCCAGGCTGGTTTCGAACTCCTGACCTCAGGTGATCTGCCCACCTTGGCCTCCCAAAGTGCTGGGATTACAGCCGTGAGCCACTGCATCTGGCCAGGGTGGCTTTTTTTGAAAGCAAGGACACGAAAGTTCAGAAAGGGAAGAAGCTGGCTGTGGCCCTCCAGCAAGCTGGCAGCCGTCCCTCACCTAAGGGTGCACTTCAGAAACTTCCTCACAGGTCATTTTACAAATGCCTCTTTGCTACCTTGTGAGGGAGGCAGGAATTACTCTTTGCTCTTATCAGATGAGAAAACCAAGGCCCAGTGAGGTAGCTGAGGTTGTCTAAGGTCACATGGGAGTCAGGAAGCGTCAAGACTAAACCCCGGTCTGCATGGTTCCAGCCTGGCTTTATCCCTGTTTCCAGACACCACCCTTCCGCCCCCGACCTCTGCCACTGGCCAGAGCCTGGCCCAGCCCTTAGGCCAATGTCTTATTCCAAAATTGAATGGCAGCAGCAGAGGACGGGGGTAAATTGGGGGGTAGCTGTCCCCAGATGCCAGGACCTATGCCCTAGAGAAACCTTTGCTCTGGGGATAGCTGTGACACCCACACGCATACCTTGAGCACCTTGTCTCACCCACTCTGAGCCAACTCAGGACCCAGTGGGGGCTCACTCCACTAATTTGGAGCCTGGGCTCTGCCTCCACTTCTCTCTGCCCTGGAAACTCCATGTGCCTCCAGGGCCTCCTGAAGACACACAGGGAGAGTTAGATATTTCTCCTTTCCTGTCTCCAGTGTCCGCAACAGCAAATCCTATCATTGCCACTCCAAATTGTTCTCAAAGAGGACGGCTTCTTTCTTGCTGAAATAGAGACTACACCAAGCTACAAAATACAGTGTTGGGGAGGTGAACAGGGAGGGCAGGGCAGGAAGGTTCCTGGAGGGAATGAGGCCTGAAGTGGCCTTGAAGGTTGGGGCAGGGGGAAATGCTATTTCACAGAAGTGGGGCTGTGGCAGTGGGGCTGAGCACTTTAGGGGCACACACTGAGGAATTGCAGGAGGAGGAGGAAGGGGTGTTATGAAATGCCTGGAGTTTCCAGGAAATAGTTTAGATTTCGTGTTTAGTAGAAACAGAACTGCTTTGGGATGAGAACTCTTACCTCTGTCCCTCACTCTATGGGTTCCTGCAAGCCTCTCTCCCTCTTGGCCTTGGGATTCCCATTGGTTCAATGAAGAGATAGGACCCAATGATTTCTAAATGACATCCAAAGGATATCATGTTTCTAGCAGATAATTCTAGGTGCCCAAATATCCACATTCTCCTTTCATCATCAAAGAGCTTGAGATGGTACATATGTAGGTTTGTTATATAACAACAAAAAAATCCATTTATAAATAAAAATATTTTTAAAAACAAAGAGCTTGCGATGGGCCCGCAGACACTCAGCTAAAGATGTCTCATAGGTTGTCCTTGCAGCTAAGTGGGGCCATGAGACTAGGCTTTAACCAGTGGGCTGAGAGTTAAAGTGATTTTTGCCATTCTGTTTTTAGGAATGGATGTGTCTGCCTGTGGCAGATTATATTTTTCAAAGATGACCACAAAAATATCTCCTATCTCATGTGTGATTCTACAGTGGGGTCTATGTCCCCTCTTCTTGAATGTGTGTGCACTTGTGACTGCTTTGACTAACAGAGTATGGGGTAGGATGCCATGTGACTTCTGAGGCTGGGTCACGGAAAGCAATTGTTATAAGTTAAATTGCATGTCCCCGCCCCCCACCAAATTCATATGATGCAGTCTTAATTCCTGCTGCCTCCGAATGTGACCTTATTTAGAAAGAGAATCATCGTGGATCTAATTAGTTAAGATTAGGTCATACTACAGTGTGTGAGACCCTAATCCCGTAGGACTGGTCTTATAAAAAGGGTAATTTGGGCACAGAAATAGACATGCATAGAGGGAAGATGATGTGAAGAAACACAGCTCAGACACCCATCTTCAAGGCAAGGAGAGAGGCCTGGAACAGATCAGAAGGAATCAACCCTGCCAACACCTTCATTTCAGACTGCTAGCCTCCAGAACTGTCGTTTAAACACCCAGTCTGTGACTCTTTACTATGGCAGTATGGTAGGAGACCACCACTTCTCCTGTTGTCCTTCCCAGTTTCTCCCCAACCTCCCCTTTTCCCTAGTTTATAAGACAGGAGAAAAGGGAGAAAGCAAAAAGTTGGAAAGAAACAGAAGTAAGATAAATAGCTAGACGACCTTGGCGCCACCACCTGGCCCTGGTGGTTAAAATGATAATAATATTAACCCCTGACCAAAACTACTGGTGTTATCTGTAAATTCCAGACATTATATGAGAAAGCACTGTAAAACTTTTTGTACTGTTAGCTGATGTAGGTAGCCCCCAGTCACGTTCCTCACACTTACTTGATCTGTGATGACTCTTTCACGTAGACCCCTTAGAGTTGTAAGCCCTTCAAAGGGCTAGGAATTTCTTTTTCGGGGAGCTCGGCTCTTAAGATGCGACTCTGCCGATGCTCCTGGCCGAATAAAAACCTCTTCCTTCTTTAATCCAGTGTCTGAGGAGTTTTGTCTGCGACTCATCCTGCTACATTTCTTGGTTCCCTGCCTGGGAAGCGAGGTAATTGATGGACGGAGGGTCGAGGCAGCCCCTTAGGTGGCTTAGGCCTGCCCTGTGGAGCATCCCTGTGGGGGACTCTGGCCAGCTTGAGTGACGCAGATCCTGAGACCACTCCCGGGTAGGCAATTGCCCCGGTGGAACGCCTCATCAGAGCAGTGCGTGGCAGGCCCCTGTGGAGGATCAACGCAGTGGCTGAACACCGGGAAGGAATGGGCACTTGGAGTCCGGACATTTGAAACTTGGTAAGACTGGTCTTTGGAACTTGCCCACTCCATCTGAGTGGAAGCGTGGCCTGATCACCCATGGCGTGCCTGTACCGGCACTTTGGTTTTTGTTTTTGACTTGACTTGAATTGCTTGATATTTTGGTTTTGGTTTTGACCTGGCTTGGACTTCTGGATACTCGGATTTTGGTTTTGATTCTGGTTTGGTGTAAACTGAAAAAGTGTGTGTGTGCCCTTTTTACCTGTTCTTTGTTCTGTGGTGTGTGTGTGGTGTAAGCTTGGTGTTTTGTCTTGAGGAAACACGGGTCAGACACAAAGTAAGCCTACTCCGCTAGGAACTGTGTTGAAAAATTTTAAGAAGGGATTTAATGGACACTATGGGGTTACTATGACACCAGGGAAACTTAGAACTTTGTGTGAAATAGATTGGCCAACATTAGAAGTGGGTTGGCCATCAGAAGGAAGCCTGGACAGGTCCCTTGTTTCTAAGGTATGGCACAAGGTAACTGGTAAGTCAGGACACTCAGACCAGTTCCCATGCATAGACACTTGGTTACAGCTGGTGCTAGAGCCCCCACAGTGGCTAAGAGGGCAGGCAGCAGCAGTGCTAGTAGCAAAGGGACAGATAGCCAAGGAAGGATCCCGCTCCACCGTCTGAGGGAAACCAACTCCTAAAGTTCTGTTCAACCCAACATCAGAAGATACATTGCAGGAGATGGCACCAGTGATCCCAGTGGTGCCCTCCCCTTACCAGGGAGAGGGGCTCCCCACTTTTGATTCCACAGTGCTTGTACCTCCGCAAGACAAACATATCCTTAGGCCACCCACAGTAGACAAGAGAGGAGGTGAAGCCTCGGGAGAAACCCCTCCCTTGGCAGCTCGTTTAAGACACAAAACTGGGATACAAATGCCCCTGAGAGAGCAGCAGTATACTGGTATAGATGAGGATGGTCACGTGGTGGAGAGGTGTGTTTTTGGGTACCAGCCCTTCACCTCTGCCCACCTTCTCAACTGGAAAAGCAATACCCCATCCTATACTGAAAAGCCACAAGCTCTAATTGATTTGCTCCAAACTATTATCCAGACCCATAACCCCACTAGGGCTGATTGCCACCAGTTGCTCATGTTCCTCTTTAACACAGATGAAAGGCGGAGAGTGCTCCAAGCAGCAACTAAGTGGCTAGAGGAACATGCACCGACTGATTACAAAAACCCCCAAGAGGATGTAAGGACCCAGTTACTGGGAACCTACCCCCAGTGGGACCCAAATGAAAGACAGGATATGCAAAGGCTAAACCGATACAGGGAAGCTCTCTTGGAAGGATTAAAGAGGGGAGCCCAGAAGGCCACAAACATTAACAAGGTCTCTGAGGTCATTCAGAGAAAAGAAGAAAGTCCAGCACAATTCTACGAGAGACTGTGTGAGGCCTATCGTATGTATACTCCCTTTGATCCCGATAGCCCTGAAAATCAGTGCATGATTAACATGGCTTTAGTTATTCAAAGCACAGAAGACATTAGAAGAAAACTGCAGAAACAGGCTGGGTTTGCAAGGATGAACACATCACAGTTATTAGAAATAGCTAACCAGGTGTTTGTAAACAGGGATGCAGTAAGCCGTAAGGAAAACCAGAAAGAGAATGAACGTCAGGCCCAGCGAAACGCTGATCTGTTAGCTGCAGCAATCAGAGGGGACCCCCCAAAGAGGCAAGGGAAGGGGGGCCCCGGGAAAGAAACTCAGCCTGGCTGTCAGAGCTTGCAGCGTAATCAGTGTGCTTATTGTAAAGAAATAGGACATTGGAAGAACAAGTGCTCTCAGCTAAAAGGAAAACAAGGTGACTTGGAGCAGGAGGCACCAGACAAGGAGGAAGGGGCCCTGCTCAACCTGGCAGAAGGGTTATTGGACTGAGGGGGACTGGGCTCAAGGGCCCCCAAAGAGCCTATGGTCAGGATGACAGTTGGGGGTAAAGACATTGATTTTCTTGTAGATACCGGTGCTGAACATTCGGTAGTAACCGCCCCGGTCGCCCCCTTATCCAAAAAGACTATTGACATAATCGGAGCCACGGGAGTTTCAGCAAAACAAGCTTTCTGCTTGCCCCGGACTTGTACTGTAGGAGGACATAAAGTGATTCATCAGTTTTTGTACATGCCTGACTGTCCCTTGCCCTTGTTGGGAAGGGACTTGCTTAGCAAGCTGAGAGCCACTATCTCTTTTACAGAGCATGGCTCTTTGCTGCTAAAGTTACCCAGAACGGGAGTCATTATGACCCTTACGGTCCCCCGAGAGGAGGAATGGAGACTTTTCTTAACTGAGTTGAGCCAAGAGATAAGACCAGCTCTGGCTAAGTGGTGGCCAAGAGTGTGGCCTGAAGACAACCCTCCAGGGTTGGCAGTCAACCAAGCCCCCATACTTATAGAAGTTAAGCCTGGGGACCAGCTGGTTAGGCAAAAACAGTACCCGGTCCCCAGAGAAGCTCTTGAAGGTATCCAGGTCCATCTCAAGTGCCTAAGAACCTTTGGAATTAAAGTTCCTTGTCAGTCTCCACGGAACACTCTCCTCCTGCCTGTTCCCAAGCCTGGGACCAAGGACTACAGGCCGGTACAGGATTTGCGCTTGGTTAATCAAGCTACAGTGACTTTACATCCAACAGTACCTAACCCGTACACATTGTTGGGGTTGCTGCCAGCTGAGGACAGCTGCTTCACCTGCTTGGACCTGAAAGACGCTTTCTTTAGCATCAGATTAGCCCCTGAGAGCCAGAAGCTATTTGCCTTTCAGTGGGAAGATCCGGAGTCAGGTGTCACTACTCAGTACACTTGGACCCGGGTTCCCCAAGGGTTCAAGAACTCCCCCACCATCTTTGGGGAGGTGTTGGCTCGAGACCACCAGAAGTTTCCCACCAGAGACCTAGGCTGTGTGTTGCTCCAGTATGTTGATCTTTTGCTGGGACACCCCACGGCAGTCGGGTGCGCCAAGGGAACAGACACACTACTCCGGCACCTGGAGGACTGTGGGTATAAGGTGTCCAAGAAAAAAGCTCAGATCTGCCAACAGCACGTACATTACTTGGGATTTACTATCCGACAGGGGGAGCGCAGCCTGGGATCAGGAAGAAAGCAGGTCATTTGCAATCTGCCAGAGCCTAAGACCAGAAGGCAGGTGAGAGAATTCTTAGGAGCTGCGGGGTTTTGCAGACTGTGGATCCCAAACTTTGCAGTATTAGCTAAGCCTTTGTGTGAGGTCACAAAGTGGGGGGGACCGGGACCTTTTGAATGGGGATCCCAGCAACAGCAAGCCTTTCATGAGTTAAAGGAAAAACTTATGTCAGCCCCAGCCCTGGGGCTATCCGATCTGACAAAGCCTTTTACATTGTATGTGTCAGAGAGAGAAAAGATGGCAGTTGGAGTTTTAACCCAAACTGTGGGGCCCTGGCTGAGGCCGGTGGCCTATCTCTCTAAACAACTAGACGGGGTTGCTAAAGGATGGCCCCCATGTTTGAGGGCCTTGGCACCAACTGCCCTGCTAGTACAAGAAGCAGATAAGCTGACTCTTGGGCAAAACCTGAACATAAAGGCCCCCCATGCTGTGGTGACTTTAACGAATACTAAAGGACATCATTAGCTAGCGAATGCTAGACTCACTAAGTACCAAAGTTTGCTCTGTGAAAATCCCCGTATAACCACTGAAGTTTGTAACACCCTGAACCCCACTACCTTGCTCCCGGTATCAGAGAGCCCTGTCAAGCATGATTGTGTAGAAGTATTGGACTCAGTTTACTCTAGCAGACCTGACCTCTGGGACCAGCCTTGGGCATCAGTAGACTGGGAACTATACGTGGATTGGAGCAGCTTCATCAACCCACAAGGAGAGAGATTTGCAGGGTGTGCGGTGGTAACCCTGGGCACTGTTGTTGAAGCCAGATCGTTGCCCCAGGGCACTTCAGCCCAGAAAGCTGAACTCATTGCTTTCATTCAGGCCTTAGAACTCAGTGAAGGTAAGACTGTCAACATTTACACTGACTCTCGGTATGCCTTTTTAACCCTTCAAGTGCATGGAGCATTATATAAAGAAAAGCGCCTATTGAACTCTGGGGGAAAGGACATAAAATATCAACAAGAAATCTTGCAATTATTAGAAGCAGTATGGAAACCACACAAGGTGGCCGTTATGCATTGCAGAGGACACCAGCGAGCTTCCACCTTGGTGGGTTTGCGGAATTCCCGCGCTGACTTAGAGGCTCGAAAAGCAGCATCTGCCCCCTTCCGGGCATCAGTCACAGCACCCCTGCTCCCTCAAGCGCCTGATCTTTTACCTACTTATTCTAAAGAAGAAAAGGACTTTCTCCAGGCAGAGGGAGGACAAGTGATGGAGGAAGGATGGATTCGGTTACCAGATGGGAGAGAAGCTGTGCCACAGCTGCTAGGAGCCGCAGTTGTGCTGGCTGTGCATAAAACCACCCATCTAGGCCAGGAGTCACTTGAAAAGTTGTTAGTCCGGTATTTCTACATCTTGCATTTGTCAGCCCTTGCCAAAACGGTGACGCAGCGGTGTGTTACCTGCCCAAAGCATAATGCGAAGCAAGGTCCAGCTGTTCCGCCCGTCATACAAGCTTATGGAGCAGCCCCCTTTGAAGATGTCCAGGTGGACTTCACAGAGATGCCAAAGTGTGGAGGTAACAAGTATTTACTAGTTCTTGTGTGTACCTACTCTGGTGGGTGGAGGCTTATCCAGCACAAACTGAGAAAGCTCGTGAAGTAACCTGTGTGCTTCTTCGAGATCCTATTCCTAGATTTGGACTGCCCTTACGGATCGGCTCAGATAATGGGCCAGCATTTGTGGCTGACTTGGTACAGAAGAGGGCAAAGGTATTGGGGAACACATGGAAACTGCATGCTGCCTACCGGCCTCAGAGTTCCAGAAAGGTGGAGTCGATGAATTGGACTATCAAAAATAGCTTAGGGAAAGTATGTCAGGAAACAGGATTAAAATGGATACAGGCTCTCCCTATGGTATTATTTAAAATTAGATGTACCCCTTCTAAAAGAACAGGATATTCCCCTTATGAAATATTGTATCATAGGCCCCCTCCCATATTGCAGGGACTTCCAGGCACTCCCCGAGAGTTAGGTGAAATTGAGTTACAGCGACAACTACAGGCTTTAGGAAAAATTACACAAACAATCTCAGCCTGGGTAAATGAGAGATGCCCTGTTAGCTTATTCTCCCCAGTTCACCCTTTCTCCCCAGGTAATCGAGTGTGGATCAAGGACTGGAACGTAACTTCTTTGTGCCCACGGTGGAAAGACCGTAGTCTGTCGTCCTGACCACTCCCACCGCTGTGAAGGTAGAGGGAATCCCAGCCTGGATCCACCACAGCCGTGTAAAACCTGCAGCACCTGAAACCTGGGAGGCAAGACCAAGCCCAGACGACCCTTGCAGAGTGACCCTGAGGAAGACGACAAGCCCTGCTCCAGTCACACCCAGAAGCTGACTGGTCCACGCACGGCCGAAGCATGAGGAAGCTCATCGTGGGATTCATTTTTCTTAAATTCTGGACTTACACAGTAAGGGCTTCAACTGACCTTACTCAAACTGGGGACTGTTCCCAGTGTATTCATCAGGTCACTGAGGTAGGACAGCAAATTAAAACAATCTTTCTGTTCTATAGTTATTATGAATATATGGGAATGTTAAAAGAAACTTGTTTGTATAATGCCACTCAGTACAAGGTATGTAGCCTGGGAAATGACCCACCTGATGTGTGTTATAACCCATCTGAGCCCCCTGCAACCACCATTTTTGAAACAAGATTAAGAACTAGCCTTTTCCTAGGTGACACAAGTAAAATAATAACTAGAACAGAAGAAAAAGGAATCCCCAAACAAATAATTTTAAGATTTGATGCTTGTGCAGCCATTAATAGTAACAAACTAGGAACAGAATGTGGTTCTCTTAACTGGGAAAGGAGCTACAGAGTAGAAAATAAATATGTTTGTCATGAGTCAGGGGATTGTGAAAATTGTGCCTTTTGGCCATGTGTTATTTGGGCTACTTGGAAAAAGAACAAAAAAGACCCGGTTCATCTTCAGAAGGGGGAAGCCAACCCTTCCTGTGCTGCCGGTCACTGTAACCCACTAGAACTAATAATTACCAATCCCCTAGATCCCCATTAGAAAAAGGGAGAACGTGTAACCCTGGGGATCGATGGGACGGGGTTAAACCCCCAAGTTGCCATTTTAATTAGAGGGGAGGTCCACAAGCGCTCTCCCAAGCCAGTATTTCAAACCTTTTATGAGGAGCTGAATCTGCCAGCACCAGAACTTCCGAAAAAGACAAAAAATTTGTTTATCCAATCAGCAGAAAATGTAGCTCATTCCCTTAATGTTACTTCTTGTTATGTATGCGGGGGAACCACTATCGGAGACCGATGGCCTTGGGAAGCCCGAGAGTTGGTGCCTACTGATCCAGCTCCTGATGTAATTCCAGTTCAGAAGGCCCAAGCTAGCAACTTCTGGGTCCTAAAAACCTCAATTATTGGACAATACTGTATAGCTAGAGAAGGGAAAGTCTTTATCATCCCTGTAAGAAAGCTTAATTGTATAGGACAGAAGTTGTACAACAGCACAACAAAGACAATTACTTGGTGGGGCCTAAACCACACTGAAAAGAACCCATTTAGTAAATTTTCTAAATTAAAAACTGCCTGGGCTCATCCAGAATCTCATCAGGACTGGGCAGCTCCCGCTGGACTATACTGGATATGTGGGCACGGAGCCTACATTCGGTTACCTAATAAATGGGCAGGCAGTTGTGTTATTGGCACTATTAAGCCGTCCTTTTTCTTATTACCCATAAAAACGGGTGAGCTCCTAGGTTTCCCTGTCTATGCCTCCCAAGAGAGGCATAGTTATAGGAAACTGGAAAGATAATGAGTGGCCCCCTGAAAGGATCATACAGTATTATGGGCCTGCCGCATGGGCACAAGACAGCTCATGGGGATACTGAATCCCCATCTACATGCTCAATCAGATCATATGGTTGCAGGCCATCTTAGAAATAATTACTAATGAAACTTTGACTGTTTTAGCTTGGCAGGAAACCCAAATGAGGAATGCTATCTCTCAGAATAGGCTGGCCTTGGACTACTTGCTAGCAGCTGAAGGAGGAGTTTGTGAAAAATTTAACTTAACCAGTTGCTGCCTACAAATAGATGATCAAGGACAGGTGGTTGAAAACATAGTCAGGGACATGACAAAGGTGGCACATGTGTCTGTACAGGTTTGGCACGAGTTTGATCCTGAGTCTTTCTTTGGAAAATGGTTTCCAGCTACAGGAGGATTAAAAACCCTCATTGTAGGTGTAGTGCTAGTAATAGGAACTTGCTTGCTGCTCCCCTGTGTATTACCCTTGCTTTTTCAAATGATAAAATGTTTTGTTGCTACTTTGGTTCATCAAAAAACTTCAGCACACGTGTATTATATGAATCACTATCGCTCTATCTCGCAAAGAGACTCAGAAAGTGAGGATGAGAGTGAGAACTCCCACTAAAAAGTGAAAATTCTCAAAGGGGGGGAATATGGTACGAGACCACCACTTCTCCTGTTGTCCTTCCCAGTTTCTCCCCAACCTCCCCTTTTCCCTAGTTTATAAGACAGGAGAAAAGGGAGAAAGCAAAAAGTTGGAAAGAAACAGAAGAAAGATAAATAGCTAGACGACCTTGGCGCCACCACCTGGCCCTGGTGGTTAAAATGATAATAATATTAACCCCTGACCAAAACTACTGGTGTTATCTGTAAATTCCAGACATTGTGTGAGAAAGCACTGTAAAACTTTTTGTAGTGTTAGCTGATGTAGGTAGCCCACAGTCACATTCCTCACACTTACTTGATCTATTATGACTCTTTCACGTAGACCCCTTAGAGTTGTAAGCCCTTCAAAGGGCTAGGAATTTCTTTTTCGGGGAGCTCGGCTCTTAAGATGCGAGTCTGCTGATGCTCCCGGCCGAATAAAAAACCTCTTCCTTCTTTAATCCGGTGTCTCAGGAGTTTTGTCTGCGACTCGTCCTGCTACAGCAGCCCTAGCAAACTAAATAGCAATGCCATCTTCATCCAATTCTCTGGAAATAAGCGGGAAGCCAGCTACAATGTAAGTCCAACTACCCCAAGAATATCGTGCTGGAGAGCCCATTTGTAGGTACGACAGTCAACAGCCCCGGCTGAACTCAACAGCCGGCACCAGCATGGGAGTGAGACTCCTCAGGCATCAGCCCGGTGGATCATTTAGATAACTGCAGATCTGCCAGCCTCTGATGGTATCCGCATGTGAGACTCAAAGCGAGAACTGCTGAGGTGAGCGCTTCCTGGTCCTGACCCACAACATCATGAGTGACATACAATGGTTGTTTGAGGCTGCCAAGTTTTAGGGTAACTTATTATACAACATAGTAACCAGAGCACCTACCCTCTCCCTTCCCCCACTTGCCACTGGCTGGAACACAGATGAGGTCATGGCAGGCTGTCTTCAGTCCTGTCAATGACATAGATGAGGGCATGGGGAAGCCACAAATGAGGAGCCTGGGCTTTTGGATGCCCTCGTGGAGCAGAGAGGCCAGCTCCCCAGATGTCACTTGCATTTCAGGTAAGAGAAATAAATTTCCTTTCTGTTTAAGTCACTGTTAATTCTATCTGTTTTTTTAAGCCAAATCAATATCCTAGTAATATCATATATGTAAAACGAACAGCTCAGAGTCTAGCACATAAATAAGTGCTTTTTGGAAAAGGTAATTATTGCTATTATATTAATTATTATACTAATAATAGTTATTAATAATATTATTACCCTAAACTGCTCAACACTCTTCAAAATGAACATGAGGTGGACCCATGTCACTGATGGTCAATGAGACATGACAAGCTGGGCAAAAATTGTCTGTGGTCATGCCTAATTCATACCAGGTCTCTCTTCCATCCACCTTAAACTGACTACAGCTCTCCCAGGCAGACCAATAGATAAGGGATCACAGACACCAGCGCACAGACACATCCTCCCACTCCCCACCCACACAGTGAGCTGAAGCTCCGGGTAGCCACTGTATGCTCCCATCCCACCTGTCCTATCGCAGGAGAGAAGACAGGCAGCAAAATGGGATGGAAAGTGGGTCTAAGATAATGAGTGGGGAGAGGGAGCCAGAGAAACTAACTCCATCCCCAGGAAATCAGGCAAGGCTTCCGGGAGGAGGTGACCACTATCCTGAGAGTATCTTCCAGGCTGAAGAGAGGGAAAGGGCTCTCTGCAAGCAGGGACAGTGGCCTGGGCAAAGGCACAGAGCATCAGAATCCACATAGCCAGTGACCTACAGCTGCCTCTTCAGCTTCACCCTTTCAGCTCTACCTCCAGGGAGGCTGGAGGGCAGCACAGGGGAGGGTGGGTGTCAGAGCCCTGTGGCCCCCTGGGGACCTGTGTCCAAGCAGGGACCTCCTCTGCAGCTATGGCAGAGTTAGCTTTAGAGTCTTCTCTTCTTCCAGAGCCATGGAACTGCAAACAGTACTTCAAAACCCTGATCCACACAGGGATGCCTGCAGTCTTCCTGTCCTTTTCACCCTCTCTGGGTCAAAGGCTTTGGCCTCAACCCTGATTCTCCCCCTCATCTCCTAGCCCCCTGCAAGATTTGGGCAGGTCTTGCTGAACTAGAGGCCCAGGAGACATCCCATAGATACAGGAGGCTGCATCTGGAGACATCCCATAGATACAGGAGGCTGAGGAAGGAGACATAGGCCTTTCCTTCCTGAGGCCCCAGGAGGGAGACAAGACACAAAGACACAGACAGAAGTCTCAGTGAATAGAGCAGAGGCCCTGAGAGCTGGGCAGCCAGAGAGGGCAGGAAGAGTGCAATTAGGCAATCAAGGCAAGCTTCTTGGAGGAAAGGGGCAGGAAAGGGTGCATGTCAGGGGAGATCACCCTACAGGCAGGCTCTGGAATCGGTGCAGAATGGTGAGTTTAAACATCCACAGCGCCCTTAGGCTTCAGTATCTAGTCCAGGGGAGGGGGGTACATGGGAGGGTGTCCCTATGGCCTTGTCACTAGGAAAGCACAATTCCTGACTTATCCACTGAGTGTGGATTCAGCGAGATGAGAGAGGGCGGTTTTTTAGCGATCGGGCAGCCTCCACACTCCCCATTGCTCCTCTGCTCGGGGAAAGGGGGACGGTAGAAATTACCTGCCTCTCCCGCGGCTCCTGTCCACGCTCCCTGCCCCTTTTTCCAGAAACCCATCCACCCCTGCCCCCACTCAACTAGAGTTCCTTCCACAGCAGCCCCTGGTCTGGGCGCTGTCCAGCCCCAGGCTGGGTGGTCGAATTTTCCTTGGGCTCCGAGCAGAGGGAACCCCCGCGCTCGCCCCAGCCTTGTCCTGGAGCGCCTCTGTCCGAGTAGGTTTTCTCTCCTCTGGCCCCCACGCCTCCACCCTCCACTTCCACGAGACGCCACCTCCACGAAGGAGAAAGGAAAGAAAATACAAAGGCACACATTCCGTTTCTGTGCAATTCGCTCTTTATTTTGGGACCAGGGAAGGACCACACACAGCCCTGCAGCTCAGGGGGCGGGGGCATCCAGACGCGGGACTGCAGTACCCGAACCCTGCCCAGACGCCGCTGTCCGGAGGCGAAATCCGGGTTTCCAGGGTCGGGAGTGAACATGTAAATGAGGTGGGCGTGGTCTGCAGGTCTCCCAGGAGGCCTCGGGTGTCCTCACCACAGGTCTGCGCCTCCGGCCTGCGGGATCGAAGGGAAAGGAATCCGATCCGGGGAGGCAAGCCTGGGAGACGTCGTAAGTGATGGACCAGGGTGGGGCCAGACCGCGCTCTCGGAGGCAGGATGTTATGTGACTTGATGGGGGCGCTTTTACCGCCACCTGCCGAGGCGGTCCTCGCAGTCTGGGAAGAACGTTTTGGAGAGGCGCGCGACCGGGCGGCCTAGTTTCCCATACCTGAGGGCGGGGCCTGGAAGGGCGCGGTCAGATCTAGCCACGCCCCCGGTGGAGCGGGGCCGCAGGGGGAGAGCCCCAGGGGTCCCGCTCCGCCCGCCCCGCGCCTGCGCTCACGACGGCTGAGTGACCAGGATGAGGTAGTGGCGAGGATAGGCGTAGCAGCGGCTCAGCTACCCCAGGAAGGCGTCTTCGCCGGGAGCCTCGGGTTTGATGGGGTAGGCGTCGACCAGCGCCCCCAGGTAGACGAGCAGGGCCAAAAGCACCGTGGCCATGAGAGGCCACGACCTGCGAACCGACACCACCTGGGAAGGCGACATTGGGGTGTGGGTCATTCCGAGCCTCGACCCTCCACGGCGGGAGGCTGCGGCTGCCGTCGGGGCCGTGCTCCGGTGCTCTCCCTGGGGCTGGTAGCGGACCAAGGTTCAGCCACCAGCTTGCCATATGTTCTCCGGCACTGCACCGTCTCCTGCCTCAGTTTCCTAATCTGTCAGAGGGACATAAGCCCTGCCTGACGTAACCCCACCCCCACCCCCGCTGCTGTCCAGAGAGGTAGATTAAAGAGGGTTGTGCTGGCAACGGGACTCCCGGGCCTCCTTCCCACCTCCAATGGCCCCCTCCAATCCAGTTTCCCACCACTCACCCCCAGCTTCCACCATCCCAGCCTCAGTTTCCCCACAAAACAGCCTGGATTTCCTAGTACCAGACCATGCTTGAGCTCCAGCCACTCACAGCGACAGCTTGTGAAGCAGATGAGCAGGAGGTGGAAGGCGAGGAAAGTTTCAAGGGCGCACTGGGACAGGTCAAGCTGAGGCCTCCTCTGCTCAGGGCTTTCCTTTCGGGGCTTATATCCCCGCCTGGAAAGGAAAGGGAGTCCCACGGGGAGGGGGAGCCAGCAGGGGGTGCGCCCTTCTTCCTCCTTCCACCCGCACCAGATCCTTGAGCTTACGCTCAGCCACTGTGTGACGTCTCCACCTCATAGGAGCTCAGGGGGCAGCTGCCATGCTCAGATTTGGGGTCCCACTGGATGGGGTACCTAGCCTGAACCCTGTGTTCAGCCCACAGCCCCGCAGGGGCAGGTCCAGCCTCCTGAGGAAGTGAAGTGGTTGGATTAGACTCCTGGGGCAGCCCCTAGGACCAGGAATGAGATTCTGTCTTCCCTAGCCAGTCCATGGTGGGAGTGGGGGGTGGGAGGGTAGACACATTTCTTCCAGCCTGTGGGATCTGTGACCACTCTTTCCAAAACACAACTCTTTTCAGCCTCTGCTCAGTAATACCTTGGAGAAGGGCTGAGGAGTGACAGGACCTCTGGGGGAAAGTCTTTCTCCTGGAGGCAGGGGTGGGAGCACCTGACCTTGGGCTCCTGGCCTGCAGTTTATGATATCCTGGGGGAGAGGCCTCTCTGAACACTCCGTTATGTTCTCTCTCCATTAAAGAGTTGGGAAAAGAGGCAGGAGGAGGCAGAAGCCAGTCCCCCAACCAGAAGCAGCTGAGTCAGCTACCTGTGTATCCAGCCTGGCACACAAAGACCCTGGTCCAGCCATGTGTGGCATAGAGCCCTCTCCCCAGGCAATGTCCCCACCCCTATGCAGGTGTCAATCAGGGCACTGGTGTCTTCTGGGCCTGAGTGATGCCAAGCCTTCCCAAGCACATGCCACTGTCCCCAGCCCATGGCAGTCTCCACTGGGCTCTGAAGCCCAGATCCTTTGAAGGAAAGGACTCATGTTTATTAAGCACCTACTGTGCACCGGGTAGTACATAATTTCGGACATCACAAAACAATGAGCTGAGTTTATCTCCATTTTCCAGATGAGGAAATTGAAGCCCTGATGAAGCAGCCAAAGTCACCCATGATTCAAACAGGAAAAGGAGGGTGAGGCAGACCCCAGGAAGAGGACCTCTCAATTGTGAGGGGCAGAAAGCCTCAGCACCTGGAGTAGCCATGTGGTGCCGGAGGCAGGCCTGGGAGCAGGGACCGGAAGCCTAAGTCTGGGGCCCACCACCCACTATGAGAGGCTGAGTAGGGGAAGGGCCTCCAGAATGCCAACCCCCTCAAACCCACCTGCCCAGTAGGAGAGAGGGCTGTGGGAAGGTCTCTCCATAAAGCCCTTCCAGCTTCCTCTCCCTGGCCTGGCCAGACCTCCAGTACTTCCAGATGTCCCATCAACCCATGGGGGCTGAAGGGGCCAACTTGTCCAGGCCGCTGGTTCTGAGCCAGCCCCTCCAGCCCCAGGACAGATGGCTGTGGGTGCTATTTTTAGAGCTCTCCTGAGAGGGAGAGTTCAGGGCTCTCTCAGTCACTCTTTTTTTTTTTTTTTTTTAAATTTATTTTTTTATTGATAATTCTTGGGTGTTTCTCACAGAGGGGGATTTGGCAGGGTCATGGGACAATAGTGGAGGGAAGGTCAGCAGATAAACAAGTGAACAAAGGTCTCTGGTTTTCCTAGGCAGAGGACCCTGCGGCCTTCCGCAGTGTTTGTGTCCCTGATTACTTGAGATTAGGGAGTGGTGATGACTCTTAACGAGCATGCTGCCTTCAAGCATCTGTTTAACAAAGCACATCTTGCACCACCCTTAATCCTTTTAACCCTGAGTGGACACAGCACATGTTTCAGAGAGCACAGGGTTGGGGGTAAGGTCACAGATCAACAGGATCCCAAGGCAGAGGAATTTTTCTTAGTGCAGAACAAAATGAAAAGTCTCCCATGTCTACTTCTTTCTACACAGACAGGGCAACCATCCGATTTCTCAATCTTTTCCCCACCTTTCCCGCCTTTCCATTCCACAAAGCCGCCATTGTCATCCTGGCCCGTTCTCAATGAGCTGTTGGGCACACCTCCCAGACGGGGTGGTGGCCGGGCAGAGGGGCTCCTCACTTCCCAGTAGGGGCGGCCGGGCAGAGGCGCCCCTCACCTCCCGGATGGGGCGGCTGGCCGGGCAGGGGGGCTGACCCCCCCACCTCCCTCCCGGACGGGGCGGCTGGCCGGGCGGGGGGCTGACGCCCCCACCTCCCTCCCGGATGGGGCGGCTGGCCGGGCAGAGGGGCTCCTCACTTCCCAGTAGGGGCGGCCGGGCAGAGGCGCCCCTCACCTCCCGGACGGGGCGGCTGGCCGGGCAGGGGGGCTGACCGCCCCCAACTCCCTCCCGGACGGGGCGGCTGGCCGGGCGGGGGGCTGACCCCCCCACCTCCCTCCTGGACGGAGCGGCTGGCCGGGCGGGGGGCCGACACCCCCACCTCCCTCCCGGGCGGGGCGGCTGGCCAGGCGGGGGGCCGACCCCCCCACCTCCCTCCCGGAAGGGGCGGCTGGCCGGGCGGGGGGCGGACCCCCCCACCTCCCTCCCGGATGGGGCGGCTGGCCGGGCAGAGGGGCTCCTCACTTCCCAGTAGGGGCAGCCGGGCAGAGGCGCCCCTCACCTCCCAGACGGGGCGGCTGGCCGGGCGGAGGGCTGACCCCCCCACCTCCCTCCCGGACAGGGCGGCTGGCCGGGCGGGGGGCTGACCCCCCCACCTCCCTCCCGGACGGGGCGGCTGGCCGGGCAGAGGGGCTCCTCACTTCCCAGTAGGGGCGGCCGGGCAGAGGCGCCCCTCACCTCCCAGACGGGGCGGCTGGCCGGGCGGGGGGCTGACCCCCCCCCACCTCCCTCCCGGACGGGGTGGCTGCTGGGCGGAGACGCTCCTCACTTCCCAGATGGGGTGGCTGCCGGGCGGAGAGGCTCCTCACTTCTCAGACGGGGCAGCTGCCGGGCGGAGGGGCTCCTCACTTCTCAGACGGGGTGGTTGCCAGGCAGAGGGTCTCCTCACTTCTCAGACGGGGCGGCCGGGCAGAGACGCTCGTCACCTCCCAGACGGGGTCTCGGCCGGGCAGAGGCGCTCCTCACATCCCAGATGGGGCGGCGGGGCAGAGGCGCTCCCCACATCTCAGACAATGGGCGGCGGGGCAGAGACGCTCCTCACTTCCTAGATGTGACGGCGGCTGGGAAGAGGCGCTCCTCACTTCCTAGATGGGATGGCGGCCGGGCGGAGATGCTCCTCACTTTCCAGACTGGGCAGCCAGGCAGAGGGGCTCCTCACATCCCAGACGATGGGCGGCCAGGCAGAGACACTCCTCACTTCCCAGACGGGGTGGCGGCCGGGCAGAGGCTGCAATCTCGGCACTTTGGGAGGCCAAGGCAGGCGGCTGGGAGGTGTAGGTTGTAGTGAGCCGAGATCACGCCACTGCACTCCAGCCTGGGCACCATTGAGCACTGAGTGAACGAGACTCCGTCTGCAATCCCGGCACCTCGGGAGGCCGAGGTTGGCGGATCACTCGCGGTTAGGGGCTGGAGACCGGCCCGGCCAACACAGCGAAACCCCGTCTCCACCAAAACCAGTCAGGCGTGGCGGCGCGTGCCTGCAATCGCAGGCACTCGGCAGGCTGAGGCAGGAGAATCAGGCAGGGAGGTTGCAGTGAGCCGAGATGGCAGCAGTACAGTCCAGCTTCGGCCCCGCATGAGAGGGAGACCGTGGGGAGACGGAGAGGGAGACGGAGAGGGAGACGGAGAGGGAGAGGGAGAGGGAGAGGGAGAGGGAGAGCAACAAGCTCTTAAACATGTGAGAATCCTTTGTGGTCATTTGTTACAGCAGCCCCAGGAAACTCTCAGTCACTCTTTTATGGGTTCAATCACCTGCATTCTCCGCAGATGGCTCCTTATCAGCCAGTCAGGCCCCATGGGACCACACATCCCAGGAAACACCAGGGTGCCCTGCTGAGCATGGAGGTGGAAGAGGACACCAGGACAAGGGGACATAGATCCTACCTTTGAAGGAAGGAGAAAAATCATTCTTCTTAGGGACCCCTCATCCAGGGGGCAAGGCACGGCCCTGTCCTTCAAGAACTCCAGTCTCAAAGAAAGGACATGGCTGTATCATGGGGGATCCTCAGTCTGAGGCGTTCTCAGAACACAGATACAGAGAGACAAACAGAGAGACAGCTGTTGTCCTGTTTGGAGGGGTGACAGCAGAAATCAAAGAATTCCACTCCTCCATGGAAAGACAAAAGACAGGTGCTCACCCTGGGATGGAGGGGGCAGTGGGAGCCTGTTAGTACATCTGTGATCCCAGGGGTCAGGGCCTACAGAAGGACCCTGCAGGCTAATGGGGGCAAGGATACCAGAGAGTAGGGGCCTGTTTGCTCTTCTGACCCTGCAGCACTAACCATGGGGGGATAGGGAGTTTCTAGTGCACTGATTCCAGGCAGAGAGATGGAGCCTGTGAGATGTCCACAGGGAATCTGACATCCCTGGAACCCCGTCATGTCTTGGGGAATATGGGGTCCAAGGACAGATGGGAAGACAGGAGAGACATTATAGAAGCTAAAGGGTATGGGATGGCCTGAATTTGGGCTACAACCTCTGAAGAAGTCACTTCCTCATTTATAGCCAAAGTAAATGGGCACCCAGATAGTCTCAGTGTGGACCAGGAGCCAGCCTCACACATCCCTCCAAGCCCTCCCTATCCATCATACTCCCACCCTCCAATTTCACTCCCCACTTACAGGGCAAGCCGATTGGTTCATTAATCACTGCCTCCTCATCAGAGAGCTTGTTAACTTGTTGATTAGTGGGGAGTATGTCTCAGTCCTCGGTCAATGGGCTTGGCTACATCCATCCACACACCCACACCCATCATTGATGCATGACTCAGTGGTCATGAGACATGTCTGGGGGTTGGGGGGCTGACATCTGTGAGGGCAGAAAGTTCAGACACAATTGTTTTTGTAGATGTTTGAGACCAGGGCCTGCCTCCAACTTGTCCTTGAAGGGTAGGGGACAGAATCACTAGGGCTTCCTTGGCCCCATTCTCAGAGCCCCGGGCAAGGCCACCCTAAGTCAGGGAGACCATGGACCTGGACCCTAGCCAACCATTCCCCTTGTCCGGTGGGCTCAAGGGTCACTCATCAAGGGGGTGTGGCCTCTGCCATTCATCCTTAGAGGTCTAGAATTTTGCACCCCATCACCCACCTGCCCGTACCCACTCCCCACACATAAGCCCTCTCTTTGATCATCGTGCACTGTGCAGCACTGGCCCACTGCCCTTCCGCCTGCAGGCATTTCCTCATGCCCAGGGTCCTGCAGACAGCAGATGGTCATACAGCAAGAGTAATTCGATCCTCATTCAACAAGCGTTTATGAAGTCCCTGCTGTGTGCCAGGCACTCATCTAGGGACTGGGATAGGGCAGTGAACAAACAGGCAAAACCCTTGCCCTCATAGAGCTCACATTCTAGTGACAGGAAATAGAAAATAAATCAATAAGCATGGAGGCTGGGCGTGGTGGCTCATGCCTGTAATCCCAGCACTTTGGGAGGCTGAGGCAGGTGGATCACCTGAGGTCAGGAGTTCAAGACCAGCCTGGCCAACATGGTGAAATCTCGTCTCTATTAAAAGTACAAAAATTAGCCAAGTGTGGTGGCACACGCCTGTGATCCCAGCTACTTGGGAGGCTGAGGCAGGAGAATTGCTTGAACCTGGGGGGCGGAGGTTGCAGTGAGCTGAGATGGTGCCACTGCACACCAGCCTGGGTGACAAAGTGAGACTCTGTCTCAAACAAATTAAAAATAAATAAATAAATAAGCATGGAATATATCTGATAAGTGCTATAGAGAAAAATCAGAGCTGGGTATAGTGGCTCATGTCTGTAATCCCAGTGCTCTGGTAGACCAAGTTGGGAGGTTCACTTGAGCCCAGGAAGGAAGTGACGAAGCAAACCATGAAGCTACCTTGGGAAGAGTGGGAGGTGGGTTTGGGAAACAGTGATGCCAAGAAGGAAGGGATTTTCACTTTTCGTGGTAGGCATTCTCCTAGAAGCTCTCCCTCTCACCTGAAGCTTCTGCAAACCACAGTAACAGATACCTGTGGCATAGTGAGCACCCAAGGCTCAGGCTTCGCTCTAGAACAGAGGTAGGCAAACTCTTTCTGTAAAGGACCAGATAGTAAATATTTTAGGCTTTGTGCTCCAGACAGTCTCTGTTGACACTGTTAGGCTTAGCCATGGTAGCTTGAAAGCAGCCACTGAATACACCAAAAAAAAAAAAAAAAAAGAATGGATGTAGTAGTGCTTTAGTAAATCTTTGCTTACAGACATTAAAGTTTGAATTTCATATAATTTTCATGGAATAAATATTTTTTTAAGTTTTTTTCAACCACTTACAGATTCAACCACTTTAAAAAGCCATTCTTTTTATTATTATTGAGCTCAAGGGATCCTCTGGCCTCAGCCACCTAAAATGCTGAGATTATAGCCATGAGCCACTGTGCCTGGCATAAAAGGCATTTTTTTTTTTTTTTTGAGACAGTCTCACTCTGTCACCCAGGCTGGAGTACAGTGGTGTGATCTCAGCTCACTGCAAGTCCCCCTTCCCGGGTTCAAGGGATTCTCCTGTCTCAACCTCCTAAGTAGCTGGGACTACGGGCGCCCGCCACCATGCCCGGCTACTTTTTGTATTTTTTGTGGAGATGGGGTTTCACCATGTTGGCCAGGCTGGCCTCGAACTCCTGACCTCAAGTGATCTGCCTGCCTTGGCTTCCCAAAGTGCTCGGATTACAGGTGTGAGTCACCACACCCAGCCCCTAAAAGGCATTTTTAACCCACAGGATGTATAAAAACAGGCCCACAGGGCCATAGTTTGCTGACCCCTGGTCTAGAAAAGCAAGAACTCAGCTACCTCTGCTCTGGGTTGAGTTGTCGGTTTACCAAGAGTTGATTGGGTGTGTCCCTAGCCTGTTTATGCCAGGTGTACTGTCATTGTAATCATATAATTAAATTAAATATTACATAAACTGATGAAATGTGAGTGCATAAAGAATTGTTTCCTTGCAAATGACGTTAAATGCTTTGGAAGTAATACACAAAAAGATTTGCTGACATGTTGAATTAGATGTGAAAGATAAACTATTCAGGGAAAATCCTAAAAATCTAGAACTGTTCTACATCAGATTGCTTCACAACTGTCTTTAAGTTTAAATAAATTGAAAATAATAGGTGATGAATTATAGGATTGTGGGTGTGATTTATGCAAGAAAGTCAAAGAGGGATTTGAGTCAAGATACCCAAAGAAAAACTAGTGCCTGAGTGTGAATTTTGTTTGAAGTCAAAACAAAGTGACCAGGACCTACACGTGTCTGTTTTTAACGATTGCCCACTTGAACTGACGTTTCCAAAAGACTGGTCAATGACTCAGACCTACTTATATCAAAACAAGGGCTTCTCCGGTATTTTATATATTTCCAATATAGTTTGAATGTTTTATGGGGTATTTCGTTTTCTTTCTTTCTTTTTTCTTTTTGAGACAGAGTTTTGCTCTTGCTGCCCAGGCTGGAGTGCAATGGCGCCATCTTGGCTCACCGCAACCTCTGCCTCCAGGGCCCAAATGATTCTCCTGCCTCAGCCTCCTGAGTAGCTGGGATTACAGGCATGTGCAAACACGCCCAGCTAATTTTGTATATTTAGTAGAGATGAGGTTTCTCTATGTTGGTCAGGATGGTCTCAAACTCCCAACCTCAGGAGATCTGCCCGCCTTGGCCTCCCAAAGTGCTGGGATTACAGGCGTGAGCCACCGCGCCCGGCCAGGGTATTTCTATTTAATGTCTTAAAGAACAACCAAAGAATTTTTAAAAACCAAATATAAACCAAATGCTGGTGTGTGTTGTGAAGCCTTAAATAAAATACTGTGAGGGGCCCTGGGCTCCAGTCCCGGGAAGCTCTGTGCACATCCCCTCCACACCAGTGCCCCTGTTCCCAGTCTGAATCCAAAACTTTTTCTAGGGTCCAACAGTCTCAAGAGGCCTGTGCTGCTGGTGCAGAAGCTCAAGTCCTGAAAGAAGCATGGATTCAGGGAGAAACAGTTCTGACCTGGTTCAGACACGGTCAGCTCCCTGATTCACCAGGCCCCTGTGGACTTGTGTCTTTGTGGCTCCTGGTATCTGATGTGGTGCTGGCACATGGTGGCTCTTAGGTTATTGAATTGATCAGTCAACAAGTGAACATATTAGTTAAAATATTGGTGCACCTGCCTTAATAGAGACCAAATAACAGTAACTTAAATACTATAGATATTTATTTCTCTCTCATGTAAGGGTCCAAGCTGGCAGCTGGGGGGTAGGGTGCCTCTGATCTACAAGGAGCCCAAGCACCGTCTTGTCTTGTTATTCCAAGATTGTGCACCCATCCACATGGTTTAAGAATGTACATTACCGGGCCTGGCATGGTGGCTCACTCTTGTAATCCCAGCACTTTGGGAGGCTGAGGCGGGTGGATCACGAGGTCAGGAGTTTGAGACCAGCCTGGCCAATATGGTGAAATGCTGTCTCTACTAAAAATACAAAAATTAGCCGAGCGGAGTGAGGCTTGCCTGTAGTCCCAGCTACTCAGGAGGCTGAGGCAGAAGAATCGCTTGAACCCGGGAGGCGGAGTTTGCAGTGAGCTGAGTTCATGCCACTGCTCTCCAGCCTGGGTGACAGAGAGAGACTCTGTCTCAAAAAAAAAAAAAAAAAAAAAAAAAAGAATGTTCATTACCCCACATTCATATTCCAGGCCACAGAGATGAGAAATAAGGAAGTAGAGGGCAAGCATTTTGCCATTTAAGAGTGTGGTGTGGTGAAGGTCAGGTTCCTGGCCCACATCTGTAATCTCAGCACTTTGGGAGGCTGAGACGGGGGGACCACTTGGGCCCAGGAATTTGAGACCAGTCTGGGCAACCTAGCAAGATCCTGTTTCTACCAAAACAAAAAATAAATTAGCCTGGTATGGTGGTGTGTGCCTGTAGTCACAGCTACTTGGGAGGCTGAGGTGGGAGGATCACCTGAGCCTGGGAGGTCAGGGCTGCAGTGAGTTGGGATTGCCCCACCGCACCCAGCCTGGGCAACAGAGCAAAACCGCATCTCAGAACAAAACAAAACAGAACAAAGAAGTGGGGGAGGAAGGAGCGTATCAGGAAGAATAGCTAATGGATGCTGGGCTGAATACCTACATGATGGGATGATTTGTGCAGCAGACCACCAAGGCACACATTTACCCATGTAACAAACCTGCACATCCTGTACATGTACCCCTGAACATAAAAATTGGAAATCAAAGAAAAAAAAAAAAGGAGTCCAGGTGCGGTGACTCATGCCTGTAATTCCAGCACTTTGGGAGGCCAAGGTGGGCAGATCATGAGGTCAGGAGTTTGAGACCAGTCTGACCAACATGGTGAAAGCCTGTCTCTACTAAAAATACAAAAATTAGCCGGGCGTGGTGGTGCACACCTGTAATCCCAGCTACTCAGGAGGCTGAGGCAGGAGAATTGCTTGAACCAGGGAGGCGGAGGTTGCAGTGAGCCGAGATTGCACTGCTGTACTGCAGCCTGGGTGACAGAGCGAGACTCCATCTCAAAAGAAGAAAAAAAAAGAAAAAAAAGAAGAAGACAAGTTTGTCGAGGAAGCTGCATTGCTTCTTGTGCTCCTATCCCATTGGCCAGAACGTAGTCATGTGGCCAACCATAGCTAGAAGGCACCTGGCCTCTGTTTTGTTCCATTTTCCCCAACCCTCATGTCACCCAGTCTCTGTCTTCTCTGCCTTCAGACTTACCTGTCCCTTACCACAATGAAGGCTGTATGGCTTCACCTCAGCATACAGCCTCCTCCTCCTCAACCCCCTGCCTGGAAGTGGGAGCCTTTTGCCCTACCTCACAAGTCTTTTCCTTTCACTCTTTCCCATCACTCTTAGTGAAAGAGACTGCCAGTTGTTCCCCAGTATCTATTTTCCCCTTCTTCCCTTATAATAGAATTTAGCTGAGCATGCAGCTTCCCAGCTAAAAACTACATTTCCCAATCTCCCTTGCAGCTGAGTGGCTTCTTGTGACTAAGTTCTGGCCAACGGATGTGAGCAAGAGTGTGGTGTGCCACTCCCAAAATGTGCTACTGGAAGGAATGGGGGTACCCTCTCACTCCTCTGTTTTCCAGGTTCCATGACCCTGAATGCAATGCCAAATGGAAATGTAAAAATGAGCCATTTTTGAGCTTTACTGAGGTATCATTAACCAATAAAATTGTATATACTTAAAGTGTACAATATGATGATTTGATATATATACATATTGTTAAATGATTACTACAATCAAATTAACACATCCATCACCTCACATTGTTACCTTTTCTCATGTGAGAACCCTTAAGATCTACTCTCTAAGCAGATTTCAAGTATGCAATACAGTATTATTAAATATAGTCACTCTGCTGTACAAAAAATGAGCCATTCTTGACCATGTGAATGAAGGAATCTTTTAGTCACAGGAGTGCCCTCAGACTGCCAGGACCAATTTGTCTGCATCACTCTGGAAATGCCTGGGACTTCCCCATTCCCCAGGGGCACCTTTAACCAATGACTGATGAATGCGGGGGTATACACACTTCAGTTTGCCTCTGATTTGTATGACTTGAGATGTGGCCAACAGGTGTTCCCTGGAAAGTGTGATGGGCATTTTTTGGGCGGCACACAGCTGCTGAAACAGCCATCACAATAGCAGGCGAGGGCAAGGGCACCAATGCCCTTATTCAAGTCTAAAGGGCCTGGAGAAGTTCTTGTCCCCTGAGCTCTCAGCACTGACCTGCCAGGACTCCCTTACGGTACTGAACCCACACTGGGGATAAACCACTAAGAGCAGGATCAAAATTAAGCAGCACAGAGACAAGAAAAGTGGGGGAGAGAGATCCAGATAAAAGGGGGAGAGAGGAACAGAGCCAGAAAAAGCTCAAACCAAAGCCACTGTCATTTTCACACTTCATGAAAACAATAAAAGGAAGAGATCTGTGAAGTTAGAAAAACTCTCTGATGAAGCCTCCTTCTGAAAATTCAGGAAAATTTATTTCACGTAAAAATCAGCACAGTAAAAGTATTAAGATCAAATCCCATACAAAACTATTATTAGAAATATAGCCCTGGCCAGGTGCAGTGGCTTATGCCTGTAATCTCAGCACTTTGGGAGGCCGAGGCAGGTGGACCGCTTGAGCCCAGGAGTTCAAAACTAGCCTGGGCAACACAGAAAGACCCTATTTCTACCAAAAATACAAAAAAAAAAAAAAAAAAATTCTGACATGGATGGTCAAAATAGAAAAAAAAATACAAAAAATAGCTGAATGTGATGGCACGCACCTGTAGTCCCACTACTCAGAAAGCTGTGGTGGGAGGATTGCTTGAGTGGAGGAGATCAAGGTTGCAGTGAGCTGTGAATGTGCCTCTGCACTCCAGCCTGGCAACAGAGAGAAACCCTGTCTCTACAAAGAAAGTTATATTACCATCACTTTTCTTTCTGTATTTTCTTTTTTGGGTGTGTGTGAGGGGACAGGGACATCCTGAGTAGCCGGGACTACAGGTGCAAACCACCACATCCAGCTAATTTTAATATTGTTTTATTTATTTTTGTTTTCTAAAAATCATTATTATTATTATACTTTAAGTTCTAGGGTACATGTGCACAACGTGCAGGTTTGTTACATAGGTATACATGTGCCATGTTGGTTTGCTGCCCCCATCAACTCGTTATTGGTCTATTCAGAGATTCAATTTTTTCCTGGTTTAGTCTTGGGAGGGTGTATGTGTCCAGAAATTTATCCATTTCTTCTAGATTTTCTAGTTTATTTGTGTAGAGGTGTTTATAGTATTCTCTGATGGTAGTTTGTATTTCTGTGGGATCTGTGGTGACATCCCCTTTATCATTTTTTATTGTGTCTATTGGAGTCTTCTCTCTTTTCTTCTTTATTAGTCTTGCTAGCAGTCTATGTATTTTGTTGATCTTTTCAAAAAACCAGCTCCTGGATTCGTTGATTTTTTTGAAGGGTTTTTTGTGTCTCTGTCTCCTTCAGTTCTGCTCTGATCTTAGTTATTTCTTGTCTTCTGCTAGCTTTTGAATTTGTTTGCTCTTGCTTCTCTAGTTCTTTTAACTGTGTTGTTAGGGTGTCGATTTTAGATCTTTCCTGCTTTCTCTTGTGAGCATTTAGTGCTATAAATTTCCCTCTACACACTGCTTTAAATGTGTCCCAGAGATTCTGGTATGTTGTGTCTTTGCTCTCACTGGTTTCAAAGAACATTTTTATTTCTGCCTTCATTTCGTTATTTATCCAGTAGTCATTCAGGAGCAGGTTGTTCGGTTTCCATGTAGTTGTGCGGTTTTGAGTGAGTTTCTTAATCCTGAGTTCTAATTTGATTGCACTGTGGTCTGAGAGACATTTGTTGTGATTTCTGTTCTTTTACATTTGCTGAGGAGAATTTTACTTCCAATTATGTGGTCAGTTTTAGAATAAGTGCGATGTGGTGGTGAGAAGAATGTATATTCTGTTGATTAGGTGTGGAGAGTTCTGTAGATGTCTATTAGGTCTGCTTGATCCAGAGCTGAGTTCAAGTCCTGGATATTCTTGTTAATTTTCTGTCTCGTTGATCTGTTTAATATTAACAGTGGGATGTTAAAGTTTCCATTATTGTGTGGGAGTCTAAGTCTCTTTGTAGGTCTCTAAGGACTTGCTTTATGAATCTGAGTGCTTCTGTATTGGGTGCATATATATTTAGGATAGTTAGCTCTTCTTGTTGAATTGATCCCTTTACCATTATGTAATGGCCTTCTTTCTCTCTTTTTATCTTTGTTGGTTTAAAGTCTGTTTTATCAGAGACCAGGATTGCAACCCCTGCTTTCTTTTTTCTTTCCATTTGCTTGGTAGATCTTCCTCCATCCCTTTATTTTGAGCCTATGTGTGTCTTTGTACATGAGATGGGTCTCCTGAATACAGCACACTGATGGGTCTTTACTCTTTATCCAATTTGCCAGTCTGTGTCTTTTAATTGGGGCATTTAGCCCATTTACATTTAAGGTTAATATTGCTGTGTGTGAATTTGATTCTGTCATTATGATGCTAGCTGGTTATTTCGCCCATTAATTGATGCAGTTTCTTCATAGCGTTGATGGTCTTTACAATTTGGCATGTTTTTGCAGTGGCTGATACTGACTGTACCTTTCCATATTTAGTGCTTCCTTCAGGAGCTCTTATAAGGCAGGCCTGGTGGTGACAGTATCTCTCAGCATTTGCTTGTCTGTAAAGGATTTTATTTCTCCTTCACTTATGAAGCTTAGTTGGGCTGGATATGAAATTCTCGGTTGAAAATTCTTTTCTTTAAGAATGTTGAATATTGGCCCCCACTATCTTCTGGCTTGTAGGGTTTCTGCCAAGAGATCCCCTGATAGCCTGATTGGCTTCCCTTTGTGGGTAGCTGGACCTTTCTGTCTGGCTGCCCTTAACATTTTTTCCTTCATTTCAACGTTGGTGAATCTGACAATTCTGTGTCTTGGGGTTGCTCTTCTCAAGGAGTATCTTTGTGGTGGTCTCTGTATTTCCTGAATTTGAATGTTGGCCTGCCTTGCTAGGTTGGGGAAGTTCTCCTGGATAATATCCTCAAGGGTGTTTTCTAATTTGGTTCCATTCTCCCCGTCACTTTCAGGTATGCCAATCAAATGTAGATTTGGTCTTTTCACATTGTCCCATATTTCTTGGAGGCTTTGTTTGTTTCTTTTCCCTCTTTTTTCTCTAACTTGTCTTCTCACTTTATTTCATTAATTTGATCTTCAATCACTGATATCCTTTCTTCTGTTTGATTGAATTGGCTATTGAAGCTTGTGTATGCTTCACGAAGTTCTCGTACTGTGGTTTTCAGCTCCATCAGGTCATTTAAGCTCTTCTCTACACTGGTTATTCTAGTTAGCCCTTCGTCTAACCTTTTCTCAAGGTTTTTACTTCCTTGCAATGGGTTAGAACATGCTCCTTTAGCTCAGAGAAGTTTGTTATTACCGACCTTCTGAAGCCTACTTCTGTTCATCAAACAGAATGAGTTCATCAAACTCATTCTTCGTCCAGTTTGGTCCCTTGCTGGCGAGGAGTTGTGTTCCTTTGGAGGAGAAGAGGTGTTCTGGTGTTTGGAATTTTCAGCCTTTCTGCTCTTGTTTCTCCCCATCTTTGTGGTTTTATCTACCTTTGGTCTTTGATGTTGGTGACCTATGGATGGGGTTTTGGTGTGGATGTCTTTTTTGTTGATGTTGATGCTATTCCTTTCTGTTTGTTAGTTTCCCTTCTAACAGACAGGCCCCTCAGCTGCAGATCTGTTGGAGTTTGCTGGAGGTCCACTCCAGACCCTGTTTGCCTGGGTATCAGCAGCGGAGGCTGCAGAATAGCACATATTGCTGCCTGATCCTTCCTCTGGAAGCTTTGTCCCAGAGGGGCACCCACCTGTATGGGGTGTCTGTCAGCACCTACTGGGAAATGTCTCCCAGTCAGGCTACATGGGGGTCCGGGACCCACTTGAGGAGGCAGTCTGTCCATTATTGGAGCTCAAATGCCATGCTGGGAGAACCACTGCTTTCTTCAGAGCTGTCAGGCAGGGATGTTTAAGTCTGCAGAAGCTGTCTGCTGCCTTTTGTTCAGATATGCCCTGCCCCCATATGTGGAATCTAGACAGGCATTAGGCCTTGTTGAGTGGCAGCAGGCTCTGCTCTGTTCGAGCTTCCCTGCTCCTTTGTTTACACTGTGAGCATGGAACCACCTACTTAAGCCTTAGCAAAGGTGAATGCCCCTCCCCCTGCCAAGCTTCAGCATCCCAGTCGATCTCAGACTGCTGCGCTAGCAGCGAACAAGGCTCCGTGGGTGTGGGACCTGCCAAGTCAGGCACGGTAGGGAATCTCCTGGTCTGCTGGTTGCAAAGACTGTGGGAAAAGTGCAGTATTTGGGCAGAAGCGTACCATTCCTCCAGGTACAGTCACTCATGGCTTCCCTTGGCTAGAAAAGGGAAATCCCCCAACCCCTTGTACTTCCCAGGTGAGGCGATGCCCTACCCTGCTTCGGCTTGCCTTCCATGTGCTGCACCCACTCTCCAACCAGTCCCAATGAGATGAATCAGGTACCTCAGTTTGAAATGCAGAAATCACCCATCTTCTGCATCAATCTCACTGGGAGCTGTTTCAATCCGGCAATCTTGGAAGGGACCTTATTTTATTTTTTGAGACAGAGTCTCACTTTGTTGCCCAGGCTAGAGTGCAGTAGGGTGATCTTGCCTCACTGCAACCTCTGCCTCCCAGGATCAAGCGATTCTCCTGCCTCAGCCTCCTGAGTAGCTGGAATTACAGGTACCCGCCACTGCGCCCAGCTAATTTTTTTTATTTTTAGTAGAGATGGGGTTTTGCCATGTTGGCCAGGCTTGTCTTCAACTCTGACCTCAGGCGATCCGCCTGCCTTGGCATCCCAAAGTGCTGGGATTACAGGCGTGAGCCACCGCATCCAGACAATATTGTTTTATTCTTTTATTTCTGCAGAGATAGAGTCTCACTATGTTGCCCAGGCTGGTCTCAAGTTCTTGGGCTCAAGCAATCCTCTCACCTCTACTTCTTAAAGTGGTAGGATTAAGGTGTGAGCCCCCATGCCCAGCCTCATCAGACTTTTTGACAGCAATACTCTACACAAGAAGGAAATGGAATGTATATTTGAGATGCTCAAGGAAAGAAAACGTGAACCAAAGATTTTTATACCTAGCTCTACTGATCTTCAAATGCATAACCAAACTTTATCAGCATGCAAGATCTCAGGGAATATTATGCCCATGAGCCCTTCCTGAGGAATCTACTAGAGAATAAACCTCCGACAACCAAAATGACTAGAAAGACATTGTCATAAGGACTGGTGATGAGCATGAAGTTTAGTTTCATAGAACTAATACTAAATAAGGATTAAAAGGAAGAAAGTGTATTATGTAATGGTTATATACTCTAACAATATATATAGTAAAACCAGAGAAAAGTGGGCAGGGGGAGCAAGGGGGTAGCATATGCAAAAAAAAAAAGAAAAAAAAACAACAACTGTTTTCAGTAATAACTGGTGGTGGCAGTCAGTATTGTTTTTCTGAGACTTCTGCATAATATAGATCAAACAAATGCATATTCTAAAATAAATGGGATATTTAATGCTTTCATCTCCTGTGTCCTTGAGAACCAGAATTTACAATGTGGAAGAAAGGGGTTACAGATGTAATACAGAAGAGGTTAAATAAACACCCATCAGTCCTGAATTTGATTTGGAAATCTCTGTTTACTGAAAAGGCCTAGAAACAATGTTGAAACCAATGGCAATGAACATCCATAGCATCTAGACTGGTCTTTTTTTCCTTTCCTTTTCTCTTTTTTTTTTTCCAGCTTTATTCAGGAATAATGGACAAATAAAAATTCCATATATTCAGCTGGGTGCAGTGGCTAACACCTGTAATCCCAGTACTTTGGGAGGCTGAGGTGTGCAGATCGCTTGAGGTCAGGAGTTTGAGACCAGCCTGGCCATCACGGTGAGACTCAATCTCTATAAAAATACAAAAAATTAGCCAGGCATGGTGGTGCATGCCTGTAGTCCCAGCTACTCGGGAGGCTGAGGCAGGAGAAGCACTTGAACCTGGAGGTGGAGGTTGCAATGAGCCAAGATTGTGCCACCACACTCTAGCCTGGGCAACAGAGCGAGACTCTGTCTCAAAAAAAATTGTATATATTCAAGGGGGTTGAATATTTATTATTTAATTATTATTAATTTATTATTAAATTTATTATTTAATATACATATATTAAATAATGTATACATTATTTAATGTAATGATTAATGATTATGTAATGATTACCACAATCAAATGAACACATCCTTCACCACAAAGTTACCATTTATTTGTGTGTATGTGTGTGGTGAGGACACTTCCGATCTGCTCTCTTAGCAAATTTCAAGTAAACAGTACAATAGTATTAACTCTAATCACCACACTTTACCAGAATTCCCATGCTTTACCATGATTCCCAGAATCTATTCATCTTGTAACTGAAAGTTTGTACTCTTTGACAAACATCTTCCCATCTCCCCGTCCTCATCCAGCCCCTGACAACCACTGTTCCTCTCTTTGCTTCTGAGTTTGTGATTTTTTTATATTCCACATATAAGTGAGATCAAATTGTATTTGTCTTTCTGTGTCTGGCTTATTTTAATTAGCATTAAAACGCAACATGTTCATCAATATTGTCACAAATGGCAGGATTTCCTTCTTTTTTTTTTTTTTTAATAGCTGAATGAACTGGGATTTCTTGGAGAAGTGGTAGAGCCAAGCTCTGGAACCGGAAATACGCAAGGTGAGGCTGGAACACGTTGTCAAATCAGAAAACAAGAGGCTTCGGGCATGTGGGCATGTCCAAAGGACTAAAGAACCAACCTGAATAAGCTCCCTCTGGCCAAAGATGGACTTAATGAGCATCATCATGGTAATAATTGTAATGGATTAGGGCCAGGTGCAGTGGCTCATGCCTGTAATCCTAGAACTCTGGGAGGCAAGGCAGAAGGATCACTTGAGCCCAGGAGTTTGAGACCACCCTGGGCAAAATAGTGAGACCTCATCTCTACAAAAACCTTAACAATTTAGCTGGCTTGGGCCGGCTGTGGTGGCTCAAGTCTGTAATCACAGCGCTTCGGGAGGCCGAAGCAGGTGGATCACCTGAGGTCAGGAGTTGGAGACCAGCCTGGCCAAAATGGTGAAATCCCGTTTTTACTAAAAATACAAAAATCAGCTGGGCATGGTGGCGGATGCCTATAATCCCAGCTACTCGGGAGGCTGAGGCAGGAGAATCGCATGAACCTGGGAGGTGGAGTTTGCAGTGAGCCGAGATCATGCCACTGCACTCCAGCCTGGGTGCAACAAGAGTGAAACTCCGTCTCAAAAAAAAAAAAAAAAAAAAAAAAAAAAAGAACTGGCTTGATGTGCATTCCTGCTCCCAGCTACTCAGGAGGCTGAGGTGGGAGGATGGCTTGAGCTTGAGAGGTTGAGGCTTCAGTGAGCCATGATCGCAGCACTGTACTCCAGCCTGGGCATGAGAGCAGGATTTTGACTCAATAATAATAATAATAATAATAATAAATAAAATGTAATGGGTTGAAACCTGTCAAACACATTTAAATGCTTGAGTTCATTTTAATATTTTTCATTATCTTGAAAACTGGATAAACAAGGAGAAGGAATCAAGCATTTATCTTGACTGTCCTATATGAACTGGATAGCCAGACAGTAGATGAGGGCAAGTTATTCTTTTTTTTTTTTTTTTTTGAGACGGAGTCTCGCTCTGTCGCCCAGGCTGGAGTGCAGTGGCGGGATCTCGGCTCACTGCAAGCTCCGCCTCCCGGGTTCACGCCATTCTCCTGCCTCAGCCTCCCAAGTAGCTAGGACTACAGGCGCCCGCCACTACGCCCGGCTATTTTTTGTAGTTTTAGTAGAGACGGGGTTTCACCGTTTTAGCCGGGATGGTCTCGATCTGCTGACCTCGTGATCCGCCCGCCTCAGCCTCCCAAAGTGCTGGGATTACAGGCGTGAGCCACCGCGCCCGGCCGAGGGCAAGTTATTCTTTATAAACTTATTCCATCAATCAATAAAGATAAAGGATAGAATTAGAAAATCATCACCATTTATCACCACTGGCCCTCCCCAGCATATTAATGGATCTACTCATTGAGTATCAATATCTGTTGTCATCAAAAGAAAGAGATGGCTGGGCATGGTGGCTCACACCTGTAATCCCAGCACTTTGGGAGGCAGAGGTGGGAGGATCACTTGAGGCCATGAGTTTGAGACCAGCCTGGGCAACACAGCAAGATCCCCATCTCTACAAGAAAATAAAAATAAATAAAAAATAAAAAGAGAGCCAGGCACGGTGGCTCACACCTGTAATCCCAGCACTTTGGGAGGCTGAGGCGGGCAGATTTCTTGAGTCCAGAAGTTTAAGACCAGCCTGGCCAACATGGCAAAATCTCATCTCCACTAAAAATACAAAAAAATTAGCTGGGCATTGTGGGGCACACTTGCAATCTCAACTACTCAGGAGGCTGAGGTGGGAGGATCGATTGAACCCAGAAAGCAGAGGTTGCAGTGAGCTGAGATCGCACCACTGCACTCCAGCCTGGGCAACAGAATGAGACTCCATCTCCAAAAATAAATAAATAAATTAATTAAAAGAGAGGCAGCCAGACATTATGAGTCTCCTGGTTAACACACCAGCACCTATAGTTTTGCCAAACGGATTGACCCTGAATTTGATCATGCCTCTGGATCCAGCTGCCAATTTGCGGAAATAGAGGACAGAGGAACTTACTGAACTGCATCATGAGTATGCAGTCATCCAAATCTGGACTGTGGGAAACTTGACAGGTCAAACAGCCCAGATTCTTCTACAGATAAGTTGTAAGAAAAAGAAAGGGACAGAAGAGGAAACTTCAGATTAGAAGAAATCTTATACCCAATGATGTTGAGGTGAGAAGAAGAGGAGTAGGAGGACTGGGAGGAGGTGGAGGACAAGAAGGATAAGGAAGAAGAAGAACCTTAAAATGAATCAGATTTTTGGCCAGGCATGGTGGCTCATGCCTGTAATTCCAGCATTTTGGAAGACTGAGGTGGGCAGATCGCTTGAGGTCAGGAGTTCAAGAGCAACCCGGCCAACATGGTGAAACCCCATCTCTACTAAAAATACAAAGATTAGCCGGGCATGGTGATGTGCACCTGTAATCCCAGCTACTCGGGAGGCTGAGGCAGGAGAATCGCTTGAATGCAGGAGGTGGAGGTTGCAGTGAGCCGAGATTGTGCCACTGCACTCCAGCCTGGGCAACAGAGTGAGGCTCCGTCTCAAAAAAAAAAAAAGTATCGGAATTTTTAAAATAAGCAAGACTAAACTATAGTGTATAGAAATGCACATGGGAGATAAAACCATAAAGAAACAAGGAGTGATTATTGAAAGTGTCAGGTTAGTAACAGTCACTTTTGGAGTGGGGCCGGGGTGGGGCTGTGATTGGGATGATGCACACAGAGGGACTTCTGGGTGGGGAGGGCCTGGCAAAGTTCTATTTCTTGACCAGGGGTTTGGGGTGTTCATCTTGTAACTCATCAAGCTTGTGGTAAGGGACAGGTAAGTCTGGAGGCAGAGAAGACAGAGACTGGGTGACATGAGGGTTGGGGAAAATGGAGCAAAACAGAGATCAAGTGCCTTCTAGCTAGGGATGGCCACATGACTATGTTCTGGCCAATGGGATAGGAGCACAAGAAGCAATGCAGCTTCCTCATCATACTTTTCTTTTTTTTTCCTTTTTTTTTTTTGTTTTTTGAGACAGAGTCTTGCTCTGTTGCCCAGGCTGGACTGCAATGGGGTGATCTCAGCTCCCTGCAACCTCCACCTCCTGGGTTCAAGTGATTCTCCCACCTCAGCATCCTGAGTAGCTGGGATTACAGGTGCTTGCCACCATGCCCAGTTAATTTTTGTATTTTTAGTAAAGACGAGGTTTCACCATGTTGGCCGGGCTAGTCTCGAACTCCTGACCTCAGGTGATCCACCCACCTCGGCCTCCCAAAATGCGATTACAGGCATGAGCCATTGTGCCCTACCTGTTTTACCTGGTTTTCTATATCAGTGTTTTGTTTTACAATAAAAATGGAGGTTTTTGTTGTTTTGTTTTTATTGTATATATTTAAAGTATACAACATGATATCTTGATATACATATACATACAGAAATGACTACTAGGGTCAGGCAAATTAACATATCCATCACCTCACATAGTTCTGTGCGTGTGTGTATCTAAAAGAGCACCTAAAATGCTCTCTTATCAAATTTCCAGCATGCAATACAACATTACTAACTGTAGTCCTCTGTACATTGAGATGTCTAAACTTACTTGCATGGATGAACCTAGGAGGCATTATGCTAAGTGAAATAAGCCAGACACAGAGAGAAAAACACTGCATGATCTCATTTATACATGGATTTTTTTTTAAGCTAAATATAAAGAAACAGAGTGTAAAACAGTGGTTACCAGGGGCAGGGCATGGTGGGGAAGAATGAGGAGATAGAGGTCAACAGTACCATAAAAAGTTTTAAACAAAAGTATCCATCAAGAAACAAAAAACAACCAAGAAACAACTAAAATAATTCTTTCTCTTTCTAGCCATTGTAACTACAAAACACAAAGTGATTTTTTACTGGCTTTTCCTGTTTCTTCCCTTTGACATTGGTGCTCCCCAAGATGAGATCTTTGGCTCTCTTTTCTTGTTTCTTCTTGTTTCTCTTTTTCACCATGGAGTTGTCATCCACCCCCAAGATTTTAACCACCCCTGAAATCTGTGTCATTGCTCCTCTGCTGAGTTCCTGATCCACACTGTCCACTGTTTCTAGACATATCCCCATGGATATCTCTCAGTCAGCTTAAAGTTAATGCAGCCTAATAGCAAAAATAATAAATCAAGGTTTCTCAAGTGCCTACACTGTGCCAAGTACTATTCCAGGTACGTCTCACATATTATCTTAGTCTTCACCACACATAATGTGCCATCATTAGCCCAGTTTTACAGATATCAAACTGACACACAGAAAGGTCAAGTAGTAGCTCACCCTTATCTTAGCTTGTTTTCTGAATTCCCATATCTTCAGGGATCTCCAGCTCCATGAATGGTATCTCCATCTCTTCAGGTGACTGAGTTGGAAATCTTGGCTTCACTCCACCAATGACCTGAGTCATTCTTAGAAAGTCTGAAGAAGGAGCATGCAGCTCTGAGGGTGGCAGCAGGTCCAGGAATTGGAATGTGACCACAGGGGAATTCTTCATAAAGGGCTGAACTTTACTGGATGAGTTTCCCCTGGAATACCAGGAAGTCATATGAAATCACAGTTTAGGAAGTGCATTCAACAGTATATGGCAGACATCATTTCGTGTTAATAAATATATCCAGCCCTGAACCCCAACACTCCCAATTCTCCTTATCTGCCCTGTTTATTCCCTAGGACTTACCACTTTCTAGCACTCTATGTAATTGATTTATTTGTATGTTTATTGTCTGTCTACTAGAATGGGGGCTCCATGAGGGCAGAGGTTTTTGTCTGTTTCTTCACTGATGTATCCCCAGTGCCTAGAATAATGTGTGATACATGGTGGGGGTTCAAGTAATACTTGCTGAATGAATGGATCCACATCCTCACTTTCAATGGCTGCATGGCTTACACACAGGCGCATATATAAGCATGTATACACACATACACACACATGCACATGTCTTGAAGACAGAAGTCTATTCCTATCCCACCACAGTCCAGATCTTCATCAAAGAAGAAAGCAGTTCCCTAAACACTACGCACTCTTCCATCATACACCATGCAGGTTAAAGGGAGTGAGATACCAGGCCCTGTCCACAACACATAAGCCCCATACCTCACCCCACAGAACTGTTGTGTTCAGCTCCCTCTAAAGCTGCAGAACTAGCGGCTCAGACCACAAACTCTGGGGCTAGGATGACTGGGTTGGCCACTGACTAGCTGTGTGATCTTGGGAAAATTACTTATCCTCTAGGAACCTCAGTTTTGTCATCTGTCAAATATAAGAAATACCTACTTCATATAATTGTGACAGTTTAAAAAGCTATTAGGTTCCAGATGAGATGGAGTAAGCACCCTCCACCCTGTCTCTTCCACTGAATGCTGCTGTGAAACATGGACAGACATGCACAGGGCAGCTCTCTGAGAAGTGTGAAACTAAAAACAGCGGGGAAACGAGGGAAGAAAGCCAGAAGTCAGCGTTCCACTGAGCTGAAGCAAGTTTCTCATTTTCTCTCTGATATTCCCCAGCCTGGATACAAGACAGCCCCAAATCCAGAATGGGCACTGGGGCGACGAGAAAGATCAACAGGGCCGGGCGCAGTGGCTCATGCCTGTAATCCCAACACTTTGGGAGGCTGAGGCAGGTGGATCACCTGAGGTCAGAAGTTCAAGACCAGCCTGGCCAACATGGCGAAACCCTATCTCTACTAAAAATACAAAAATTAGCCAGGCGTGGTGGCAGGCGCCTGTAGTCCCAGCTATGTGGGAGAGTGAGGTAGGAGAGTCACTTGAACCCAGGAGGCGGAGGTTGCATTGAGCCGAGATTGTGCCACTGCACTCCAGCCTGAGCGACATGGTGAGACTCCATCTCAAAAAATAAAAAAAAGAAAGAAAGATCAACAGGGGAAGTGCTGGCTCTGCCTCGAGGAGTGGAAAGGGAAGGTCTAGCACTGAGACAGAAGAGGAACTCAATTTTTCTTTTCTTCATTCTCCCGTGCTCCAGCCCCTAGACAATTCCATGAGAGTGACAGTGGTGATGGTAGCATTAGTGGCTGCAGGGTCCACAGACACCCAAAACTTTGAGGAACGGAAATCTTTCCCCCTCTGATTGAGAGCTGTGGGCCAGGGGCAGTGGATCATGCCTGTAATCCCAGTACTGTGGGAGGCCAAGGTGGATCACTTGTGGCCAGGAGCAGGAGACCAGCCTGGACAACAGACTGAGACTGTGTGTGTGTGTGTGTGTGTGTGTGTGTGTGTGTGTATGTATGTATATACATTCATACACACACATACGTGTTTGCGTGTTTATTTTTCAAAAGAGTTGTAGTCCCAAGAAGGAGAACCCCCATAGCTTTCTTTTCTCTGTGTCTTCCTGCTGCCTGGCCCTGAACACGGACACAATCATAGGAAGTCTGCAGTAGAGCAGGATAACTAAAGAAGAAATGGCCGGGCGCAGTGGCTTATGCCTGTAATCCTGGCACTTTGGGAGGCTGAGGTGGGCAGATTATGAGGTCAGGAGTTCGAGACCAGCCTGGCCAACATGGCGAAACCCCATCTCTACTAAAAATACAAAAAATTAGCTGGGCGTGGTGGTGAGTGCCTGTAATCCCAGCTACTCGGGAGGCTGAGGCAGGAAAATCGCTTGAACCTGGGAGGCAGAGGTTGCAGTGAGCTGAGATTGCACCATTGCACTCTAGCCTGGGTGACAGTGCGCGCCTGTCTCAAAAAAAAAAAAAAAGAAAAAAAAGAAAAAGAAATGACACTGATTTTACACAATCTCTTCCAGAAAATAGAACAAGAGAAAATACTCCCCAGTTCATTTTATGAGGTCAACATTACCCTGAGACCAAAACTAAACAAAGGTATTTTAAGGAAAAAAACTACAGATCAATATCTCTCATGAACACAGATGTAAAAATCTTCAACAAAATATTAGCTGGCCAGGCGCAGTGGCTCATGCCTGTAATCCCAGCACTTTGGGAGGCTGAGGTGAGTGCAGCACTTTGGGAGGCTGAGGTGAGTGGATCACTTGGGGTCAGGAGTTTGAGACCGCCCAGGCAGGAGTACAGTGGTGTGATCATGGCTCACAGTAACTTCAAACTCCTGGGCTTAAGCAATTCCCCTACCTCAGCCTCCTGAGTAGCTGAAACTACAGGCACTACCATGTCCAGCTAATTTTTAAAAAAATTTTTTTAGAGACAGGGTCTTACTACGTTGCTCAGGCTGGTCTTGAACTCCTGGCTTCAAGTAATACCTCTTGCCTTAGCCTCTCAAAGTGTTGGGATTACAGGTCTGAGTGGCCCAGTCGGGCCTAAGAGTATTATTTTTCAAATTGTAAGTGAATTTTGAATTTTTGTCACATAGTTTTTCTCTATCAATCAATATCATCATTTGCTTTTTTTTTCCTTTTGAGACAGAGTCTCGCTCTGTCACCGAGGCCAGAGTGCAGTGGCGCAGTCTTGGCTCACTGCAACTTCTGCCTCCTGGGTTCAAGTGATTCTCCTGCCTCAGCCTCCTAAGTGTCTGGGACTACAGGCATGAGCCACCACGGCCGGCTAACTTTTGTATTTTTAGTAGAGATAGGGTTTCGCCATGTTGGCTAGGCTGGACTAGAACTCCTGATCTCAGGTGATCTGCCCGCCTCGGCCTCCCAAAGTGCTGGGATTACAGGTGTGAGCCACTGTGCCCTGCCTGATCATTTGCTTTTAATTCTTTAGGCTGTTAATATGGTGAATTACTATGATTGATTTTTGAATACTGAACCAGCCCTGTATTGCCAGGATAAATCTCACCTGACTATAGCATTTTTTAAAATACATATTCCTGAGTTCAATTGGCTAGTATTTTGTTTTTGTTTGTTTTTTCTTTTCTTTTCTTTTTTTTTGACATGGAATCTCACTGTCGCCTGGGCTGAAGTGCGGTGATGCAATCTTGGCTCACTGCAACCTCCACCTCCTGGGTTCAAGCTATTCTTCCTCAGCCTCCCGAGAAGCTGTGATTACAGGCATGCAATCCTGTCTCTTTAAAAAAAAAAAAAAAAAAAGACCAGGTGCAGTTGCTCATGCCTGTAATGCCAGCACTCTGGGAGGCTGAGGCTGGAGTATTACTTGAGGCCAGGAGTTCAAGACCAGCCTGGGCAACATGGCAAAATCTCATCTCTACTAAAAAAATACAAAAATTAGCTGGGTGTGGTGGCACATGTTTGTAATCCCAGCTGCTCGGGAGGCTGAGGCATGAGAATTGCTTGACCCTGGGAGGTGGAGGCTGATGTGAGCCAAGATCACACCCACTGCATGCCAGTCTGGGCGACAGAGGGAGACCCTGTCTAAAAAAACAAAGTGTGATACAGGTGAAATGACAGAATTACAGACAGCTAGGTCAATGGGACAGAATAGAAAGTACAGTAATAGACCCATGCAAATATGGCAAATTGATTTTTGACCAAAGTGCAAAGGCAACTGAATGGAGAAAGGATTCCTAGAATCATCAGACCTCTTGTGGAAAGAGAGCTTTACAAGAGTAAAAGCCCTGGAAGAAATCACAAAGAGAAAGGTCAACAGCCTTGCCAGTATAAGCGTTAAAACGGATGTGCATGTTATAAAAGTGTAACTGAAAAAAAAAAATTTTTTTTAAGTAACAAAGTTGGCCGGGCGTGGTGGCTTGCCTGTAATCCCAACAATTTGGGAGGCCAAGGCGGGTGGATCACCTGTGGTCAGGAGTTCGAGGCCAGCCTGGCCAACATGGTGAAACCCCGCCTTTACAAAAAATACAAAAATTATCCAGGCATGGTGGCACACGCCTGTAGTCCCAGCTACTTGGGAGGCTGAGGCAGGAGAATCGCTTGAACCAGGGATGCGAAGGTTGCAGTGAGCTGAGATCGCGCCACTACACTCCAGCCTGGGTGATAGAACGAGACTCCCTCTCAAAACAAAAAATTAATAATAATAAAGTAACATAAAGTAAAATTGACTCTTTCGTTGGTGTACAGCTTTATGAGTTTTAACACATGTATAGATTCCTAGAGCCAACAATGGTGTCTGAATAGTGGACATTCATATACAAAAAGAGAACTTCAACCTAAACATCACAACTTATACAAAAATTAGCTCAAAATGGATCATATATCTAAAAGAAATGTAAAATGATAAAACTTTTAGAGAAAAGTAGGAGAAAATCTTCATGACCTCAGTTTAGGCAGAGTTCTTAGGCTGGACACCAAAACCATGAGTTACAAAAGAAAACGATTGATAAACTGGACTTCATCATAAATAAAAACTTTTGTTCTATAAAAGACAATGTTAAGAAAATGAAAAAACCAGCTACAGACAGAAAGAAAATAGTTGCAAATCACATACTCAACAAAAGACCTGTATTCAGAATATATAAAGAACTGAAAGCACAGATCGGATCACCTCTCTTTGCCAGGCTAACTCTAATTTATCCTCAATTCAGCTCTCCGGGGAAGCTTACCTGACCACTTCACCTGCTTTGGGTTAGCTGCCACCCCTGAGTACTCCAGGGCAGTCAACCCTGTCTCAGAGCAGAGCTGAAATCATGTTGTGATTTCTTTGTATTTCCATCCCCATGAACCATAGGCTCCTTGACATTTTATTGTTTTGATAATCTCCATGGCCAGCACAGAGATATTGAACACAAAGTAGAACTCAATAACTTTTTTTTCTTTTTAGTGGCTGTTATATTTCCTGGTTATCTAGTTGTTTTTTTTTTTTGTTTTGTTTTGTTTTTTTTTTTTTTTTTTTGAGACAGAGTCTCACTCTGTCATCCAGGCTGGAGTGCAGTGGCACCACCTCGGATCACTGCAACCTCTACCTCCTGGGTTCAAGTGATTCTCCTGCCGCAGTCTTCTGAGTAGCTGGAACTATAGGCGCCCATCACCACGCCTGGCTAATTTTTGTGTTTTTAGTAGAGACGGGTTTTCACCATTTTGGCCAGGGTGGTCTCGAACTCTTGACCTCAGGTGATCCGCATGCCTTGGCCTCCCAAAGTTCTGGGATTATAGGTGTGAGCCACTGCACCCAGCCTCAGGCAATCCTCTTGCCTCAGCCTCCCAAATAGCTGGGATTACAGGCACACACCACTGTGCCTGGTGTCTAATTTTTTTGAGGAACTGGCATACCATTTTCCACAGCTGTTGCACCATTTCACGTTCTCAGCAGCAATGCACAAGGATTCCAATTTCTTCACATCCTCGCCAGTATTTCTACAATATTTTTGGTTAATTTTTAATCTTTTGCTTTAAATATATTTTCCCCAAAACTTCGTAGCTGTAGATTCAGGCTCATTCTAATTGCGGAAAACGTCTACCATATAAACTACTGGAAAGTCCTAACTGGCAAACCACATGGGCAAAACCGATTTACTTTCTATTGGGAAAGGTCTACATTCATTTTATATGTGTTTCCACAAAAACCTTCTGACTTCTCAATTTTAAGACAGACACAGCTGTGCCACGAATTTGCTGCCTGAATGAAATAAAATACCACCAGTCCCAGTATTTCTTCCTAGTGTCCTCTTTGCTTTACTTTCCAGGGGTTTTCTCTCAGGATTGATGGATTACCTGACAGTGGTGAGATGCAAGAGGTGAGGTCTCTATAAGCAAAACCTGTTTCAAATTGTCCCTGTAGTTGGCAACCCAGGAAGTTTTTATACTTAGGTATATTGCACCACATTAATATCTAAGATGTGTAAGAAATTCGTCTTTCAAGTGGGAGAATAACTGTGAAGAGGGATGTGAAAATAAAACTCCGGAAGAGAATGGAGGAAAAAAAAATAGTGAAGATGGCCAGGCACGGTGGCTCACGCCTGTAATCCCAGCACTTTGGGAGGCCAAGGTGGGTGGATCATTTGAGGTCAGGAGTTCGACACCAGCCTGGCCAACATGGTGGAACCCTATCTTTACTAAAAAGACAAAAATTAGCTGGGTGGTAGTGGCATGTGCCTGTAATCCCAGCTACTTGGGAGGCTGAGGCAGGAGAATCGCTTGAGCCTGGGAGGCGGAGATTGTGGTGAGCCGAGATTGCGCCACTACACTCCAGTCTGGGTGACAGAGACCTGCCTCAAAAAAAAAGTTAGTGAAGTTGACTCTCTTAAAAGTATACGTGCTCGGCTGGGTGAATGGCTCACATCTGTAATCCCAGCATTTTGGGAGGCTGAGGTGGGAGGCTCACTTGAGCCTCGGAGGTTGAGCCTGCAGTGAGCTATGATCAAGCCACTGCACTCCAGTCTGGGTGACAGAGCAAGACTCTGTCTCAAAAAGACCCAAACAAACATATGTGCCATGTACCTCCTGGAGTCTTCATTTATCCTTAGGGGTGTCTGTACCCCAGTTTAAAGATTGCTGCTGTAATTTATCATCCCCACAACCAGACATTATTATTATATGCAATCTGTGTTTGCTTAGTTTCCCCCATGTGTTCACTGATTTCTTTGTTCACCATTCTTGGAGATCTGCTTTTAGTTATTCTTTTTCTTCCTCTTGAAGTATGTCATCTTCTTGAAGTAAAGTCAGTCCCCTTTAGAACTGCCTTTGGTGAGGCTCTGTTAACAGTAAACTCAATTTGTTTTCTGAAAATATCTTAAAAGTTGTCTTAATTTCAAAATTCAAATTTTGCATTCTATTCTTATTTTAATATAAAGTAATATTTTAAATAACATACCATAGAGAGACAAAAAAAAACAAAAATTCTAAGCCTTATGAGTCATCGTAAGAGATAATCTGCATCTTCCACATGTTCTTAAACTGCACACAAATTGTAGGTGATTATAGCCCTAACTTACCTGTCCACACTGACTCCACAGTTTTGCAATTCCCAAAAATAAAGCAACAAGGAACAAATCTCCTTGGTTTTCTAAGTAGGTTCCAGTAAGAGCAGGTCAATATATTTTCTCAAATACTTATCTGTAAAGGAATTTAGTTTCTGTTTTTTTTTTTTTTTTGAGACAGAATCTCACTCTGTTGCCCAGTCTGGAGTGCACTGGCACGATCTCAGCTCACTGCAACCTCCACCTCCTGGGTTCAAACGATTTTCCTGCCGTAGTCTCCTGAGTAGGTGGGATTATAGGCGCCCGCCACCATGCCTGGCTAATTTTTATATTTTTAGTAGAGATGGGGTTTCACCATGTTGGCCAGGCTGGTCTTGAACTCATGACCTCAAGTGATCTGCCCACCTCAGCCTCCCAAAGTGCTGAGATTACAGGTGTAAGCCACCATGCCCGGTCAGAATTTAGTTTCAAAATGATATGTGTTAACTCAAAATGCTCTCTTGTAAGTGATAAAACTGGTTTCCTTATCTAAGCATTGGTGATATTAATATGGCTTCTTGACAAGTAATTCTTATACTTAGTAAGTATTCAAAATTTTGTTGAATGAATAATAAATGTATTTATATTAATTTACATGAGTTAGAATAGTCAACTGCCTCAATGTCAGGAAAAAAAATCCATTCATTTTGCTAAATAAAAAAGATAGGGAGAAGTACACGCCACCTACAAACTCAAGAGTAATGTTGCTTTATCTAGCCTCAGGGAAAGTATTTTGAAGTCAGGCAGTCTGGTTTCAGGCCTTGATTACACCACCACTGGGCTGGGACTTCTTCCTTAGCTGAAAGTACCTTTGGGCTGCTAGAGGCAGGAGGCAGAAGTGAAGAGGAGGGAGGTGTCAAGTCCCTTTACCAGTCTGCTTCATACAGAGCAATCTACTTTTATGTATTTAATATATTGGACTCCAAGATATTGCTTCAAAGAAAAAAAAGTTTGAAAACCACTGGATTAGAGACTCCAAGGTCTAAAAAGACTTCTCTATTGTGTATATTTAAATCACATCTTTGATATTGATTTAACTAAATTTTCAATATGTTTTTGTCAATCTAAAGTTTTTGAGAAGATTTTTAAAAACAACCAATTTCCTCAAAGATCAAAGTGGAAATATAAATAGGAAGTGTCTCAAAACTTTGCAAAGTCAGGATACGAGCTGTACTGAAGAGAAAACAAAGGAAAGAAACTGAAATAAAACAGATGACACATCTTTTTCAAATGTCACATTTAATGTTTTCACCACTGTACTTCAAATCTACATTGTACAAAGTGACCAGAAAGTGTGCCACGGTAATTGACCAACCTCTGAGATTGTACCTTTCACACCAGTGTCTTCTTGGGCTCTTTTGATACTAAACACGTTTCTCATTCAAGTGAATTGAAATGCTTCAGTTGGGTTGATTCTCAGGAGCCTCATAAAAAAAAAACAAAGATATTGCACCATCTTTGTTTAGTAATTCAATGTTTGTTTCTTTCACAGCAAATAATTACTTCATTGAAGTTAAAACTTCCAAACATAACTTATTAATAGTCTTCAAATTCAGCTCAGATCACTCAAGTTGAAAATACTCTGCTAAATACAGATAACTTACAATAACTTTAACAGTTAATTGTCCATAACACACACCAAGGTTTTTTCCTAGACCAATTTTAAGACGATCCATTAGTATTCCTTGTACAGGTGAAAAATGATCTTCAATTTTCTTGTCTTTTTATTTTTAATATAAAAGTTGGAAGGGACATTCAAGTTTCAAGTCTCCACACTGAACTCAAAAAAAAAAAATAGTCATCATCAGCATGTGGAGGTAAACAAGCCAAGTTGTATAACTCCAGGAGGTAGAGGCCTTCGATTTGTATTCATATGTACATATGCACAGAAGAATTCAGTGTTCCAACAGAAAAAAAGAACTTGTCAAAAAGTAATAAGTTATTTACTACTGTGACATTTCAAGACTCCCACAGCTTTGCCTAAGGACACAAACACATTTGACATAATTCCCTATGTGCCTTTTTTTGTGGCTTAAATTTTTTTTTAAATTTGTTTTTGTCTTTTATTATTTTTTTACTGTCCAGTGCAGGAAAAGTCTCACAAAATTTCACAGACCTAAAATGTGCAAGCTAGTTCTCTTTCTATACAGCAATATTGGGATTCTTTTGAAATTAGCCCAGAAATGAATTATTTACACACATGAAAGATGCATGCTTGGGGTTCTTTTATGTAAGAAAGAGCAGAAAAACTTCTAATAAAAATAGATTAAATATATATATATATATTTATACTGGGTAAGGAAAACAAAAGTTTAGTCTCTCCTAGTCACAAACTCATTCTCTCTACCCACAACATTGGATTTTAGACAGCACACATCACCATCACGGCTCTAATGAGAAGCTAATTATAGGGCTTGATCATTAGGTGGCATGCCCCTCCTCCCTACCCTCCCCCCAGGTGCAGCCACGATCAGCTCACGTGGCTCCATGATTGGTCGCAGGCAAGGTTCCTAGATTCTTTAGTTTTAGAAAACCCCAAATCTTTAGGAATGGCTCAAATATCAAAATGTATGACTGTCCTTTGTGTTTGTGTGTGTGTGTGTGTGTGTGTGTGTGTGTGAACAATCTCACTTCATTTTAGAAAAGAAAAACAAAACATAAAACCCCAAACTCCCAAATTTGGTTCAATTCTCTTTTGTTCTGAGGTGAGCCATAACAGCTGCACTAAATTCATAAAACATGTGCAACTCTGGGTAAAATATTTTTCTTCTAAAAGCACAACCACTTTACAAGATTAAAAGTCTAGTAACATTTCTAAATATTATTCATATCATACAAGTAGTGGTTGTTAATTTAAAACTTCATTAGTAAAATTACAGTACAAGCATGATTAACCTCCAGAATTGCAAATCCCAGACTCCAGTGGAAAGCTACATTACATCTTCAGTAGTACATTATCTTCCACCATCACTCCCACACCAGAGGAGATGGGGGCATCTCAGATGGCTGAGCAACAGTGGAACTGGAAGAAAACAGAGATGGAGAAATTAGTTGTAATGTCACAATGGACAAAAGGGTAATTCACTACTTCCTGTTTTCCTCTCTTCCTCTGAAAAAATTAATTCCACTTCTGGATTTTTATTTGTTTCTTTGAAGTTGAATTTATTCTAAGTTGCTTGTTTATGGACCTGTTATCTATGGAGAGGCAATCTGGTATAGTGGCTAATATGTAGGCTTGAAAACCACATGTCATTTACTAGTTGTATGGCCCTGAGCAAGTGCCTTAATCTCTTCTCATTTGGAAAGAAATAATGCTGTTTACCTCATAGGATACTGGGATGAATAAATGATAATAGATGTGAAGTATTTTCCACAGTGCCTACTTCAAAGTGTAAAGTAAATGTAGGTATTACAAGTAATAATTTCAATAATCAATCAGGAAAATAACCTTAAGGGATGTAGAATCATCCATTTAAAAGTAGCCTCTCAAAATACAGTGGCCTATTTTGAATGGGCCTTATAAGCATTCTTTTATCAAGTATTAATGGAGAAGTATAGGTAATCATTTAGCATTGGTGATCTAGATCTGTTATTGGCTTTTTCCTATGTCTAAGATTGCTAATTAGATTATAAACTTGAGAGGGAAAAGTGTAACCCCTTGTTTCCCCAAGGCCCAGGATCATTTGCACCTAAGCTGCTAAACTGCCTAACTGACTGGGTCACTGACTCTTAGGGGAAAATAGTAAAACAAAGTAATTTAAAACCACAGATAAGTAAAAGTGCAACTTAATTCCTTCTTCCAATAGAAAAATACATGGAAGAAATGAAAGTCACCTGATTTTGCAAATTTTAAGCATAAAATCTTGACTGTGGTCCAACAAATCCAACCAACTTTAATATGATTAAAGGGAAAGGGCAGCAGGAAGAGAGAAAAAGGAGAGGAGAAAGGCAGCGGGGAAGATAGAGACTGTGTGACCACTCATATCCGAATCCACCCTTTGTCCTGCTTTGTGATACTGGAGCCAGACCCTGTTCATGGTTCCCCTTTGCCACCTAGCTTAATGTTAGCTTTTGTCAACAGAGGGTGCTGGAAGGGCATTTGCAAGGCTGTAGCATCAGGAAGCAGTCTCCCTTCCTTGGTTTGTTGTGCCTGTTTTTGGTCATGTGGAAGGCTCAGCTTTGGTCCACCCGAACTCTCCTGGCAGGCAGTCTTTGATGGACCAGTTCTGGCCACACCTTCTGGCACACTTCCTCTTCTGCACCACCCTCGTGCTGTGTGTTCCAGTTCCTGTGGCAGCCATACCCTCTCCAAAGAGGTCCTTACATGAGGAACCTCTTCTAAATTCTTAATTCCTTTCTTGTTTACTCTCCCTCAGTCTACAGGGAGTGGCTGCTTTCTGCATTTGCTACTTCAGCAGCCTTCAGAATCCTCTTTTATGCCTTTTAGCAGTTGATCATCTTTCCTAGTTAACAGTTCTTATTACTGAATTTTCCCCGTTTGTATTCTAGGGAAGTGGTTTATTTCTCCCGATTAGACCCTGATCAATATATAAGGAGTTAAGGAAAAAGAAATCAAGAGAAGGAAAGGACAGACAGACAAGGAGAATGAAGCCTGGTAACTTCCAATGTAGGTTCATAGCTCTACCATATGCCTTTTGACTTCTCCTCTAAATAGGCTACACCAGCAGTCCACCTACACACAAAAAAATTATTTTCTTGCTTGCAGTTATTACTAGGGAGTGAGAATGGTAGTGGGAACTGAGATGACCACGTCTAACTCCAGGACAGGTGGCCACCATACTAATGCTGCAGCAGGACTGCCATATATGTGATGAGGCAGCACAATGGTCATCCGGGGAAAAAATTGCCAAAGCAACCGCAGTGAACTGGCACCAGTGTAAAATGTGATGCTTACAGTTTTTTGTTTTTTTTTTTGAGATGGAGTTTCGCTCTTGTTGCCTAGGCTGGAGTGCAATGGTGCGATCTCGGCTCACCGCAACCTCTGCCTCCCGGGTTCAAGTGATTCTCCTGCCTCAGCCTCCCAAGTAGCTGGGGTTACAGGCATGCACCACCATGCCTGGCTAATTTTGTATTTTTAGAAGAAACAAGGTTTCTCCATGTTAGTCAGGCTGGTCTTGAACTCCAGACCTCAGGTGATCTGTCTGCCTTGGCTTCCCAAAGTGCTGGGATTACAGGCATGAGCTACCGCGCCCAGCCCAGATGCTTACAGTTTTAATACACTTTTGACTAAAGCCAAACCTCATAACAGAAACTTTCTGTTGCACCTTTTATCTATGTTATCTAAATAAAAACAAATATGCTGAATAATGAAGTAACACTGGCATCCTTTTAATTCTAACAAGAATGTTGAATTACATACATATAGTTACCTAATAAAGCTCTTAAAAGCAGCAGACTGAGGGTTGATGCAGAGAGGCACTCTGTTTCCTTTCTGCTGTTCCAAAATGAACTGATGAATAATTTCTGTGGAGAAAACAAACATCATACAATCCATGACAATTTGCAAGCCCGGGAGCAGTGAATTCTCAGCGAACTCTAGCCAGCATCTGAAAAGCACTGCCTACTGGTTTAGTTAAATCAAACACACACATCATCTATCAAGCAGAATTCAGCTGAACTTCCTAAAACTAAAATGACAGCTGTTGCTAAATATAAGAAACCTACTGGTGGCATTACACAGACTGCAACCCCATCAGTGGGAAGAGTAAAATGGCCTATAAATTTGAGAGAGACTCCACAGGTTTGGCATTATGGGTGAACTCTTCTAAGTTGCTGGCAATTATTGCCTTTTTGAAGATCACTTAAAGACCTCAGTTGGTATCTAGGTGTATAGTTTCAGGTGGTTACTTTGGGGACTACTCTCTCTCTTGTAAAATGTCCTACAGTAGACACTAAAATCACTCAGAATTTTGGATGTCATTACTCCCACTGTATTCCAATAGGAGATCCTGCCACAAAATTTTATGAGTACACTATCAGAAATTCCCTTCTCTTGTCATCGTCCAAGGAATAATTCCCTCAGTGAATGTTTATCCTTTATGGAACTTTGTATGTTATATAAAGTTCAATACGTTTGAATCAATGAAATGACACTGAGTGAATACATATTAAACATATTTTGAGTCATACTCACTAAATAAACTTTGAAAATAAGAACAAAATATTCATTCCTCTCCCCGACCTTCCCCTGGATATAATATTAAATATGCTTTGTTATGCCCCGGACACACAGCTATACGCAAGGTTGTAAAATAAACATAGAGGGGAGCTTTGGTTACCATCCAGATCTCAGCTCTTCATGGCCACCTAATGGAAAATGTTACTAGGCATATTGCCTGGCCAAAGGCCAAAACAGATACTCACCTTTAACCTGTCGGACAGAACTGAGGTTCTTCTCGAAAGTGTCATCAAATTTGGGATTGGTGACAGGCTCAAAGTCACTGGTATAAACTCTTCCAGTGGAGGTGGAAAAGCAACATTTACACATACATGTGTGATATCGTAGTCGCCCTTCATCTAGGTAGGGGTGGGCTAAGGCATCCTTAGCGGATATTCTTTTGGACTGAAATCAAATTAGAGACCAGCACATCAACACTACAGATAAAATGACTGTCCACATAGGATCTTTCAAAAGACACATTAACTGCTTGACATAGCATATATATAATTTATAGTACATCCCGTCCAAAGAGGGATAATTGAATTTAGAGGTGGGTAACATAGCAGCAGAGGGAGTGTATGATTTAGGACAACTACTGTTATTATCTACCATCACAAAGTACTTAGAAGTGCCTTTCTTCTAAAATTCTAAGAAGTTACTACATTGAAATAGATGTATGCTGGGTCAAAAATCACAAATATCATGACATTTAACTATGTAGTGCTTTGAAGGGGTTACGTTTACCTTTTAAATAACAGGCTATATTTTCTAAATATGTGTCAGCATCCTGAAGATGCGTTCACAGTGGCAATTTTCAAAGTTGCTTGAAATTTTTATTCTCTTAGAATACCAAACAGATGATGGCAAAAGCTGCTGGAGTTAGGCAGCAGACAGTGGTCTGACTGCCATATTTTGAGATATAGCTCAGTCTGAATATCAGAAGTCTAGTCTAGCTTTTTGTTTTCTGGCACTTTATTTTTAAATTTTTTGTAGAGATGGGGTCTCACTGTGTTCTTGAATTTGTGGCCTCCAGTCTTGGCCTCCTGAAGTGCTGGGACTGCAGGCATGAGCTACTGCACCTAGTCATTTTCTGTCACTTTAGATCAGAATACTGAATGCATGAGTTTTAAGTTTGCCTGAAAATCTAAACTTTTAACATTACTCCATGAAAAAATTAAAGAAATTGTCCCTTCTTTTAGCTCAGTAGACATACGTGTATTACTGAAAGTAAATTTTAAAGATTTAAGGATGAACTCACTAGTACACAGTAGAACAAAAACAAGAACACACACTTTGCCCTGATTCCAATATGACCAAGCACTTCTTCACATTACACAATTTAAAAATGAAAACCACTTTTGTTCTCAGATAAACCAAAAACAACTGTTCTCGTTCCCAAATAATAATGAAATGTTTCTCATAAGCCCGGATTCCCTAAAAACACTTTTATCACTGATTTTTGCTATGCTGATGTAAAAAGGCATGTCATGACCTTTCAAGATAAGATAATCACAGAAGAAAGCGGGTGTTTATCTACCAGGAACAGGCAAACGTATACTTGATAACCTTGTTTTTTTTTCCTTTCAATAAGTTTATGTTTTGTATTTGGTGATCTAGCTCTTTTGAAGTCTGACTTCCCTGCATTCTTAGCAAGTAAACTTTTTCCTTTTCTTTTTTTCTAAAAAAGTCTGAGTCCTTTGATAGCGATTCCTAGAGATTCCACTGGGATAGTGTTCCACTGTTTGAACCCAAAGGAACAAGTAGGCTGACAGTGTATGTGCCTGATCCCAGGCCTCTCTGAGCCCTTGGCTTCCCTTTCCTTCTATTTTTCTTTAACTTCTGTTCATGAGTTTCAGGACAGAACTTCAACGGTTTATCCTTCTGTTCCTTTAGGTTACATACAGTGATCATTCCAACAACATACTTGTCTGTAAGATGCTTCACACTTACACCACTGTGCAGTTTCTCCAATAGCTTGGCATTCTGTGCTATAAACAGAAATGCTTCCTCTTTTTAAAAAAATCAGTTACCTGCTGGGTTATCTGCAGGACTTTTTGACATTTTCAACAATATTTTTACTCCAAAGAGCACAGAATAGGCAAAAAATACAGTAAATAATGCCTATAGGTCTTGGCAGCATGTGGGACATTGTGGGGAACCTGTCATTGGTGCATCTGGCCTGCAGATGTGCCATTTTATTACCCTTTGTGGGCACATTTGCATGGGGGAATCTGGATATGCTTGGGGAAGATAGAATCACAGCTGAAGGAGGCTGGGGGTCTTTTTTCCCTTGGGGATACTGAACAAACTGTGTGTTGTATGCCTGCTTTTTGATGGTGACCTGTCACTGAGGTCAGGTCATTTGTGGTGTCATGTTGGCACTCAAAGTTCCAAATTAGGGATGTTCAGCGTGTGTGTGTGTGTGTGTGTGTGTGTGTGTGTCTGTGTTTGTCTGTGTATGTGTATCTCACCACAGACACCTGCTCTTAGACTGAATCAAGTAATTGAGTCATCATTTCAGTTCAGGAGCAGACATGTGATGGCAGTAGACTGCTTAACCCAAGATCAACAAAACAAGAATAACTAGTTACCTCAGACTAAATGGACTAAATAAATACACTGATTTAATTATGGTCAATGGTCTGTTCTTCATGGATATTTAAAAAGTGGCTCACGCCTGTAATCCCAGCACTTTGGGAGGCCAAGGTGGGTCAGGAGTTCGAGACCAGCTTTGTCAACACGGTGAAATCCTGTTTCTACCAAAAATATAAAAATATATTAGCTGGGTGTGGTGGCGCACATCTGTAATCCCAGCTATTCAGGAGGCTGAGGCAGGAGAATCTCTTGAACCCAGGAGGTGGAGGTTGTGGTGAGCGGAGATCGTGCCACTGCATTCCAGCCTGGGTCACACAGTGAGACCCTGACACACAAACACACCTCATTTCTTTCTTAATGTATTGCTGACTTTCAATTTAACAGGTTAAAATCAGAACAAACCTCTCTTTAAATGGTTTCTTGTTCTCATTGAACTCTCAGAACTGGAAATAAAAAAAATCCTTAATATAGATCAAAAGCTAATAAAGCATCAGGCTAATTTAAAAATAGTTCTGTAACAAAGTAACAAACTTGTCGGCTTTGTTTATAACACAGTGATAAAAATGGTTAATTATTATGTAGTGTGCATTAAATAAATTAATTTCTTTCTTTTTGAGACAGGGTTTCCCTCTGTCTCCCTTGCCAGGATGGAGTACAATGGTGAGCTCATGGCTCACTGTGGCCTTGGCCTTAACCTCCTGGGTTCAAGCCATCCTCCCACCTCAGCTTCTGGAGTAGCTGGAACTACAGGCATGTGCTACCACGCCCAGCTAATTTAAAAAATTTTTAATTTTGTAATCCCTAAGTTGCCCAGGCTGGTCTTAAGCTCCTGGGCTCAGGAGATTCTCCTGCCTCAGCCTCCTAAAGTGCTGGGATTACAAGTGTGAGCCACTGTGCCCTATGCTCAGCCTAATTTCTTTATTTTTAAATGACTATGTAGTTACTTACATAGGTTCCAAAAGAATATATACTCTTCCTTACCAGATAAATCTTTCTCCTTAGATAAATCTTTATAACTACAACTACACCACAAATTTCATTTAATTAAGTGTGATAATCCCACTGTTAAGGAATAAGGACTACATGTCACATGTAGAACTTGTGTACAAAAGACCTCCCAGAAAAATGGGCTTACTACTTGCTCTATGGCTTAGGAAGTTCCAGCCTTAAAGACTGTAAACACTACCTTCCTGGCAGATCGGGAGCATTAATAAACATGGGATCTCTAGGCTGGGTGCGGTGGCTCATGCCTGTAATCCCAGCATTTTGGGAGGCCAAGGCAGGTGGATCATGAGGTCAGGAGTTTGAGACCAGCCTGACCAACATGGTGAAACCCCATCTCTACTAAAAATATAAAATTAGCCGGGTGTGGTGGCACGTGCCTGTAATCCCAGCTACTCAGGAGGCTGAGGCAGGAGAATCGCTTGAACCCGGGAGGTGGAGGTGCAGTGAGCTGAGATTGCGCTGCTGCACTCCAGCCTGGGCAACAGAGCGAGACTCTGTCTCAAAAACACCAAACCAAACCAAACCAAACCAAACAAAACATGGGATCTCAGAGAAAGAGGATGCCTTACAGCTCTAAACAGTGTATGCACACCTGGTAGAGGTGAGTTACATGGTTCTTGGATCCAAATCTAAATAGAAATAGAGAATAAAATATTTCTAACACATAAATTTCAATCCTAGACCCTTTATAAAATCCTCTATGGTCAGACAGAAATTACCTCTGAAGCCTGAATTTCACACAGCTCTAGTTTTGTTAACCATATAAAAGGAGTTTGTTTTTTAACATATTGATCAACATCTTCTGTTAGTTATGTAGATAAACTTACCAAATAACACAAAATATCAAATGATAGTAAATCACTAGCTCAATAAAGCAAGTTATATGATTGAAATTGTCCTTAATAGTGGGAACTTGATCACAAAGAGAGACTGTGGGAGCAAGAACTGCCACTTTGTCAGGCTTATAGTATCACTAAGCACTTCACATACCACATGGTATGGTTTGGCTGTGTCCCCACCCAAATCTCATCTTGAATTCCCACATGCTACGGGAGGGACCTAGGAGGTAACTGAATGATGGGGGCAGGTCTTTCCTGTGCTGTTCTCGTGATAGTGAATAAGTCTCATGAGATCTGACCAGATTAAAAAGGGGTGTTTCCCTGCACAAGCTCTCTCTCTTTGCCTGCTGCCATCCATATAGACATGACTTGCTCCTCCTCACCTCCCGCCATGATTGTGAGGCTTCCCCAGCCATGTGGAACTTTAAGGTTTAAGTCCAATTAAACCTCTTTCTTTTGTAAATTGCCCAGTCTTGGGTATGTCTTTATCAGCAGTGTAAAAACAGACTAATACACCACAGTAAAAAAACAAAAAAGAAAACAACAGCAAAAAACACCAAAATAAACACATAAGCAATCTAAATTGTACCCTGAGACATTACAAAAATAATTTGGGTCACCCTAATTGGTTCTGGTCCCCCAAATAAAAAAACCTTGACTGTTTCTCACAAACCTGAACTCCTTAACAGAATTATTTTTATCCCTAATCTTTGCTGTGCTGATGTCTGAAGCTTTGTGAATTTGATATCTTCTGAGAAAGTTGCAGCTTTCTCACTACAAATGGACCAATGTAAACTTAATAACTTTGGTAATTTTGTGGTTGTTTTATCTTTTAAATATCTGGTATTTTTCGTATTTGGTGACTTTGTATTCTTGGCAAGTTAAATTTTCTTTACTAAATGCTTCCATTTTTAAGTCTTCTTTGACAATAGTTATTGGCATAGATGTGAATAATAAATATTCTTTGGATGAATGAATAAATGAAGAGCTGAACTTACAGTAT